>NC_000014.9:92111713-93361713 GCF_000001405.40 Homo sapiens | reverse complement strand
CTAGCCAGAGCAATCAGGTGGGAGAAAGAAATAAAAGGCATCCAAAAAGGAAGAGAGGAAGTCAAGCTATCTCTCTTTGTAGATATGATCCTATATCTAGAAAACCTCATAGTCTGACCAAAGGCTCCTAGATTTGAGAAACAACTTCAGCAAAGTTTTAGGGTATAAAAACCAGTAGCATTTCTTTCTTTTTTTTTTTTTTTGAGATAGTGTCTCACTGTGTCGCCCAGGCTGTAGTGCTGTAGTTCAAACATGGAACAATGCAGCCTTAATGTCCTGGGCTCAAGCAATCCTCCCACCTCAGCCTCCCAGGTAACTAAGACCACAGGCCACCATGCCCAGCTAATTTTTTTTAATAGAGATAGGGTCTCAATAAATGGGCCGGAGTAACACACCCAAATGAGGAATGTGTTGCCTACAAAATCCAAACAGGCCTGCTAGGCGTTGTGCCTCCTTCTTTTCTTTTCTTTTCTTTTCTTTTTTTTTTTTTTTTTTTTTTTTTGAGACAGAGTCTTGCTCTGTCACCCAGGCTAGAGTGCAGTGGCATGATTTCAGCTCACTGCAACCTCCACCTCAGGTTCACGTGATTCTCCTAACTCAGACTCCTGAGTAGCTGGGATTACAGGCGTGTACCACCATGCCCGGGTAATTTTTGTATTTTTAGTAGAGACGGGGTTTCACCATGTTGACCAAGCTGGTCTTGAACTCCTGACCTCAAGTGATCCACCTGCCTTGGCCTCCCAAAGTGCTGGGATTACAGGCATGAGCTGCCGCACCCAGCCTGTGCCTCTTTCTTGGTTGTAGAAGAGGCCAAATGCAGCAACTTACCCTTCACCTTACAAGGAATATCTTGACAGGCCCCACACCACTGGACCCCTAAAAATTTTACTGAGGTAGAAGTTCCCTGAATTTCAGTCAAATTTATTCTCTGGAACACAAATGTCTCACCAATAAGTCCAGTGTGTTTACTACTTCTTGCTCACTGGATCCAATCAGCAGAATGTCATCAATGTAATGGACCAGTGTGATATCTTGTAGAAGCAAAAAGAAATCAAGTTCTCTCCGAATAAGATTATGACACAAAGCTGGAAAGTTGATATACCCCTGAGGTAGTGAAGGCAAATTGCTTCTGGTGGGCCTCATGGACAGGAATGGAGAAAAAGGCATTTGCCAAGTCAATGGCTGCATACCAGGTACCAGGAAATGTGTTAATTTGCTCAAGCAATGAAACCGCATCTGGTACAGAGCTGCCATTGGAGTCACCACTTGGTTAAACTTACGATAATCCACGGTCATTCTCCAAGATCCATCTGTCTTCTGCACAGGCCAAATGAGTTGACTGGGGATGTGAAGGGAATCACCACCTCTGTATATTTCAAATCCTTGATGGTGGCACTAATTTCCACAATCCCTCCAGGGATGCGATATTGTTTTTTATTTACTATTTTCCTAGGTAGAGGCAGCTCTAATGGTTTCTATTCAGCCCTTACCACCATAATAGCCCTCATCCTACCAGTCAGGGAGCCAATGTGGGGGTTCTGCAAGCTGCTAAGTATGTTAATGCCAATTATGCATTCTAGCACTGGGGAAATGACCACAGGATGAGACCAGGGACCCACTGGACCCACTGTAAGTTTGACCTGAGCTAACACTCCATTAATTACCTTACCTCCATAAGTCCCTACTTTAACTGGAGGACCACAATGATGTTTTGAGTCCCCTGGAATCAACATCAGCTCAGATCCGGTATCCAGTAATCCCCAAAATGTCTGATCATTTCCCTTTCCCCAGTGCACAGTTACCCTGGTAAAAGGCTGGATGTCTCCGTGGGGAAGGATGGGAAAAAGATGAACAGCAGAAATTGTTGGTAGTGTAGTGGGGTCCTTCCTCAAAGAGACCCGGCCTCCCCTTCATTCAAGGGGTTCTGGGTCTGTAAAGTGGCTCGTCTGGAAATTAATTGAGGGGACATGATTCTCTCTTTTTATAATTCAAATTAGCCTTTTGTCCATTTGACCTGGAAGTTTTCTGCTTATATAAATTAAGTAGGAATGCAGTAGGCTTCCTATCAATTTCACTTCTAGGAACAATGTACTTAGCCAATGCCAGAGCTCTACACGAGTCAGACTATTCTAATTGTTGCTTTGCCTCTGCTGTCCATTATGGTAGCTATGCTGACCTTGCCTTTGATTGTTGAGTGCTGCCACTTGGCCCCTGCCACCATGGGATCTAATTATCCCCATTTTATTTAAATTCTGTAGTTGAGTGACTGCAGTTCCCACTGTTAGATCTGACATACGGAGAAGAGCAATTACAGGGCTTTTCAAAGATGCAGGTGCTGCCCTCATAAATCTGTTTTGCAAAGCATTGGTCAAGGGTATACCTTCCGGACCCTCCCAGCTGGGATGAGTAGGTCTAAAGTGACTAATCCTCTCCACCATACCAATCTCCCTAAGCCTTTGGATCCCTTCCTCTACATCAGACCAAGGGAGATCAGGCATTTCCAGCTCACTTGCAGTGGGCCATCTTTTAATCCATATTTCAGCTAACCAAGCAAATAAACTATTAGAACCTTTTTTAACTACCCAAGCTACAACATTAAATGCAGAAACCCTATTTATTGGCCCAAATCAATAAATTCAGCCTGATCCAACTCTATGTTCCTTCCACCATTATCCCACACCCTTAATATCCATTCCCATGCCTGTTCTCCAGATTTCTGCTTACATAAATTAGAAAACTCAAGTAGTTCCTTTTGAGTGTAGTGCACCTCTTCATGGGTAACACTCTCAACCTCACCTCTAGGGGCCCGCTGGGACTTTAGTCTAGTTATAGTTCTAGAAGTAGACAAGGGTGTTGGGGGTGGCTCCTAAGGAGAATCAACATTATCTTGCCTGGCAACTGACACAGGGGAGGCCATCACTGTTGCCTCAGGCAGCAGCACAAGGTTTATCTCCTCAGACAAAGGTGGAAAGGCTGATGGCAGCATGGATCAGGGAGGGGATGTTGCCACTACTGGGAATGGGGAAGCTGTTTCTTCTGGCAAAAAAAAGTTCATCAGAGTTTACAAGCTCAGTGTCTCCAGTTTCATCACGGTCCTCCCACATGTCCCCATTCCAAGTTGCAGGGTCCCATTCTTTTCCAATCAATGACCTCACTTTAACAGTAGACACCTGGTGAGGCTGTGCATCCACCTTTCATTGCAGGTCAGCCATGCACGTGATAAGAGCTTGTGTCTGTTTTTCTACAATTTCAGCTCTTTCTCTACAGGAGATAAGACTCTCATTCAGGGCAATCTTAGAAGATTTGAGGCTCAGGATCTGCTTCTGAAGCTGGCAGTTAGAATCCCTGAGTTCATCATTTTCTTTCATCACTTTGTCCAGTGAACTTAGGAGCAACCAACCAACTTCATTATGTTCCTTGGTCCTCCACATATAGTCAAAGGTATGATGTATAGAGTCACTAAACTCCTTGCCTCTCAGGGGTGTCAAATGCATTTATTTTGCATAACTCTCTAAACAGTTCATGCCAAGGACTATCAGTGTTCTCCATACTATTAGAAGTAGCATCCTTACCATTATGGGGTCTAATCATATTAAGCAACCAACTCCAGAAACCCTAAAACCAGTGAAAGAACTCCATCCTTAATATTCTGTTCCTCTAGAACCACTCCTGGTACCAAAATCTGTATTCACCAGAGTTCTCCAGAGGGACAGATCTAACAGGAGAGAGATATATATCTATATATATGGATATATATAGATATATATCTCCATATATCCATATATATCTATATATATGGATATATATAGATATATATCTCCATATATCCATATATATATCCATATATCCATATATATATCCATATATCCATATATATACATATCCATATATCCATATATATATATCCATATATCCATATATATATATCCATATATCCACATATCCATATATATATATCCATATATCCATATATATATATACATCCATATATCCATATATATATATATATATATATATATATATATATATATATATATGGGAGTTTATTAAGTAGTATTAACTCACACAATCACAAGGTCCCACAATAGGCCATCTGCAAGCTAAGAAGCAAGGAAGCCAGTCTGAGTCCCAAAGCTAAAGAACTTGGAGTCTGATGTTTAAGGGCAGGAGCATCCAGTATGGGAGAAAGATTTAGGCTGGGAGGCTAAGCCAGTCTAGTGTTTTCACGTTTTTCTGCCTGCTTTATATTCTGGCCACACTGGCAGCTGATTAGATGGTGCCCAACCAGATCGAGGGTGGGTTTGCCTTTCGCAGCCCACTGACTGAAATGTTAATCTCCTTTGGCAACACCCTCACAGACACACCCAGGACCAATACTTTGCATCCTTCAATCCAATAAACTTGACACTCAGTATTGACCATCACAATGCCCATTAGTGGTGGACTGGATAAAGAAAATGTGGCATATAAACACCATGGAATACTATGCAGCCATGAAAACAAAGGAGATCATGTCCTTTGCACTAACATGGATAGAGCTGGAGGCCATCGTCCTATGTGAATTAACACACGTCCTAAGTGAATTAATGCAGAAGCAGAAAACCAAATACCACATGCTCTCTCTTGTAAGTGGGAGTGAAACATGGGGTACACATGGAAACAAAGGAACAAGAAACACTGGGGCCTACTTCAGTTTGAAGGGTGGAAGGAGGGTGAGAATTGAAAAACTTCCTGTTGAGTACTATGCTTATTACCTGGGTGACAAAATAATCTGTATACCCAAACCTCACGACATACAATTTACCCATATTAACAAATCTGCACATGTACCCCCAAACCTAAAATAAAAGCTAGGGAAAAAATTTTTAACCTGAGTTTAGATTATTTCAAATTCTCCATTCACCTTATATAAAGAGAGCTATTCATTTGCTTTAACCATAGCTTTAAAAACAGATTACTAGGCCAGATGTGGCAAAAAAATTTTTTAAATATTTCAAAACCTGAAAAATCAGATCATATAGTGGATTTGCACTTCTGGTAATGGCAGAATGGGTCAGTAAAGCCAGTTATTTCTGCTCATCTACTAGACAAGTAGAACAAAATACACAAACATCTCCTTGAAGGTACTGAAGAACTGCAAAACTCTGAAGACCTACCAGGCCAGACACTGGTGAAATACAGAGATCAAGAGAGCCCTGCATTCGGCAATTCTGGAAGAAGTGCCTGAGAAGTGCTTTTGACAGTCTCTCGTGGGTGAGGAAACAGAGATTGGAGCCCAGAGTACAAAGGGATCTGTGTTGGGAGAGGAATCAGGTGATTGGGTGAACCCACATCAATTTGGGTTAAGACCTCAAAGGGTTGCAGCCTACAAGAGTGAAATAGAAGTGGCTGGGAACAGTGGCTCATGCCTGTACTGTAATCCCAGCACTTTGGGAGGCCAAGGCCGGTGGATCACCTGAGGTCAGGAGTTTGAGACCAGCCTGGCCAACGAAACTCTGTCTCTACTAAAAATACAACAATTAGCCAGGCGTGGTGGCAGGTGCCTGTAATCCCAGCTACTTGGGAGGCTAAGGCAGGAGAATTGCTTGAACCCGGGAGGCGGAGGTTGCAGTGAGCCTAAATCGCATCACTGCACTCCAGCCTGGGCAACACAACAAGACTCTGCCTCAAAAAAAAAAAAAAAAAAAGTACACTAGTAATAGATTCCTGAAGAGACTACACTTGTAATAAGAGTAAGCTACGGATGTCATGGGAACACAGGAGATGGGCAGGTTATCCAAAGGACACATTTAATCTGAGAGCTGAGAGAGCAATAGGAGTAAAAATTATCCAAGCCAAAGTACAAATTGGAGAAGAAGGAGAAAAGCATTCTAGAGACAGTAGCTACCTATGTAAAGGCTGCAGGCAATCTGAAAAACTGGTGCATTGATAGGATAGGGGCATGAAAATATGAGTAGTTGACTATAACAAGAGCATAGTTAGGAAGACAGTTAAGAGTTGTTAAGAGATGAAGCTGAACCTGGATGGAAAGAGGTGGTCAATGTAAGAGAAGTTAAAAATGTAAAATTATTAAGACTGTAAAATTAGGCACGGTGGCTCACATCTATAATCCCAGTACTTTGGGAGGCCAAGGCGGGCAGATCACTGGAGGTCAGGAGGTCGAGACCACCCTGGCCAACATGGTGAAACCTCATCTCTACTAAAAATACAAAAAACTGGCTGGGTGCAGTGGCTCACGCCTGTAATCCCAGCAGTTTGGGAGGCCAAGGCAGGCCGATCACGAGGTCAAGTGTTCGAGACCAGCCTGGCCAATATGGTGAAACCCCGTCTCTATTAAAAACTCAAAAATTAGCTGGGTATGGTGGCAGGCACCTATAATCCCAGCTACTTGGGAGGCTGAGGCAGGAGAGTCTGCTTGAAACCAGAAGGCGGAGGTTGCAGTGAGTGAGCTGAGAACGTGCCACTGCACTCCAGCCTGGGCGAAAGAGCAAAACTCTGTCTCAGGGGGAAAAAAAAACTAGCCGGGCATGGTGGCAGGCGCCTGTAATCCCAGCTACTCAGGAGGCTGAGGCAGGAGAATTGCTTGAACCCAGGAGGAGGAGGTTGCAGTGAGTCAAGATGACGTCATTGCACTCCCAGCCTGGGTGATAAGAGCGAAACTCTGTCAAAAAAAAAAAAAAGGCTGTAAAATTAGAGCTACACTAAAGACAAAGATGGCTTCCATGTCTATCTCTGGTGGCTGAAATGACCATACTAGCTTACTTTTGAGATTCAAGCCAAACATGATCTACTTCTCATTATATTTACTTTCATAAAGTACTTGGGTTGTCTTACCAAAACCAGATCCTAACCCTTTCCTGTTCAAAACCCTTTTCCTGTATAGACTGAATATCTCTTATTCAAAATGCTTAGGGCTGGGTGCAGTATCTCATGCCTGTAATCCCAGCACTTTGGGAGATCAAGGCAGGAGGATTACTTGAGCCCAGGAGATCAAGACCAGTCTGGGCAACATAGCAAGACCCCGTCCCTACAAAAAAAAAGTTTTTTAATTTGTTGGGCATGGTGGCGCATGCCTGTGGTCCCAGCTACTCAAGGGACTGAGGTGGGAGGATCACTTGAGACCAGGATGTCAAGGGTACAGTAAGCCACGATAGCACCACTACATTCCAGCCTGGGTGACAGAGTAAGACCCTGTCTCAAAAAAAGAAAAAAATGCTGGGGACCAGAAGTGTTTCAGATTTTGAATTTTCTTGGATATTGAAATATGTGCATTATACTTACCACTTGAGCATCCCAAGCTAAAAATCCAAAATCTGAAATGCTCCAATGAGCATTTCCTTTGAGCATCATGTCAGCACTCCTAAGTTTCAGATCTTGGAGCATTTTGGATTTCAGATTTTCAAATTAGAGGTATTCAACTTGTACTTACAATAAAACTTTAAATGTCCATAAAACACAGCCTGTAAGGATTTGGCTCTCACCTGCCCATCATCATCTTCTCATATCACTTTCCTTCTCACTCAAAACCCTTAAAGTTAACATAGCTTTCTTCAATTCTACAAAATGTTAAAGATATTGGCCCCCTCAGGGTGTCATATATGATGTTCTTTCTGCCTAAAATTTTAGTTTTTTTCCCCCATTCTTCATCTATTTATCGTTCAGGTCAACTTAAATAACATGTTAGCAAACATAACTTCTGTGACTCCCTCCTCCCCCAGTTTAAGTTAGGTCCCATGGCTATTTTCCATACCCTATTTTTGATTATGTATTTAAGGTTACATGTTTGTCTATCTCCTCTTCTAGGGCAAGTTAGGGCACTGACTTTGTCTTTGTATTTAAGGTTACATGTTTGTCTATCTCCTCCTCTAGAGCAAGTTAGGGCACTGACTTTTTCTTTTTGGTTCTTCAGTAAATATCCAGTTCCTAGCACAGTGTACAGTGGTGTACAGTAAGTGTCCAAACGTGATCAAATATTGAACGAATCACTCAATGCACAGGAAGAAGAGCAAGTTTGAGGAGAGAAAGGTTTCAGGTTTGGATTTTTAAATCTGAAGTGTCTACACAATATTCAAGAGGAAATGTTAAGCAAATACACAAAATTATCTGGATTTCAGGAGAACGATATGGGACAGGGTGATTGATATGGGAGTAAACAAGTATATGGTAACTGAAGTTACTCAAGGAATGAGAATACAAAGAAAGAATAAATTTTACAACAGAAAAAAAGAGAGGCTAAGACTAAGAAAGAACTATCAAACTCATAGCAGGAAAATAAGATGCAGCCAAACCACAGTGTGTGATACTATGGCAAAGGTGATTTCAAACAGAGTTTGAATATGCTGAATATGCTGGGCACAGTGGCTCATGCCTATAATCCAAAGCTTTGGGAAGTCAAGGTGGGAAAATCACTTGAGCCCAGGAATTCAAGGCTTCAGTGAGCTGTGACTGTGCCACTGCACTCCAGCCTGGGCGACACAGTGAGATACTGTCTCAAAAAATAAAAATAAAAAATAAAGTAGTTCCACATACTACAAAAAGATAAGGTTCGATAAGTAAAAGGAAAAATAGCAGGGTCCTGTGGAGAAGAAAGAAGTAGAAATCTCAGTGATGTCAAGTCAAGGTGTGGTGGGAACAGTGGAATAAGGAAGCTCAGCTGATTGAAGGCTGACATCACATATGACATTAGAGATGTGATTCCCCCAACTGTTGAACCTACCAAAGTATCATATTGTATGTCTATGTTTGTGCATATGTGCATAAACTATAAATAGGTTCCATTTAAAACAGCACTTGATTTATAAGTGTTCTGAGCACGTTTAAGGTAGGCTATGATATTCAGGTTAGGTGGATTAAATGCATTTTCAACTTACAGTACTTACAATACTTTCAATTTACAATGGGTTTATCAGGAGGTAACCCCATTGTTAAGTCCAAGAGCATCTGTATATTAAATAAGGTGTTTTTAAAAAGAAACAGACATAAAATAAGTTATAGACTGAGAGGCTGACAAAAATGTTATGACCAGAGGCTCACAGGAACTTAACCCTGAATTTCCCCTAGGAGTTCAGTATTCATTAATTCAGTGTTCACAGTGCCTTTATAGAACAAAACTACCCCAAACAAGAACAAACTGTACCTTGAATGTGACACCTTTATGAGTGTAAAATTAATGAGACAGGGCAACAGAGTTCATTCATCAAAATAAGGTACCATTTCCCAACATACAGTATTATTGCATGAGAGTACTCAATAACTTGAGTGTCAAACGGTTCAAAACACTAAGTGCTAAAGTTCTATGGAAAAGATTCCTATAGTTCAATATTCTTCCCCAGCTAGGAGGGTAAAGCTGTCTTTTGCCATAATTTGGAGCACATGAAGGTAGGCATCAGAAGCTGAAATACAAAGCCGCCAAAGTTAGAGAAGGAAAAAGTAAGTTCAAAATTGGCAGCAAAAGTAAGGTCTCACTGAATACAAGAAATCAGAAGATTGAGCCTGTGTCCCGATGGGAGTTCACGTAAAGGGCCTAGGAGCAGGTTTGCAACCAGTGAACAGCGAAGATAGATCTTAAGAAACTGCTAATATTTTGATTAGCCACTGTGCTCACACCTTTACATTTCAGGGTATCACCAACCTTTTTCATGCTCTCTCACTCCGAAAAATAATTTTATCCAATTGTGATGGTTAATTTTGTGTCAACTTGGCTAGGCCACAGTTCCCAGGTATCTGGTCAAATACCATTTAGGTGTTTCTGTGAAGACTGTAAGAGATTAACATTTAAATCGGTAGGCCTTGAATAAAGAAGATAGTCCTTCAAAGTGTAGGTGGACCTCATCCAATCAGTCGGAGGCTTTAAAGACTGGCCTTAGCAAAAAGGGAATTCTGACAGAAGACTGTCCTCAGACTGGAACTCCAACTCCTTCCTATGTCTTCCTGCCTGCCAGCCTATCCTGCAGATTTTTGACCTGCCAGCTTCCACAACCACGAGCCAATTCCTTAAAATAAACCAATCTCTCTCTCTCTCCATATATAAATGTGTATATATACACATCCTATTTTTTCTGTTTCTACGGAGAACATCAACTAATACATCAATATAAATTTTGAGATAGAAATGTAAAAATACTAAAGTAACAAAACATTAGCCCTCTAAGACCTGTAAGCTAAACAAGGAAGGAGTCTATTTGGGGTATACTGACCTCACATAACACCTGGCACATCACAGGAATTCAGTATTTGTTGAATGAATGAATATTAGCAAACTTGTATATCCTCAAACAATAACTTCTATTTATTTATTTTTTATTTCAAGAATATTTATTAAAGATGTTAAAAGGTTCAAAACATTTCACCAAAACAAAAAATGTGTTCATTTAACCAAAGATTGATAATTAAAAGACTTTAAAAGCAATACACAAAGTTATATGAATATAAATACCTTAGCCCTTTTAAATTTTAGTTTTCCTAAAGAATCAAAAACCTACGAATATAATATAGAAATTATTTTGCTATTAATAAAATGTAAAATCTTCATTTTTTTAAGCCAAGTACCAAAAAGGCAAAGAAAACTTCCTGCAGTGTAATTGCTTCTCTTTATGGGAAGCCCATAAATGGGCTTTATCTAAAGATAACCCAAAAGTCAAACCTGTTGAAAAGAGTACATGAATTTAATCAGACACAGAGTCTGTTCAAGGTTATGAGTATAGCAGGAGAATACATGACTCTTAGTAATAGCATGAGAAATTCCTGATTACATTGAAAAATTTAGACTTATCAAGAAAAATCAAGAGTACAGATAAAGTTATACTGGAGGTAAACATTGCTTTTTTAGACTTTGAAGATAAAACATTTTAGTATTAGGCCACAACAGCTGGAACTAGAGGCAAAAAATTTCAGGTGTGATGAAAAAACTGAGGAAGAGAGTTGTCATCTCAAGCCTTCTCAAGGGGAGGAAAAGCTGAAAGCAACAAGACACAACAAATGTTGAACCTCTGAGATACGAATCTAAGAAGTTTTTAAAAGAAATTGGTTATATAATTAAAAATCAAAACCTCTTGTAATTTCCCTAAAAGCAAAGCAATACCTTAAGTAACCCCTGTTTTAATGTAAGGGGCTAACCTTTAGAAAGACTATTATAATGGTTTCCTTTTTAATTATAACCAACTTAATTACTTACAACGTTCCTTTTATAAATTCTGTTTCTTATACCTTATAACCACTTACACAGCCCATTTATAACATTTTTTACTTTCTTACTTGTCTTACATTACAGTTCTTTTTAAAAATAACCAGTTATTTTACTTTAAGACAAAAATTTACCACACAAGATCTTTAGATAAAATTATTATTTTTAAACAATCTTACTTACCAAAAATATATTCACATTCATAACTTTTCTCACATCTCTTTTACTTCCTATTTTCTTTTTACCTTTTTTAACTTTTGAATAACTTCTAAATTATACAAAATTATTTTTTCTCAAGAACACAACTTTTAGAATTATATAAGAATTATATATTAACTAGAATTCTTATTCTTAGTAACCTTAAATTTTAGTGAAAACCTAGGAAGCAAGAAATCCTGAACTATCAGATGTGAACATTTTATAGACGAAACCACTCTACAATTTTAGAAATACATTTTCCCATATTATAACCCTTTCTTAGTTAGAAATGACCCAAATATTCAACAAGCATCCAAAATAATTTTACGATTTTAAAATTACATAAAAAGTTTACCTGGAAGCATTTATCCTATTTTTATGCACTTAATTTTTTTTATTTTTAACAGTTTATCTAGATTACTTCTGAAAAATGAAGATATTAGACAAAACTAGTTGTCATTTAAAATTATTTCTGTTAATCATTTATAAAGCCTGTGAACATCAGGTTCACCTGAGTAAGAACCTTAACCACAAGGACATTTTGCCAATAATTCAGAAGCCTCAGCTGTTTTTATTGAACCTGAAATATTTAGCGAAGGTAGATATAAAATAATTGGTGTGAGAAAACACTTTAAACAGTCCACTTTCAAGGCATGATAAATCTAAGTACGTGCAGCCAGCCTGTGGATGTAACAAACCACACAGCTCACGCACCTAGAAGGTCAATAAGCAAACAGAATGTAGAGGAGAGATCAGCCCATAAAAGGGAAGAAAGTTTTGTTATTGGGAAATCAAAACTTAAGTGGGGAAGGGGACTGGGGTATAACCTTATAGGGGGATAATGAAACTTAGGCAACATCCAGGAAGATTGTAACCCCATAGTACTTGACTAGTGAGGAACTCGGGGAGGGACTTATTACATGCTAGGGGATAAATTACCTGCTGTAACTGCCCCAGGTGTGCCTGCCTACCAGACGGCCAGTCTTGCAAGTCTGCCATTAAAAGTCTCGCTTCTGCTGTTCTTCATGTCTCCAAGGGTTTGGCCAGGTGAATATGTGTTTCTCACAATTGGTATATCTGCTGTTAATCACTTATTGTGTCCGGAATTGGTGGGTTCTTGGTCCCGCTGACTTCAAGAATGAAGCTGCAGACCTTCACGGTGAGTGTTACAGTTGTTAAAGATGGTGTGTGTCCGGAGTTTGTTCCTTCAGATGTTCAAATGTGTCCGGAGTTTCTTCCTTCTGGTGGGTTCGTGGTGTCGCTGGCTTCAGGAGTGAAGCTGCAGACCTTGCCATGAGTGTTACAGCTCTTAAAGGCGGCACGGACCCAAATAGTGAGCAGCAGCAAGATTTATTGCGAAGAGCGAAAGAACAAAGCTTCCACAGTGCGGAAGGGGACCCCAGCGGGTTGCCCAACTTCTATTTATTGACTATTGTTTCAGGTACTATGTTGAGAGGTACTTTATCTTTCTTTGTTCAATGTTTTATTTCCACAACATCACTTCAAGACAGCAATTTTAAGTCCCCATTACAGAGATAAGGAAACCAAGACTCAGAGTTGAACTATGTTGCCCATGATAACAGCATCATCAACAGCTAAGACAGTTCAAAGATGTGTATGATTCTTCAAACCTCACAGAAGACTAAGAGAAGATAATAAAATCATTAAAATAGGAGATGTACTCATTCTTCACATTCTGACGTGTAGTCATTTAAAGAGGCAAAGAAATGGTTGTACTTCTCACAGCAAATTGTGAAGTGTGGCATGGCAGTACTAATAGAACATAAAAACCATTTAGCTAAACTTATATTACCTCACAGCTACACATCTAATCTTTTAAGGGTGATGTCACTAGATACATTCACTCCCATATAGTAACAATGTCACTCCCTGAGTCACTAAGTCAGACCTTTCACAGCAGTTCTCGGTAAATTTTCATCAGCTTTCACGATGTTTAGAAAATAATCTGCACACATATTACCAAGCACGAATAAGTGTTTCCGTTTTATTTAACACTTAAGCAGAACATTTTTGACTATACATCTATATAATGCACAGTACTAAAAAAGTGCAAAATATTCATCATAAACATGAGGAAAGTGAATACCACAATGGTTGCATCAACTCAACTAGGCAATTTTGCTCGTTAACAAAAACACAGCTTTTTCTGAAAGTTTTTTGGACGTTAACAGCTGTTCAACATCATCTTCCATCTAATTCCTTCTGAACTGCTTCAGGTTGCCTAGCACATATGCAGCTGGTGTTAAGAAGGTCGTAAAAAACACCACAAGTCCAACAGCCATTTCCTGGAAGAGAAGATGACACGCGCTGCTGAGTATGGCTTCCTAGGCCAGTGACTTGCTGCCTAACAAAAAGTGCTTAAAAAAAACATTTTGAGCACCTAGACCGTTGTCCTAGAAACAGGCGCCTAGTGAAATCTAAAATGCTGAAAATCGATTCATGGATCACCTGATTTTTTTTTTTAATTCATTTTTCATCTAAGGGGTCTCCGGTTCCAACCTTCGCACTCTGGAACTTCGATGTGGCCCAGGATTTCCACCATTTTATCGAAAACGCTAGATCTTCGCAGTGCCGAGGACGTCCGAGGATGGTAAATCATTCCTCCGCGAAACCACAGCCCCGCCCCCGAGCCAGGTGCCGGTAAAGGGTAACAACGAAGGAGGCCCAATCCCCGCGCGTTCCTCAGGGTCCCGGGCTTTCCGCCCCTGTGCCCGACGACGGCATCCTCACCGCGACCCTCTCCCAGGAACCTCCCCCAAAGGCGACCAAGCCACAGGAACCTCCCCCAACGGCGACCAAGCCACAAGAGCCTCCCACGCGAGGCCTGCACGCCGTGTCCTCCCTTCTCCCCACCCGTCGGGGCGCCCCGCCAGGGCCACGCGCTTCCCGCCCACCATGATGGCTGGGCCTCAACTCACCGCGGCAGACAGGGGCCGCTGGCGCGGGGGCCCCGAGTGGGCGAAGCGGGGAGCGGGCTGCAGGCCGAGCAGGGCCAAGCGGCGGTAGTGGCGGCGGGCAGGACAGCGCCCACGCAGGAGAGGCATATCGCGTCAGGTGAGACAAAGCCAGGCGTGGACAGCACAGGTGAGGTGAGGCCAAGTAACGCAAGCTCCAGTGCTCGTGAGGCAGCTGGTTTGCGCAGGCGCCCCAGCCACGAGGGGGCGCTCTGCCCTCGCCCCCTACCCCACCCCTTCTGCCCAGCACCTCCTGCTCTGCCCCGCCTCTTCCGCTCACCACTCCTTTCTCTGTACTGCCCTTTCCACTCAGCAGTCCGTGCTTTGCCCCACCCCCTCTGCTTAGCACCACTTGCTCTGCACCACCCCTTCCACCCAGCACACCCCTGCTCTGCTCCACTCTCTTCAGTTCAGTACCCCCTGCTCTGCCCCGCCTTTTCCACTCAGGGCTCCCTGCAACCTCCCAGCCCTCATTCACCTCACTTTCCACCCACGTGTCCTATCCTCTCCTAAACTCTCCTGCCACCCTCCCCTGAGCCCCAACCCCACCTCACACTAAGTATCTCTTTTCTGCAGGGTAAGGTGAGGGACTTGGCACCCCTACTCCTTTCCTTTGTCTTCCTCTCTACCTATACTTTATATACCTCTTAACATGCCCTGGCATTGGCAGAGTTTATAGCACACTGTTTCTAATGCAAATTAAATCTTCCATAAAATGTCTATAGGTTAATTCTTAACACTGAAAACCAAGAACAAGTTTCTATAGTCGGCTGATGATATAAAAAATATTCATGGCAGGGTCAAATAGAGTGTTTGGACCCAGTAGAAACAGTGATGTAATTATCTGTCACTACGGCTAATTTTCTTATTTTTTTGTAGAGACAGGTCTCACTGTGTCACCCAGGCTGATCTCAAACTCCTGGGCTCAAGCCATCCTCTTGTCTCAGCCTCCCAAAGTACTGGGATTACAGGCATGAGGCACTGTGCCCAGACCCTCTTGAGGGAAAAGTAAATATACTGTGATTTTTAAATTTAGTACTGTAATAAAACTTTATCCACTACAATGATCCTGTGTCTTCACATTATTTCTTTTGGGGGCCTATTGCACGAGTAACACTCTAGGGTTTCTCTGGATTCCTCTGTTCCTGCAGCCTGGTATCTTCCTCTTTCTTAGATTTCTTTTCGTTTTGCTGTAGTACATCCTTAAGCTGTTCTTTCAGGAAGGGTTTGTAGGTGATAAAGTTCCTCAGTCCTTGGAAATCAAAATATATATATATTGGTCTCCATTTAAATGCTAATTTGAATGGTTATAGAACTCTGGGCTCAAAATCATTGTCCTTCAGAGATTTTCAAAAGGCATTGTTCCTTTCTTTTCCAGCATCTAGTGAGCCGATAAATATAATGCCAATATAGTTGTCATTCCTTTGAGTACCCTCTTTTTTCCTTTTGGGAATCTTTTAGGCATTCCTTTTTGTCTTTGGAATTGTGACGTTCCTCCAGGATACTGTTAGATATGGGTATTTTTCCATTCATATGGATTAGCAGTGGGTAAGACCTTTCTATCTGAAGTCATGGTTCTTTAGCCATAGGAGCACTATTCCTATTTATTTGCTTCTCTGTTTTCTTTGTTCTCAACCTAAAATTCTTATTGACGGACACTGGCCCTTCTTAGCGGGTCACCTCTGTCTTTCAACCTTTTTCTCACTCATCAACGTTTTGTCCCTTGTTCTACATTTTGCAGGATTTCCTTGACTTTTTCTTCTAGCCCATGATTTTTTATTTTAGAATTATAGTTTTAAAACATACTATTTTTTGCTTTTACAGTCACCTGTTAGTATTTTATAGATATTATCACTTTAGATTTCTTTCAGAATATTAATCTGAACTTTTAAAAAGTTATCTCTATTCCATGAACTGTGTTTCTTTAGCGTACATTCTATTTATTTATTTTGAACTTGCCAGTTTTATTCAAGTATCTTATGATCCTTGGTTGTCATTTCATGCTTATGAATATGAAGAAGCAGGTCAGTTACTTTTGTTCCTTTCTGTTACTGTCTCAGTCTGTTCAGGCTGTTACAATACAACAGACTGGATGGCTTATAAATGACGGAAATGTATTTCTTACAGTTCTGGATGCTAGAAATTCAAAATCAATGTGCTGGTAGATTTGATGTCCAGTGAGGGCCCACTTCCTTGTTCTGGTTGTGTCCTCGTATGATGGAAGCAACAAGGTAGCTCTCTAGGGCCTCTTTTATAAGGGTACTAATCCTATTCATGAGGGCTGTGGTATGATCTAATTACTTCCCAAAGGCCCCGCCTCCTAACTCTGGGGCATGTTTCACCATGTTGCCCAGGCTGGTCTTGAACTCCTGGCCTCAAGCAATCCACCTGCCTCGGCCTCCCAAAATGTTAGGATTACAGGAGTTAACCATCATGCCCAGCCCATGTTACATTTCCACTGGGCAACTGTGCTCTGGAATCTTACCCTAACCAATCAAGGACCTGCATGAACCATGGCTGGCCACCTCCCTAACCTCATCTCCTTGTTCTCAGTCTTCCCTTGGCTCATCCTGCCCAGTCACATCAGGTAAACTCTAATTTTGCCTTAGATATCCCCAGATAATAATTTGAGCACCTGTGATTTACACGAGTCCTGTAAGAAATGATTTAGTGCAACATTGCTCTGTTTCCTGGCCACAGTTGTTACACTACTTGACTCAAATATTGGACCAAAGAGAGGGCTGGGACCCAGTCTGTTGGTTGGGATGGATGTTGTAACTTGGGAGCCATGTTTTTTTTTCCCTGCCTAGCAAGAAAGCCCTTCCACAGTGAGTTAATAATGTAGCCAAGCTGCTCAAAGAACCAGAGATAAGAACCAGAGGGAATATCCTGCCTGTGTTCAAAGCCCTGGTTTGAATTCTCCCTATTCTGAAGTTAGGACACTTTCCTCTCCTTGAGTTCTGGGCCTCTCTTTATATACTTTATGATAAATCCTGCTTTGGGCTTAAACTAGGTGGTGCTGCATTTCTATTGCTAACAACAAAAGAGCTTTAAGAAAGACGATATTAGTCAAGACTTTTTTCTTTGGGTAATACCCCATTTTTAATTTTTAAAAAGCAACAAAAATTCTGAAGTAAAGTGAGAAAGAGCCCAATAATAGGCAAGCTTGACTGGTTTAATCCTAATCTTGAGAAGTTTAGAAGAGAGTGCAATTCAAGTGAGATTTAAGCATTTTAGGTCTTTCTCTGTAACAAAAGCCTTAAAACACTTTCGACAGTGGTGACTCCAAATTCAGCCACAACACAATTAAGCTCCCTGCCACCCACCCCCACCCCAGGAGACAGCTCTTTTAGCTGCTCAAATTACCAATACAAACAACATTCCTCAGTTTAATTTCTGCAAGTCACAAAAGACTAGCACTGTTAACTCAAACCTCTACAATTTTCAATAAAGGGTTTAGTGGGCTGGGATTCGATGTATTCTCAGTGACCCACAATGCAAGAACTTCCTTCTGCAGTTATATAAAAGAACTTAATTAGAGCTATAACCTAGAGATCAGGTTTTCTGAGCTGTATGTACACAATGAATGAGAAAGACACCCTCGCCCACTTACCTTTTATAATGTGATTTTTATAAATATTCATGCTCTAAATAAACTGGTGTTAAAGTTCTAGAAAATTATATAATGAATTAAGATTGCACTACCTCAGCCCCAAATATCTCAAATTCATTCCTCTCTAGAAAAACATGTTTAATTCTGATTCAAGAACCAAAGGCTTCAGAACAAAAGTCTCTGAAAAATAGGGGAGGAAAAAAAAAGAACCAAAGGCCTTTGAGGAACAAAGTGTTTCTCTTTGTATTTGCATCTGTCTTTACAATTGCACAACCTCAATGATCGAGATACTCAGATAAGTAAGCAACAAAAGCAGAAGAGTTGCAAAAGTGGGAAACATATTCAAGTTCTGCAACTGGCAACATCAGTAACACACTTGGATTGCAAGCACAACAGTAATAGAAGATGATATAAGAAGACATGCCCCTTGCTCCCCTTTGCCTTCTACCATGATTGTAAGTTTGCTGAGGCCTCCCCAGCCATGCAGAACTATGAATCAATTAAACCTCTTTTCTTTATAAACTATCCAGTCTCAGGTAGTTCTTTATAGCAGTGTAAAAACAGACTAATATAGAAAATTGGTAACAGGAGTGGGGTACTGCTATAAAGATAACTAAAAATGTGGAAGTCACTTTGGAACTGGGTAATAGGCAGAGGTTGGAACAGTTTGGAGGGCTCAGAAGAAGACAGGAAGATGTGGGAAAGTTTGGAACTTCCTAGAGACCTGTGGAATGGTTTTGACCAAAATACTGATAGTATGATATATGATACCATGCTGATAGTATGATATATGGACAATGAAGTCCAGGCTGAGATAGTCTCAGATGGAGATGAGGAACTTATTGAGAACTAAAACAAAGGCCACTCTTGCTATGCCTTAGCAAAGAGACTGGCAGCATTTTGCCCCTGTCCTAGAGATCTGTGAAACTTTGAACTTGCAAGAGATTACTTAGGGTATCTGGCAGAAGAAATTTCCGAGCAGCAAAGCATTCAAGATGTGACCTAGCTTTTTCTGAAAGCATACAGTCATATGCATTTATGAATGGATGGTCTGAAATTGGAACTTATGCTTAAAACAGAAGCAGAGCATAAAAGTTTGGAAAATTTGCAGCCTGACCATGTGGTAGAAAAGAAAAACCCATTTTGTGGGGAGAAATTCAAGCCACCAACTACAAAAATTTGCATAAGTAAAGAGAGGCCAAATGTCAATGGCCAAGACAATGAGGAAAATGTCTCCAGGGTATTTCAGAGATCCTCACAGCAGCCCCTCCCATCACAGGCCCAGAGGCCTAGGAAGGAAAAATGGCTTCATGGGGTGGGCCCAGGACCCTGTTTCTCTGTGCAGCCTCAAGACATGGTGCCCTGTGTCCCAGCCACTCCAGCTCCAGCCATGGCTAAAAAGGATCAAGGTAGAGCTTGAGTCATTGCTTCAGAGGGAACAAGCTCCAAGCCTTGGAAGCTTCCATGTGGTATTGGTCCTGTGGGTGCACAGAAGACAAGAGTTAAGCTTTGGGAGTCTCCACCTAGATTTTAGAGGATGTATGAAAACTCTTGGATGTCCAGGCAGAAGTTTGCTGCAGGGGCAGAGCCCTCATGGAGAATCTCTACTATGGCAATGGAGAGGGGGAAATGTGGGGTTGCAGCCCCCACACAGAGTCTCTACTACAGCACTGCCTAGTGGAGCTGTGAGAAGAAAGCCACCATCCTCCGGAACTCAGAATGTTAGATCCACCAACAGCTTGCACCATGCACCTGGAAAAGCCACAGGCACTCAACACCAGCCTGTGAAAGCAGTCACGGGGCCTGTATCCTGCAGAGCCACACAAGAATAGCTGCCCAAGGCCTTGGGAACCCACCTCTTGCATCAGTATGTCTTGGATGTGAGACATGGAGTCAAAAGAGATTATTTTGGAGCTTTAAGATTTAATGGCTGCCCTGTTGGGTTAACTGTGGCATGCCCTTGGCAGAGAGGAGGGGTTCATTTAGATGGTGGGGGAGGCCTTAGAATTTTATTTTTGGTTTACATTCACTGCAGCCTTGAACTCCTGGATCCAAGCAATCCTCCCACCTCAGCCTCCCAAGTAGGTGGGAACACAGGCATGCACCACCATGCCCAGCTAATTTTTTTTTTTTTTTTTTTTGTAGAGACAGAGTCTCACAATTTTGCTTAGGCTGATGGTCTCAAACTTCTGGGCTCAAGCAATCCTCTTGCCTCAGCCTCCGAAAGTGCTAGGATTGCAGGCATAAACCACCACACCTGGCATCTTTTCATCATTTTTTTTCTTTTTGAGACGGAGTTTCACAGTTGTTGCCCAGGCTGGAGTACAGTGGTGCGATCTCAGCTCACTACAACCTCTGCCTCCCAAGTTCAAGCGATTCTCCTGTCTCAGCCGCCTGAGTAGCTGGGATTACAGCCATGTACCACCACGCCTGGCTCATTTTTGTATTTTTAGTAGAGACGGGGTTTCTCCATGTTGGTCAGGCTGGTCTCGAACTCCTGACCTCAGGAACTCCCAATCCACCCACCTCGGCCTCCCAAAGTGCTAAGATTGCAGGCGTGAACCACTGCACCCGGCCACCTTTTCATTTTTAAATTTCACATTCCTCTTCTTCTCCTGAATTACATCTAGATATTCTTCAATGGATTTCTGTTATACTGACATGAAAAGATTGGCAGTTGGGGTCCAAAAGATCAAAGGTCAAATTCCAGCACTATCATTTACTAACCACATAGCCTCAGGAAAATAAAGCATATTTCTCTTAGAATGTGGATATGGAGGTTAAATCAGACAGTATGTGTATCCATTATTAGATTAAGTGTAGCCTGAAGCTGCGTCCTTACGTATTTTAACTTGGGCCTAAAGGTTTCTCGTAGGCCAGACATGGTGGCTCACACCTGTAATCACAGCACTTTAGGAGGCTGAGATGGGCAGATTGCTTGAGCCCAGGAGATTGAGACCAGCCTGGGCAACATGACAAAACCCCATCTCTACAAAAAATACAAAAATTATCCAGGTATGGTGGTGCACATCTGTAGGCCTAGCTACTCAGGAGGCTGAGTTGGGAGAATCATCTGAGGCTGGGGAGGTCAAGACTGCAGTGAGCTATAATCATGTCACTGCACACCAGCCTGGGAAACAGAGTGATACCCTGTCTCAAAAAAAAAAAAAAAAAGTTTCTCCTACATAGTGAACTGTAACCTGACTGGATGTATAAACAGATTGTAAACTACTTTCGTACTAATCACAGAGTTTTGGCCAGGCCAGTCATAGGTGGCCTTCTTTTTTTTTTTTTTTTTTTTTTTGAGACAGCGTTTTGCTCTGTCGCCCAGGCTAGAGTGCAGTGGCGCAATCTCTGCTCACTGCAAGCTCCGCCTCCTGGGTTCATGCCATTCTCCTGCCTCAGCCTCCCGAGTAGCTGGGACTACAGGCACCCGCCACCATGCCTGGCTAATTTTTTATATTTTTAGTAGAGATGGCATTTCACCGCGTTAGCCAGGATGGTCTCGATCTCCTGACCTCGCGATCCGCCCACCTTGGCCTACCAAAGTGCTGGGATTACAGGCATGAGCCACCGCACCCAGCATAGGTGTCCAACTCTTAAAACCATATTCAAATAAGGCAACTGCCAAGTTGTAACCAGTCCAGGTGTTTCTATAGCTGTCATGAACAGCACAAGGTCAGACATAACCAGGTCCATGCACTTTTGTGTCTTTCTACAAGGTCAAACATTTTTTGATGCTTATTCAATCACGAAAGCCATGAGCTAATAGAGTAACCAAACAGGCCATTCTCCTTATTACTTCCCGTTCACTCTAGTCAGAGCCATGGGGGCACAGACTCAAGCCAATCCACAAGTCAGTCAATATTGCAACCATACATACTAGCATATTTAATGTGTAAATGTCATAGATTAAAATTTCCACATCAAAGTAAAATTTAACATCAGGAGAAAAGAAAATAGTAAAAGGGGTTAACAAACCAGTACAAGGAGAGCAACACGGACAAACAGAATGTCCTGAGCTAATCCAGACAGTCATCAACATCTTTCAAGGAAAAGTCTGTGATTTGGGCAGAGCCTTCAGAGGCAAATGCCAGGTGCTGACCACGAGTAACAGAAAGACAGTATCTGTTAAAATGGCCATCTAGGCCGGGCGCAGTGGCTCACGCCTGTAATCCCAGCACTTTGGGAGGATGAGGCGGGTCGATCACGAGGTGAGGAGTTTGAAACCAGCCTGGCCAACATGGTGAAATCCCGTCTCTACTAAAAATACAAAAAATTAGCCGGGCGTGGTGGCAGGCACCTGTAGTCCCAGCTACTCGGGAGGCTGAGGCAGGAGAATGGCGTGAACCCGGGAGGTGGAGCTTGCAGTGAGCCGAGATCACGCCACTGCACTCCAGCCTGGGCAACACAGTGAGACTCTGTCTCAAAAAAAAAGAAAAATAAAGAAAAAAATGGCCATCTAGAGCTGATCAAGTCCTGCTAAAGTCTTTGAGTCATCTGGTGAGGGCTGATAGTAAAGGGTTACACTCTAATCTGGTTGGGGGTTGTCTCTGTGTGAACATCTGTACCCTGTTGGCATGATGCCTTTTAAAATATATGATGGAGTCTTTTTCTAAGATGGCATTACTTATGTCAAGGATGCTCTATTTAGTACCTCACCTCCATTTTCTGTACATCACTTTCCTTTTCCTATCCATAAATATTCTCAGACTGCATAGCAGCTCTAGAGTCACTCTGAACCTCTTCTGGTTAAGGGGTCTGCCCAATTTACAAATCATTTTAACCAAGTAAACTCTATTAAATTTAATTTGTCTGAAGTTTTTTTTGTTTGTTTTTGAGACGGTCTTACTCTGTCACCCAGGCTGGAGTGCAGTGGTGTGATCTCAGCTCACAGCAACCTCCACCTCCCAGGCTCAAATGATCCTCCCACCTCAGCCACCTGAATAGCTAGGACTACAGGCACATGCCACCACACCCAGCTAATTTTTGTCTTTTTTTCATAGAGACAGAGTTTTGCCATGTTGCCCAGGCTGGTCTTGAACCCTTGGGCTCAAGAGATCCACCCACCTGGGCCTTCCAACCTGCTGGGATAACAGCCATAAGCCACTGCACTCAGCCGTTCAAGTCTTTTGTCATTCCTGTTTGGTTGTCTTGTTCTTACTAAATTGTAAGCATTCTTTACATATGCTGGATATAAGCTCTTTTTTGGTTTTATGTATTACAAATATCTTTTTCCATTGTATGGCTTGTCTTTTTCCCCCACTGTGTATGTGTTAGTCCGTTTTTGTGTTGCTAGAAATACCTAAGTCTGGGTAATCTATTTTAAAAAGAGGTTTAATTGGCTCACAGTTCTGCAGGCCTTACTGGTGAGACCTTAGAAAGTTTATAATCATGGTGGAAGGCAAAGGGAGAGCAAGCAGTGTCACATGGCAAGAGATGGACTGGTCGGTGGGAGGTGGTGCACACTTTTAAACAACCAGATCACCAGTGAATTCAGAGAACTCACTCATCCCAAAATGTCACAGGATCCTTCAGGTGTTGCTTCGCCAGCTGGAAACCTCTGTGGCCGGCAGCACCTCTGCTTGAGTTTTGCTCACACCTGCTAGGCTCATTCTGCCCACTCAGCCTGGCAGGCTGCGCTCGGCTTGTGCTACCAGCCTGGATCCCATGCTTGCCAAGGGCGAGCCAGGCGCAGAGCAGTGAGGGGTATGTGAGTGAGCCAGCATGGGATCTGGCCACTGCACACAGCCAGGTACACTGGCTGCTGGGGTGAGGTGGGCAGCTCCAGGCACTGGCATAGACACCAGCTCCATGTGAGGCTGCAGCTGGACCAGACATACCACAAGCGGCTTCTACTGTGGGCACCAGCATCTGGACAAGGCAAACACAGTGGCACCCAAAAGCTTGGAAACACCAGGAACCACAGAGCCCCAAAGGGAGTGTTACAGCATGTCACAGCCCTAGTTTGGGGAGCCCTGAGGTCTAGGCTCCCAGAAGGGCTGCAGCTCTTCTCTCCTCCTTGTCACCCACAGCATGGCAAGCAGAGGGGTGTGTTTCAGGGGGGCATGTTTCAGCCCATTTGTGTTAAAGCTCTTTCAATCCCACCACCCCACTCCAGGCTGCAGCTCCTGGGCTGGCCCAGCCCTGCCACTGCTTCCTATCATGTGAGGTGGCAGCCCAGCACCTGCAGAGGGCAGGAGGGCTATAGTGTTACAACTCTGGGTTGGGGAATCCCCAGGTCTGGGCCCCAGAAGGTTCGCCACTCTTCACTCCTACAGTCTGGGAGTATGTCACCATCCACAGGTCAGCTAGCCAGTCAGGAAAGTGTTACAGCTCCTTTCACTCCTGCCACTCGAAGGTTCCCGAGTTCTTGTCCCATGTCAAGGAAGAATAAGTTACATGGACAACTGGAGGGGAAACAAACTTAAGAAGAGCTTTTTTGGGCAACCAAACAGCTCTCAGAGGAGCCAAGACCCAAAGTGCGTAGACTCTATGAGTCTGTGAGTTAGGCTGGGTCTGGGGGTTTTTATTGGCTCAGAATGAAGTGCATGCTGATTGGTCCATGGGCAGGAAGAAATGCATGCTAATTGGTCTGTGGGCGGGCCTGGAAAAAGCACTACTTTATTGGCTGAAAGGCATCAAGGAAGTTCTCACTCCAGGTCGTGGACTTCACTGGGAACTGGCAGCCTGGCCCCCAGGCTTTAGGCCATCTCTGGTTTGAAGGTGGGGTTTCACCAGGGACCCACCCCTTCCCACCTAGGAACCTGTCTGCCTCCCACCACCATCACAAGGGGATAGTGTGAAGCCATTCATGAGGGATCTGCCTTCATGATCCAAACACCTCCCACCAGGTCCCACTTCCAACACTGGCGATTACATTTCAACATGAGATTTGGAGGGGACAAACATCCAAACCATATCAGTACATTTTGATGCACTTAAGTTCATATTTTAAATACAGTTGAATCTATGAATCTTGTCTTCATGATTAATGTTTTCTGTGACTTGCTTGTCTTTTCTTCCCCAAGGCAATGAATATTTTCCAATATTATTTTCTAAAACCTTTATTAATTGTATTATTTGTTAATTTAATAATTATTAAGGCCATGTGCAGTGGCTCACGCCTGTAATCCTAGCACTTTGGGAGGCCAAGGTGGGCGGATCACGAGGTCAGGAGTTTGAGACCAGCCTGGCCAACATGGTGAAACCCTGTCTCTACTAAAAATACAAAAAATTAGTCAGGCATGGTGGCACGCACCTGTAATCCCAGCTACTCGGGAGGCTGAGGCAGGAGAATCACTTGAACCCAGGAGGCGGAGGTTGCACTGAGCTGAGATTGCGTCATTGCACTCCAGCCTGGGTGACAGAGCAAGACTCTGTCTCAAGAAAAAAAAAAATTGAAAATTGAATAATTATTAAGCACTTCTTAATTAAGCATCTACAAGGTACTTATCACTGTTCTGGGGTTTTCAATCCTCTTCACCTTTTAGACTTCAGGAAATTCAGAAAAATGCATGAAAACAGGATTGTTACATGCAGAGAAATAGGGGGAGATAAAATTTGTCTTTTCTCCTTAATTTCAAAAACCCAGCTTCCATCCTGTATTTCCAGGAAGATGAGTGTGGGAATGGGTTTCAGTGGATGGTTATGTGTGGTAAAAAAGGGGGGTACAAAGGAAGGAAAAGACTGGAGTGACAGACCATGGAATATACCATGAAATGTTGATTACTCTTATTTTCAACATAGATGACCAGGTGGATGGGATGCCATTCACTGATGGAGGGAGTGGAGAAAGGAACAAAACATAAATTCAGGACTTTTGGTTGAAAGCCACAGAAGTTCACTGTTTTTACCCATTTCCAACTAACTTAAGATAAAAAGAGGTGTTAGGGCAACTTAATGGCTTCTAAAAATGAAAAGACCAGGGATGGGTTGGTTTCAGGCCCAGGTAGGCCCAGGTATTCAAATGATGTCATGGTTTTCCTTTCTCTCACTTTGTTTCTTTGTTTATGGTCTTCCTCCTTTCCTACCGCACATGGCTTTCTCCTCATTGGCAAACAAAGCCAATTTACATGTCCTTTCGAGTCATAATCCCGGAGAAATAGAGTAAGAAGAAACATCTCCTCTGAGAGTGTGGCAAAAATTTCCAGAAAAGGTTCTGGTTGACCTATTTGTGTCATATGGCCATCCAGATCTATCTGATTCTAGAATGCATGCTGTTAACCACTACTTAGTACCATCTTAACACTAGCCTTAAAAAAATGTTTTTCACTCTGTCTTCTTATTTAGATTCTAAGCTCCTTAAGTACAAAGATCCATTTATTTTTTACCCCCAGCATGTAGTACCGTGCTTGGCACATGGTACTGGATACTTTAAATGTGTATCGGACTGAACTAAAATAAACATCTAAATTCTGATGAGTGTGTAAACTGAGCTAATTCAGGATCTCAAAAGTACAGTTAAATGGTATAATAAGGAAACAGTGAATGAATTAAAGGGTAGAAAAAAATCATGGATCACTTACAAATGGTTTCTAGATCCAAACAGTCTACTAGAAGTCTCCAGCTGTGCAGATAGACAAAAGGACAAGGTGCAACCAGCAGACCTTACTTGGCTTTTCAAAAAGTTTTAGATTTCCACATCAAAGGCTGTTAGAAAAAGTGTTATCCTGAAATTACTTAGAATTCTATTGTTGTTGATACCATTTTAATTTTGTTTTTTAAATTGTGGCTAGGAAATAGAAGCAAAGTCAAGTAATAAAGGTTAGTAATAAGTGTAAACAGTGGGGACTGATCTTATTTAACATTTCCATAAATTATAAAGAAGCAGTGTTTACACACCGCTTTTTAGTTTGCTAATCATAGCTCTTTCAGTTAATGCAATACAGTCATCCCCCATATACTATATACGTGGGATTGGTTCCAGGACCCACCACATATACCCCAATCCAAGCATACTCAAGTCTGCCTGTCCGTCCTGTGGAATGTGAGTATAAGAAAAGTCGGCCCTCTCAATACGGTGTTTAGAATCCCATGTACCAGGTTGCATTGATCGATCCGCACAGTTCAAACCCGTGTTGTTCAAGTGTTAACTGTATTTAGCAAATTAAGACAAAGGTAAAATGATGGAAAATAACAGTAAATGGCTTGAATTTAGATAAGGTTCACTTACGCCTTTGGGGAAGTATAAAAGTGTGGAACAAGAGGTGGACACTCAGAGGTAATCATTGGCTCCAATTAGATGGACCTATTTCTTTTATATTTTCTCACTTTTCCATGCATTTCTTGTCTATCGCCCTGAGGCTGTATGTTCAACTGAAGTGACCCTTACCAGCTAGAGGGGAATTTCAGGCAAGGGACTGCTACAATCTCTGCTACAATCTCCAAACCTTCAAGGATTGGGTAAGAGGGTGAAAAGGGTGAGATGGGTAAAGAAAATGAAGTAATACAAATTGGAAAGAGCTATCCTTTTCAAGGAAGTAAGGTGATGAAGAATGAGGGTGAGGAAAATACAAATCTGAAGGAAGTCCAGAGGAAAACAACAATGATATTGTCTCCAACTGAATATGAAAAGCATAAAATAATGGAGGGTCAAGAGATGGTTAAAAACACATCACAAAATTCCAAATTGCTCTTATCCTTTGAAGCTTAGAGGTGGTTTCAGAACAACAACAACAAAAAACTGTGTGACACAAAACTTGTTAAACAATGGGTAGAGATTGAAAATGCAAATACAATACTTTCAAATAAATTCCCAGAGTTGCTAATGTCTATCAGAGGAAAAGGAGGTGTAACGGTGCCTCCTCACTGGGTTCAGAATGCCTGGGTTCTGATCTTGGCTTGCCTACTTGTTAGTATTTCTGAGCCTGTCTCCTTGGTTGTAAAACAGCAATAAAAACACCTATCCTGACTACCACAAAGGGTGGCTTTGGCGTTCAAATGAAACCATGGATCTCTCTGGAAAACGACAGTGCCCCATAAATACAGTATTTTTGTTATTGCATCGCTGAAATTATTGCAAACCCCCAAACAAGGGGCATCTAGGGAAGAGCGACTTGGCTCTCCCACGTGGCGACTGTGTGTTTTCATCAATTTTGTCCTTTGTTTACAGGGGTATCTTGTTAAGGAAAACTTTTCAGTGTCTTAAAGATTATTTTTTAACCTACTACACAAGTAGCAAGGTGGTGCCTGTAAAAGTACCATGCAGACAAGTGCTTACGATAGACAAGTGCTCACTGCCAAGAAGCAGCCACCGGAATGCCAGGACTGTCAGCAATGACTTTCCGCGGAAGAGTTGTTCTCGAGAAAGATGCACTCATTGCATGCGACCACCCGAGGGACGCCGGCCGCCGAACGGAAACATGAATTCGTGGAAATGGCCATCTGGTGACGTAGTAGTGACACAGTTCTTATATTCTGATACATTTAATAATGTGTCACAATTCGCTGGACTAAGCAGGATGCTGCCACAAGAGGCAAACTCCCAGCGACCCGACGCCCGGCTCCCAGCCGACGAGCAAAAATAATGCGCGCGCACTCCGCTCCCATGGATCCAGCGAACGCACCGCCCCCCCACGCGGCCCGACTCGCGCGGCGACGTCGGGCCACGTGACCCTGAGCGGGACGACGGCAGGGGAGGGCGGGGGCTCCGGCCGGCTCCGCAGCGCCGCGCAGGCGCCCCAGGGCCACGCCGAACCGAGCCCCTCCTGCTCCGTCTAGGAGTCAAAATGGCGGCGAGGGGAACCTGGAGCAGTCCCGGAGCCTGAGCCACTGACAGGAGAGGAGAGGGCGGCGGCGGCGGCGGTGGGAGGAGGATGGCCGGGGGTGCTGGCGCCGGTGCGGACGGCGGTGCTGGTGGCGGCGGCGGCGGAGGCGACGGCAGCGGTCCCAGCGGCAGCAGCAGCGGCGGGAGGAGCCTCCGGGGTGAGTGTCCCTTGGTGTCTCTGAGGCTGTGGAGCCGAGGCTGTGTCCGGTGTGGCGCGGGGCGTCCGGGAGAGGAAGGGGCTGTTCTTAGGCGTGGGGGCGCCGGGGCTGGGGCCAAGCCGCCGCGGGAGGCGCTGGGGCGCCGGGCGGGGAGGGGCCAGTCGTCCGTCTGGGGCTGAGGCGCGGCGGCGCCGGACTGGCCGGTCTCTGTGCGCTCCGAGGGGCGGGCTGGAGCGCGCCGCCGTCCCTGGGGCAGGGGCGCGAGGTGTGGCGCTCGGGGCGGGGAGAGCGGCCCGAGGGAGTCGCGACGGCAGCCCGGCCGGCTTTGGGCTCCGGGCGCCGAGGGGCGGGACCCGTCGCTCCCAGGACGCTGAGAAACCGCTCCCGAGACGGGGGCGCGTGTTTACCCGGGTGCGGGGTTGCGACCGCCAGGGGTGGGCGTGAGAGTGGCCGGCGGGGTCTGGGAAGGGAGCAGGCCTGAGGACTGCTACTCCCAGGGGAAGTTAGATTGTCCGGGTAAGTTACTATTGCGGGATAAACCTGGAATTGAGCTTTGACAGGTTGGGAGGGAGACAATACCGAGTGTTTGATAAAGAAGAGGAGGCTGTGCTTGTTGGACTACTTGAATGGCAAAAAGTGTGCATATTTCAGTACCTTATTTGCACAGTGTTTGCTAGCTTTACCCCGAGGGTGAGAACTTTCTCACCGTTTTTCAAGAAACTCTGAGGAGTGTTGTTTCTCCTGTGAACTACAATTGCACGTCTTCACATACCAGCACAGATAATAAGTACTCTGGAGTAGGCCTAATTTACAGAAGCAGTCTTGGTTATCTACACCAGAGCACTGTTAACTCTGCGAAAACATCTTACTGTAATGAGAAAGTAGACATTTTTACAGAATTACTTAGCTTTTTCAACTAACAACCTTTTTGGGGGGGGGGAGACGGAGTCTCGCTCTGTCACCCAGGCTGGAGAACAGTGGTGCGATCTCGACTCACTGCAACCTCCGCCTCTCAGGTTCAAGCGATTCTCCTGTCTCAGCCTCCCAAGTAGCTGGGATTACAGGCGCCCGCTGCCACGCCCGGCTAGTTTTTGTATTTTTAATAGAGACGTGGTTTCACCATGTTGGCCAGACTGGTCTCGAGCTCCTGACCTCTGGTGATCCGCCCGCCTCGTCCTTCCGAACTACTGGGATTGCAGGCGTGAGCCACCGCGCCCGGTCTGGTCAACTAACAATCTTTTGTCCCTAATAGCATCTGTTTCCTTTAGATTGCTGAAATGAATTGCTTTCTTCCTGAAATGTGGAAGAAAGACTTGAAATTGCTTTGCAAGAATCATACGTTGTTAATAGCAACTGTTATTAGACTTGTCATGGAATTTTGGAGTCAGAAAAACTTTTAGAGATCTAAAGGTGTGAATATTGTTTTAGAGCCGGGAAACCAGACCCAGAGAGGCGAGTGACTTGTTGTGGATCCTACAGCTGGCGATGGATTAGACCAAAACTAAGATGTAGGCCTCTACACCCCATTACCCCATTTAGAGAGCTCATTGTTACTACACTGCTGAGCTGCTTACTTTTCATTGATTGCATTCTTCACCATTCACTACCTACCCCTATCCATAGGGTTTTGGTGTAATAAAGTTGAAAGCGAAAATGAGAGCCTCTGTCTCATTCTGACAGCTACTTCAAGTAACTGATGAAGATTTTTTTTTTTTCCTAACCTGAACTTAATAAAAACGGAGTGATATTTCGTTTGGAGTTTTCTTAGGCTCATGACTACATTTTCACCCAGTTTTAGCATGGCTCATTCTTGCATGAATTCAGTAAAACTCATAGGTCAATATTCTGTCCCACAAAACCTGACTACTGTATTGTTTTGTGTCCCAACACCAGCATTTAAACAAGGTTTTTCTATCAGACTCTGATTTTAGGATTTAAAGCACCTGTGTTGATTTCTAGGTTACACTACCTAGTTTCCAGGTATCATCTTGAGTCACAGCATTTTTATAGTGTGTCTCAGGTAAACCTTCGGAAGTGCAGTAATGCCAAAGTTATTCTGATTTCAGATTCTAGTCACGGAAGCTCACACATCCAAAATTACATAGGTGACTGTTGAAGGTCTGCTTTTTGTTTTGCATTAGATGAATGATGTGGAAGAAAGGAAAGAAACATAATATTAGGTTGGTGCAAAAGTAACTGCAGTTTTTGCCATTAACATATAGACTTTTCCCTCAAGTTCTTATTGGAAAGATCAGGTGTACCAACATGAGTCTCGAAGACAATCTAGTGAGTTCTACTAATGCAAAGAATGCTGTTGGTATACAGGGTAGAGAGAGATGAGTGAGACCCCAAGAGTCCAAAGAACTTGGGAAACTTCGGATTTGAGCTGGCCTATGAAAGTTTAGATTTACCGAGAGATTGTAGCAGTTACTTTGTGAGGAAAAAGCAAGAGTGTAAAGTGAAGATTAGCTTAGGGGGAGGGAAATAGAAGGAGACTAGGATGAGCTGACAACTGAATTTCCTGAGGAGAATGTTTTCGTTAGGAAACTTTAGTCAGTTGGAAAGCTATTTGTCTGTAGAAGAGTTTGAGTGCTGAATTGAGGAGATTTCTACTTTTATCCTGTTGTGCAAGGTATAGAGAGCCTTTGAAAGTTTGGAGGCCAGGGATTAATGTGGTAAACCAGGAAGGTAAACCTGTTAATGATCTACAGGTTAAGTTAGAGTGAGGAGAGAATGTAATGAACCAAGGAAGACAGTAGCTGCTGTAGTAACCCAAATAGGAGATCTTAGACCCGGATAAAGTCAGTAGGAAGGATTTGGATAGCAGATATCTGTGGGCTTAATTGTGGTAAAATCCACATACAATTTACCATCTTAACCATTTTTAAGTGTATAGTTCTGTGGCATAAGTACATTTACATTGTTGTGTAGCCATGCCATCACCACCATCCATCTGTAGAATTCTTTCATTTGGAGTTTTCTTAGGCTCATGACTACATATTTCTAAACCGAAACTGTCCATTTTCCCTTACCCCCAGCCCCTGGCACCCACAGTTCTACTGTCTCTTTTATTTTGACTACTGTAAGTACCACGTATAAGTGAAATTATACAGTATTTGTCCTTCTATATCTGGCTTATTTCACTTAGTATAATGTCATCAAGGTCCATCCATATTGTAGCATGTGTCACAATTTGCTTTCTTTTTAAGGCTGAATAATATTCCATTGTATGTTATTTTTATATTTTGTTAAGTTCCCCTCAATGGGCACTTAAGTTGCATCCACATTTTGACTGTTGTGAATAAAGCTGCTGTGAACATGGATGTTAAAATATCTGAGTCTCTGCTTTCATTTATTTTATGAATTTTATATCCAGAAAATTTTACAACCCCACCAGCAGTGCACAAGGGTTCCAGTTTCTCTACATCTTCACCAATACTTGTTATTTGCTGTTTGGGTTTTTTTTTCCTAATATTCATCCTGATGAGTATGAAGTGATATTTCATTGTGTTTTTGGTTTGCATTTTTTAAAAATGATTGGTGATGTTAAGCATCTTTTCATGTGCTTATTGATCTTTTGTATTTTTTTAGAAAAATATTCACATTATTTCCCTGTTTTCTAATTAGGATTTTTTTTTGTTGTTGAGTGTGGAAGTTACTTATGTATGCTGAATATCAATCCCTTATCAGACATGATTTGCAAATGTTTTCTCCCATTCTGTAGGCTGCCTTTTCACCCTGTTGATAGCGTCCTTTGATGTACACACAGTTTTTAATTTTGATGAAATCCAGCTTACCTAGATTTTCTTTTGTTGCTTATGCTTTTGGTGTCATAGCCAAGAAATCATTATTAAATCCAGTGTCAGGAAGCTTTTCCCCTATGTTTTCTTTCTTTTTTAAAGATAGATAGGTTCTGGGTCTGTCACCAAGGCTGGAGTACACTAGTGTGATTATGGCTCACAGTAGCCTTGAACTCTGGTCTCAAACAGCCCTCACATCTCAGCCTCCCGAACAGCTGGGACTACAGGTGCGTACATCCACGCCTGGCTAAGTTTTTAAAATTTTCTGAGGAGATGGGGTCTCACTATGTTGCCCAGGCTGGTCTCGAACTTTTGGACTCAAGTGGTCCTCCCGCCTCAACCCAAGGTACTGGGATTACAGGTGTGAGCCACTGTGCCCAGCCTTTTTTTTTTTTTTTTTTTTTTTTTAAAGAATTTTATAGTTCTGGCTCTTAATTTAGGTCTTTATGTGTGGATATCTATTACCATATACGTGGTTTTTGCATTACCATTTGTTGAGAAAACTGTCCATTTCCCATTAAATGGTCTTGGCACCTTTGTTGAAAATTATTCGACCACAAGTTTGAGGGTTTATTTCTGGGCTGTGTATTCTATTCCATTGGTCCATAAGTTTGTTTTTATGCCAATACCACTCTATTTTAATTACTGTAGTTTTATAGTAACTTTTGAAATCAAGAAGTGTGAGACTCCACTTTGTTCTTTTCAAGATTGTTTTGGTAGTTTGGGATTCCTTGAGATGCCATATGAATTTTAGGATGGGTTTTTCTATTTCTGCAAAAAATAGGCTATTAGTATTTTGTTAGGAATTGTATTGAATCTCTAGGTTGCTTTGGGTAATGTTGACATCTAAATACTGTCTTCCAGTCCATGAACATGGAATATCTTTCCATTTATTTGTGTCTTTATTTCAGCAGTGTTTTTTAGTTTTCAGTGTAAAAGTCTTTTGTCTCCTTGTCTAAGTTTATTCCTAAGTATTTTATTCTTTTTGATGTGATTGTAGATAGGATTCTTGTCTTAATTTCTCTTTTGGATTGTTCATTGTTAATGTTTAAGAATGCAACTCATTTTTGTGTGTTAATTTTGTATCCTACAACTTTACTGATTTATTAGTTCTAATAGTTTTTTTGTGTGTGGAATCTTTTTTGTGGAGTTTTCTACATATAGGATCGTGTCATTTGCAAACAGTTAATTTACTTCTTGCTTTCGAATTTGGATGCCTTTTATTTTTTTCCTTGCCTAATCTCAGCTAGGACTTCCGGTACTGTGTCGACTAGAGGTGGTAAAAGCAGGCATCCTTGGCTTGTTCCTGATCTTAGAGGAAACGTTTTGAGTCTTTCCCTGTTGAATATGATACTAACATGAGTTTTTTATATAAGACCTTGATTATGTTCAGGTAGTTTCCTTATATTCCTGGTTTGTTGAGTGTTTTAACAGGTGTATTTTAAGAAAAATCATTTGTGGGTGCTGAAAAGAAAGAATTTCTAGCCTGGTGAGTGAGAGAATCCTGGAGTCATTGACAGAATAATATATTATCATGAAGTTGATGTTTTAGGCATCATCTTTGTACATTTACAGACCTGTTTTGATTGATAAAAATAATACTATAGTTATTTAGTGGGGAAGACTGACATTACTCAAATAATTATGCAGATGTATGTCTGAATAACTATAGTACAACTGGCTCACATTTGTATTTCTAGTATCTAGCACTGTGCCTGGCACAGGGGCATTCAGTGAAGTTGCTAATTGAATCAAGAAGCAGAAGAGTAAGGTTTAACCCAGTAAAGTAAAAAACATATTATTATATAATTTTTTAATGGAAATAATGTTTATTTTTATTTTACCAGTTTTTAATTTTCTTGAGACAGAGTCTCACTTTGACAGCGGGCTGAGCGCAGTGGTGTAGTCATGACTCACTGCTGCCTTGGCCTCCTGGGCTCCAGCAAGCCTCCTGCCTCAGCCTCCCGAGTAGCTGGGAATACAGGCACGTGCCACCATGCCTGGCTAATTTTTGTTGTGAGAGACAGGGCCTTGCAGTGTTGCCTAGGCTTTATTTAAAACCATTTTCCCTGTTAACCCAGTCTTGGTACAATGGTAATAAAGCAAAATCAAAGTTCACCACTCTAGAAGAATTAGGCAAGTGACTTTTTCTAAAACAGGTATAGTATCATTATTAAAGTGAGGTAACAGTTTTTCTTTTGACTTTTTTTTTTTTTTAGACAGAGTTTTGCTCTGTCGCCCAGGCTGGAGCGCAATGGCGTGATCCTGGCTCACTGCAACTGCTGCCTCCCAGGTTCAAGTGATTCTCTCCTGCCTCAGCCTCCCAAGTAGCTGGGACTGTAGGTACGCGCCACCACACCTGGCTGATTTTTGTATTTTTAGTAGAGACAGGGTTTCGCCCCATTGGCCAGGCTGGTCTCAAACTCCTTACATAAGGTGACCCACCCGCCTCAGCCTCCCAAATTGCTGGGATTATAGGCGTGAGCTACCATGTCTGGCCCAGTTTTCTTTTTGGGTGAATGCTAGTGGAAGTTAGTTATCAGAATCCAAAGTTTCAGAAGGAGGCTTTTTGCTCTGTCGCCTAAGCTGCAGTGGTGCAATCACGACTCACCAGAACCTCAACTACCTGGGCTCAAGCAGTCTTTCCACCTCAGCCTCCTGAGCACCTGGGACTATGGGCATGTGCCACTATGCCTGGCTAACTTTTGTACTTTTTCTGGAGATGGGGTTTCACTGTGCTGCCCAGGCTGGTCTCGAACTCCAAGACTCCAGCAGTCCTCCAACCTTGGCCTCCCAAAGTGCTGGGATTATAGGTGTGAGCCACCATGCCCAGCTGAGGCATAATTTCAACGAAACTTTTCAAGTGTCTGCTGATTCCAGATTTATAATGAAATTTGAACATTCAGCACTTATTTGCAGAACAAGTTCAAAAGTTAAGAACCACCACGCTGTGGTGGTTTTTTGTTTTTGTTTTTTTAATTTTAAAATTTTGGACAGTTTGTAAATTTGACATCACAAATTGAATCTTTCAGATACCCTTACTATTTCAAATAATATAGTAACTTTAGAAACATAATATACTTAGTATTATAAATTGACATTAAATCCATGTCATTGTGTGACATGTGAGCATTATGTTAAGATTGAAATAGATGGGGACACTTGGAATAGCTAGGAAACACTTTAATCCAATACACAGAACATTCTTTAAGTTACAGGATTCAAAATAGTTCCCTTTTAGAGCATCGTTGGGGTTTTTAGATATAGTTGTGATAGAACACCAGACTGGGAATCAAACCTCCATTTAGATTCTGACTGATGTTTATAGTTTTATGATCTTAAAGCAAGTCACTTAACCTATCTGAAGATTAATTTTCTCATCTGTTAAAATAGGTATGGAAATCTTGAAGCTTTTCTACCTTGTATGTATTTTTTTACTCCATTGTTCCCCTCTCTATTGCCACTCCCTTATTAGTCTGGACTACGTATTAAACAGCCTGCCAGCTAAGTCTCTGCAACTTGTTCTCCCACTGTACCTCTCCATCTCTGGCTATTCTCTATATTACTATGACAATTATGTTCTTAAAAAACAGGCCAGACACGATGGCTCACACCTGTAATCCCAGCACTTTGGGAGGCTGAGGTGGGCGGATCACCTGAGGTCGGCAGATCACCTGAGGTCAGGAGTTCAAGACCAGTCTGGCCAACATGGCGAAACCCCATCTCTACTAAAGATACAAAAATCTGGTGTGGTGGCAGGTGCCTATAATCCCAGCTACTTGGGAGGCTGAGGCGGGAGAATCGCTTGTCCCCAAGAGGCGGAGGTTGCAGTGAGCCAAGATTGCGCCACTGCACTTCAGCCTGGGTGATAGAGCTAGACTCTGTCTCAAAAAAAAAAAAAAAAAAAAAAAAATTGGAGCATGCTGCTTCTCTACTTAAAATACCTTTGTTAACTTCCCTTGTCGATAAAGTCCAGACTCACAAGAGTTTATAGAATGTGTTCAACCTTAGGTCTCCTGTCACTCCAGCCATGCTGTTTCTTGTTCCCTGTGCCTCTGTCTTGTGTGTGTTTATCCCATTGTTTGGAGTTCTTATTCTTTGCCTATTCTGTTAGCTGCCCATCTAATGTCTACTTTTCTCTTCTTTCCTAACAGAAATCTGCTTTTGTTCATGCATGCAGCAGACTTGGAGAAGCTGATTTGTCACCACCTCCAGTAGTAGAGTTCCATTAGTTCAAACCAGTCAAATCATGGCATTTCCCTGTAAACTCTTATTTGTACCGATCAGATTTGAAGGGAAGTAGACATTCTGTTTCTGGGGGAGAAGATTCTTTCCTCTCTTGTATGTGAACAAGGGAACACAAGGCCCCTATTGCTACCGACAGCTGTCTTGGGATCACAAGGGATGAAGCACTTCCTGAAGATGGCAGATCAGAGAGGTAGAGGGTATCTGGATCCTTGGTAACATCATTTAACCACATATTTTATTGGGCCTGGAGCCATCCCCACCACAGGACTTCTCATGACAGATAATTTTCTTAATGTTTCAGACAGTTCTTTGGAGTTATTTGCCATCAAAAATCTCTTTTTTTTTTTTTTGAGACAGGGTCTCGCTCTGTCACCCAGGCTGGAGTGCAGTGATACAATCACAGCTCACTCCAACCTTGACCTCTTGGGTTCAGCAGTCCTCCTGCTTCAGGCTTCTGAGAAGTAGCCACCACACCTGGCTACTTTAAAAAAATTATTTGTAGAGGCAGGGTCTCCCTGTATTGCCCAGGCGTCTTGAACTCCTGGTCTCAAGTGATCCTCCCACCTCAGTCTCCCAAAGTGTTGGGATTACAGGTGTGAACCACTGCACCTGGCCCAAAATCTCTTGATTGATACAGTCCTCTTTATTTTTCAAGATCAAGTTATGATACCTTTACCAACAGTCATACATTCTTTTGGAACTTTGCACAATAGTCATATGTTCTTTTAGAACTTTACACTTCTATTCTTTATTGCCCTGTATTATAATTGCTTGTATGCCTGACTCCTCTACATGACTGTATGGTTTGAACCAAAGTGTACGGGATGTCGCACAGTGTCTAATAGTGTCACACAACAAGTAATAGGTATTCAGTAAGTGAGTTAAGATGAAATAGTAACATGAAAGAGTGCTTTGAAAGCAGTTTTTTAAAGAGTTTCTGTTCTGCTAATTGTAAGCCATTTTTTAAATAAACATGACGTGTGGTGTTGTCTTTAAAGTAAAAATGGAAAAACCAGTGAGATCAGACATTGTTTTTTGCTTGCCCCTCATTATTACCTAGACATTTTCATTTAGATAAAAACTATGTCAGTCTCCTGGCTGTAGTCCTTTACGGAAGGAGCAATATTACATTTAGCTCTGTTTCATCTGGGATTCAATTGTGAATTATTCTTTAGAGAAAAATTCTATAATATGCTTCATGAGACCTATTCTTGTCTTCAGACTTGCCTAAAATATTTTTTGCTTGCTTAAGACCAGACATGAGAATTTTCTTGTAAGCAGAAAGCTTTGTGACAGGACTGGATGAGTTTGTAGTGAATGTTAGTGATAGCTATGACAGAAGTCTCATAGCCTCAATTGCAGAGTCATAGTTCTGTCACATGCTTCAACAATAATGTCTGATAAGGGAGGAAGGATGGGGAAGAAGAGTTACAATTTACTAACTGTATATATTTCATCATTTATTGGCTTTGGTCAAATAAATTAAACATTAACATAGTAATTTGTAGGGTTAAAAAAATTTTTTTTTTCTATTCGCGTTCTTGCTATGTTCCCCAGGCTGGTTCCAAACTCCTGGGCTCAAGCGATCCTCAAGCCTTCTGAGTAATTGAGATTGCCACACCCAGCTTTGCAGTGTTTGTTTTTTTTAAGAGACAGGATACTCATTCTGTGCCCAGGCTGGAGTGCAGTGGCCCTATCATAGCTCACCGCAGCCTCAAACTCATAGGCTCAAGAGATTGTCCTGCCTCAGCCACCTGAGTAGCTAGGGCAGCAGGCACACGCCATCATGCTCAGCTAATTTGTAAACATTTTTTTTTGTAGAGATGGGGTCCTGCTGTGTTGTTGCCCAGGCTGGTCTTGAACTCCTGGCCTCAAGCAATTCATCCCATCTTGGCTTCCCAAAGCACTGGAATTATAGGCATGAGCCACATCACCCAGCCTTGTAGTTATTTTTAAAATGAAGACAAGAGGAATAGAGTATACCTTTAAAAATATATGATACTGTGTATTGGATGATTCTGAAAGGATGTATTTGCCTATGAAGAAAAACCTTCTTGTTTTGATGTCTGGTTGTTAGCTTTTTACTTTACTAAAGCCCAGTTAACTTTTCTGTGCTTTAGTTCCACATCTGTAAAATTACTCATTTTATATTTCTCTATCCACTTTGAAAATTAAGTAAATGCTCTTTGAATTTCAACTTTTAATTATTTAAGCCAAGATCTCTCTTCTGTATTTTTTATGTGTTCTTTATTGTGGGCTTACTAATTCTTGAATTTAAAAAAATCATTTAAATCAAGCAATAGTAATAGTATATGTTTAAGCATATAGTGTATGTTTTTAAATAAATAAGCAGGCTGGGTTTTAGTGGCTCACCCCTATAATCCCAACACTTTAGGAGGCCAAGGCAAAAGGATCACTTGAGTCCTGGAATTGAAGACCAGTCTGGGCAACATAGCGAGATCACACCTCTACAAAAAAAAAAGTTTAAAAATTAGCCAGGTATGGTGGTATGTACCTGTAGTTCTTAGCTATTCGAGAGGCTGAGGTGGAAGGATCGCTTGAGCCCAGAAATTTGAGGTTATGGTGAGTAGCGATCACCCCACTGCACTCCAAGCCTGGTTGACAGAATGAGACCCTGTCTCTAAAATAAAAATAAGCAATAGCATATTTTTTTAAAAAACAACAAACAACTCTTTTAAGTCCAAATTCCTTTTTGGATCCTATGGCTCATATCTTGCCACTGCCTGCTGCACTCTATATAGAAATACTTTTATTTCCTTCAGGAATCCAGTTTTGTTCTCTCCGTGGGCCTTCTCATAGTTAGTTCCCACTGCTGTTTGGAGCATTATTTTGGCATTCTTCTCGCTCCTTCTATTATTTTCACCAAGAAAAGAGGAAAGCTCACACTTTCTATTGTCAGTCTTGGATATCATCCCAAATGTCACTTTCTCAAGAATCGTTTAAGATAAACAGTTGTATTATCAGCCACAAAGAAGATTAAAAAAAAAAATTGCCCAAGATCATACAGTTTAGAAATGGCAGAGTCAGATCCAAACTTGGGCAGTTTTGCTCCAGAAGTCTTTATCGCCACTGATTTATGCTTCCCCTACATTGTAATTGCCTGTTCAACAGTTTGCCCCACTATGAGCACCTTTGGGGTATTGTTTGCTTGTTTGTTTGTGACGGAGTCTTGCTCTGTAGCCCAGGCTGGAGTGCCATGGCGCGATCTCAGCTCACTGCAACCTCCACCTCCCGGGTTCAAGCGATTCTCCTGCCTCAGCCTCCCGAGCAGCTGGGATTACAGGCACGCACCACCACGTCCAGCTAATTTTTGTATTTTTAGTAGAGACGGGGTTTCACCATGTTGGCCAGGCTGGTCTTGAACTCCTGACCTCAAGCGATCCACCCGCCTAGGCCTCTGAAAGTGCTGGGATTATAGGTGTGAGCCACTGCCCCCCTTAAAAGAAGCACCTTTGGAGGAAAAATTATGCCTGTCTTGTTCATTGTTATATCCCCATGTGCTTAGCACATACTAGGTGCTCAGAAAATATTTAAATGAATGAAAATTCTTATTTGAGGGAGAGAGTGTTTTGATTAAATTCTTCTCAGTACCTTTCATGTAGTGTGTCAGTAAATGCAGTAATGTTTTCATGCCTACTTATTATACAAAGTGAAATTTTTATGATCAAGTTAATCATGGTTACAAGCTCATTTTTTATAACCTCTCTTAATTCCTTTTTGCCCTATACTGCGTAACGGTATCACTTTGCAACTGTAAAAACTAGTGCTTTGTAGGCCTCTTTCTCATATTATCCCTCTGTGAACTGTTAAAATATAGATCATTTTTAATTAGTTTCTAAAGGGTATGTAGGAAATTGTATAAAATAAAATTATACTAGTAGATGGACTCTGATCATTTATACTGTTTAACCTTTTAACAAATTACAGAGGTGTAATTTCTCTGTGTGTAGAGGTTTTTTAAAGTATCCCATATTTTAAACCTTGACTGTTACCTCAAAAAAAAAAGTGGTTTATCTGTGTCCAGTAGTCACATGGTGGATAATGATGTAAGGCATGCACATTGTGTTCATGTGTTTGTTGGAGAAGTTGGAATGTCATTATACTTCAGTAGACTTTTCAAATGAAAAATCTGAAAGCTACTTCTAGCTGTAATTCTGCTGTAATTCTCAATCAGGTCAGTAGACAGAGAACCAAAAAAGTCTTCCTCCTCTCTGAATGTTCTTGCCAAAGCCTGACTTCTTTGATTAATCTTTCTTTTCTGTATTCCTTACACTCTATTACAGGGCTTCTCAACCTTGGCACTCTTGACATTTGGGGCCAGGTAATTCTTTGTTGTGGAGGACTGTCCTGTGCCTTGTGAAATGTTTAGCAGCATCCTTGGCTTCTACCTGTTAGAGGCAAATAGTATCCTTCCCCTTTCCCCTGTCCAGTTGTGGCAATTTGAAATGTCTCCAGACATTGTCAAGTGTGGGGGTTAGGGAGGGTGGAAGGGGAGAACAATCACCCCAGTTGAAAATTGCAGCTTTCCTACATCATTCTGTCCACTTACTCATTTGTTTTAATATCTTCCCCTCCCTCTCACACTTACCTTTTCAGACTTCCTGCCTCTCTGCTACTGCCTCATTTCTCTGAACCTTTTTGCAGCCATACTTCTAAAAAAGAATTGTAAAACATCTGTTCTCTCCAAGTTTTCACTTGCAGTTCAGTTTCCTCTTTTGAATTCTATTGAGACCACATTTTTCTAGTTTTCCTCTATCTCTCTGGCCGTTCCATTTTTATTTTCTTTATCAGTTCTACCTAGTTGGACAATGGCATCATCTTTGCCCCTTTCTTTCTTGTTCTCTGTTATTCAACTCTCAAGTCTTCCTTTCTTGCCTCATTTCCTAGTGCTTAATGTTGTCTCTCATATGTGTTGTCCTATTCATTTTTATTTTTTTTGGTAAGAACACAATATGAGATCTACCCTTTCAACAAATTTTTAAGTATACAATACATTATTGTTGACTATAGGTACAGTGTTGTACAGTAGATCTCTAGAGCTTACTCATTTTGCTTAACTGAAACTGTATGCCCGTTGATTAATAAGTCTGCATTTCCCCCCAGCCCCTGACAACTCCCCTTTCACTCTTCGATTCTATGAATTTGATTATTTTAGATACTCACTTATCATTCTGGGTAATGACCAGGCCTAGATAAAGACCTCATATAAGTGGAATTATGTAGTATTTGTCTTTCTGTGACTGGCTTATTTTACTTAGCATAATGTCTTCAAGGTTCATCCATGTTGTCACCATATTTCCTTCTTCTCTGAGGCCAAATAGTATTCCATTTATGTATTTACTACATTTTCTTTATTCATTCATCTGTCAATGGATATTTAGGTTGTTTCCACATCTTGGCTGTTGTGATATCTATTAATTGTTAAGCTGGTCTCTGTATTGAAATCTCCTTGCCTATATTTCTCCATAGTTTAACATCCTGCAAGGACCAGAGCAGATTTTGTCTGTTGTTTTTTGGTTTTGGTTGTTGTTATTGTTAGAGACAGTGTCTCATTCTGTTGTCCAGGCTGTAGTGCAGTGGTGCAGTCATGGCTCACTGCTCACTGTAACCTCAAATGCCTGGACTCAAGTGATCCCTCATCTCAGCCTCCGGAGTAGCTGAGACTGCAGGCACACACTATCACACTTGGCGAATTTTTCTGTTTTTTTGTAACAGCCTGTTGCCCAGGCTGATCTCAAACTCCTGGGCTGAAGCAATCTGCCCACCTCGGCCTCCTGAAGTGCTGGGTTTACAGGCGTGAGCCCCCGCATCTAGCTTGCACCTCATTTATTAAGGGTTCGTTATGAGCCAGGCACTCTTTAAGGTCTTTGGACTATATAGTTACTGAAATAAGACACAGTCCCAGTACTCCAAGAACTTAGTCTGTTTGAGGACATGGAAATTTTAATTCATTGCTCTTACAGAGTGAGTATGGAAATTGAAGTGTATCCCAAACTTTCTGGTAGCATATAGGAAAGGGATGATTTCTCAGTTTGATGTAAACCTCATTCAAGTGCCACTTCTTACATGCAGGCTATCCTGGTCACTACCCAGTCTGATTTGTGTTTTTATACTCTCCTTTACTCAGTTCTCTTTCTTTTCCAGCCCCCAAATCATCAGCATTTCCTATGACTCAACACTTAGCTTTTCATTCATTCTTCTAGATCCTTTTCTTTAGGAAATGGATTTAATTTCAAGGGTTCAGCTGAAACTTTCAAATTTGTAGTAGCTCCAACAAAACATTTTATTGTGAAGTAATACACATACAAAGTACATTAAATAAATCTAACTTAAAAAAACATTATTTTAAAGCTGACATCACTCTGGCCATGAAATAGAGCACTGTAAGTATTCCAAAAGCCCCCCTCATGCCTCTTCCCAATCATAACCACTTTCTTCCTCCTTTTAAAGGTTACTGCTATTCTGATCTTTATGGTAATTTCCTTGCAGATTTTTAAAAATAGCTTTATTCTTGATTACCAGCTGAATATTTATCCCAAAACAATATAATGTCATTTTGGGAGGACAGTAGAGAAAGACATTTTATCATATCCCGTTTTGTGCCTGTATTTTGAATCCGCAAGATCACCCCCAGGTTTGGTGAGGAGGAAGCACAGAACTCAACATATAGTATGACTCAGCTAAGAGTTACTACAGCAAAAAAAATACAAAGCGAAAATGCCCATGGGGCAACGTCCAGAGGAAACCAGGCACAAGCTTCAAGAGTCTTATCCCAGTGAAGCCGCGTAGGATGCATTGACTTGTTACAATCCTTGTGAAATGTTGTCTTCCAGGGAAGCTTATAAGAGACTCACTGCCCAGGGTGTTTATTGGGGTATAATCACATAGGCACCCTCTGTCTAGCTTGTACCAAATTCCAAGCTCCCAGAAGGAAAGCAGATATTCAGCATAAACCATATTGTTTGCACAAACAGTTTAGGCATAGTAAATCACCCTTATTAAATAGTCAGGGAATTATGGGAACACTCCCAAAATCCAATTTCCCAGAGACCTGCCAAGGGCCATCTTTGCATGCAGGCCTTTCTAAAGATAGCAGTCTTAGGCCTGCTATGTTGTCTTTTTGGCATAGTACCTTTTGCTGTTTCTGAATTCAAAATTTAAATAAGTAAAAAATCAATTATCACTTTATGTTATGTTCTTTTTTTCTCCACCGTTGTTTTCTTTCCTAATGTATCAAGATTAGCTGGGTGTGGTAGTGTGTGCCTCTGTAGTCTCAGCTACTTGGGAGGCTGAGTGCTGTAGTGCACAATAATTGCACTTAGGATTAACCACTGCACTCCAGCCTGGGCGACATACCAAACCCTGTTTCTCTTAAAAAAAAAAAAAAGTATCAACATTAGCTCAGTGCAAAGGTTGACTACTATGATATGATTGAAAGTATATTCCGGCCGGGCGCAGTGGCTCACGCCTATAATCCCAGCACTTTGGGAGGCTGAGGCAGGCAGATCACTTAAGGTCAGGAGTTCGAGACCAGCCTGGCCAACATAGTGAAGCCCCATCTCTACTAAAAATAAAAAATTAGTTGGGTGTGGTGGCACATGGCTGTAATCTTAGCCGCTCGGGAGGCTGAGGCAGGGTAATCGCTTGAACCCAAGAGGCAAAGGTTGCAATGAGCTGAGATCGTACCACTGCACTCTTTCTTATGAAGGTTTCTGTGATTAAGTTTGGAAAGGATGAATTAAACAAAGTTAAACAGATTTCTTAACTACAGGACTCTTAGCCTTTTCACAGGAATGTGCATGACTTGGTGACTGCCTACATGTCCTGCCTCATCTCACGTTTTTTTTCCCTGACCCACTTTGCTTACTCTGCCCAGATTTAATCTAGTACTAAGGATCAAATTACAATTGTCTATGTTACATGGGCATTTTCTCAGTTTGCCACAGCAATATTATGATCACTTTACCATCTTGAATATGAACTGTCCCTCCATCTCTGCTCAATTACTGTGTCAGAGCAAGCAAACGTTTTTACTATTTCATTCATAGATTCAGCAAAATTTGTTAAGCACCTACTATATTTGCCAGACACAGTTCTAGGCACTGGAGATACAACAGTGAATAAAAGAAAAACCCTGACCTTATATAGTTTACCTTATAGTGGGGAGTGGAAAAAGGGAACAATAATTAAAAATACATGTTATGCCCAGTATGGTGGCTCACACCTGTAATCCTTAAACTCTGAGAGGCCAAAGTGGGAGGATCACTTGAGGCCAAGAGTTCAAGACCAACCTTTATAACACACCAAGACCTCAACAGAAAAAATAAAAATAAATTAGCTGGGCACAGTGGTGCATACTGTAGTCCCAGTTATTCGGGAGGATCACTTGAGCCCAGGAGTTTGAAGCTACAGTGAGCTATGATTGTGCCACCACACTTCAGCCTGAGTGACAGAGTGAGACTGTCTCTATTTTTTAAAAAAAATTAAAAAAAAAAAGACTGGGCATGGTGGCTTGCACCTGTAATCCTAGCACTTTGGGGAGGCCAAGGTGGGTAGATCACCTGAAGTCATGAGTTCGAGACCAGCCTGGCCAACATGGTGAAACCCTATCTCTACTAAAAATACAAAAAAATTAGCTGGGCATGGTGGCAGATGCCTGTAATCCCAGCTACTCGGGAGGCTGAGGCAGGAGAATTGCTTGAACCCGGGAGGCAGAGGTTGCAGTGAGCCGAGATCACACCATTGTACTCCATCCTGGGCAACAAGAGCAAAACTCCATCTCAAAAAAAAAAAAAAAAAGATACATTTTGCTCCTAGGCATATACTTAAGAGAAGTGGAAGTACATGTCTACACAACTTGTACAAATGTTTGTAACAGCATTATTCATAATAACCAAAAAGTGGAAACAACCCAAATGTCCATCAATGGATGGATGGATGAATGAATAAATCAAATACAATGTGGTATATCCATACAATGAAATATTATACAGCAAATAAAGAGGAATAAAGTAGTACTGATAAATGCTACAATGTGGATGGACCTTGAAAACATCATGCTAAAGTGAAAGAAGCCAGTCACAAAAGCCCACATTATTATATGATCCCATTTATATAAAATGTCCAAAATAATAGAGGTAGAAATTAGATTAGTAGTTGCCTAGGATTGGGGAATTGAGGTGAGTGACTGCTAATGGAACTTCTTTTAGGGGGTGATGAAAATGTTCTACATGTCAGAACCACTGATGGCTGCACAGATGTATCTACAAGTAATATAGTGTCAGTTAAGCACAACGTTCTCAAGAAATTCAGTAAAAAGTCAAGCCTAACATTGTACACCTCAATGGCTAACAAAAGCATCCTCCAGTTATTTGGAAAATTTATCCATCTCGCTTCCTAGCAACAGCAGGTAATTGAGTTAGCTTAATACTTAGGACTTAATAAAATGTTAAATGTTAGTATACCAAATGACTTGAAACAATAATAACTGTGTTATAAACTCTTAATTTAATGTTAACTTCCTCCTTAATAGAAGAATATTTACCCACATACTCTAATTTGGAGATTACAACACAAATTGAAAGCACTTTCTCAAATATTGTCCTAACTGCTTAAATATTTATATATAAATTAGTTTTCTGATGTAAAAATGTTTGCAGTAAGAAGGAGGAAACCCAGAAGTTACAAAGGAAAAGACAGAGTTGTCTATATGAAAAATTTAAACATTTGTGACAAAAGCTATCATAGTTTTAAAAGGCCCGTATGAATATTTTCCGTTTATTATTTTAACATTAATATAGAAAATGTTGCAAATTTGTAAAAAGAACAGCCAAATAGAAAAATGGGCAAAGAATATAAAGCAACATGGGGACTAATGAATATCAGTTTATTAATTTTTAAGAGATTAAAATAGCAATGGCATAATTTTTCCTCCATCAGATTGCAAAGATGAATAATGTCCAGCATTTTGGACATTCTCATGCAGAGCTGATAGGAGTGTAAATTGCAACTCTTCTGACAATATGTCTTCAAATTAGAAACATGTATATCCTTTAACCCAAGAATCTTCTTGAAATTTATTCTAATGACATAATTTAGACTGGGCAGAGTGGGCAAAGATATGTGTAAAAGACTTGCAGTGCTATTTATAATATTGAAAAATTGGATGTGACCCTCAATATGGATTTGGTTAAGTAAATTATTACATATCTATACAACACAGTTCTATGTAGGAATTTTTTTAAGGTAAAGTAAAATTTTGTGTGTGGCCATATTTTTGCAACCTTGCTATATTATGAAATGAAAATAGTTTTGTATAAAACTGTCACCTGGCCAAATTTTAAATTTTGATATACATATGAGTGCATAATAGTTTTTAATTTTAGGATTTAGTGTAAATTTAGTTTTCATAAATAAGATAGTCATATCCACATTTAATATTTTTTTCTAATAATTCAGTATCTCTTTTAATGATTTCTTCACTGGTTTGGGTTTTCCTACCCTGTTTAAGAATGATAATCTACAAGACTTCCCTACTGACTACTCTGGGTTTGTTACTCTTTGGAGATTATGTTTTTTAAATCATTTAAACAGCTAAGAGTTAACAGATTTCAGACCTTGCTTACTATGCATTTATAGCAGATATTTTATTTAAGAAGTATTTCATAACTAGAAATACTACAAGAACACTAAGAATATAGTTTCAGCCAGGTGAGGTGGCTCATGCTTTGTAATCCCAGTGCTTTGCAAAGCTGAGGCAGGAAGGTCACTTGAGGCTAGGAGTTCAAGACCAGCCTGGGCAACATAGTGAGACCCGTCTGTACCAAAAAAAAAAAAAATTTTGTTGTTCATTAGCTGGGCACGCTGGCACACACCTATAGTCCTAGCTACTTGGGAGGCTGGGGCAGGAGGATTGCTTGAGCCCAGGAGTTGGAGGCTGCAATGAGCTATGAGTGAACTACTATACTCTAGCCTAGACAACAGAGCAGGACCCTTTCTCAAATTAAAATAAATGTGTGTGTATATATGTGTGATTGTGTGTGTGTGTGTGTGTGTGTGTGTGTGTGTGTGTAGTTTCATTTTAGGATAAGTCAAAAATTCAGATACTTTCCTCTTCACTAGACTCAGAATTCTAAGAACCATACTCAACTCATTTCTCTGTATTTCCATCATTTTCTAGTTTGAAAAATTATTCGATTGTTGCATATATTAGTGGAATGTGATGTACTTTTATATTCTTTTAAAAATGCATTTTTAATGGGGAAAAAAGTATCAGCAGGGGACTGACAGCTGTTATGAATTATAATAGGTTATATTAGAAAAAAACCACATGGCTTAATAAGATTCTCCTAACAAAACCCTAACAACTAACTAATCTTCATTTGCAGTAATGCAATGGAATTTTATAGAAAATGTCAATTTAAAGATTTTCATTTAACATGAATAGAAATGTTTTCTGACTTGACTATTTTTGGTGGTGGGTGGATAAGGGAAAAGACTATTTTTAACTACAGGTCCACATTCTCTTACTTATAATTTGAAATCCCAAAAGTTCTGAAAACTATTTTAGGGGTTATGGGAGGACTTAATTTGATGGCAAACACTGACATGACCTAGATTTGTCTGCCAGCAAAACCGAACCTAAACTAACATAGGTTAGTCTAAATAGTATATTTTACTGCAGAATATTAATTTGTTTGATGTTACAAACAAATTATTACAAACAAATTAGGGTGCTGTGCCAGATCTCCCTGGGGATAGTTATATAGTATACAGTAAATGTTTGGTATACCATATGTCATGCCAAACTTCTGTCACTCCAGTGGGCATGGCATTAGGTTCAAGAGGCCGAAGAAGAGACCCAGAGCCGGCAAAAGAGATGTGGGGTTTTATTGGGGGCTTACATACAAAGGAGAGGGTACAGTGGCAGTGGGCTGGACGGGAGAACTGCCTTATATACAGTCCAGTGGCAGTGGGCTGGGCAGAAGAACCACAACTGCCTGCCATAGGCATGCAGTTTATATAGCATTTCCACTTAGCACTTCCACCTAGCAACCTCCACCTGGCACTCTTTATTCTACCCAAAACTTGGAGCCTCAGTCTCCTGTAGGGCTTGTGTTCCAAGAGACAGGTTGGGGGCTCAGATGTCCTTATAGACAAGGAGGGAATCTCTGGGTTGGCCACTCCTGAATTCCCTAGCTCAGAACACACATTCAGGTGCATCTGCCATACAAAGTCATTCTAAGGATATGCTTAAATTATTGCTGTCAGGTATGTTTACTATAACCATATTATTTCTCTTTGAAAGCAAAAGAAAAAAGTGAATTTTTGAATGTATGTGGCTCCAAAGATTTCTATTTGAAAAAGAATTGTAGACCTGTATTCTTAACACTCTTTAACTGGTACTTTAAGCTGATGATGAGCATTAAATATATATTTTATTGGTAGAACTAAGACTGAGAGTGTAGTATGTAACCACTCTATAGGTAAAGTTTAATTATCAAGAATGTGGGGAGAATATATGAAATGTAAAATAAGCTCACTGGTTATAGGTATTCACTGTAAATAAAAATATATCACTTAAAATACTGGGGTAGAGACAGGAGAAGGAAGTTACTAACTTAATTTCAGCATTGCTCATAGTAGGGAACCAACGGATAATAGCCAAAAAAACAGGGAATGTAAAATGTTGTATAAAGTATAAGTAAAGTTACATATGGGGCAGGCAGGGACTAGAATAGAGTAGACAGGGACAGCAATTTGTATTCTTTGGATGTATCTTTTTTTTTTATTTTAACTTTATACTCACTTAAATGTTTAATTATATAACAAAGTTAAAAATGCAATGACTAAAAATCAAAATAAATCTTATAAAGTGGATTTCCCATTGGTTATATAATCACACAGAGTAAACCATTCCAAGTGACTTACATATACAGTAATTTGTAGAATATTCCAAGTTGGGTATATCCTAAAGATAAAAAGAATTGTAAAAAAAAAAAAAAATTAAAAATATTTTCATGGATCATATTGGTGATGATAGTGTTAATATTTTTATTCTCAGGTTGTGTGAATATTTTGTGATAAACTATTATGTAGGCTGCATTGAGAATAGAGGGTTTTCATATGTGAGAAAGGAGAAATGATATAAGATAATGAGATTGAGTAAAAACCCTATAAACCTGAATTTGAATTGGAAGCAACAGTATAAACTAATGATAATGTACATTTATGTATCTATGTACATGTTTATGTAGATATGTGTGTATATAATGTCTTAGATCTTTGTACTGAAAAGGCATTAAGCATCCCTATTACTGAGATTGTGGTTTCTGAATACCATTTCCCACTAAAGGGAATTAGGGCTTCTTTAAGGAAATGACCAGTGCCAAGTCAAAGGCAAGAAAAATACAAGATATGCCTGGAATAAGTTGTAATACCAGAAAGGTAAGGTAACCTCTGCTCTCGGAGGCAGAGGTTAGGATTATGTCATAAGGTCTCAGGAACCAATTTGAATAAGGCTCTACTGTCCAAAGATGGGACAGTTTGAACTTCAATAAGAATAACTACAAAGGATTAAAACCTGTCACATAGATGTAAGTCTATTAATTCATAACTTTTTAAAACTCACTGATTGTCTTTAAGGATGCTAGGAAGCTATTACTAATTGTTTTGAAAATTAGTAAATAAAAGTAAAAAATTACTCATTTATTCTGTCCTTTCTATACAGACTGCATCAGGACAACTGAATAGTTGATGAGTTTTTTTTATAGAATTTTTCCAGCTAGTGAATAAAGAAAGAATGATAGACTATCATGTGATCGTTTTTCAACCCCGTTAATGGATTGCTTTAGTTGGTGATCATTGATAACTGTTAATATCAAAAAAAGGGAATTCAATAGACTTTTGAACTTAACTGTTGGAAGTACATACTACCTGCCACCTGTGAAGCAGTCTTGGCAAAAAAAAAAAAAAAAAAAAGTTTTTTGGTTTTTTTGTTTGTTTGTTTTTGGAAACAGAGTCACTGTTGCCCAGGCTAGAGTGCAATGGTACTATCTCAGCTCACTGCAACCTCCACCTCCCAGGTTCAAGCAATTCTTGTGCCTCAGCCCCCGAGTACCTGGGACTACAGGTGCGTGCCACCACACCCGGCCAATTTTTATTATTTTAGTAGAGATGGGGTTTCACCACGTTACCCACGCTGGTCTCTATCAATTTACTGTAAATACAAGAGTCAGAAGCACATTATTAAACTACATCATGGTAATACATTTGGCAAAATCCAAACTATAGGAAACAACCAGGTAACCTGATTTCTTCAACAAAAAAAAATTGTAAAGGGGGAGGAACCCATATGCAGAGATTGAAGAGACATAGTCATCCAGTCACAGTGTGTAGACCTTATTTGGATCCTAATTCAAACAAAGAAAAAACAATTTGAGAAATGTTAACACTGCCCAGGAGTTTCATATTAAGGAATTATTGTTTATTTTAGATATGATAGTCTGTAGTTGCTTTACATCCTTTTAGAGGTAAATATGGAAATATTTACAGGTTGAAATAATATGCTATCTGAGATTTGCTTGAGAATATTCTACTGGGATTGGGTAGATAGTGGACTGGGATATAGTTGATACTTAAACCTGTAATTGCAGCACTTTGGGAAGCTGAGGCAGGAGGATCACTTGAGTCCAGGAGTTTGAGGTTGCAGTGAGCTATGTTTGTGCCACGGCACCCCAGCCTCTGCAACAGAGCAAGACCCCATTTCTAAAGGGGGAAAAAAAAACACCTGCCAATTGGTAAATGTTGGTTGAAACTTGGCAATGGGTAGAGATCCATTAACTATTTTCTCCACTTTTTTATTGTATATTTTTTCATTTTTATTACAAAAATTACAAAAGTATCTCCTGCAAAGGAAGGAAAAACAAGTAATAGGAAGGGATGAGATTAGAGAAGCTTAGTCATTTAATTGTCCTCTGTGTTTGAATGCTAGGAGATTTGATATTTATGGAGTATTAATCACAATCAAGAAACATTTTACTGTTCAACAATACACAGCACTAGAGAGATTAAGATCTGTCCCTTTACCTCAGTTGGGTGATAAAGTAGAAACTGGAGACTTAAGGGTTGAGTAATAGAAACAGCAGCACAGTGGACACAGAAGCATGAGGTAGACGTGGCAGCTTCCTTCAGAAAGGTTGGTATAGCACTGAAGACTTTTGAGACGCTTTCTTGTTTAGCAGGGGTGTGGAGGTTGGGGGGATAAGACACACACTAGATGAGGGATTGAAGGCCTGGTCTTTGGTCTTGGCTTTGCCATTTTACTCTTTTTTTTTTTTTTTTCTTGGAGACAGAGGAGTTTTGCCCTTGTCGCCTAGGCCACACACCTTGGCCTCCCAAAGTGCTGGAATTACAGGCGTGAGCTACTGCACCTGGCCCATTTTACTCTTTATTTGACTTTGGATAAGTCACTTTAAAGTCTCTACTTTGATTTCCTCATTTGGAGAATAGAGAATATGCCTGTGCTGTCTACATGGAAGAGTTATTGTGAGAATAAAATGACTTAACACATGAAAAAGCCCTTGGTAAACTGTATTCCCATTCTGATGTAAGATACTCCCACTCCAGTCATTAAAAGGAACATGAAGTTGGGGGGAATGTTTAAAAAAGGGAGTGGAGAGGGAAGGTATGTCATTGCTTTTCTGTTTTAATGTTTTTTTGTGAGGTTTTTTCCATTTTTTAAGTTGTCACTTAAAAATACATAACATTTACCATTTTAACCAGTTTTAAGTGTATATATAGTTCTGCAACATTAAGTACATTCACATTGTTGTGCAGCCATCACCACCATCTCCAGAACTTTCTCATTTTCCACAACTGAAACTTTGTGCTTACTGAACACTAACTTCCCAGCCCCTGACAACCATCATTCTACTTTCTGTCTCTATGAATTTGATTACTCTAAGTACTTCATATAAGTGGAATCCATATTCGTCCTTTTGTGACTGGCTTATTTCACTTAACATAATGTTCTTAGGGTTCATCTGTGTTTCAGCATGTGTCAGAATTTCCTTCCTTTTTAAGGCTGAATAATCTACTCTATGTATACACCACATTTTGTTTTCCCATTCATCTATCTGTGGACACCTGAGTTGCTTCTACCTTTTGGCTGTTGTGAATAATTTTGCTATGAACGTGGGTGTACACATCTGTTTGAGTCCCTGTTTTCACTTTTTTTGGTATATATCCACAAATGGAATTGCTGGATCATATAATTCTATGTTTAATTATTGAGGAAGCAGTGTGTTTTTAAAAATTATTTACTTTATTGCTTATGGAAACATTTCCACAAGTCGTATTTGAGGGTATATGTACGCTGTGATCCATGAGGCTTTTTGCTGGGAAATCTTTTGTCTCCAAGTACTAATCCAATTTTCTTTTCTTTTCTTTTTTTTTTTTTTTTTGGAGACCGAGTCTGGCTCTGTCGCCTAGGCTGGAGTGCAGTGGTGCGATCTCAGCTCACTGCAAGCTCCGCCTCCCAGGCTCACGCCATTCTCCTGCCTCAGCCTCCCGAGGAGCTGGGACTGCAGGCGCCCACCACCACACCCGGCTAATATATTTAGTAGAGACGGGGTTTCACTGTGTTAGCCAGGATGGTCTCGATCTCCTGACCTCATGATCCGCCCACCTCGGCCTCCCAAAGTGCTGGGATTACAGGATTGAGCCACCGTGCCCGGCCGCAATTTTTTAATCACACTCTTCTAAGAGGCTTAGACTGTGAAGGAATATGGATCCCAAGAAATAGTTTTTGGACTCAAAATCTTGAAGAATGATTACAGATAAGCCTTTCCTTACTAAATGTTTATTTTTTAAAACTAATTTCATTCAGCAGTTTTCAACTTAATGCCTCCTAAGTGCCAGGTACTGTATTATGTGGTGAGGATTTAGTGTTGAATAAATGAAATTCAAGTGCTGAAAAGTACTACTGTAAAGAAAATAAACTGAAGAAAGAGGATAGTGAATGATGGGGTGGAATGTTATTTTATATAGGCTAACTAGGGAAGTCTTCTCCAAGAGGTAGTATTTGAGCAAAGACTTCAGTAAAAATGAGAGTATGAAACATGTGAAGATGTTTCAGAAGAGTGGTACAGGCAAAGGGAAGAGCCCTGAGGTAGGAGTAAGAAATGCTTTTCAAGTAGACAACTCAGGGATCAGATGACAGCCTATCTTGACCAGTACCTAGTACCTATATGAGGAAATCAATTGTTGTAAGATAGCTCTAGAAAGTAAAGTCACGTCTGGGTGTGCTGGCTCGTGCCTGTAATCTGAGCACTTTGGGAGGCCAGGGCAGGAGGATCATTTGAGACCAGGAGTTCAAGACCAGCCTGGACAACATTAGTGAGGCCCTGTCTCTACAGAAAAAAAATGTTTTTAATTAGCTGGACATGGTGGCACACGCCTGCTCTAGCTACTTGGGAGGCTGAGGCTTGGAGGATTGCTTGAGCCCAGGCACTGTGAGCTATGATTGTGCCACTGCACTTCAGCCTGAGCAACACAGTGAGACTCTGCCTCTTAAAAATAAAAAAGAAAAGTACAGGAAAACTAAAAATAGAAAATTGTTAGGGATAATTTATTTGCATATTCTGTTAATCTAGAAAATACTGTATTTGTGGTGTGGGAGATGTCAGGAAGATATTACTGCTGACATGACATTCCAATAATGATTACTACATAGAAGACATAACCTTTTCCTCTGAAATGTTATTTTCTTGGCAGAGGGGCATGTACAGTGAACCCAAAGGATATATTTTATCATCTGTTCAGGGAAGACAGAATGAGACAACTGATAAAGAGAATCTGAGTTTTAAGAAATGATCTCTAAAAATCTTAGATAATAAAATACTTTAATAACCAAGTATCTTACTGATATATATGACAGTGATACATATATTATTAGGAGAACACTCAGACTCAGATCTCAAGAGAGGTTAGAGATCACCCATATTTTGCTGGGTGCTGTGCAGTAATGTGAAGTTATGCCAGAAATAACTTTGCGCCTCAAGAAATAAGCACCATTACTTCTTAAGACTCTCCATTTATCTTTTTAGAAACATTGATAAGATATTTGTAAATAATATCCTCATTTAAAAGTAAATGAATTATCTTGGGAGAATGCTGTATTGTAATACAAGGAATTTTACCTTTAGAAATTAGATATTATTAATAGTATTAGAAAACTTTTGTTTTTAGACTTCTTTATGTTCTGTTTGAATTGTTTCTTCCTTGATAACGTCTTTTTTTTTTTTTTTTTAAAGAGAGATGAGGTTGTTTTGTTGCCCAGGCTAGTCTGGAACTCCTGGCCTCAAGCAATCCTCCTTAGCCTCCCAAAGTGCTGGGATTATAGGCGTGAGCCACCGTGCCTGGCCTCTTTAATATGTCTTTCCCAGATTTCAAACCCATTACCTTTATCACCCTCAGTGGACCCATAAATTGCTTCTCCTATATGCTTCTTGGTTTACAGCATTGTAACCACCCAGTTATGCAAGGTAGAAACCTCAGTCATCGTTTCCTTCTTCCTCTCCACCATTCCCCTTACCAGTTTGGTGAGCATTCTTCACTATGTCTTCTATGATAAGGACCTCATATGTATTACTTAATTTTTTATTATAGATGTCTACTATGATTTGCTGTTCCCCACATTGCATGTGTTGGGAACTTAATCCCCAAATCTGTATGTCAGTTGAACGTAGGGCCTTTGGAAAGTAATTAGGATTAGATAAAATCATCAGGGTGGGGCCACCATAATGGGGCTGGTGGCTTTATAAGAGGAAGAGAGACCTGAGCTGACACGCATGTTCTTGCCCTCTTGCTATGTGGTGCCCTCAGCCATGTTAGGGCACAGCAAGAAGGCCCTCACCAGATATTGGGGTGGTCTTGGACCTCCCACCCTCCAGAACTGTAAGAAATAGATTTTTTTATATATTACCCAGTCTATGATATTCTGTTACGGCAACAGAAAACAGACTAAGACAAGCTTCTAAACAAATGGAAAATAGAGTTTTAAGATGCAGACTTTCATTGCCTTAACAGGGCCAAGAATATCTATTTCATTCTGACATACTTAAACTGTAATATCCTCTCCCAGTGTTTCTGCTACAAGTGGGTAGCACAGAACAAGCAATGGGATTAAGGAAAAATTACCATAGTTATAAGAAAGCCCTCTAATAATGCTTGTGAGAGTGAGAGTTTTGTCTGGTTTTCTACTTCTTGTTTTTCATAAGAGACCTTGTTGATGTCTCTTACAGAGAGGGTCTTTTATAGCTAAACGTTCTCAAAACTTGTTCATCATCACAACCACTAGTGCTTCTTTTACAAGGACCACTATATACAAGACTCTAAGTGTAGACTTCAGAAGAAACTTAGGAGGAACACATTTTTCACTTAACATGCCAACAAAGATTCTTTAAATAGCAAATATTCTGATGGGCAGGAGCTCATCAGAATGGAGTGACTAGCCAGTATTAAGCCATTATATATGACTTGTAACTTTTTCACTGAAAATTTAAAGTAATGGGTCCCCCACCCTCATATTTATTTAGACTCAGTCTCCGTAATGTGAAGAAAAATAGAATTTTACTATGTAATTACCTCAACTGCTAAGCCATTATTGTCTTCTTATTTATAAGAATTTGAATAATTCATAGGGCTAGTCACATGCCTATTCCTTTAATGATCTAACAGTTTGGAATTTGAACTGTCTTCATGAAGACTGCCCTGGATGAGGAAACCTTTGAGTTTCTGTTTTGTTCTGTGTTCTCTTCTGTCTGTGCAGCCATAGTCTCAGGCTTACTCTAGGGTTCACCCAGCATGTTTGCTTATCTCTCCAGCTCTACTAGTGGAACCCATGGTAACTTATCAATAAGAAGTATACCCTTGTATTTTAAACATTTGCTAAGTTGGTGTCAGAAAATCTGAATGTTTTGGCTTTGAATGGAATTTAGGAGAAATTGCATTTTTTCCCTTTAAATTCAGTTGATTTGAATGTATTCTCTGATGTCAGTTCTATTTCTCTCTGCAAGTCCTCTTTAAACTCAAATCTAGGCCGGGCACGGTGGCTCACGCCTGTAATCCCAACACTCTGGGAAGACGAGGCCGGCAGATCACCTGAGGTCAGGAGTTTGAGACCAGCCTGGCCAACATGGTGAAACCTCATCTCTACTAAAAATACAAAAATTAGCCAGGTGTAGGGATGCACGCCTGTAATCCCAGCTACTCGGGAGGCTGAGGCAGGAGAATCGCTCGAACCTGGATGGCAGAGGTTGCAGTGAGCCAAGATTGCGCCACTGCACTCCAGCCTGGGCGACAGCACGAGACTCCGTCTCAAAAATAAAAATAAATAAATAATAAACTCAAATCTAGACTCATTTTTATCACCATCTCTAAATCTAGAGTGAACCATCTTTCTGTACACTCTCAAGCCAACAATAAAAACAGTTGTCCCTGATTAGAACAATCATTTCCTTTATTCAATAAAATATTGTGTGCCGGGCTCAGTGCTAGTTTTCCATATCGTAAACACAGAGGCTCCAAATGGCAGGCCCCATCACCTTATGAGAGTTGATTGGGCAAGTTCTGCAGTCTGTCTTGCAGGGCCTCATAATAATTTTTCACCCTCTGCTTATAGGCTCTTTTTCCTGACTTTTGGGGAAGACTTTTCAGGCTCCTTCCAGAGCTACTTCAGTTTTGGGGGATTCTAGCTGCTAGAAGACATCAAAACTTTTGGGGATGTCCAGGCCAAGGCAGCTCCTGCACTGGCTGCTGTAGGCATCACTGCTCAGGCCCTCTGCCAAAGACCAGATAAGAGGAATAAGCGACTCCCATTGTCCTAGAGTCAGGCCTTCCTCTGGTGGGGGGTGGGGAGGCCGTTTCAGCCCTCTAATTCCCATTTTCCATCTGTTGCTTCAAGAGGATCTTCTTCTGAGGTTGTAGGTCAGGATGAAGCATTTGGAGTGTGAGCTCTGAGGGTAAAGGTGGCAGAGTAGGAGAGGCCCATTTGTGTCTTCACAGTGCAGCCACATTCATTCTTAACGCACCACTTTCCAGGAATTGGTTCTCTGCTTTAAATGGCTAGAAACTGAATTTTTTAAAGAATATTTTAACATCTTTTAAGATGTAGTTCGTCTAGTCCAGGTCAGACCTGGCACAGGCCCAAGTCCCTCAAAAGACATTTCTCTTTTGATAGGCTCCTGTTTCTGCTTTCCGAGTGGCAGTCCATATTATCTTTTTTATTTTTTTTTTTAACTTTTTTTTTTCTGAGATGGGGTCTTGCTATGTTGTTCAGGCTGGTCTCGAACTCCTGAGCTCAAGCGAGCTGCCTGCCTCAGACTCCTGAAGTGCCAGGATTACAGGCATGTGTCACCATGCCTGACCAGCAGTCCATATTATTTTAACTCTTAAAACAACCTTGTAAAGTAGGTGTTATTATATTGCCCCCATTTTAGAAATAAAGCCAGGACCTTATTAACACTTACTTTCCTGGACTGTTGGAAGAATCCTCTAATAAGTCTTTCTGCATCAAGATCTTTTTATAGATCAAGCATCTTCCAGTAGTCTTTCTGTAACAGAAGTATAATGGTGCTGCTTTGCTCTTACTACTCTGTGCTTTGTTCCAGTAGTTCCTCTATTGTGTTCCGAACAAAGACCCAATACCTTTGGCATTTGAGACTTACCTCTTTTTTTGAGATAGGATCTTGCTCTGTCACCCAGGCTGCAGTGCACTGGCATGCTCATAGCTCACTGCAACCTCAATCTCTAGGCCTCAAACGATCCTCTTGCCTCAGCCTCCTGAATAGCTGGGACTACAGGCACACACCACTTTGCCTGGCTAAGTGGTTTTTTGTTTTGTTTTTGAGACAGTCTCACTCTGTCACCCAGGGCGGAGTACAGTGATGTGATCTCGGCTTACTGCAATCTCGTCCTCCTGGGTTCAAGCGATTCTTCTGTCTCAGCCTCCTGAGTAGCTGGGACTACAGTCACATGCCACCACGCCGGGCTAATTTTTGTATTTTTAGTAGAGACAGGGTTTCACCATGTTGGTCAGGCTGGTCTCGAACTCCTGACCTCGTGATCCGCCCGCCTCGGCCTCCCAAAGTGCTGGGATTACAGGCTTGAGCCATCGCTCCCGGCCCTTTATTTCTTTTAAAACTTTGTTTTATTTCTAAGCTACTCTGGAAATGTGAGATTTAGCTAGAGATATGACCATTCATCCCACTTTGCCTGGTCAGACCTGGGCTACACGTGTTCTGTCGTCCCCTCTGATATGTACCCCTTTTCACTCTCAAGCTTCTTGGTTTGAATAATACATCATATTAAAATGGGGCTTGGCTTCAGCTCACCCCCACTAGCATTTTTTCGTACATTCCCACTAATCACAAAACCCACACCACTGCCTCACTGGCACTATACCCACTAATCCCAAGGCTTTAGTCATACAAAGAAAATAGCCATTCTTCTGTGCTCTCATACTGTTTAACCATGCCTTGTGCTTAAAGAACTCCAGAAACTGGCCTTAGGAGATCCAAAATCGAACCAAGGTTGTTGAGTGTCTCACCTCTGGAAGGAATGCTGAACAACTGATTTCCAGCCTTGTTTTTGCCAGCCAGACAGACCACCAGTTAACTCGTACTCAAGATAACCATCACAACCAGCCTTGCTAACCTGCATACTCTACCCCTCACATGCTTTGCCCAGCCCAGCCTGCATACCTTATCCCTGATGTCAATTCCTGCGCTTTGCCTAATAAATCTTTACTGGCTCTTTTCAGGGAACCAGGCTCTGCTGTCTGTCTCCCTTGCGCTCTAGCACAGTAGGACAAGCCCCAGAATAAAAGCTTTGTCTGGGAAATCTGTCTGTCCCTTTGTTAATTTTCATTACATGGGGAGTCCAAATGCCTATGGTCTGTTATAACAATGTTGTTACCTTAGATTTGACAGGAGTGAAGTATTAGTATAGTTTTACATTTCTCTTTCATTATGGTTTTTCTTTAGGTTTTTTGTTTTTGTTTTTGAGAAAGTCTCACTCTTTTGCCCAGGCTAGAGGGCAGTGGTGTGATCATAGCTCACTGCAGCCTCGAACTCCTGGCACAAGCAATCTTCCTGCCTCAGCCTCCCAAGTAGCTAGGACCATAGGCACGTACCACTACACCTGGCTAATTTTATGTATATGTGTGTGTGTATATATATATATATGTAAAAATATTTTTTGGCTGGGCACGGTGGCTCACGCCTGTAATCCCAGCATTTGGGAGGCCAAGGCAGACGGATCACCTGTGGTCAGGAGTTCAAGACCAGCCTGACCAACGTGGTGAAACCCTGTCTTTACTAAAAATAGAAAATTAGCCTGGCATGGTGATGCATGCCTGTAATCCCAGCTACTCAGGAGGCTGAGGCAGGAGAATCGCTTGAACCCAGGAGGTGGAGGTTGCAGTGAGCTGAGATCGCACTACTGCACTCCAGTCTGGGCAACAAGAATGAAATTCTGTCTCAAAAAAAAAAAAAATTTGGAAAGACAGAGTCTCACAATGTTGCCCAGGTTGGTCTCTAACTCCTGGCCTCAAGCAGTCCTCCTGCCTCAGTCTCCCAAAGCACTGGGATTATAGACGTAATATAGGCATGAGCCACTGAGCCAGGCCGTTAATTGTTATTTATATTCACATTTGCCCCACATTCCTATCCTGTTCCTAAAGTCAGACTGAAAGGGAAATATGTTTAAAATGCGAAATTCAGGTGCCTCTTTTTTTCCCCTCTGTAGATTAACATTTAGTATGGAAATACCTTCCAGCTGGGCACCGTGGTCACACCTGTAATCCCAGCACTTTGGGAAGCCAAGATAGATAGATCACTTGAGCTCAGGAGTTTGAGACCAGTTTGGGCAACATGGCAAAACCCTATCTCTACAAAAAAAAAATATATATATATATACACACACACACACACACACACACACACACACACACACACACACACACACACACACACACACACACACAAATTAGCTGGGCATGATGGCACACGCCTGTAGTCCCAGGTACTCAAGAGGCTGGGGTAGGAGGATTGGTTGAGCCTGGGAGGTGGAGGTTGCAGTGAGCCATGCACGTCTAGCTGGGCAGCATAGAAAGACCATATCTCAAAAAAAGGGCCGGGCACCCAGTGGCTCATGCCTGTAATCCCAGCACTTTGGGAGGCTGAGGTGGGCGAATCACAAGATCAGGAGTTCAAGACCAGCCTGACCAACATAGTGAAACCCTGTCCCTACTAAAAATACAAAAATTAGCCAGGCATGGTGACACACACCTGTAATCCTAGCTACTCAGGAGGGTGGGGCAGGAAAATCACTTGAACCCAGGAGGCAGAGATTGCAGTGAGCTGAGATCACGCCACTGCACTCCAGGCTGGGCGACAGAGCGAGAGTCCATCTCAAAAAAAAAAAAAAAAAAGAACAAAGAAAGAACTTCCTTCCCCATCCATATTTCCTAAACTAATAAACCGTACAACTTCATTAAATTTTTGGAACTCTGTTTCGACGTTCTTATGTTACAGATACAGGAACTGAGGCCCATAGAGATTACATGTGACGTGTCCTACATACATAGTAAATTAGTGACACAGAGATAACCGAATCCTAGATACCTTAACTCCCACAGTTCTTTCTATTGCATGAAGCAATAAAAAGTGTTTTTATGGCAAAGATCAGCATTTTCCTGAGTGTGTTATGCAAGTTCATTCCTTCATGCCCCGTGGGGGCAGCAGGGCTTCTTTAGATCATGCTGAATGCTCCCTCTTTACAATGAACCTCAGCACTTTAAAGGTGCTCAAATGTCCTGAAGTAAAGAAACCTATTTGGCTTTGTTTAATCCTACATTTTCTAAACTTTGGGAAAGCTCTTTGGAAAATGCTGGCCTAGGGCTTTCTTTTTGGGGCTGGGGTAAGGGGGTGGGTTAGGGAGGAGAAAGTTGACTTCTCTTTTTTAAAAAATGTCTCATGGGTTGTTTAGTCTTTCTTGCATTCAACATGATTCCCCGCCCCCACCCCACAGTTAGGTCTGCCGTGATCACTGGAGCTTATTTTAGTTTAAGACAGTCAGCATCATCTGATTGGGATTGATCATATGCTATTAAGAGGGAGTCCCCCAGAATGGTGATTCTAGAAAAAGGATTCATCAGCCTTTTGCATATTCTGGGCCTCTCCAAGTCCTGTAGACCTTCTCCTCTCCTCTCCCCTCTCCTTGCTCCTCTCTCCGTTGCATCATACAAAGATTGGATGTCTGTAGAAAAGAGACCAGGCTTGCCTGGAGAGAACACATCGCTGGAGAGATTAAACTGAGACTAGTTCTCATTTCCAACATCTACAAGTGATGGTTTAGATTCAGAAATAAATAACATAATACTGAGCACCATCTGACATAGGATTTTGGTTACCTGAGAAGTAATGACATTAATCCCTGAGTTAATTGTGAGGATTTTGAGAAGAAATATTGCTGTAGTACTAGAACTGTAGTCAGGGTTACCCATCAGGCTCTGGAACTGGGGAACACAGGGTAGACTCAAGGGTTACATCTCATCCAGGAAATCTGCCTCCCCCACCTCCCTTCCCTTCCAAGGTCTGTGTTTATTTTAGTATATAGAGCTCCAGTAGGATATATGAATGTCCCCAAATCAGTTCATCCTGAAGGGAGTTCCCATTAACCAGGAGCTACCAGGAAGAGATTTTCCCTAACTCCCAAAGACACTTGTATTTCTGGCCACCTCTCTAAGGTGAAACCCCAGCTATCCCAGCAGCTACTACTGCTTATTGTAGCAGCAAATGGCCAAACATCCTTAGCTCAGCCTCTGACTTCCCTAGTGTTTGCAACTTGTTCTTGTTTCTCCAGTGGGGCCATTGATGTCATATAACTCTTGTATAATTGCTTTAGGATATCTAATTGTGCTCATCGTAAAATAGAGCTTTTTAAATTTTGTTTTCTTTTTTCTTGGTGTTCTTCCCTTACCAGAGCTTTTTTTTAAAAAAAGGGATTTTTGACATGGTTTAAGTATTAAACCATTGTAATACACGTTGAGTATTCCTTATCTGAAATGCTTGGAACCAGAAGTGTTTCAGGTTTGGGATTTTTTCCAATTTTGTAATATTTGTGTCTACATAATGAGATAGCTTGGTGGGGTACCCAAGTCTAAACACAAAATTCATTTATGTTTGATACACACTTTATACACATAGCCTGAAGGTAATTTTATACAATATTTTTAATATAGTGCATGAAACAAAGTTTATGTACATTGAACCATCAAAAAGCAAAGAAGACAGCTCCAGAATTTTCCACTTGTGGCATCCTGTCAGCACTCAAAAAGTATTGGATTTTGGAGCATTTCAGATTTGGGATTTTCTGATTAGGGATGCTCAACGTGTGGCATCTTGAGTCTCTACAAACCATACAAGATTCTCAGATGAAAATAATTCCATATGTGTGTGCATGCATGTACGTGTTAAAGTAAGAGTAGTAAATTCTTGTCCGCTTCTGAAGACGCTTCTGATTTTTCTTCATCCGGAGGCAAGGCTCTATTCTTCTTTGTTTCATGCCATAAGCATACTCTGCTATGTTACTAAATTTACTCAGTCAATAGAAATAAAAAAGCAAAACAAACAAAAAAAAGAAATAATAATCGAACTTGAAAGTGCAAAGAGGCCTAGCCATAGGAGTGACACCATGCCGTCTTACCTTTAGAAACACTTCAGCATGATTTTCACCATCTCCCCTTACACTCAGATTCCAAGCTCATCTTAAAAGTCTTTTTCCCCCCTCATTTTGGTAAAGGCTTTTTATTTTACATGATAGTTTTATTCTGGATTTTTGTTTATATATTTTAAACTCTTTTGAGAAAGGATTGTTTGTGCTGTTTTTTGTTTTAAATGTAAACCCTGAGTGAGATTAGGATTTGACCTATAAATGAGGCCACAAACTTGGCCTCCAGGCCCTTATTTTCTTTGAAAGAACCACTATAAAAGCCTGATAAGATCTTGAAGATTCTGTGGAGCTCAGCTTTAAAAGTAAGATTTGTTAGACTTAACTGGTTTTTAAGTTTGAAGTGGAATTAATAGAGGTAATTTTAGTTCCTGTTTTCCTGTTTTGCAAGACTCCTGGTCTTGGCCAGGAGTTCAAGACCAGCCTGGCCAACATGGTGAAACCCCATCTCTACTAAAAATACAAATATTAGCCAGGCATGATGGCGCTCACCTGTAGTCCCAGCTACTCAGGAGGCTGAGGCAGGAGAATTGTTTGAACCCGGGAGACAGAGGTTAAAGTGAGCCGAGATTGCGCCACTGCACTCCAGCCTGGGCGCCAGAGCGAGACTCCGTCTAAATAAATAATTAATTTTCATATAAATATAGTCTATAAAAGATTGTAGGAAAACACAAATGTTAACGATATTTTTAAACATGAATTCATAAGGTTATGCTGTGTCACTAACAGAGATGAAAATAAATTCCAAGCATCTTGACACAGTTCTGTTTCTAGCAGATTTTTGTGATAATTTGTGTACGTGTTTTTCACTATATTTGTTAAAACACTTCATTGTGAGGCTAGGTTAACTGCCTACTGGTTTCTTAACAATTCCAATAATAGATTTTAAATGGCGTTTTCTCTTCTTAAACTCGTTACCCCATTTAGTCAGATAGATTTTATATATCCAGATGGTGTAAAGATTTAGAAGTATTTCCATTAATCTTGTTCTCTCTTAGATTTTCTTTTTTGCATAAATCTCTTGCTAGCAGCTCTGAGAGTTAAGTTTCCATGTTCAGAATTTAATCTGTAATTGTTAGAATTACCTTTTATTGCTACTGGCCTGTCCATTTAAATCATCATATCACATAATAGAAAGCAGGATTTTTTTTCAGGGCTTTATGGGGTGGATAGATAAAATTTTTTGTTTTGTGTCTCTTGCAATGTGTATAATAACTTCTTTCAAAATTACCATAGAACAAGTAGCTTATATATATTTAGCTTTAATTGTCCACCTTTCCTCCTCCCTCTTTTAGTAAAATGCCTAATTATACAGATTAAAGATTGATTTTTAGCAACTTTATTTTAAGGCAGAAAAACAACTAATCAATTATGTGTTATTTGTATGTGCGGTACCAGTGTTGACCTCTTAAATGTTTGTAAATTGCTTACAATGTTAGATAATAATGAATGGTGATTGCCTCTAAGGATTTAAAACAAAAATTAAAACATTTATTTTCAGTCCAAGTACTTTTCCCTGTGTTTTCAAATACTCTTCCTGTAACTATATATTTAAATTGGTTTGATATGTTACTTTTTACTGACTTAGAAAGTATATAATTGGTACATTTTATGGCTCAAATTGCAGCTAACACAGATAATTCAAGCTTAAAGATTTACATTTTATGAAAATTTGACATGTGAATTTGACAGCGTGTTGTTATTTGTGAATGAAAGCAGTTTTCAGTAGCTTTTTAAAAAAAACTGTGATCTGAGATACACTTGAAAAAATGAATTAAATTATTTTTATTTCATATCAAGAAATGGATGAAAAGAGGCTGCTGGATCCAGGGTTGAAGGTTCATAAAGGCCTCTGGGATTATACTCTGAAGAACCCGCAGACGGAATGCCTGAGTGACTGAAGAAAATGGGTGCTAATGCATCTAATTATCCTCATTCATGTTCCCCGAGGGTAGGGGGAAATTCACAGGCCCAACAGACTTTTATAGGTAACTTTCAGTTTTTCTAACTTCATTTTCTTTTGTGACTATAATAGAATTGTGTTTTCGGTAGTCTCTGTAGATGACAAAAGAAGTGAGCTGTAGTTATTATAATAATTCTGCAGCATCTAGGTTTTTTCCCCCAACAAACGTAAATCTTAAGTCTGGTTTGTATGGTTTTTATCTTAAACCACTTGTAGCACAATTGAGCTTTTCTATGTTTTAACCATAATTGCCAATTACCTTAGGCAAACTAGCAGTCTCCATTGGTGTTAAAACAGCGAAGTACATATTTCCTGTGTCCCATTTCATTTATTTTGCCCATACAAATGCAGACTTGTGTAATTAAGAAGAAAAAGAAACATTTCACAATTATATACAAGTAATGTTCTTAATTTACAACTCTGCCTATTTTTCATTCCTAAAAACCCATGATTAAGATCTATGACAAATGTCCTTTGATAGCCAGGGAACGAAAGACTTTTTCTAAAAAAATTTAGACTAATTTGCTCTGTTTGTCCCTATTTCTTATTTAATATAAAAAATGTAGGCCAGTCACAATGGCTCACACCTGTAATCCCAGCACTTTAGGAGGCCAAGGCAGGAAGATTGCATGAGGCCAGGACAGGAGTTCAAGACCAGCCTGAGCAACATTAGTGAGACCCTATCTCTACCAAAAAAAGAAAAAAAAATTTTTTTAATTAGCCAGGCATGGTGGCACATGCCTATACTCCCAGCTACTTGGGAAGCTGAGGTTGGGGAGAATCCCTTGAGCCCAGGAGTTTGAGGCTGCAGTGAGCTATGATCTTCCCACTGCACTCCAGCTTGAGCAACACAGTGAGACTCCATCTCTAAAAATTAAATTGAATTGAAAACTAAAATGAGTTAATTGAACTTTTTGTCTTCCTTTATAAAAAACAAATGCAATTTTGAGTGGTTCGGTAATGTCTGCTTACAGAATTTTTCAACATGAAAAATGTTAAACGTTGAAAATGAATGTTAAGAAAAAATAAATTTTCATTTGTTTAATTTTTTTCTTAGGGACCTCATCCTATTCTCAGCAAGGCTATGGTTGCGAATCAAAGTTGTATAGCCTTGACCATGGCCATGAGAAACCACAAGACAAAAAAAAGAGAACCTCTGGTCTTGCCACCCTCAAAAAGAAGTTTATTAAGCGTCGGAAATCTAATAGGTCTGCCGATCATGCCAAGCAGATGCGAGAACTCCTCTCTGGGTGGGATGTTAGAGATGTCAATGCATTAGTGGAGGAATATGAGGGAACATCAGCATTAAAGGAGCTTTCTCTACAAGCCAGTTTGGCTAGACCAGAAGCCCGGACATTGCAGAAAGATATGGCTGATCTTTATGAGTACAAGTATTGTACTGATGTAGACTTAATATTTCAAGAAACTTGTTTTCCTGTTCATCGTGCCATTTTGGCAGCAAGGTGTCCATTTTTTAAAACACTGCTTTCTTCCTCACCAGAGTATGGGGCAGAGATAATAATGGACATCAATACAGCTGGTATTGATATGCCCATGTTTTCTGCTTTGTTACACTACCTTTATACAGGAGAGTTTGGAATGGAGGACTCAAGGTTTCAAAATGTCGATATCCTTGTTCAGCTTAGTGAAGAATTTGGAACACCAAATTCCCTTGATGTAGATATGCGTGGACTCTTTGATTACATGTGTTATTATGATGTCGTCCTTAGTTTTTCTTCAGACTCTGAACTGGTTGAAGCTTTTGGTGGAAATCAGAACTGTTTAGATGAAGAGCTCAAAGCCCACAAGGCTGTTATTTCTGCACGGTCCCCATTTTTTCGAAATTTATTACAAAGGAGGATACGAACTGGTGAAGAAATCACAGACCGAACTTTGAGGACTCCCACAAGAATTATATTAGATGAGTCCATTATACCAAAAAAATATGCAACAGTGATATTACACTGTATGTATACCGACGTGGTGGACCTCTCTGTTTTGCACTGTAGCCCCTCTGTGGGGAGTCTCAGTGAAGTTCAGGCTCTCGTCGCAGGGAAGCCAAACATGACCAGGGCAGAAGAAGCCATGGAACTTTACCACATAGCACTGTTCTTGGAATTTAACATGCTTGCACAAGGTATGAAGTTCTGGTTTTTAATTCTGATTTATAGAATTATGTATTGATCTTCCAAATTGAAAACACAACCAGTATATTCTATGATTTCAGTGTTTGGGATGTTACAGGGTCAGTTTTTTTGAACCTTCAGTTATGACATCTGAGACAGATTGAGGGTCAGTATTAATGTGGTTCTTTATTTACTAGTAAAACCAAGTATTCAGTACTAATGACTTCAGAGCATTAAATGAGACTTGAGGTTCTTTCTTCCCTAATGTAAGACGATAGGTATGGGAATATATAATTACCAACCTACACCCTCTCCACCCAAGCTTTGAAAGAGCCCAGTTTCCCACATTTTGAGTCTCATATTTATGTTCAGTACCTTGTTGATGTTTAAATGTTTGGATAAGAATAAAAATTCATTACAAAAATGAAGATAGTCACATTTAGATACGAATTTAGTTGAATCAGAATTGGGCAGGGTTTCTGATTTAAATTTTAAAATATTCCTTATCTTATTTTTAGATTCAACTTGTACATCAAGCCACAGCCTACAGCGTGTAAAACACAGTTAGCGCTAGACTCATGTGCCTTCTTCATTTAATTTAAACTAAAATTTTTTTAAAATTAGGACGGCACGTTTTTTGTGTTATAGGCAAACAAATTCATGAAAGTTACATTAAAAGAAGTATACATCTGTTGGTAAATGTTAGAATCTTAACATTTCAGAGCTGGAAAGAGACCTTTTGTAGGAGAGCAAAGACAGTTTGCTGTTTTGACAGAGTGCATTCTTAGCTTTCTGTGACCATATATTAAAAGAAAATAAGCTATGTGACATGAGACTACTTGAGAAATTTAGCTAATGCATATTAGCTAAAAGAACATTAGAAGTTGCCAGTTAGAAGAAAATATTAATGGTTTGGGTAAGAGACATGAATTTAAATAAGGAAAGCTAAGTACTGAACTTGAAAATAATATGTATTATATGGTTAAGTCAGCCTATCAATAGGGCTTTGAGAAATTGAAAAATAGCCCCAGTTAAATAACAACATTAAGCCAGTCTCAGTGGTGTGTGGTTGTAGTTCTATCTACTTGGGAGGCTGAGGCAGGAAGACCGCTTGAGGTCAGGAGTTCAGGGCTGCAGTGAGCTGTGATCATACCTGTGAATAGCTACTGCACTGTACTCTGGGCAGCATAGTGAGAACTCAGCTGTATTTTTTAAAAATCTCAGTAATAAAATGGGAACTTACACAGAAGAAGGCGTTGATAAACATGAGTGGGAAAATGTTGAGATTTCTTTTACATAAAGAATCTTTTAAAACCTTACTTTACCATAATCCTTTTATAATAGATGTTTTATTTTATTACAACAACCAAAATGTCATTAAAACAGTTTATTAGTTTAGAATAAGAATTATTGTATCAATAATAGACTATTTAGATGTCAAACTGTAGGAAAAATATGTTATCAAAAATAGAGTAGCAGTTTAAGCTACTATTTTTTTCTGTAAAACCAAATTTGTCAGAAAATGCTTCTACAGAAAAATTTGAAGTTTGCAACATTACCAAAAAAAAAACTATATTTTCTCAAAATATTTTTATTTTTGATGCCTTTTAATAAGAAACCAAATTATATAGACTTTGTATGAGAAAGCATTCTTTAATATATGTTTTTTTGTTTGTTTTTAAAAACGGAGTCTTGATCTTGTCACCCAGGCTGGAGTGCAATGGCGCAATTTCGGCTCACTGCAACCTCCGCCTCCTGGATTCAAGTGATTCTCCTGCCTCAGCCTCTTGAGTAGCTGGGATTACAGGCTCCTGCCACCATGCCCAGCTAATTTCTGTATTTTTAGTAGAGACAGGGTTTTACCATGTTGGCCAGGCTGGTCTCAAACTCCTAACCTCAGGTGATCCACCTGCCTCGGCCTCCCAAGGTGCTGGGATTACAGGCATGAGCCACCGCACCTTGCAGGTTTTTTTAAGTTTTAGATGCAAAGTAAAATTGTCAGCCAGCTCTAAGATCTTTGGTAATACTTGATTATTTATCTAGAGTTTATCTTGAGTTAATTTCTCTTTTTTTTTTTTTAGTGTTTAGCTAAAAGTTGTATTTTATTCAGTGTATTTAAAGATATAAAATAATACTTTTTGCATTGTCTAATCTGGTTACTTAAAACAAGCAAAAAAAAATCTTGTGTACAAATATTCCCTTAAATGTGGATATATATGCTCTTCTTTTTCCCTTTGTTACTCAAAATAGAGTTTGAGTTATTTTTGTTTTGTTTTTTGTAACCCATGTGGGGCATATCTTTCCCCCATACCCATGAAATATTCATATTAAGGTTTATAAAAGACTATAACTTTAACATAATTTTTATCTCATTTCCATAGGAAGAAGAATATTAGCTCGCTTGAGGTAGGATTTTATACCATAAAGCTCAAGAGTTCAGGTTCTAAAACCAGACAGACTGGGTTTCAGTTCTCTACCGTGTCTTAGTTTGACCTTAACCAAGTCACATAGCCTAAGCCCCTCTTTTCTCATTTGTAAAATAAAGATAGTAAACCCTATAAGCTATGATGATTAAAGGAAATAATATATGTTAAATGATCTGAGTAGCACCTGTTACATAGTAAACATTCAGTAAATGTTAGCTGCTAAACTATAATAATCACCACAACATATGTCTCTCACTACCATATAGTTTTTTTCTAAAAATAACTTTAAGTTTAAAAAATAATTTTACTAGGCCAGGTGTGGTGGCTCACACCTGTAATCCCAGCACTTTGAGAGGCTGAGGCAGGAGGATCACTTGAGCCCAGGAGTTCAAGATCAGCTTGGGCAATATAGTGAGACCTCGTCTCTACCAAAAAAAAAAAAAAAAAAAAAAAAACTAGGCCTAGCACAGTGGCCCACACTTGTAATCCCAGCACTTTGGGAGGCCGAGGTGGATGGATCACTTGAGGCCAGGAGTTTAAGACCAGCTTGACCAACATGGTGAAACCCCATCTCTACCAAAAAATACAAAAATTAGCCAGGCATCATGGTACACGCTTCTAGTCCCAGGTAGGCTGAGGCAGGAGAATCGTTTGAACCCGGGAGATGGAGGTTGCAGTGAGCTGAGATCGCACCACTGCACACCAGCCTGGGCGACAGAGTGAGTCTCCATCTCAAAAAAATAAAAATACAAAAAAATTTAGCTGGGTGTGGTGGCACACACCTGTAATCCCAGCTACCCAGGAGGCTGAGGCATGAGAATTACTTGAACCCAGGAGCGGGAGGTGGCAGTGAGCCAAGATTGCACCACTCCACTCCAGCCCGGGTGATAGAGTGAGACTTTGTCTTAAAAAAAAAAAAAAAAAAAAAAAAGGCCAAGTGCAGTGGGTCACGCCTGTAACCCCAGCACTTTGGGAGGCCGGGGCAGGCAGATCACGAGGTCAGGAGATCGAGACCATCCTGGCTAACAGGGTGAAACCCCGTCTCTACTAAAAATACAATAAATTAGCTGGGCATGGTGGCAGGTGCCTGTAGTCCCAGCTGCTCAGGAGGCTGAGGCAGGAGAATGGCGTGAACCCAGGAGGCGAAGCTTGCAGTGAGCTGAGATCGCACCACTGCACTCCAACCTGGGCGACGGAGTGAGACTGCGTCTCAAAAAAAAAAAAAAATTAAAAGGCAGTATTGGCAGACAGCTAGAGTGGTTTGGCAAGTGGGTAAAAGGATTCTTGGTGCCAGGTGCGGTGGCTCAAACACCTTTAATCCCAGCACTTTGGGAGGCCAAGGCAGGCGGATCACCTGAAGTCAGGAGTTCGAGACCAGCCTGGCCAACATGGTGAAACCCCCGTCTCTAACTACAAAAATTAGTTGGGCGTGGTGGTGCATACCTGTAATCCCAGCTACTAGGGAGGCTGAGGCACAATAATTGCTTAAACCTAGGAGGCAGAGGTTGCAGTAAGTCGAGATCACAGCACTGCACTCCAAGCCTGGGCAACTGAGTGAGACTCTGTCTCCAAAAAAAAAAAAAAAAAAAAAGCCCAGAGAGTTGAGATTCTTGGCCTACACAGAGAATGTGTTTTATATCAGTAGGGAGGAGCAGGCAGTAGGCAATCACAAGTAGATAACGGCCTCAACTTACAGGCCTGGCATTTAGGACCAGATTTAACTTCACTTGATTTTCATTTAAACATAACAAAATGAATATGTTTAATTTTATTTCCTTCAAAGCCCTATTATCATAGTGAAGGAATAAAACAAATATAAGCTCTCAAGGACAAAGAGACAAAGATACCTAAGGAGAAAACAACAATGGGGAAGATGTTGAAATTTTTGGAAAATGGAAAGCAGATAGAGACTTGATTACTGGCTTAACAGAGGAGCAGCCTGTAATTAGATGCTGTAAAGGGGGCTACTGAGGAGAAGTGAGGCAGTTCACCTGTTAGAGCTCTGGCGTGGCTCAGGCCAGGTGGAACTAAGTACTCTGGAAAGAAGGGATATGCATAGCATAGAACTAAAAAGACAGAGTTGATTTTAAGTCTGAATACTGAGGGATCAGACCCTTTCCCCAACCCTGGAATTCATCTTTATGTATGGTATTAGAAAAGGATGTGGTTTTGTTCTTCTGCATATAGTGAGCCAAGTATTCCCTACTAATTCCCTATTCCTGATTTGTGCCACTCTTAAAGCTGCTATGTATGCATGGATTGTATTCATGCATCAGTACTCAGTCTCCATTTTGTCCCAGTGGTCCATTTGTCTGTTCTTGCATTACTATCACTTGCAACAAGGTGACATGCCCTTGTCCCCGCCCCCTCAATTCGCCTCTCTGCTACTGCCCCCACAACAAAACACAGGAGACCTGAGATTTTCTAAAATTTTCTGAATTTTCTAAAGAAATTAGAGAGATTCCAAATCTGGAAATAGCAACAGAGGAGGGTAGGGATGTGGCACAGGGTTGAAATCTATAATTATGTGAAACCCTATGGTGAAATCACCTACTTCCTTAACCCCTGCTGTAATACCAGCCAGGCAAATACAAGAAGAAACTGGAGTCCTGGAAATGGTGAACAGCTCAAAAGTATATACACTTACAGATACTGATGTTTTGGGTTTCCACAGTGAAATTACACTCAGGGGTTATAAAATGAAAAAGCCAGCTTGCCTTCCATTTGTTTTACAGAGGAGACTACAGTCATCAGGCCTGCCTGTGCAGCAGAGCTTTCAAACAGCTGCTTACTGCCTCAATCTTAAATATGAAAACCCATCCAAGGATAACTGGACATTTGAGGAAAGCTTCCAAATTGAGACAGAGATCAGAGCAAAAAGAACAAAGTCCTGGAGGAAGCAGACAATGAAGGGAGCAGAAGAAAACTTCAGTAGAATCAAAATATCCTTATATAAAAGAACTTTTTATGGAATCAGTGAGACATAAGCAGGATGCTATTAAAGTAAAAACAGGAGCTTTTAGAAATAAGATAGCAGAAATGAAAGATATAATGGAAGCATTGAAAGGTACAGTTGAGGAAATCTAGAAAGTAAATAATATAATAAAGAGATGAGTGGAGACAAATAAAACTAGAGTATTCATCCAGGGTCTAACATCTAACAAATAGTGGCTTTAGAAATATATACCAGAGAAAAGTGAAGAGAAGACAGTATCTAAGGAGTAATATAAGAAATATTTCCAAAACTAAAGGAATTTCTATATAAAAAGTTTCTTTTTCAGAACACTGGGGAAAAAGAGACAATTTTAAAATGTTGCAGGGAGGAGAAAAATTAGGTTCCATGCAAAGAAATAGGAATCAGATGGTATTGAGATTTTCAGTAGCAACAACTGAATACCACAATACAGTGAAGTAGTGTCTTCCAAAAGCTGATGGAAAATTATTTTAAACACAAAATCCTATATTTAGCCAAACAGTCAATCAAGTGTAAGGCTAAATAAAGGCATTTTTCAGTCATACCTCGAAAAACTGCCTGTGTAGGGATATTTCCCCTGCTTCCCCACTCAGGCAGCTGCTGGGAATGTATTCCACCAAATGACGAAGCAAACCAAGAACAAAGAAGTGAAGGATCTAGAAAATGGGCTCCAACACGGGAAGGAAGCAAAGGGAGATCCCACGCATCAGCCACACAGTAGGTCTTGTGGGCATTCAGTCTAGCCCAGACCGGGAGGGTGAAAGTCTCCAAGGAAAGAGGTGTCTCGGAAGAAATCAATTACTTTCAATGTTTGAACATTAAATAGCAAATGACAAAGCAATTTTATGGCTCTTGTGGTGCATTTATGAAGAATTAGCAATAAGTTCTTAGAAAATGAAGCAAATGGAAAAAGAAGAAATGAATATTTCCAAGATAAATTTAACAGTACATATGAAAGAATAAATAATTTTAGTACACAGCATGGCTCAGCAGTAAGCACTATTTAATTATAAACACTAAATATTGATTTAATAAAAATAGTAATATAGAGAGGTAAATACTAGAAGAAAGAGCTAAAGAATTGAGAGTAGTTACCTCTGGGGAGCAGAACTGAAAGTGGAAGGGATGTAGGACGGGGTGGGGGGGCGGGGGGGTTTAGGGTTAGCATTGTGTTACTACCAGACTTTTTAAATGATGAGCATATACTACTTTGATTACAAGGTTAACTTTTTTTTTTTTTGAGACAGAGTCTCGCTCTGTCGCCCAGGCTAGAGTGCAATGGCCCAATCTTGGCTCATTGCAACCTCTGCCTCCCAGGTTCAAGCGATTCTCCTGCCTCAGCCTCACAAGTAGCTGGGATTACAGGTGCCTGCCACCATGCCCGGCTAATTTTTTGTGTTTTTAGTAGAGACGGGGATCTGCTCTGTTGGCCAGGCTGGTCTCAAACTCCTGACCTCAGGTGATCCACCCGCCTCAGTGCTGGTATTACAGGCATGAGCCACCATGCCTGGCCCAGAATTAACTTTTTAAATGTAAAGATATGACATCAGTGCCCATAAGAACCAGAGAGACCAAGAGAAGGCCACAATCCTAAAGAACTGGAGACTTTATCATATCTTTGAAGTCTGTTAACTAATGAGCTCATGCTTATAATTTGAATGTACAGAGGGCTGTTACTTATCTCCATTGGTCATCCTGTCAGCCGATGAATGTGGTGAGGCTCAGAGATTATTAACTAGCCTTTTCCCAGGTTTGGAAGTCACGAAGCTGTAACTCATACCAGCTCTTCTGACTCTAGGCTCAGGAATTTGGGCATGGTAGGAGAAGGGAGAAATACTGGACCCAATTTCCAGGGATGAGGGTGGGAGGCTGTGGCCTACTCTTAGGAACAAAACAGAAAACTATAGTGATTGAAACATCAACTTGTAGGAGCCTCAGCTGTGAGCCCGATTTGTGGCTGAACAACAAATCATTACCCCCGACTTGGGTTGAGGGTAATGTGGGCTCAGCTAGGAGGTTTAAAGCTGTAGGGTCAGGGATCTGAGTAGCTCACTCAAACTTTGCTTCAGAGCACTTAGCCAGAGAACAGGGGCTTTGTACTGTTTCAGCCATTGTTTCCTGAATAGGTAGCATTCCTATGTTAGTCATTTGACTTTTCTGGCTGCCCAGCATTAGGACCTTCTTCCCAGCCTTACTGTGTATGTCTTCATAGGAGGCAGAGCCCACCTCCCAGTAGAAAAGCCTTAAAGGTCATATACTTTCTTCTGCAGCCTTCTCTAGTCAGGGTTAGTGGTACAGAAAAGCAGGGACTATAGAGAATTTTTTCTGGAAGCAGAGTGGGGCAGCAACATCTAGTGGAAAAGGAGAGAAGGCCATGGCAGTGGTGCCATTGATGACATTCACTATCCAGGGACAGAATGTAGGAGCTTTAGTGGCCAGGGTCCCAGGCAACTCAGGGTCTTCACTGGGCTTCCATGTTGTGGAGTCCCCATCCTGCAGCCTTCCTTAGTCCATGTTTACTGAGCTGGGTCTCCAGCTTTTCCCAGCAACACTGTAGATTAATAGTGTCCTTTGAGATAAATTCCTTTTCTCTTTAAGCCAACTAGACTTGTTTTCTGCTATTGCACCATAAGAAGCCTGATTGGTAGCAGTACCTATATTTAAAAGACTAGTATTTAAAACTCCAAAAGAGATGACTAGATTGGAAGAGTCTCCAAAGAAGGAGCACATGTTTGATCACTTTGACTTTTCATAATGACCTTAGCATATATACTGGGTAAACAGCTCTGAAAATGTGAGAACAGTAAGAGTATACCATTCATTGGTAATTTTTTGAGGAAAAGTTCATTGTTTAGGAGAACTATAGGTTAACTCATGAACTTTAACCATCCTTGTCATAAATACTGTTGACCTCAGAGCAAAATACCCCAGAATTAGCACCAACATCTACATGCATATTTACTGTAGACTTCAAACTGCAGATTTTGTTTTTTCATCTTGATCACAAATGCATTTTTCAATCTTTACAATATGAAATTTATTTATAACTTTAGTTCCAAAATGGACTCTGTAATGCATTTGCCCATATTTTTAGTCGTAATGGATGTGATTATATTTTATTGAATTAAAAATCTAACAGAAGCAACTGAAAGCAATGACCTCGTTTTTTCCCTTAGCAACTTGGTCACTTTCCAAGAGTGTGTGGCTTGAAACAAATGCAAAATAGCAAAGACTTACTGTCCCCACTCACTCATCCATTTCACCCTCTTCCCAACCTCCACTGTCTACATATTGACACTCTTCCCTCTGTCTCAGTTCTGTTGAGTTGACAGTTTATTTTACTTCTGTCTATAATTGTCTCCTCTTCAGCAAATTTGAATGTACTTCCTAGAGAAGAATGGGGCCAAGCTAAAGACCATTATCAACAGATCAGAGTAGTAAATGCAGGTTTCAAACATGCAACATAAGAGTTAATCTCAGTTTCATATTTATATATATGTTTATATATAAAACATAAAAAGTTTATATATATAATATTGCATCTTTTGTTTTAAAACTTAAGTCATTTTTCATAGACTACAAACTCTTCACCTCTGACCCTCTGCTCTCACTTTTCATTTGTCTGGGGGGTATTTTGCCTTTGATCATTAAATGTCCAAATTCTACCCTAACCTTTAAGACCGAACTCACATGCTTACTTTCCTTGTTTTGCTTAGCCATTCCAAGTTAAAAGTATTTTCTACATCCTGAGAATTTCTAAAACACTTTTTATTGTTCTTAGGGTTTTATATCTTCTGACTTGTTTTGAAATTACCTAGGTACCCGTCTCATTTCCTCTGTCACCTAGTGTATTGTATGCTCCCAAAGTTGTGTATCAAAATCTTGGTCATCTTTGAATAACCTGAGAACCTAGCACACTGCTTTATTCTTAGTATACTGTCAGTTACATGTTTTGAATTATTTTTAATACCTTTGAAAGCTGAGTAACCTTTTCTTTAAAAAAAAAAAAAGTGGGGAGTGGGATAGTAGAGGTTGTAATAAATTTTATCCCTAAGGAGTTGCAAACAAAATGAAAGCACTTAACCCCAGAATAGGAACAAAATATGAAGTATTATTTATAAAAGTAAGTTTACATGGGGTCTAAATGGTATAACTCTCTACCATTTAATTCACAGTTTAATGTCAGAAAACCTGTCTCATCAACTCACTGTTTACTTGTCAGTTCATTGATTTAAAATAGAATATCAATTGAATTTAGAAAATTCTCAAAAGCCAGTTTAATGCTGTTCATCTTTTAAGGCCAAAAAAAGTTTAATCCAGAGGCAGTCTTTCATTCTGCACTAATTTATAATTTAGATCAAAGAACTAATTATATATCTCAAATTTAATAATAAAAAGGTATAGTAATGAGAATTAAATTTATGGTAAATTATATAACTCAGAATGTTAAAGTAACTTGGAAATTCTTAATCTAAGTTAAGTATCTTTTTATTTCTTACTTGTCCTGTTTGATTTATTAAGGGAAAAGAAAATTTTAAGGAGTTGCCAGTATTTCTTTGTCTATTGAAAGTGGAATGTTTATTCACCCTTATTTATATACTTAAAAGACATTGTATTGGCCTGGTGCAATGGCTCATGCCTGTAATCCCAGCACTTTCAGAGGCCGAAGCAGGCAGATTACTTAAGGCCAGGAGTTCGAGACCAGCCTGACCAACATAGTGAAACCCCATCTCTACTAAAAATACAAAAATCAGCCGGGCATGGTGGCGCACACCTGTAATCCCAGCTACTCTGGTGGCTGAGGCATGAAAATTGCTTGAACCAGGGAGGCGGAGATTACAGTGAGCTGAGATCCTGCTACTGCACTCCAGCCTGGGTGATAGAGTGAGAGACTGTCTCAAAACCAAACCAAAACAAAACATTGTATATAAATAAATGTTATAGCTTGTTATATGGCTTTTAAAATGTAAATATGTATCAGGTAGTTTGTAGCTATAACAAGAAGTGATATCTCTAAAATATGCACTGTTAATTTGTAGTAGAATCCATTAAATGTCTAAATTTCTTTTTATTTAAAATAATGCAGAATTTGGCTGGGGATGGTGGCTCACACTTGTAATCCCAACACTTTGGGAGGCCATGGCGGATGGATAGCTTGAGCTCAGAAGTTCAAGACAAGCCTGGCAACATGGCAAAACCACGTCTCTAAAAAGAATAGAAAGAAATTAGCCGAGTGGGTGGCACACACTTGTAGTCTCAGCTCCTCAGGAGGCTGAGGTGGGAGCATAGCTTGAGCCCAGGAGGCAGAGGTTTCAGTGAGCTGAGATCATGCCACTGCACTCCAACCTGGGCGACAGAGCCAGACCATGTCTCAAAACAAACAACAGCAACAGCAAAAATTATACAAAGTTTAGTTAGAAGCTTTCTCAGCAAGCAAAACCTTTTCTCTGATAATAAAATTCGAAAGATGGAGGGAGAAGGCAAAATAGCAGACTTTGTAAACTTATGACATCACATTTGTCTTGAATTACTGAGATATGTGTTCTTCATTGCACCTTGCACATACCACCATTTATATATGACTTTCAAAGTAAAATAGAATAATTAACATCAATTGAGGCCAGGTGTGATGCCTCCCATCACCAAGGAATACAAAATGAATGGAGTCTAAGATACAGGTGATTTGGTATAAGGAAGATAGGACTGGGGAGGAGGCATTACTGACTAAAGAGGGAAAATGACAGAAGGAAGGAAGAACCTCTGCATTGTACAAATATCCTGGCTTTTCAAACTCAGAGTTGAGATACAGTTGAAGTTTCTGTCTTAAAACCAAGCATAGGCCGGGTGCGGTGGCTCGTGCCTGTAATTCCAACCCTTTGGGAGGCCAAGGCAGGCAGATCACGCAGTCAGGAGTTCAAGACCAGCCTGCCCAACATTGTGAAACCCCATCTCTACTAAAAATACAAAAATTAGCCAGGTGTGGTGGCGGATGCCTGTAATCCCAGCTACTCAGGAGTCTGAGGCAGGAGAATCGCTTGAACCCAGGAGGCAGAAGTTGTAGTGAGCTGAGAAATCGCACCACTGCACTCCAGCCTGGGCAACAGAGCGAAACTGTCTCAAAAAAAAAAAAAAAGAAAAAAGCATTGCTCTTATCTCCTAAAACATCCAGAGGAAGACTATCACAAGATGTAAGAATTCTGTTTACTTTTAGTTGTAGAAGTGGAAAAGAAACTATTCCAAGAATTAAGATAGATTGATAATGATATTACTTAGCTGTTACTGTGAAAACACTGCACTAAGATCTTTTTATGGAATACCTCACTTAATCTTTATAGTAACCTATGTGGTAACTGCTGTCATGCTTCCTGTAATAGAAATGAGGTAACAAATCCTAAGTTGCTACCTCTCCAAGGCTATTTCAACAGATCAAAAGATGAACTTCAAAACAAGAATGTATTGAGCACCTACTCTACACTCAGTGATCAAGCTTCATGTATACTTTGCACTTCAGCAGACTTTAGATAATACGATTGATAATATTCATAAATAAACCATCTCCTATAATAACTCTCTGGTAAAACTTTACCTCTGAATTAATTCATTTCAAAAACAATTCATGCTCATTGCTGGGGGAGAAAAGAAATGATACAGAAACATATCAGAAAGTGTATTTTTGTCTACTACCAATGCTTTTCCCAAATCCTTATTAGTGATATACTGTGGCCAGTTTGATGGTTTTCCTTACAAATCTTTATATGTGCATATCTGTGTGTGTATTTAACGTGCTATCTTATTCTGTTATAAATAACATCACACTATATAACTTTTTTTCATACTTAATAAACCTTGGGAAAATGTTTATGTCAGTATATATAGAGTTTACTTTTGAATAACTGATGTTTTTTAAGTTACTGTCTAAAAATACAAGTAATAGGTTGGGTGGTCAGATAACACAGATAATACTAAAAGTGTTTAAGAACTATAAAGTCTCACTCCTCTGTGATAACTACTGTCAACAAAAAGTACCTTTTGGGCTAGGTGAGGCGGCTCATGCCTGTAATCCCAGCAGTTTGGGAGGCTGAGGCGGGTGGATGGCTTGAGTCCAGGAGTTTGAGACCTGCCTAGGCAACACGGTGAAACTCTGCCTCTACAAAAAAAAATACAAAAATTAGGGCACAGCGGCTCATGCCTGTAATCCTAGCATTTTGGGAGGCCAAGGCAGGCAGATCGCTTGAGTCCAGGAGTTTGAGATCAGCATGGATAACATGGTGAAACTCCATCTCTACAAAAAAAAAAAAAAAAGAGCCAGGCATAGTGGTGCACACCTGTGGTCCCAGCTCTTTGGGAGGCTGAAGTGGGAGGATCAAGAGCCCAAGAAGCGCAGATTGCAGTGAGCCAAGGTTGTGCCACTGCACTCCAGCCTGGCTGACAGAGTAAGACCCTGTCTCAAAAACAGAACAAAACAAAAATTAGCTGGGCGTGGTGGTGGGTGCCTATAGTCCCAGCCACTCAGAAGGCTGAGATGGGAGGATTGCTTGAGTCCACCGAGGTCAAGGCTACAGTGAGTTGTGATTCAGCCTGGATGACAGAGTAAGATCTGTTTCAAAAAAAAAAAAAAAGGTGCCTTTTTATAAATAATACCTTCAAAGGACCGAATCTTAGTTCAGAGTATATATATGATGGGACTGCTAAAACACTCGGTGAATATAAACTGTCCAGAAATTGCCTGGCTTCAACCATTTTTTCATATATTTGGTCTCTATTGTAAATTAACATGGGCTGGCCTTACTAAATATGTCTCCACAAGGGGATTACTTGATATATTAAAAGACTTTGAGCTCTGTTACGATTCTTTGCACTAAAACATTTTTATGTATCTCATACTTAGGTATTGGCATGTTTATGTTTATAAAACTTCTGATAAATGTTATACATGTCATGAAATTTAAGGGTGAAATATACATACATCTGAAAGTAGTGCCAAAAAACTGAAAATATATTTGCACACTTAAATGTCTTTGTTTCTAGCGATATTCATCTTCAACCATAATAGCCTTTTCTGAAGTGGTTTGTTTGGTTTTTATATTAGGTTTTCGTTGTCAGTGTTCCTTTCTAATTGACGTTTACATTGTTTACATTAAAGAACAGTGCTGAATTTTGAAACCGATTCAGTAAATTTTCTCTGGAAAGTACATGGGCATTACCTTGTTTTTCTAAATCTTTTGACATCTGAGCTTGTATCTAATTATGAGCAGTCAGAAGTTTTTCTAAGCTAAACTGCATGATTAGTTGTTATTTTTGTGCCTCATCTTAAACCCTAGATTGATAGTTTTTTGTTTATAAGTATGAACAGTAAAATAGTAAGAAGCTAAAGTTTTCTGTGGTGTGAACACCACTTCTAAACTACATTTTGATGTCAAATTTTTAGAGGCAGTAGATTAAATAAAAGTAGATGGATACAGTATTATAGATCTGATCATCACATTAGGTCTATAAACCTGAGAGAACAGCTGCTGTCCTAGTTTTCAAGCAAATAAAGGTAACAATGGGACATTATTGGAGCTAAAAAAGATATAGCCTATCAACTCAAATAAGCCCCTTGGTATAGAATTAGCACCATGATTCCTATACTCATTTAACAAACACTTATTGAGCTCTTACTGTGTGCCAGAACCTGAGATTAAAGTAATGAAAATGATAGTCCATCAGTCTGGCCAACATGGTGAAACCTTGTCTCTACTAAAAATACAAAAATTAGCTGGACGTGGTCATGGGCACCTGTAATCCCAGCTGCTCGGGAGGCTGAGGCAGGAGAATCGCTTGAACCCGGGAGTCGGAGGTTGCAGTGAGCTGGGATCACGCCACTGCACTCCAGCCTGGGCAACAGAGCGAGACTCTGTCTCAACGAAAAAAAGAAGAAAAGGATAGTCCAGTGTTAAGTACCAATAGGCAGTTAGAGTGTGAGTGCCCTAATAGAACACTGGGTGCTGGGGGAGTACCTAGGAGGACGAGAAGCCCCAGACCCCAATATGGAAGGGGAGGGCAGGAGGACATATCAGAAACTTCCCAGACAATGAGACCTGGAGTAGGAGTTAAGCAAAGATTGGAGGTAAAAGCGAGCATATCAGGCAGCAGGAACTGGCCTAGAGATAAATGACAGCTAGGCCTTTTTGGCTGGAGATGCTGGGGTTGCAAAGAGAGGTATGGCAAGAAATGAGGCAACAGAGGCAAACACGGCTATAAGATAAAGAATTCAGTATACTAAACTGAGACAATTGGCTTTATCCTCACTATCATAAATCTTGTGGCCTGATTACATTTGTATTTTCTAAAAGCTCTCTTTGGATGTAGCATGTGAAGACCGTAAGAAATGTTCTAGAAATAGTGAGGGTCTTAAAAGTACATACATTCTGCTGTAAGTAGATGAAATCTGTAAATTTTATATCAAAATTACTAATTCTTTTTAAAAGTTTTATGCTCTGTGTATTCATTTGTTCAGGAGAATTTGTGGGGCACCTGTTCTTTTTCAGGCACTGTGTCAAGCACTTTACTCACGTTGTCCTCTGTGGTAGGTTTTTCCTCCATTTACAGCCAAATGGGGTACCAAAAATTCACCTAAGTGCTGGGATTACATGCCTGAGCCACTATGCGTGGCCAAGACTATTAAAAGGGACAGAAACTTGAAAGATAGGCTTCTATATGGATAAATAGTCATGTACCACATAATGATGTTTCAGTCAACAGCAGACCACATGTACAATGGTGGTCCTATAAGGTTATAAAATACGTACTTCCACTCTACTTTTTTAATGTTTAGATGTGTTTAGATGAACAAATACCATTGCATTACCATGTTACAGCTAGAAAGTGTTAAGGCCAAGATTTGAATCCTGGTCCTTGTGATTCCACAGCTACTCTTCCACAGGTAGGGGGAAGAGGGAATATGATCTCTGAGGAGAAATCATCTGTGAGGTGCACTGTTTTGAAGGGAGCACATGATCATATGTAACCAACCAGAAGATATCAGAAGGTTTTCTGAAAAACTTTTTTTTTATATATGGAGTTTCAGCCTTGTTGCCCAGACTGGAGTGCAGTGGTGCAATCTCAGCTCACTGCAACCTCCGCCTCCTGGGCTCAAGCGATTCTCCTACCTCAGCTTCCCAAGTAGCTGGAATTAGAGGCGTCTGCCACCACGCCTGGCTAATTTTTTGTGTTTTTAATAGAGGTGGGATTTCACCATGTTGGCCAGGCTGGTCTCGAACTCCTGACCTCAAGTGATCCACCCACCTCGGCTTCCCAAAGTGCTGGGATTAGAGGCGTGAGCCACCACGCCTGGCTGAAAAACATAATTACATGGCTGTACCCCAAAAGCTTTGGTTTTTCCCTTCAATGATATTCTTAATTCCATTATAATAATTTACTATTCATCACTAGTGGGGTAATGGTCTAAGGATAGTAAACAAAATACAGGTGTAAATGACTAGCTTTTGTTTTCAGATAAAGAGGTGTGAACCGCTGAATTTTTCACCTGCTGAGTAGGAGGATAGTTTTTATTTAACATTTTGATAAACCTGTGACAGGAAATTATACATTTGGGTTGTCACTGTTTCTGTTCTCATTATAGGTGTTTGACTTGCCCTGCTCTCTTCAGACTACGCTCCCTCCCTTCCCCCTTGCACATCCCGCAAATCCTGTGCTTGCTTTGGTAGTAGAATACATCAGTACAGTGCGTACGCTTATCAGGGAACTTTGATTATAGAAATAGCTGTCATTCATTTAACATTTACCATAAGGTAAGCAATGGACTAAGAGCTGTATGTATATTATTTAATCCTGAAAGTAACCCCCTAGGGTAGACGGTATTATCCACATTTTTCAGATAAGGAAACAGGCAAAGATTTCACACATCACACAGCTAAAGAGAATTGGAATTGGGTTTCTGGTCAGTCCCACTCTAGTGGTATATCCTTTCTGTCTCTTCCAGCAAGATGCCTGCATATAAGAATGTGCTCTATTTCAGAGATTTCAGGCATCCTGTAGGTCCCAGAGTTAGCTCCCCCTGCATTACAGTAGAGGGCTATATGTGGTGTCTTTGTGCAGAGAACTGACATCCCCATGAATGCTTTCCCTTCATTATGCTATTCTCATTACCCCCCATGCTTAAATGTAAACATTTTAAATGCCGTATTAGATAACACTAATTTATGAAGTAAACATTAAAGAAATATCAATCTAGTCAATTGAGTACCTTAAGAATTATTAACCTGAGCCGGGCACAGTGGCTCACACCTGTAATCCCAGCACTTTGGGAGGCCAAGGTGGGCGGATCACCTGAGGTCGGGATTTCAGGACCAGCCTGGCCAACATGGTGAAACCCTGTCTCTACTAAAAATACAAAAATTTTCTGGGTGTGGTGGTGCGTGCCTGTAATCCGAGCTACTCAGGAAGCTGAGATCAGAGAATTGCTTGAACCCGGGAGGCAGAGGTTGCAGTGAGCTGAGATCATGCCACTGCACTCCAGGCTGGGTGACAGAGTGAGATTCCATCTCAAAAAAAAAAAAAAAAAAAAAAAAAAATTAATCTGTGTGTGTGTGTGTCGTGGCTTGAAGAGAAATCGTTCATGAATTGTGTGTATGCTTTAGCTTCCTCTACTAAGTTACTAAAGTTATTCCCTAGAAGTTTTCAGCTGCTTTTCCAGCTTTGTTTGCTTTTGTCTCTCACACAACTTGTCAGAAGCTGTAAGAATAAAGAATATAAACATTGTGTACCTTTTCACACACATGCAGCATCAATCTCAGTGATTGCCTCTTTCCCATTAGAAGGGATTAATGTTCTCCAGGTAGATAGCCTTCTCATTTCCAGTATTCACTTGGTTTTGTAGTCAGTGATTAATTTTTTACAGAGTACTAAGGAAAAGAACTTCTGGCAGCTTCCATAGCCTGGTGGTACTTTTTTTTAATTTAACTTTTAATAGGTAATACATTCACACGGAACAGAATTCAACATGGTATTCTGTAAAGAGTCCCCCACCCTTCCACTTTGTTCCCCAGCCACTCAGTTGCCCTTGACAGAGGCAACCAGTGTTACAGGTTCCTGTGTACCCTTCCAGATAGATAATCCAGAGATTGTCTCAGAACATAACCTAAAATGTATTGTAAGGGAGCATGAAAAGATACTTAGATTGGAAATATAGTATTAGTAATGCCTGACTGGCATTTAGCTCTTGCGGGAAAATCTTGTAAGACTTTTTGAGACAAGGTCTCGCTCTGTTGCCCAGGCTGGAGTGCTGCAGTGGCATGATCACAGCTCACTGCAACCTTGACCTCCCAAGCTCAATCAATTCTCCCACCTCAGCCTCCCAAGTAGCTGGGACTACAGGCATATGCCACCATGCCTGGCTAATTTTTAAATTTGTTTTTAGAGACAGGGTCTCACTGTGTTGCCCAAGCTGGTCTTGGACTCCTGGGCTCAAAAGATCTGCCCCACCTAAGCCTCCCAAAGTGCTGGGACTACAGGCGTGAGCCACCATGCATGGCCAAGACTATTAAAACGGACAGAGACTTGAAAGATACGTTTCTATGTGGATAAATGGTCATGTACCACATAATGATGATTCAGTAAACAGCAGACCACATGTACAACAGTGGTCCTATAAGGTTATGTAATAACGTACTTTCACAGTACCTTTATAATGTTTAGATGTGTTTCAGTGAACAGATACCATTGCATTATAGTTGCCTACAGTATTCAATACAGTGACACACTGTACAGATTCATAGCCTATGAGCAAAAAAATGGCCTTATATACTGTGTACCCTAGGTGTGTAATAGGCCTTAAACCATCTAGGTTTGTGTACGTACACTCTGATGTTCGCACAATGATGAAATTGCCTAACAATGCTTTTCTCAGATGGTATTTCTGTTAAGTGACCACTGTTAAGCAACTTTAAGACTACACTCTGTTATGCCTCTTTACCCAACAGGGACAACCAAATTCCAAATATTAGCTACAAGGGTATAAGAAACAAAACACAGAAAACTACAACTTTAAAAATTTTTTTGCCAAACTATAATGCATCCTTGCCTAAAATACAAATTATATATTCTTCCCACTGTTCAGAGAAGTGGTGAAGTTAGGTGTGTTCTGAGAAAAGAAAGCTGAAGAAGATAAAAGGAATAGGGATACAAAGAGCAAACTGAAGTGATTAGGATTGTCCAGTCTGTCAGAAAGTATATTACTAAGGTGGCCATAAATGTAGTGCAACAAGTAGACCCTAAGATGAACCCTAATCTCCGTTTTCTGGTATTCACACAGTAGTGGGTTATATGTAGGTTCTATCCCTTGCCATTCTCACTCCACCTGAGAATTTAGGTAGCCCCCCACTGTGTACCATAGCCTTTTGTACACCCCTTTGGTAGTACTTACTACATAGAGGTGAGATTGCCTACTTCTTTTTCTACCCTTCTAGAACATTGTTAGCTTCTTGAAATCAAGAGCTGTATTATTTATCATTGTATCCCTCACATGTAGTACAGAGCCTGCACAAAGCTCAATAATTTTTTTAAATGAAAGTCTAGAAAGGTAACCTGGAATCCAGGGCTGAATGACCCATTAGTTTGACCAAAATCTAGAGTGGCAATTAAAAATAACATTACTTCTTTTAGACCAGTGTCAAAACTGTAGATTTTTGTATCTGCTCTTTCTTAGCCTGGGTTCCCTCCAAAAAGTAGAGCCTCGTATAAGGACTTGCAAGCAAAAAGTTTATTTTGGGAAGTTCTACCAGAGAATAGGAGTGGGTAACTGATGAGTGAAATGGAATGAGAACAAGCCAATACAAGCATGTGTTCTGAGCTGATCACTGCTGTGGTCAATCAGGCATAATCCTACTGGAACTCACTGATGAGCCACATGGAATGTACTTCAGGATTGTCTTCCAGAGGGAAGAAAGAGGGGACATTTACCTACCACCTTCCATCCCTCCATTGGAAAAGTGTTTCCAATAGGGTGTTCACTCCCTTGCATCTCATGGTTTGCATATGGACAGGTGCCTAGCAGATTTCCAGAGGTGCTGACTCCAAGGGTCACAATTTTCACAGCAGACAACAAAAGATACAAAGGTACTGCTGAGGCAGGGTGCTGTAACTGGGCTGCTGTGGTGAAAGGCAGAGAGGTTGTGCAGTGGGCGCAAGAGTTGCTGAATTTAGTCTACTTCTTGCATCACTCAGATCAGTTTGTGTGCTCCATCATCACGGAATCTTCAAGATGGTGGCCAGCCACACCTCTACAAAAGACTCAATCATGGAAGAGATTGAAACTAGATTTTCATCATTCTTTGCCAATACTTCAGCAGGCCTAGGCAGCCTACTAGGTGTGAGCCAGACCTTCATCCCAGAGGTATTTGAGCTCTTAGTTTCTTTATTAGTAGTTGCTACAATCACTAGGTCTCTGTTATCCCTCAGCAAAGAAGCACCAGAAGATGCTGCAGTGAATCCCCTGGGTTCTGAATGAACTGCTGTTGTATAGCCACAGACCTTGCACCTCATCCAACACAGGATCCACTTGTACGAGTGTACCTTCAGGACCTGCCAGTGCATATAGCCAGGTCTTACCATTCTTTAGGTGCCTACACTCTTTCCTCCCAGAACAGGGACTGTATTTTCCCAATCAGACTGTGCTGGGAACATGATCCTCATTATTGGTTTGGAGGTAGTGAGAGAAGGCAGGAACTGATCTTAAAGAGAACAAGCATTATCTTTTCAGGCACCTGCAGGGTCTCCAGATGAAGGAGGCTGCTGCTCTCTAGCAAGGAGTTGGGGGAGCTGCTTCTCCTAGCCCAAAAAATTCAGGTAAATCTTGGGGTTTAATATTCTCAGCTAAGCCAACCAAATATCCCCATTCCAGGTTTCTGTGTCCAAGTGTTCCTACCAGGACCCAGATTTTATCATAGAACACCTGTCAAGGCTTTCTTTCATATCTCCTTTGTAGTTCTGATATCTTTTAAATTAAGTCTGGAGCCTGAATTTTGGCAATCTGCCCCGCAGCTGCAAGAAATAGGGTCTTTTCAGACACTGACCTGGAAGTCTTCAGACTTTGAAGAATGCCTAGATTTAAGGGTTGGCTAACCTGAGCCTGTCATTCTGTTTGTTCATGGCCTCTAAAGTTGTTAATCCAGCCAGTATCTAGGCCTTATAGTCACTAATGTTTCCATTCCATTCAAGTGCCACCATGATTGGTGATCTGATACTTTACCTTCCACATGTACCTCATTTTAATCTGCTCCTGGTGTTGTCATGCTACTATGTGCAGGGGTTATCACCATGTCTCCTACCAGTAGGAATGGGAGGGGGAGACCTTTTGCCATTTGGTCAGTGAGTAAGGTAGATCTAGAATCTCATTCAAGAACCTTGTTTTCTAGGGCCATTTCTGTTATCTTTGCTGGGTGTCTCCTCCCATTCCCCACAGTGCATGCCGAAAGCACAGCCCAGATCAAAGGCTGACATGCAGGTCATTTAGTCAGTAAGTATCCCATGAGCAGGAGTGAGGGGGAGCAGTACAAGAGTGTGTCATTGAGCTGATCACCACTGCAGACACCTGGGCTTAGGCTCTTCATCAGAATTGTCCTCCTGAGAAATAGTAGAGAGGAGCATTCATCCAAGCAGCTCTCAGAGTCACAGCATCTAAGGACCGACAGTGCAGAACACTGAGGCGCAGGTTGACTTGTCTTCTCGCCCTTATATCTGACACTCAGTTTTTGCTTTGGATCCGGAATTCCTGGTTGCCTTTTAAAAATAGATTTGTAGGTGTGATGTGATGGTAGTGCTGTTTTAGAAAACTTAAACCTTTCAATAGTGTGCTCTGTATGCATTGGAATCCTGGGTGGAGGGAGACAGTAGGAAGCTTTTCAGTAATTGGTATATGAGATGCTAAGGATTTGAACTAAGGTGGTATTCTAGTGGGAATGGAAGAGAGGCTAATTGAAGGGTGTTCTGAAGGACAAATCTGTAGGACACATTGGTTAGATATTGAGGTCAAAGGAGGGCAGAAAGGCAGAGTAGAAATTAAAGATTTATAGGGTACTGTGTAGACACATTTCTCCCCAATTTCCAGTGTAATCCTCAGAACTTCAGATTCTTTCAGCTGACATGAGAAAATAAGACTCACAGGATGTAGGTTTGTTTTTGTGTTTTTGAGACAGTCTCGTTCTGTTGCCCAGGCTGGAGTGCAGTGGTGCAATCTTGGCTCACTGCAATCTCTACCTCCCGGGTTCAAGCGATTCTCCTGCCTCAACCTCCTGAGGTCCCGAGTAGATTTTTAGTACAGATGGGGTTTCACCATGTTGGTCAGGCTGGTCTCAAACTCCTGACCTGGTGATCCGCCCACCTCGGCCTCCCAAAGTGCTGGGATTACAGGCATGAGCCACTGCGCCCGCCCACAGGATGTAGTTTTTGTTTGTTTTGTCTTTTTAAGACAGGGTCTCATCTGTCATTCAAGCTGGAGTACAATGGCATCTCTTGGCTCACTGCAACCTCTACCTCCCAGGTTCAAGCGGTCTTCCCACGTCAGCCTCCTGAGTGCTTGGGACTACAGGCATGCACCATTATACCCACCTAATTTTTGTATTTTTTGTAGAGACAAGGTTTCACCATATTGCCCAGGCTGGTCTCAAAACTCCTGAGCCCAAACGATCCGCCCGTCTTGGCCTCCCAAAGTGCTGGGATTACCGGTGTGAGCCATCACACCTGGACAGGATGTGTTTTAATCTGGTACAGGCTGAGTGAGGGTCAAGAATTAGTGATGCAGCTGCCTGAATTTAAAACCTATGGTCTTTCACTTCCTGCCACACTCACTTCCATTATTTCTTAATTTCTTTTCTCAGGATTCTGAATCAGTCATGTACTGGTTAGTAAGAAAGAATTGAAGCAACTTTTCTCTCGAGCCTGTTTGTACTTCAATTCTTATTTCTAACTCTGGTGCCTCTGAAGAATCACCATGCCAAGTCTAAGGCCGGCCCTCCTCTAAACTTACGATCTTGTTTTATGTTGCATGGCAAGCTGTAATCTCCCTGTTCCTTTTTCCTTTCCCCCTTGCCTGTTTCCTCCTTCCTCTTTCCACCCCGACCTCAATATGAATCTGGAAGTCGTTTATATATTTCCTGATGGACATGAGCCAGCGGAAAAGTTTCCCACTGGTATTGGTGAAACAAATAGGGTGGCATTGTAGGAATAACAAGTAAGGGGGAAACAAAGATCCTGACAGTGTATTCAGGAGAACTGTCAACGTTGAGGCTATTTTTAGTTACCAGAGGGACAAACATGAAGAGGAGAAACAAAAATTGATAATAAAAACAGAAAGTGATCCTATTTAACATGCAGCAATACAGTCATTTGTGTTACTGAATTTCAGATTGATTTGTTAGCTCTTTAAGTCTAAACCTTCAGCCTTGGTCATTCATTCCTACTGGTTATGTGACTCAATTTTTTGAGGGAAGGTATTTTTGCTTACATTAAAGATTAGAAAGAAAATATCCTAGTAAAAGAGAATAGAGGAAAGGATTAAATAAGTAGGAGATGGATCTGTAAAGTGTGGTTATCACACAAGCAAAAGAAATTGTAAGAAGTTGACTTTGTACTACCTGCCAGCCTCCCAAGAGCATCACTGAAAGTCTGCCTGAGCGGAATGTATTGGTGCCTTTTATCCATTAAATGCCTTGGCTACAGGTGGAATTTTTCTGTTACCAGGAAATTGTTAATAAAAGCTTTTTTTTTTTTTTTTGAGACAAGAGTCTCGCTCTGTTGCCCAGGCTGGAGTACAGTGGCACAACCTCGGCTCACTGCAACCTCTGCCTCCTGGATTCAAGTGATTATCCTGCCTCAGCCTCCTGAGTAGCTGGGACTCTACAGACACATGCCACCACACCCAGCTAATTCTTGTATTTTTAGTAGAGACTGGGTTTCGCCATGTTGGCTAGGCTTGTCTCGAACTCCTGACCTCGGGTAATCTACCTGCCTCAGCCTCTTAAAGTGTGGGATTACAGATGCCCACCACCACGCTTGGCTGTTAATAAAAGCTTTTGGCCAGGCGCAGTGGCTCACGCCTGTAATCCCAGCACTTTGGGAGGCTGAGGCGGGTGGATCACCTGAGGTCAGGAGTTCAAGACTAGCCTGGCCAACATGGCAAAATCCCGTCTCTACTAAAAATAGAAAAGTTAGCCGGGTGTTGTGGCAGGCGCCTGTAATCCCAGCTACTCAGGAGGCTGAGGCAGTAGAATTGCTTGAACCCGGATAGCTGAGGTTGCAGTGAGCTGAGATCACGCCACTGCACTCCAGTCTGGCAACAAGAGTGAAACTCCATCTCAAAAAAATAAAAATAAAAGCTTTTGAGTTGATCTAAAAAGCTAACTGGTTTATTAGTCAACCGTTGCTGTGTAAGAAACAATCTGAGAACCTCAGTGGTATAACACAATGAACATTTATTTCTAATAAGTTTCTGGGTTAGGTGGGGCATTTCTGCTTCAGTTTGCAGCAGCTGGGGCCTCTCTCATTGCCACTGTGGATCAGCAGGGGTGGCTGTGTTCCCAGGGCTGCCCATTCTCCTCCTGGGACCAATAAGCTAGTCACAGCATACTTTTCACGTGGTAGGAGGGAAGAAGGCAAGCCCAGTTCCCTAAAGAGGAAAGGGACTCTAGACAGAGCAGTACTATTCAAAGCATGTCTGCAGTGAGTGAGATAGGTACAGAAATTAACAACAAGCATTTAGAAACTAAACAATTGCCACAATATTCAAGCGGTGTTTTTGCTGAATTTTACTAAAGTATTGGTCCAGGACACGTTGGAAATTTAAAAAGAAAGAAAAAACTGTAGCATGACTCGCGATAGTTTGCAAAGTGCCGAGAGAGAACACATGACATTCTGCTCACTAGAACTGACTCCCTGTACTGCCCATGAGTAAGCATTCTGATCTACGCATGTGTCATGGGTTTGTGTTAGGATCACTTTGTCACCAAGAGTCTGACCATCTTTGAGTGTGCTGATGGTTTCGTACCTACAGGACTTGTCCATTACCAAGGATGTGGCACCGTGTAAAGCCTCTCAGCACCCACTTGTTGGCCTTTCCCTGCCAGCATCCCTTCTGCCTTGCTGCTATATTTACATTTTCATTCCAATATTGATAACCTTGACAAAGTTGTATTATCATTAATTGAAATCCTTTACCATCAGATTAAAACATTAATTTTGACATTATAAGATAAATCTCTTTTTACCAACATTCCAGTTTTTTATCTGTCTTCCTTTTACATTTTTGAGTTAATATCACCATGTTTGGTGTATTTATAAGGTGCTTTCTGCTCGTGAGAGAAGTAGTTCTAAATAAGTTCTAATGAGCATTGATTAGTAAAAGTCCTAAGTTAGAGCTGGGTGCAGTGGCTTACACCTGTAATCCTAGCACTTTGGGTGGCCGAGGCGGGCGGATCACCTGAGATCAAGAGTTCAAGACCAGCCTGGCCAACATGGTGAAACCCCGTCTCTACTAAAATATAAAAAATTAGCCGGGCATGATGGTGGGTGCCTGTAATCCCAGCTACTCAGGAGGCTGAGACGGGAGAATCCCTTGAACCCAGGAGGTGGTGGTTGTAGTGAGCTGAGATCGTGCTGCTGCACTCCAGCCTGGGCGGCTGAGCAAAATCTGTCTCAAAAAAAAAAAAAAAAAAAAAGGTCTAAGTTAGAGGCATAAAAGGCTGGGAAGGGGAACTTTTGGGAGGGGAAGGAAGGATATGTTTAGGTAGGACTTGTTTCTTCCTAGATGTATAACCTTGGGTAACTTATTTAATCTTTCTGAGTCTTAGTTTTCTCATCTATAAAATGGGGATGATAATAATAGTAATAATAATACACCCTTCTTTGAGAAGAAGTGCTAAAATTAAATATTCTAAAGTAAGCAGTTAACACAGAGCCTGATACATATACATAATAAGTTTTCAAGAATGTTAGCTACTATTATTATTTGCTTTTAGTTAATTATCTACTAGGTGCCAGACACTATAGAATCAGATAAGATGGGGCTTTTACCGAAAAGGAACTTAGTCTGGTGGAAGAGTCAGACAAATATATATAAGAAAGATATAGTAGTATGAGAGTTTTGTGCTGTTACAGACAAACACAGGGTACCAGAGAAACTTTTAGATAGGAGGAACACCTGACCTAAGGCTTTGAGGAGCAGTATCAAAGTAGGCTCTTAAAAGAGGCAGCATCTAAGCTGAGACTTAAAGATGCAGAGGAGTTAAGAAAAAGAGTTAGGGGCATTTCAGAAAAATGGAACAACATACACAAAAGCCTGGAGGTGCAAGCGATTGGTGGACTTCTGGGGAATTGGAAGGGACACAGTATGACGGGTGTAGAGTCTGCGCAGGGATGGGCTGGGGAGTAGGCAGGTGCCAGATCATCAAGGGAGATGTAGCTTGGACTTTTTCTTGAAATCATTTGTAGCATGAAGTTATTGAATAATTCGTTAAAGAGGCCATATATAATTTACATTTTAAAAGATCATTCTGGCAACAGTACAGAGAGCAGATTAGAAAGGGAAAGACTGGAGGTGGGAATTTTTTAAAAGCCATTTCAATAATGCAGGGGAAAAGTATCAGGTTCTGAAAAGGAGGTGGTAAAAATTCAATGGAGATTCTGTGGAGGGGTTGAATTGAAAAGAAGAATGAACAGCATCTGGTGATAGATTGGATATGGGCATCCGGAGAAGAACCCAATAATAGTACTGAGATCTCTGCCTTTGGTGACTGAAGAGGCCCAGATTTCCCAGAGGAAATGAATTGACTTTGGCATTTAAGATGTCTGTGGAAAATCCATGTGAAAGTCAGGTGTGACTGGGAGTCAGCTCAGGCTTGGAGCTATCAGCTGGGAAGTCAGGGATATAATGAGGTGAAGGCCGTGGGGCAAGTGACATCACCAGGCAGTGAAAAGAGCTGGATATTCATGGTACTCGGCTTAGGTACTCCAGACTGTTTGAGCAAATGTAGAGTGTCAAGAGTATGGTCTCATTTAAATCCCATAACAACCCTGTGAGGTAGGAAATAATCTCAGCTTTGCAGATGAGAACATTTCAGACTCTTAAAGAGTGAAGTGATTTGCCTAAAGTGATTTTGCTACTGAGTGGCAGCGCTAGGATTTCAAGTCCAATCTGATTTTAAAGCCCATTTTTTTTCCTACTGTATCCTGCTGCTTTGTAAACCTCAGCAGTTTAAATATTTGTGATCATGTTATCTTTCATTCTTTTTCTTCACCTCTGCCAGTATCCTGGTTTAGTAGGATTGTGACACATCATTTTAAATAACCAGCTTTTCTCTCATTTCCCCTGCTTCACTCCCAAACACATCTATGAGATTGCCTTTCCTATCAGATTAACTCATCCCACTCAATTCTATTCCAATGCCCACTTTAAAACAACAGGCCAACAGAGGTCCTCCACTGGCTACTGAATGAGGTCTGTCCTCCTCAGCTTGGTATTCAAGGCTCAAAGGCTCGTCATAAAATGACGACTGTTGAAAACTTTCCCATATTTCCCACTTCTCATTAGCACATCTTCACGCCTTTGGGTGTCATCTATATGTGGATATAAATGTGGTGGTCTCATTGTGTTCCTTATAGGGATATTCTTTTAGTGCTTGGAATAAAGACATCTTTTATTTGCTCTGTTACCATCTTATAGAAACGGTTTTGTCTTTGTGATGAAATCAGCTTGGATGTCTTCTGACCTTAGTTCCTTTCCAGTGTCAGGGTTCCTTATACTCCATCCCTAATGTGACGAGCCAGCCTCTGTTCTGACACTTTCTAGAAGGATCCTTTTTTTAATGGGAGAAGAGGATGGAAATTCTAATTGTTAGAAATTTCTTATCATTGAACCAAAATCTCCCCACTTTTAACATCTGTCTGTTTCCTAGGAACAACGGATAAATCAGTTATTTCTCCTCTGCCTCGTGAAGAGGCATTTAAAGACAGCTCTCATGTCTCTCCTCAGGTTTCTCTTACATAACCCAAATCATCTCTTGCTTGGAGCTTTTTTCCTGTGATAAGTTGCGAACTCTCTACTATTCCCTTGCCCTCCTGAGACTCTTGCAGTTTGGTCAGTGCTAATCTAAACTGACCCACGGGGCCCAGAATGACACAGCACTCCACAGAAAGCAGCAACATGAGTCCTTTGATTACGGCTCAATGCTCGTACCTGAAAAGCCTGAGATTGCTTCAGATCTATAACAGCCATGTCACATTTTGCATTCATTCAGTGAAAAAAAAAAACCCAGATATTTTATATAGTTCCAGTTAAGCCAACCATCATCTGCTGTGCAGTCGATTTCTTTAAATGTAGAACTAATTCTCCTAGTTATATTTCAGCTTCATTTTGATCAGTCTTTTTAGGCAATTATGATTCTGCTATGCAGTGTGGTGTTAACTGTGTTTCCAAGTTTGGGGTCATCTGAAGATTTTGAAACATACTTTCCACATCATTATCCAAGATTTTTGTTTGTTTGTTTGTTTGTTTCGAGACAGAGTCTCACTCTGTAGCCCAGGCTGGAGTGCAGTGGTGCGATCTCAGCTCACTGCAGCCTCCACTTCCCGGGTTCAAGCAATTCTCCTGCCTCAGCCTCCTGAGTAGCTGGGATTACAGGCACTTGCCGCCACACCCAGCTGATTTTTGTATTTTTAGTAGAGATGGGATTTCACCATGTTGGCCAAGCTGGTCTCGAACTCCTGACCTCAGGTGATCCACCTGCCTCAGCCTCCCAAAGTGCTGGGATTACAGGCGTGCGCCGCCGCACCCGGCCCCAAATTCTTGATAAACATGGCAAAAACCAACTTCCCACTCCACGCATCAAGTTAATCAGTGCTGTTTATGAATGGTTCTGTTAACCACTGTCCTGTCATCCCATCCCCTGTCTCTTCATGTTATCTGCAAAGATCTCATTTGTACATTCAACACATTTTTACTTAGCACAGGTTTAGCACATGTGCGAGAAGGTGCTAGGAATACATTGAAGATAGCCGTCCCTATCTTGTGGTGCTTACAGTTTAGCAGCATCATGAAATATTTTCTAAATGCTTTGTGGAAATGAAGTTATACGGTTCTCTATGATATTTCTCCTCATCTGGTAGCGTATCAGAAAGGGGAATGAGGGTTTACTTTTTGTAGACTCCATATTGCTACTCATTATCTTCTATCACTTGAAAGTGGGATTCACTCCCTTTATCTTTACACCTTTCATGGTTTCACAAACAGCTTTGAACTTTAGAAGTCTCTGGAGTTTATTTACGCCCTTTCTGTGTAGCCATAGTTTGGTAGTGTTTATTTTATTTTATTTTATTTGAGACGGAGTCTTGCTTTGTCGCCCAGGCTGGAGTGTAGTGACACGATTTCAGACATAATTTCAGCTCACTGCAACCTCCGCCTCTCGAGTTCAAGTGATTCTCCTGCCTTAGCCTCCCGAGTAGCTGGGATTACAGGACGCCCAGCTAATTTTTGTATTTTTAGTAGAGACTGGGTTTCACCATGTTGGCCAGACTGGTCTTAACTCCTGACCTTAGGTGATCTGCCCGCCTTGGACTCCCAGAGTGCTGGGATTACAAGCAAGAGCCACTGTGTCCGGCCTGGTGGTGGTGTTTAAACACCTGTTTGTTTGTTTGTTTGTTTTCACATTATCAGGATTGTTTTTTGTTTTATAGTAAGCTTAATGAAAAATTTCTGTTCAACTTTAGCCATTCTCACTCCCATAATCTTTGTCACTCAGATTTTTACTTATATTTTATCTTTATATTTTGAAATGATCTTTCCTAAGGAGGAGAGTTGAGTCTCCTTAGGTTTTCTTTTCTTCCTTGAGTTCTTGAAATGCCATAGTTGCTTTCTCCAGGATCCTGGTCCTCTTCACTTACTTTTTCAAGTTTGCCAGAATTAAGCTCAGATGTATTTTGTCTATTTTCTGAAGGATTAAACTGTCAACAATGCAAGGTGCTATGTTTTCATACAAAGAGTGGATGTCTGCATAGCTGGCAGCCCACCTACCTTATTCTGAGGTGTGCATTCTCTCATCAGTCAGGTGTCATCCACTTCCTTCCTCTAGCCAGTTTCCACCACTGCAGCCTTTTTGCCTACTCTTCTTTCCCTTTTGGTCCAATGTCTTCCTCTATACTGACTTACTCACATTATTGGTTTGCACATAGATGTTTATTATCTTGAACTTGGGAGGATTCTCTGCCTTTTTCTGTAGATCCATCTCTGTAAGGCAGCAGATTTTCTATAGATGCCATAGTCTATTGTTTACCCATCCCACCAAGTCTTGGTGATTTTCATGAGATTTTATTTATCTCCTTGAGTTCTTTTTTGCTATTGTGACTTTTAAATATCGTGCCTAGCACACTAATGTTCAATAAGTAATATTTATGATTAATCTCAAGAAGTATTTGCCTTCTCTTTTAGGCTGTGAGGATATCATTGCTGAGAGCATCTCATTAGATACCTTAATTGCCATCCTCAAGTGGAGTTCTCATCCATATGGCTCTAAATGGGTGCACCGACAAGCTTTACATTTCCTCTGTGAGGAATTTTCCCAGGTCATGACTTCGGATGTTTTTTATGAACTCAGCAAAGACCATCTGCTTACTGCTATCCAGTCTGACTACCTACAGGTAATCATTTAAACACCTCTCAAACTCTGTCATTCATATGTGCGCCAAGAAACCCATCTATGCTCTATTACTCTTCCATCTAGGGTAGGGCAGGGGAAGAGAAACAGGCTGTGATCAAACCACCCAGGACTGCCCTCTTCATAGTTGTACAACAAAAGCCTTCTGGCTCACTGGCTCTTCATGTACACTGCTACCATGACTCAACATTGAACAAGCCCAGGTCCCAGCCAAATGCACCAAAAAGAGATTGGGGCAGTAGGCAAGGTCAGAAGCACATCCCAACATGATTTTCTTGACTTCTATTAATGTAGCTTCTCTATAGTGGTTTCTTACTTTTGGTGGAGCATCACATACTTAGATTGTAAGACAGTAGCTTCAGCAGCACAAAGTAAAAATAATATTCAATTTCTGATCTGCTCACATTTTTATCAAAACTCAGTGCATGTATTCTTCCAAAGTACGGTAATGTTTTCAACTACTTATTTTTAACCAGAAGTAGTTTTTAGCAAATTCTTGTGTTCTTGACTTAAATGTCAATTTAATTTGGAAATTTACATTAATAATAGATTTTATACATTACAGAAAATACTTACAGGCAAAGTATATCCAAGCTTAATTTTTGTGCATTGGCTATATGAATTTTATGCTAAAAACTGTACAACCGTTTTAATGCTATTAAAGACATAAACCCATTGAACCACTTCCTATTTCTTTGTATTTGTACTAGAAAAATAATAAAATGCTACCATTTTAGTCAGAAATGCAGTGGAGAGTTAAATAATACACTCAGCATCTGTGCTTTTCCTTTGTATGTTGCTTTGATTGCAGTACAGATGGCATACTTGGGCTTGATTTATGGAGAATCTTTGTTCATTAACCTTGTCTCATTGTCCTGATCAAAACTGGACGCTTTATGTTTGTGTTAGAAGTTGTTAGTTCTCTTAGATTATTGTCTTTAGGAGCTTTGCATTCCTTCTTAGAAAGTATTAAAAAAAAAAAAAACAGAGAGCAGCCTAGATTTGCTCTAAGATTTTAAATAAAATACAAAGAAATGAGGGCTACATTGCCATTTCACAGATTGTGCTTCACTAACCAGTAGAATACCTTGTAGAGATTGTAGTTTCTTCTGCCAAAACAAGTTGACTGACTTGTTTTTCCTGTCCCTCCAGGAGAGAGTAGTTACTCTGCCTATACCCTATACTTACACTTTCATTTACTTATCTCTGTTTTCTTCCAAAAGAGAATTTAAGGCAGCTATATAGAAACCACATAGTAAGATAAAATAAATTTAAAATAGGAAGTGGGTTGCTTGAGCCCGGAAGTACGAGACCAGCCTTGGCAACAGGTGGGACCCCATTTGTACAAAAAATTTAAAAAAAAATTAGCCATTTTGGGAGGCCAAGGCAGGCGGATCACGAGGTCAGGAGATCGAGACCATCCTGACTAACAAGGTAAAACCCTGTCTCTACTAAAAATACAAAAAAATTAGCCAGGCGTGGTGGCGGGCGCCTGTAGTCCCAGCTACTTGGGAGACTGAGGCAGGAGAATGGCGTGAACCTGGGAGGAGGAGCTTGCAGTGAGTCAAGATCACACCACTGCACTCCAGCCTGGGCAACAGCGCGAGACTCCCTCTCAAAAAAAAAAAAAAAAATTAGCTGGGTGTGGTAGCACATACCTGTAGTCCCAGCTGCTCAGGAGGCTGAAGCGGGGAGAATCACTTGAGCCCAGGAGGTTGAGGCTGCAGAGACCCATGATGGCACTGCTGCACTCCAGCCTGGGCAATAGAGTACGACTTCATCTCAAAAGGAAAAATTAAAATGAAAAAATAAAATAGGAAGGGAGCAGATTACAGAAAAAGAAGATAGAAATGAAATTTAAAAATTAGTTGGAGCCAAGATTGAGGTTACTGGATAAAATATATGTAATGCAGTCTTGTATATTTCCTGTTGATGGACCACAGATTTAACACTAAAACTTCAAACAGCCAATGGAAAGAGTGAAACATGGTAAGTTGCATGCTGTTATTTCCCACCTACGAAAAGTCCTTAATGAAATTAACCACTTATCTAATTTCACTAAAATAAATATAAACCATTTTTTATTATAGGCAAGTGAACAAGATATCCTTAAATATCTGATTAAATGGGGAGAGCATCAGTTGATGAAAAGAATAGCAGATAGAGGTAAGCTCCGAAAATTAGCTTGCACTAGTTACCTTGTGTAAAATTTGGTGGTTCTTATATAGAAATGCATGCCGCACATCAGTCTTGAAAATTGACACTGTTGCCTGGTGAAAATGGAAGTTTTTACCACCAGCAAAATCCTTTAGTGGACAGGGTATAGTTTATTAAAATAAATATATCAGAAAGTCTTATTTTGCAGCTTTAAAAGGATACTTTTTATTATTATGTTCTTAGGTGCTTAATAAAACATGACTGATTCGTGGAAGTACTAGAATGAAAAATTTCATATAATTTCATATAATGACTAAAGTATTACAAAAGCATAATGTTGATGAAAATTTGGAATTAGTGTTGATGGTTGCACAACAATACAAGTATAGTAAGAGCCACTGAATGGTACGCTTTAAAATGTTTTAAATAAATTTTGTGTTATGTGAATTTTAACCTCAGTTTAAAAATACGAGTACAGGCTGACCTGAGGTCAGGAGTTTGAGACCAGCCTGGCCAACATGGCAGAATCCCGCCTCTACTAAAAATACAAAAATTAGTGGGAAGTCGTGGCACGCGCCTGTACTCCCAGCTACTCGGGAGACTGAGGCATGAGAATCACTTGAACCTGGGAGGCAGAGGTTGCAGTGAGCTGAGATTGCACTATTGCACTCCACATGGGTGAAAGAGCAAGACTCAAAAAAAAAAAGAGTACAAATAAAAAAGCATTCATTGTTTATTTTTAAATGTTGTAGAAAGTAGGCTGGGTGCAGTGGCTCACGCCTGTAATCCCAGCACTTTGGGAGGCCGAGGCGGGCGGATCACCTGAGGTTGGAAGTTCGAGACCAGCCTGACCAACATGGAGAAACCCTGTCTCTACTAAAAATAAAAAATAAGCTGGGCATGGTGGCATGTGCCTGTAATCCCTGCCACCTGGGAAGCTGAGGCAGGAGAATCACTTGAACCCGGGAGGCAGAGGTTGTGGTGAGCCGAGATGGGGCCATTGCATTCCAGCCTGGGGCAACAAGAGCAAAACTTCGTCTCAAAAAAAAAAAAAAAATGTTGTGGAAGGTAAAAGAGAAATAAATAATACTTCTGAATGACCTCCCAGTGGGGTCACTGCAGAAGAGAAGGAAGCATCATATGTTGGAGGCTGGGCTTTCAACTTTGGAAATTTGTGATTCTACAGCAGTCTTTTGTTTGTGTGTAGGGTTAGCCCACCCACCTGTCCTCCTTCCCTCAAACATCGTTGTATTCCTTTATGTACTGAATCTAAATTTAAAATTTTTAATTGAAAAATTAAATACCAATTTCCTTTTTCTGTCACCTTTCGATAGTTTTATTTAGATATAATTTATGTATCTTAAAGTTCACCGGTTTGAAGTGTTCAAGTCAGTGGATTTTAGTACCTTTATAGAGTTGTTTTGTCACATTTTTAAATATAAAAAATGTTGTGCTAAACCTGCCTTTAAGCCTTTTTATAGTGTTTCTTTAATATGCTACTATCCAAGCTCTAGGGAACAAAAGCAGTCCTTCTATTTTATTTCTCCAATTTTTTTTCTGTGGCTGGCAAAAACCTTTAGCAATTCTCAGATTTGAATGTGTTTATTTTTATTTTTAAAATTTTATTTCAGAGAGCAACAAAGTTATGATTTTTGTTTTTGATTTATTTTTTTATTTGAGATGGAGTCTTGCTGTGTTTCCCAGGCTGGAGTACAGTGGCGCGATCTCAGCTCGCTGCAACCTCTGCCTCCCGGGTTCAAGCTATTCTCCTGCCTCAGCTTCCCGAGTAGCTGGGATTACAGGCACGTGCCACCACGCGTGGCTAATTTTTGTATTTTTAGTAGACACAGGGTTTCGCCATGTTAGCCAGGCTGTTCTCGAACTCCTGACCTCAGATGATCCACCATGCCCAGCAAGTTATGAATTTTTTAAAATATGAAAACCATTACAGTTGATTTAGAAAGTTTTTTAAATGCCAGCATACAATTAGTTCTCATTCGTAGCTTTTATATTTGTCAACTTACCTAGTCACTGAAATTTATTTGTAACCCCAAAATCAATACTGGTGATACTTTCATGGTCATTCACGGAGTAGCAAAAAGCTTGGTCTCCCAACAAGCACATTCCCAGCTGAGTTCTAACAAGACAGAGGCACTCTGCCTTCTTGTTTCAGATCTCCTTACCAAGTGCCACATTTTTTACATTTTTATGTTTTCGTGATCTCACTGTTCAAGATGGCCCCCAGGTGTAGTACTGAAGTGCTGTCTAGTGTTCCTGAGAACAGGAAGGCTGTGGTGTGCCATACAGAGATAATACATGAGTTAGGTAAGCTTCATTCAGGCGTGAGTTACAGTGCTGTTGGTTGTGAGGTTAGTGTTAATAAATCAGCCACATATATTAAATAAAGTGTCTTTAAACAGAAACACATAAAACAAGGTTCTGTCTTAATCATTGGACAAAAATGTTGTACCCAGAGGTTCACAGGAACCTAACCCTGTGTTTTCCCTATGAGCAACAGTTCAGTATATGCTGATTCATTGTTTGTGTTGACTTTATAACTACTTCAGATAATAAGAACCGATTGTATATAACTCTGTGTAAATGTTATAGACCATAAGCTTGTTCAGTGATGTAAAGTTGGTAATGATGAAATGTCATTTATTTGGGGCAGATAACAGGCATCTGCCTGTTAAGGGTTAAAATTTTCCTTAGAAAAATAGTTGCTAGGCCAGGCACGGTGGCTCACGCCTGTAATCCCAGCACTTTGGAAGGCCAAGGTGAGTGGATCACCTGAGGTCAGGAGTTTGAGACCAGCCTGGCCAACATGGTGAAACCCCATCTCTACTAAAAATAGAAAAATTAGCTGCGTGTGGTGGCGGGTGCCTATAATCCCAGCTACTTGGGAGGCTGAGGCAGGAGAATCGCTTGAACCCAGGAGGTGGAGGTTGCAGTGAGCCAAGATCATGCCACTGCACTCTAGCCTGGGCAACACAGCAAGACTCCATCTTAAAAAATAATAATAAAAAAATAAATAAAAGGTAGTTTCCACACTGGGTTAGTGGAAGGTTCTTCTGCAAGGATAAGAAGGAAGCTAAGTGAACCAGGCCATAGCTTTGTTTCAGTCAGTTTTATACAGGAGGATTCTGCACTTACCTGTCACATATTTGGGGGTTTCATGTAAGATTTTATATGAAAACAGGATGTCACTACTTTAAGAAAAAAAAATATTTTGAAAAGCAGAATGCCTTAAATAAGTATGAAGCTAAATCATAGCTAGGCAAGGGGGAAAAAAATGACTCTTTTCTACACAGTTAACAATTTTATTCTGAATGAATCCAGAAAAAAACTTAGCTTCTCAAAAACAATCAATTCTCTCTCTCTCTCTCTCATACACACACACACACACACACGATTTAAGGAAGATACCAGTTTTCCTGTAGAATATTTGAAAAAAATCCAGCATTTCATGAATAATAAGATCTTATTCTGTGTTAATTTTTTTAAGAAAAAAATTACAGACCCCTAGATTAAAGCCATGATTAAAGATTTCCAAATTACATAATTTTTCTTCCCACCTCAATAGCATAAGCATACATGTATTTCAGATTGTTGTTCACTAATGCCCAATGAAGAAATCATTCTCTGCCTTGGATGATGGACATATATTACATGTCAAAGATCAAAGGGTCTACTTTTATGCAGTAATGTTCCCATATTATGGAAATTTGGGAGATTTTCATAAAAATCTTAAAACCAAATAAAGCACATTATGCTTTGCTGCTTCAAACACCAAGTGATTAACATGTTGTTAAATTACTGTTACACATATGTAGGCTAATGAGCATACTGATAACTTACAGTGACCAGAAATGGCATATGCTCTACAATGACCTTATACTACTAAACACTGGTCACAAAAGTGAGAAGGCTTTTTAAAAAGCCCTTGATAAAACTAGATTTTAGTAGATTGTCATCTTTTCTCTTTTGAGTTAGTCTATAGAAAGGAATCCTTTATTCTTTATTGCAGAGCAGTGATAAAATAATTTTATTGTACTGTTGATACCATGCTTTTTCTTTATCCAAGAACATCCCTATTAAACAAACATGAAAGAAAATAATTGATTTATAACCCTTTTTAAAGCAGAGGCACATAAGTCTATAGAGTGGTACTGTTAGTGTATGTACTAGAGAACAAAGGAAACCTGTCTCAGAACATTTGGATTTGGTTGGAAACTTTTCATTTTCTGTCTCATAGAGCCAAACTTACTGAGTGGCACTGCCCATAGTGTGAACAAAAGAGGTGTAAAAAGACGGGACCTGGACATGGAAGAGCTCAGAGAGATCCTTTCTTCTCTCTTACCTTTTGTGCGAATTGAACACATCTTACCTATAAACAGTGAAGTCTTAAGTGATGCAGTAAGTGTTTTTCTCCATGTATTCCTTTCATGAAAAGAAAAATGCCAGGTGTATGTTTTTATTCATTGTAAATAATTTCTGCTACTAATAGAGTATTGTGAAGCTGTAATTCTGTGAGGACAGAGACAGATGTCTATTGTGTACGATGTTGTATCTCCTGTGTCTTCCACATAATACAGTTAAAATGTTCAGTGAATGAGAGTTGAGTGGGTAAATAGGTCTTACTCATGCAAGAGCATTATTTCTAGCAGAGTTAATTCTGTCATTTAAGTGTAGATCAAGTAGACCCTTATTCAAAAAGGGAAAGGTAGAAATTACCTTTGAAGAGTCTTCAAGAACAGCAGTGAATCAGAGAGTAGTGGAGTGGAGGGATTGGTTGAATAGAAAAAGAATGGATGGACCTGAAAATTAATAGAGCTCATCTTGTTACTTTCATAATTTTTTAAACAGTGAATTTTTTAAAAATTAATATAATTGGCTGGGCGCGGTGGCTCACTCCTGTAATCCCAGCACTTTGGGACGCCAAGGCAGGTGGATCACCTGAGGTCAGGAGTTTGAGACCAGCCTGGCCAACATGGTAGAACCCCATCTCTACTAAACATACAAAAATTAGCCAGGCGTGGTGGTGCATGCCTATAATCCCAGCTACTCGGGAGGCTGAGGCAGGGGAATTGCTTGAACTGGGGAGGTGGAGGTTGCAGTGAGCCGAGATCGAGCCATTGCACTCCAGCCTGGGTGACAGAGCGAGACTCCATCTCAAAAAAAAAAAAATTAATAGAATTGCTTGAATTCATGGATGGGAAAAATAAATATTATAAATATTAGTTCTTCACACATTGACTTATAAACTTAATATAATGCTTATAAACATCATAATATGTTTTTTCTAACTGCACAGGAACATTATAAAACATTATAAAAGTCTTCTGGAAAAAAAACAAAACATAATAATAAACGAACTATCACAAGTCAATGTGGTGCTAGATTAACTGATTAGCAGAAGAAGAAATTTATTGAAAGTTAAACCATCGTTTCACTGGCACACAAAATTAATCCTTGTTAGACTGAAGAATTAAATACTAAATGGAAACATGGAAGAACTAGAAGAAAACAATATTGTTTTCAAGAAGTATTTATGGGCTACTCTGGGCATACTGCCTATGGGGTAGCCCTGCTCCACAAGGAGCAGTAATAAAAATAAATAAAAACAAAACTTAAAAAAAGAAATATTTGTGGATTCTGATTAGAAAAAAAAATTCACCCTCACTAATTACACACACACCAGAGAAAGCAAAATGAAACAGTTACCATTTTTTCACCTGTTAAGGTAGTAGTTATAGTACCACTACACAACAGAATATTTTGCTCCCCTGAACAGTTGTTATAAAGACTGTATAGTGGCCGGGCGTGGTGGCTCACACCTATAATCCCAGCACTTTGGGAGGCCAAGGCAGGTGGATCACCTGAGGTCAGGAGTTCAAGACCAGCCTGGCCGACATGGCAAAACCCTGTCTCTACTAAAAATACAAAAATTAGCCAGGCATGGTGGTGCATGCCGTTAATCCCAGCTGCTCGAGAGGCTGAGGCACAAGAATTGCTTGAACCCAGAGGCAAGTCAAGAATGTGTCACTGCACTCCAGCCTTGGTGACAGAGCAAGACTCTGTATCAAAAAAAAAAGAAGAAAAAAAAAGATTATGCAAAGTATGTATTTTTATGTATTCTTAAATTCAACTATGTAAAACTTCATTTGGTAAAGACTCTGCCAGGCGCTGTAATCCCAGCACTTTCAGAGGCCAAGACAGGCAGATCACTTGAGTTGAGGAGTTCAAGACCAGCCTGGCCAACATGGTGAAACACTGTCTCTACCAAAAAATACAAAAATTAGCCAGGCATGGTGGCATGCACCTGTAGTCCCAGCTACCTGAGAAACTGAGATGGGAGAATTGCTTGAACCCAGGAGGCAGAGGTTGCAGTGAGCCAAGATCTCGCCATTGCCCTCCAGCCTGGGCAACAGAGTGAGACCCTGTCTCAAAAAAGAAGAGAAGGAAAAAGAGAAGACTGGAAGGAAATATATCAACATTACTGTTGTAATGAGTATTGACTTTTTTCTCTATTTTCTAAATACTAGATAATGCTGTATTTTACTAGTTAAAAGTAATTTTAACTAATGAAGCTGTTGATTATATTTAATGAGAGTAATATTGGAGAAACAACTTTTGGTTTTGTTTAAAACCTGGGACTCAAATCAAATTGAACCCTGTATGTAGTTTAGAAAAGTATTTTAGAACTTTGGTTAGGAAATATATACCTCTGCTCTTAACTCCGTGCCTAACACATCGTAAGTCCCCAACAAAGGTTTGCTAACAATGACTCTTAACTTTCATGCTCTCTTAGTATGTGCTAAGCACTGTACTAGGTGCTTTCATCTGCATTGCCCTCATTTAATCCTCACACCACCTTAGGAACTAAAGATACTTGATACAGATTCTCCTGGCATCAGTCAGGAAACAACAGGGATACCTCATTCAGTTAGCTGTGCACTGCCTTGCCTCCAGAGCCATACAGGAGCCCTTAAAGTGAAGCCCAGGTAAAGGAGATGTCCATGGTCACATGGCTGTTAAATGCAGGAGTTGAAGTTTGAGCTACATCTGCCTTGCCCCAGAGCCTGTGTTGCTAGGCACTGTGCTAGCCTTCCTGTATCCTTGTACTGTAGATATAGGCCCATGTCAATGTTCTCGTTTTGTCTTGAGGAGTTGGGTGGGGACTGAATTTGTTCCTAGATGAGTAAAGAAAAAAAATTGGTTTTCATTAAGAGTTCTGATCTTTAGTCCAACTTAACTACATTTTAATTAATGTGTCTCGTTTTTAAAAATATTCCTCTATTTAGAGAAAAATGGGAAATTATGGTATCTTTTTATTGAAAATCTTTTAAATATTATTAAAAATTTGAGGTATTTCACCGGGCACGGTGGCTCACGCCTGTAATCCCAGCACTTTGGGAGGCCGAGGTGGGCAGATCACGAGGTCAGGAGTTCCAGACCAGCCTGACCAACATGGTGAAACCCCGTCTCTACTAAAAGTACAAAAAATTAGCCAGGCGTGGTGGTGAGTGCCTGTAATCCCAGCTACTCGGGAGGCTGAGGCAGGAGAATCGCTTGAATCCAGGAGACGGAGGTTGCAGTGAGCCAAGATCACGCCACTGCACTCCAGCCGGGGCGACAGTGAGACTCTGTCTCAAAAAAAAAAAAATTTGAGGTATTTCTAAATTTCATATACATTTCTAAATTTTTATTTAAATGATAAAGTTTGCATATTTTTATTTATAGTTATAAATATTTTTATTTATCTTAGTAGTATTATAGTACTACACAGATTTCTATCTAAAAAAAAAATTTTTTTTTAGATGAAAAGAGGCTTGATTAGTACTCCTCCATCAGATATGCTTCCTACAACAGAAGGTGGGAAGTCAAATGCCTGGTTACGGCAAAAAAATGCTGGCATCTATGTTCGTCCTCGACTCTTCTCTCCCTATGTGGAAGAAGCAAAGGTAATGAAAACCATTTGAAGATAGTAGACTACTTTATTACAAACCATATGCACAAAGTGGTTCACTGTAGTATTACTTAAATATTTGGAAATAGCCTATATTTTCAACAATAGGGAAAATGAAAGTAAGTTCTAGTTTGACTACTCAACAGAATAGTTTTCTAAAACGTTTAATTTTAATTAAGCATGTTTTTAAAACTTAGGTTATGTTAAAATGCATTTTATATTTTTCTCATTTTAGTTGCCTTGCAAATTGTTAACTGCCTTGCAAATTGTTACCACTTACTGAAAATGGTTGTCACTATTTTGTGATCTTGAGCATGAGGGAAATGTTCTGAAAGAAGATTGCCCACTTTTTTACTTCCTTCCTAAATTAAAGGAATGCCACGACCTCTTGTAACATATTTCTGCAATAGCTGACTGTTGGGAATTATGTTTAGTTTTAGAATAAATGCACAAACTAAGAAAAAATTTCAGGCCTGTTAAGTAACTAGTTCGCATTATGTATATTGTAACATAAAGAACTGTCCCAGAAAATACGGTAATGTGAAAATGAAACATCTAATTTTTATTAGATGTTCAGCCATAAGAACTTTCCGGGGTCCATCCTGGGCAACATGGTAAAACCCCAACTCTACCAAAAACTAAAAGGAAAAATTTAGCCAGTTGTGGTGGCGTGCACCCTGATTTCTGCTACTCAGGAGACTGATTTAGGAGAATCACCTGAGCCTGGGAGGCAAAGGCTGCACAGTGAGCCGTGATTGTGCCACTGCACTCCAACCTGGGCGACAGAGTAAGAACCAGTCTTCAAAAAAAAAACAAAAAACAAAAAAACTTTGGCCTTTTGAGGAACTGACAGTCTTTGAAAGCAGGAAATCCTTATTAAGCTTTCTGAAGTAAATTTAACAGACAAAACAGTGTGTATACTCAATGAGTATACAATCAAGTTGCCTCAAAATGTTTCTCATTTTTAAACCAGGCATGGTGGCTTACACCTGTAATCTCAGCACTTTGGGAGGCTGAAGCAGGAAGATCACTTGAGTCCAGGAGTTCAAGAGCAGCCTGGGCAACCTAGTGAGACCCTGTCTCTACAAAAAATAAAGATAAATTAAAAAAAAAAAAAACTAGCCAGGCGTGGTGGTGTGCTGTTGTAGTCCCAGCTATGCAGGAGGCTTGAAGTAGGAGGGTTGCTTGAGCCTGGGAGGTCAAGACTGCAATGAGCCATGATGGCACCACTGCACTCCAGCCCAGGCAACATTTTTCTTTTTTCTTCAAAAAAGAAAATTTGGTTTATTTCTAAGTCTCTTGAATTGATTATCAATCTTTTTTTTTTTTTTAAGACGGAGTTTCACTCTTGTCATCCAGGCTGGAGTGCCGCAGTGAGATCTCAGCTTACTACAACCTTCTCCTCCCGAGTTCAAGCAGTTCTCGTGCCTCAGCCTCCTGAGTAGCTGGGATGATAGGCACCCGCCACCACATCTGGCTAATTTGTGCATGTTTAGTAGAGATGGGGTTTCACCTTGTTGGCCAGACTGGTCTTGAACTCATGACCTCAGGTGATCTACCCACCTCAGCCTCCCAAAGTGCTGGGATTACAGGCATGAGTCACCACGCCCGGCCCTGATTATCAATCTTCAATATTTTGTATTTTGAGCACTTTGTTGGATTTGTTATTTAGCACATGTATACATTGTTTTATTATAATATTGTGTGTAATTTATTTCTGATTAATTTTATATCCTTCCTTCACATTTCAAATACTTCTAATTAAAAGCAGACTTTTCAAAAGATGGTTGTGTCTTTTCAAAGATGCTCCTAAAAGAGTCTTTAAAAGTTAAAGATGTAGGGGAACTTTCTTTCACCACTAATGTTAACATTTATAAAATAGAAATAAATTAATTCCCTTTTTATTTGATGAAAGTAATAGTCTTCCTTCAAATGTGATTTAACAGAGGAAGGTTGACTGGTTTTGTTAATACTGAATGATTATTTCAGTCAGTGCTAGATGAGATGATGGTGGAACAAACGGATCTTGTGCGCTTGCGAATGGTTAGAATGTCCAATGTGCCAGACACGCTCTACATGGTCAATAATGCCGTGCCACAGTGTTGTCACATGATCAGCCACCAGCAGATCAGCAGCAACCAGTCAAGCCCTCCTTCAGTTGTAGCCAACGAAATTCCAGGTAAGGCAGTATGTTGGGTGTTTATATTTAAATGAATAATTTATTGTTTTTTTGAAATTGCTGATGTTTGAGCCTCTCTGTATATGCTAATTCTCTCCACATTTCAATACTTTTTATGCCTTGTTCTCCTTAAAGAATAAACACTTTTAAGCCAAAACTTTTGCTTTATATTTTATTTTGTATTACTAAGTGTATACAGTTTATCAGTTTACCCTTGAGTTTCTCAGCCTTGGTCTTACTGACATTTGGGGCTGGATTATTCTGTTAATGGAGAGCTGTCCTGTGCTTTGTAGGGTGGTCAGCTGCATTCCTGGCCTGTACTCAATAAATGCTAGGAGCACATATGTGCATGCATGCACACCTCTCTGAAAACCTTTTGGAAACATTTTTATGTTTCTAGACATTGCCAGTTGTGCCCTGTGGGACAAAGTCACCCATTTTGAGAACCACTGGTTTAGAGGAATTCAGATTTTTTTTTATCACTATAGGGTATTTCTCAGGTTACAAGACCCTTTGGGAGGGTCAAATGCACTATCATACCTTAAAGTCTATGGCCTTCCTAGTCTATTATACCTTTGAGTCTGTGGCCTTCCAAAATGTGATCACTGTGGGTTTCCTAGAGATCCAATTTCCCAAGCTCTGCTCTGTGAAGTTTACTGTAGCACAGGTTTATGTCTTACGACTTTAGGGGAATTGGCTATCGATCAGGATATAACTGTCATGTCCAAAAACGTCTGAGCATCAGTAAATGTTGGCTTTAACCAAAGTAGTCTAAAAAAAGCAACAATGATCTGGTGGTCAGAAACTTGTAGCTCTTGCTAATTGCCATTGCAAGATTCAAAATAAAAACCAGCACACTATAGCAATAGAAATAGCACTATTTATTTCTGCTTATAAATGTCTACTGTAATTAAAGATGAATAAAAGACATAGTGACAGAACTTTTAATTGAATACATATATTTTATTCTGGAGCTAATGACTTTCTTCAGTTGTTACCTTATCAAATTTGGCCACTGCATATTTACTTGAAATATACATTAGTTAACAGCATGAAAAGAAATATTTCTTTAGCTGATTTATGCAGATTTTGAAGCTTTGCTAATTAGCCTGGCTTTTTAGGCTTGAGTTAATGCAGTTCAAAATCAGCATAATTTAATCTTAGAACTCAATCTCAGAGGTCTAGACATTCTCAAATAAGTATGCTCAGAAAAATAAGGCTTGTCTCTCTATTGTTTAGCTAATGAGGTATGGTCCTGTTCTGGTATCATCCTGGGTTCTTCTCACTTCCTTGCACACCACATTCATGAAAGGATGGATAGCTTGTTGCAGAGGATTAGGGGGCTCATATCTTGGCTCTGTTACTTTGTATGACTTTGGACATGGTATTAATATTTTCTTTCCTGAACATTAATTTCCTCATCCATGAATTGGGGCTCATACCTCCTTTCAAGAATTAGGAGGATTTAATGAAGCACCATGAGTAATATGCACAGGAGTTTGCCTGGCACAAAGTAAGCACTCAGTAAATGCCAGTTCCTTTTATCCCTAAAAAATAATAATCACTGCTCTAGTCAGTTTCTTTCATAAATATTTATAGACTCCATCCCCTCTCCAGCCCTACAGCTACAGCCCTACTTCAGGTTTCTAACCCGTGTTCCCGCCTCTCATCTTACTCAAAATTCTGTCTTTTACACCAGCTTGTCGGCCGGCATACTTTTTCTAGAAAGGGGCAGATAGTAAATACTTTAGGCTCTGTAGGCCATACAGTCTCTGTTGCTTCTATCTACTTAACTCCCATACAACAGCCGTAGACAGTACGTAAATGAATGGGTACAGTTACATTCCAATAAAACTTTATTTACAAAGGCAGACAGCAAGCTTGATTTAGCCTACCAGTCACAGCATGCCTGCCCATTTTACGTTAACATCAGAATGCACTTGTTCACAGCTCTGATCCTGTCATCCTCCTGCAAAAGTGACTGCCTGTTGTGCACAGGGTACAATTTAAATTCTTTATCCATGATCTGCCAGTAGCCATCTTTCTGCCTCCTCTCTTCACACTCTTCCTGCTTACAGCTCTGAACCCTAAGTTCTGCTGGCCATGCCAACCACTTCTGCCAGGCTGTCTCAGCATGTTTTACACATACCCAGTCCTTCTGCTGAGACAGCTTTTTTTTTTTTTTTTTTTTTTTTTGCCTATCTGGTTTCCTTTCATTCTTCAAGAATCTGCTCTGTGTACACCTTGAAGCCTTTCTTGTCTGTCCCCAGTCTGGCTGGGTGCCCCTTCCAGTCCCTCAGTGTCCTTTGCATATTTCTCTCCAGGAACATTTATGACCCTATATTGTATTTGTTTACTGCTGGTTTAGTTCATATCACTAAGCCAGAAACTTTTGAGAAGAGGAATCGTGTTTCATTCTGTGCACCCTAATATCCAAGTCCAATCCCTGGTGCATAGTCAGGACTCAAAAAATTATTTGAATAATAGAATGAATATATTTAAAGACTTCTGAAATATCCTGAGATTCAGACAAGAATACATGCAAGTAAAATTGTATTTGAACTGTAAACTAAATAATACAACTCGGGCTGTTCAGTATGATCAAGAGCCTTTTGGGCATAGTGAAATTTTAAAACCTTGAAAAATAATTAGAGATATATAAATGAATGTGTTCCCAGGAAATTAAGATACTATCTTAAAAACTTATAAGATTCTGGTATGAAATACATGCTTTTTTCCCTTGGGCTCACGGGGTCGTCTTTTGTGTAGCTCAGGAATTTTGCTTGCCCACTGTTGTTCTCCTTCCAGTTCCTCGTCTCCTCATTATGAAAGACATGGTCAGACGACTGCAGGAACTGCGGCACACGGAGCAGGTGCAGAGGGCCTATGCCCTGAACTGCGGGGAAGGCGCCACTGTCAGCTATGAAATTCAGATTCGAGTGCTAAGAGAGTTTGGTCTTGCAGATGCTGCTGCAGAGCTGTTGCAGGTAGGAAATGACATTAAACTGTTTAAAATAGGGAGCCTCAGTCACCAGACAGGCAGTATTGTGGGCATCCTGACGAGTCCTTGGCTTATTTCCTTTTCGTCGTATGTGCTTTTTCACTGCCTTTGGTGTCTTTGATAACCTGCAAGTCCCTCCTGGTGAGAGGCAGCGTCATGGAGTGGACTGAGCAGAGGCCTAGGATGAGAACTGGGTTTAAGTCCCGGCTCTGCTGCTTACTAGTTGGTTAACTTGGAATGAGTTACTTAACCACCCTGGGCATCAACAGCTCTTTTACCTGTAATATAAATTGTTATGAAGATCCAGAGTGCTATTGTACAGCAGCTATATTTCTGGTATGTAGCAAGCATACAAGTGGGGACTGCTAAAAAAATTCCACAGTGTGCATGCCCAGAGATGGCATGGAAGTAGAAAAGTCTGAACTTCCACTGCTCTCTCTTCCTTGTTTGGTCACTAGGTTTGAGGTTTGGTCTACTTCCTCACTTACACACCTTTCACATGCCCACTTTCGTTTCTGTTTTCCATCTTATAAGAAATTTCTTTCATGAGGGTTCAAACCCAAGCATGAGAATCAAACAGTAAGTGCTTTCTTTTTTAACCTACCAGGAAAAAAGAAAAAACTCATTTCTAGTAATTATTAGATACAAAAGCAATAGCACTGGTTTTGCAATTAAGATAGAATTTGTAAACTAGTCTGATCACAGCCACTAAATCAGAGCCTTAAATAAAATTTAATTTCATCTGGTTAGGTGATTCATTTTCTTGCTACAAACTCCAAACCCCTTTAATCCGTACCCTTTAAAAGGATAGGATGTGGCCGGGCGCAGTGGCTCACGCCTGTAATCCCAACTCTTTGGGATGCCAAGGTGGGCGGATCACTTGAGGTCAGGAGTTCGAGACCAGCCTTGCCAACATGGTGAAACCCTGTCTGTACTAAAAATGCAAACATCAGCCAGGTGTGGTGGCGTGGGCCTGTAGTCCCAGCCTCGGGAGGCTGAGGCAAGAGAATCGCTTGAACCTGGGAGGCCGAGTTTGCTGTGAGCCAAGATTGCACCACTGCACTCCAGCCTGGGTGACAGAGCAAGACTCCGTCTCAAAAACAAACAAACAAACAAACAAACAAACAAACAAAAAAGAATAGGCTGGACACAATGGCTGTAATCCCAGCACTTTGGGAGGCCTAGGCAGGTGAATCACTTGAGCTCAAGAGTTTAAGACTAGCCTGGGCAATATGGCAAAACCCTATCTCTACAAAAAATATAATAAATTACCCAGGCATAGTGGTATGCGCCAGTAGTCCCGGTTCCTCGGGAGGATTAGGTGGGAAGATCACTTGAGCCCAGAAGGTCAGGGCTGCAGTGAGCCATGATTGCACCACTGCACTCCAGCCTGGGTGACAGAATGAGACCCTGTCTCAAAAAAAGAATGAATGAATGAATGAATAAACATGGCATAGGGTTCTTCAGCAAGTCAGCAAACCACTTTTAGGTTCTTTTTCTTCTTTTTCCCCCTGCTGTCCTAATTTTCTACTGAACATTTTTAGGTTCTTGTTTTAGATTGTTGATTTTCATTTTTTGCTACAGTTTTTCTCCTTAAAATATATAGTCTGGTTTTCTACTCATTTCTTTTCCCTTTGCCATTCTAAATTGTGTCTGAATTTGGTACCTTAAATTGCATGACATATTCTTTTATAATGTTTACCAAAATATTGGTCAGACTTAGTCATGTATAATGGGTAATGAATAGTATTTTGTAGTTTTTATTTCAGACAGAGCAGGCATAGATGTCTTGTCAGAAAGTTTCTAGAACATCCTCAGTTGTATTCCTTTCTCCCTTTGGCATTTAATGTTAATCTCTTAGCAAAGACATATTAGAGTTTGGTTTTATTACCAGTTTTTGCATTATCACATAATCTGAGATGAGTGACCTGCTTGAGGAGCATTCGATCAAGCAGCTTTCTTTCATGGCTGTGTCCTAGGCTGCACTCTGTGCCTTTGTACTATAACTAAGGTGATTTTTTTCTTGGGCTTCTGGCCTAGAAAAATATATTATGCTTTTTATTCTTGCTGACTGTGGTTTTCTTAAGTACCTCACTTAATTCTCTCAGCCTATAAATTTCCACTTATGAAATCTGCTAATAAATGTCCTTTTTTTTTTTTTTTAATCTTTTTTAGAATCCTCACAAATTCTTTCCTGATGAACGTTTTGGGGATGAAAGTCCACTCTTGACAATGAGACAGCCTGGGAGATGTCGCGTAAACAGTACACCTCCTGCAGAAACCATGTTTACAGATCTGGACTCTTTTGTGGCCTTCCATCCACCCTTGCCCCCTCCACCACCTCCCTACCACCCCCCAGCTACCCCAATCCATAACCAACTCAAAGCAGGCTGGAAGCAAAGACCTCCCAGTCAGCACCCTTCACGTTCATTTTCTTATCCCTGTAATCATTCGCTGTTCCACTCCAGAACAGCTCCTAAAGCTGGCCCTCCCCCAGTCTACTTGCCGAGTGTGAAAGCTGCACCGCCTGATTGTACCAGCACTGCAGGACTGGGCAGACAGACGGTGGCTGCTGCTGCCGCCACCACCACCTCAACAGCAACAGCAGCAGCAGCAGCAGCATCTGAGAAGCAAGTGGTAAGTCAACACTTCAGTAACTTGCTTCAAATTCGGTTTATGGAGAATTAGAAGCAATTTTCTTGGCCCCAAGAGCCCCACTGGGACTCAGCAGTGCCCAGAAGTATTGCTGACAAGTGGAAGGCATAGACTTGAGGGGTATGGAAAAGAGGGAAAAACGCTAGTGTACTTGAATGAGAAAAGACAGGAGGAGAGAGACCAAGAGGTGTATATGGAGGAGTTGAGTATCTTCTTATCTTTATGTTCATTTGGCAGGATTAGGAAGGAATGGGGTTACTGAGCAACATAAAGGAATATACCAGTTTCATGTTCTGTTCAAGCACAGGTCTACAATTTGTCCCTAACTTCTACTATTCTGTAAAATCCACTGTTCTACCACATGCTTTAATCGGACAAGAAGCAAGAGCTACTTATAGCTAAGTACAGTATACCGTCAGGAATAATGTGGAAAAAACTCCCCATTCAGAAGATGAGCAGAAAATGAGGCCTCAGGGCCTCAGGCATGCCTCTGCCTCTGAAGCTCATCAGCAGAGCCCCCACTTCACTTAGAATCATAGTAGCCAGGGCTAGTAGGTAGTAAATTGATAGAGGATTCTTTGCTTGATTTTGCACTGTATTAGAGATTTTGTATAATATACTTTAAAAAGTTTTTTTTTTTTTTTTGGCCAGGTGCCATGACTCACACCTGTAATCCCAACACTTTAGGAGGCTGAAGTGGGAGGATCACTTGAGCCCAGAAATTCAGACCCAGCCTAGGAAACATAGTGAGACCCTGACTCTACCAAATAAACAAATGAATTAGCTAAGTGTGGTAGCACGTGCCTGTAGTCCCAGCTACTCATGGGGCTAAGGTGGGACAATCACTTGAGCCTGGGAGGTTGTTGAGGCTGCAGTGAGCTGTGATCAAACCACTGCCCTGCAGCCTGGATGACAGAGGGAGACTGTCTCAAAAAAAAAAAAAAAAAAAAAGATTTGTAAGATTTGTAAGTCTTCATACTCAGTCACATGCTATCAGTAGCAAGTTAGAAGAAAAGATTCACCTGTCAGTTCAGGGAAGCTTCATTAAAATATGGCTTATTGGAAGCTTGAGTCCAATTATGATCCTTTCTCAACTTTTCTTTTTAACATAACCTCAAGATTTTATTTATTTATTCATTTATTTCTTTATTTATTTTAGAGACAGAGTCTCACTCTGTTGCCCAGGCTGGAGTGCAGTGGTGCAATCTCGGCTCACTGCAATCTCCGCCTCCCGGGTTCAAGCAATCCTCCTGCCTCAGCCTCCTGAGTAGCTGGGATTACAGGCACGCACCACCACGCCCGGCTAATTTTTGTATTTTTAGTAGAGATGAGTTTTCACCATGTTGGTCAGGCTGGCCTCGAACTCCTACCCTCATGATCCACCCGCCTCAGCCTCCCAAAATGCTGGGATTACAGGCGTGGGCCACTGCGCCCGGCCAACCTCAAGATTTTATTATCTTTACCGTGAAACAAAAGATGATGCTTACAACTGGATCAATTGTCCCTTTCTCTTCTTATCTTCTCTGGGTTCAGCATGCTTGCATCTCTTAATAGCCAGCATCCTCTTAGATCTGCAGTTGAGCTCAGCGCACTCAACCTTCAGCACAGTCTTTGTAGTTTTACCCTTTTTCGGGAAAATCAGCCTAGTCTGCCCACCATAGTCACTCTGCTTCCTGTCATGCTGCTTTCCCTGGGCATACAGAGAATCCTTGCCCTTCCTCTACTGTGTCACTTTGTGGGATTGGTGTGTGCCACACTGTGACAGAAAGTCCGATGGGTTTTAGGAAGGTTCACCATGTTTGCAGGGGCACTGTTAGCACAGAAAGCCTTTCTCGCCTTCTTAGACCTCTCTACCTCCCCTCCCTGCTTCCCCCACCCCAGAATGGCGAAGGTTGGTCATGTTTGATAAACCAGATTCCCATTCTGTTGGGCCAGGCCCTCAGTTCTACAATTACAAAAGTTCTACTACTTTATATTTTAAATAAAACTCCCTTTAAAGGTAATTTATTTGTCTGTTCATTGCAGTCTTGACTATAATAATGAAAAATGGTAAACAACCTAGATGTCCAATAGTAGCAGAATGATTAAGTAATGGTTCATTGATGCAGTAGAACGTCACATAATAATTTAAAATGGTGATCTCAAAGATTTAGTGACAGATTATATAGGTACTAAATTTCATCAGTATATATGCAAAGGAGAAAAGCATAAAAAGAAAGACCTCAAAATGCTAACAGTGGTATCTCTGTTCAAAAGGTTGGAGTGATTTTTTTGCCTTTATAGCTTTCTGTATTTTTATAATTCTTACAAATTCAGCCAGGAGCGGTGGCTCACGCCTGTAATCCCAGCACTTTAGGAGGCCGAGGTGAGCGGATCACGAGGTCAGGAGATCGAGACCATCCTGGCTAACACATTGAAACCCCGTCTCCACTAAAAATACAAAAAATTAGCTGGGCGTGGTGGCGGGCACCTGTAATCCCAGCTAGTCAGGAGGCTGAGGCAGGAGAATCACTTGAACCCGGGAGGCAGAGGTTACAGTAAGCTGAGATCGCACCACTGCACTCCAGCCCGGGCGACAGAGCGAGACTCTGTCTCAAAAAAAAAAACAAAAACAGAATGTGTTAATTTTATAATTGGGAAACAAAATCAGTGAACATCATTTCTACAGAGGATGGGTCCTTTTTTTAACCCTCCCACCATTTTTGTCTCTGTCTGCAGCGAACACAACCTGTGCTGAATGATCTGATGCCAGACATCGCGGTGGGTGTGTCCACACTGTCACTCAAGGACAGGAGGCTTCCAGAGCTTGCTGTAGACACAGAATTAAGCCAGTCAGTTTCTGAAGCAGGACCAGGGCCTCCCCAGCATCTGTCGTGTATTCCACAGAGACATACACACACTTCTCGGAAAAAACACACACTAGAGCAAAAAACAGACACCAGAGAAAATCCACAGGAATATCCGGATTTCTATGACTTCTCAAATGCTGCTTGCAGACCTTCTACTCCTGCTCTCAGCAGACGCACCCCTTCCCCTTCGCAAGGTGGATATTTTGGTCCCGATCTGTACAGCCACAATAAGGCATCACCAAGTGGCTTAAAGTCAGCCTACCTACCTGGTCAGACGTCTCCTAAAAAACAGGAAGAAGCTAGGAGAGAATATCCACTTTCCCCTGACGGGCATCTACACAGACAAAAGAATGAGCCGATACACCTGGATGTCGTTGAGCAACCTCCCCAGCGGTCAGACTTTCCTTTGGCAGCCCCAGAAAATGCTAGTACCGGTCCAGCCCATGTCAGGGGACGAACTGCAGTAGAAACTGACTTGACTTTTGGGCTGACTCCTAACAGACCTTCACTTTCTGCATGTAGCTCTGAAGCTCCCGAAGAGAGATCCGGTAGAAGACTGGCAGACAGTGAGTCCCTGGGCCATGGAGCTCAGAGAAATACAGATTTGGAAAGGGAAGATTCAATAAGCAGAGGAAGGAGGTCACCAAGCAAGCCGGACTTCCTCTACAAAAAGTCTGCCCTCTGAGAGCAACCTCCAAGTCGTCTGTGCCTGAGATGTGAAACATCCCATTTTATGATGTAACCCAACAACTTACAGACCAGTTCATCAATGCCAGCTGATAACTCGGTTTCACATGATTTTGTTCTAGTTTTTGTGTATATATGTGTTTATTAGACATGGCATGCTAAGAAGGTTTTGTTTTTTTTTTTTAATGTTGCATCTGTCTAATTTGTCTTTGAACAATTATGTCGGGAGGCATTTTTAAGAACAAGCAGGCTGGCACTTTTTATTTCTCTTTACAAATGATGGAATTTTTTTGCACTTGTACATTTATTTTCTCTGTATTGATTTTATATCAGTATGTTAAACTTTATTGCCACATTTAAAGGACTGTATTTTCATACTTTTTTGCATTTTACCTTTCATCTACCAATCCATGTGCATTGGATTGCACACTAAGATGTATTTTCTTACGAAATAGTTCTGTGTTTATTTTTTAATTATAGAAATTCCAAAGAACAGCACATCAGAATGCTCCTCTCTTTTCAGTAATTGTTTTAGTTCAGAGATCTTCCCGCTCAGCCTCCATAAATCTAATGTCATTTTTTTTTTAATAAGTCCTAGGAGCTGGGCTTCATTCCTCCAGCGGGAGTCCAGTCAGGGTCCTGAAGTTTGCTGGTTCAGGAAAGAACAGGAAAGAGAAAAGCCTTCTGTGCCCAGGCTAAAGCTGTTACATTTCCACAGTGTGGATGCAGTCAGAATCCCTGCACATTCTGGTCATAAGGATTAGAGTCACCAGATGAGGCTCTAAACAGATCGCATCCCTTGGAATTAGAAAGCAGTGGAGACCGGGCGCAGTGACTCACACCTGTGATCGGCACTTCGGAAGGCCGAGGCGGGCAGATCACTGAAGCTCAGGAGTTCAAGACCAGCCTGGGCAACATGGCGAAACTCCATTTCTATAAAAAATACAAAAAAAAAAAAATCTAGCCAGGCGTGGTGGTGCGTGCCTGTAGTCCCAGCTACTTGGGGGGCTGAGGTGGCAGGATCGCTTGAGCCTGGGAGGTTGAGACTGCAGTGAGCCAAGATTGCACCACTGTGCTCCCACCTGGGCAACAGTGAGACCCTGTCTCAAAAAAAAAAAAAAAGGCAGTGGAAATAGAGAAGTAACTTAAAGGTCACACTGACAGAATTTCTGGTTCTGAGCGTCAACTCTCCAGCTGTGATGGCGGAACTGACTGCTTGCTGCCTTTAATTGTCTTGCTCTCTATGGGAAAAAAACAAAAGGGCTTCAGTCTCATGGATGTTATTTGGTGTTTGTAAAGATACGTTTTCTTTTAAACGATTTTCAAAATATGTCTAAATTTTGGTGTTGTGTAATGCATAATGCTTTCTCACCAACAGAAAAAAGGAAAAAAATTGTTTTCAGTTAAACACTACATGTCCTACTTGAACTCCACTGGGACGCTGGTTTGGCATTTACTAAACCACTGAGCACATGGGGTCTTTCAGGATCCTCTCCCTTGGAAGGGCAATGTGTGAGCTAAGGACTGTTTTTTTTCTTACTCTCCAATGTAAATATATGAGTATTTGAGTTTTTAAATCACTTCAACATTATTTGAGCATTTACTTTGTATTTTTACAAACACATAAACACACAGCCGTAGCACTTAGAAGAAAAGAGGCTTTCTAAGCATTCCTTCCTCTGCAGGATATTTGGGATCCTCTTTTCTATGTATGTATATATATAAAAAACTATGAATCACTCACACTCACTCGAAAACTATGCAGGGCTAGGGAGCGTTTATGAGCTACCGGGTAAATGAATTACATGCACTTTGAAGTAAATAGGTTTTCTATTGGGTGTCAACAACGCTGATTTCTCCCAAAACTATAGTTTCTCTTACGGTCTTTTCCTCCTTTACCCTGTGGATATACACTCAGGAATAATCTGACATTTTAGAAAAGCCGAACAGTAGATAGTCTCCAAGATGGGAAACATGTCGTGTGTCTGCACGCCCCGGCAAACTGCCGCCACTCGTTCTGCTGCCTGACTGGTTAGCTGCTGTGCGGGTGCGCTCGGTGACACTGGTGGTGGTGCACGCTCCCGAGCTCCCAGAGTTAACACTAATCTGCAGGTCGGCTGTGCATCGCATTCGAGGCTCCTTTTTTAAAGAGAAAAGCATAGGCCTCTGTTCTCATTTGTAAGAAGTTTGACTCATAATAGAAGACGGTGTCTTTTGAAGCCCAGTCTCTGTCTGTCTTCAGAAACAAAAGTGAATGCCGTCATGTTCCTTGATGTGTGTTTCTGCCACATATGTATGTTGACATGTTCATGTACTGCGCCGGTACTGCAAGTAAGACTCAACAGACCTAATTTGGATGGGGAGAAAAACTCTCATCCCTGACCCTTCCCCCCCCGCAAATGTTAGACCAGAGCTGTTGATCCCACACATTCATTTTTCTGAAAATTCATGAACTATTCTCTCATATCCCTGAAATATAAAAGTAAGTGGCCACTATTCCTAAGATTATTTAGTTTATAAAGTTTGCTTTTAATCATACAATAGCTTACCTGGCTAAAACTTTGCGTATAAAGGGAAAACTTGCTTTAATCTGTGGGATTGCGGACCGATGCGACTTGCAGAAGGTAAACAGGCGTGGGTTTTGTGTGCGTTAGGTTAGGTGTTAGTGGACTTTTAATGTATCTTGTGAAGTATGGTTACTAGGGTAGGTTCAAGAGCTACATGCCTCTGGCTTTTGAACCCATCTATTAAATCTTTTTTAATGCTGTACTAAGATAAATGTGAAGTCTGAGTAAGGTTGCTCTCAGAAAAAAAAAAAAAGCATATATATATATAAAATAAAATTTAGGCCATGGGAACTGGCATTTTACTTGGTATAGGAATTTAATGAGAACCAAATCACAAAAATACCAGATCTCCTTTTGAGATCGTGGACAATCAGGCCTTTGGACAATCACCGCTTCCAGTGCCCGCTGTGCGTTGAGGTTAGAGACCTACCGTTTACACGCTAGAGCCGAGAGGACGTTCAAGTTTCTTAAAGATGCTGTTGGTCTTTTTTCTTATGTTATTGTTTTAGTTTTGTGATTTTGATGAATAATTGAAGTTCAGAGTCACCCGTGGCTCCTAAGGAAAAAACAGCATCATGAAAGGCAAAAAGTATTTGAAACGTAATTGTTTCAATTTTCCACGCCCGTTCTCACATGCCCCCTTTAGCTTTATTTCTGGGAACATGTCACTAGACCTCAGCTAGCCTGACACCGCAATAACCCGTTAGGCTTTGAGGCTTTTCAGTGAATTCTTGACATTTAAATCTTCTTATAGAATTCTTTATGAAGCCTTAACTAATTCTTGTTTTTGCTTCCTCAGAAACTTTTTATTGCATCTGCCATCCTTCATTGGATTTTTGTTTTGGTTTGTTGTTGCCATTCTAGCAATGAGCTTAGTCCTTGTACATCTGCATTAAGGTGCCGATGCAGAAGGCAAATTGGAAACACGCGCCAGCGGCAGTGGGGCTCAAAGCCGACCTCCATGCATCATTCTCTAGAGTTGAAAGGATTGACATTTCTCAGTAACTACCCGGCAAAATATATATTTTCATAATGTTGAATTTGCCTTTTAGGAAAACAATGTTTCATGAAACACTTGTAAGATACTTATTTTGAAATTAATTATAAGGCATTCATATTTTTAGGACTGAATTCAAAGGGAAATGCTTCTTTGACTTTTTTTCATTGTTCGGTTGACTTTCAGCTTTCTGGAGTGACAAAGCAGCAGTGATGGGTGCTATTCCTGGTTCTGTGGTGGTTTACTTTGTCTACTAAGTGATTTACTTTCAAACCTCATTACAGATAATCTTACTAAAAGACTTAACATGCACACTGCTAAAAGGTGTTTTACTGTTTTCCATTAACGCTGTTGTATGAACAATATTTGGTGACATGTTGTCTTTTTGTCCTGTAGATTGTCATATCTGTTATGTAGTTATCCTTTTGGCAAGTCCTTTGATTTTTTTTTCCTCTAGAAAATCCTCAGACTGTCAATCTTCCATATTTTGAATATTATAATGCTGTGGCCATTTCTATAGAAAGATTACTTGCAAGTGTGTGTCTTGAAAATAACCTCTTGTATTTGTGTGTTTATGTGAGTTCTGTCTAAGAGATCAGATAAGCTCTGGAAGCTTCATCATCTGTACCTACATGTAACTGTATCTGGGTTACATGGGCAGGCGGTACCAAGTCCTGCTCTTCGATGGGGTGGCTGAGAGATAAAGGTTCCTGAACTCTCCTTGCTGTGTATGCACCACATCTGTACTTCAGAGAGGTGGAAAATCATCTACAACACTGCGTTTCTTGTGGTTGTGCTGTTACTGGTATAAAGTCAAGTGCCTTCAATGCTAAAGGCTCAGAAATTTTTCTTAAACTGATTTCATGTCCTATGCAAGTGTTTTCTACAACCTGCATAACCAGTACTTTGTAAAACTTGTTTACGCTTCAATTGTACATAGTGATTTTTAAAGAAATATATAGTATTTTTATTTAGGTACCTCCAAACTTGAATTCGTCTGTGTGAAGCATTGTAAAACGATACATTTCTCTTTTGAGTACCATTACAGTTGTACAGAGGTTTTCACTGCTTCTATTTTTCTACTGTTACTGATAAGCATGTAACACTGACTTTATCCTACATATAGTTGGCATTTCAAATAAATGGCTTGTATAGAATCTGCTGAGTTGGATACAGTCTGTTTTAGCAGTGGAGCATACAGTCTTCAATTATAGAAGTCATTGCACCCCTGGAGGGTAGAATTGGGAGGTTTTCTAGGTTGATTTTCTCTGTTTCTAGGATTTCAATCATTCAGAGGCATTTTATCATCATCATCATCATCGTTTTCTCGGAAATCACACATTTTATTCTGAATCATCAAGTTCATTATTTTCTATTATTTCATTGAGACATTTCTGAGAAATTTTATTTTACAAATTTGAGCGGAAAGTTCCTCTCACAGGGGTCTTCAGGATTGCAGGAAGCTCAGCATGGCACCCACGTGAACCAGGCACCTGGATGTGTCCTGCTCTTCAGGGCCCTTCGAGGGTCAGAGACCTGGCCTAGATTCTGAGCTTTGCCTTTGCTTTCACACCCAGGCTCAGTAATATTTTCAATTTCAAAAGGAAATGAGATCATGGTCTAGAGTCTAGGATTCTGGAAAAAAAAAAAAAAAACGCAAAATGGAAAGTTTTCTAATTTCCATTTTTTAAAATTGCTACAAAAGAGCTCTTATTTTGTTTTTTATTTTTCAGACAATGTCTTGCTCTGTCACCCAGGCTGGAGTGCAGTGGTGTGATCACAGCTCACTACAGCCTCAATTTCCAGGCTCAAATGATCCTCCCACCTCAGCCTCCCGAGTAGCTGGGGCTACAGTCAGTGTTACACCACTATGCCTGGCTCATTTTTAAAATTTTTTGTAGAGACAGAGGAGGGGGTCTCACTACGTTACCTAGGATGGTCTCAAACTCCTGGGCTCAAGTGATGCTCCCACCTCAGCCTCCCTAAATGTTAGGATTATAGGCATGAGCCACTGCAACCAGCGAGCTCTTTAAAATGTTTTTTATCATTTCAGTGCCAAATTCTGTCCTAGCATCTCACTCTTCATGCCTTACTAACAAGTTATTGCTTTATAGTTTGTAACCATCTTAGGTTTAACAGAAGGGTATAAAGATAAAATAAAATCTAAGGTTTCTGTGGGTGAGCTTCTTAAATCTAAACAAGAAAATTGAATAAATCAACATTCATTTCTGTACTTGTGGATTATTCCTGGAAAAATGAACTCGGGCTAGCTTCCCAAGCCACTTTAGGCTTTACCTCTCCTCAATCCATTAGGGAATATTTCTTGAGTCCACTCCTCCCGGAGTCTGGGAATATGGAGCAGCAGACCAAACAGACAGGAACCCCAGTCTCAGAAACTCACCTCTAGCTGGAAATGACTTTTGTCCTAAAAACAAAACAAGGCCAGGTGCGGTGGTTCGAGCCTGTAATCCCAGCACTTTGGGAGGCTGAGGCAGGTGGATCATGAGGTCAGGAGATTGAGACCAACATGGTGAAACCCCATCTCTACTAAAAATAGAAAAATCAGGTGGGCGTGGTGGTGCGTGCCTGTAGTCCCAGCTACTCGGGAGGCTGAGGCAGGAGAATCGCTTGCACCTGGGAGGCGGAGGGTGCAGTGAGCCGAGATCATGCCATTGCACTCCAGCCTGGCAACAGAGTGAGACTCCATCTCAAAACAAACAAAAAATACAGGGCAGTTATCACAGCTAAGGGGAAGACCAGCTTGAAATGGACCAGGAATGAAAACAGGAGGAGAAATGCTGGAAGCAGCACTAACACTAAACAATGTAATCTTTTCTAATCCCTCATTGAGTTAGGAACTCCTTCCTTTGATCCTCTGTGAATTAAGTACTATTATTTGTGCCATTTTACAAAAGAGAAAAGCCCGGAGATACTGAGCACCTTGTCCAAGGTCACACAGCTAGAAAGTTGGCAGAACTTGGGCTCAAACCCAGGTAGCCTGGCTCCAGAACCCCAGTCCTCAGCCGTTGTGTTGTTCTGCGCATCAGGAAGTCCGGTGGTCCGGGCGGGGTGGGGGGGACTCTAATGTGCAACAGGTGGAAGCAGGTTCAAGGATGGCAATCAGTTGTTCATCCAGTCCGTTTTTCCGAACATTGCTAGATGCTGAGACAGCAGAGTCATGAACAAAACAGTCACAGTCCCACTCAAAAACTGTTTGAGTTTCCAAGAAGAAAAGACATTGAAGAACTACACAGGTAAGGCTCGATGTCTAACTGGTCCCAGGGGTGGGAAGGCTTTGTGTGGGAGTGACCTTGAAGGTGCAGGTGAAGGAAGAGACGAGCAACAGGGTGAGGAGTGGGGAGGGAGGGCTCCATGGAGAGACCAAGCCTGGACAGAGCTCAGGGGAGTGAGAGGGGGTGTGGGACCCTCCTAGGGCAGGGTGAGGCTTCTGAAGTTGGCTATAATGGCAACTCAAAAGCTACTAGGGCTGGGGTGGTTCACCAGATTTGCATGTTCCAAATCACTCTGGCTATTGCATGGGAAGTGGTTGAAAAGAAGCAGGAGTAGATTGAGAGGTCCAGACGGGAGGCTGCCGTAGCCGTCCAGGGGAGAGCTGCAAGCAGCCAACAAAGAGAACAGATTCGGAATCTGCTGACGGTGCCGTGTCTGCGTGACTAGGTGCTTGCTCAGTGTGGGAAAGGAGGGGGAGCCAGCTCTGGGGGGAAGATGGCGTTAGTGTTGGTCATGTTGACGCGGGAATGATTGCCAGGCAGCCAACTACTAGGTGGCAACTAGGTGTCAGCTGGGAGTCAGAGGAAAGGATTCTAGCTGGAGGCTGTGTGGGGGTTGTCCACATATATGGGTGGCACTTACAGCCTTAGGAGTAGATGGTGTGATTAGGGGAAAGGTTTAAAGGAAGATGAAAGAGGGCCTGGATGATGAACTTGGGGGACTCCAACCTTTCCAAGCCAGCTGGAGGGAGTTGCTGGCCAAGGGCAGCCTAGCAGACAGAAAGAAAACCAGCAGTGTGCTGCACAGAAGACCAGGCTGGGACAACTTGAGAAAAGAGGGAATGTGATCTTTAGAATAAATGAAGTGAAAGAAGCAGTATACAAAATAATGCATCCATATGCTCCCACTTGGAGAGAAGACAAAAAAAAAAAAGGAATGAATGCAAATACATACATAAACATTTCTGCAGCCAGGCGCGGTGGCTCACGCCTGTAATCCCTGCACTTTGGGAGGCCAAGGCAGGTGGATCATTTGAGGTCAGGAGTTCGAGACCAGCCTGGCCAACATGGTGAAAACCCATCTCTACTAAAAATACAAAAATTAGCCTGGTGTGGTGGCAGGGGCCTGTGATCCCAGCTACTCTGGAGGCTGAGGCACGAGAATCGCATGAACCCAGGAGGCAGAGATTGCAGTGAGCCGAGATTGCACCGAGCCAAGATTGCACCACTGCACTCCAGCCTGGGTAATAGAGACAGACTCAGTCTCAAAAAAAAAAAAAAAAAAAAAAATCTGCAAGAATGTGCACAGGACTCCCTCTGGAGAGGGTCATTGACAATACATGCAACTGCCAATTAATGGCATCCTTTTTGTTCTGGTTGAGTGTTTAAATGATATGCAGGTATTACTTTTTCAAGTTAATTAAAGGTAAGAGATTAAGGCTCAATTTCACTGCTATCCAAAAGTTAACCCTGTGGCTGCTGTTCCGAGGTTTTGGAAGATCAGGCCCCTAAGGCGGGTTGGGTCAGCCTCAAGGTGAAGGTGTTTGGAAGAGCAGTTTGGCGGCAGCTGGAGAGAGAAGCCAGGTGGGGCAGATGCGAGTCTGAGTGGGAGGTGAGAAGGTGGAGATGATCTGTGTAGACAGCCTTTTTGAGTAGCTTAGTGGTGGAGAGGAGGGAAACTGAAGGCGTTTGAGGAGTGAGGAGACCCGACCGAGCTGTCCCTGGAAGCTGGATGGGGTCATCATTACTGTCATCTTGTGGGCCAGTCATGAGAGACCTTGTCACATACATAGGCTTCCCTCGTCCCCTGGGAAGCTGGTTGACTTATCAACAGGAGAAGGAAGTCGGCTCTGCATCATTTGTTCTTTTTTTTTTTTTTTATACTTTAAGTTCTGGGTTACATGTGCAGAACGTATAGGTTTGTTACATAGGTATACACGTGCCATGGTGGTTTGCTGCACCCATCAACCCGTCACCTACATTAGGTATTTCTCCTAATGCTGTCCTTCCCCTAACCCCCGACCCTCTGACAGGCCCCGGTGTGTGATGTTCCCCTTCCTGTGTCCATGTGTTCTCATTGTTCACCTCCCACTTATAAGTGAGAACATGCGGTGTTTGGTTTTCTGTTCCTGTGTAAGTTTGCTGAGAATGATGGTTTCCAGCTTCATCCATGTCCCTGCAACGAACATGAACTCATCCTTTTTATGGCTGCATAGTATTCCATGGTGTACATGTGCCACATTTTCTCTATCCAGTCTACTGTTGATGGGCATTTGGGTCGCACCATTTGTTCTTAAGGACTCCTCACTTCCTATTTTCAGCTCCTCTCTCCTGGGGTTCAGAAATCATTCCACAGTAGCTGCTAGTTTGTTTTAGAAGCCTCTAGGGGACACCTGTCAGGTCACCAGTCCATAGTTTCCAGAATCTACCATCCCCCACCTAAAAGTACAAAAGCAAATGAATTGAGATATATGGTCGTTTCTGGCGTTGGGGCCCGTGTCTCTCTCTCGGTCGTCGGTCGTCCTGCATAGATTGCCTGCGGTGTGCTGTGAATAGTTTCCAGGCCACGTCCTCAGGGCCTCCCGGCTCCTTCCGCCCGTGCTCGCCTGCTTTTGCTCTGCGTGTTCAAGGCTGTCCTCTCACAGAAAGTGTGGAAGCCAGTCATGTGTTTCCACGCTCCCTGTGGTCAGCTAACTGTCCTTGCTCCACAGCTGGCTTTATACATGGCACTCACGGTCTTGGGGTTTCTCACGGGCGTCACCCCAGTCTGGAGTTTAGCTCCATGGCCCACCCAACAGGTCCATCTGTTCTGTCTCCAAGCCTCTTGGCCATGGACCCTTTTTTATTCTGTCTCTGAAACCCAGAGCTCACCAGTTCCGTACAACCACGTCCATTTCCTCCCAGTGCCAGCCCGGTGCCTTTCCCCCGGCCTGGGACTAAGCTGTGTCCCTCGGAGAGCTCGCCGCTGCTTTGAGCCTCATCTAGCAGAGCCTTGGATTCTGGGCTGTCATGCCTTGTCTCCAAGCTTTGGGGAGTGTTCCTGTGCCCGCTGCTGGCCTGTCGGGGGGTCTTCAGAGAGGGTGAGGAGGCGGAGCCAGGAAAGCCTGCCTGGGAGGAGGGAGGAAGGCACGGACTGGGGGATCCTCGGGGCGCCTGCAGGGCAGGGCCAGGGCAGGGCCAGGGCTGGGCCTGCCTCTGCCACTTCCTGGCTGTGGAAGCTGGGGCAAAGCGCCTAACTGAGTCTCCTCATCCTTAAGCTGGAGATGATGCGAGTGCGCTTCTTGAGCGCTGGTCGCGAAATTTCCATGTCTGACTCGCGATCCTCAAGTCACCGTGTGCAATAGTTCTCATCCTCAGGCTCAGGTGAAGAAACTCCTCCTCAATACCCACCTTGGAGGGCTGCTGCGGGGTCCTGTGGGCACCTGTTGACGCCTGTACTCTCCTGGAATTCCTTACCCTTCATTTAGCTAGCTCCACAAATATCCTCCATCTCTGGAATCTTCTGGTACAGCCGTTGCCAACCCTTTTGGCACCAGGGACCGGTTTCATGAAAGACAATTTTTCCACGGACAGGGGTCGGGGGGGTGGTTTCGGGATGATTCAAGCGCATTACTTTTAGCATTGGATTCTCATAAGGAGCACGCAACCTAGATCCCTCGCATGCGCAGTTCTCAATAGAGTTCTCCTGTGAGAATCTAATTCTGCCGCGGATCTAGCAGGAGGCGGAGCTCAGGCGATAACTCTCGCCGCGCACCTACTGCTGTGTGGCGCCGATCCTAACGGGCCATGGACGGTACCGTGGGCCCCCTGTTCTAGCAGATGCACCATAAATGCCTCCCTGCCCTCTGAGACTGAACTAAAAGCAATTGTTCTTCCCATCTCTCCATGTTCCAACGGAGCCACTGAAATCCCTGGGGAGTCCCTGGGAAGTCCAGCTGTAAGTGATCCCGAGAGAACTCAGTGCCCCCAGCATCCCACCATTCCCGGGGCTGATGGGACTGGGCTCTTTGCAGAGTTGCAGTCAGGTGACCCTGTGCCTGCCAATCCCGCTCTCCCGAGTCATTCGCCAGCCTTCTTCCTACAGAAGTCCCCTGATCGCACCCACGGTTGTTTCTCCAGCCTGCTCAGGGTGTCCTCCCTGCCCCCCAGTGCCAGCGTCCTTGTGCTCCTACCCCTCCCCTCCTGCCTCCTGTCCTGGCTGCCCTCCTAGCTCCTCCTCGCCCACTTAGCCCTCTCCCAGGACGTGGGCTCCTTCTCGCTCTTTCCACGGACTCTGTGTCAGGAAGGGCGGCGGGTGACGTCTCTAACACCCCAGCACCTCTCCAGCCCCCACGGCCCAGTGTCCCGCTCCCACCTTTGCAGCTGCCACCCCCAGTCACTCCTTTCGTATCCTGAAGGCTTTGGCTCCAACCTAACATCCTCTCCCTCCAATCCCTGGTGTCATCCTGGTAGCTGCCTAGACCGTCTCCAGCTACCTGTCCATGGCACAGCTCTCCCCTGTCCCCAGAATATCTCCATCTTTGAAATGCTAACCTCACTGCCCGCTCTCAGGCCGGATCGCCTCCTGTCCAGAGCCTCTCCCTGGTCCTCCTCTGGAACTCTGGCCTCCTTGCTCCCCTGCCAGGATGGCCCAGCTTCCATAGGTGGCAGCCGTCTCACCATGCCCAGCTGCGACCCATCCTCCCCGCCCAACTCAACCCATAAACAGTGTGTCCATCTTCAGCTTTGGGAGACTGAAGACAGCCACGCCCCCGTGGTACCTGTGGTCCCCAGCCTCCCGTGGCTCGGTGTGCCTGAGTCCTGCGGGTCAGCCTTAACGTGTTCTCCTCGGGGCCACTTTCCGCCCCCTCCTCTCACCTGAGCCGCCCTCCAGCGCACTCCTTCCCCCCACCTCCTCTTACCTGAGCCATGCTCCAGCTCACTCCTCCCCTCCCACCTCCCAGGGAAATGGAGGCTGCCTATGGAACTCCCTCGATTTTGAGGCCTCATTCCAACACCCTCACCCGCATCCCCCACCACCAGGTCTGGTGGTCCTTCTGTCCCATCCTATCCCATCTTCTAACAGCTCCAACATCACCTGCGGTCCACTCTCAGCAATGGCTCCACCTTAAGAATGTGCGTTGGCCCAAGTGTCTCTGAACTTCAACAAGCAACTCCCTGGACTGGCCTTCTGCAGCCGCGCCCTCTCCTTGTCCCCTCACAGTAGTGCCAACTGTGGCCTCTTCTTGCAGCCCACACCCTGCCCTCTGCAATCTGGCCTCTGAACTTACCATGGGTGATGACCGTAAGTCCACATCCAAGGTAGCAGGAGTTGTGGGGAGGCCAAAGATGGGCCACTATACTGGCTTTTTGGGTTGCTTTTATATTTACTTAGAAATAATGGCTACTGTGTAGGGTGGACCTCACATTTTCCTCAGGATGTGGGCTCCAGCCCTCTCTCCCTCTGCATGCAGCAGTACCTGAACACTGTGACTGGTCACAGCCCAGCCCATTGCTTTGTTCTGCTGTTCATCTAGACCCCAATTATTAGACCCCAGGGGGTATGGTGAAGTCGGGGGGATGAAGGAGCTCTGCTCGGGGGACCTGGGATCAGGCTGCATTTTACAGAACAGCAGAATAATGAGCTACCCAATGTCGTGAACCAGTCCCTCTGCTTTGAGGGCAGGACCTCAGGGCAGGAAGAGCTGTTAGAATACACCATTACGTTTCTTTTGAAGGATGAGGTCTCACTCTGTTGCCCAGGCTGGAGTGCAGTGAGTGGCTGGCTATTCACAGGTGCAACCACGGCACTCTATAGCCTCCAACTCCTGGGCTCAAGCAATCCTCCTGCATCAGCCTCCCAAGTAGCTGGGACTACAGGCGTGAACCTCCATGCCCGGCTCTATGCATTTTTTCTTTTTTTTTTTTTTTTGAGACAGTCTCGCTCTGTCGCCCAGGCTGGAGGGCAGTGGCGTGATCTCGGCTCACTGCAAGCTCTGCCTCCCGGGTTCACGCCATTCTCCTGCCTCAGCCTCCCGAGTAGCTGGGACTACAGTCGCCCGCCACCACACCCAGCTAATTCTTTGTATTTTTATTAGAGATGGGGTTTCACCATGTTAGCCAGGATGGTCTCGATCTCCTGACCTCGTGATCTGCCTGCCTCGGCCTCTCAAAGTGCTGGGATTACAGGCGTGAGCCACCGCGCCCTGCCTGCATTTTCTTAAAACCTGCAGAGGGAGGCTGTGTAGACTTAAATATACTAAAAACAATCTGAAAAGCAACTATTTTGTATTGGTTTTATTTAAATTTTACAGAAACCTGATCAGAGTTAAGTATGTAATTATAAGTCCAGTAACAATTTCTACAAAAATGCACATACAATGCCAGAACTCCTTAAAAGCAACTAATATCATATTTGTGTTTTGCATAAAACATGCATTAATATGTTGGCCAAAATCAGTCTCTACAAGAAGAGACAGTCCAATACAGTCAATAAGAAAACTAGTTGTGAACAACAGGTAAAAAAAGAGGTTTCCAGTTAATGTGAAAGAAGGAATAGTACCTTTCATAAAACAAGCCCTTCAGCGCTGAGTTAACTGATCGGTACTATTGTGCTGCACGTAATGTAACACATCACCTCCAAGACTTGGTCCTGATTGGTCATAGGAAGTAAGGGACTTTCTGGTAGTTACATCAGATATTTGAGAAGATTAAAAGTTTTCCGGACATGATGGTATACTAATAGTGCAACCTTGCAAAAAGGGTTCGAAACATTGTCAGACTTGGAAGAGTTCCCCAGCTTGATAAACAACCTCAAAGACACCCCGAGCCTTTGAACGGAGCCCTCTGCACAAGGCCAGCTCAGGGCTCACCAGCATGTCCTGTGGCCACAAGACCTTCCAGCTCCACATACCACCCTTCGTGAGGATCTGCAATTAGGAGCCTGAGTGCCGAAGAACATGGTTGTGCCATTTCTTTGAGGCTTTGACTTTTTATAAGGCCTAGTTCATCTCATCCAGGGATTGGGCACTCGAATGAATACACAGATGCTGGACACATAAGGAGTATTAATATACATGGTGGCCCCACAGCCTGAAATGCTTTTATTAACATACATCAAGGTGTGTCTCCGACTGTCAGGAAAGACCTTGGTCCTCCAGAGGCAGAGAGAAGCTGAGGGTTCTCTATGTATCACAAGGCATTTCCTACATAGACTGAGGGGTGTTAAAGAGATCTCATATCAACTGAAAGGACTTCCCCTCAAATGTGGGGCTCTGTACAACCTTCCATGAGGATCTTCAAAAAAAAGATCTCATAGTCGTTAGGGAAGTGGCGGTGGACATTAACATTATATACACAAAACTCATCATTCGTGCAGCCTCGGGCCTTGTTTGTAATCTCTTCCACAGTCTGTCTCTTCCAAAACAGGGCTCCCTGCCCTGCTTATTTCAAGTAAGCTAAGTCAGGATCTGTTTTCTTTAGCAGATTCAAGGGGGAAAAATAATAATTTATTGGGGTTCTAATAACATTTTCATAACAGAATATCAAAATAGGTCCATTTTTGATATATGCTTATGAATATCCCTGATAATATCAAGAAATCCAGAGGACTTCGTAAACCACCAAGATTTCACAGGGGTGAGACCCGGTCTGTTTTCTAGGCAGCAGAGAAGGGACTAGTATACGGGCAAATGTTCTCCAGGAAGCCCTGTGAGCACTACAGTACTGAAATTCTAATTCTAGTGCCAATAGAATCATGAACGAAAATTTCACTTGAACTGTATTAGTAAAATTCATAACAAAGGCTTGCTTCCTCAACCCTGTCATCTGTTAATCTCTCCGCCTGTGACAGACATCCAGACCAGAAAACCATCAGTCCTGGCTACTCTGGAGGTTGGGCCTAGAGAAAACAAGCCCCAAGATCCTTTCTAAGCTATGACCAAACCTCAGAAAACAGGGACGTGAAAGAAGGAGCAGACCAGGCTTGAGGAAGCTTTGACCCAAGGCACCACGATCATAGGGGCGAGGGGACCTGTAGAGGTTCTAGGTGACGGGAAGAGAGCCTTCCGTGATGCCTGCGGAGGAGGTTCTGGAAGGCAACAGCTCTGTGGCAAAACACACACATCTGGGAGTGAAATAACAGATCATTAAACAAGACACCAATTTGCTTTCTCAAAACAAAATCAAACTTAAAAACTATGCAAATAACCCTGGGTGCACTGGAGTAGGAGTACACTGGAGAAGTCTGTGGAATGAGCTGCATCAGCTGAGTCACAGAGGACGCTGGCTGTGAAGTCAGCATCCACACGGTGGCTACTGCAGCTAAAGAGAATGAAGGGAGCGCGAGGCCTCTCCAAACAGAGGAGGACGGAAAGGGGGCCAAATGTGAACCACACCTCTTTTATTCCAAGAATGGGAAGCGCATTTTCATTGGCTTGAATGAGAAAGCTTCATACTCCACTCTAGCTGCAGTAATACTGCATCCCATCCACTCTTCTTCTCTTTTTTGACTGAAACTCTTCAAAGAACTGCTGAATGTCCTCTCTCTTAACAACCTGTTTTTGAAAAGCAAAGATTATGAAAGAGAACTAAGTAACAGAATCGCAATCCGAGGTCATAGCATTCACAAACAAGTCAAATGATACTGTTAAGAATTATGTTAATGATAACATCTCCATTTTCTATTTTTTTTTTTTTTTTTTTTTGAGATGGAGTGTCGCTCTGTCACCCAGGCTGGAGTGCAGTGGCACGATCTCGGCTCACTGCAAGCTCTGCCTCCCGGGTTAACACCATTCTCCTGCCTCAGCCTCCCGAGTAGCTGGGACTACAGGCGCCCGCCACCAAGCCCGGCTAATTTTTTTTTGTATTTTTAGTAGAGACGGGGTTTCACCGTGTTAGCCAGGATGGTCTCGATCTCCTGACCTCATGATCCGCCTGCCTCGGCCTCCCAAAGTGCTGGGATTACAGGCGTGAGCCACCGTGCCCAGCCTACGCCTGGCTAATTTTTAAATTTTGTGTAGATACGAGGTCTCACTATATTATCCATGCTGGTCTCAAACTTCTGAGCTCAAGTGATCCTCCCGCTTCCTCCCAGAATGCTGGGATTACAGGTGTGAGCCATGACACCCAGCATGTTTATTTTTTACTGAGGTAACACATGCTTATTGTTAAGAAAGAAGGACAGTGAGACAAGGAAAGTGAAGGAAAGAGAAAGAAAAATAGAGCACGTGAATGAATTCGAGCAAAAAGGGAAAGAGATAAAGAGAAAGTAAGAAAGAGGGGTATAAAGTGAAAACTTCCCTCTCATTCCCTAGTAAGTGTGGCTACCATACTCAAAAGAGCAACTTGGAATAATGCTAACTTGGAATAATTTTCTCAGACCAGTAGCTGATACACCAGTTTCATAAGCACCAACAGTAATACTGCTGCTCAACCAGTGAGGAATCCAAACCCCTAACAGATTCAGGATGCAGAGGCTGAACACATCCTGAAATGACTGCAGCTCAAAATTCTAATGTACTTGGCTAAATGGCACGGGAATTTACACTTAACAAAATGCTAATAAATAGGATACTTGCAAGTTGCAAAATGAAGGATCTGTCCCTACCCTGGATTACAAACATTAGCCACAGAAAGCCCGTAAGTAAAAGGAAATATCTCTAGCAAGGATACTGTAGGAGGAGACCTAACAACACACAAATGAGACTGTGCAGCTTTTGGTTTCTGGATATCCTCAAATGGTCACAGCTAACGTGCAGAGTAGAAACGCTAGTGAATAAATACTTGGGTTCAATAACAAATCAGTTTTTTAATTTATTTCAGAAAATGTGTAGTTTCTAAGTTTATTAATTATTATTGCTTTTTAGAGACAGGGTCTCGCTCTGTCACCCAGGCTGGAGTACAGAGGTGTGATGATAGCTCATTGGAGCCTCAAATTCCTGGGCTCAAGCGATCCTCCGATCTCAGCCTCCCAAGTAGCTGGGACCACAGGCACACGTCACCATGCCAGCCTAATTTTTTTTTTTTTTTTTTTTGTAGAGGCGGGGTCTCATCATCTTGCCCAGGCTAGTCTTGAACTCCTGAGCTCAAGCAATCCTCCCACCTTAGCCTCCCAAAGTGCTGGGATTCCAGGCATGAGACACTGCACCCAGTCTAAGTGGTTTTTTTTTTGGTTTTTGTTTTTGTTTTGTTAGATACAAACATTAAATAAAAGGCAGTCCACCATCTAAGAACAGCTAGAACTTATTAACATTATCCCTATGGACAAATACAACCAAAGCAGATAAGCTTTATGGCAACCTGAGGTTTTGTTTCTTTTTCTGTGAAGATCTGGTTAGTAATGTCATGGAACAAACAACAAAAATACCACATTTTTCTGACCTTTTAAATTATCTGGTCAGATAAAAAATTCTCTCCTAAAGACTCCTAAAGAGTGGCGCTAGTGATAACAAGGACCCGGATGTTGAAGATACCTGTGAAGACCTTGAGTAAAAGTCTCCAATGTGCATGAAAAAGAACATGCCTAACTTTTTTCTTTTATGTAATTTTAAGTATATGTTTGTGATAAAATAAAGAAAACCGACCACAAAAGAGTGGAGGTGCAACAGCACCAGCATCAAGAGGGCATGCCTGCACACTATTTGAAACACCTCAAATGTCCATTGACAGTTCAGAGGTTACCACACTGAGGCAGAGTGCCCCATTACACCCATGAACATTCTTAGTTCTAGCACCAAAGAAGCTTGAGTCTGTATTAACCAGAGGATAGTCTCTGCAACAGAAACAAGAATAACTACATTAAGTTTTAAGAACTGTAGGGAAGGCCGGGCGAGGTGGCTCATGCCTGTAATCCCAGCACTTTGGGAGGCCAAGGTGGGCGGATCACAAGGTCAGGAAATCGAGACCATCCTGGCTAACACGGTGAAACCCCGTCTCTACTAAAAATACAAAACATTAGCCGGGCGTGGTGGCGGGTGCCTGTAGTCCAGCTACTTGGGAGGCTGAGGCAGGAGAATGACATGAACCTGGGAGGCACAGGTTGCAGTGAGCCGAGATCACGCCACTGCCCTCCAACCTAGGCGACAGAGCAAGACTCCATCTCAAAAAAAAAAAAAAAAAAAAAAAAGAACTGTAAGGAAGTAGGAATTGTTCTCAGTGATAGTGAAGAAGTCTCTAAAAACTGAGAAAACCACTTAGAAGAAGGCTCTTTTAACTTTACAATTCATTTTGCAGAAAGGCAGCAGGCAGCACTGTGACCCTGTCCAGAAATTCAGGCAGTTAAATGTTCTTCCCACATCTATGACAAAGAAAAAAACGACCTAACCTTTTGCGGGTGGTGGCGAGCGCGGAGAGGACGCCATGAAGGCCTCGGGCACACTATGAGAGTACAAGGTGGTGGGTCACTGCCTGCCCACCCCCAAATGCCACACACCGCCCCTCTACCACATGCGAATCTTTGCGCCTAATCACGTTGTCGCCAAGTCCCGGGACTTCTGGTACTTCGTATCTCAGTTAAAAAAGATGAAGAAGTCTTCAGGGGAGATTGTCTACTGTGGGCAGGTGTTTGAGAAGTCCCCACCGCGGGTCAAGAACTTCGGCATCTGGCTGAGCTATGACTCCCGGAGCGGCGCCCCCAACATGTACCGGGAATACCGGGACCTGACCACCGCGGGCGCTGTTACCCAGTGCTACCGAGAGGTCTATGGGCGCCTGGCACCGCACCTGGGCCCATTCCATCGAGATCCTGAAGGTGAAGGAGATCGCAGCCAGCAAGTGCCGCCAGCCGGCCGGCCATCAAGCAGTTCCACGACTCCAAGATCAAGTTTCCCGCTGCCCCACCGGGTCCTGCCCGTCAGCCCAAGCCACGCTTCACCACCAAGAGGCCCAACACGTTCTTCTAGGGGCAGGGCCCTCGCCCGGGTGTGCCCCAAATAAACTCAGGAACGCCCCCCACCCCAAAAAAGAAAAAAAAGGAAAAAATGACCTAAAGTAGGTAGACAGAGATGACATCTTCTAAGAAAGCAGGGCTCAAGCCAGCCTCCCAAGTAGCTGAAACTACAGGTACAAGCCGCCATGCCCAGTTCTTTTTTTTTTTTTTTTTTTTGAGATGGAGTCTTGCTCTGTCACCCAGGCTGGAGTGCAATAGCACAATCTTGGCTCACTGCAACCTCCACCTGTGGGGTTCAAGCGTTTCTCCTGCCTCAGCCTCGGAGTAGCTGGGATTACAGGCACCCGCCCTCATACCCAGCTAATTTGTGTATTTTTGTAGAGACAAGGTTTCACCATGTTGGCCAGGCTGGTCTTGAACTCCTGACCTCAGGTGATCCACCCACCTCAGCCTCCTAAAGTGCTGGGATTAAGGCGTGAGCCACTGCACCCGGCCACCATGCCCAGTTTCTATTCTAAACCATGGAACTTAGAATTCCAGAAACTGGGTCTGGTGTTAATTTTTCCTGTCCAGTCATTTTCCCCTCCCCGTCCCAAAGATCCATGCTTCAAGGTCAGGACCAGCAGAATCAGTACTGCGGATTCCTTCCAATGACCTTCTGCTAAGCTACAAGTACTCTCTCAGAGGCTGTGGGACTGCGCCCTCCCATCATTCTTCCCGGCTTAGCTGGGGTTGGTAAGGACTGCCAATGTAACTCTGATGTTTCACTACCTCTTATTCATTCCCCTTAGCCTGCCAATTTGCTCAAAACAGTCCCTGAATTCAACTCTCAAGTACCCACTTAAGTCGCAGTCATTTTTTTTTTTTTGAAATAGGGTCTTGCTCTGTCGCCCAGGCTGGGGTGCAGTGGCGTGTTCTCGGCTCACTACAACCTCCGCCTCCTGGGTTCAAGTGAGTCTCCTGCCTCAGCCTCCCTAGTAGCTGGGACTACAGGCGCCCATCACCACGCCTGGCTAATTTTCGTATTTTTAGTAGAGATGGGGTTTCACCATATTGGCTAGGCTGGTCTTGAACTCCTGACCTTGTGATCCACCCACATTGGCCTCCCAAAGTACTGGGATTACAGGTGTGAGCCACCGCACCCCGCCAGTCGCAGTCATTTTTAATCGTCAAAGGAAATAAACCCTTCATTCAAAACTTACAGGGCTATGATTAGAATTCTTTAACTCAACATACCGTGCCTTCATCAGCAAATCTCTTGAGATAGTCTTTAAGTTCAGTCTTCAAATCATTGTATTCTAAATCAAAACCACAAAAGTATTTAAGTTTAGATAAACCATTTGCTTTCAAAAACAAAATATTCTTTGCCATTGACACCTGAGTCTGTTAATAATGTAGTCTAAATAAAAATTTTCTTAAGTGAAAGCTGCATAGAAACTCGTTCCCAAATTATCTGTACGTCTACCATGTTGATATGAGACCCTTTTTCATTAAAAAAAAAAAAAGCAAAATTTTTTAAAAAGCATAAAAAGCAGAGATATCCTAATCCCATAAAGATTAAGAATTTTTAAAAGGGCTTCCTATTTCTCTGGAATTCTGGTAGCTGAAATAACCTTGGACTTGTTGAATATTTAATTTAATTTAATTTATTTTATTTTTTGAGATGGAGTCTCACTCTGTCACCCAGGCTGGAATGCAGTGGCACGATCTCGGCTCACTGCAACCTCCGCCTCCCGAGTAGCTGGGACTACAGGCACGCGCCACCATGCCTGGCTACTTTTTTATATTTTTAGTAGAGACAGGGTTTCACCACGTCAGCCAGGCTGGTCTTGAACTCCTGACCTCAGGTGATCCACCTGCCTTGGCCTCCCAAAGTGCTGGGATTACAGGCGTGAGCCATGGCGCCCAGCCCAAGCAAACTGACTCACTTAACAGTTTATATTATGTACAAGGTACCTTGAGGGCTACAAGTATCTTTTAGGTGCATCCTCTATCCTTGAAAAGTTTTTACTCTAATAAAGGCAAAAAGAAATTAATAATTATAAATAAAAGACACGGCCAGGTGCAGTGGCTTGCACCTGTAATCCCAGCACTTTGGGAGGCTGAGGCAGGTGGATCACCTCAGCTCGGGAGTTCGAGACCAGCCTGGGTGACATGGTGAAACCCTGACTCTACTAAAAATACAAAAATTAGTGGGGACTGGGCATGGTGGCTCATGCCTGTAATCCCAGTACTTTGGGAGGCCAAGGCAGGTAGATCACCTGAGGTCAGAAGTTCGAAACCAGCTTGGCCAACATGGTAAAACCTTGTCTCTACTAAAAATACAAAGTAAATTAGCCAAGCATGGTGGCAGGTGCCTGTAATCCCAGCTACTTGGGAGGCTGAGGCAGGAGAATCACTTGAACCTGGGAGGCAGAGGTTGCAGTGAGCCGAGATCGCGCCACTGCACTCCAGCCTGGGTGACAGAGTGAGACTCCATCTCAAAAAAAAAAAAAAAATTGGGGGGGCGCAGTGGCATGCGTCTGTGGTCACAGCTACTTGAGAGACTGAGGCAGGAGAATCACTTGAGCCTGGGCAGCAGAGGTTGCAGTGAGCTGAGAATGCACCATTGCACTCCAGCCTGGGCAACAGAGCAAGACCCTGTCTCAAAATAAATAAATAAATAATAAAAGACAGAAATGACTGATGCTATAAAAGTCACATAAAAGTGGTGGCATCCAAGTGGAAATGGCTGGGATAGAAACCACTGAAATAAGTTTGGCCTGCTGCAGCTGGGTGGTGGTGGGGGGATGTAAAAGCCTTCAATCAAGGGTTTGGGGGTATTTTCTCCTCTAGTGGTTTCCTGTGAACCACTGAAGCAACCTCAAGAACTGTCAAAATGGTGACATGCCTTGCTCAAGAACATGACACATAATGTCCAAAAATTGTTTCAATGGATGGAAAATTTGCATTCATCCATCTACCCTTAATCAGAATAGCATATGTTGTGGTTTCTCAAGCATGTAATTATTCTAGCATGTAACTCTGATTCAATGGTAAAAGCAGCTGAATACCCACCAATATGAAAATCAAGCAATGGTCTAAAATTCAAAATTTTAATTCTTTGTATTAAATTAAAAATATAGGTGTTTACTGCCCCCTTTATATTTTTTTACATAGTGAAGGAAATGATGAATTTTCACACACACACAGTATTTACCACAAATGAGTTCCACTTGCTGGACTCTATTCATGCTGCTAAGGGTATCCATTAGGGGATCGCTCCTGTCAGTGGCCTGGGCAATCTTCCCTTTGTTTTCATAAGCCAGAACTGTGTCGTATTCATCTGTCAGGAATAAGACATCTAGATCTCCATACATTTTCTTTAGGGAAAAAAAAAAAAAAAAAAGAAAGAGGAGTTTCCCCATTAGAACTGTTTATCATTCTCAGAAAGCCAATTTCCTGAGAATCACTAAAAATGTAATTTTTTTATATTAAGACCTAGAAAAACTGGAGCGTCTTTAACACAGAATTGCTAGAAGGATTTATTCTTTTTGCCTAAATTTCTTTCAGAAATCTCCCAATTTCCCAGATGTCATATGGTCTATGAGATCTTTATTTAAAAACCATTGATTTACTGTTAACTTTTTTTTTTTTTGAGATGGAGTTTCACTCGTTGCCCAGGCTGGAGTGCAATGGCATGATCTCGACTCATTGCAACCTCCGCCTTCTGGGTTCAAGCGATTCTCCTGCCTTGGCCTCCCAAGGAGCTGGGATTACAGGCATGTGCCACCACACCCAGCTAATTTTGTATTTTTAGTACAGACAGGATTTCACCATGTTGGTCAGGCTGGTCTCGAACTCCTGACCTCAGGTGATCGAGACCTAACTTGGCCTCCCAGAGTGCTGGGATTACAGGCGTGAGCCAAAGCACCTGGCCAATTTACTATAACTTTCAACCAGTGTTTCCAAGCAACTTTGATATAACAAAGATAAGTAAACTAAAATTAAAATAAGTAAATTTAAAATACTGCATAATTATCCATTTCTTCCACAAACATTCCAACTGTAAGTACTATGTCATAAATTTGCTTAATGTAAAAATTTGGAGGGTCTCCTAAACATTAATTTCATAAATATATTGTTCAGGTGTTCTTTTTATTTTCCTTTCTTCCTCTGGTACAAAAATTGAATGTTTTCCCCAGGTGTTCTTATTTTGGGGCACCAGTACACAAAACATGCTAACACTGAGCACAATCAGATACTTTACCATACAGTCTTGGCAGGTACACAACTTGCTACGCCAGTTCAGGGGCCAATAGGTGGCAGTGTCTTTCTTTATAAGCTGCTTAGCTTTAAGCTCCTGAAGTTTGCAGCCAGATTTTGATTCTGCGTTGAGGCTTTCATTCTTAAACACTGTCTGAAATAAAATTAAGTTTTGAAGCATGTTTTTTAAACTACCATAGTTTTCATAGTTTAGATTTTGTAAAGAGATTTCTTTAGGCAAAGGATAAAATTGAAATCCAAAGCCATAAGTTTACAGAATTAATTCCACTTCAGTTTTCTTTTTTTTTTTTGAGACGGAATCTCATTCTGTTGCCCAGGCTAGAGTGCAGTGGCATGATCTCGGATCACTGTAACCTCCGCCTCCTGGGTTCAAGCAATTCTCCTGCCTCAGCCTCCTGAGTAGCTGGGATTACAGGCATGTGCCACCATGCCTGGCTAGTTTTTGTAATTTTAGTAGAGATGAGGTTTACCCATGTTGCCAAGGCTGGTCTCAAACCCGTGACCTCAGGTGATCCGCCACCTCAGCCTCCCAAAGTGCTGGGATTATGGGCATGAGCCACCGCGCCTGGCCCAGTCTTATTTCTTGATGGCTCGTACTTCACACATTACCTGGAGATCAGATTCAGAACTAGAGCCGGCACATGGTTCACTGTTCTGCTCTACTTTAACCTCCCGGACATCATCCTTTCCCTGTTCTGGAACATCCTCTTTGAGGGTACTATCTTGATGCTCTCCATTTTCAGGTTTGATAACTTCCTGATCACCTATTCCATCAATGTTCCGCACCAATCCATCATCCTCAGTGGATATTTTGGTTACTGTGAGTTCAAAGAAAAAGAAAAACACATACACACATATCCACTGACCTAACGGACAATAAAATCCCAACAGACAATAAAATCACTTATTCTATTATTATTATTTTTTTTTTTTACAGACAGAGTCTCACTCTGTCGTCCACACTGGAGTGCAGTGGCATGGTCTTGACTCACTGCAACCTCTGTCTCCCAGGTTCAAGCAATTCTCATGCCTCAGCCACCCGAGTAGCTGGGACTACAGGTGCGTGCCACCATGACTGGCTAATTTTTTGTATTTTTAGTAGAGACGGGGTTTCGCCATGTTGGCCAGGCTGGTCTTGAACTCCTGATGTCAAGTGATCTGCCTGCCTCAGCCTCCCAAAGTGCTGGGATTACAGGTGTGAGCCACCACATCAGGCATACAATAGCTTTTGCTATTTTTTTTTTTTTTTTGAGATAGAGTTTCGCTCTTGTTGCCCAGGCTGGAGTGCAATGGCGTGATCTTGGCTCATTGCAACCCCCACCTCCTGGGTTCAGGCAATTCTCCTGCCTCAGCCCCCTGAGTAGCTGGGATTACAGGCATGCACCAGCATGCCTGGCTATTTTTTATTTTTAGTAGAGATGGGGTTTCTCCATGTTGGTCAGGCTGGTCTGGAACTCCTGACCTCAGGTGATCCACCTGCCTCGGCCTCCCAAAGTGCTGGGATTACAGGCATGAGCCACCACATCTGACCTAAAATCACTTTTTCTGATATTAAAATATTTCAGAATCTGGAAAAAGAGATTAGTCCACCGTAGTCTCCGAAATACTGAGAAAGAAAATTCCAACGCTTCTTTAGGTTATGTCTGCCTAACCCAAAGAATTCAAATAATTAAACAGTTTATTTGAAAATATCAATCACTGCTTAAGCACTTTACACATAAAGGAGAAAATATTGTACTGTACTTGTTAGAGACAGAATAATACAAGAAGCAGGAGGAAGAGATTGAATTGTAAACACAGACAGAAGGGTAATTTTTTAAAAACAGCTTTTCTTTATGGGAGGAAGAAATAAAAAAAATGATGGGTGTAGTGGCAGATATACTCTGAGACAGAGAAGAGAAACGATAGGGGAGCTCACATTGGATGCCAGCATTTCAATGTAATAGGAGATGAAGCCATCTGCTGATGGGAGAGGAAATGAAGGGAGAGGCAGGAGATCAATTTAAAAAACCCAATTAAGCTGGGTATGGTAGCTCACACCTGTAATCACAGCACTCTGGGAGGCCAAGGTGGGTGGATCACCTGAGGTCAGGAGTTCGAGACCAGCCTGGCCAACATGGTGAAACCCCTTCTCTACTAAAAATAGAAGAATTAGCTAGGCATGCTGGTGCATGCCTGTAATCCCAGCTACTTGGGAGGCTGAGGCAGGAGAATTGCCTGAACCCAGGAGGCATAGGTTACAGTGAGCAGAGATTGTGCCACTGCACTCCAGCCTGGGCAACAGAGCAAGATTCCGTCTTGAAAAAACAAAAAAACCCAATGAATGAGAACTACACATAGATAGGTTCAGCATCTGTGGACAGTGAGAGAGATCACTGGAAAGGGTGTGAACAGAAAGGGAGCAGCACTTAAGAACTCTGAGGCAAACTGGCCGGGCGTGGTGGCTCATGCCTGTAATCCCAGCACTTTGGGAGACCGAGGCGGGTGGATCACTTGACATCAGGAGTTTGAGACCAGCCTGGCCAACATGGTAAAAGCCTTGTCTCTACTAAAAATACAAAAATTTGCCAGGTGTGGTGGCATGTGCCTGTAGTCCCAGCTACTCTGGAAGCCGCGTCACAAGAATCGCTTGAACCCAGGAGGCAAGGTTGAGGTGAGCCGAGATAGCACCACTGTACTCCAGCCTGGATAACACAGTGAGACTCTGTCTCAAAAAAAAAAAAAAGGCAGAAAAACAAAAGAACTCTAAGGCAAATCTAAACTGTAGGATGAGATCAGAGGTATGGCTATGCTGCTCATGGTTTGTATGGTGAACTGGTCTCTAAAGATGAGAAAGGCAAGAAATTATGAAGCCTAAGCAGCAGATACCATGAGTAACTGCCACCTTAAAAATAAAGAAATACATAAAGCATTACCAATAAGATAGTTAATGCCTCAGGACCATTCATTAATTAGTTGTTTTGATTTAATTTCTTAGTGTATAATAAAAGCACCAGATAGACTGGGCATGGTGGCTCATGCCTGTAATCCCAGCAGTCTGGGAAGCCAAGATGAGTGGATCACTTGAGCTCAGGAGTTCAAGACCAGCCTGGGCAACATGGTGAAACACTGTCTCTACAGAAAATACAAAATTAGCAGGGCATGGTAGTGTGTGCCTGTAGTCCACTTTTATAAAGGCACTAATCCCATTCACGAGGGCTCTGACTTATAAAAGAGGCCCAAGCGAGCTTGTTTGCCCCTTTTAACAGGTACGGACACGTAGAAGGATCTGTCTATGAGGAATGGGCCCTCAACCAAACACTGACTCTGCGGGCACCTGAATTTTGGACTTCCCAGTCTCCAGAACTGTGAGAAATATCTGTCTATTGTTTATAAATTACCCAGCCTAAGGTATTTTGTTTTAGCACCCCAGACAGACTAAGACACCACCTCCTCCCCAACTGATACCATGTGTTAGAATTAACAACTTATTTCAGTTCTATTTATCTTTCAAAATCCCATTCAAAAACTGCCTCCTCCATTCTCTAACTCTGGTCTCATCAATACTCTGCATCATATCATTTAAGTATAAATTTGTTTTTGGTAGTATCCCAACAAATCTATGCACCTTGTGGAGAAAGAACACATACTATTCTTTTTTTTTTTTTTTTTTTTTGAGGATGGAGTCTTGTTCTATTGCCCAGGCTGGACTGCAGTGACGTGATCTCGGCTCACTGCAACCTCTGCCTCCTGGGTTCAAGTGATTCTCCTGCCTCAGCCTCTGGAGTAGCTGGGATTACAGGCAAGCGCCGTGACGCCAGGCTAATTTTCATATTTTTAGTAGAGATGGGGTTTCGCCATGTTGGCCAGGCTGGTCTCGAACTCCTGACCTCAGGTGATCCATCTGTCTTGTTGGCCTCCCAAAGTGCTGGGATTACAGGCGTGAGCCACCATGCCTGGCCAGAACATATACTATTTTATAACCACAGAGCCCAGTTAAAAATAGTTGCTAAAAATTCTGAATTGAACATACAAATTTCACAAGCACAAGTTTGTGGCACACCAACTTCACAAAGATACCTACCTGCCAATTGTGCAGCATAAGCCCACAAAAAAGAACAACGTTTCATGCAGGCCTGGCATACCATCTCCTGAAAATCCCCACTCTCAGGGGGAATGGCACCAAGATGCTGTGAATATAGAACACCAAAAATTTTCTTGTGATTGCCAAATTGTCCAAAATGCCCATTATTTTATAAATACTGTAATAATACACTGATCATATCATTAGAATTTATTTTTAGAAGACTAATTATAATGTAAAATATAACCTTTATCTTTTTGTGACAACAATGGTTTCAAAAGGTGGAACATTTTCCTTACCCTTCCATGGAACCAGTCTTCACAGACTACGCACTGGATCATCTCATCTGGAATCTAACAGAGAAAAGCAGTTTGTTAAGGATTACATTGAATTCGGGAACATGGAAATAACCTGGCACACAGTAAAATAAGATACTAAATATTTGTTCTACATGAACTGGTGTTCCAAAGGCTTACATTGAGATAAGCACTTTACAAACAATCTCAAGGCTCTTTCACATCCATTACTTAATATCTGATTCTCACAAAACTGTGTAGACAAGGAGGGCATTCCCATTTTATACAAAACTCAGGCCCAGGCAAGTAATGTGAATGGACCAGTGCAGACAGTGACAACTGGGACTTTTTACCACACCATCCTTTAATACAATATTCAGTTGTATTACTGTATAAGGATGTTCACTCCAGCCTTCTTTATAATATTGAAAAATTAGACAATGCCTTTCTGCTGCAGAAGAACCATCCTGCCAAGTACACTGAAAAGTAAATGTTATGAAAAACCTCGATAGATAACTCCTCTAATTTGAATAAATTAAATAATTAAATGCTGGCCCTAGGAAAATAATATACCAAAGGACATAGACTATTTTGGGGATGATTTTCTTTTACTCCCAGGCTCTCATAACTGTTAATTAACATCCCAATGTTGTTCTGTCCTTTTCCTATCGTAGGCTTCTTAAAGGGAATAAAAAAGCACATATTGTGGAACAGGAGGAGCTGTAACACTTTACCACATGCCTTAAAATATCCAGTTTTGGCTGGGCGTGGTGGCTCACGCCTATAATCCCAGCACTTTGGAAGGCCAAGGTGGGTGGATCGCCTGAGGTCAGAAGTTTAAGACTAGCCTGGCCAACATGCTGAAATCCTGTCTCTACTAAAAATACACAAATTAGCCGGGCATGGTGGCGAGTGCCTGTAATCCCAGCTACTCAGGAGGCTGAGGCAGAAGAATCGCTTGGACCTGGGAGGCAGAGGTTGCAGTGAGCTGAGATCGCACTACTGTACTCCAGCCTGGGTGACAGAGCGAAACTCCGTCTTAAAAAAAAGAAAAAAAAAATCCAGTTTTAAGGTTTTATTTTTGTTAACTCAAAGAGACTTTCAATCTGTCCCTCTATATAATTTGGTTCAATAATTATAGTTCCAACGCAATTAGAAAGCAAGGAAGAAGGCAGAAGACTAATATCTCTAAAGACAAAAAGTACTCTTTCAAATCGGTAAATACCCAGACAAAACCCAAACCAATCAAAACATGGACTGAGGATATGAAAGGACAATTCAGAGAGAAGGTTATTATGGATGTCCAATGAACTTATGAAAAGATGCATAACCTCACTTATCATCAGGGAAAGAAAAAAAAATTTAAGATACTATTCTTTGGCTGGGCGCGGTGGCTCACGCCTGTAATCCCAGCACTTTGGGAGCCCGAGGCAGGCGGATCATGAGGTCAGGAGATTGAGACCATCCTGGCTAACACGGTGAAACCCTGACTCTACTAAAATTACAAAAAATTAGCTGGGCGTGGTGGCGGGCACCTGTAGTCCCAGCTACTCAGGAGGCTGAGGCAGGAGAATGGCATGAACCCGGGAGGTGGAACTTGCAGTGAGCCGAGATCGCGCCACTGCATTCCAGCCTGGGTGACAGAGCGAGACTCCGTCTGAAAAAAAAAATGAAAAAAAAGATACTATTCTTCATTTATCAGAATGGCAAAATTTTCAAGAACTGGTAATATGCAAGGTTGACAAAAGTGTTGGGGAAAAAACACTATCATATACTGTTGCTGGTACAACTTTTTTGGCAGATATGATCACAATTTTATTTTATTATTTATTATGATTATTATTTTTTGAGACAGGGTCTCGCTCTGTCACCCAGGCTGGAGTGCAGTGCCGCAATCCCAGCTTACTGCAACCTCTGCCCCATGGGTTCAAGTGATTCTTGTGTCTCAGCCTCCCGCGTAGCCAGGACTACAGGCATAAGCCACAGTGCCCAGCCAATCACAATTTTAAATGCCACAAATACACTTTGATCCGTCAATTATACCGATCCATTCTACATAAATACTTGGAGTATACTCAGTTGTATTACTGTATGAGGATGTTCACTCTAGCTTTCTTTATAATATTGAAAAATTACACAATGCCATTCTGCTGTAGAAGAACAATCAGGTTGACTAACTTATGGCATATGAAATTATAGGATACTCTGCAGCAGTTAGAAGGGGGTAAGTGTGTTTTGTTGACATGAAAGAATGTCTATGATATACTGGTGAGAAAAGCCAGCTGCAGAAGTGAGTGTACAGAATTTTCACTTCTGTTAATAGAAAGGAAACTACACATTGAAACACACATTCACTCAAACACTTCTATGTGCACAGAAAAAGGACTAAAAATATACACACCAAAAGTGTTAACAGTGGTTATGCCTGGGAGGTAAGAGGTGCAGAAGTGAGGAAGAACTCGTTTTGAATTTTGCATATACTTCTCATTGACGTTTTTAAGAGGATGCTGTTTGTATACCCCATTTTTTTCCGTAAAGAGACAAAAGAAGTTGAAGGTCATTTCTTAGAAAGTGTTTGGGGACTGGGGGAGGCAGTCAGGGAAGGAGAGGAAGGGAAGAAGCTCTGGCTTTGGGAAAGTCCTCTCCAATATTTCATTCTTATGATGTAAAAATGAAAAGAATGGTTGAGATGTGTACCAATTATAGATCCAACCCAGATTCATAAGAAAAGATAAATCTAGAGCCCTTTCACCATCCCACACTGCCTCTTGAAGAGCCAGAGGCTCGGATATGACAAGCAGTTGAGGAATCAAGGCTAGAGGGGACACACCCCCAGGTTTAACTTCCAATTCTCTTACCTCGTCTTCAGGATCAGGATAAGGTCTCTTGCAAATGCAGTACAATCCAAAAAAGTTGTCATTGTACTTATTGCCAGAATTTACCTTTGCTTTGTCCTGAAATATAATATTGATTTCAATAATAATATGGTCTAATTTTAACTATAATTTCACACATTATAAAATTTATGCATTCAATACATTTCCACATTATTTCCCCCAAGAGGCTGATCTTTAATTTTCAAAGTAGGAAAAAAAAAACTCACTACCACTAAAGGGATACTTTTTTCAGGACACAGGGAAAAAATAATTTTTTTTTGTTTTTTTTTGTGGTAATTAGGAGAAATTAAATACACCTATTCAATAAAATGGAGATAAAAGTTAATCATAAATATTAATTATCAATCTATGTGAACTGATATTGGCCTGGAATTTCAAGGTACTTCTTTTTTCTTTTTGATAGAGATGGGGTCTCACTATGATGCCCAGGCTGGTCTGGGTTCAAGCCATTCTCCCACCTAGGCCTCCCAAAGTGTTGGGATTACAGGTATGAGCCACCACGCCCAGCCTTATTTATTGGTTTTTCTTTTTCTTTTTTTTTTGAGATGGAGTCTCGCTCTGTCGCCCAGGCTGGAGTGCGGTGGCACAATCTCGGGTAACTGCAACCTCCGCCTCCTGGGTTCAAGCGATTCTCCTGCCTCAGCCTCCCAAGTAGCTGGGATTACAGGCACGCACCACCATGCCCAGATAATTTTTTGTATTTTTAGTACGGGGGGGTTTCACCATGATGGCCAAGCTGGTTTTGAACTCCTGACCTCAAGTGATCCACCTGCCTCGGCCTCCCAAAGTGCTAGGATTACAGGTGTGAGCCACCGTGCCCGGCCTATTTATTGTTTTTGTTTGTTTGTTTTGAGATGGAGTCTTGCTCTGTTGCCAGCTGGAGTGCAGTGGCGCAATCTCGGCTCACTGCAACCTCCGCCTCCTGGGTTCAAGCAATTCTCCTGCCTCAGCCTCCCAAGTAGCTGACCGAGTAGATGACTGGGTGCCACCATGCCCAGCTAATTTTTGTATTTTTAGTAGAGACAGGGTTTCACCATGTTGGCCAGGATGGTCTCGATCTCTTGACCCTATTTATTGTTTTTAAGTCATATCCGCTGATTTAAAAGCCTCAGAGAATAAGTACAACCAATATAATTAAACCTGAATTACTTTCAAGTACATCTCTCCCCCAAACCTTTCATATTAATTACCATCTATCTTGTAGGCTCTCAACAGTTTATATAGTTTTTCTAACAAAGTAAAAAATGAAATGGCCATCTGCAAAGAATAAGCATAAGAACTTCTTTTTTTGGAAAATACAGGTATTTGTTTTTTTACCCACTCTGGCAAATATTAACCTCAGCTGCTCTAAATGCATTTATAGTTACAGTGCTTACTTACAGGAAGTAATTTGCATTCCAAATTTTTAAACTTGCTGTTTCCACAATCACAACGAAAATTTCTGAAAAAAGGAGGAAATAACAATTTTATTTTTCTTTTTACAAAATCCAATTTAAAATTTCTTCAAGCATTCAAGCACATAGTAAGACTTCACAATTCGGGAAATTAATATGTACAAAAGCAAATATTTATATCACATACAAACACACAAGTAAAATGATGGCAGGGAAAGATAAATGGTTTGAGTTTGTACCATATTATGTTTTTAAAGGCTCTAGAAACAACTCTCTCCAATTATATAAAATAATTACATTAAATTTCATTAGTGCTGGGCGAGGTGGCTCACGCCTGTAATCCCAGCACTTTGGGAGGCTGAGGCGGGCGGATCACGAGGTCAGGAGATCGAGACCATCCTGGCTAACTCGGTGAAACACCGTCTCTACTAAAAATACAAAAAATTAGCTGGGCGTGGTGGTGGGAGCCTTTAATCCCAGCTATTCGGGAGGCTGAGGCAGGAGAATGGCGTGAACCCGGGAGACGGAGCTTGCAGTGAGCCTAGATCACACCACTGCACTCCAGCCTGGGTGACAGAGCAAGACTCCGTCTCAAAATAAATAAATAAATAAATTAATTAATTAATTTCATTAGTGTTCAACTGCTTTGCATGAAAAAACAAGATTAGGAAAAAGTGTAGATGGGAAAGAATCTATACTTCAAAAGCATTTAGTAACAATCTCTTGACTATGTTTACCTTTTTGTGTATAGCTCAAATAGTTTGTGACTTCCATGACATTCATAACTGCAAGCTAAACAAATTCCTGCTGGTTCTTCTCCCTCTGGGGTGCAGGTACTACAGGCATATAGTGCTTGTCTCTTTACTGAGCCCTGAAAGCCCCCAAAATGGAAAAGAGAATTAATGTAGTAGCATGGTTTACCTAATACCCACACTAGGAACTGAAAAATAATTAAAATCAGATTATCTGTGGTCAAGATCTTTCTGTAAAAACCATTAAGACTAAAAAGTTTACACAACAGAGCATCAACCAAAACACAGTTGCGTTGCAAGTTTCATTTTTATACTAGTGCTTTTTTTCATGCAAGCACTTTTTTCTTTCTTCCTTATTTATTTTTTGCAGAGATAAGGTCTTGCTATGTTGCCCAGGCTGGTCTCAAACTCCTGGGCTCAAGCAATTCTCTGCCTTGGCCTTCCAAAGTGCTGGGATTACAAGCATTAGCCACGACACAAGCCAGCACTTCTTTCTTAAAGTGATAGGAAGTCTGAATTTGTCAATCAGCTGTGAATAAATGGATCTGTTTAATCATTTTAATATGTGAAAACACAGGAGCATATGTACAGGTTTATGTAAGTAACATCACACTTTCATCCTGGAAAATGTTTGTAAATCTACCAAAGAAAGAATCAACACATGCAAAGAATCCCTTTGATTTTTAGGAGATGCCTGCTGAAGTATTTAGAGGTATAGTGTCATCGTGTCTGCAACTTATTTTTAAATAGTTCAAAATTTTAAAACAGCAAATTTTAAGTAGAAAAGGAGATAAAACAAATGTGACAAAATGTTAAAAAGTGAATATGTAGGCTGGGCACGGTGGCTCACGCCTGTAATCCCAGCACTTTGGGAGGCCGAGGTGGGCAGATCACTTGAGGTCAGGAGTTCAAGACCAACCTGGTCAACGTGGTGAAAACCTCATCTCTAGAACACCCCATCCACTAAAAATACAAAAATTAGCTGGACGTGATGGCGGGCGCCTGTTATCCCAGCTACTTGGGAGGCTAAGACAGGAGAATCACTTGAACCCAGGAGGTGGAGGTTGCAGTGAGCAGAGATCATGACATTGCACTCCAGCCTGGGTGGCAAGAGTGAAATTCCATCTCAAAAAGAAAAAAAAAGTGAATATGTATAAGAGGTATAGTTACCTTCCTCTAGGAAGGAGGAAGATAGATAAGGAGGCTTCCGGGATGCCAGTAAGGTTCTATTTCTTTTTCTTTCTTTTTTTTTTAAAGTTCTATTCCAATAAGCCTTTTGCACTCCTAATGTTCTATTTGTTGATCTGGGTTGTGGGAACACGCACACTTTCCTTTCAAGCTGTGTACATGATTTGTGCAAATTTCCGTATTTTTTTTTTTACCACAAAGAAAATATTAAGGAATCCATTTTATAAAGGTAACTACACTTCAAAAATAGTTTACATATAGACATAACTTTTTTCTTTTTTTTTTTTTTAAGTAAAGCAGGGGAAAAATTGTTTTAGTGGTGACCAAAGGTTTTAAAATACCTGGGGCTATGTCTGGATACCAGGTTTATTCAACAATCTAGCACTTTGCAGTGTAAACTAACCTTGGTCAACAACGAGAACTGGTATTATGATCTCAGTTCATACCACATAATGAATACAAGTCTCTCCCCTCATCTCCCCAGTGTTCCAATCCACCCCTCTTCCTAGGTAACCCTTCTTCCTACCAATTCTCATCCTTTGTCAGTCTTCTTCCTACCCATCCTTTTCCATTTTTGTACCTCGAAGTGTAGGGTGAGTCACTAAACACCACATCACACCCCCTCAAACACTTGCTCACTCACAACGTCTTCCAAATGCCAAACAGATCCTTTTCTCCTCTCTCCCCTCCCTTGCCAGAGCCACTTGCTGTTCTGTTTCCGGTCTATTTCCAGGGGAGGGGGGCAGACTGCAGATAGACATGGGTACTTGCTTCATTTTGCCAAAAAAAGAAAGAAAGAAAAAGTACTAGCTAGCACTTGTCCAACTAAATTGCAGAGGAACTAGCTGTCAAGGAGCTCACCGCAAATCCCTATGGATTTGAAAATCTCTTTAACCTGACTCTCCCATTCGGTCCCTAATAAATAAATAAATAAATAATCTTAGGATGGGAAAATCAGGGACAAAGATGTCTGGATCTGAGAGGTCGCGGGGTGGTTTCGTGAAAAGCAGTGGTGCACCAAGAAGAGGCTGGAGAGGACGGACAGAGCAGCTGCTCCAGGGCCCTTCCTGGCGGGCCGGACAGAGTTGGAGACAGGGGAGAGGGGGGCCCCTGCTGGACACAGGCTGAAGGGGGCCCAGGAGGTTGGGGTTAAAAGGGAAGGGTGAGCTTGGGGTGAGGAAGCGGCAGACTAACGGCGGCCCCGGACCACCACTGGGGAGACGACTGCGGCAAGGCGGGAATAGGGACAGCCGGGCCGGGAAGGGGAGGTTCGGCGGGAGCCGGGGGAGAGGAGGCCCGGGCCGCGCGCCCACCTGAGAGTAGGAGCACTTCTCGGAGTCGCTGCCGCCCAGGACAGCGCACGCCTCATTCTCCAGCTCCTCGTCCTCCTCAAGGACGTCGACCAACGATACCACGGGCTCCAGCTCCGACTGCCGCCCAGCGGCGCCCTCGGCTCCGGCCATCCTCAACTGTCAGCCGAACAGCGGCTCGGCCCCGGCGGAGGCGGGAAAAGCGGCCGTGAGGGGCGTAGCCGGAGGAGGTGGGGCCCGAGTGCCAGGAACCAATGACAAGGAAAAAAAGCGAAGGAAGGGGGAGGAGCGACTTCCGACAAACGGATGTCACTCCTCTCCCTTCTCCCGCCTGCGCCGGACGCGGGCTGATTTCCGCCTCCGGGTGGCGCTTCCCGGTGTCGTGTTCTGGAAGCTTAGCGGTCACCATGGAGCTGCTGGGAGAGTACGTCGGGCAGGAAGGGAAGCCGCAGAAGCTGCGGGTGTCCTGTGAGGCGCCGGGTGACGGCGACCCTTTCCAGGGCCTGTTGTCTGGCGTGGCCCAGATGAAGGACATGGTAACGGAATTATTCGACCCTCTGGTACAGGGGGAAGTGCAGCACCGGGTGGCGGCGGCTCCAGACGAGGACTTGGACGGTGAGCTCTGAGACGGTGCTGCAGTGACCGGAGGACGGGGCGGGCGCCCAGGGGAAATTGGCTTGGGGAGCCCGTGTAGAGTGGCAGACTTGGACAAAGTGAGCCTCGAGGAAAGAAGAATTGCATCTAAAAATTTTTGGCGGGCTAGGCGAAGTGGGGCTCACGCCTGTAATCCCAGCACTTTGGGAGGGCGAGGCAGGAGGATCACTTGAGGTCAGGAGTTCCAGAACAGCCAGGGCAACATATCGAGACCCCGTTTCTATTATTATTTTTAAAATAATTTAAAAAATAAAAATTGTTGGCATTTATCACTATATTTATTTGGGCTGCTTCTACTCAAGCGTTTCCACAACTCATCGCTATTTCGTTTATTTCACAAAAAAACGTGTCGAATGCCTACTATTATGTGCCAAACCCTGAGCTGAGCCCTGGAGGAAGAATGAGGTGAATGCGACTCAGTTCCTGCCCTTGTGAAACACAAGGGGACTAGACAGGCAGACACTCTTATTAAAAGTGGAAGTGGTCCGGGCTGGTGGCTCACGCCTGTAATCCCTGCACTTTGGGAGACCGAGGCAGGCAGATCACGAGGTCAGGAGTTCGAGACAAGCCTGGCCAATATGGTGAAACCCTGTCTCTACTAAAAATACAAAAATTAGCTGGGCGTGGTGGCATGCTCCTGTAGTCCCAGCTACTCTACTCGGGAGGCTGAGGCAGAAGAATCGCTTGAACCCTGGAGGCAGAGGGTGCAGTGAGCCGAGATCGCGCCACTGCACTCTATCGTGGGCGACAGAGCGAGACTCCGTCTCAAAAAAAAAGAAAAAAAAAGTGAAAGTGGTTCTGTGGTCCTCTGTAACTGTTGCAAACCCAGACACCCTAGGAAGTCTTCAGAAAGGATAAGACTTTTGAGCTGGGTGTTGAATAAAAAGGAGTTTTATCAGGTGTGAAACTACAGACATACTTGGAAGAGTACAATCTATCGCAGAGTAGGAACAGGTTCCAAAGACTGGGACAGACTTCATTTTATCACGTATTAACTCCCAGAGACTCCCTTGCCTTTCCAGTTTTGTAGGTGCAGTTTGAAAGTAGAAACATGAAGTTTAACTGCATTATTTTTAAAAAATTGCCTCGAATGCAGAAATAGGCAGGTACTTTTTTTTTTTTTTGAGATGGAGTCTAGCTCTGTCACTCAGGCTTGAGTGCAGTGGCACAACCTTGGCTCACTGCAACCTCTCCCTCCCCGGTTCAAGCGATTCTCCTGTCTCAGCCTCCGGAGTAACTGGGATTACAGGCACCCGCCCCCACTCCCAGCTAATTTTGTATTTTTAGTAGAGACAGGGTTTCACTGTGTTGGCCAGGCTGGTCCCGAACTCCTGACCTCGTGATCCACCCGCCTCAGCCTCCCAGAGTGCTGGGATTACAGGCGTGAGCCACCACACCTGGCCAGGCAGGTACATTTTAACCGTCCTGAGCTGAAAAACCCAAGAACTAGATATTAGAGTCAGGATTTACAATTATGTAAGAAGAGCTTAAACTGTACTTTCCTTCCATCTTGGGAAATACATCTTGATAATATGGATGTTGGCTATAATCAAAAAGAACAATAACAAGTGTTGGCTGGAATGTGAAGAAATTGGAGACCTTGTACATTGTTGGTGGAAATGTAAAACAGTGTAACCACTGGGAAAAAGAGTTTGGTAGCTCCTCAAAAAGTTGACATGAAGTTACCATATGACCCAGCAGTTCCACTGGTAGTCCTCCCAAGAAAACTGGAAACGTATGTTCACACAAAAACTTACGCATGAATGTTGATAACAGCAGCATTTATAGTAGCTAAAACGTGGAAACAACAATTGGCTGGGCTTGGTGTTGCGCCTTTAGGAGGTGGGAGGATCATGTGAACCCAAGAGTTTGAAGCTGCAGTGGGCTGATTGCTCCACTGCACTCCAGCCTGGAGGACAGAGTGAGGCCTCATCTCTTCATCTCTAAAAATGATAATTTTAAAAAATAGAAATAATGCAAATATCCATCAACCGATGAGTGCATTAACAAAATGTGGTATATCCATACAATGGACTATTATTAGCAATAAAAAGTAATGAAGTATTAACATGTGCTACAACATGAATGAACCTTGAAAACATTATGCTAAGTGAGAGCCAGACACAAAAGGGTACATGTTGCATGATTTTGTTTATATGAATGTACAGAATAGGCAAATCCATAGAGATAGAGTAGATTAGTGAGCCAGGTGCAGTGGTGGGCACCTGTAGTCCCAGCTACTCTAGAGGCTGAGACAGGAGGATCACTTGAACCTGGGAGTTTGAGTCTAGCTGGGCAACATAGCAAGACCCTATCTCTAATAAGGGGGAAAAAAAGTAGATTAGTGGTTGCCGAAGGCTGAGGGGAATGGAAAGCGACTGCTAATGGGCATATCATTTCTCTTTGGAGTGATGAAAGTGTTCTAGGTGATGGTTGCACAAGCTAGTGAATATACTAAAAACCACTAGGCCGTACACTTTTTAAAAGAGTGGATTTTGGCCAGCCACAATGGTTCATACCTGTAATCCCAGCACTTTGGGAGGCCGAGGCGGGCGGATCACGAGGTCAGGAGAACAAGACCATCTTGGCCAACATGGTGAAACCCCATCTCTACTAAAATGCAAAAAATTAGCCGGGCGTGGTAGCGCGTGCCTGTAATCCCAGCTACTTGGGAGGCTGAGACAGAGGAATCGCTTGAACCCCGGAGGCGGAGGTTGCAGTAAGCTGAGATCGTGCCACTGCACTCCAGCCTGGCGACAGAGCAAGACTATCTCAAAAAAAAAGAAAAAAAGAGTGGATTTTATGGTGAATGAACTAATATTTCCAAAGAGGAAAGTGATAGAAAATAAAGATTTTAAACACTGAAATTCTCAAAATCATTTTAATCTAAAATGTGCAGGTTTTATTAATCCCTAAAGTGAAATGGTCTCATTATCAACCACTTTAGCTATATATATTTCTTTCAGCCATAGAACGTATTGTCATACAACAAATATTTATTTTAAAAGGTGATGATGAAGATGATGCAGAAGATGAAAATAACATTGATAACAGAACTAACTTCGATGGACCATCTGCAAAACGGCCAAAAACACCGTCTTAACAATAGCCTTCATGACATTTAAAAGATGGCTGTTGTATCCTTATTGTCACACTAGGACATTTAAGGAAGACTTATGCTCTAATTTGGAAAAAGCATTTGTGTTGTTCTCCTGGGACAATTTTGTCAAAGAGAAAACTGGTTTTTCTGTTTCTAGCAAAGATAGTAAAGGCTTAGAAATAAAATCTGTTTTCTTGAGAAATAAATTTCAGACCCTGGAAGGAAAATAGAACACTTCATAATGTATAAAATCCTCTAAGTTGGCAACTGAATTTTTATCATTGTTTTCTATTTTTAAAATAATCATTGATTTGTGTGATGTCTACATCTTTTAACTTCTGGTTCTGTTATAAAGAGTACATGTCACGGTTCATAGGCAGTAACATTTCAGAGAACTGACATGAACAAGTAGTGAAAATTGGGCATTAAATATAAAAATAACAGTTCTTCATAAACAGAAGGAAAATAAGGAAATAGAAATACCGACGAGAAAGGAGAGTCCTTGAAAGAGACCCAAGGAAACCCTGAATTCATACCCACGTCAAATATGCACATATCCTGAGATGATGCCACTTTGATGAATGTGCATTAGTCTGATTTATCATGTACCTTAAGAGAGCCAGATGGGGTATGTTTTTGTGCTGTGATATGGTATTTATACAGGTACAAATATAAGGCCTTAAGTAAACAATCTGCATTGATTACAATTTGGATATTTCCTCTCCTCCTGTAGCCATACTTTGATTTTGCTTTAAAAAGATTATTGAATCCTTTTAAAAATATATATTCCTAAAATATGTATGTGTGTGTGTTTCTTTTCTGCTCGTCAGTGGGACTAAGGCATTTTTATTTGCTGTGCATCCTTCCTGATTTAGATAGCTTCAATGCAAAGAAATCAAGTAGCATGTACCTAGTAAAATACAAATAGTCATGGAATTTTAGAGTTGGAAGTCACTTTACAAATTATGTGATTTATTTCAGAGATAAATCTAAGGATAAGTATTTGCCCTCAGATTACAGAGCTAACCATTGACAAACTGGGTTACATAAATAGCCTTTAGATTTTTTTTAAGCTGATAAAAGGTGAGAGAAGATCAACTTTTTTTTTCTTTTTTTTTTTTTTTTTGAGACAGAGTTTCACTCTTGTTGCCCAGGCCGGAGTGCAGTGGCACAATCTTGGCTCACTGCAACCTCTCCCTCCCGGATTCAAGCAATTCTTCTGCCTCAGCCTCCCAAGTAGCTGAAATTACAGGCATGTGCCACCACGCCCAGCTAATTTTGTATTTTTAGTGGAGATGGGGTTTCACCATGTTGGTCAGGCTGGTCTCGAACTCCTGACCTCAGGTGATTCACCCACCTTGGCTTCCCAAAGTGCTGGGATTACAGGCATGAGCCACCACGCCAGGTCAATTTTTTTTTTTTTCCCAGGGTCAACTTTTTTTTCAGATGGAGTCTTGCTCTGTTGCCCAGGCTGGAGTGCAATGGTGCGATCTGGGCACACTGCAACCTCCACCTCCCAGGTTCAAGCAATTGTCCTGCTTCAGCCTCCTGAGTAGCTGGGATTGTAGGTGCACACCACCACGCCCGACTAATTTTTATATTTTTAGTAGAGATGGGGTTTCACCATGTTGGTAAGGCTGGTCTCGAACTCCTGACCTCGTGACCCGCCCGCCTCAGCCTCCCAAAGTGCTGGGATTACAGGCGTGAGCCACCGTGCGTAGCCTTTTTTTCTTTCTTTCTTTTTTAAATTTTTATTTTTAGACAGGGTTTCACTCTGTCACCCAGGCTGGAGTGCAGTGGCACGATCGCGGCTCACTGTCACTGCAACCTCCGAGTCCCAGGCTTAGGTGATCTTCCCACCTCACCCTCTCAAATAGCTGGGACCACAGGCATGCACCAGCACACCTGGCTAATTTTTTTGTATTTGTAGAGATGGTTTCACCACGTTGCCCAGGCTGGTCTAGAACTCCTGGACTCAAGGGATCTGCCCACCTCTGCCTCCCAAAGTGCTGGGATTACAGGCGTGAACCACCATGCCCGGACTAATCAACTTTTATGAATCACTTTTATTGTGAAATAATTTAAGTGAAACTCAATTTACACACTTTTTCATATCCTTGAAATATTGTTTTAGTTGGAACAGCAAGCAGCCTTCCACTAAGTACTCTTGGGCAATCAAAACAGTGCCAACTAGAAAAAGTTATGGATGGTCAGAAATTATCTTTGTTTAGTTTATGTTGATGTTTCTAACATTTAACTTATTTATTATAGTACTGTTATCTCTATACAATCATTAAAGAAAAAACTGGTTGGGCACGGTGGCTGATGGCTGTATTCCCAGCACTTTGGGAGGCCGAGGTGGGCGGATCACCTGAGGTCGAGGGTTCGAGACCAGCCCAACCAACATGGAGCAACCCAGTCTCTACTAAAAATACAAAATTTGCCTGGTGTGGTGGCACATGCCTGTATTCCCAGCTACTTGGGAGGCTGAGGCAGGAGAATAGCTTGAAACTGGGAGGCAGAAGTTGCAGTGAGCCAGTGGTGCCATTGCACACCAGACTGGGCAACAAGAGCGAAACTCCATCTCAAAAAAGAAAAGAAAAAAACTTACCTGTATATACTGAAAAGAGAGCACATTGTTAAACTGATATTTGAACCTTTTCTCTGAACATTTTATGTTTCCTCCTTTGGAAAATGTGGTTATAAAGAAGAAATTTCAAGATAATATTTGTGTTTGTGTCCCAGTGTTTTTAGGTTCTGATTTATAAGATTGGTCTTTTAATTAATTTTAATACTGATTTCAATTCTAATACTGTCTTCTTCATAAGTAAGCCATGTGTTTGACAAAGATGGACCAGTATAGAAGAAATGCTTTGCCAAGTTGCCTAATCTGCTGCTGCTCTTGGGTCTCACTGTCACTCAGGCTGGAGTACAGTGGCGCAATCAGCTCACTGCAGCCTGGAATTCCTGGGCTCAGGTGATCCTCGCACCACAGCTTCCCAAGCAGCCAAGCACTAGGTGTGTGCCATCACGCCAGGCTAATTTATTTTTTATCTTATTTCTTCTTTTTTTTTTTTTAGACGGAATTTCGCTCTTGTTGCCCAGGCTGGAGTGCAATGGTGCAATCTTGGCTCATTACAACTTCCACCTCCCAGGTTCAAGCGATTCTCCTGCCTCAGCCTCACAAGTAACTGGGACTACCGGCATGCGCCACCAGGCCAGGCTAATTTTGTATTTTTAGTAGAGATGGGGTTTCTCCATGTTGATTAGGCTGATCTCAAACTCCCGACCTCAGGTAATCCACCCGCCTTGGCCTTCCAAAGTGCTGGGATTACAGACACCGCACCCGGCCATTTTTTTTTTTTTTTTTTTTTGAAATGGAGTTTCACTCTTTTTGCCCGGGCTGGAGTGAAATGGCATGGTCTTGGCTCACTGTAACATCCACCTCCCAGGTTCAAGCGATTCTCATGCCTCAGCCTCCCAAGCAGCTGGGATTACAGGTGCCTGCCACCACGCCTGGCTAATTTTTGTATTTTAGTAGAGACATGGTTTCACCATGTTGGCCAGGCTGGTCTTGAACTCCTGACCTTAGGTGATCCACCCACTTTGGCCTCCCAAAGTGCTTGGATTACAGGTGTGAGCCACCGTGCCCAGCTGCCAGGCTAATTTTTTAATTTTTTGTAGAGATGGGGGCCTTGCTTTGTAGCCCTGGGTGGTCTTAAAACTCTTGGCTGTAAGCGATCCTCCTGCCTTGGCCTCCCAAAGTGCTAGGATTACAGGCATGAGCCACCGCACCTGACAAATCTGCCTTCTGTGGTACAAACAGCCACAGGCAAGCAGAATAAAGTTACTCTTTGAAACAGCTCCAACTTTACTTTTGAACAGGAAAGTCAGCCGCACAATCCTACCTAAAAATAAGCTTGACATTAGACTTAGATAAATCTTTTAAAATGTGAAACATATGGAATTTATGCAAGATAGATGTGTTTTCTAAAAGTAAGTCCTTTTGCGTCACAGAAATGTTTATTTTAATAATAGAATTCTGTGGCCAAGGACGAGAACTTTTTTATAATAGGTTGTGGTTGCTTGGCTATAATATTAGGTTGGTGCAAAATTAATTTTAAGACATTTAAACCTTTTTGGGAAGAAAAACTTACTTTGGAAAAGTAGGAAAAAAAATGTATGTGAGGAAATCAATTCCCCCGCCTCTCCATTTAGAAATGGGCATTCAGAATCAGAGGATTTTTTTTTTTTTTTGAGATGGTCTCTGTCATGCAGGCTGGAGTGCAGTGTCATGAACATAGCTCGCTGCAACTTCAAACTCATTTGGAAGGTAAGGGCTCAAGCAATCTTGAGTTCAATAGCTCAAGATTTTTCAGGGCTCAAGCAGTCTTCCCACTTGGCCTATAGAGTAGCCAGGACTACAGGTGCATGCAATCACGCTTGGCTATTTTTTTTTTTTTTTTTGAGACGGGGGAGGTCTCAGTTACGTTGCCTAGGCTGTTTTCTAATTCCTGGCCTCAAGTGATCCTCTTCAGCTCAGCCTCCCCAAGAGCTGGAATTACAGGCCTGAGCCACCATGCCCAGCTTAGACTCAGGATTTATGCTTCTGCCACTAGTTGCCTTTCAAATCCTGGGCCAAATGACCTCCTTTGTCTATCTACTTATCCTTTAGGTTTCAGTTTAAACATTTGCTTCAGGAGAACTTTTGAATTTTTTAATTGAAAAAGCCTGTACTTCTAAAGGAAATAAAGTTTATGTTTTCTTCCAAATGAGAAAATCAGTTGGAGATGTCTGTGGCCCTCAGTTTATTATGTAGTACTTTTATCTAGTTTCTATTTAACCTAAAGATGCAACTGTTTCTCAAATTGTTCCATCAATGTAAGTATAGACTATCATTTCTTATATTGCAATAAGATACATACATAAGACAACCTGTGGCTGAGCGTGGTGGCCCACACCTGTAATTGCAGCACTTTGGGAGGCCAAGACTGGCAGATCACCTGAGGTCAGGAGTTCGAGACCAACCTGGCCAACATGGTGAAACCCTGTCTCTACTAAAAATACAAAAAATCAGCTAGGCATGGTGGTGTGCAGCTGTAATCCCAGCTACTAGGGAGACAGGCAGTAGAACTGCTTGAACCCAGGAGGTGTGGGATGCACTGAGCCGAGATTGTGCCACTGCACTCCAGCCTGGGTGACAGAGCAAGACTTCGTCTCAAAAAAAAAAAAAAAAAAAAAGACAACCTGAAAACCTAAGCTTTTTAACTCAGTCGTCAACCTCTATGTGTTACGACAAAACTTTTTTTTTTTTGAAACGGAGTCTCCTGTCGCCCAGGCTGGAGTGCAGTGGCGCCATCTGGCCCACTGCAAGCTCTGCCTTCCTGGTTCACACCATTCTCCCTCCTCAGCCTCCCGAGTAGCTGGGACTACAGGCGGCCGCAACCGTGCCTGGCTAATTTTGTTTTTTTTTTGTATTTTTAGTAGAGTCAGGGTTTCACCATGTTAGCCAGGATGGTCTCGATCACCTGACCTCGTGATCCGCCTGCCTCGGCCTCCCAAAGTGCTGGGATTACAGGTGTGAGCCACCGAGCCCGGCATGACAAAATCTTTACAAGCAATTCCTTGTATGAACTATTGTGATTGGTAGTTGAGCACCACACAGTTCAAAACTATATCCATACTGGTGATGGGTGCAGATAAACATGTTTGGGGAAATTAATAATACTACAATGTAAAAATCCAGAAACCATAGTGGAAAGTATTAGTAAACATGATTCATAATAACTAAAATTTCTGAACATTCTGTAAATATGGTCAAAATAAAAACAGGGAAAAGTATTAAGTATTTTTAGCACAAATGACTAAGAACAAATTCTTTTATGTAGATCCCTTATATACTAGTCAGGAAAATATAACGGAAACATAGGCAGAGGAAAGGAACCACAAGATCACAGAAGAAATACACATGGCTTTTCAGTGAAAAAAAAAAGTGCACTTCAAATAAGTTAACATTAAAACCACAATGCAATACCATTTTTTTACTTTTCAGATGGAAAAATCAACAGTTTTGATGCAGTACTGAGCTGGAAAGGATGTGAGGTCTATAATATATTGATGGTGAGAGTGTAAATTGCTATAAGCTCTTAGAAAGTCAAGTCGACAATTCTGTTAAAATATTAGTCCAGGGGCAGTGGCTCACGCCTCTAATCCCAGCACTTTGGGAGGCCGAGGTGAGTGGATCACAAGGTCAAGAGATCGAGACCATCCTGGCCAACCAACATGGTGAACCCCGTCTCTACTAAAAATACTTTAAAAATTGAAAGTTTTGGCGTGCCTGTAGTGCCAGCTACTCAGGAGGCTGAGGCAGGAGAATCACTTGAACCCGGGAGGCGGAGGTTGCAGTGAGCCAAGAGTGAGCCACTGCACTTCAGCCTGGCAACAGAGCGAGACCGTGTCTCAAAAAATAATAATAATAATTATATATATATATAATGTACATGCTCTTTGACTCAGCAATTTCATTTATAGGTATTTGTCCTACAGAGTAACACACATGCACAAAGATCTATTTATAAGACTATTTGTTGCAGCATTATTGGTAACAAAAGGCTGGAAACAACCTAACTGTTCATCAGAAGACCATAATTAGATAAAAATAGAGGAAACTTAGTACAACAATATTGTGCAGCTATGGAAAACACTAAGGTAAAGCTCTATATGCTGTTTAAGATCAATCTCTGAGATATGCTTAATAAAAACTAGCAAGATAACTGTATAGAATGCTACTATTGGGGAATATAAGCTAGATAGACATATATCTCTGAAAGAATAGCACAACTACCTCTGGGAAGAGGGAGGGGAGTAGGAGTTGGGAGTGAGGGAGTTTTTTCATTTTATGCCCTTTTCTTTTTCCATTTAAAAAAAGGATGTAATTTTCTACCTGAATACAGAACATTATTTTGAAACTTTCTTTTTTTTTTGATATGGAGTCTTGCTCTGTCCCCCAGGCTGGAGTACAGTGGTGGGATCTTAGCTCACTGCAAGCTCTGCCTCCCGGGTTCACACCATTCTCCTGCCTCAGCCTCCAGAGTAGCTGGGACTACAGGCGCCCGCCACCACGCCCGGCTAATTTTTTTGTATTTTTAGTAGAGATGGAGTTTCACCGTGTTAGCCAGGATGGTCTCCATCTCCTGACCTCATGATCTGCCTGCCTTTGCCTCCCAAAGTGCTAGGATTACAGGTGTGAGCCACCTCACCTAGCCAAAACTTTCAATTTTTAATTTTACAAAGTTATGCTTTAGATTTAATAAGAACAGAGCAGCCATATTAACAGTTTAAAACACTGTCGTGTTAGTAATTCAGGGCAAAAAATAACCAGTTCAGACTTTAAAAGCAGAGCAAAAAAAATCCACATTTCCCATCCAACCACTTTGTCAGAAGGAGGAGGAAAAGCCCAGCACGGTGGCTCTCCCTGGTAATCCTAGCACTTTGGGAGGGGGAGGTGGGAGGATCCCTTGAGCCCAGGAGTTCTAGACAAGCCTGGACAACAGAGCAAGACCTTGTTTCAAAAAAGAAAACAAGAAAAAGAATGATAATGCAACTTCCAGAGAGTAGGAGAGCTGGGCTAAATATGAAATAAGATACCATAAAAAAGGAGCCACCTTGGCCAGGCACAGTGGCTCACACCTGTAATCCCAGCACCTTGGGAGGCTAAGAAATAAGATGCCATAAAAAAAGAGAAGAGGTATTTCTGAAACTGATGTGCCTAACCTTGAAAACAATGGCCCTATAGCCAGTGTGTTATTTTCAAAGTATAAAATGAATTTCACAATGTTGCTATAAGTACTCCACTTCTCAGGTGACCTTTGAGATCAGAATTGCTCTATTTAAAGACATGGCCCAGGAAACTGAAGTTAGACAGTAAGCTTCTATTTAAATCTTTTAAAAAGTAGCAGCTGACATTGGGATAGTAACAGGCCATAGGGTGCAGTTTTAAATAGAGATTTATTCCAATGCAAAAAATTCTACTGGGGATAGAAGTAACTTCTAGAAACAGTAGTTTAAATGAGTGCTTTATGAGTCCAAGATATTGAACACCAGAGTACTGGAATTGTGTGCTGTAGCTCTAAGAGTTGTGACACTTGGCCAGGCATGGTGGCTCACACCTGTAATCCCGGCACCTTGGGAGGCTGAGGCAGAAGGATTGCTTGAGCCCCAGGAGCTTGAAACCAGCCTGGGCAACATAGCAAGACCCCATCTCTTAAAAAAAAAAGAGCTGTGATACTTGCTGCATGTTAGGTGGTTTAAAAAACCATTATCTTCATGATTGTAGCTTGAGAATTTCTCAGGGACTCTAACCACCACTTAAACCTTATTTGTGAATGTGTTTTTCTCTGCATCAGTAAAGAAAATTGGCCAGGCATGGTGGTTCACATCTGTAATCCCAGCACTTTGAGTGGCCAAGGTGGGCAGATCGCTTGAACCCAGGGCTCTGAGACCAGCCTGGCAACGTGGTGAAACCCTATCTCTAAAAATAAAAACAAAAAATAAAGAAAATTCCAAGACAACCAATATTACAAGAACTGTCAGTAAAAAATTTCTGGTCTGTCCCTGGATCTAAAATAAATAAGTAAGTTGAGATACTCATTTTAAATCTTGGCCTTGAAGATAATATACCCCTACATGCTGAAATATGAAAGAGCTCAACAATTAAACTAGAAGATGGGACAGATTGTACTATGCATTTAACAGTAAATGTTAACTTTTTTTTTTTTTTTTTTTTTTGAGACAGAGTCTTGGTCTGTCACCCAGGCTGGAGTGCAGTGACGTGATCTCAGCTCACTGCAACCTCCGCCTTCCAGGTTCAAGTGATTCTCCTGCCTCAGCCTCCTGAGTACCTGAGATTACAGGCATGCATCAGCATGCCCAGCTAATTTTTAAATTTTTAGTAGAGACGGGGTTTGGCCATGTTGGCCAAGCTGGTCTCAAACTCCTGACCTCAGATGATCTGCCTGCCTCGGCCCCCCAAAGTTCTGGGATTACAGGTGTGAGCCACTGCACCCAGCCAGATGTTAACTTTTAACCTTTATTCTATCTGGACAGTGAACTAGATTGCTTTGTGGTCTAGCAAGAAGTGTTCAGTGGCAATAAGAATTATTCAATAAAAATATTACTGAGCAACTGCTATGTGCTGGGCACTGTTCTAGGCATAGGGCCCGCAGCACTGCACAAAGAGACAAAATTTCTGCTATCATAGACTTCAGATTCTGACAAAATATATAACATAGTACATGGTGCTAAGTGCTATGGAGAAAAACGGAAAGTGGATGGTTAATTTCAAATAGGGGTCATCAGAGGCAGCCTTACTAAGGTGACATTTCAGCAGGCCAGGGTGGAGCATCCAGGCAGAAGACACACTGAGTGCAGCGTATTCTGGTGAGTTCAAGAATCAGCAGGAAGACCAGTGTCTGGAGTGGAGTCAAGGGCAGAGGGAGTAGTAGAAAATGAAGTCAAGGCTGGGTGTGGTGGCTCACGCCTGTAATCCCAGCACTTTGGGAGGCTGAGGCGGGTGGATTACTTGAGGTCAGGAGTTCGAGACCAGCCTGGCCAACATGGTGAAACCCCGTCTCTACTAAACATACAAAAATTAGCCGGGCATGGTGGCGGGTGTCTGTAATCCCAGCTACTCAGGAGGCTCAGGCTGGAGAATCACTTGAACCCAGGAGGCAGAGGTTGCAGTGAGCTGAGATCTGGCCACTGCACTCCAGCCTGGGCAACAAGAGTGAAACTCCATTTCAAATAAATAAATAAATAAATAAATAAAATGAAAATGAGGTCAAGGGCAGGGCAGGGCCATTTACTTAGGACTTGCCATGTGAAGGACTTTGCTTTTCATTCTGAGAAGGGAAGCTATGGGAGGATTTTTGAGAGGAGTAACATTTTAAAAGGATCCCCCTGACCACATGGATGATAACAGACTCGTAGGAAACTCGAGGAACAGATTTTGATGGGTGGAGAGATCGGCAGCTTAGATTTGAATAGGTTCAATTTCATGTGCCTGGTAAGACATATTACCAAGCACCATGTCAAGGCCTATCAAGTAGGCAACTGGATAGTCAAGTCTGGAGCTCAGGAGAGGGATCCAAGGTAGTGACATAAATTTGTATATTTATTTATTTTGACACAAGCTCTTGCTCTGTCGCCCAGGCTGGAGTGCAGTGGTGCAATCTCCGTTCACTGCAACCTCCACCTCCCAGGCTCAAGTGATCCTCCCACATCTGCCTCCCAAGTAGCTGGGATCACAGACACGTGCCACGATGCCCGGCTAATTTTTGTATTTTTAGTAGAGGTGGGGTTTCACTATGTTGGCCAGGCTGGTCTCCAACTCCTCGCCTCAAGTGATCTGCCTACCTCGGCCTCCCAAAGTGCTGGAATTACAGGCATGGCTCATGCCATCACGCCTGGCCAATTCATATATTGAAAGCCATGAGTCATGGATGAGATGTCCAAAGGAGTACACACAGAAAAAAGAACTGGGGCACTCCAACATTTAGAGGTTGAGCAGATCTCCAACAAGGAACTAGCAAAGACTTAAGAAGCTGCTGAGGGCCAGGAGTGGTGGCTCATGCCTGTAATCCCAGCACTTTGGGAGGCCGAGGTAGGCAGATCACTTGAAGTGAGGAGATGGAGACCAGCCTGGCCAACATAGTGAAACCCCACCTCTACTAAAAATACAAAAATTAGCCGGGCATGGTGGCACGCGCCTGTGGTCCCAGCTACTTGGGAGGCTGAGGTGGGAGAATCGCTTGAACCCGGGAGATGGAGGCTGCAGTATGCTGAGATCGCACCACTGCACTCCAGTCTGAGCAACAGAGCAACAGCTTGTCTCAAAAAAAAAGGAAAAAAAAAAAAAAGCTGGTGAGGAAGAAGGCAAACCAGTTAAATATCTAGAATGGGACCATCTAATACATGGTGCCACATATGCTATTTAATTAGAATTTAAAACTCAGTTTCTCAGTCACATTAGCCACATTTCTTTTTTTAGAAATAGGATCTCACCCTGTTGCCCAGGCTGGGGTGCAGTGGTGCAATCATAGCTCACCGCAGCTTCGAACTCCTGGGCTCAGGGTATCTTTCCACCTTAGCTTCCCAAGTTGTCGGCATACAGGTGTGAGCCGCCATGCCAGTGTGAGCCGCCATGCCAGGCTCATGTTAGCCACATTTCAAGGGCCCCTTTCAGGTAGCTGTTGGCTACTGATCTGGACAGCAAAGATACAGAACATCGCCAGCATTGCTAAAGTTCTATTGGACAGTGCTGGTCAGGAAGACAACTGAAGAAAGTATCTCAAGGACAGGGAGTGTCAAAAACTAATAGTAATAGTAATTTGAGGACTGAGACTTGACCATTGGATTTAGTTATGTGTAAGTGACCAGCAACTTCCTGACAGGACAGCAGTTTTGGTAGAGTGGGAGGCAAAAGCCTGATAGAAGTATATTCAGGACAAACTGGAGGAGAGGACTCGAAATCAAAAGAGAGGAGAGGACTCGAAATCAAAAGAGACAACTCTAAAGATTTGCAATTAAGATGGCTAGGGTGAATTAAACTGCAACGTATTTGTTGAAGCTGTTCCAAAGACAAGCCCAATTCTCATGACAGTTGAGTTTTTGGTAAACGGCACATAAAAACCCATGGACCAGTGATTTGCAACCCTGAGAGAATCATTTGAAGATTGCTTGGGGTCCATCCCAGAGATGTAACTGGTTGGAAAGGGACCCTGGCATTGTTTAAATGTAAGAAGTTTTCTTTGGGTAATTCTAATGTACATACAGCCACAGTCTAAGACCTATTCACTGCCTTAGAGGAAAGCATAAATACAAATGCATCATGATTCCCAATCATGGTCCAAAATTATATGGCACTTCTTTTTATGTTGGAAAATTTATTAAATGATGGCACATATTTGCTGCAAAGATGAGACATGGTATTGTGGTAAGTTTTTCTGCCAGTGTTTTGGAGATTGAGAATGTTAAATCCATCAAGATGGGAATCAACACTAGATAATCTTTTTTTATTATTTTTATTATTTTTTTGAGACAGAGCTTCGCTCTTGTTGCCCAGGCTGAAGTGCAATGGCGTGATCTCAGCTCACCGCAACCTCCACCTCCCGGGTTCAAGCAATTCTCCTGCGTCAGCCTCCCGAGTAACTGGGATTACAGGCATACACCACCACGCACGGCTAATTTTGTATTTTTAGTAGAGATGGGGTTTCACCATGTTCATCAGGCTGGTCTCGAACTCCCGACCTCAAGTGATCCGCCTGCCTCGGCCTCCCAAAGTGCTGGGATTATAGGCATGAGCCACCACGCCCAGCTGATAATCTTTAAAAAAAAAAAAAAAGACTAATCCTACTCACCATGAACAAATATGCTGGTTCCATGGCTTTGTGGGTACAGTTACTCATAGAAGCACTTTATCTGATGACTGCACTTCCCCAAAGAAAAGCTTTCTGTTAACTGTACAAATTTTGAAATAGAACCAAATTCTAACCTTCAAGGAATCACAACTTTTACTTTAAAACTGGTATTAAGAACAATTTAATATTAAAAAACGAGACAACTTAAAAACTGGTAGCATCTTTAAAACCAGAAAATTTACATGGGGACTAAAGCTCCATGAATTACATGATTCTGTAATTCAGTTTTCTGTTCCCTATACTGGCACTTTTGAAAAAATATCTGGCATGTTTTGGTGAAAAGTCTCAACAGGATTACTTCATTTCACATATAGTTGCAAATAAAATCACCTATCAAATCATTGTAGGATATAGCTCTATTTTTCTCATCTCTGGAAGCGAGTGTTTCCTAGTTATGAATCCTAGAATGTCCACTCCCTAAAATCCCTGAAGCACTTACTCTATTTGCCATTCATCTCACTAAGTAATCCTGTACTCACTGCTTTTTGTATTATGATGTGAACATGAAATAAATGGGCTGAGCACAGTGGCTCACACCTGTAATCCCAGCACTTTGGGAGGCCAAGGCGGGTGGATCACCTGAGGTCAGGAGTTTGAGACCAGCCTGGCCAACATGGCGAAACCCCATCTCTACTAAAAATACAAAAATTAGCCAGGTGTGGTGGCGTGCGCCTGTAATCCCAGCTACTTGGGAGACTGAGGCAGGAAAATCACTTGAACCCAGGAGGCAGAGGTTGCAGGGAGCCGAGACGTCATTGCACTCCAGCCTGAGCCGACAGAGCGAGACTCTGTCTCAAAAAAAAAAAAAAAAAAAAGAAAAGAAAAAAAAATGATGATCTGCTATCACACACAGGTCTCCTAACCATCAATTTCAACCTCTTCCTCAATCCAAGAGCTAACAGATTAAAAAATATATTTCACTTTTCCCTCTTTACCTTACCTAAAAAATGCTTTGAACTATTAAATAGCCACAAACCAGAAATAATCCACAACTTGGATAAATAGCTCCTAATCAAAAAGCAGATTAAACCTGCAATCTGAAATATAGTAATTACATTTGGAAATACTGAATTTACTACATTAATCCTACTCTAATTATTTTACTATTTCTTCTATCAAGGCAAAAGGCAATATAATCTTGAAAGATAGAGATGGACTGAACATTTGCTTACCAAATCCCAAAATACTAGAATTTGAAGTATAAAAAGAGATGAATCAACTTCATTAAGAAAACTTTGCAATACCAGTGGCAACCTCACAAACCTTGCATTACATAACCTTTTTTTTTTTTTTTTTTTTTTTTTGCAATGGAATCTTGCTCTTGTGGCCCATGCGATCTTGGCTCACTGCCACTCTCCCTCCTGGGTTCAAGCGATTCTCCTCCCTCAGCCTCCTGAGTAGCTGGGATTACAGGCATGCACCACCAGCCGTGGCTAATTTTTCTATTTTTAGTAGAGACAGGGTTTCACCACGTTGGCCAGGCTGGTCTTGAACTCCTGGCTTCAAGTGATCTGCCCACCTCAGACTCCCAAAGTGCTGGGAGTAGCATGAGCCACCCCTTTTTAATAGAAATGGGGTCTCGCCATGTTGCCCAGGCTGGTCATGAACTCCTGGGCTCAGGCTATCCTCCCATCTCTGCCTCCCAAAGTGCTAGGATTACAGATGCCACCACTCCCAGCCTACATAAAGCATTTATAAAACAAAACAAAACTGAAATAATTTTCTTAAATCACTGCCTCAAGACTAATAAAACTGGCAACTCTCAATGATTTCCCTCAAATTACTCTCCTTTTTGAGAAGCAGTATAGAATGATAAAAAGCTGGAGATCTGAAGCCAACATCCTAGGTTCAAATCGGCTCTTTCACATACTGGCTATGTGACTATGGACAAGTTATTCCTACGTGTTTCAGGTTTCTTCTGTAAAATGACACTAGTAGCAGTATAATACCTGCCTCCCAGGACTGTTGTGAAGAATAAATGTAAATCACTCATAAACAATGTCTGTAACATGCATACTGAATACTTAAAAGATGCAAGTGATTTGGTCATCTGACCCTCACAAAAACAAGTATTTCAAACTGCTGCTTACTTTGAGGATTCCACGTGTTATATCAAAAGATATATCATTTCAGTAACTAGACCTTTGGAGGCAGTGAGATAAATGAGACTAATTGATCTGAAGGATCTGATCTGCTACTTTTACATCACAAAGGTACCTGCTTTATCTTTTAAGTAACAGCTTGCTATGGAATACTCAGCCTTCCTTTCGGGTTCAGTCAGATGTAGTGGAAAGATGAGGTTGCTAGGAAACTTTCAGATTTCTAGTAGACAAATAGAGAAAAACTTGTCAATACTATTGCCATTTCCATTCTTTGGCATGACTGGGCAAAGAGTACCCAGTGCTAAAACATTTGTCATTTGTGAGAAGCGCTATGCCTCTGTGGTTAGTAACGATGGCGTTAGAATGCCTGGTTATAACCCTGGCTCTGCTACTCGCTGTGACCTTTGGCAAGTTACTTGACTTCTCTGCCTCAGTTTCCTTATCTGTGAAATCTGGATAATAATACCCATCTTATAGGGTTGTTGGGAGGATTACATTAGTTAATTTCCATAAAGCTCTTAGAATAGGGCCCAACAGAATAAGCATCAAAAAGTGTTGATTATTAAAAGCATAAAATGTTTTCCAGTATTAATGACATAACTGTATAAAAATATATCTTGATCTCATGCAGAAAAGAAATGCTACTGTGTCCATGTTTTAGTTATTTGTATTAGTACCAGATGTGAGGTAGTACAAATGCAAAGGAGAAGGTACAGGAACACATCTTCATGTAATTAACCTACTGCCTGATGACCTGACCTTGGGCCAGAAAAGAAAATCAGAAAGATTATGACTTGATAGCATCTTTTAGAGGGGTCTCATGCATCTGATAAGGACTGGACTAAATTACCTGCTATAGGCTGGCCATGGTGGCTCATGCCTGTTATCCTAGTACTTTGGGAGGCTGAGGTGTATCACTTGAGGTCAGGAGTTCGGGACCAGCCTGGACAACATGGTGAAACCCCGTCTCTACTAAAAATACAAAAATTAGCCAGGCATGGTGGTGGGTGCCTGTAATCCCAGCTACTCGGGAGTCTGAGGCAGGAGAATAGCATGAACCTGGGAGGTGGAGGTTGCAGTGAGCTGAGATCGCACTTCTGCACACCAGTCTGGGCTACAGAGCAAGACTCCATCTCAAAATAAATAACATAAATAAATACAGCTAGGCATGGTGGCTCATGCCTGTAATCCCAGGCCTTTGGGAGGCTGACGCAAGTGGATTACCTTAGTTAGGTGAGGAGTTTGAGACCAGCCTGGCCAACATGCTGCAACCCTGTCTCTACTAAAATAACAAAAATCAGCCAGGCATGGTGGTGGTCACCTGTAATCCCAGCTACTCAGGAGGCTGAGGCAAGAGAATCGCTTAAACCCGAGAGGTGGAGGTTGCAGTGAGCCGAAGGTTCCAGTGAGCCAAGACTGCACCACTGCACTCCATCCTGGGTGACAAAGCAAGGCTCCGTCTCAAAAATAATAATAATAATTTAAATAAATAATAAATAACCTGCTAGATTTTCATTGAACACATTGTTTCCATCTTCTATTTGTAAGTTATTTCTAGCCTTTCAACATTTAACACTTAGTTTCTTCCCAGATAGTTTTCTAAATCAGTAGCATTGGAGCGTACGTTCTCAGGGCCTTCTGAGACTGTGTCACAAGTCATGGAAAAAAAAAATTTTTTTAATTAAAAATAGCTGGGCATGGTAGCTCACACCTGTAATCCTAGCACTTAGGGAGCCAGAGAGAGGAGGAAAGCTTGAGCCCAGGAGTTCGAGACCTGCCTGGGCAACATAGCGAGACCCCATTCTCCACAAAAAAGAAAAATATAAAAAATAAAACCATTAAAAGCATTAATAATAATTTAGCCATTACCAAGAGGAAGAACAAATTCTGCTTATCAAGACAGCCATTTCCTCAATAATTTTTTAGCAATGCCTCATAAGCTGACAGCAAGTCTAGACAGCTGGCTTAGCTGCAATAGAATGAATCGGTGTTTTAAGTGTGAAGAATTTTAAAGCAAGCCAAGTAATTGTATAAAATTTAAATTTTATGATCATGTCTGGACCTTTTTACACTTAACACAATGGAAATGTTCATATTCATTTTTTTCCCCAAAGGAAAAATTTCTGAATCATCACTATGTTGCACAGTAGAATAGAAATATGAATTCAGGTACTTAGTCAAGTTTCTAAAGAATGCAAATAACAGACATGATTTAACTTCCAAAATCTGAAGTCATCAACATGATTTTGTAGTACTCTATCTCAGGTTTTACCTAAAAATTCGTTATTATTCAGATAAAGATAGCTCCCTAATCACATGTTTTTAAAAAGCCTCTGCCCCACGACAACTTCCTGAGATCTGTGAAGAAACTGCAGTCTTGTGATCAGACTCCATATAGGACTGGCAGTTTTGTAATCGTAGGGAAAAAACGGTGACTGATTTTACGTGTCAATCAGTTGTAGTCTGCTGATCTGATTAGAAGCCTTGACAAATGCCTGGTGGCGATTGCAAATAACTGCCAAGCATATAGGGATGATACAGTAGCCCACTGTTTTGGGATCAGCTCTTGTACAAGAGTATAGGAACAAAAACATCTGTAAGTAAGGTACCAGAAAAATAACTGTCCACACCCAAAAAGGCAAGGAGAGTAATTGAGCTTTCAAGGAGTGTGTCCATGTGGTTCCTTCAAGGGGCTCCTCAGGGTGCTGTTGAATGTGTTCCAAGGCCAGCCTGTTGTAAGTCTCACTGATTTCAAAAACATAGTAAAATGCTGCTGCACTGGCTAACAGATACAATCCCACTCCAATCCATCCCATCCGCTGACGGAAGTTCATCATTCTCCATGCTCTGTGCCTTCAAATTAAAAAAGAAAATACAATTAGGGTCTAGTAATGCTGTCACGGCAACTACTCCAAATGTACTTGCTTTATCTCCAAGAATTCTAGGCCGGGCGCGGTGGCTCGCGCCTGTAATCCCAGCACTTTGGGAGGCTGAGGCGGGTGGATCACGAGGTCAGGTGATAGAGACCATCCTGGCTAACATGGTGAAATCCCGTCTCTACTAAAAATACAAAAAAAATAGCCGGGCGTGGTGGCGGGCACCTGTAGTCCCAGCTACTCGGGAGGCTGAGGCAGGAGAATGGCGTGAACCCAGGAGGCAGAGCTTGCAGAGAGCCGAGATCACGCCACTGCACTCCAGCCTGGGCGACAGAGCGAGACTCTGTCTAATTAAAAAAAAAAAAAAAGAATTCTAAAATATCCCACTAACACACTTAAGATTTAAAATAATTAAATTAAACACCTATTAAGAAATGTAAAACTTACAGGTTGTTTTGTGTAATACTTACAATCAAGTAAAACAACACACACAAAAAAACAAAAAACCATTGATTTCAGTATATACTGAGTTCTGCTTTTTAACGGGAATCCCTCAGAATAAATCACTGCATCCTACTTAAACAGGTCCATAATACCCGCCCTCCAGAAACTGGAATTAAACTAGTTTCTCACAGCACATTTCACTTTGACAGGTGAAACACTTTCTGGCATAACAGTACTGCTTCAGACGTGAACGCGGGGTGCTACAAGTCAAGCCCCCAAGTTAAGACAGTAACTCCTAAGCACTTACAATGGTCCCGAAAATCTTCCTGTTCCCACGGCAAGCGTTAAAGAGTCACTCAGCTCTGAATAATCGGGTGGCTTTGGCATTTCAGAGAAAGCCAACATAAAATAAATCCCCTGGGTCACCCGGCTAGGAGAAAGGTGAGCGCCGCCAGCCTGGAGCACCAGCTACTAGTGATTAAGAACGGCGTGACTGCGGCGGGTCACGCGCGGCCCGGCCCCCGTCGCCGCCGCCGGAGACCCGCTCTGAGAACCTGACCCGGCAGGGAGGCGTCCCCGCCACTTGGGCCTCCGGGCGGCCGGCCCCGCCCCCTGCCGCGCTGCAGCGCCGGCACGCCGCGACCAAGGCTGCGCAGGCGGCGCCAGGCCCGGGCCTCGCCGCCTTGCAGCGCCGCGAGCCCAGCGCCCGTCAGCGGTCGCCGGCGGAGCCTGCTTGCAAAGCTGAGGTCCCGGATCTCACCTTCCTGTCCCGTGGTGGCCAGCCCGCCCGCCGTCCCGGATGCCGCCGCAGTCGGAGCTTCCGGCTCGGGCCGGAAGCGCGCGCGCCCCGCCCCCGAGGCCCGCCCCTCATGACGTCAGATCGCCCCCGCCCGCCGCGCAGCTTCCCCGAGCGAGACCAAAACAGGTGGAATCCGGGCTGGAGCCGGAGCTCCGGCGGCGCGGGTGGCGGCACGTCCCTCCAGGTGGGTGGCTCTCTGGGTCTGGCGACTCAGCGCTCCTCAGCCTTGCCCCCTGGTGCCCGCTCGCGACTGTCATCGCCCCATCACTTCTCGTTGCAGACAGTACCACAGGCACCTGGAGTACCGGCATCGGTCGCTGTGGCCCCCGAGTGTCCGTCAGAGCCTAGGGGAGCCTGCCCTCCCGCGCCTCGTCGGGGCCCGGCCAGGCACCTTGGCCGCCGGCGCACGGACGCGGGCACGAGCACTAGATCACGGTGAGTGGAAGCGGGCCCGACGCGGCCCTGCAGGCCCGACATCCGCCAGGCACCAGGGCTGGGAGGGGTGAGGGGCGCGCGCCGCAGTGCGGCTGCCCTGGCGTCGCCGCTGGGGGCAGGGCGCGCGGGGCTTGGGGCCTGCACGCTTGCCCTGGACGTTGGCACCTTTAGCTAACCTGTCTGCTCTGTCTTGCAGGCTGCTGGACCTCGGCACGTTGACAAGATTTCTCTGGGGTACCGCGGAGGATTACTTTGAATTTCGGTGGTCGCCTGTGGTCTGGCATATTTAGAACTTAAGTCTATTATTTCGGGCACCATGACTTTGAGGCTTTTAGAAGACTGGTGCAGGGGGATGGACATGAACCCTCGGAAAGCGCTATTGATTGCCGGCATCTCCCAGAGCTGCAGTGTGGCAGAAATCGAGGAGGCTCTGCAGGCTGGTTTAGCTCCCTTGGGGGAGTACAGACTGCTTGGAAGGATGTTCAGGAGGGATGAGAACAGGAAAGTAGCCTTAGTAGGGCTTACTGCGGAGACTAGTCACGCCCTGGTCCCTAAGGAGATACCGGGAAAAGGGGGTATCTGGAGAGTGATCTTTAAGCCCCCTGACCCAGATAATACATTTTTAAGCAGATTAAATGAATTTTTAGCGGGAGAGGGCATGACAGTGGGTGAGTTGAGCAGAGCTCTTGGACATGAAAATGGCTCCTTAGACCCAGAGCAGGGCATGATCCCGGAAATGTGGGCCCCTATGTTGGCACAGGCATTAGAGGCTCTTCAGCCTGCCCTGCAATGCTTGAAGTATAAAAAGCTGAGAGTGTTCTCGGGCAGGGAGTCTCCAGAACCAGGAGAAGAAGAATTTGGACGCTGGATGTTTCATACTACTCAGATGATAAAGGCGTGGCAGGTGCCAGATGTAGAGAAGAGAAGGCGATTGCTAGAGAGCCTTCGAGGCCCAGCACTTGATGTTATTCGTGTCCTCAAGATAAACAATCCTTTAATTACTGTCGATGAATGTCTGCAGGCTCTTGAGGAGGTATTTGGGGTTACAGATAATCCTAGGGAGTTGCAGGTCAAATATCTAACCACTTACCAGAAGGATGAGGAAAAGTTGTCGGCTTATGTACTAAGGCTGGAGCCTTTGTTACAGAAGCTGGTACAGAGAGGAGCAATTGAGAGAGATGCTGTGAATCAGGCCCGCCTAGACCAAGTCATTGCTGGGGCAGTCCACAAAACAATTCGCAGAGAGCTTAATCTGCCAGAGGATGGCCCAGCCCCTGGTTTCTTGCAGTTATTGGTACTAATAAAGGATTATGAGGCAGCTGAGGAGGAGGAGGCCCTTCTCCAGGCAATATTGGAAGGTAATTTCACCTGAGTCTCAGGGAACCACGAAGGGATATGGCAATGAGTAGAGCATGAAGGTAGAACAGTCTATATACTCTTGTGACACATACAATCCCTACCTTGTGCTGCCAAGTAACTCATTTTTGTGCAATTCTCAGTATAAGCCCTTTGTCGTTTCTGTGCCTATTTAAAGTCTCCTAAAGGTGTAATTGACTAGGAAGGATGTAGTTCTACACTGCCATTTACCTATTTAAATTCATCCTTGTGAATATCTTTGTTGTTGTTGTTGAGACAGAGTCTCGCTCTGTCACCCAGGCTGGAGTGCAGTGGCGTGATCTTGGCTCACTGCATCCTCCGCCTTCCAGGTTTAAGCTATTCTCCTGCCTCAGTTGCCCGAGTAGCTGGGACTACAGGCATGTGCCACCACGCCCAGCTAAGTTTTGCATTATCAGTAGAGACGGGGTTTCACCATGTTGGCCAGGCTAGTTTCGAACTCCTGACCTCAAGTGATCCACCTGCTTCGGCCTCTGAAAGTGCTGGGATTACAGGCGTGAGACACTGCGCCCAGCCTCATCCCTGTGAATTTCTTATTGTACACAAGTTCTTTCACTATCTGTGTGCAGTGCTCTGAGGGGACAGACAAGGCTTGGGTGTATATGCCAACCAGATCTCATTGAAGTATCAGCTTGTTTGGTACTAGGTGCAAGTGTAGCATGTCACATGTGACCATGTTGGATCATTGACAATTTTTAGGTATGTACTGACCTACATTTATGATGAAGATCCTGAGCGGAGGTTAAGATATTAAGTTATTTTCCATATGAATCAGAATTATATTGATTCTGTGCAATCAAAACAAAAGGCAGAATAGAATGCTGAGATTGGTTAAGTTTGCAATGACCATCTTGAACCACAGATTTCTGCTATGTGTCATCAAAACATCTAGTTCTGAGTAACATTTTCACGATTGTTATAAAATTATAGGTGTGAACTTCTAAAATAAAGGAATGCTAATAAAATGACTTTGTCTGTTTTGTTTATATCACGGTTCCAAGAGAGATTTCATTTGAATAAAGAGTTCCCAAAGCATGAATCTGCAAACCACTGAACCTACACAGACTTAGTTCCTTGGACTCTTTCCTCTTGGTGCTCAGGGGTAGGAAATTGTTTTCTAAGTGAAGGGACCTTCTACCGAAGCAGTAAAACAATGGGATGAAACAAGACAGTGCACAAATTAGTGCGAGTAGTGCAGATGTATCAGTGTGTCAAATTTGGAAGGAGAAGGAAAGAAATGAACATTGCATGCTGCTGCTTGGAAGATTGGACTAAAAGTTTCTCCATGTACTTTCCCATTTAATCCTCTTGAAAAAAGGTTGAGCAGTATAATCTTAGCACTTTGAGAGGCTGAGGCAGGAAGATCGCTTGAACCCAGGAGTTCGAGACCAGCCTGGGCAACATAGTAAGTACAAAACATTTTTAAAAACTAGCCAGGCATGGTGGTGTGCGCCTGCAGACCCTGCTACTCAGGAGGCTGAAGCTGGAGGACTGCCTGAGGCCAGGAAGTCAAGGCTGCAGCAAGCCATGATCATACCACTGCACTCCAACCGGGTGACAGAGCAAGACCCTGTCTAAAAAAAAATAATAATTAATTTAAAAAATTCCTGCGGTATAGGAAAACTCAGTTTCACACTTGTGGAAATGGGCACAAAAGGTTAGAAATTTGGTCAAGGGCTGGGCGCAGTGGCTCATGCCTGTAATCCCTGCACTTTGGGAGGCCGAGGCGGGCGGATCACGAGGTCAGGAGATAGAGACCATCCTGGCTAACGGTGAAACCCCGTCTCTACTGAAAACACAAAAAATTAGCTGGGCGTGGTGGCGGGTGCCTGTAGTCCCAGCTACTCAGGAGGCTGAGGCAAAAGAATCACTTGAACCCAGGAGGCGGAGGTTACAGTGAGCCAAGATAGTGCCACTGCACTCCAGCCTGGGCAAAGCGAGACTCCGTCTCAAAAAAAAAAAAAAAAAAGAAATTTGGTCAAGGTGAAACATCCTTGGGCCAGAATTCTATCCTCTGTAGTAAGTGTAGTGAGCGATTAGGCCAGAATTCTTGTCTTTCTGCAAGGCCCATGTTCTTTCTACTGCCAAGAAAGAGAAACAATCATCAGGGTATCTATACCGAATAGCCTCACAAGGGAGGCAGGGCAGGCATTGGCTCCATTTCATAAGTGTCCATCTTATGTGCATTGGAGGGGAGTACAGTTGACCCTTGAACAACTTGGGGCTTAGGGGAGCCAGCCCACTGCACAATCTGCACATAACTTTTGATTCCTCAAAAACTTTACTATTACTGACAGGAGGCCTTACCAATAACAGAAAGTTGGTTAACATATTTTGTATGTTATTTGTATTATATACTATATTAAAGTAAGCTAAAGAAAAAATGTTCTTAAGAAAATTATATGGCCATATGCAGTGGTTCACACCTGCAATCCCAGCACTTTGGGAGGTCAAGGCGGGTGGATCACTTGAGTTCAGCAGTTTGAGACCAACCTGGCCAACATGGTGAAACCCCATCTGTACTAAAAATACAAAAATTAGCTGGGTATGGTGGCATGCACCTGTAATCCCAGCTACTTGGGAGGCTGAGGCAGGAGAAACGCTTGAACCTGGGAGGCGGAGGTTGCAGTGAGCTGAGATGGCACCACTGCACTCCAGCCTGGGCAACAGAGCGAGACTGTGTCTCAAAAAAAAGGAAGCAAATCATAAGATAAACTATATTTACAATTCATTAAAGAAGTGGATCATCATAAAGGCCTTCATCCTGGTTGTCATCTTCACATTGAGCAGGCTGAGGGGGAAAGGGAGGGTTGGTCTTGCTGTCTCAGTGGTGGCAGAGACGGAAGAAAATCTGTGGATAAGTGGACCTGTGTAGTTCAAGCTCCTGTTGCTCAAGAGTCAGCTGCACGTTATTCTGAATCAGAGTCCTACTGCAAATTAAACACTTAGCAGTGGAGAATATGAGACTCTATAAGACCTGGGCAGGTGGCATGGGTTATCTTTTACCTAAAAAAAAAAAAAAAAAAAAAATGAAGCATGGTTGACAATTGCTGAAAGGTAGGATAAAGCCTTTCATAAAAGTACCCAAATTTGGGATGTACACCCTGGTTTTAGATTCAAAGGCATAGTATAATGTTTGTGTTATGACTAAATGTCATGATTAAGTTCCCGTAAGTTCTTCTACGATGGAAAGAGAAATATTAGATGACATATGGACTCTGAAGAGATTAGAAGGTGTAATTCTGATCTTGTTTATATTTGAGTAGTCATTTGGAGTGTACAAGGCATTGTGACACGGGCCACTCACTTGCCCCCTCAGTAGTGGGAAGCAGACATGGTTAGTGTGTGCACCCTTGGGTGTTAATACAGGTTGCTCCTCTCCATATGTGAGGCACTGAGCTGAGGGCTTAAGATTGTCGTTAGATTTAGACTACAATCCCTGCCCTGGAGGTCTATTCAGGGTCAGTGATGATAGCTGGCGTTGAACAGCAGATACCGAGCACCAGTGAACACGTTTGATCCCACAACGAGCTCAGTCCTTGATTTTCCCCATTTTACGGATGAGACTGAGAAGCTAAGTAACTTGCCCAGGGTTTCATAGCTAGTGAGTGGCAGGCTCAGACGTTTCCAGAGTTCTCCATCTTAATGTATTCTATGCTGCCTTATTCAGAAACCTACTATTTCCCCATTTGACAGATGAGAAGCTTGAGGATCAGAGAGATTCAATGCCAGGGGCAAGGGCTCATAGCCTGATTCCAGAAAGCTGTTCTTAAGGTGTTCTGACATGTATCTGGTAAACATTACATAATTTTTGTTTAAGTTATGTTTATGGAATCATGTAAAATAAAATATGCTCCCCTTAAATAGCCATGTTTCAACTGGGCATGGTGGCTCATGCCTGTAATCCCAGCACTTTGGGAGGCCAAGGCAGACGGATCACCTGAGGTCAGGAGTTCGAGACCAGCCTGGCCAACATGGTGAAACCCTGTCTCTACTAAAAATAGAAAAATTAGCTGGGCGTGGTGGCGGGCGCCTGTAATCCCAGCTACTGGGGAGGCCGAGGCAGGAGAATTGCTTGAACCCAAGAGGTAGAGGTTGCAGTGAGCTGAGCTTGTGCTACCGCACTCTGGCCTAGGCGACAGAGTGAGCTCCACCTCAAAAAATAAAAAAAAAAAAGAAACCATCACAGATCACAGACTAGAGACTAAGGAGAGAGGTGGTGAACTAAATGTAATGTGTCCTGGAAGGGATCTTGGAACAGATAAAGGGCATGAGTGGAAAAGTGGGATCCAAGTACAGTTAGGAGGTTAGAGGTCACAGTAATGTGCCAATGTGAGTTTCCTGGAAGTGCCAAATGTATCATGGAAATGTAAAGTGTTAACAATAGGGGAAGTAGGTGAGAATACAGGAGCTCTCTGCACTCTTTGTAACTTATCTGTAAGCCTAAAACTACTATAAAAAAATGTCCATTGAAACACACACATATCTTGGGTTCCTAGATGTTTCAGCAAAAAGTAAAAAATAAAAAAAGAAGGGCTGGGTGAGGTGGCTCACGCCTGTAATCCCAGCACTTTGGGAGGCCAGGGAAGGCTGATCGTTTGAGCCCAGGAGTTTATGACTGACCTGACCAACATAGTGAAACCCTGTCTCTACAAAACCACACGTGATGGCACATGCCTGTGGTCCCAGCTACTTGGGAGGCTGAGGTGGGAGGATCTCTTGAGCCTGGGGAAGTCGAGGCTGCAGTGAGCCGAGATCGCGCCACTGCACTCCAGCCTGGGCAACAGAGCAAGACCCTGTCTCAAAAACAAAACAAAACAAAACAAAACAAAAAAAACTATGAAGATATATACACCATATGCATGGTAATAACAAATGACCTGAGATGCCAACCAGTAAAACAAGTCATTTCATTCACTGAAACACCACTAGGTGGCGGTTACCACGAAAGGCAGGCCCCAGCCAAGCCAAAGCAGGGAAAGGGATTCTTATGTAAACAGGGTCATATCTAACCCTGGAAAACTAAAACATTTCTCAAGCTTTTATGGAGGAAAATATTTTTGAGTGCTCAGTCTAGGACAATGACTTCTCTCTAAGTCCATGACATTCTAGAATCTTCTAATTCACTGTTCAGAGAGGCCTGGCCTCACCAAATGGATTGATCTCAGTCTATTTAAATGAGAACATTCTTCGTGATTCCACTTCACTCCCAGCTAGAGCGTCTCTCAACATTGGAAACCAGATCAACTTCTGAAAGTTACTTATTTTAAAGAGAATGAAATTGAAGTTCAGGCTGGGCGTGGTGGCTCCCACCTGTAATCCCAGCACTTTGGGAGGCAGAGGCAGGTGGATCACCTGAGGTCGGGAGTTCGAGACCAGCCTGACCAACATGGAGAAACCTTGTCTCTACTAAAAATACAAACATTAGCCGGGCGTGGTGGCGTGTGCCTGTAATACCAGCTACTTGGGAGGCTGAGGCAGGAGAATCACTTGAACCCGGGAGGCAGAGGTTGCGGTGAGCTGAGGTCGCACCACTGCACTCCAGCCTGGGCAACAAGAGTGAAACTCTGCCTCAAAAAAAAAAAAAAGAAAGAAAGAAATTGAGGTTCAAAGCACTATGGAGCTATGGTGGGTTCCCACATGCTCTCCTTCTGCTGCTGCCAGCCAGCCTCACTCTGCTTTTAGAGATGTTGGTTTTTTGTTTTGTCTTGTTTTTTTTTTTTTTGAGCCTGAGTCTCACTCTGTCACCCAGGCTGGAATGCAGTGACGCGATCTTGGCTCACTGCAACCTCCGCCTGCTGGGTTCAAGCGATTCTTCCCCCTCAGCCTCCCAAATAGCTGGGATTACAGGCACCTGCCATCATTCCTGGCTAATTTTTGTATTTTTGTAGAGACAGGGTTTCACCACGTTGGCCAGGCTGGTCTTGAACTCCTGATCTCAGGTGATCTGCCTGCCTCGGCCTCCCAAAGTGCTGGGATTACAGGCGTGAGCCACCACACCAGGCCTAGTTTTCTTTTTCTTTTTTTTTTTTTTTTTTGAACTGGAGTCTTGCTCTTATTGCCCAGGCTGGAGTGCAATGGCACGATCTCGGCTCACTGCAACCTCCACCTCCCGGGTTCAAGCGATTCTCCTGCCTCAGCCTCCCGAGTGTCTGGGATAACAGGCATGCGCCACCACACCTGGCTAATTTTGTATTTTTAGTAGAGACGAAGTTTCTCCATGTTGGTCAGGCTGGTCTCAAATTTCCAACAGGTGATCTGCTTGCCTTGGCCTCCCAAAGTGTTGAGATTACAGGCGTGAGCAGCTGCACCTGGCCTATTCTTATATTACCATATAAACTGGGTAAGTATGTTAAATAAATTAGTGTCATTTATTACACTGATTTACTGATAATTAGTCATTAATTCACTGTAAAGTAGGCTTGTAAGTCACCACCCTAAAAGGTGGTTTGGGAGTCAGAGGTTGAGTCTACAATAGTAGAATTCTACAGATGAGGCATGTGAGGTTCAGAGAGGGTGAGAGGCTTTGCTCCAGGACACGAAGCTAAGTAGTGGTGGGGCCCAACTGGGAACCTGAATCTGAGGCTGCTTCTGTCTTGCTCTGTGACCTGAGCTGAGATGCTTAATTCCTCTTCGACTTCAGTTTATTTACCTACAAAATCTGTGCTCTCTTTTAGCTCTAAAACTCTGGTACTCAGAGGATTCTTTTGAGTATCTCTAAACTATAAACTGGGCCGGGTGCAGTGGCTCACGCCTGTAATCCCAGCACTTTAGGAGGCTGAGGTGGGCAGATCGCTTGAGCTCATGAGTTTGAGACCAGCCAGGCCAACATGGTGAAACCCCATCTCTACCAAAAATACAAAAAATTAGTTGGGCGTGGTCGTGCATGCCTGTAATCCCAGCTACTTAGGAGGCTGAGGCAGGAGAATCACTTGAACCCAGGAGGCGGAGGTTGCAGGGAACCGAGATTACACTACTGCACTCCAGCCTAGGCGACAGAGTGAGACTCTGTCTCAAAAACATAAATAAATAAGTAAGCTATAAACTGACACTAAGTTCTTAATATTTGTCATTTAATATGTGTTTCCAAATATTATCAGCATATCTTTTGATGAGTGTGCCTTTTAACTCTCCCACTAGATTCTATACTCCTCTTCAAGGAGTATCATATCCCTAGATAAGCCCAATACACTTGGAAGGTAATCAATATTTCTTTTCTTTTTTGAGACATGGTTTTACTCTGTTCCCCAAGCTGGAGTGCAATGGTGCAAACACAGCCCACTGAAACCTCAAACTCCTAGGTTCAAGGAATCCTCTGACTTCAGCCTCCTGAGTAGCTGGGACCACACACACACACCACTATGTCCAGCCGATCAATATTTCTTGTTTTTTTTTGTTTTTTTGTTTTTTTATATGGGGTCTCACTCTGTCACCCAGGGTGGAGTGCAGTGCCACGATCATGTTTCACTGCAGCCTTGACCTCCCGGGCCCAAACAATCCTCCCACCACCTTAGCCTCCGGAGTAGCTGGGACCACAGGCATGCACCACCATGCCCAGCTAATTTTTTGTCATTGTTTGTAGGGACAGGGTTTCACCATGTTTCCCAGGCTGGTCTCAAACTCTTGAGTTCAAGAGATCCACCCGCCTCAGCGAGAGTAGGCATGAGGAAATGAATATAATCATTGGTGAACCTGTTTCTAACCTTGTAACCTAAACCCAATCCATTACGTCTCTTCTCTGTCTCTCTCCAATAACAATAATAATAATACAGCGTAACTTATGCTACAGAAGAGACAACACTGTTCGCTACCACCCAGCACAGCAACTATTAACCCTTTTCCTCTTTTGTAATTAAGATTTGTTCACCCACTTTACAGAACCGTTAATATCAGAGGAAGCTCAGCCTCTCTCTAGTCCTAATAGAAAGAGTGGGTGGTAAATCTTTTGTTGTTGTTGTTTTTGTTTGTTTATTTTAGAGATTGGGTCTCACTCTCTAGCCCATGCTGGAATGCAGTGGTGCAATCATAGGTCACTGCAGCCTCGAACTCCTGGGCTCAAGTGATCCTCCTGCCTCAGCCTCCTGAGAGAGTGGTAAATCTGATAAGTTTAAATGACTTGGTATCCTTTGCCAAACTGCTTGCTATAGGCGTGGGCAGATAATTCAGGTCTAGCCAGTGAAATATGAGCAGCTATTTTTTAACCTGTCTTCATAGGAGCATAGACTCTGGTGCCAGATTGCCCCAGGTCAGATTCCAGCTTCAGGCCGGGCACAGTGGTTCACACCTGTAATCCCAGCACTTTGGGAGGCTGAGGCAGGTGGATCACTTGATGTCAGGAGTTCGAGACCAGCCTGGTCAACATGGTGAAACCCTATCTCTACTAAAAATACAAAAACATTAGCCAGGTGTGGTGGCGCATGCCTATAATCCCAGCTACTCGGGAGGCTGAGGCAGAACTGCTTGAACCTGGGAGGCAGAGGTTGCAGTGAGCCAAGATCATGCCACTGCACTCCAGCCGGGGCGACAGAGCGAGACTCCGTCTCCAAAAACAAAAATATTCCAGCTTCACCATTTTCTAACTCTGTGACCTTGGGCAAGTTGATTAACCCTGCCTGGGGCCTCAGTTTCCTCAACTGAAAATGGGGATAGTAATGAAACTCATTCCCAGGGGTCATTGTGAGGACCTAGTAAACCTGTACCTGTAAAGTGCTGTCAGCCACTGCACAGTGAATACTCAGAGATAGCTCTTGTCTCTGTTCACCACTGCTGCATCATCAACTAACCCGGAACTTAGTGTCTGAAAGCAGCAATGGTTTAATAGCTGTTATCTCACAGTTTCCGTGGATCAGGAATCTGGCAGCAGCTTACCTGGGTGGTTCTCACTCTCAGAGACTGCAGCAGAGCAGCCAGCCGGGGCTGCGGCTGTGTCTTACATGATCATCTTTCACACTCACCCACGTGGGCCTGTCCACCGGGGCTGCCTCATGACACAGGGCTGATTTCCCCTGGAAACAAGTGATCCAGGAGAGAGTGAGAGAGAACACCCACACGGAAGCCACCGTCTTTTAACCATCTTATCTCAAAAGTGACATCCCATTGCTGTGTCATATTCTATTCATTAGAAGCAAGTCGGTAATCCAGCCCATGCTCAAGGGGAGGAGAGAAACATGGGTGTGGATTCCAGGAGGAGGGAATCACTGCGGCTGTCTTAGAGGCTGCTGCTGACAGCTGTTAGTTTTACCTATGCAGAGAAAAAGCCTATATTTTTGTTACTTCTAACTTTATATTTTACCTACAAATGACAAAATTCCTCTATTAGAACTAGATTAAAAGAGAAAAAAATCCTCCATCCATTCCTTCATGTATCCGAGTAGTAAGCACAGAATTGCCCTGTGTCCATTCTAAAGGGTGCTAGAGGCCATTTGAGGTTCACTAGTGAACAGCCAGCATATGTTCACTTTTTTAGCGTACAAGCATAAGTGTCTCCTAAATCTTCCCTATTCCAAGCTGTAAATGTCCAGCTGCTTCTCGGCTTCCCCGATTCCCTCCTGATCTCACTTCCCTCCCTTCTGAGTGTACTTTAAGAATAAGCAATAAGCCGGGTGCGGTGGCTCACACCTGTAATCCCAGCACTTTGGGATGCCAAGGCAGGCGGATCACCTGAGGTCAGGAGTTCGAGACCAGCTTGGCCAATATGGTGAAACCCCGTCTCTACTAAAAATACAAAAACTAGTCAGGGGTGGTGGCGCATGCCTGTAATCCCAGCTACTTGGGAGGCTGAGGCAGGAGAATCACTTGAACCCAGGAGGCAGAGGTTGCAGTGAGCCAAGATTGCGCCACTGCACTCCAGCCTGGGTAAGAGAGGGGACTCTGTCTCAAAAAAAAAAAAAAAGAAGAAGCAATAACCTGCTTGGCCTCTGACACTCTCACACCTCTTTCGGAGTGGGGAGAAGACTTACCTTGTACCAACCAGCTTCTGGTTTCTAAGCAACTGTACCCTAAATATTTAACAAAAGCTTTTATTTTTTTACTTTTGTCTCACTCTTTTGCACAGGCTGGTGTACAGTGGCACGATCACAGCTCACTGCAACATTGACCTCCCAGGCTCAAGCGATCCTCCCACCTCAGGTGCCTGAGTAGCTGGGACTACAGGTGCATGCCATCACACTAGGCCATTTTATTTTATTTTTATTTCTATAGCGATGGAGTCTTGCCATGTTGCCCAGGCTTGTCTGGAACTCCTGGGCTCAAAGCAATCCTCCTGCCTCAGCCTCCCTCAGGCTTACAAGTGTGAGCCACCACACCCAGCAACAAAAGCTATTAAAGTGTGCATTCCTTTCATCTAACATATTCTATAGAAATGTATCCCAAGAAACTAAATAAGGATGTCTACAAAGAATGGGCTAAAATGTTTTTCATTGCAATATTTTTTATAATTGTGAAAAAATCAGAAACCATATAAATGTCCAATCATAACTGATAGATTAAGTAAATTATGCAATGTCCAAAGGACTATAAACTCAGTAGCCATTACAAATTTTGTACTGAGGGCTGGGCATGGTGGCTTATACCTGTAATCCAGCAGTTTGGGAAGCTGGAGTGGAAGGATTGCTTGAGCCCAAGAGTTGGAGACTAGCCTGGGCAACATAGTGAGACCCCTGTCTCCATGAAAAAAAAAATTAGCCAGGCGTGGTGGTGTGCACCTGTGGTCCCTGCTATTTGGGAAGCTGAGACAGAAGGATCACTTTAGCCTAGGAGGTCAAGGTTACTGCGATCAAGGCACTGCACTCCAGCCTGGTCAATATAGCAAGATCCTATCTATATTAAAAAACAAAAAACTTGCATTGAGTTGTAAGTATTGCAGTTGCTGTTTTCGTAGGTCAAAACTATTTGAATTTGGGTAATTTCATGTTTCAACCTAATAGAAGGATTTTTTTTTTTTTTGCATACAAATAGGTTCACAACCTACCATGTAGTGAAAAAAGGCCAGGTGCAGTGTCTCACACCTGTAATCCCAGCACTTTGGAAGACTGAGGTGGGTGGATCACCTGAGGTCAGGAGTTTGAGACCAGCCTGGCTAACACGGTGAAACCCGTCTCTACTAAAAATACAAAAATTAGCTGGGCGTGGTGGCAGGCACCTGTAATCCCAGCTCAAGGCTGAGGCAGGAGAATCGCTTGAATCTGGGAGGCAGAGGTTGCAGTGAGCCGAGGTTGTGCCATTGCATTCCAGCCTGGGCGACAAAAGCGAAACTCCATCTCAAAAAAAAAAAAAAAAAAGAAAGAAAGAAAGAAAAAAAGAAAAGAAAAAAAGAAAAAAGCAGAGTACAACAGTATTTATGGAACAATCTCATTTTTATATTGGCAAATACATATAAATTATTTGTTAACAAAAAAAGTCTTGGAGAGGCATATGCCAAAATGTTAACAGCAGTTATCTGTGGGTAGCAGAATTATGAGCAATTTTAACCTTTTTTAAAATGAAGTTTTGGCTTTTCTCCAATGAATACTTCCTATTTGTGTAATGTTTACAGATTCTTGAATAAATGAAATAAAAGAAACCACAAGAGATAAATTGTGAGCTTGAGTCTGGGAGGTCAAGGCTGCAGTGAGCTGTGATCATGCCACTTGCACTTCAGCCTGGGTGACAAAGCAAAAAATAAAAATAAAAAAATCCTTCACTTAAAAATATCTGTGGTTGGCCAGGTACGGTGGCTCATGCCTGTAATCCCAGGATTTTGGGAGGCCGAGATGGGCGGATCACAAGGTTAGCAGATCGAGACCATCCTGGCTAGCACGGTGAAACCCCGTCTCTACTGAAAATACAAAAAATTGGCCGGGCGCGGTGGCTCACGCCTGTAATCCCAGCACTTTGGGAGGCCGAGGCGGGTGGATCATGAGGTCAGGAGATCGAGACCATCCTGGCTAACAAGGTGAAACCCCGTCTCTACTAAAAATACAAAAAATTAGCCGGGTGCGGTGGCGGACGCCTGTAGTCCCAGCTACTCGGGAGGCTGAGGCAGGAGAATGGCGTGAACCCGGGAGGCGGAGCTTGTAGTGAGCCGAGATCACGCCACTGCACTTCAGCCTGGGCAACAGAGCGACTCCGTCAAAAAAAAAAAAAAATCTGCGATTAATTCTTGTTGATCTTATGGGGAAAAAAAATCTGCAAAGACCCTTTTTCTTTCTTTCTTTCTCTCTTTCTCTCTCTTCTTTCTTTCTCTTTCTTTTCTTTTCTTTTTTTTTTTTTTTGAGACGGAGTCTCACTCTGTTGCCCAGGCTGTAATGCAGTGGTGCAGTCTCAGCTCACTGCAACCTCCGCCTCCTGGGCTCAAGTGATTCTCCTGCCTCAGCCTCCCGAGTAGCTGGGATTATAGGCGAGAGCCACCACTTCTGGCTAATTTTTGTATTTTTAGTAAAGATGGGGTTTCACCAAGTTGGCCAGGCTGGTCTCGAACTCCTGACCTCAAGTGATCCACCTGTCTCAGCCTCCCAAAGTGCTGGGATTACAGACATTGAGATGTGACAGCATGCTGGCAGTCCTCACAGCCCTCGCTCGCTCTCGGCGCCTCCTCTGCCTGGACTCCCACTTTGGCGGCACTTGAGGAGCCCTTCAGCCCACTGCTGCACTGTGGGAGCCCCTTTCTGGGCTGGCCAAGGCCGAAGCCCACTCCCTCCGCTTGCAGGGAGGTGTGGAGGGAGAGGCCCGAGCCGGAACCTGGGCTGCCTGCGGTGCTTGTGGGCCAGCTGGAGTTCCGGGTGGGCGTGGGCTTGGCAGGCCCTGGGCAATGAGGGACTTAGCACCCAGGCCAGCGGCTGCGGAGGGTGTACTGGGTCCCCCAGCAGTGCCAGCCCACCGGCACTGTGCTCGATTTCTCACGGGGCATTAGCTGCCTCCCCGCCGGGCAGGGCTCGGGACCTGCAGCCCGCCATGCCTGAGCCTCCCACCCCCTCCATGGACTCCTGTGCAGCCCCAGCCTCCCCGACGAGTGCCACCCCCTGCTCCACGGCGCCCAGTCCCATCGACCACCCAAGGGCTGAGGAGTGCGAGCGCACGGCAGCGAGGGACTGGCAGGCAGCTCCACCTGCAGCCCTGGTGCCAGTTCCGCTGGGTGAAGCCAGCTGGGCTCCTGAGTCTGGTGGGGATGTGGAGAATCTTTATGCCTAGCTCAGGGATTGTAAATACTCCAATGGGCACTCTGTATCTAACTCAAGGTTTGTAAACACACCAATCAGCACCCTATGTCTAGCTCAGGGTTTGTGAGTGCACGAATCAACACTCTGTATCTAGCTGCTCTGGTGGGGCCTTGGAGAACCTTTATGTCTAGCTCAGGGATTGTAAATACACCAATCAGCGCCCTGTCAAAACAGGCCACTCGGCTCTACCAATCAGCAGGATGTGGGTGGGGCCAGATAAGAGAATAAAAGCAGGCTGCCGGAGCTAGCAGTGGCAATCCGCTCGGGTCTCCTTCCCCACTGTGGAAGCTTTGTTCTTTGAAATAAATCTTGCCACTGCCCACTTTTTGGGTCCACACTCCTTTTATGAGCTGTAACACTCACCGCGAAAGTCCGCAGCTTCACTCCTGAAGCCAGCGAGCCCACGAGCCCACCAGGAGGAATGAGTAACTCTAGACGTGCTGCCTTAAGAGCTGTCACACTCACCGAAAGGTCTGCAGCTTCACTCCTAAAGCCAGCAAGACCACGAACCCACCAGAAGGAAGAAACTCCGAGCACATTCGAACATCAGAAGGAACAAACTCCCGACGTGCCACCTTAAGAGCTGTAACACTCAGTGCGAGGGTCCGCGGCTTCATTCTTGAAGTCAGTGAGACCAAGAACCCACCAATTTCAGGCACAACATGAGGCATTGCACTCAGCTTTTTTTTTTTCTTTCACCCCTACACCTTCTTCTGGGACCTTTTTCTTTCTTTCTTTCTTTCTTTTTTCTTTTTTTTGAGATGGAGTGTTGCCCTGTCGCCCAGGCTGGAGTACAGTGGCGCAAGCTCCGCTCACTGCAAGCTCCACCTCCTGGGTTCACACCATTCTCCTTCCTCAACCTCGAAAGTAGCTGGTACTACAGGCGTCTGCCAGCATGCCCGGCTAATTTTTTGTATTTTTAGTAGAGACGGGGTTTCACCGTGTTGCCCAGATGGTCTCGATCTCCTGACCTCGTGATTTGCCCGCCTCGGCTTCCCAAATTGCTGGGATTACAGGCGTGAGCTAGCGCTTCCGGCCAAATTTTTCTTTTTAAATTTTTAAAAAATTTACTTGTTTGTTTGAGACAGGGCCTTGCTCTGTCTCCCAGGCTGAAGTGCAGTGATGCAATCATAGCTCACTGCAGCCTTGACCTCCCAGGCTCAAGCAATTCTCCCACCTCAGCCTGGCGAGTAGCTGGAAGACCTTCTCCCTCCCTCCTTTCCTCCTCCCTTCCTTCTTCCTTCCTTGTGGTTTTTTTTTTTTTTTTTTTGAGACGGGGTCTTGCTTAGTCACCCAGGCACTGGGATGTGGTGGTGTGATCATAGCTCACTGTAGCCTTGAACTCTTGGGCTCAAGTGATCCTCCCACTACAGCCTCCCAAGTAGCTAGAACTACAGGCCTGCACCACCTCCCCTGACTAATTTTTATTTTTGTATAGATGAGCTCTCCCTGTGTTGGACAGGCTGGTCTCGAACTCCTGGCCTCAAGCAATTCTCATCCTCCACCCTACCTCAGCCTCCCAAAGGGTTGGGATTATAGGTGTGAACCAGCGTGCCCGGCCCAAAGACACTTTTTCCAATCACAGTAGCGTTCACAGTGTCCAGAGATTAGGCCCTGTTATCTTTGGGGGCCATTCTTCAACCTGTTGTTACTCCTGCTTTCAGACCATGGTGTGTGGCTGTGTCCTATCCTGTGTCCATTCCTGCTGCCCTAGTGTTGTGGAAGTTCCAGGGGAGAGATGTGTTTTCACTTGGTAGCCCCCTCTGCAGGGACTGTTCCTTCAACAGTTGTCCAGTCTGGGTGCGGTAGCTCACGCCTGTAATCCCAGCACTTTGGGAGGCCAAGGTGGGTGGATTGCTTGAAGTCAGGAGTTCAAGACCAGCCTGACCAACATGGTGAAACCCTGTATCTACTAAAAATACTGAAAAGAAAAAAAAAAAAGCTTGCGCGGTGGCTCACACCTGTAATCCCAGCACTCGGGATTACACCTGTAATCCGACTCGGGAGGCGGATCACCCGAGGTCGGGAGTTCAAGACCAGCCTCACCCACAGGAGAAACCGTGTCTCTACTAAAAATATGAAATAACCCAGGTGTGGTGGCGCATGCCTGTAATCTCAGCTACTCAGGAGGCTGAGGCAGGAGAATCGCTTGAACTGGGGAGGTGGAGGTTGCAGTGAGCTGAGAGTGCACCATTGCACTCCAGCCTGGAGAACAAGAGTGAAACTCCATCTAAAAAAAAAAAAGAAAATTAACTGGGCGTGGTGGTGGGTGCCTGTAATCCCAGCTACTCAAGAGGCTGAGGCAGGAGAATTGCTTGAACCCAGGAGGTGGAGGTTGCAGTGAGCCAAGATTGTGCCATTGCACCCCAGCCTGGGCAACACAGTGAGACTCCGTATCAAAAAAAAACAAAAACAAAAAACAGTTGTCCATATTCCAAAACATATTGACATCGCTCCTCGGCAGTCAACGCACCCACTTCTTGTTCTTGTAGGTTTATATTTGTTTTCATCCTTGACTGTCATTTTGGATGAGTTTCAGGTGGAAACAGAGATAACATGTGCATTCAATATACAGTGTTTAACCAAATGTTTCTCTACAGGCTTTAAATATTTTTGTGACTAGCTTTATCCTTCCATTTGTTAAAATATTATGTGCTTGTTTTCGAAATATTCTCATACCAAGGACAAATAGGCTGCTAGAAATCACATCTCTTGGTCAGGTGTGGTGGCTCATGCCTGTAATCCCAGCACTTTGAGAGGCCAAGGTGGGAGGCCAAGGTCTTTGGGCCGGGCATGGTGGTTCACGCCTATAATCCCAACCCTTTGGGAGGCCGAGGCAGGGTGGAGGATGAGAATTGCTTGAGGCCAGGAGTTCGAGACCAGCCTGTCCAACACAGGGAGAGCTCATCTATACAAAAATAAAAATTAGGGGAGGTGGCGCAGGCCTGTAGTTCTAGCTACTTGGGAGGCTGTAGTGGGAGGATCACTTGAGCCCAAGAGTTCAAGGCTACAGTGAGCTATGATCACACCACCACATCCCAGTGCCTGGGTGACTAAGCAATACCCCGTCTCAAAAAAAAAAAAAAAAAAAAAAAACACAAGGAAGGAAGAAGGAAGGAAGGAGGGAGGGAGAGGGTCTTCCAGCTCCTCAAGTAATCTCCCAATCTTGGTGCCCAAGAGTCTGAGACCAGCCTGGGCAACATAGTGAGACCCAGTCTTTATAAAAAATAATGAAAATAAATAAAATTTCAAAAGAGAAATCACACCTCTTACCCAAAAGCAATGGTTAAAATTTGGGTCTACCATTATATATTTTTGAGACAGAATCTTACTCTATCGCCCAGGCTGGAGTACAGTGGTGCAATCTCAGCTTTCTACAACCTCCGCCTCCTGGGTTCAACCGATTCTCCTGCCTCAGACTCTTGAGTAGCTGGCACTACAGGTGCGCACCACCAAGCCCGGTTAATTTTTTTGTATTTTTAGTAGAGACAGGGTTTCACCACGTTGGCCAGGCTGGTCTCGAACTCCTGACCTCAGGCATCTGCCCGCCTCGGCCTCCCAAAGTGCTGGGATTACAGGTGTGAACCACCATGCCTAGCTCCTAATATTTGTAAAGCATATCCCAAACACGATGGCATTTTGCCCCTACATGTTTCAGCATGTACTTCTTAAAATATAGACCTTTTCTTATAATACCTATAGCACACCTGACAAAATTGCCAGTAATGACTTAGTATCATCTAACATCCAGTTCATATTAAAATTTCCCCAATTACGTCAAGAATATCTACTCACCAAGGTAAAAAAGTATCTTCTTACAGTTGATTTATGGGAATCTGGATTCAAAACAAGAGCCATGCGTGATACTTGGTTGCTATGCCTCCCAAGTGTCTTAATTAAAGCAGTCCCTTGCCTTGTCTCCATGCCATTGCCTGGTTGAATTTCAATTTTAAAAAGACACATAAGAAACATACGATATTCCCCTTTTATCCACAGGGGATACGTTCCAAGATCCCCAGCGGATGCCTGAAACTGTGGCTAGTATAGAACCCATATAAGCCATGCCTTTTCCTATACATACATACATATCTATGTTTTGTTGTTGTTATTGCTGTTGTTTTTGAAACGGAGTCTCGCTCTGTCGCCCAGGCTAGAGTGCAGTGACGCAATCTCGGCTCATTGCAACCTTCACCTCCCAGGGTCAAGTGATTCTCCTGCCTCAACCTCCCGAGTAGGTGGGATTACAGATGCGTGACACTATGCCCAGTTAATTGTTGTATTTTTAGTAGAGACAGTGTTTCACCATGCTGGTCAGGCTATCTCGAACTCCTGACCTCTTGATCCGCCTGGCTTGGCCTCCCAAAGTGCTGGGATTGTAGCAGGACGAGCCGCAGACAAAACCTCTCAGACACCGAGTTGTAGAAGGAAGGGCTTTATTCAGCTGGGAGTATCGGCAAGCTACTGCCTTAAAATCCGAGCTCCCCAAGTGCACAATTTCTGTCCCTTTTAAGGGCTCACAACACTAAAGATTTCGCATGAAAGGATCGTGATTGATTTGAGCAAGCAGGCGGTACGTGACAGGGGCTGCATGCACCGGTGGTCAGAGAGAAACAGAACACGGCAGGGAGTTTCACAATGTTCTTCTATACAATGTCTGGAATCTATGAATAACATCGGTTTCTAAGTTATGAGTTGATTTTTAACTACTGGGTTTAGGCCAGGCAGGCCATGGCCTGGTTTTGGGCCTGGCGGCTGGGCTGCCTGTCTTTGGTTTTACTTCCTTGTTGTTTTTTCTTGAAACAGGTACTGAGTATAAAACAATATGAGAGGGTCTCTCTCTTCCCTCAGGATTACAAGCATGAGCCACTGCGCCGGGCCTGTTTGTTTGTTTGTTTGTTTGTTTTTAAGAGATGAGGTCTCACTATATTGCCCAGGCTGGTCTCGAACTCTTGGGCTCAAATGATCCTCCTGCCTCGGCTTCCCAAAGTGCTGGGATTATAGATGTGAACCATCACACCTGGCTTTTTTTTTTTTTTTTTTTTTTTTTTTTGAGACGGAGTCTCACTCTGTCGCCCAGGCTGGAGTGCAGTGGTGAGATCTCGGCTCACTGCAAGCTCCGCCTCCCATGTTCATGCCATTCTCCTGCCTCAGCCTCCTGAGTAGCTGGGACTACAGGCGCCTGCCACCAAACCTGGCTAATTTTTTGTATTTTTAGTAGAGACGGGGTTTCACCATGTTAGCCAGGATGGTCTGGATCTCCTGACCTTGTGATCCACGCATCTCGGCCTCCCAAAGTGCTGGGATTATAGGAGTGAGCCACCGCGCCCGGCCATATTTTTTTTTTTTTTTTTAAGAGATGGGGTCTCACACTGTTGCCCAGGCTGGAGTGCAGTGGTATAATCATAGCTCTCTGTAACCCCCAAACTCCCGGTCTCAAGCAATCCTCCGGTCTCATCCGGTCCAGTTGCTGGGATTATAGGCATGCATCACTAAACTCAGTTAATTTTTAAAAAAAATTTTGTAGCCGGGCGCAGTGGCTCACACCTGTAATCCCAGCACTTTGGGAGGCCAAGGCGGGTGGATCATGAGGTCAGGAGATCAAGACCATCCTGGCTAACACGATGAAACCCATCTCTACTAAAAATACAAATAAATAAATAAATAAATAAATAAATAAATAAATACCTGGGCATGGTGGCGGGCGCCTATAGTCCCAGCTACTCGGGAGGCTGAGGCAGGAGAATGGCATGAACCCGGGAGGTGGAGCTTGCAGTGAGGCAAGATCGCGCCCCTGCACTCCAGCCTGGGCGACACAGCAAGACTCCATCTCAAAAAAAAAAAGAAATTTTTTTTTTTTGTAGAGATGGGGTCATGCTCTGTCGCCCAGGCTGGAGTACAGTGGTATGATCATGGCTTACTGTAGCCTCAAACTCCTAAGCTCAAATGATCCTCCCATGTTAGCTTCCCGAGTAGCTAAGACTACAGGCATGTGCCACCAGGCCCAGCTACTATGATAAAGTTTAATTTATAAATTAGAAGCAGCAAGAGATTGACAACAATAACATAAAATAGAACAATTATAACAATATACGGTAATAAAAGTTATGTAAATGTGGTCTCTCTCTCTCCTCTGTCTGTCAAAATATCTTATTGCGTGTAATATTTTAGGCCCCAGTTGACCGCAGGTAACTGAAACCACAGCAAGTGAAACTGCAGATAAGACAGGACTACTGTATTTCTATTTCCCACATTGTTCCAAAATCGTTTTGAGATAGTCCAATAGAGTGCACTGTTTCATTACATTAAGACTTGTGATGTGACTTGGGGCTAATGAATTAGCTTAGGTCTTGCTCGGATGTCAAACTCCAGCCCTAGGCATTCTGTCCCCAGAGCAGCCCCTGTACTCTGAAATTCAAACTTTTTCAGAAGGCACCTGTTTTTCACCCGAAGGTCTTGAACTCCATATCCAGGTAAAATTACCTTTGGATCAGGTGGGATCTAGGAAAAGGCAGAGACCCCAAATACCAAATTCCTTCCACAGAGGCTATCGTGCCCAGGGGATGCTGTGCCTACATTTCCTCAAGTTCATGTACAGACAGCATCAAATTTTTATTTTTATTTTTATTACTTTTTTAATTTTTTATTGAGATGGAGTCTTGCTCTGTCACCCAGGCTGGAGTGCAGTGGTGCAATCTTGGCTCACTGCAACCTCTGCCCCAGGTTCAAGCAATTCTCATGCCTCAGACTGCCAAGTAGCTGGGACTACAAGCATGCACCACCACACCAAGCTAATTTTTTTTTGTATTTTGAGTAGAGACAGGGTTTTGCCATGTTGGCCAGGCTGGTCTCGAACTCCTGACCTCAAGTGATCCGCCTGCCTCAGCCTCCCAAAGTGCTGGGATTACAGGCATAAGCCACTGTGCCCGGCCAATTAATTAATTTATTTATTTGAGACAGAGTCTGGCTCTATCGCCAGGTTGGAGTGCAGTGGCACGATCTTGGCTCACTGCAACCTCTGCCTCCTGGGTCCAAGTGATGCTCCTGCCTCAGCCTCCCAAGTAGTTGGGACTATAGGTGTGCGCTACCACACCCAGCTAATTTGTGTTGTAGTTTTAGTAGAGACGGGGTTTCACCATGTTGGCCAGGATGGTCTCCATCTCTTGACCTCATGATCCGCCCACCTTGGCCTCCCAGAGTGCTGGCATTACAGGCGTGAGCCACCACACGTGGCCCAATTTTTAATTTTTTTAGAGACAGGGTCTCCCTGTCATCCAGGCTAGAGTGCAGTGGTGTGATCATCGCTCCCTGCAGCCTTAAACTCCTGGGCTCAAGTGATCCTCCTGCCTCAGCCTCCCAGAGTGCTGGGATTAGAGGGGCATGCCACCACCTGCTTTAAAGGAAGAAACAGACTGCTTTAAAAGAAGAAACATCCAAGAGTCCTTCCCTTGAATTACTGTTTCAGAATATTACTGAAATATGTATAGGAAAACAAAATGTAACTTTTTTTTTTTTTTTTTGAGACAGTCTTGCTGTGTCGCCAGGCTGCAGTGCAATGGTGCAATCTCGGCTCACTGCAACCCCCACCTCCCGGGTTCAAGCGATTCTCCTGCCTCTGCCTCCCAAGTAGCTGGGACTACAGGCACCTGCCACCACACCTGGCTAATTTTTTGTATTTTTAGTAAAGATGGGGTTTCACCATATTAGCCAGGATGGTCTCAATCTCCTGACCTCGTGATCTGCCCGCTTCGGCCTCCCAAAGTGTTGGGATTATAGGGGTGAGCCACTGTGCCCGGCCAACATATCTTTTTCTATGGGGGTCAAGGGATGACTTCCCTTGTCACCTCCTTCCTATACTTGAGGATCTGCCCACTGTATTCATTTCCCAGGGCTGCTGTCACAAAGCGCCCCGAACTGGGTGGCGTGAAGCAATAGAATTCAGCTCGCTCACAGTTCTGGAGGCTAAAAGTCTCAACTCCAGGTGTCAGCAGGGCCATGCACTCGCTGAAGGCTGTAGGAAGGATCTATCCCATGCTTCTCCCCGCTTCTGGTGGGTGCCAGCAATCCTCGGCATCCCTTGGCTGGGAGACATCACTCCAGTCTCTGCCTCTGTCATCACGTGGCCTTCTCCCTGTGTATCTCTCTGTGTCTCTGTTTTCTCTTCTTATAAGGACATCAGTTATTGGATTAGGGCCTACCCTAATTCAGTATGACCTCATTTTAACTTAACTAATTACATCTGCAAAGGCCCTGCTTCCAAATAAGGTCACATTCTGAGGTTCTGGGCAGACATGAATTCCTGGAGGACACCATTCAGCACCGTCCACCCACCCCATGAGTCTCACTGGGCCAGGGAGGGATGCAGCCCACCCCCTTCTACAGAAAATGAAAACACCCAATACACACTTTCTCAGTCTCCCTGGCAGGTGCTGCACAGATGCATGACCTGGGCTTGGCCAATGGGGTACAGCCACATAGGATTTTGCATCTGGAGCCAGGGATGCAAAGCAGCAGGAGTAGGAGAGATTCTTTTTTCTTTCTTTTCTTCAAGATGGAGTCTTGCTCTGTCACCTATGCTGGAGTGCAGTGGCGCGATCTCGGCTTACTGCAACCTCCACCTCCCAGGTTTAAGCAATTCTCCTGCCTTGGCCTCCCGTGTAGCTGGGATTACAGGCGTGTGCCACCACACCTGGCTAATTTTTGTATTTATTTTTTATTTTTATTTTTGGAGACACAGTCTCGCACTATCCCCTAGGCTGGAGTGCAGTGACGCGATCTCGGCTCCCTACAACCTCCATCTGGGTTCAAGTGATTCTCCTGCCTGTCTTCTGAGTAGCTGGGATTACAGGTGCGTGCCACCATGCCTGGCTAATTTTGGTATTTTTATAGAGATGGGGTTTCACCATGTTGGCCAGGCTGGTCTTGAACTCCTGGGTTCAAGTGATCCACCCGTCTCGGCCTCCTAAAGTGCTGGGATTACAGGCATGAGACACCACACCTGGCCTGGAGAGATTCTTAAAGCTGGTCACATGTATTTTTTGTATTTTCTGTCAGCTTTTGTTGTGATAACAAACACCCCCAAATCTCAGGGGCTTCCAACAACAAGCATGCGTTTCTCACAGTTCTGGGCATCAGTTGTGGGTGGTCGGCTGATTGGTGGCTTCTGCTGGAATCTGATGGGCAGGGCTCCAGACTGTAGATTGGGTTCAGGTGTGATCCACGTGTCTTATTGCAGACCCCAGGCTGAAGGAGCAGCCAGCTACCTGGGGTATGCCCTTCTCATCCAAGACGGCAGGAGTGCAAGAGCAGGGGCAGGAACCCAGGATGTCTCCCGAGCTCTCTGCTCAGAACAGGTACAAGGTCACTTTGCCCATCCCCCATCAGTATGTGCAAGTCACACAGCCAACCCAAAGTCAGTGGGGGCAGGGCAATATACTCTGCCCACAGGGAAACACAAAATGGGGAGAGAGAAGGAATCCTTTCTGGAAAATAATAATAGAATCCACCACACCATGGCAGCAACAGCTAGATGGCAGTGGTGTCCTTACTGGTCTGGATCTGGGCTGTGGTTCCCACCCAATTTATCTTATTTTTGTAGAAACAGGTGGTGCTGGGGCGGTAGGCGGTGGGGGGTGGGGTGGGGGTTCTTGTTATGTTGCCCAGGCTGGCCTTGAACTCCTAGCCTCAAGCAATCCTCCCATCTTGGCCTCCCATAGTGTTGGGATTACAGGCAAGAGCCAGTGTGCCCAGCCATCTAATTTCTGATCTGGTTTCTTTCCTTTTTCTTTCTTTTTTTTTTTTTTGATACCTAGTCTTGTTCTGTCTGTCTCACAGGCTGCCACGCTGGAGTGGAGTGGTGTGATCTCGGCTCACTGCAACCTCCACCTCCCAGGTTCAAGTGATTCTCCTGCCTCAGCCTCCCAAGCAGCTGGGACTACAGGCACGTGCCACCAGTCCAGGCTAATTTTTTATTTAATTTTATCTATTTATTTATTTATTTATTTTAGATGGAGTCTGGCTCTGTTGCCCAGGCTGGAGTGCAGTGGCATTATCTCAGCTCACTGCAAACTCCACCTCCTGGGTTCAAGCAATTCTTCTGCCTCAGCATCCCGAGCAGCTGGGATTACAGGCACCTGCCACCACACCCAGCTAAATATATTTATATATATATATTATATTATATATTATATTATATATATTATATATCATATATATTTATGATAATATATTTATAATTACATATAATATATAATATATTCTATATATATTATATATAGAATATATTATATATTATATATAATATATGATATATAATATATATTAATATATGATATATTATATTAATATATGATATATAATATATAATATATATTTTTATATATTATATATTTATATATTATATATTATATATTATATAATATATAAATATATTATAAATTATATATTATATAATATATAAATATATTATATATTATATAAATATATAATATATTTATATATTATATATTATATAAATATATAATATATTTATATATTATATATTTATATATTATATATTTATATATTATATATTATATATTTATATATATTATATATATTATTTATTTATATATATATAATATATATTATATATTTATATATTATATATTATATATATTATATATTTATATATTAATTATATATATTATATATTTATATATTATATATTATATATATTATATATTTATATATTATATATATTATATATATTTATATATTATATATTTATATATTATATATTTATATATTATATATATTTATATATTATATATATTTATATATTATATGTTTATATATTATATATTATATATATTTATATATTATATATTTATATATTATATATTATACATTTATATATTATATATTTATATATTATATATTATATTTATATATTTATATATTATATATATTTTTATATACTATATATATTTCTATATTATATATATTTATATATAATATATATTTCTATATTATATAATATATATTTTATATAATATATATAATATATATTTTATATAATATATATTTTTATATAATATGTATATATTATATATTATATATTTATATATAATATATATTTACATATATTATATATATTCACATATATTATATATTTATATATTATATATTATATTTATATTTATATATATTATATATACACACATATTTGTGTATATACACATCTGTGTGTATATATACACATCTGTGTGTATATATACACACACATATTTGTGTATATACACATCTGTGTGTATATATACACACACATTTGTGTATATACACATCTGTGTATATATATACACACACATATTTGTGTATATACACATCTGTGTATATATACACACACATATATATACACACATATATATGTGTGTATGTATATACACACATATATTTTCGAGACAGAGTCTCAATCTGTTGCCCAGGCTGGACTGCAGAGGCACGATCTCGGCTCACTGCAACGTCTACCCCCCGGGTTCAAGCAATTCTTCTGCCTCAGCCTCCTGAGTAGCTGGGATTACAGGCGACTGCCACCATGCCCGGCTAATTTTTGTACTTTTAGTAGAGACAGGGTTTCACCATCTTGGCCAGGCTGGTATTGAACTTCTGACCTCATGATCCACCCTCCTTGGCCTCCCAAAGTGCTGGGATTACAGGCGTGAGCCACCATGCCCGGTCATTTTTTTTTTTTTTTGAGATGGAGTTTTGCTCTTGTTGGCCAGGCTGGAGTGCAATGGCTTGATCTCGGCTCACCGCAACCTCCGCCTCCCGGGTTCAAGCGATTCTTCTGCCTCAGCCTCCGAAGTGGCTGGGATTACAGGCAAGGGCCACCATGCCCAGCTAATTTTGTATTTTTAGTAGAGACGTGGTTTCTCTATGTTGGTCAGGCTGGTCTTGAACTCCCAACCTCAAATGATCCGCCTGCCTTGGCCTCCCAAAGTGCTGGGATTACAGGCGTGAAACACCGTGCCCAGCACCCAGTCAATTTTTTATATTTTTGGTAGAGACGGGGTTTCACCATGTTGGCCAGGCTGGTCTCCAACTCCTGACCTTAAGTGATCTGCTCACCTTGGTCTCCCAAAGTGCTGGGAATGCAAGTATGAGCCACTACGCCCAGCAATTTTTGTATTTTTAGTAGAGATGTGGTTTCACCATGTTGGCCAGGCTGGTCTTGAGCTCCTGACCTCAGGTGATCCATCTGCCTCGGCCTCCCAAAGTGCTGGGATTACAGGCGTGAGCCACTGCGCCCAGCCTCTGATCTGGGTTCTTAAACTAGTTCTGTGAGATGCCCAGTAGCCTTTGGTACATTGCTTTTCAGCTTCAATCAGCCAGAATTGGAGTAGCCAGGTGGTCACTGACCTAGTGTCTGTCATCCCCAAGTTCACCTGTCCACTTGCTCTGGGGCTGGGACTCTGAAAACCGCATTCCAGACTACTTGGCCTGCTGGCTTTCTGGCGTGGTCAGCCCATCTAGAGAAAGAGACTGGCAGGAGGAATAGAGAAGGGGCAGCCTCCCTGATGCTCACACCCCTGTCCTCGCTTTCTTAGCAACAGCAGACAGTCCCGGCCTCCAGATTCCCTTAGCACCTCACACCCTGCTCCATCACACACTACTCATGGTTTTCCTGACGGGGTCCTCCCCAGTCACTGTCCCAGACTGGGGGCCTCCAGATTGAGCATATCATCCCAGCTTGCGGGAGTGCAAGGGGCCTCCTCCTGTCCCCACCACTGGCTAACCAGACATAGCCTCGGGGCTCTCAGGGGTCCTGGAGTATTTCAAAGAAGAGTCCACACTTTGGAGCCAGATGGGACAGGACAGTCTTGTGGCGTGGCTGGCTGTTACCCCAGCTAGGCAGTCCCTGGTGAAAACCTGACTCCATCCTGTGTGCAGACCAACAGGAGCTGCTCCCAGGGTCTCTGGAAGCTGATGTGGCTCTCAACAGTGCCTCTCAAAGTCCCTCCCTCTTCCCCTCTTCCTCGCTTCACACAAAGGCCTGACTCTCCTTTCTTTCCTGGGAGATCCTGATGGCCCAATAAAACTGACTGCTAAGTCATTGCCCATTGGAAACTGGTTTCCCTTCCCCTAGGGCTGGAGGGACTAATTCTTCACATGCTACTGGAAAGGAAAGGAACTATTTACACCAGTGTGTGATTGGGATGGGAGGCAGCGAGGGTGTGGGGGATTCCCTTCCCGGATCAGGTTGAATCCTACACCAAGGCAGTGAAGAGAAGGAAGAAAAATAAAACTTAAACTTCCATATTTTAAAAGTTCATATTCTGGCCAGGTGCAATGACTCACACCTGTAATGCCAGCACTTTGGAAGTCTGAAGTAGGTGGATCACTTGAGCCCAGGAGTTCGAGACCAACCTGGCCAACATGGTGAAACACCATCTCTACTAAAAATACAAAAAGTTAGCCAGATGTGGTAGTGTGCACATGTAGCCCCAGCTACTCGCAAGGCTGAGGCACCTGGGAGGCAGAGGTTGCAGTGAACTGAGATCACATCACTGTACTCCAGCCTGGGCGACAAAGTGAGACTCTGTCTCAAAAAAAAAAAAAAAAAAAAAGCTCCCATTCTGCCTCAGCTTTTTAAACTAGAATAAACTTAAAAATACAAACAAAAACTCATGAACTAAAGTTAACAACATTAAATCAACCTGATGGATGGATGATGTTTTACTGAAATGGAATCGAAGCGAATCACTGATGTGTGGTTTAATGGAAGAAAGATGTATTTTCAACTTGATTTTTCTCAGTTTTTTGTTTTTTTTTCGATAATGGATCTTTATTTGAGTCACTGACATAATCACTATTGATTTTTTTTCTGGATGTGAACAATAAACTCTTTCAACCACCTATCCGTTATTTTAATGAGCCAATCAATTTAATCATATACTCCCAAAATATAATACAGAAAATATTAAATGAAATTTCTTTACTGTTTATTTACTAACACACTGACTGCTAATGCAGATTGTAGTTTGGATGGGAAGAAGGTGGAAGTTGCAAAATTCATCTCACAGGACCACACAACTCTCTTGCCATTTTTTTGCATTTGAACTCTGGTGAAATGTTTGCCTTTAGTGATACTGCACACTGACTCATGTGCCGCGAACAGGATCTTAACCCAAATGGAAAAGCAGGTTTTAAAATCCTGAGCACTCATGGGAAGGATAAAATAAAATAAAATAAAATAAAATAAAATAAAATAAAATAAAATAAAATAAAATCCTGCAGGCTGGGTGCAGTGGCTCATGCCTGTAATCCCAGCACTTTGGGAGGCTGAGGCACTTTGGGAGGCTCGAACTTGAAGTGAGGAGTTTGAGATCAGCCTGGCTAACATGGTGAAACCCCGTCTCTACTAAAAATACCAAAATTAGCTGGGAGCGTGCCTGTAATCCCAGCTACTTAGGAGGCTGAGGCGGAAGGATTGCTTGAATCCAGGAGGCAAAGGTGGCAGTGACCCGAGATCATGCCACTGCAATCCAGCCTGGGCAACAAAGGAAGAATAGGTCTCAAAACAAACAAACAAACAAACAAAAAAACCCAAAACCGTGCAAGGCACAAGAGTTCTGGGGTAGTAACCCAGATAACCCAAAAATGAAAACACAACATTCAAAACTTCTGGCACAGCTTATAAATCCCCAGGAATATGGCTGCTGATCCCACTTGAAAAAGCACCACCCTGAGTTACCTGGGGAGGGGAATTAGGATGAAAAGAGAGATTGCTCAGGGGCCATGTGCACGGGCCTTGGAAGTACCCACTGCTGAGCTGCAGAAGCAGCTTGGGAAGACCCTAGTTGATGAAAGAAATTGGGGGTGAGTTTCCAAGGACAAGTGTAGGCCCCTCATTTATATGTGAGGAAGTGGGCCTCCTTTAGGAAGCCTGGGGCAAACCTGGCCAGAGTGGGGCTCCTTCTGGAAGCAAACCCCATAAGATGTACGATTGCCTTTCTTTTTTAAAAAAGTTTTTATTTATTTTTGAGATGGAGTCTCGCTCTGTTGCCTAGGCTGGAGTGCAGGGGCACAATCTTGGCTTACTGCAGCCTTGAACTCCTGGGCTCAAGTGTTCCTCCCATCTTAGTGTCCTGGGTAGCTGGAACTACAGGTGTGCACCACCACACCTGGCTCCTTTTTTAAAAACATTTTTAAATTTATTTTTTGTTTATTTTATTATTATTTTTGAGATGGAGTCTCACTCTGTTGCCCAGGCTAGAGTGCAGTGGCACGATCTCAGCTCACTGCAACCTCCACCTCCTGGATTCAAGTGATTCTCCTGCCTCAGCCTCCCAAGTAGCTGGGATTACAGGCATGTGCCACCACACCTGGCTAATTTTATGTATTTAAGAGAGACGGGGTTTCACCATGTTGGTCAGGCTGGTCTCGAACTCCCGACCTCAGGTGATCCACCCGCACCGGCCTCCCAAAGTGCTGGGACTACAGGCGTGCGCCACCACACCCAGCATTCCTTTTTTTTTTTTTTTTTTTTTTTTTTTAAAGTAAAGATTGGGTCCTGGTATGTTGCTCAGGCTGGTCTGGAACTCATGGGCTCAAGTGATCCTCCCGCCTCAGCCTCCCAAAGTGTTGGGATTACAGGAGTGAGCCACCACACCCGGCCTGTATGATTGCCTTTCCACTGCTCCTCCTTGAAGCATGAGCTGCAAACTTCTTTAAAAAGGCTAAAATGAGGCCGGGCATGGTGGCTCACGACTGTAATCCCAGCAAATTTTGCAGTAGCACAATCTCAACTCACTGCTGCCTCCGCCTTCTGGGTTCAAGCGATTCTTCTGCCTCAGCCTCCCAAGTAGCTGGGACTAGAGGTGAGCACCACCACGCCCAGCTAATTTTTGTATTTTTAGTAGAGATGGGGTTTCACCATGTTGGCCAGGATGGTCTCGACATTGTGATCCGCCTGCCTCGGTCTCCCAAAGTGCTGGGATTACAGGTGTGAGCCACTGCACCCGGCCTTCACTTTTTTTTTTCTAGAAAGCATAACTCAGTGGCACTCCACTTCTTTTTTGAGGTATAAATTTCCTTTCCTTGGCTAGGCACAGTGACTCATGCCTGTAATCCCAGCACTTTGGGAGGCCTAGGTGGGCAGATCACTTGAGGTCAGGAGTTCGAGACCAGCCTGGCCAAAATGGTGAAACCCTGTCTCTACTAAAAATACAAATATTAGCCAGGCATGGTGGTGCACACCTGTAGTCTCAGCTACTTGGGAGGCTGAGGCAGGAGAATCGCTTGAACCTGCGAAGCAGAGGTCGCAGTGAGCCACAATGGCACCATTGCACTCCAGCCTGGGTGACAAGAGTGAGACTCCATCTCAAAAAAAAAAAAAAAAAGAAGAAGAAAAAAAGAATCCCTTCATTTCAAAATTGGTGGAACTCTGAATTGTACACTGTTTATGATGGTCCCACGGGGTGGTACCACTCTAGCAGGTAAACAGAAATATACATCCTATCCCAAGTCAGCCACTGGGAACAGCAGCGTCCAGGTGTGCTGGGACTCAGGCATGTGGAGCTTCATTGAGTGGTCCCGGACATGCTCCAGCTAACAAGCGCATCATCAGTGTTGTAATCACTTCTGCAGAATGGTTAGCTGAGACAAAGTGCTGCGAGGAAGTGCTCCGATCCCTGTGAGAGCACTTGTTGTAATTTATGTGTGAGCATTTTGCAAAATACTAGCAGTGATGCAGAGAGCAAAGGCTCAACGAAAGCAAAACAATACTACAATGGCAGTAGAATTTGTGTTCTAAGGATCATGCCCCCAACTGTAGAGTTATTCTTATGAGAAATTATTCCTGAGTTTTTGAGTTGTAAATGATAAAGTCTTCAGAAACCTGCCATTCTCATGAAATGTAATTGACTCGATCAGATTCTGATCCCTAGGAGATGACCTCGGCTGGAAAGGAAGTACTGCCCTCCCAGCCTTTCCCATATAATCTGGGACTCCAGGATACAGGAGAAGAAACTAACAACTTTTTTATGCTTACTCATCTTCTCAATTTTTTTTTTGAGACGGAGTCTTGCTCTGTTGCCCAGGCTAGAGTAGCGTGGCAAGATCTTGGCTCACGGCAACCTTTGCCTCCCGGGTTTAAGCGATTCTCCTGCTTCAGCCTCCCGAGTAGCTGGGATCACCAGCGTGCGCCACCATGACCCCCTAAGTTTTGTATTTTTAGTAGAGGTGGGGTTTCGCCATGTTGGCCAGGCTGGTCTCGAACTCCTGACCTCAGGTGATCCGCCCGCCTCGGCCTCCCAAAGTGCTGGGATTGCAGGCATGAGCCACCACGCCCAGCCTCACCTTCTCCCATCTAACCCTTGGAGCGCTACCTGATTCCATCATCTTCTCCACCTACCACTCATCCTTTGTCAAGTGTTTTTTTTTTTTTCTTCAACAGATGAGGAGACTGAAGCTCTGGTAGGTTAAGTTGCCCAAGACCACACAGCTGGCCATCAGTACAACTGGGATTTGAACCTAGGTCATCTTGACACCAAAGCACACCCTGTGTTGTCATTTCCACCATCAAAAACTTGGCAGGAGGGTCAAGCACCGTGGCTCATGCCTGTAATTACAGCACTTTGGGAGGCTGGGGTGGGAGGATCACTCCAAGCCAGGAGTTGGAGACCAGTCTGGGCAACATAGCGAGACCCCATCTCTACAAGAAAAAAGGAGCTGGAAGTGGTGGTGCCTGCCTGTAGTCCCAGCTACTTGGGAGGCTGAGATGGGAGGATCACTTGGGTCCAGGAGGTTGAGGTTGCAGTGAGCTGTGATTATACCACTACACTCCAGCCTGTGTAACAGAACAAGACCCTCTCTAAATCTAAAAAAAAAAAAAAGAAAAAAAAAACCCAACAGGAATAAACAGGTGTCTCCCTGTGATGAGGGTACAGGGAAGGTATTTCTCAATAAGATATCATTATTCTTTCATAAATTATTCGAACATTAGGAAGCACCCTTGAATGGGATGATTTTGAAGATTGTATAGGTGGAAACGGTCACACCTTCTCTCCAGACATAATGTTACCATCATGTGGTTAACATGGCAATGGTATGTATGTCAATCAGCAAACTCAATCAGTGATTCACTTGCAAGATTTTATTTTAGTGCGTCAGCAGACGTTTCATTTCATGGAGTCAAGGAGAGGTTGATGCAGGCAGGGCAGGAAATTGCAACACAGGGGCCAGGCGCGGTGGCTCACGCCTGTAATCCCACCACTTCGAAAGGCTGAGGCAGGCAGATCACTTGAGGACAGGAGTTCGAGACCAGCCTGGCCAACATGGCAAAACCCCATCTCTACTAAAAATACAAAAATTAGCCAGGCATGATGGTGCATGCTTGTAATCCCAGCTATTTGGGAGGCTGAGACATGAGAATCGCTTGAACCCAGGAGGCGGAGGTTGTAGTGAGCCAAGATTGTGCCACTGCACCCCAGCCTGGGCGACAGCGTGAGACTCTGTTTCAGGGAAAAACAAAAACAAAAACGAAAATTGCAACACAGGCTGCAAGGGCAAACTGTCAAATGTTTCCTGATTCTCTGGGAAACTGCAAGGTTATTTATCTATCCACTCGCCAAACACAAATGACGAAATAAAAGCATGAGACCCTGGATAATTTACCCATTGCCAGATTACAGGCCAGCACTACCTTATAAAACAGCGTAATTCTGAAAGTGAAGTAGCTGTGTTCTCGATTAAATTGAAAGTAGAAATCAATTGAATTGCATAAGCATAATTCTAGGGGACTTACATAACACATTTTTCTTTTCGAAATCCTTTTACATTTGTTATCTTATCTCTGCACAACCTCCCTACTTTGGACAAACTTTTATTATAGCACTTATCACCCTGTAGTTAATGTTTAGTGTACATGTCTGTCTTCCCATTGGTTTATAACCTTCTTCAGGGCAGAGACCCTGCCGTATTTATGCATCTATAAAGCCCTAGCACTTGGTAAGGTATGAGTTAGGACTTGTTTTGTTAGGAAACTGACAGAAACCCACTGGATGCAGTTTAAGCAACAAGCGAGCTTTGTTTCAAGCAGCTCCAGGGCAGGGATGCAGCCACGTCTAGGATGACTGGGTACCAGGCTCTCTCACATTTCCTCATCTCCCTGCCTGCCTCATTAACACCTCTGCAGAAGTGTCTTTCATTGCTTCCTGGTCCACTGAAAACCTGGCTGCCAACATATCCTGAGTTAACGTGCAACTTGCCCAGCCCTGCATTGACAGCCTCAATCACCGTCTGGGCCCCGACCTCCCCAGTCTCCTCAGGCCTAGGCTCTGATTGTTCCGCCTCAGTGAGGTGTTCACCTCTAGTCCATTCAACGGCCAGAGGGCTGTTCCTATGGTAACCATGTGCCCGGGCAGGAAGGAAGAAGGCACAGTTCCCAGAAAAAAAGGGAGAAGGGGCAGGGCAGCTCAAACAATAAGTGGCTACGTCCGTGTGTATATACTTGGTGCTCTATAAATGCTCACTGTGATCTGCCTTGCTCTGAATGCTGCTGCAATGCCCGCCTTCTTTTAGTTCCGCAAACACACGTGCTCTTTCTGGCCTCAAGGGTTCCCATGTGTGGTTTTCACTTCCCGATGGCTCTTCCCTGTCTGCACCCCTTGGCCTGGCTGATGTCTACTCTTCCTTTGGGTTAGCATCTGGACTTGCCACCTCTTTAGAAGGCCTTTCCTGACCTGTGCCCAGAATACCCTGTACTCGCTTTCTTTCTCTCTTTTTCTTTCTTTCTCTCTCTCTCTCCTTCCTTCCCTCCTTCTTTCTTTCTTTTCTTTTTTTCAGTCTCACTTTGGCTTACTGTGATCTGCCTTGCTGGAGTGCAGTGGCACCATCTCAGCTCACTGCAACCTCCGTCTCCCGGGTTCAAGCGATTCTCCTGCCTCAGCCTCCCAAGTAGCTGGAACTACAGGCATGCACCACCACGCCCGGCTAAGTTTTTATATTTTTTAGTAGAGATGGGGTTTCACCTTGTTGGCGCACCACCATGCCCGGTTAATTTTTGTATTTTTAGTAGAGACAGGGTTTTACCTTGTTGGCCAGGGCAGGTCTCGAACTTCTGACCTTAAATGATCTGCCACCCTTGGCCTCCCAAAGTGCTGGGATTACAGGCATGAGCCAGTGCTTCTGGCCACCCTGTGCTATTTCTTCAAAACCCTCACCACCTTGCAGTTACTTGTTTAATTCCTGCCTGTCAGTTCCAGGGCTGCCAGCAGTCCCTGCAAAGGAATTAGCCGGCAACCTGCCGGGGTGAGGGTGGCGGGGAGTTAATGCGCCATGAAGCAAACCTTTGACTGATGGGAGATGGGGAAAGTGGATACATTCTGGCCCTTTTCATCCTCAATGGACTTTCAAGAGGAGGAGCCTCATAGCCACTATGGTTCCTTCTCTCCTCTCTCCCATGGTCTCTCCTCGGTGCTCTCTGCGATGGCCCTCACTTATAGAGTAGGATCAAACAGGCCTTTACCTCAAGGTTTCTGGGAACCCAAGCCAAGTTACCAACTCTGGCTGGCGTTAAGTAGAAACTTCCGTGTACGAAGCACAGTGCTGAAGCGATGCGTGAGGAGGCCCCTCTGCCCACCTCTGGGCTTTGCTTTCCTCCACATTAGGCAGCCTCTCCCTCCACGGAAGCAGTTTGCCACCAGCAGCTCCGGCTTTTTCCTAAGTGCAAATGATGTTCCTTTCCCATAGTTTCAGCCTAAGTCCTGGGCTCTGCCTCGCAGACTCTGATTGGTCCATAGAGGGACATGTGTTCTCCTTGGACCCAATCGCTGTGGGGGGTGGACACCGACCTTGATCTCCAGGTATGCATTTTTCAAGCGTCAGGAGCAGTGGTACCAGGAATAGGGAGCAGATGAGGCCCAGGAATTGCAAACAGGGTGTGGTATGGGAGAAAGGACCAACACAGAAGATAAGGATCCCTGGGGCCATCTTGGAGGCTGCCTTCCACAGCTCCCCGTTGAGTCCTCTGGGGATCAGCCCTATCTACCTACTTCCTGCAAAACTTTTTCCATGTTGTATTATTGATGCTTTGCCTTATTTCCAGATTGCAAACTCTTTGAGGGCAGCGACTAAATCTTGTTCATCTTTCCTTTCGTTTTTAGCCCCTAGAATTTCTTTCTTTTTCTTTTTTTTTTTTTTAAGACAGAGTCTCACTCTGGCTGGAGTGCAATGGCGTGATCTCGGCTCACCGCAACCTCCTCCTCCCAGGTTCAAGCGATTCTCCTGCCTCAGTCACCCGAGTAGCTGGGATTACAGGCATGTGCCATCACGCCCGGCTAATTTTTTATTTTTAGTAGAGACAGGATTTCTCCATGTTGGTCAGTCTGGTCTCGAACTCCTGACCTCAGGTGATCCGCCCGCCTCGGTCTTCCAAAGTGCTGGAATTACAGGCGTAAGCCACCACGCCTGGGCCAAAATTTCTAATATAGAATATATATTTAATAAATGTCAAAATAGGCTGGGTGCAGTGGCTCACACCTATAATCCCAGCACTTTGGGAGGCCGAGGTGGGAGGATCGCTTGAGTTGAGGAGTTTGAGACCAGCCTGGGCAACAAAGTGAGACCTTATCTCCACAAAAGATTAAAAAATTAGCGGAGCATAGTAGCGTGTGTCTGTGGTCCCAGCTACACAGGAGGCTGAGGCAGGAGGATCGCTTGAGCCCAGGAGGTTGAGATTGAGGCTGCTCTGAGCTATGCTCATGCCACTGCACTCCAGCCTGAGTGACAAAGTGAGACCCTGTCTCAAAAAAAAAAGTTTTAAAAAAATGTCAAATTAAGGCTGAATGCATTCTTGAATGAATATAAATGAATGAATTAGTGACTACCTGGATGGATAGTTCAAAAGACTAGAGTAGATACTGTGAAATATTATATTATTAATTTCCCCCATTTTCTGCAGGCCAGATCCCTAATGAGTTGGTTACTCAGATCTCGCTTCTTTTTTCTCTGATTACTACTTCCCACTTCCCCGCCCCCACACCCTATGGTTATAGAACCCAAGGTCTTGGTCGCCAAATTGGAATAACATCCAGCCCTCTAGTCACAGCTGGTTGGACACTTACCAGGAGGCACCAATGGGCTCCTTCTTAGGGAGTTTGAAGTTGGGACTAAAAGAGGCCAAGCTTTGGTCTGGCTTCTTTTTTCTCAGGAGGGACATGAAAACCTGGATAGTGTTAGCAATAGCAATTCTTTGTTCTGTGGACTGGGGAGCAGAGAAAGTCAATCTGCCAGAACAGGAGACAGAATGACCCCATAGGAATGCGAATAAAGAGAGAGAGAAGGGTGGCCTAGGGCTACTGAAACACACCAGTTCCTGCTTCCAGTCCAGTCCTGAGATCCCAGCAGCATCTCTAGTCTTGGTCCCTATGAAACCAAGATTCTTCGTTTTTGTTTTTTGGTTTTTTTTTTTTTTTTCGAGATAGGGTCTCACTCTGTCACCCGGGCTAGAGTATAGTGGCATGATCATACCTCACTGCAATCTCCACCTCCCAGGCTCAAGTGATCCTCCCACCTCAGCCTCCTGAGTAGCTGGGACTACAGGCACGTGCCACCACACCTGGCTAATTTTTTAAAAAATTTTGTAGAGACAGTGATTTCACTATGTTGCCCAGGCTGGTCTCCAACTCCTGGGCTCAGGCAATCCTTCCGCCTCGACCTCCCAAAGTTTTGGGATTACAGGTGTGAGCCACCATGCCTGGCTGAGACCAAGATTCTTACAGTCAATGGGATTGAAGTGGTGGTGTGCTAGAGCCACTCACCATGCCCATGTGAGCCAATTGGGCATACTTCTTCAGTGACCTCACATTGGTAGCTTGAAATTGGCCATGGGGGGGACTGGGCACGGTGGCTCACACCTGTAATCCCAGCACTTCGGGAGGTGGGTGGATCACCTGAGGTCAGGAGTTAGAGACCAGCCTGGCCAACATGGCGAAACCCCGTCTCTACTAAAAATACAAAAATTAGCTGGGCATGGTGGTGGGTGCCTGTAATCCCAGCTACTCAGGAGGCTGAGGCAGGAGAAACACTTGAACTCAGAAGGCAGAGGTTGCAGTGAGCCGAGATCGCACCACTGCACTTCAGCCTGGGTGACAGAGCCAGACTCTGTCTCAATAGAAAAAGAAAAGAAAGAAAGAAAGAAAGAAAGAAAGAAAGAAAGAAAGAAAGAAAGAAAGAAAGAAAGAAAGAAAGAAAGAAGGAAGGAAGGAAGGAAGGAAGGAAGGAAGGAAGGAAGGAAGGAAGGAAGGAAGGAAGGAAGGAAGGAAGGAAGGAAAGAAAGAAAGAAAGAGGCCATGGGGGCAGTATTTACACCACAGAAATTGGTAATTACTACCAATCAGGTATCCCTCCTTAAGAGCTGGTTATTAAACATTTACAGGCATGCCACAGGATTTAAGGCCATTCTGAGGAATTTCTGTAACTTACAGCTTAGAGTCTTTCTGATTAAAACATTTGCCGGGCAAATTCCTCTTCATGCTTTGAGACCCAGTAGATTGCCTGTGAGAGGCCTCCCCTGATGTTTGTAGGAAGCTTGTTCTCGGCTATTCATTGTGTCCCTTAGATATGATGAGACTTACCAGAACTCTGAGGGTTACATGACACAGGCCATGAGTAAAACCGAGACCCACCTAGGCAATAACTGTCTATTGCCCTAAGAGTGACGTCCGTGCTCCTCCGAGTGGTGGCCCTTGTCCTTCTTGTACGTCCAGACTCTTTCATGCTACCCCATCTCCATGCCCTGGCCCCTTAGCCTTCTCAATCTCTGGCCCAGACTCTGCTTAATGAGCTGTCGATCGTTTGCAGAATCTGATAAAGATCATGGACTTTCTCGCGCAAGAAACACACAGACACAAAATCATATGCATGTTGTTTCAAGATATTCATGGACCAAATATCTTCTTTACTCAGAAGTCTTTCCTGCATCCTGTGTGTCCCACTCTACCCCAAGCATGCTTCTATCTCAGGATTTAGCATTTTCAAATTTATGTTGATTTTCAAGTCCTTTACTACACTGGAGCTTCTCAGGGGAAGCACCTATTATTGTGTTAGTTATGAGTACAAGGATGACTGAGGTGTGATTGAGGTGTGTACCAACATCTAATTTCTAATCATGAGCTCATGGTGGCCGGGCGCAGTGGTTCACGCCTGTAATCCCAGCACTTTCGGGGGCCGAGGTGGGCGGATCACTTGAGGTCAGGAGTTCGAGACCAGCCTGGCCAACATGGTGAAACCCCATCATCTCTACTAAAAATACAAAAATTAGCTGAGCATGGTGGTGCATGCCTGTAATCCCAGCTACTCAGGAGGCTGAGGCAGGAGAATTGCTTGAACCCAGGAGGTGGAGGTTGCGGTGAGCCGAGATCACGCCACTGGACTCCAGCCTGGGTGATAGAACGAGACTCTGTCTCAAAAAAAAAAAAAAAAAAAAAAGAGATCACAGTGTAGCTACAGCCACAGCCCAGCTGTCTAAGCACAAAGGTGCCATTGAGGATGGCATTAGCATTGGTAAGGGACGAAGATTCCAACCAAAGATAGGCCTGGCACACGCAGAAGTGGGGGAGGAGGAGTCACCATGGCCAGTATATTCCCAGCATCCGTGGGATGAGGGGGCTCAGGGTGTGGGGAAGTGCCTTGGGCGAAGGAAGAGGAGCACCTCAAATATGGTACCAGGGGAAGAACCTGTACTTTGGGGTCTCAGAGATCTAGGTTCCCATTCTTGCTCCATCCCTTATGGCTTATAACTGTGAGCAAGTCACTTTGTCTTTCTGAGATTTAGTTTTCTCGCCCGTCAAAACATACTTTATTGCCAGGCATGGTGGCACACGCCTGTAGTACCAGCTACTTGGGAGGCTGAGGTGGGAGGATCTCTTGAGCCCAGGAGTTTGAGGCTGCAGAAGAATTTGAGGACCATGTTTGCTCAGTCCCCTGTATGAACCCATCCTCTGCCCACACAGGTCTCTTCCTCCTGCCTGACTCCCCAGATAAGCTGGCCGAGTCCTCAGACGTGACCAGGGGAAAGGGAAAGAGACCAAAGTCGCAAGTTAAAATAGTATCAATCTGGCCGGGCACCATGGTTCACGCCTATAATCCCAGCACTGTGGAAGGCCTAGGCGGAAGGATCGCTTGAGCCCAGGAATTTGAGACCAGCCTGGGCAACAAAGTGAGACCCATCTCTACAAAAAATAAAAAAATTAGCTGGGCCTGATAGCATGTACCTGTGGTCCCAGCTACTCAGGAGGCTGAGGTGGGAGGATCACTTGAGACTGGGAGGTCGAGGGTGCATAAGCCATAATCGCGCCACTGCACTCCAGTCTGGGTCACAGAGCGGGACGCTGTCTCAAACAATTTTTAAATGAAATAGTCTCAACCCCTCTGCTCCCCTTGCCCATCAAATAGCCTCCTCCTTACAATATGGCTTCCCATTTAGCCTGCTTATAGGTGCAACATGAACCGACCTCCTGGAGAAAACATGGGGCCTCGGGGAGGATGGAATATTGAATTTGTGTCCTGCCTGTAGAAAGAAGGTAATGGAAGGGGCTGAACTGCCGTACACCTTTGAAGAAGGCTGAAGGTACGAAACCTGAAGCTTCTCCAACACCCCCAGGGTGGGCGTCCAACCGCTTCTAGGGTGCCTGATGCTAAGGTAGCTGCTCTTCGAGAGCAACCAACCAACCCCCTTCTTTTTGTTTTGTTTTGTTTGAGACAGAGTCTTGCTCTTGTCGCCCAGGCTGGAGTGCAATGGCATGATCTCAGCTCACTGCAACCTCTGCCTCCTGGGTTCAAGTGATTCTCCTGCCTCAGCCTCCAGAGTAGCTGGGACTACAGGCACCCCCACCATGCCTGGCTAATTTTTGTCTTTTTAGTAGAGACGGAGTTTCACCATGTTGGCCAGGAAGGTCTCGAACTCCTGACCTCAGGTGATCCACCCGCCTCAGCCTCCCAAAGTGTTGGGATTACAGGTTTGAGCCACCGTGCCTGGCAACCCCCTTCTTTTAACTCTATCCTCAAGTACCACTGCAATGACTAAAGCAACGTCTATCACCTTGTGTTAGCATGACTCGATGTGCCAGGCATTGTGTGAGAGGTTTTGTGTATATGATCTCTCTTTTTTTTTTTTTTTTGAGACAGGGTCTCACTCTGTCACCCAGGCTGGAGTGCAGTGGCATGATCATGGTTCATTGCAGCCTCAGCCACTCAGGCTCAAGTGATTCCCCCACCCCAGCCTCCCAAGTGGCTGGGACCACAGGTGTGTGCCACCACACCTGATTAATTTTTGTATTTTTTGTGGAGACGGAGTTTCACCATGTTACTCAGGCTAGTCTTGAATCCCTGGGCTCAAGTGATCCTCCCCCTTTAGCCCCTCTAGTAGTTGATACCACAGGTGTGCACCACCATGCCTGGCTAATTTTGTTTATTTAACATAGAGACAAGGTCTCACTATGTCGCTCAGGCTGGAGTGCAATGGTGTAATCCCACAGCCTTGAACTCCTGCGTTCAAGGGATTCTCCCGCCTCAGCCTCCCGAGTAGCTGGGACTACAGGCACGTACCACCATGCCCAGCTAATTTTAATATTTTTAGAAGAGATAGGGTTTTGCCATGTTGTCCAGGCTGGTCTCGAACTCCTGGGCTCAACCAATCCTCCTGCCTCTGCCTCCCAAATTGCTGGGATTCCAGGTGTAAGCCACCGTGCCCGGCCTGTTACCTCTTCTGAGTCCTCACAGCACTAGTAGGAGGAGGCACTATTATTGTCCCTGTTTTCTAGATGAGGATACTGAGTCTAGAGAAGTGGAGGAACCTGCCCGAGGTCACAGGGCAAACATTAATTTGGGAATTCTCCAAGTCCAGCGCTACTGCCCTGTTCCCCACTGCGGTGCTCCTTTGACCTCCCGCTGCCTGTCTGAGGCTGCCCATGCTCTGGCTAGTTCTGGCTTTGTCCAGGAAATAAAGCCCCAGGTTCACAAATGATGTCAGTGCCAAGCTTTTTCAAAAGGTATTATTATGTAATATTTAACACATACAAGAGAAAATATGTCACATATATGTAATTCAAAAAACATAACAATAACAACAGTTCCCCTGCCCCTCAAACCTACCTCCCAACTTAAAAATATACTAGTAAGTTTTCAAAAAACCTTTCATCTTTTGTGTTTTTAGAGATCTGTTGTGTTTTCAAAATGTGAAACCTTTCTCAATATAACCTTCTAACTGGAAACCTGAATATCCCCTGTGGGTTAGCCAGCTGTCTCCCTCTACCATCTTTTCCTGGAGGGGTAGGTGCTTGACTGCAGTATTTTTTTAAAAATTTTTTTTAACTTTAAAATTTAATTTTTTTTTAAAGAGATGAGGGTCTTACCAAATTTAATTATTTTTTAAAGAGATGGGGGTCTTACTAAATTTAATTATTTTTTAAAGAGATGGAGTCTTATTAAATTTAATTATTTTTTAAAGAGATGGGGGTCTTACTGTGTTGTCCAAGCTAGTCTCAAGGTCCTGGGCTCAGGCCATCCTCCTGCCTCAGTCTTTCAAGTAGCTGGGACTATAGGTATGTGCCACCATGCATTTTTTTTTTTTAATCACACTTCTGTCAGCAAATTCTGTGGGTCTGACCTTGAAAATATATCACAAATCCAACCGTCTCTTCTGCCCTGATCTAAGTCACAATATGGCTGGACTCCTGCAGTAATCTCCCAGGCATTCTCCATCAGGCAGCTGTGGTGAGGTTTTTTTGTTTTGTTTTGTTTTTTAAAAAGAAAAAAAGGAAATTGGTCCAGGCTCAGTGGCTCACACCTGTAATCCCAGGACTTTGGGAGGCCGAGGCAGGTGGATCACCAGGTCAGGAGTTCAAGACCAGCCTGGCCAACATAGTGAAACTCCGTGTCTACTAAAAATATAAAAATTAGCTGGGTATGGTGGTGCACACCTGTAGTCCCAGCTACTCAGGAGGCTGAGGCAGGAGAATCGCTTGAACCCGGGAGGCAGAGGTTGTGGTGAGCTGAGATTGTGCCACTGCACTCCAGCCTGAGCAACACAGCAAGACTCTGTCACAAAAAAGAAAAAAAAAAAAAAGAAATGGGCCGGGTGTAGTGGCTCACACCTGTAATCCCAGCACTTTGGGAGGCCAAGGTGGGTGGATCACCCAAGGTCAGGAGTTTGAGACCAGCCTGGCCAACATGGTGAAACCCGGTCTCTACTAAAAATACAAAAAGGTATCCAGGCATCATCCCAGCTCCTCCAGAGGCTGAGGCAGAAGAATTGCATGAACCCAGGAGGTGGAGGTTGCGGTGAGCCCAGATGGCGCCATTGTACTCCAGCCTGGGCAAGAGCAAAACTCTGTCTCAAAAAATAAAAAAATAAACAAAAAAGGAAATCAAGGGCCGGGTATGGTGGCTCACACCTGTAATTCCAGCACTTTGGGAGGCCAAGGTGGGAGGATCGGTTGAGCCCGGGAGTTTGAGATCTACCTGGGCAGCACAGCGAGACTTCATCTTTGCCAAAAAAATAAAATTAGCCAGGCATGGTGACAACTGCCTGTGATTCCAGCTACTCAGGAGGCTGAGGTGGGAGAATTGCTTGAACCCAGGAGATCGAGGCTGCAGTGAGCTGTGATTGCGCCACGGCACTCCAGCCAGGGCGACAGAGCGAGACTCTGTTTCAAAAAAAGGAAATCAGATGATGTTTCTCCCTGCTTGGTCCTGACCCTGGGACACACCTGTCCTGCTAGTTCAACACTGAATCCTCAGCACTGACCAAGGAGATGGGAAGAGAGTTCCTGGTCTGGCCACAGTTGACAAGGCCTTATGGTGCTTCCCTCTTTCCCTGCAGGAGATGAGCTGACACTCACTGTTCCCTTTTTCCAGAAGCCTTTCCCAGACATGCTCATGGCTCATGCCTTCCTCCATTTGCCTCTGCTCATTGGCACATCTGCCCTGACCTCTGACCTGCTCGACCCCTTTCCACTCCCCTGGTTCTCAGCCCACCACCGGTGAGATCAAATACGCCCTTTTTATAACACATAGTAATGTGCCCTCCCCTTTAAAAGCATGAAATAAATTCACAGGCAATAAAATCTACCTAAGCATACACTTTAAAAAATCAATAGGATGTAGTGTAATTTATGGAAGAAAGAAAAGGAAATTAAGTTTTAAAATTTTATTTATTTATTTATTTGAGACAGAGTCTTGCTCTGTTGCGCAGGCTGGAGTGCAGTGGCATGATCTCAGCTCACTGCAACTTCCACCTCCCCGGTTCAAGCAATTCTCCTGTCTCAGCCTCCCGAATAGCTGGGACTACAGACACATGCCACCACGCCCAGCTAATTTTTGTATTTTTAGTAGAGATGGGGTTTCACCATATTGGTCAGGCTGGTCTCCAACGCCTGACCTCAGGTGATCCACCTGCCTCGGCCTCCCAAAGTGCTGGGATTACAGGCATGAGCCACTGAGCCCAGTCAGGAAATTAACTTTTTTTTTTTTTTTTTGAGATGGAATCTCACTCTGTTGTCCAGGCTGGAGTGCAGTGGCATGATTTCAGCTCACTGCAACCTCTGCCTCCCAGGTTCAAGCAATTCTGCCTCAGCCTCCTGAATAGCTGGAATTACAGGCATGCGCCACTACACCCGGCTAAGTTTTGTATTTTTAGTAGAGACAGGGTTTCGCCATGTTGGCCAGGCTGTTCTCAAACTCCTGACCTCAGGCAATCTGCCCGCCTTGGCCTCCCGAAGTGCTGGGATTACAGACATGAGCCACTGCGCCTGGCGGAAATTAACTTTTAATAATTGAATACATAACTTCAGTAAATGAATGCCCTGGTGGCTATCTGCAAATATGCGTAGACTGATAGAGATTGTGAGATGTTGACTTGAAATCGGCAGAGACGTGATTTCCTAAAACAATAAAAAACTCTCGGTGGAGTCCCAAACAAAACGAAGTACAGCCTTCCCTCCATATACAAAGTTCTTGAATTCCTGGAAATTCACTGAGTGATAAATCTGTGTACAAAATACTTCGTGCTTGATTATAAAACCAAGTGAGGGGCAGGGCGCGGTGGCTCACGCCTGTAATCCCAGCACTTTGGGAGGCCAGGGTGGGTGGATCATGAGGTCAGGAAATCGAGACCATCCTGGCTAGCATGGTGAAACCCCGTCTCTACTAAAAATACAAAAAAGTAGCCAGGCGTGGTGGCGGGCGCCTGTAGTCCCAGCTACCCGGGAGGCTGAGGCAGGAGAATGGCGTGAACCAGGGAGGCGGAGCTTGCAGTGAGCCGAGATCGCGCCACTGCACTCCAGTCTGGGAGACAGCGAGACTGTCTCAAAAAAAACCAAAAAACCAAAAAAACAAAAACCAAGTGAGGTTCTAGGCTCAAATACTTACAAACAGAATTTTCACATGCATGGATGTCTGCTGAGACATTCTAAAGTCACGTGAGGAGATCAGTTTTCATCTCCTCACCTCTCCAACTATCTTGTGCATCGCAGCATGTCTGGCTTGTCTGACTCCAGCCAGCTGAGTGCCTGCTGTGCCCCCAGTCAATGGGACAACTAGAAAAAAACCTATAGAAATTTAAAAAATGTACACTAGGCGGCGCTGCCACCCTGGGCGAGAACCATATCTAGGCCCTCGTTTTATTCTGTTTCTCCTCACCCATCACTGACCACGTGAGATTGCAGTCTGCATTTTTTGTTTGTGTATGGCTTGTTTCCACGACTAGAGTGTGGGCTGCAGGAGGGCAAGGCTTTGTTTCTTTCTGTTTAAAAATGATGTGTGTGTGTATGTGTGTATGTGTGTTTATATATTTGTGTGTGTGTGTGTGTGTGTGTGTATATATATATATATACATATACTTTTTTTTTTTTTTTTGGTGAGACGGAGTCTTGCTTGTCACCCAGGCTGGAGTGCAGTGGTGCCATCTCGGCTCACTGCAACCTCTGACTCCCGGGTTCAAGCGATTCTTCTGCCTCAGCCTCCCAAGTAGCTGGGATTACAGGCATGTGTCACCACGCTAGGCTAATTTCTTTTTGTGTTTTTAGTGGACACGGGGTTTCACCATATTGGCCAGGTTGGTTTCGAACTCCTGACCTTGTGATCCAACCCCTTCAGCCTCCCAAAGTGCTGGGATTATAGGCATGAGCCACGGCGCCCAGCCTATATTTTTGTATTTTAAAAGCCGGATATATTTGTAAAAGATCATGCTTACAATCAGTAAATTACGTAGTAAAGAAACATCAAAATAAAGTAGATGAATAAAAGGCACACTCGAAAAATCCGAGAGCAGAAAAGACAGTTCTTTTTGTTTTATTTCTAATGTAGGCAGAAAGAAAAAGAGATATGTTAAAATTATTTTTTTCAAGAGAAGTTTTCTGTCAGTTGGAGTAATTAGCATTGGCTTCTTTTTGCCTGTGTCTAAAGCAGGATTTTCCTGCACTGGCTTCTGAGGAGGTTCAGCCTTCTGCCATGTGTGCCTTGATAGGCGACGGCCACTGCTGACATGGCAGGGATCACTCAGTTGGTCCACCAACTGGAGCTAGAATCAACAGCAGTGATAAGAGTTTCCGAAGCTTGTTTAACTTTGGTCTGTCGTCTGGATGGGGCTCCTGAATGATATATGTTTTGGACAATTCCATGGCATCTCAAAGATGCCCGACATCCTCAAAATTCTCAGTAGCGTCACCTCCAGCTTGTTCCCTTAAGACTTCTTCCCCACCAGAATGCTCTTCCAGAAATTTGGTCAAATAGTACACTTGTGGTGCAGAATCAGTCAGGTGCTCTTGCTGTCGTTGTGCTTCTGAATCTCCTCTAGGGTGTAGTACTTCACGGCCTCGTCCAGCTGCTCGGCCGTCTCGGTTGGCTGCGAGCCAGGCCCAGCACACACAGCCTCGTCGGGTGGAGTAGAGCTTGTGACTCCGCCAGCTCCACCTGGGACATTCCCCTCGCCAGGCACCACACCAGGGGCTGGGCGGCCGGCTCAGGGGCGGGGCGACGTAGAAGCACATATGTATATATATATTTTAGAAACAGGGTCTTACTATGTTCCCAGGTTGGTCTTGAACTCCCGGGCCCCAGTGACCCTCCTGCCTCGGCCTCCCAAAGTCTCAGGATTACAGGCGTGAGCCACTGTGCCTGGCCAAGGTTTTGTTTCTTCCGCTGGTGTACCCCCAATGCCAACAACAGTGCCTGGCAATGACTGGGCTCGCCAAGGGGGAGTGGATAAATGAGTGGTATCCAAGCCCTCCCTAGTTTCCATCCTTAGAACTCTACGTTAAAGAGTGTTCGGAATCAGTTCTTTTTCTTTTTTGAGATGGAGTCTTGCTCTGTCGCCCAGGCTGGAGTGCAATGGTGCGATCTCGGCTCACTGCAACCTCTGCCTCCTGGGTTCAAGTGATTCTCCTGCCTCAGCCTCCTGAGTAGCTGAGATTACTCAAAGTGACCTACCTTCAGTCACTTTTAAATCCAACTCCCAATTTTGGACAACATAGAGATTTTTGAATCTCTTTCTTTGCTCACATTGTGTTTTTGTTTTATTTTGTTTTTTTGAGATGGAGTCTCACTCTGTTGTCCCACCATGATCTCGGCTCACTGCAACCTCCACCTCCCAGGTTCAAGCAATTCTCCTTCCTCAGCCTCTCAGGTAGCTGGGATTACAGGTGTGCACCACCATGCCTGGCTAATTTTTGTATTTTTAGCAGAGACAGGGTGTTTACCATGTTGGCGAGGTTGGCCTCAAACTCCTGACCTCAAGTGATCTGCCCGCCTCAGACTCCCAAAGTGCTGAGAGTACAGGTGTGAGCCACCGTGCCTGGGCTCACATTGGTTCGATTTTACTCTGACAATGGTTCCTGCCAGCCAGGCACTGCACCAGTACTGCATAAGCGTCCTCTCATTTGATCCTCCAGGAACTCCCTTCGGTTAGGCACTGTCATTATCCTCACTTGACAAATAAGGAAACTGAGGCTCAATAGAGAGGCTGGGCAACTTTATCAATGTCACACCCACTGAGCGCAAGGCCTGGGTTTTGAATACCAGGCCCTCGCTGTCCATGCGCAGAACCACCGGGCTATATACCCCTCTGGACGCACTTTAGGCAGATCAGTGTGTTACAGTCGAGAGAAGTCTAGTCTAGGAGCCAGAAGACCTGGGTTCAAGGTATTAAGTCGGCCACTGGCTGGCTGTGTGACTTCGGGCGGCCCCTTAACCTCAGCTTCCTAGCTTCCTCATCGACCAAGTGAATAAGGAAGAACCGGCCAAGGCTGGGCACAGTGGCTCACGCCTGTAATTCCAGCACTTTGGGAGGCCAAGGCGGGTGGATCACCTGAGGTCAGGAGTTTGAGACCAGCCTGGCCAACATGGTGAAGCCCCATCTCTACTAAAAATACAAAAATTAACGGGGCATGGTGGTGCATGCCTGTAATCCCAACTTCTCAGGAGGCTGAGGTGGGAGGATCTCTTTAACCCAGGAGGTGGAGGTTGCAGTGAGCTGAGATTGTGCCACTGCACTCTAGCCTGGGTGACAGAGCAAGACTCTGTCTCAAAAAAAAAAAAAAAAAAGGAAGAACCAGCCAAAAAGACAAACTGGACCCAAGGCTGCATGGACTGCTGTATACCTCCTCAGGAGGGAATTCAGCTCTGCTCTGAGCCAGCCAGGGGGCCAGGCATGCCCAGGATGTCCTGGAGAAGGCCCTGAGGACAACATCCACATGGGGGAGGGGCTTCCACTGGAGGGACAGGGGACTGTTCCGGCCTGAAGAGAGAGGACCAGCGGGTGGGTGGGTGAGAAGGACCTTCCAAGGGAGGAAAGTTCGCCGGTTTTCCACGTGTCCTGACATGACCCGGCACTCCTGAACAACAGCCAGAGACAGGGATGGAGGGCAATGTTAACACTCCTCAGGGCGGCCTCCGTCTTAGGTTAGAAGATAAAAAGATCTGATGCCACCCTGAGGGAATCGAAGGCTAGGCACAAAGGGAGGAAGAACTTTCTGTAAGCCAGGGGTATGGATACAGAATGGGGGGCCATGGTGGAGAGAGTGCTGGGGTGAGTAGAGGCATGTCAGGAAAGTTGTCCAGAAGCTTCAAGCCAGGCTTTCCAACATGAAGATGCTATTTGCATATAACCTATGCCCCCTCCACATACACACACACAAAAGACCAAGATGCCTTTCCCTCCTCTTCCCACTAGACCTTAAAAATCCTTTGCGGGCTTTCCTAGGCACGACATGGAGGAAGCTGCTGTGATCTATTCCACCAACCCTGCTGGGGCCAGGCCTGCCTGGATATTTCTGGCTCTCTCAAAAGAAAACAAACCTTTACCCACTAATGTAAGCAGGCAAAATCTTTACCCAACAAAACAAACAAACCAGCTCCTGGAGGTCATGCCCGGCTTTCCTAATATGGCATCGGGTTGGTACCCTTGGCACCCAATCAACATGAGTAGTCCCGCTCCCAGGAGAAGAGGAGAAACAGACTACAGGTGCAGATAAAAGTCACATTCACATTGAGGTGGCTTCAAAGTTGGACAGTGCTCTTCATGGGTAGTGTTGCCAGATAAAATACAGAAGGCCCAGTTAAACTGTAATCCCCCATAAAAAGTGACTATTTTTAAAAAATAGGCTAGGCGTGGTGGTGCACACCTGTAATCCCAGTACTTTGGGAGGCTGAGGTGGGAGGAACGTTTGAGCCCAAGAGTTTGAGACCAACCTGGGCAACATGGCGAGACCTTGTCTCTACAAAAAATTTAAAAAGTTAGCCGAGCATGGTGGCGCCTGCCTGTGGTCTCAGCCACTCAGGAGGCTGAGGTGGGAGAATCACTTGAGCCTGGATGGCTGGGGTGGCAGTTATGACCACACCACTGCACTCCAGCCTGAGTGACATTGCTTAAAAAAATAATAATAATAATTTAAAAAAGTATATCCCACAGCCCATTTGGGACATACTATAAAAATTATTCATTGTTGGCTGGGCATGGTGGATCATACCTCTAATCCCAGCACTTTGGGAGACTGAGGCAGAGGGATCTCTTGAGGTCAGGAGTTCCAGACTAGTCTGAGCAGCAAAGCAAGACCCTGTCTCTAAAAAAATACAAAATTAGTCAGATGAGGCTGAAGTGAGCTATGATGGCATTACTGCCATCTCAAGTAGCTGAGACTTCAGGTGTGAACCCACATGCCTCGCTGCCTCTTTCCTCTCTGACTCTGCAGAGTGTGTAACTGGCCTTAACAGATGTTTGCTAAATAAATGCTTAATCTATGCTACAAACACATGGAATAACTTCGGGGAGGTGCTACCTCACTGTCTTCAGTTTGTCATTTTGATTTTCTTAGTTTGCCTTTTTCAGGCCTGGCCCGGACTCCAGGAAGGAAAACTAGCAGTCCCTACATGTGTGAGAAAACTAAGCCTCTAAGACCTCCTTCTGTTGTAAATGTCTTTATGGCTTCACACACCCGAATGCTCATAGGTTTGCATCTATAGATTTGAATCCATCTACCAGTATAAGAAATCTTAGACAAGCTTAACCAGGCGTGGTGGTGCACGCCTGTAATTGTAACCCCAGCTACTCAGGAGACTGAGGCAGGAGAATCACTTGAACCCAGGAGGCGGAGGTTGCAGTGAGCTGAGATTGTGCCACTGCACTGCAGCCTGGACAACAGAGTGAGACTTTGTATCAAACAAAACAAAACAAAACTACAGTTAAAAAAAAAAAAAAAGTCGGCCGGGTGCGGTGGCTCAAGCCTGTAATCCCAGCACCTTGGGAGGCCGAGGTGGGCGGATCACGAGGTCAGGAGTTCGAGACAATCCTGGCCAACCTGGTGAAACCCCGTCTCTACTAAAAATACAAAAAAATTAGCCGGACGTGGTGGCGGGTGCCTGTAGTCCGAGCTACTCAGGAGGCTGAGGCAGGAGAATGGCGTGAACCCGGAAGGCGGAGCTTGCAGTGAGCTGAGATTGCGCCACTGCACTCCAGCCTGGGGGACAGAGCCAGACTCCTTCTCAAAAAAAAAAAAAAAAAAAAAGTCTTAGCGAAGCAACCAATTGGTTTATGTTAACCGACCCTATAAAAGCAACTACATACATGTTCAAATTTAGCAGAGCGTTGGGGTAAGAAGAATACTCATTTGAGTGTAAAAAAAAGAAAAGTGGAGAATTTATAAACAGTGAAACCATTTCGAGCAGGGTTCAGCAAAACCTTTTCTGGCAAGGGCCAGATGTAAGTATTTTAGGCTTTACAGGCCGTATGGTCTCTGTCGCAACTATTCAGCTCTGCCTTTGCTGCAGGAAAGGAGCCACGGGCAAGATTTAAAGGAATGGGTGTGGCTGTGTTCCAACACAACTTGATTCATGGATGTTGAAATCTGAATTTCCTTTCACTTGTCATGAACTATTATCTTCTTTCGGGACATTGTCTTGCTCTGTCGCCTGGGCTGGAATGCAGTGGCACGATCTTGGCTCACTGCAACCTCTGCCTCCCAGGTTCAAGTGATTCTCCTGCCTTAGCTTCCCGAGTAGCTGGGATTACAGGCGCACGCCACCACACGCAGCTAATTTTTGTATTTTATTTTATTTTATTTTTTTGAGACAGAGTCTCACTCTGTGGCCCAGGCTGGAGTGCAGTGGCGCGATCTCGGCTCGCTGCAACCTCCATCCCCCGGGTTCAAGCGATTCTCCTGCCTCAGCCTCCTGAGTAGCTGGGATTACAGGTGCCTGCCATCGCGCCTGGCTAATTTTTGTAGTTTTAGTAGAGACAGGGTTTCACCATCTTGGCCAGGCTTGTCCTGAACTCCTAACCTCATGATCTACACGCCTCGGCCTCCCGAAGTGCTGGGATTACAGGTGTGAGCCACTGCGCCTGGCCTAATTTTTGTATTTTCAGTAGAGATGAGGTTTTGCCATGTTGGACAGGCCCCTGAGCTCAAGTGATCCACCCGCCTCGAACTCCCGAAGTGCTGGGATTATAGGTGTGAGCCACCACGCCAGGCCCTTTTGATTTTTTTTCCCCTAACTACTTAAAGATATTAAAACCATTCTTAGCTCAAGGGCAGTATAAAAATGGGTGGTTGCTTCTCTCTCCTCTTCCCCACCCAAGCCCCCATATCAAAAAACAAACAAAGACACACCAAAAAAACAAAAGGGTGATGAGTAGGGTTTGGTCTGGCTGTAGGTTGTTGAACCCATGGGCTGTGGTTTCAGCTGGCCCTGCTTTCAGCTCTGACCTCAACATTCACTGACTGTGACCTTGGAAGAGTGCCTTACCCTCTCAGCCCTTCAGTTTTCTCAGCTGGGAAGTGGTAGGAAATAACTGGCCGACAGATGGGGCTGTTATGAGGACTGTATGTGATGCTGCCTGCACAATGTCGAAGGCTTATAAATGCATGCACGGTAGCTATTATTATTATTATTATTTTGAGACAGGTCTTGCTATGTTGCTCGGACTGGTCTTGAACTTGGCCTCAAGTGATCCTCCTACCTCAGGCTCCCAAAGTTCAATATTCTTTACAGTTAAAAAAAAAAAAATAGCTACCTGGCCGGGCACGGTGGCTCACGCCTGTAATCTCAGCACTTTGGGAGGCCGAGGCAGGCGGAGCACCTGAGGTCAGGAGTTCAAGACCAGCCTGGCCAACATGGTGAAACTCCACCTCTACAAAAATACAAACATTAGCCTGGCGAGATGGTGCATGCCTGTAATCCCAGCTACTCAGGAGGCTGAGGCAGGAGAATTGCTTGAACCGGGGAGGCAGAGGTGGTAGTGAGTCGAGATCACACCACTGCATTCCAGGCTAGGCAGCAGAGACTCTGTCTCAAAATAAATAACTAAATAAATAATAGCTACCTGTAATCTCAACTACTAGGGAAGCTGAGGCAGGAGGATCACTAGAGGCCAGGAGTTCAAGGAGTTGCCCTAACCAACCTGGGCAACATAGTGAGATCCTGTCTCTACAAAAATATTAAAAAATTAGCCGTGTGGTGGTACACACCTGTAGTCCCAGCTACTTAGGAGGCTGAGTCGGGAGGATGGCTTGAGCCCAGGAGTTGAAAGCTGCAGGGAGCTACGATTGTGCCACTGCACTCTAGCCTGGACAATAGAGAGACACTGTCTCAAAACAAAACAAAACAAAAAGCAGACTGGGAGTGGTGGCTCACACCTGTAATCTCAGTGCTGTGGAAGGCCGAGATGGAAGGATTGCTTGAGCCCAGGAGTTTGAGATCAGCCTGGGCAACATGGTAAGACCCCATCTCTACAAAAAATAAAAAAAAACAGCTGGGCACGGTGGCTCATGCCTGTAATCCCAGCAATTTGGGAGCCTGAGGTGGGTGAGTCACCTGAGGTCAGGAGTTCAAGACTAGCCTGATCAGCATGGTGAAACCACATCTCTACTAAAAATACAAACAAAAAATTAGCTGGGCATGGTGGCAAGTGCCTGTAATCCCAGGTACTCTGGAGGCTGAGGCAGCAGAATTGCTTGAACCCGGGAGGCGGAGGTTGCAGTGAGCCGAGATTGTGTTATTGCTGTCCAGCATGGGTGACAGAGCAAGACTCCATCTCAAAAAAAAAAAAAAAAAATTGGCAGGCATGGTGGTGCACACCTGTGGTCTCAGCTACTCCAGAAGCTGAGGTGGGAGGTGGGAGGCTCATGTAAGTCTGGGAGGTTGAGGCTGCAGTGATTGCACCACTGCACTTCAGCCTGGGCAACAGAAAAAGACTCTCCCAGAAAAAAAAAATATATATATAGATATAGATATAGATAGATATAGATATAGATATAGATATAGATATAGATATAGATATAGATATAGATATAGAAGTCTGGGTGCCAAGGCTCACACCTGTAATCCCAGCACTTTGGGAGGCTGAGGCAGGCAGATCACTTGAGGTCAGGAGTTTGAGACCAGCCCGACCAACATGGTGAAACCCCATCTCTACTAAAAATACAAAAATTAGTCAGGTGTGTTGGCAGGTGCCTGTAATCCCAGCTGCTTGGGTAGCTGAGGCAGGAGAATTGTTTGAATCCAGGCCACAGGGCAAGACTCTGTCTCAAAAAAAAGAAAAAACATATATATATATATACACAGAGAGAGAGAGAGAGAATATTGAGAACCTGATTATAAATGATGATGACAATTTTATGCTTTATTTCTCCCATATTTTGGTGTAGTGTAATAGTTCTCAATCTCCATGGGCACCTAAGCGCCTCGGGGCAGACTTGTCTTTTGCATTTCCTGATGCTAATCTTGGATGCAGAGAGTTTGCTTCATTTCACTGCATATCATTATCACTGGCACATGTGAGGTGCAGCTCTTGTTTATTTTGGGGGTCCAACTTTCCCTCCAAGCCCCTTCTCCCCTAATAATTCCTTTTTTTTTCTTTTTTTGAGACCAAGTCTCGCTCTGTCACCCAGGCTGGAATGCAGTGGTGCAATCTCAGCTCACTGCAACCTCTGCCCCTAGGGCTCAAGCAGTTCTCCTGTTTCAGCCTCCTGCGTAGCTGGGACTACACTACCATGCCCGGCTAATTTTTGTATTTTTAGTAGAGACAGGGTTTCACCATATTGGTCAGGCTGGTCTCAAACTCCTGACCTCAGGCGATTTGCACCTCAGCCTCCCAAAGTCTTGGGATTACAGGCGTGAGCCCCTGTGCCCAGCCCTCCCCCAATAATTTTGATTCAGTTGGTCTGAGGTGGGATCCAGACAGGGGTATCTGTTTTTAAAGCTCCTCAGTGATTCTAAAATGCAGCCAGGGAACCCTGGAACTTGTGTTTTGTTCTCATTTTTAGTATCTTCTGCTCAGAGTGACCAGTGAACCCAAGGCATCAGCATCACCTGCTAGACATGCAGAGTCTCAGGCCCCGCCCCAGACCCACTGAATCAGAATATGCATGTTAACAAGTTTCCCTGGCCGGGCATCATGGCTCACACCTGTAATCTCAGCACTTTGGGAGGCAGAGGCAGGAGGATTGCTTGAGCCCACAAGTTCAAGGCCAGCCTGGGCAACATAGTGGACCCTGTCTGTACAAAAAAATAAAAAAAAATAATAGCTGGGTATGGTCCCAGCTGCTTGGGAGGCTGAGGCAGGAGGATCACTTGAAGCCGGGAGGTTGGGGCTGCAGTGAGCCATGATCATGCCACTGCACTCCAGCCTGGGTGACAGAGCAAGACCCTATCTCAAAAATAAATAAATAAATAAATAAAATTCCCAGGTGATTCGCGTGTTCACTGAAGTTGGAGAAGTGCAATTCTTGGTGGTGGGTGTGATGCTTCCCTTTCTACGATTGACAGGAGTTTGAAAGCAGTGTTTGAGACACAGGACTGTAGATGGAATCCTGTTTTAGACCCAGGAGGGGGCTGGTGAAGCATTGACTGCTGAGACACGTGTGCTGTGAACTTTTGGGGTGTGTGTGTGTGTGTGTGTGTGTGTTTTAATCTAGGGTTCTTGTAAAATGAGGTGCCGTTGCAGTAGTCTGTCTAGCAGAGCCCAGAGGGTGGGACTGTGCCAGGAAAAGCAATTTAGGACCCTAGAGGCCCACCAGGGGCCTCCTTCCCCATGACCCTGGAGGGTGGACGTCACTGGGGCTTGTGAGGCTGGCCAAGGATGGGCTGTAGATGGCATTTCTTAATATAGTTACTCAATAGTTATGTTTTCTAAGTGCCACAGAGGACTAAAGGAATGTCACTAAATGTTTGGCATAGAAGGAGCTAATGGCTTTGAGAGGAACATTTCCCAGGCTTTGGTAGGAGAACAGCTGTCATAGAAGGGGAGTGTCATGGAGACAAACCCCACACTTGAGCCTGGCCACTGCTTTTTCACCACTTTGGTTTTGGGCATGAAACAATGGTGTGAGCAGAGAGCCAGCATTGCCCAGGGAGGCTGTGATCTTGGGGCTTGGCCTTGCCCAGGCAGCAGGCAGGGCTGGCTGCTGCTGGCTTTCTCTGTCTGCCTCCATTTATCAGTCTGTACAAAGGGCATGTTGCTACGGCCAGCAAGATTTCAAAACTCCAGGGTACTGCCTTGCTCTCTGAGTATTTCCTTCCTTCTTTCCTCTGGAGGTCTTGAGAAGACTCCTGTCCTTGACCTCACAGTAAGAAGGATGGTGGGGAAAGCCCAATATGAGGGGGAAAGCCCCACCCTGCCATTGCTCTGTGACTTCCAGGGGGCACTTCACCCGTCAGGACCCTCATTCCAGCAGATGGGGAGAGCATGCCCCTCTCTGCAGGGTGGCTATAGAAAGCCATGAAGCCAGGTATTTAAGAGTTCTTTAGAAACCAGATTCAGGGTAGCTGTGTATACACTAAATGAGCACCTCTTGAATAGAATCACTTCCCTCCCACCAGACCTGCAAAGTCAGTTTAAATCTCTCCTATCTCACTTTTTCAGGAATAACAGCTGACTTTAGTGTCTGATCAGTTTTGTCACCTCCAAGGAAATCATGGATTTATTGATTTATTTATTTATTATTTTTTTGAGATGGAGTCTCTCTTTGTCTCCAGGCTGGACTGCAGTGGCGCGATCTCGGCTCACTGCAACCTCTGGACTACAGGCGTGTGCCACCACGCCCAGCTAATTTTTGTATTTTTAGTAGAGACGGGGGTTTCGGCATGTTGGCCAGGCTGGCCTCGATCTCTTGACCTCGTGATCCGCCCGCCTCAGCCTCCCAAAGTGCTGGGATTACAGGCGTGAGCCACCGCACCTGGCTGGAAATCATGGATTTAGTTAAGAGTATCAGTTGGCGTTAAAACCATTAGGAGGTCTATCAGCAAGGGAACGAACAATAAAACCGTGGCAGATTCATTCAAAGAAATCAGTCAATAATGGGGGCCAAATGTGATACACACAACAATGTGAATGTATCTCATAGATAATGCTGACTGAAAGAGTTCCTATTGTAAGATTCTGTGTGTATGAATTACAGAAACAGGCAAAACTCATCTGTGTGATAAAAGTCAGAATAGAAGTGAGGTAGTTTGGATATTTGTCTCCGCCCAAATCTCATGTTGAAATGTAATCCCCAGTGTTGGAGGTGGGGGCCGGTGGAAGGTGTCTGGATCATGGGGACGGATCCCTCATGAATGGCTGGGGCTATCCACTTTTAAAGGACCAGATAAGTGAGTTCTCACTGATTTCATGAGAGATCTGGTCCTTTAAAAGTACACGGCGGCAGAGTGCGGTAGCTCATGCCTGTAATCCCAGCACTCTGGGAGGCCGAGGCAGGCGGATCACTTGAGGTTCGAGACCAGCCTGGCCAACACGGTGAAACCCCGTCTTTACTAAAAATACAAAAATTAGCTGGGCATGGTGGCACATGCCTGTAGTCTCAGCTACTCAGGAGGCTGAGGCAGGAGAATTGCTTGAACCTGGGAGGTGGAGGTTGCAGTGAGCCGAGATTGCACCACTGCACTCCAGTATGTGTGATAGGGTAAGACTCTGTCTCAAAAAAAAAAAAAAAAAAAAGAAGAAGTGCATGGCACCTCCACTCTACTCTCTGCCTCTCTTGCTCCTGCTTTTGCCATGTGATGCCCAAGTTCCTGCTTTGCCTTTTGCCATGAGTATGAGCTCTCTGAGGCCTCCCCAGAAGGCCAGTGATTCCAGCACTATGCTTACTGTGGAGCTTGCAGAACACTGAGCCAATTAAACCTCTTTTTTTTTTTTTTTGAGACAGAGTCTAGCTCTGTCACCCAGGCTGGAGTGCAGTGGTGCCAACTCGGCTCACCACAACCTCCAACTCCCGGGTTCAAGCAACTCTCCTGCCTCAGCCTCCCGAGTAGCTGAGATTACAGGCTCCTGCCACCAAGCCCAGCTAAGTTTTGTATTTTTAGTAGAGATGGGGTTTCACCAAGTTGGCCAGGCTGGTCTCTAACTCCTGACCTCAGGTGATTTGCCCGCCTTGGCCCCCCAAAGTGCTGCGATTACAAGCCTGAGCCACTGCGCCTGGCCCTCTTTTCTTTATAAATTACCCAGGGCCAGCTGGGCGCAGTGACTCACACCTGTAATCTCAGCACTTTGGGAGGCCAAGGTGGGTGGATCATCTGAGATTGGGAGTTCGAGACCAGCCTGATCAACATGGAGAAACCCTGTCTCTACTAAAAAATACAAAATTAGCCAAGTGTGGTGGCACATGACTATAATCCCAGCTACTCAGGAGGCTGAGGCAGGAGAATCGCTTGAACCTGGGAGGCGGAGGTTGCGGTGAGCTGAAATCATGCCACTGCACTCCAGCCTGGGCAACAAGAACAAAACTCCATCTAAAACAAACAAACAAAAACAGTCCCTGGTATTTCTCTTTTCTTTCTTTTCTTTTCTTTTTTTTTTTTTTTTTTGACATATTCTTGTTCTGTCGCCCAGGTTGGAGTTCAGTGGCGCAATCTCTGCTTACCGCAACCTCCGCCTCCTGGGTTCAAACGATTCTCCTGCCTCAGCCTCCCAAGTAGCTGGGACTACAGGCACCCGCCACCGCACCTGGCTAATTTTTGTATTTTTAGCTGAGGGGGGGGGTTTCACCATGTTGGCCAGTCTGGTCTTGAACTCCTGACCTCGTGATCCACCTGCGTCAGCCTCCCAAAGTGCTGGAATTACAGGCATGAGCCGCCGCGCCTGGTCTTCTGGTATTTCTTTATAGCAATGCAAGAACTGCCTAATACAAGAAGTTTGTTTTGTGTGCCCCCACGCAAGGGAGTTGACAAATCAAAGGACACATTCAGAGGAAACTTCTTGTATTAGGCAATTCTTGCATTACTATAGGCATTGCATTGCCTTGATATTATCAAGAAGAGGGCACCAGAGGTAGCTGGGGAGCTAGGAATGTTCTCTATATTGATTTGGGCTTTGGTTCCATGGGTGCGGACATATGTAAAAATCTTAGAACAACCAGACCTTCTGTATTTTCTGACATACATAACACCATCTATAATGTATTTCAGTCCAAAGCTTTTAACTTGACTCTAATCAAGACTTTAGATCTAATTTCTAGGCCAGGTGCAGTGGCTCACACCTGTTATCCTAGCAATTTGGGAGGCTGAGGCAGGTGGATCACTTGAGGTCAGGTGTTTGAGACCAGCCTAGCTGATATGGTGAAGCCTCATCTCTACTAAAAATACAAAAATTAGCCACTTGTGGTGGCACATTCCTATAGTCCCAGCTACTTGGGAGGCTGAGGCAGGAGAATCACTTGAATCCAGGAGGCCGAGGTTGTGGTGAGTCGAGATCACACCATTGCACTCCAGCCTGGGCAACAAGAGCAAAACTCTATCTCCAAAAAAAAAAATGTTATTTTTAAAAGATGAATGGTTTCTCGTGCATCTTTTCAGATTGAGACGTTCTCCATTCACACAAACGCATCTATGTGCACGTGGTCCCTTACTTTCTTTACTTAGCAGCAGCCTACCATACACATTGCATTATACTTGGGGTTTTTTTTGTTTTGTTTTTTTGTTTTTGAGACGGAGTTTTGCTCTTGTTGCCCAGGCTGGAATGCAATGGTGCGATCTTGGCTCACCGCAACCTCCGCCTCGGGGATTCAAGCAATTCTCCTGCCTCCGCCTCCCGAGTAACTGAGATTACAGACGTGCACAACCATGCCTGGCTAATTTTTAGTAGAGATGGGGTTTCTCCATGTTGGTCAGGCTGGTCTCAAGCTCCCGCCCTCAGATGATCTGCCTGCCTCAGCCTCCCAAAGTGCTGGGTATGAGCCACCGAGCCCAGCCCCCTACACTTGGGTTAAAAACCCAAGTGATATGGTTTGGTGGTGTCCCCACCCCAATCTCAACTTGAATTGTATCTCCCAGAATTCCCACGTGTTGTGGGAGGGACCCAGGGGGAGATAATCGAATCATGGGGGAAATTCTTTCCTGTGATATTCTCGTGATAGTGAATAAGTCTCACAACATTTGATGGGTTTATCAGGGGTTTCCACTTTTGCTTCTTCCTCATTTTTCTCTTGCTGCCACCATGTAAGAAGTGACTTTGCCCTCCTGCCATGATTCTGAGGCCTCCCCAGCCATGTGGAACTGTAAGTCCAATTAAACCTCTTTTTATTCCCAGTTTTGGTTATGTCTTTATTAGCAGTGTGAAAATGAACTAATATAGCAAGTTAAAAACACACCACATATACACGCTGCATTATACTACACAGTTACCAGTTACCATACACACCACATTACACCACCTGGCCAGGCATGATGGTGTATACTTGTGGTCTCAGCTACTTGGGACACTGAGGTGAATTGCTTAAGCCCAGGAGTTTTAGACCAGCCTGGGCAAAATAGCAGACCCCATCTGTAATAATAATAATAATAATAATACTAAATAAATAAAAATAAAAATGTAGGCTGGGTGTGGTGGTTCATACCTATAATCCGAGCACTTTCGGAGGCTGAGGCGGGAGAATCACTTGAGCCCAGAGGTTCAAGACCAACCTGGGCAACATAATGAGACCTATCTGTATTAAAGTAAAATTAATTTAAAAAAATTAAAATGTGGCCAGGCACAGTGGCTCACGCCTGTAATCTCAGCACTTTGGGAGGCTGAGGCGGCAGATCACCTGAGGTCAGGGATTCGAGATCAGCCTGATCAACATTGAGAAACCCTGTCTCTACTAAAAATACAACAATTAGCCAGGCGTGGTGGTGAGCACCTGTAATCCCAGCTACTTGGGGGAGCTGAGGAAGGCGAATCACTTGAATCTGGGAGGTGGAGGTTGCAGTGAGCCAAGATCGCGCCACTGCACTCCAGCCTGGGCAGCAGAGTGCAACTCAGTTTCAAAAAAATAAAAAATAAATAAAATAAAATAGTCTGGGCACGGTGGCTCATGCCTGTAATCCCAGCACTTTGGGAGGTTGAGGAAGATGGATCACCTGAGGTCAGGAGTTCGAGACCAGCCTGGACAACCCCATCTCTACTAAAATATGAAAATTAGCTGGGCATGGTGGCATGCACCTGTAATCTCAGCTACTCCAGAGTCTGAGGCAGGAGAATCGCTTGAGCCTGGGAGGTGGAATTTGCAGTGAGCTGAGATTGTGCCACAGCACACCAGCATGGGTGACAGAGCGAGACTCCGTCTCCAAAATAAATAAACAAATAAATAAATAAATAATAAAAATAAAATAAAAATGTATATTAAAAAAGACGCAGGGCCAGCCATGGTGGCTTTTATCTGTAATCCCAGCACTTTGGGCGTCTGAGACAGGAGGATCACTTGAAGCCGCAAGTTTGAGACCAAACTGGGCAACAAAATAAGGCCTTGTCAGCTGGGCATGGTGGCTCACGCCTGTAATCCCAGCACTTTAAGAGGCTGAAGTGGGTGGATCTCTTGAGGTCAGGAGTTCAAGACCAGCCTGTCCCACATGGTGAAACCCTGTCTCTACTAAACACACAAAATTAGCCGGGCATGGTGGCTCACGCCTATAATCCTAGCACTTTAAGAGGCTGAAGTGGGTGGATCTCTTGAGGTCAGGAGTTCAAGACCAGCCTGGCCCACATGGTGAAACCCTGTCTCTACTAAACACACAAAATTAGCTGGGCATGGTGGCGCACGCCTGTAATTCCAGTTACTCAGGAGGCTGAGGTAGCCCTCCCTCTCTTTCGTCCTTGACAGGGCTTCACTCTGTTGCCTAGCCTGGTCTTGAACTCCTGGCCTCAAGCTATCCTTCCGCCTCAGACTCTCAAATTGTTGGGATTACAGGTGTGAACCACTGCACCCAGCCTTTTCTTTTTAAACATTTTATTAAAATTTGTTTTTCATTTAAACTTTTTAACAGTCTTATGAACTAGGTCTGATGATCACTGCTATTTAATAAATGATAAGACTAAGGTTTGGACACATTTACTAGCTTGCCACAGTCACACAGTTAATAAATCACAGATAATACACGGTCATGGCCAGCTGCAGTGGCTCATGCCTATAATCCCAGCACTTTGGGAGGCCGAGGCCTCCTGACCTCAGGTGATCTGCCCTCCTCTGCCTTCCAAAGTTCTGGGATTACAAGTGAGCCACCGTGCCCAGCCAAGTTTTTGTATTATTAGTAGAGACAGGTTTCACCATGTTGGCCCGGCTGGTCTCGAACTCCTGACCTCAATTGATCTGCCCACGTTGGCCTCCCAAAGTGCTGGGATTACAGGTATGAACCACCACACCCAGCCACTGTGTCTTGCACTAGCAAATTTAACTTCTGTGTCAATCATTGTCCCTCTCCCCTGAGAGGTCTGAGACCACCTAGAGGAACTTACCTAGCCTGCATTCAGTTGATATTTCCTGAGCACCCTTGCATGCAGAGGGCTCTTAGAGGCAGCTTGACTTCATTTAGAATCCAGAGAGAACCCAGATTCTTAGCATCATCTAGTTTATTTTTATTTTTATTTTTATTTTTTTTTAAGACAGGGCCTTGCTCTGTAACCCAGGCTTGGAGTGCAGTATTGCGATCACGGCTCACCGCAGCCTCAACCTCCTGGGCTCAAGTGATCCTCTCACCTCAGCCTACTGAGTTGCAGGGGCTACAGGCATGTGCTACCACACCTGGCTAATTAAAAAAAAAATTGGCGGGGCGCAGTGGCTCATGCCTGTAATCCCAGCACTTTGGGAGGCCAAGGCGGGCAGATCACCTGAGGTCAGGAGTTTGAGACCAGCCTGGCCAACACGGTGAAACCCTGTCTCTACTAAAAATACAAAAAATTAGCCGGGTGTGGTGGCGGGTGCCTGTAATCCCAGCTACTTGGGAGGCTGAGGCAGGAGAATCACTTGAACCCGAGAGGCGGAGGTCGCAGTGAGCCGAGATCATGCCATTGCACTCCAGCCTGGGTGACAAGACCAAGACTCCATCTCAAAAAAAAAAAAAAATTTTTTTTTTTGGCCAGGTGCAGTGGCTCATGCCTGTAATCCCCCAGAACTTTGGGAGGCAGAGGTAGGTGGATCACTTGAGGCCAGGAGTTCCAGACCAGCCTAGCCAACATGGCGAAAACTCATCTCTACTAAAAATACAAAAATTACCCAGGTGTGGTAGCGCACACCTATAGTCCCATGAAACTTGGAAGGCTGAGGCAGGAGAATTGCTTGAACCCGGGAGGCAGAGGTTGCAGTGAGCCAAGTTTGCACCACTGCACTCCAGCCTGGGTGACAGAATGAGACTTCATCTTAAATAAATAAATAAATAAATTTTAATAGAAATGGGTCTTCCTGTATTGCCAGTGCTGGTCTTGAGTTCCTGAGCTCAAGTGATCCTCCCACCTCAGCCTCTCAAAGTGCTGGGATTACAGGTGTGAGCCTACTTGTATGCTATGGGATACAGGGCTGAGCAGAAAATAACCCAGCCCCTGCCCTCAAGGGGCTTACAGTCTAGTGGTAGGGACAAATATTAATCAAGCACTCAAGCAGTGTGAAAAGCCAAATGTAATTATCACCACCCCTGGAGTTACAGAGAGCTAGATGGCTGAAACAGCAGGGAAGGGACCCCTGAGCTGAGAACTGGTGAATGGGCTAACAAGCAAAGAGAGGGAAGAACATTCCAGAAAAAGGAATCGCATGTCTAAAGGCCCTAGGGAGCACAGGGACTAAAAGAGGCCAGCATGACAGGCAGAGAGGGATGGGAATAGAGAGGGAGATGAAGCTAGGAGGCCTTGTGCTTGTCAAGGAGTTTTGGCTTTATTCCAAGTACAGTGGGAAGCCGTTGAAGCTGGGAGCGTAGAGGGAGAGGGTAACTATAGCCTGATCAGATCCGATTTAGATAGTTCTGGCTCAGAACAGTCAAGTGGGGAAGAGTTGATGGGTTTCCTGGAAATGAAAGAAACTGACAAGTAGTGAATCAGATAAATACTTGGCTCAAGGTCATGTCCATTCCTGGAATCAACCCATATTCAAACACTCTTTGATTGGGCAGGGGTGGGGTAGGCAAAAAGGCCCACTCCCTTAGTCAAGGCAGGATGTCTCTGAACGGTGGTCCTAGTCCTTGAGCTCCCTGTGGGATGACCAAGACCTTAAAACAAAGATAAACATGTAGAATGATCGGCCCAGGATTTCAGAGAAGAGTGAGGAGGACCCTGCTTCCACCTGAGCAGCGGGATGATCCTGTTCCACCCAAGGCAGGGGTCCCAGTCCTAGAACCCGCCCCTTCCTTCCTCCTCCTGATCCCCAGAAGAACGGTGAGCTCTGTGTGTGTGTGTGTGTGTACACCTTTGGCTCTAGGATCCTGGTTCTTACTTTCTCACCTACTTGTTCTGTGACTTTGAATAAATCCCCTTCTCTCTCTGGGCCCGTCTCTTTATTGGAAAAAGAGGAAGTTGAAGTAATCAGTGACTCAACTTTTGGGGTGGTTCACAGACCCTTTGAGAGTTTGTTGAAAGCTATGACCATTATACACATAATTTCTGGCAGTTGCAGGGGTTCCTGTAGCCCTGGGGTGGGGCTGGGTAGCAGGCTTTACCTGGGACTCAAGTGAAAAATCCTTGGATGAGACATCAACAGGCACCTTTTCTGATGGCCTGCTAAGAACCAAGTCTCATACTCTGTTCTAGTCCTCATCTCAATCCTTTAACTTTTTTTTTTTTTTTTTTTTTTTCAGATGAAGTCTCACTCTTGTCCGCCAGGCTGGAGTGTAATGGCATGACCTCGACTCACTGCAACCTCCGCCTCCTGGGTTCAAGCAAGTCTCCTGCCTCAGCCTCCCTAGTAGCTGGGAGTACAGGTGCCTGCCACCACGCCCGGCTAATTTTTGTAGTTTTAGTAGAGACGGGGTTTCACCATGTTGGCCAGGCTGGTCTCGAACTCCTGATCTCAGGTGATCCGCCTGCCTTGGCCTCCCAAAGTGCTGGGATTATAGGTGTCAGCCACTGCGCCCGGCCATCACAGTCCTTTAATCATTACTTTTCCCACTTGGAGCTCGGAGATAGCACTTAAGTGACTTGCCCAAGCTGAGAAGAGCTGAAGCAGGACCCCCAAGCCAGGTCTTTGTGAAGCTAAAGACTGTTCTCCCTGTTCCAAAGGGAGACATCACTACTCTTACCCTTTCCCCATTCCGCCACTGCCCCCATAATACCACACATTTTAGACCTCATAGCCCCCTCTTTTTTGTATTTTTTTAACCCCAAAGAAGGCAAACGAGGGTTGCAGGTTTATTTATTTATTTATTTGAGATGTGGTCTCATAGTATTGCCCAGGATGGCCTGAAACTCCTGGGCTCAAGAAATCCTCCTGCTGCAGCCTCCTGAGTAGCTGGGACTACAGGTGTGCCGCCATTCCCAGCCTTTTAAATTTTTATTTATTAGACATGAGGTCTCGCTATGTTGCCCAGGCTGGAGTGTGGAGGCTATTCATAGGTATGATAATCGTGCACTACAGCCTCGAACTCCTGGGCTCAAGCGATCGTCCCATCTCAGCCTCCCAAGTAGTTGGTACTACAGGTGTGCACCACCCCACCTGGCTGTATTTTCAACTCCTGTCATGGAGCAAGGTTTACCTTATGAAGTAAGATAGAGGATCTGAGGCCTCGATAGGCTAAGTGGCCTACAAGGTCACATAGCAAGTGAGTGGTCGAGTTGAGAGCTAGAGACAGAGGACATTTGTGTTCACCTTGGAAGTCCCAGTGAGGACGAGCCTTACCTAGCTCCAACTCAGAAGGCCAGAAGGAAGAATGGTTTGGGGGAGGCTGTAATCAGGGGAAGGATGCAGGGCCCTGGGGTGAGCCCTAAATAAGGGGCTTCCTGTGAGCCTGAGGATGGCCATGCCCTTGTATATACTTTGTCCTCCAGGCAAGTTCTCTGCTGGCCCTTTAAATCTTCTCAACAGCTCTGGGTGGGGCATCTATCCCCACTTTACAGATGAAGATACCAAAAGAACTTCATCCAGGCCAGGCATGGTGGCTCATGCCTGTAATCCCAGCACTTTGGGAGGTCGAGGCAGGCAGATCACTTGAGGTCAGGAGTTTGAGACCAGCCTGGTTAACACGGTGAAACCCCATCTCTACTAAAAATACAAAAAATTAGCCGGGCGTGGTGGCGGGCGCCTGTAGTCCCAGCTACTCAGGAGGCTGAGGCAGGAGAATGGCATGAACCCGGGAGGTGGAGCTTGCAGTGAGCCGAGATTGCGCCACTGCACTCCAGTCTGGGCAACAAAGCAAGACTCCGTCTCAAAAAAAAAAAAAAATACAAAAATTAGCTGGGCGTGGTGACACGTGCCAATAGTCCCAGCTACCGGGAGGTCAAGGCAGGAGAATCGCTTGAACCCGGGAGGTGCACTGGACTCCAGCCTGGATGACACAACAAGACTCCATTTCAAAAAATAAAATAAAATAAAATAATAAAATAAGATAAAATAAAATAATATTAAGAAAAAAAAAGAACTTCATCCAGCTCCTGTTCAGAAGTGACCACACACACACTGTCTTCAGCATCCCTCCCAAGTTCCCCTGGTCCATTTCTCAGGCCTCATCTTCCTGCCCATCTCCATCTTACCGTGCCCTTATTTACGGTGTTCTTCCCTTTTCACCCTCTGAAACTTCGCACCTGTTTTCGCCTTTGCCTGGAATGTTGCCTCCTTCCCCCACTGAACTCCTTCCTACTCATCCTTCAAGATCCTATGCCACAGTCTCCCCAGTCATGCAGCAAAATGGGACAGATTGCCATCTTCCTTCCCATTTCCCTCTCAGCTCTCACCCCACGTTTCCTTTTTTCTTTCTTTTTTTTGTTTTTGAGATGGAGTTTTGCCCTTGCCGCCCAGGCTGGAGTGCAATGGCGCGACCTCGGCTGACCGCAACCTCCGCCTCTCTGGTTCAAGCGATTCTCCTGCCTCAGCCTCCCAAGTAGCTGGGATTACAGGCATGCGCCACCATGCCCACCTAATTTTGTATTTTTAGTAGAGATGGGGTTTCTCCATGTTGGTCAGGCTGGCCTCGAACTCCTGATCTCAGGTGATCCGCCTGCTTCGGCCTCCCAGCGCCCAGCCTCATCCCGTGTTTCTAATCAATGGCTTGTGTCCATTTTCCTCTGCCACACACTGGGCTCTCGTGTGTTTGCCAAAGGAGTGAGGGAATTCCAGGAACCCTCCTGAACCACCCAGCCTCAACTGGTCTTTCAGTTCCTAAGAACAGCAGGACATTTAAAGTCGATGCCTGTAATCCCTACTGCTGACTTCAAGTATCAAGTTTATAGTTGCTGCCCCCATCCCCTTCGTTTTTACTCCCTTAGCCGCCTTCTTTTTTTTTTTTTTTTTTTGAGACGGAGTCTCACTCTGTTGCCCAGGCTAGAGTGCAGTGGCACGATCTCAGCTCACTGCCAGCTCTGCCTCCCAGGTTCACGCCATTCTCCTGCCTTAGCCTCCCAAGTAGCTGGGACTACAGGCGCCCGCCACCACGCCCGGCTAATTTTTTGTATTTTTAGTAGAGACAGGGTTTCACCGTGTTAGCCAGGATGATCTCAATCTCCTGACCTCATGATGTGCCCACCTCGGCCTCCCAAAGTGCTGGGATTACAGGCATGAGCCACCATGCGCAGCCTCCCTTAGCCTTCTTTTATCCATCTTGTGCCTCGGCCCTAGGGGTCCTTGCTATGATCTTCCCTTTATCCAGCTTTCCATGTCCCCCCCAGGAGCCAGGCATTCTAAGCCACAGAGCTGACCCTGGAACCTGTCACCACTTACCTTCTAGGCTCCCATGGCCTATGAAACTCGCAGTACCCTTGCCTAAGGCATGCAGTGCCCGTCCCTAGCTGGCCCCCTGGAGGAGTCCTGTTTCCCACCCATCGTCTTTTCCACTCTCCATCCATCCGTTTTCTCTACCTTGTTAAAGAAAAAAACTAATCAGATTCTCGTTAAAGATGGCAGGGAAGCCAGGCGGGGTGGCTCAGGTCTACAATCCCAGCACTTTGGGAGGCCCAGGTGGGAGGACAGCTTGAGGCCAGGAGTTCGAGACCTGCCTGGGCAACACAGTGTAGTCCCAGCTGCTCGGGAGGCTGAGGTGGGAGGATCAGTTTAGCAGGGGTGTTCGAGGCTGCAGTGAGCTATGACTGCACCATTGCACTCCAGCCTGGGCAGCATAGAGAGATCCTTGTCTTTCTTTTTTTTTTGAGACGGAGTTTCTTAATGTAGGCCGGCCAGGGTGATCACATACCAAGCGTGGAGATATTCTTGACAGCAGGATTCTGGCTAAAACTGGACTAAGAAGGCCAAGGACAGAGCCCAAGGTCGGGGCCTGGTCAGAAAGAGGTCTCGGAGGAGCCTGACTCAAGTGTGATCAAGGGAAGTCTTGGTCACCCGCTGGCAACTTGGCTTTTTCTTGTCTCCCAGCCTCAATTCAAGCTCATCCCCCTTCCCTGCTCCATCAAAATCTCCTTGATTTCCAAGGCCAGCTTCAGTGTCTCCTCTCAAACTTTTCTGAGCCTTCCCTCCACGGGAATCCATTTTTCCTGCCTGGGCCTGGGGAGAGAAGTCCATTTCTCCTTCCCAAACCCAGAGACCATTGAGGCAGGAAAGCTCCCTGGCTGCCCCATAGGGCAGGGCAGGGTAGGCGGGGTTTAGTGACTCCCCGGCGCCGACGCTGACCCGCACCCCTGAGGAAGGGGTCTCCGGGGACGGCCGCTGTTGTCGCTGTCGCCTCCAGTCCCCGCCCCTTCCCCCCTCAGTGAAGGGGACCTAGAGTGAGAACTGGTGGTCACGTCCTACGCCTAGGAGGGCCCCTGGGTGTTCACCCACCCCCCCGGGGGGCCCCATCCTGGGCCAGGGTCCGCTTCCTCGAGGGAAGGGGCGAATTCCTGGAAGGTCTCCTTCCGGGCGCAGTTGCAATGGATTGCCTTGGGGGTGCTGAACCCTGCTGGGGGTACAGAGACGTTTCCGAAACTCAGCGGCTCGGTCGCCCCCAAAGGCCAGGCGGAACACACGCCCACACCGCGGCTCCCTTCCCGAAGTAAGACCGCCGGGCCACGGCCGCCCCCAGGAAGCCCCGCGCCCCGCACCCCACACCCGGGGACACAAACAGGCGCCGGGTAGCCGCGAGGGCCGGCGCGGCGCCTTTAAGAGGCGGCGGGCGGCGCTGCCCCCTGGCGGCCGCCCCGCCGCTTCCTCGCCGCCGCGGGCTCAAGCGGGGCGGCCGGGCCAGCGCGGGGCGGCGGCGGGCAGGGGCGGCGAGTGCGCGGGCGCTCGCCGCCGCCCTTCTCGGCGGGCAGCGCGCGAGGACCAGGCCGAGGAGGAAGTGGCGGCGGCGGCGGCGGGTGAGGATCTCTGGCCGGGCCGAGTGGCCGCGTGCGCCCCGCCGGGGTCCAAGCGCGCCCAGGGGTTACGGCCCGGCTGGGAACATCAGAGGGCGAGGACCCGGGCGGGAGGAGGAGGGAGGAAGGGCTCGGAGGCCGCGCTTCTGCCGCCGCCTGAGGGCGTGTGGCTCGGGCCCGCGCGGCGGGAGGGCGGGCAGGGCGGGGGCGGTGTCTGCGGAGGCCCGGCTTCCCCTCCTGCGGGCCCTGGCCCCAGCTCCGACTCAGACTCAGGCTCAGCCGTGCCCCAGCCTCAGCCGGCAGGCCGGGCGGCGCGGCGCTCGCGAGCCGGTGGGCGGGCGGGCGAGCCCGCAGGCGGCGGGGGCGTGGGCGGTGGCAGCTTGGCCCAGCCAGTGGCCTTCCGCGCTGAGCGCCGCTCCCTCCTCCCGGCCGCCCGCCGCGCCCCGCCCCGCTCCGCTCCGCGCGGCAGGACTGCGCGCCCCAGCTCCGATCCCCGTTCCGCGTCCCCGCCGCCGGGAGGAGGTGCCCACTCGCTCGCGGCGCGCGCCGGCCGCCAGACTCGGCCTGTGGGCGATTTCCTCCGGACCCAGGCTCCCCGCCCGAGGAGGAAGATGCAGACCTTTCTGAAAGGGAAGAGAGTTGGCTACTGGCTGAGCGAGAAGAAAATCAAGAAGCTGAATTTCCAGGCCTTCGCCGAGCTGTGCAGGTAAGGAGGGACGCGGCGCCGGCGCCCGGGGACCCCCGGCCCGAGCCCGGTGACCCCCGGCCCGAGCCCGGTGCAGCCTCATTAGTTGTTTTGGGAGATCGGAGCCAAACGGGAAGAAGCGGCGCGCGGGGAGACTGAGTCCGAGCAGCCAGGTGGCGGTGGCGGCCGCCGGCCGCGTTCCAGGGAAGCGGTGGCCGGTGCGGGCGAGGTGGCACGGACCGGGGCGTTCAGGTGCACTGTGACCCGGCTGGGGAGGCCCCCAGCAGCCCAGGGCGCGGTGGGAGTTCTACTGAGGGTTGCGGAGGGACCTGGGAAATCGGGGCATCCACGCTGTGGGGTAAGGGCTTGAGGGTACTTTTGGACCGGAGTGTTTTTCTTCCTTCGTCCCCTTCCCTTTCATGAAGAAAGGGCACCCACGTTTGTGGACCACCTACTATGTGCCCCGCGTGTGCTCGGCTCTTGAGGCTGTCATTGCATATCATGAGGTTAAGCCCAGTTGAAGCGAGTAGCAATTCTTGGCATGTATGTGGTGATTTGCTGTCTCATTAGAGCCTCGCAGCAGCCCTGCAAATTGGCCAGGGTGGTGATTCTGGGCCACCTGTCTGAGAACGGGGACCGATCGGCAGAGGAGCGGGGTACCTAGCTTGGGGTCCCGCAGCTAGGGAGTGGCTGGTGCGTAGAAAGTGCTGGGTAAATGCCCGTGGTGTGGAGTGGCCTTCTGCCATCTGGGCTGTGTGCCCCTGCTCCCACCATGCTGGTGCTCCTTGGCGGAGTCTCCGGTGTTTAACAGATCACGTTCTTAATAAATTACAGAACTACTGAGTCTTGGGTCAGGTAGGCCTTCCCTTGCTCCACAACTGTAGCTTTGCCTCTGAGAAGCAGTTAAGCCCTTTTCTCAATGCAAGCCTAAGAGAATCTAGCTCTGAAAGCCTTTTGCAAACTCCAGGTGGAAACCTTTTGTGATGCAGCTTGTTAGACTGATTTTTGAAAATGGGCTCTACTTGCATTTTTGTCCCTGTGGGGGCCCCACACATCTTGGAGAATTGAACAGTTGGGTTTCCGTAACCCCTGGTGCTCCTGGGGGCCCGTGGCTGGTCTGAGCTGGCATGCGCAGGTGAGCCTGGCAGCACCTCTGTGTGCCTCATGCCTTTCCCAAGGGCCTGCTGCTCCTTTGCCCCGTGCAAGCCCCGCAGGCGCTCTTCCTGCAGCCAGAGGGGCACAGCTTGTACAGGATAGTGCCTGGTTCTTTATCCCTTGGTCTGGGGATGGGGTTGGCTGCCTTCTCCCAGGCCGGTTTCCCTAGAAGACAGGCTCTTCATGATCAATAGGGCATGCAGAGTGGCCCCAGCAATTCATGAAGAAATCAGGAGGAGCTCGAAGCCAGAGCTTTGAAAATGAGTCTTAGGACCCTTGGAACATTACAAAAGGGTACTTGAACGTTGTACCGCGGATACACTCACTTGTGGGAAGGGCATTCTAAGACACTAAAGAAATTTGGAGCAGCTGCTTTGGCATGTTCTCGAAGTCCAGTTCTGATGTGAGGCACCGGAGCTCCCCCTGCAGTCATGTAAGACTTGGGAAATCCCAGCGAATACCTCGCACCCTTTGTACTGCTGTCTGTATTTATGTCATCTTGTGTCTGCAACTCAAGCTTGAGGCTTGTCATTGGGTTGGCTTGTTTTGCTTGGTAATTAGGAGGCTCTCGCAAAATATTCTTCGCCGAGACTCACAACTAGGTCCTCGTGCTGGACCTGCAGATTGGCTTGACCTTGTAGACATTCTTCCTTTAAAGGGGTGGGAGGTTCAGAGCAAGCTATGCTATCAACGTTCTGGGGAGTAGAGCATTACTTTCTCTGAAAGAGTTGTTGTCTTCAAAGTCTAGTTGCCTTCCTTTGGCCAAAATATTGGCTTCAAAGAAGGCAGAAGTCATCAGGGCCATTCTAGAACCCGAGGAAGCCCACTTTGTGTTTTCACTAGGGAAGCTTTAGATATTTTATCACTTAAGCCTAAGAAGGAAAAGAAAACACCAAAGAGTTTTTCCGTTTCTTATTTATTACTTTCAGGGCAGTGCCCCCTGGTGGCCACATTTCTATACTGGCTGCAAAATGCTGCAACTGTTGAGCCAGTGACCAGGGAGCCCCGTGAGGTTGTTTTGTTTGGTGTGAGGGCCAATGAGACTTTAGTGGCTGAGAGACAGTGCAAAGGACATTATCATGTTTTCCACATTCAGAATCTGGGGGCGCAGGGCTTCTGTACTGACGACGGGTGATGAATTGTCTATGAATTCCCTAATGAAAAAGTCTAAAGGTATTTGAAAATGGCCCTGCTTTGGGCCGGGTGCCGTGTCTTCTGTCTGTAATCCCAGCACTTTGGGAGTCCAAGGTGGGTGGGTCACGAGGTCAGGAGATCGAGACCATCCTGGCTAACATGGTGAAACCCCATCTCTACTAAAAATACAAAAATTAGCCGGGCATGATGGCAGGCGCCTGTAGTCCCAGCTACTCAGGAGGCTGAGGCAGGAGAATCACTTGAACCCGGGAGGCAGAGGTTGCAGTAAGTCGAGATGGTGCCACTGCACTCTAGCTTGGGTGACAGAGCGAGACTCCATCTCAAAAAAAAAAAAAAAAAAAATGGCCCTGCTCTTAATGTTTGGGCAAAGAATGACCCGAATGGTCCGGCCCGGGGTGGGTTGTTTAGCTGAATGTCCGGCCTTGTAAAAATCTGATCTCAGAGCAGGAAGAGATGTTGGCCATCATCTCATCTAGCCCCTTTGTCTTACAGATGGGGAAACCCATCAAGAGAGGGGGCAGGTTCCGGACTCTTGGTCTTTTCCTTTAACTTCTAGAATGGGTCCAACCTGGCTACCTTGAGATTGCCTTTCTGATTGGGCATCTCCGACAATAAGGCAGTCTCCCTCATTATCTTTCCAGGGGTCTGGTGGCTGCTATTTAGCCCCCAGGACACATTCCTTGCAAAGCTGAGCCCCTCTGCAAGTGTAATCCTTGTCTTGGGGGGAGGGTTTGGGGGGTAGTGCACGTTGATGGCAACAGTGGGTGGTTAGAGCCACTTCATGGGCCATGAAGTGCCCCACCTGCCGTAGGTAGGGACAGGCGCCAGCCTTTTCAGATGTGCACTCTGATAGGATGGGGCTCTGCTAGCCAGCAGATGGGCCTTTGAATCCACTTGTTTGTCAGTGGTACTGTTTGTTCCTGTTGCCATCCTGTTTCTTCCCCTTTCTCTGGGGACACGGCTCTGGTTGTGTTCTCTTGTACCCCTCCCACCTGCCTTCCCTAGCCTGGGAGCAACCTTGTAGGTCTCCCACACCACCCCCTCTTTGTGGCTTTTTTTTTTTTTTTTTGAGGTGGAGTCTCGCTTTGTCGCCCAGCCTGGAGTGCAGTGGCGCAATCTCGGCTCACTGCAACCTCCGCCTCCCAGGTTCAAGCTATTCTCCTGCCTCAGCCTCCTGAGTAGCTGGGATTACAGGTGCGCACCACCACGCCTGGCTAATTTTTGTATTTTTAGTGGAGATGGAGTTTTACCATGTTGTCCAGGCTGGTCTCGAACTCCTGACCTCAGGTGATCCGCCTGCCTTGCCCTCCCAGAGTGCTGGGATTACAGGCATTCCTGGCCTTTGTGGCTTTTTCTAGATGCTCAGAAGGGGCTTCAGAGGGGGAGTGAAGAAATTAAAGCTGTTAGTTGGAAATACTGGGTGATATTAATTTAATTTTAAATTTTGTAGTTCTGTACAGTGCCTCACTGGGGAATACTGGCTGGCCCCAGTTTCCTCAGCTCATGTTTTCTGTGCCTCCTCCTCTCCTCCTCTCTGTCCCATTCTTTCTGTGGCTGAACCTACGTTGCAGGAGGTGGGGGCGGAAGAGGCACATGACTTGGTGAAGCTTTCCATATAAAATTTGGGTGAACCTTATCTGTCTTTACTGTAATAATTGCTGATTTTTAATGAAGTGCTTCCAGGGACCTCATCTCATTTAATCCTTCCAGCAGCCCAGGGATGGAGGGATGAGGGATGGAGGGATGAGGGATGGAGGGATGAGGGATGAGGGATGAGGACATCCCTCGTTGGGATGGAGGGATGAGGAAACAGAGGCTCCGGGAGTCTATAGGACCTGCACAGCCAGCTAGAGGGCTTTCTTGAGTCCACTCCTGAGGCCTTTGCGCTGAGAATGTGGCTTCCCTTGTTTATTTGCCCAGGTTAGGCTGGGGCTTCCAGGAGGCTACAGAAGCACAAGAATGTCTGTGAGTTTCTCATCCTCCAGAGACTTGGAGGCCAGCTGGGCTGACTTGGCTTGCAAGAAACGTGTTTCTGGAGCAGTCTCAGACCTTGGTATCCCACCAGGGACCCTTTTGTCCCAATACCTTAGAAGGGACTGAGGAGTTCATTAATGTTCACGTTTATGACCACCCTTGGTAGGTAGCCCAGGCCTGCATCTGCTCTCATGGGTCTGGGAGTTTGGTGTCAACAGTAAACTGGCTTGGGAGGCGTGCCAGTGAGAGTGTAGCATGCCACCGGGCCTGTCCCTTCCCCTTGGGCCCTACATTTGTTCCTTTAAAATAGGGCCATCTCCAAGGTCCTTTTCTACAGGGATGGCTTAGCATTCTGGTCTGGAATTCTTTCGGGAGATTCTCTGCAGGGAGGAAGGAGGATCTTTTCCAGGATTAAGTGATGCTGGTCTGTGGGTGGGTATTTTTTTATTTGTTTTAATGTCTGGATTTGCCACCATTTCGGGGGTGCAGAGGTGGGAAGAGGTGCTGACTTAGGTTTTCTTTGCAGCAGTGCACAGGGAGTATTCATAACCCAGCCTTGCAAATGAACACTTTCTACCAGCCTCCTGGGGAGCAAACAGAACTTCACATAGGAGGAAGCGTCCGTGTGCACATGGATCTATTGAAGGGACTGCCTCAGTTTCAGGCCTGACTCCACGACTGACTGCCTATGTGCCCCATGACCCTCGACACATTCCCTACCCCTCTGTGCCTCACTTTCCTCATCTGTGAGGGTAATAATTTAGCTTAGGGTTGCGAGCATCAAATGAGGGAATTTGCTAAAGGGTCCAGGATAGTGCCTGGAATTCTGTCAGTGGCGGCGGCCGCTGCTGTCGTCGTCCCTGTGGAGTGAGTGAGTGGGTCTCTGCCCATGGATGCCTCTCTATTCAGGGACCTTTGGCCTTTGTAGATTTAGTGTTCTTGGTTTTGGCAGTTTGCAAGTCACCCTGAAGGCCACGATGGCTGAACTGATCATCTTGCAGGGATGTGGGTTTGAGGATTTGAAACTGTTCAGTGGGCATAGCTAAGGAGGGGGCCCAGGCTTGCCTGGTGGCCTTTCAGCATCACAGCGGGGTTCTGTTCTCCTTCAGCACATGGCCCATCTGAATATTACAGCCCCCCAGGAGGTGGAGGTGCTGTCCCCACCTACTTTATGGATGGGGAAGCTGAGAAATTTATGTTAAGATGCTACTTGTATTTTTTTAAGTTTGGAGATTGAGAAGAGTTTGTTCTGGATTTCCTGAAAATGCCAAGTCTCCACTGGTAATCTTGTTACTATTACTAGCTAACATTTATTGTTTTCTGTATCTTTTTGAATATTTAAGACATGCACATATTAAAAAAAATTCAGAGGACTCAAAGTATACAATGAAACGTCAGCCCTGTTCGCTTCTCATTGCTGAGTTCCAGTTCCCTGGGGCAGTCTGTCTCTATAGGTGTTTATGCACACTCAGGGGCGCGTGCACGTGTAGGTCTCTCCATATGTATTACTGTTGTGCTCTTGCACATTGCATGGGACTGTGTGTCTTGGAGAAACTCCACATCGCTGCTTCATTTGGAGAAAGTTTTGTATCATTACCTCTTTTTTTTTAAACAGCTGTGTGGTCCAGTTCTTAAAAGGATGGAACATGTTTCTTCCGCTGGTGTTGGTTTCTGCTGGTATGGGCAGCATGACAATACCCCGTCCCCTTGCCTGGGTGTACATTGCTAGATGAGGAGGGCTGGGTCAGAGGGCACAGGCATTTTACTTTTTCATACTTTTTGTGTGTATGTGTGAGACAGAGTCTCCCTCTGTCGCCTAGACTGGAGTGCAGTGGCACGATCTTGGCTCACCGCAACCTCCGCCTCCTGGGTTCAAGTGATTCTCCTGTCTTAGCCTCCCGAGTAGCTGGAACTACAGTCATGCACCACCACACCTGGCTAATTTTTCTATTTTTAGTAGAGACTGGGTTTCGCCATCTTGGCCAGGTTGGTTTCGAACTCCTGGCCTCAATTGATCTGCCCACCTCGGCCTCCCAAAGTGCTGGGATTACAGGTGTGAGCCACTACGCCCAGCTTTTTCATACATGTTCTGAAACTGCTCACAAAGAAATTTCAATATGTCAGTCCCAATGACAGTGAATGGGAGAGCCTGTGCTGCGCACCCTCCTGCGCTCAGGGCCGGGACAAATCTGTGGGTGAGATGGTCCTCTGGATTCATATTTCACCTAGTGAGATAGTGAGATTGAGGAGTTTAGGTTGCTGGGGGCTGACTGCAGGCACCTGGAAGAGCTGGGTGCACCTGCATGGCAGGATGGGCATCAATGTTTCTAACCACTGGGCCATCCTGCCTTTACCGGTTATTTCTCCCACATGGTTTAGCAGGTTTGGGACATTCAGTAAATACTTAAAGTCAAGTGCCCCATGAGCACAGTTCCTGAACAGCTGGATGTAAATAGGGTTTCAGTTCCCACTCATTTTGAATTCAGCTGGAAAGCTACATTTGAGAGAATACTATGGCACTTCCCTTTTAAAAAGTAGCATTCATTTTAGGAAGCAAAGCATTCAAGAGCTGTGCACCTCCTTCTTTCCCTCGCAAAGTCACTGTCTTAAACACCTTCCCCATCCTGCATGAATTGGGCCCAGCCCAGCCTCTCCCACTCTGGTGGCCCTTGGGGAGCCGGCCCGGGTGTGTGTGGCCTTGCTCTGGAGAGGGTGTGGGACTCCCGAGAACTGGCCCATGGTCACACAGTGGAAATGTGGGAGGGGAACTTGCCTCGCTCCAAGCCGAGTGCTCCCCACTCACCACTGGCCAAAGCCTCCTTGTGAACAGGCCTTTCCTCCCGGCTGCGGCCCACGGTGTGTATTAGAGTGGCCAGGCCATACCTGTGGGGCCCTTTGAGTCTTTCTGGGGCTTCGTCTTGCTGCTCTGAGCCTGCTCAGAAAGCAGCTGCCCTTGTGGCCTGCATCTCCCCAGCAGAGCCTCATGGGCTGGTTTCTGTAGGCCCATCCTCTGGATGGCCCCTGGGAGTGCTCCCACAGCCATTTTTAGGGTTCGGTGGGGTGGATCTGAGATTCGTGTCAGAGATCCCGTGGAGCCGTGGAGCGTCAAGAATCACTCTCACAAGGGAGCTCCAGACTCCAGACCCCGCTCCGCATCCCCCCACCCCTCCAGGCCCTTGAGTGCTGGGTGCCCCACCCTGTTAATTGCTCATGATGTTCCAGGGCACACCTGTGGCAGAGGCCACCTGCAGACTCAGCTGCCCCAGAGGGTGAATCGGGACCCACAGGCCAAAGGCCCTCCCAGACAGCTTCAGGGAGATGTCTTCGTTCCAAACCTCTCTCGCCGTCAGAATCTTCACTGATACTTAGGCCCCCACCACTGGGCCTGTTCTTCCTCTCTGACTTGCTCATTGTCCTGCTTATTTTAAGTCTGTCTTGTTTTTAAGTAGTTGGTTCTATGAAGGTAGAGATTTTGGCAGCTTTATTTACTGCTGAAACCCCAGTGCCTATACCAGTGCACATAGGAGCTCAAAAAAGAATCTGTTAGTGGCTGGGTGTGATGGCTTACACCTGTAATCCCAGCACTTTGGGAGGCTGAGGCGGGCAGATTGCTTGAGGTCAGGAGTTCAAGACCAGCCTGGGCAACATGGTGAATACCTATCTCTACTAAAAATACAAAAATTAGCAGGGCATGGTGGCAGGTGCTTGTTATCCCAGCTACTTGGGACGCTGAGGCAGGAGAATTGCTTGAGCTCGGGAGGTGGAGATTGCAGTGAGCCAAGATTGCACCATTGCACTCCAGCCTGGGTGACAGAGCTGGACTCTGTCTCAAAAAAAAAAAGTATGTTAGTGGATCAATAACTGCCTGGTGGTTTTTGGAAGCCTTTTTCATGTCCCTATGGCTCAGCCAAAGCCACTTGTGACTCTGGAATGCTCTGGGCCAGGAAGGAAACCCCAGGGGTGGGGGAGATGGGGAGAGAGTTAGGTGGTAAGTCCCAGGTTCCGGAGGGGCTTGTGGGCAAGTCCTGAGCATCTGCCCTGGCCAGGCCTGTGCTGGGTGCTGGTCCTTGCCGGCATGTACACCTGCAGGAGGTGAAGGCAAACCAGCTCTCAGATGCACTGGAAATGCTGCAAGGTGTGACTAGAGCCAGGAAACCTGCAAACAGGAGAGAACTATGGCGCAGTGGCTGCAGCCACTTTAGCACTCTGTGGTCAGAGAAGGCCTCTCTAAGGAGGCGACATTCAGCAAGAGGGGCCTAGAGCTCTCTCCAGGAGCTAAAGGACCCACAGGGTGGACGGTGTCCACTTTGTAGAGGCCACACACCCTGGCCTCTACCATAAGCCTTATAAGCCTCTGCCATAAGCCCTGGGTTCCATGTGGATTGGAGGGCAGGCAGCTCTGGGCAGAACTGAGGCCGGTTTCCACCTTAGACAGGGTGGTTCAAGGAGGTGTCGGGGTGTCCTTCTAGAGCCTTGTTTCCTGACAGTGTGACCTTCCTCCCATCCGAGGGAGGCTGCAGTTATGCCCTCGGGGCCAGGGATAGGAAGACAAAATGCTCCCCGTGGGTCTGGTTCAGTCCAGCCTTTGTGTTCTGGAAATGAGCCGCTCTGGGCTGTGGGGTGGTGGGGTGGATGGGGTGGTAGTGGGTGGGTCAGCTGACCTTTCTCAAGAATCAGGTTAGGTCTCAGGTGCCCAAGGGAGCCGAGGGAAGCCGCGCCTGACCTGTGTGCTCTTTGGCAGTCATCGATCTTCCTCCAAGTTACTTGTTTGCCAAACTTGCCCAACAAAAGAGACACCAGGGGATGGGCGTGGTGGCTCACGCCTATAATCCCAGCACTTTGGGAGGCTGAGGCGGGCGGATCACCTGAGGTCAGGAGTTCAAGACCAGCTTGGCCAACATGGTGAAACCCAGTCTCTACTAAAAATACAAAAAATCAGCTGGGTGTGGTGACTGGCACCTGTAATCCCAGCTGCTCGGGAGGCTGAGGCAGGAGAAACGCTTGAACCCGGGAGGTGGATGTTGCAGTGAGCCGAGATCGCGCCACTGTACTCCAGCCTGGGTGACATGAGTGAAACTCTGTCTCAAAAAAAAAAAAAAAAAACCCCACAAAAATTAGCCAGGCGTGGTGGTGGGTGCCTGTAATCCCAGCTACTACTCGGCAGGCTGAGGTGGGAGAATCGCTTGAACTCAGGAGGCGGAGGTTGTGGTGAGCCGAGATTGCGTCACTGCAGTCCAGCCTGGTGACAGAGCAAGACTCCGTCTCCAAAAAAAAAAAAAAAAAGCTCCAGGGGCACTGGGGAGAAGGGAGAAGTACACATCCTGAAGTCTCCCTTCCCTGTGAGATGAAGATTCTCCTGGGAAGGGGGCTGGGGAGCTCCTTGTGAAGTACCCTGATGATTTTTATGGGAAACTACTCACTGTCATTTCATGAAGTGCCTCAGAAGACCTTACCCCAAAACTGTCAGGCGTGGGGAAGCACCGAGTTAGCCAAGGCTGAAGCAGTGTGTTTCAGACTTCTCAGGGGCAGGTCCCCTCCAGGAGGTTTGCTGGAGCCAGAGGTTCCCAGGCTGGCTCCTGGGTCTCTGTACCCTGAGCTCACTGTGGGAATCTCCAGTCTGGCACCGTTCACCTGAGGCCTCACTGGAGCCCCCTCATGCAGGAGGGAGACATGGCAGGGGCACCAGGTCGTCAGCCCAGCCCAGTTCTACCTGCTGTTGCTACCTTTTGCCAAATTCCTTCTCAAAAGAAGCCTTTTCAGATTTCTTGCCTCTGGCTGCTGGTTTGCCCGGAGTGTATAGAAAGGAGCTAGTTTTGCACAAGAGACATTCCTGGGACCGATCTGGCCAGATAGACACTTGTGGCGTTTTCCTCAGCAGTTTACGCTGCAAACCCATGGACTCCTCAGCAACCATTCTTATTAGCCTGGGGTCACTCTGGGCGCTCTTGGAGCCCAAGCCAGAAACTGGGACTCTGGGTTTGTTCAGGCGGCCTGCTGTGCTTTGGCAGGGCTGTGTTGCTTCCTCTCTGCCCCCTTGTACATTCATGGCTCATGCCAGATCTCAGAGGATCCTGAGAACCTACCATGGGGGTCAGGCACTATTGCAGATGGGATAACTACCCTCCAGGATGGCTGAGGGGTCTCCATTTGCTAGATGAGGGCCCTGAGACTCAGGGAGAGGCCAGGTGCTGTGAGCAGCACAGCTTGGATTCACCCTCAGGGATGGGTGACTCCTGAAACCATGCTGTTTCCACTCCGCCAGGTTGCCTTTGTCTTCAACACAGCATCCAGCTGCCGTCGATCGATGTCAGGAAAATCAAGGAGTTCTGTTCTTTTTTTTTTTGAGATGGAGTTTCGCTATTGTCACCCAGGCCGGAGTGCAAGGTGTGATCTTTGTTCACTGCAACCTCCACCTCAGCCTCCCCAGTAGCTGGGATTACAGGCACCCGCCATCACACCCAGCAAATTTTTGTATTTTTAGTGGAGAAGATGGGGTTTCACCATGTTGGCCAGGCTAGTCTCAAACTCCTGACCTCAGGTGATCTGCTCAACTTGGCCTCACAAAATGCTGGGATTACAAGTGTGAGCGACCGCGCCCTGCCTCAAGGGGTTCTTTTCTGAGCATCCTTTGTGTGCAGTTGTTGGGCCCAGGAGGATAGTGCATGGTGGAGATGGCAGTGAAGTTGGAGCATGAGACTTGTCCTGAGCCTCTGCCCTCCCAACTGTAAGGTGGGTGCAGTGCACCCGCCCTAGGGCCAAATGATAGGATTCCCCCTCCACCCAAGAGGCCACCTCACCTGCCCTCCTACCCGCCCAAGGCAGGGCCTGGGGCCTCTGACACATCTCTGCTGGGAGCTGCCACCCATCTTTTTCTGGGGGATCCTCCAGTGGTCAGCTTGCTGCTTCCTGGGCAGGGCGGGGCATGGTAGATGGGTGCAGAGAGAACCCTCCTGTGGCAGTTTCACTTTCATTTCTGCCTCACACCCTGTTTCCATCCAACAGTCAAGGGCTGGGCTGCGGAGGTGAGGAAACATCCGGTCTCCACCCTGGGGTACTTGTCCTAGTGCAGGTTCCCAGGCCTCCCCCTCCCCTGGAATGAATCTGGGGTGGGCCGTGGCATCTTCTTTTTAAAAAACACCCCATTCATTCCTTTATGCACTTACATGCCACATACTTACTGAGTGCCTGCTGTATGCTGGGCACTCCTGGGTTCTGGGGATTGATACAGCAGTGAGCACCACAGTCTCCTGGAGCCCCAGGGTCAGTCTTAGGGAGAGCTTCAGGGCAGTTGTCTCACCACTGGGAGCTCTTGCCCACAGTGTGCTGGGTCACGTACCTCTCAGGGTCCTGGGCTCGTGAGTTTCTTCTTCTTCTTATTTTTTTTTTGAGATGGAGACGGAGTCTTGCTCTATTGCCCAGGCTGGAGTGCAGTGGTGCAATCTCACTGCAACCTCTGCCTCCCGGGTTCAAGCGATTCTCCTGCCTCAGCCTCCTGAGTAGCTGGGATTACAAGCACGCGCCACCACGCCCGGCTAATTTTTGTATTTTTAGTAGAGATGGGGTTTCACTGTGTTGGTCAGGCTGGTCTTGAACTCGTGATCTGCCCGTCTCAGCCTCCCAAAGTGCTGGGATTACAGGCGTAAGCCACCATGCCCGGCCCTATTTTTCTTTTTTTCTTTCTTTCTTTCTTTTTTTTTTTTTTTTTTGAGATGGAGTCTTGCTTTGTCGCCCAGGCTGGAGTGCAGTGGCGCGATCTTGGCTCACTGCAAGCTCCGCCTCCCAGGTTCATGCCATTCTTCTGCCTCAGCCTCCCGAGTAGCTGGGACTACAGGCGCCTGCCACCATGCCCGGCTAATTTTTTGTATTTTTAGTAGAGACAGGGTTTCACCGTGTTAGCCAGGATGGTCTCGATCTCCTGACCTCGTGATCCGCCCACCTCGGCCTCCCAAAGTGCTGGGATGACAGGCATGAGCCACCACTCCCAGACTTGTTTCTGTCTTTTTTGCCGTTGTTGTAGAGACAGGGTTTCACTGTGTTGGCCAGGTTTGGCTGTAACTCCTGAGCTTGATCGATCGCCCGTCTCAGCCTCCCGAAGTGTTGGGATTATAGGCTTGAGCCACTGTGCCTAGCCAGCCTATTTTCTTTTTCTTTTTTGTTAGTCTTGCTCTGTCATCCAGGTTGGAGTGCAGTGGTGTGATCTTGGCTCACTGCAACCTCCACCTCCCAGGTTTAAGTGATTCTCGGACCTCAGGTGATCCTTCCACCTCAGCCTCCCAAAGAGTTGGGATTACAGGTGTGAGCCACCACGCCCAGCCCAGCCTATTTTCTTTAAGATTTTAAAGTCCTAACATTCGTCATGGGATCCTTGAAAAGAAAAGGAATTATGGCCTTGCCACTAGAGGCCTTTGCCGCCTCCCTGCAGGAAGGTGTGTCCCGCGGCATTGGGATCGTGTTGGAGAAAGGTTTTGCTTCCTGCACAGTCAGCTCCCAAGCACCCTTTTTATCACCTTGACCTGGGCGCAGCCAAGCCGTGGCCTGTGCTTGCGGAGATTTGGGTGCCCCATCCTCTCGCTGCTCTGGGGAAGCCTGTAGCTGTGGAGAGGCCAGTCCAGGCCCCAGCTTCTGACCTTTGTCTACATATCAGGAGGAGCCCTCCTGGTGAGGAATGTGCCTCGTTCTTTTGGGGGAGCTGACGAGGTGCCTGTAGTGTGGAGGGTTAGGGGCAGGGGAGTCCCTCCAGAAATGCACTTAAGCTTGCAGAGTCACCCTGCCCTGCATTGTTAAGTGGTATAAGGACAGTTAGCTCCAGAAACAGCAGTGGCTCCTGTCTCTGGAGCTCTAGCTTCATGCCTGACATGGTGCTGAGCGCTAACATGTGGCTCTTTGAAGCTGTCAGTCCGTATGTGGAGACTGAGGCTCAGAGAGGGTAAGTGACTTTCCCGGGGTTTCATAGCCGATCACCCTGGGGGTGGGGTTCAAACATCAGTTTGCACAGTGCCGCGATCTCAGGTCACTGCAACCTCCACCTCCTGGATTCAAGCGATTCTCCTGCCTCAGCCTTCCGAGTAGCTGGAGTCACAAGCGCACGCCTCCACGCCCAGCTAATTTTTTGTATTTTTAGTAGAGATGGGGTTTTGCCACATTGGCCAGGCTGGTCTCGAACTCCTGACCTCAAATGATCCACTTGGCTTGGCTTCCCAAAGTGCTGGCATTACAGGCGTGAACCACCGTGCCCGGCCTCGGCTTCTTACTAGGTGGATGACTGTGGGTGTGTTTCAGCTCCTCTCTGGGCCTTAATTTCCTTGTCAGTAAGAGGTGACCTTGTGCTCATGCATAGGAGGGGGTCAGCACATGCAAACTTCCCTTCTGTGCAGGGCAGAGGCCATCTCTGGAAGGAAGAAGGGGGAAAGTGGCCCCTTACTCACCTGTGTCAGGTGGTATCAGAGTAAACCTCCACAGAGTCCAGAGGTACAGAGATTCACGATCTTAGAGGAGTAACTTTTGAAAACCTTTGAGCCAGAAGAGGCCTTTGCGTGTAAGGGTTTGCAGCTCAGAGTGGCTGGCCTTGCAGGGTCACACATGTAGAGCTTTGGGCTGACAGCTTCGCAGCCCAGAAGTACACCTGTGGCCTCCAGGGAACCTCTAGGAGTGTGAAGAGGCGAGGGTGTGTTCTGTTCTGGGCCATGATTGGTGGACCCCATCCCGGCCAGGATGAGTTATTTTTGTTGATGGGCCCTGTGGTCTCTCCTAACCTTGCTGGGAATGTGACAGGAACCAATTCTTTGGATTTGGGATGCTCTCCTGGGAAGGATGGGGGAGTGAGTGGGTGCCCCTTCCCTGACGCAGCCATCTGGGACGTGGGCAGTTCTGTGAGTGCTTCTGCATGTGCTTCAGGCTGGGACCCCCTGGACAGTGAGACCTATGGAGTGGGCCACATGGCTGCAAATCTGTTTCCATTGCTGTGTGCTCCAGTCCTCTCACTCTCAATTAACCAACAGATGTGATGAGTCATTGGGGTCTCGTCAGCTAATGATCTGAGCAGTAAGTCGATTGTATGGCTGATTCCTAGAGCCACAGGGGTGGATGGGTTCTGACAGGAGCCTCAGTGCTGAGCGGGTTCGGTAATAAAGGGGATGTATTGGTTCCTGAGTCAGATCCTTGGGGCATTCTGGCTTCAGGTGTAGGTAGACTCAGGCGACAGTCCAATAGGGCCTGGTCTGTCTGTCTGTCTGTCTCTCTCTCTCTCTGTCTCTCTCTCTCTCTCTCTCCCTCCTCTCTCCCCCCGGCCCCCTCCCTGCTTCCCTGGTCTCTTTTACATTGGCTTCATTCTCAGGCCCATGTGGTGCAAGGTGAGTCCTCACCCTCAATCCTTATTCTCAGCCAGGCACTGTGGCGTTCCTTAGGTGTGTGATCTCATTTGATCCGCATTAACAGCCCTGGGAGGGTGGTGGTTTTAGCATTCCTGTTTCTCATAGAAGGGCTAAGTAACTTGCCTGGGGTCACACAGCTGGTAGGGGCAGAGCTGGGATTCAGAGCTGGTTGGGTTGGCTCCAGGGTCCCCCATCCCTCATGCTCCAGGTCCACAGGGACAGGGATTCCTTCTGTTGGCCTCTGATTTGTCATCCTGGGCCACATACCTGTCTCTGAACCAGTCTCTGGGGCTGGGGAATGCAGCGCCTCATTCCCTTCTACATGGCCTGAGTGTGGGCAGGGTGGATCCCCAAAAGGATGCTGCAGGGGCACTGTTTCCCAGAGGCAGGGGAGGGATGTTTGGCAGCTGAGGTGGGAGTGGACGTGCTCCCTGTTTCTGGGCTTCAGTGGCTGGCCAGAGTGAGGCTGGGGGCTGCTCTCCCTCAGCTTCCAGCTCTGGACCCAGCTTGCAAAGACTTGGACGGGGGCCTGAGGGTTCGCACACAGAGTCCAGGGCTAGGACGTTGTTCCCAAGAAGGGAGTGGAGAGTACCTACCCCCACAAGTCTGAGCCCCAGGCTGGCCTACCCTGTGCTGGGCACCTCTGCTTGGGGTTCCAGAATTCTCGGAGGCAGCTGGGTGGGAGTGCTGGTGGGAAGCTCCGGAAGGGAGGCTGCTCGGGGCCTCCCTGTGGCTGTGGCTGCATGGGCAGCCCCGAAGCGGCTTCCTGGACCCCACCTTGTGCCTCAGTTAAACCTGAATCTGGCTTATTCCCACGGCCAGCCCGACACAGGCAGATTCTGAGAGTCCTGGCTGCGCCCAGCAGCCAGCTGGGTGGGTGGACATACTGGAGGGCTGATGTCCTATTTGTGGGCTGGGGTTTTTCCGGGCCTTGGGAAATGCTGCCTGAGTTCCTGGAGAAGGATGACATCTTTCCTGCCCCACTGTCGCTGTCGCTGTGCAGAACCTTGGTGTTTTGACACTGATGTGTTCTGGAGCTAAACAATCTCGTGTTATGTAAACACAATTAGCCTGTTGCTGTTTGACCCTGTCCTGCTTGGGGAGGGTTGAGAAGGTGTCTTTTTGCTGGATCCTGGGAATTCTGAGAGCCTGGAGCAGCTGTGAACTAGTGGCTGGGGGTTGTCGGAGCTGGAGGGGAGTGTTGGTCTGGGGAGGGCCACTCCTGTCCAGGACACTCCGCTCCGATATACTAAGCCAGACCCTGGCCCCCCACAGCTGAGCAGGCCTGGTGGAACTGCGGGGAGGACATGCTGGACTATTTCCACCCGGAAGGGGAGAGGAAATGAACGGTGAGTGGCTGGTGGCCACAAACCCAGGATGTTCCATATATCAGGGCCCCAGTTCCGAGGGCCCCGGGCAAAGGGGCTGGGCTGGAGGTTGGGAGAAGTGCAGGGTGACAGGCCCTGGTTAGAGTATGGGTCCCTTATGGTTCCTTTCTGAAACGAGTGGGGCAGGTGAGGGCAAGGCCTGCTCAGAGCCCCTTGCCCCGGGCCTGCTTAACTGCTGTGGGTGCCTCTGCTTGGTGTTCCAGAATTTTCAGAGGCGGCTGCATGGGAGTGCTGGAGGGAAGCTCGGGAAGGGAAGCCGTTCTGCCCTGCCTTGGTTGCGGCCGTGTGGACAGCCCTGAAGTAGCTTCATGGGCCTTTCGGTGCTGCACAAGGTGGCAGAAGCTGGGACCAGCGCTCAGACCCCTGCTTTGCCGCTGAGCTGTGCGGCCCTGCACCATGGTCTCTATTTGAGGGCCCTCAGCTCAAAGGCTCTGGGAAATGAGTTTGGGACCCATTGCTTCTGGTTTAGCTGGTGGGGCTGGTGGACCTGTCAGGTTGGACAAGCAATTCTTGTGCCTTAGCCTCCCAAGTAGCTGGGGTTACAGGCGCCCACCACCACGCCCGGCTAATTTTTGTGTGTTTTTTTTTTTTGAGACGGAATCTCGCTCTGTCGCCCAGGTTGGAGTGCGGCAGCGTGATCTCGGCTCACTACAAGCTCCGCCTCCCGGGTTCACGCCATTCTCCTGCCTCAACCTTCCGAGTAGCTGGGACTACAGGTGCCCGCCACCATGCCCGGCTACTTTTTTTGTAGTTTTAGTAGAGACGGGGTTTCACTGTGTTAGCCAGGATGGTCTCGATCTCCTGACCTCGTGATCTGCCTGTCTTGGCCTCCCAAAGTGCTGGGATTACAGGCATGAACCACCGCACCCGGCCATTAATTTTTGCATTTTTAGTAGAGACAGGGTTTCACCATGTTGGTCAGGCTGGTCTCAAACTCCTGACCTCAAGTGATCTGCCTGCCTTGGCCTCCCAAAGTGGTGGGATTATATGCATGAGCCACCTGGCCCAGCCCACACTTGGCTAATTTTCTTTTTTTTGAGATGGAGTTTTGCTCTTGTCGCCCAGGCTGGAGTGCATTGGCGGCAATCTTGGCTCACTGCAACCTCTGCCTCCCAGGTTCAAGTGATTCTCCTGCCTCAGCCTCCTGAGTAGTTGGGATTACAGGCACCTGCCACCATGCCTGGCTAATTTTTGTACTTGTAGTAGAGACAGGGTTTCACCATGTTGGCCAGGCTGTTCTCTAACCTCTGACCCAAAGTGATCCGCCCACCTTGGCCTTCCAAAATGCTGGGATTACAGGCATGAATCACTGTGCCTGGCCGATTTTTCCCATTTTCTTGCTGTTGTAGGTACAGCTGCATTGGGCATCTTTGTGAATATAAATGTCTTCCTTCCCTTTCTGATTCCGTTACGTGTAGGTAAAAGTTTTTATCAGTTATTGATGCATAACAACCCATCCTAAAAACTACTGGCTTTAAGCAATAAGCATTTTTTCATCCCACAGTTCTGTGGGCTTTGCTGCGTAGCTCTGGTCTTGCTAGGAATCCCTTGCGTGTGTGTGGTCAGCTTGCAGTCTGGTAAGGGGTCTCTGCCCTGGGGCTTGACCTTTGGCTAACCGAAGGCGCTGGGCATGACCTGGCCTCCTTCTTGGCTTTCCTCAGGCTGCTGGGCTTGTTCCTGACACTAACAGTGGATGTTTCCAAGGCCTCTGGAGGCCCGTTTGTGTCTCTACAGTTTGTTGGCCAAAACAAGACCCAAGGCCAGCTAACATTCAAGGGGTAAGAAAATAAACTTTACCCCTTGGCGGAGGTGTCAAAGTCATTGCAAAGGGCCTGGATACAGGGAGGGTCAAGCCCTGGGAACATGTCTGCACACAGAGTGTGTGATCCGGGTCTGCGCGTTGGCCGGCAGCCCATAGACCTTTCCCAAATTAGTACCTGGCAGGTGCCCAGCTGGTGCTGGGCTGGGTATGGGGAGGGGCGGAGAAGTCGGGTTCATAAGGAACAACTGTCATCATTCAGAAAGCTTTTCGAAGTGTCCGCTGTGTGCCCAGCTCTACCGACCCAGGTATTGTCAGTCCTGGTTCTTCAGGAACTTGGCTTTTGCTTACAGAGGGAAGGCTCTGTGGGTGACTGACCAAGGGACTCGGTGACGTCAGTGTCCTGTGTGGTGGTGGGAAGTTTTGTTCCTGGATTGGGGCCTGGTGTTATCTTTGTGGCAATCCCCCACCTCCATGATGAAGTTCATTTTTCTCAGCTGGAAGAGGAGGTTAGAACATTGGAGCCCCTACATTCTAGAACATTCGAGCCCCTACATTCTTGAACATTCCAACTGGGAGAGCCCTTGGGATTTTCAGTGGGGAAACCAGCGGTGAATCTGCAGCCAGGACTAGCTCCTGCGCTCTCTCCTTCTCCTTGTGCTGCTGGGTGCCTGTGTTGTTTCCAGATTGCATCCAGACCCAGGATTTCCTGTTGTTGTTCTTCGTGTGTGTTTCTTCATTAGAACAACTCCTGCATCCTCTGCAGAGCTGTTTACAGGCATCTATTGGCCTCCCTCCGTGCCAGGCCTCGTGGTGCATGTGGCCAAGTGATGGCCAAGATGGACAAGGTCTTGTCATTTGGAGCTTTAGTCTGTGAGGGCTATAGGGAGGGTACAGACATGTCAACCAGTGAGTTACAGGGATGATTTTATCTGGGATCGGAAAATGAAGTGATGACAGTGATATGAAGGGGTCTGGGGACTGTCCTCACATAGTCAGAGAAGACCTTTCCCAAGGAGAGAGCTGTGGCTGCTGCTGACAGGTCAGAAAGGAGTCAGTCGCAGAAAGCTGGGGCTGCGGCATCTCAGGCAGGGGAAGCGGGTTTAGCAAGTGCAGAGGCCCCAGGGGCACAGGAGGGAGCCGGAGCTTGGTGTGTTGGTGAGCTGTGGTTGGAGGACGTGGCCGGGGCAAGGCCTGGGAGGACAGGGCCGTGAGGAAGCAGGCAGGGCCAGGTTTCTCAGCGCTTTCCAGGCCCCAGCATGCAGTTTGAGATTATTTTACAGGAGGTAGAAGGCAAAGGCTCTCATCAAATTACCCCACAACATAGTCCGTGAAATACTACTCAGCCATGAAAAAGAACACAACCCCATCCTTTGCAGCAACATGGATGCAGCTGGAGGCCATTATCCTAAGCAAATTAACGCAGGAACAGAAAACCAAATGTTTCATGTTCTTACTTATAGATGGGAACTAAACCTTGGGTATATATGGACACAAAGATGGGAAGAGTCAACACTGGGGACTACTAGAGGGGGAAATGGGAGAGGGGGGCAAGGGCTGAAAAACTACCCATTGGGTACTATGCTCAGTACCTGGGTGATGAGATCATTCATACTCCAAACCTCAGTGTCACACATTATACTTGTAACAAACCTGCACATGTACCCCTGAATCTAAGATAAAAGTTGAATTTATTAAAAAAAAAAAAAAAAAACCTAGTCCGTGACTCTAGGTGACCCTTTTAAAAGCTTTGGGTGGTGCTGATAAGTGTGACTGTGTCCTGGAGCGGCTTCATTACTTCCCATCCCTCCAGCTGCCTGCCACAGGGCCCAGAAGCTGGCTTTGGAATTGGAGGGACTGGGTCAAACTTGCTTCTGCTCCTGTCTAGCAAGTTAGCGAGCTTCTCTGAGCCTGTTTCTTTGTCTGTAGGATAAAAAAAGCACTTCTTAACTTCTGTGGTTGGTGTGTCAGTTGAAATAATTATTAATGGTATAAAGTTCCATAGTTCACTGCCTGCTAGATTTATTTACAATTACTACAAATAACTCATCGTAGGCCCCAATCAGCGGTAGATGGTATTACTGTGGTGGTGGTGGTGGTATGTAGGTGGTGCTGTGGTCTGGGTTTCAGACACCATGCGGGGTGCTGGAGCACCGAGTTCCTCCTGCACCCCGGGAGCCCAGTTGGTGCGGAGACAGAGACAGGAGGTGAAGTGTTAGATGAACTCTGCTCGAGGAACAGAGCAAGTTTCTCTATCTGGGAAGATGGAAGAAAGCTTTCCACAGGTGGTGACCCTTGAGAGGTATGTTTGAGGGCGCAGGGAGCTCGCTCACGGACAGGTATGGATGGAAGGTAGTGGAGAAAGCGGGCAAGCCTGTGCCAAGGCGTGACGCTGTGGAGCCAGGAGTCCTTCAACACGGACTCTGGGCATGTAGGGCCGGTGCAGATGGGTGGCTGTGGGGAGCCCCTGGAAGCCTGGGCTGAGAGCCTCTAGGAAGCAGTGGGCTGGCTGTGGGAGGAACACCCCTGCCTCTCCCTGTGCCTGCAGTGGGTCCCGTCCCCACGCTGTGACTGCCAGGTGTGGACACATGCTCGTCAAGTGGTGAAGAACGTGGAGCCGGTGGGCTCACCGGCTTGGGGCCTGGCTGCCTCACTGGGAAGCTTGGTGGCCCTGGGAGGTCATTGAGTGTCCCTAAGCTTCCGCCAGGGAGATGATCGTAGGGCTGGTGTGAGGGGAGATGAGGAGTCTGTGTCTAGCACCCAGCACAGGGCATGCACTGATAAAATGATGGCTTCACCCGGCTCCCAGGGGCCACGTCCAGCTGACAGCTCCTTGGTGACTTAGCTGTATGGGTGGTGTGCAGCTGGCACTGCTTGCTGGTCTGGGGGAGACATCCTAGGCTGGCCTGTGGAGGACGTTCCCTCTCAGCCTCCTCTGAGCCATGGGCATAGGTGAGTTTTCAGAAAAGCCCATACCGACGGTGATTCAGCTCTGCTTCTTGCTTCCTTCTGTCTTATTCTTAAGTCACCCACAGGGCAGCCACCTGCCAGTGTCTGTCCTCCAATCCCCTGCTCCAAGGAACTGCTCTAGGCAGGGAAGAGAGAGGAGGAGGAGGCCCCGCATATCCTCGGGTAGAACGGAGGAGGAAACTGAGGCTCCTCACAGAGGTTAACTAACCTCTGCTAGACCACCCAGGTGTAAGAGCTGGGATGCCCCCAGACCCTCCCTTCTCCCGGGAGCGGTGGAGCCGAGGCGGTGGGGGCCTGGCTGGAGCGCCCCAGGAGCTGAGAGAAGTTTAGTCCACCTGGAGCTTGGCAATCGGGGTGAGGATCCCTTTGAGGCCGGGTTGCACAGGATCCTATAAGCCATCATTGTACACGCTTGGGCTTTGCCCTGAAGGCTGGGGGAGCCATAGCAGTTGTGTGAGGTTGGCTGCTGGGTGGAAGCCAGGGGCTTGTGGGATTGGAGGGGGAGGCTGCTGCGATTGTCCAGGCAGTGGTGGTCTAGATCGTGCAGTGGTGGTGGATATCAACTCTTCAGAGTCCATCCAGGTCTGAGGACTCATTAGCAACCTCGGCTATTCCTCGACTACTCAGGATGTTGTCTGTATGGGGCCGGTGGCCTCAGCACTCCTGGTTCCTCAGCATCGCCACGCCCTCTGTATCCACGGACTCAGAATCTGTGTTTTAACAAGACCCCCAAGAGGTGCCAGTACACACGGCACATTCATGTTTGCAAACACTGGTTTAGGGAACCTGTTGACCTCAGCGCAGGGCTGAGGGGGGAAGAAAGGACTGAGGTCAAGGCCTGACTTCATGAGGAAGGGGAGGTTGGGGAGCGGGGGAAGAGGAGATGATGTCGGAGCACTCAGACTTCTGACTGGGAGGAGGGCTACATCACCCCACGCCAGGGGCGGCTTGAGGACTAGTGCAGTTATAACACAAAGGGCCGAAACGGCCTGGCCGCTGGGGCAGGGCAGAGAGCTGGGCTCCACAGGGCAGCCTGCACACCCCATCTCTGCCCTTGGAGGCCCTAGAACCCTGTGGACCCTGTCCTTTGTCCTTTCTGCCGTGTCCATGTAGGTGTGGGTCGTGTCTGCCCCACAGGTTGGGTATTTGCCGTTGTGCTGTCAGCAGATGGGTGTTGAGCCCATGCAGGCCTGGACTTGGTCACAGAACGGCATCCTGCTTGTTGAGTAGCCATCCTGGTCATGAGGGGTCATGTGGTAATGAGTGTATGGAGAGCTGGGGGCGTCATTGTGAAGACCAAGTGAAGCAGCAGTCGGATCTGGGACAGAGGTTCCTCTAGGGAAAGACTATTATGGTCTGGGGCACCCTGGAGGCACGCGCCGTGGCTGGAGGGTGGGTGAGTCTGTGGCTGGTGGGTTCGGCTGAGGCAGGGGAGTGCGCTCTTCAGCCCAGCCCCCTGGCCTGGGCCCTGCCGTGCTGGAGTCTCCTGGTGCCTGGAGGCTGAGTCGAATGCAGTGGGGCTGGGCAGAGGGTGCCCTGGCTGTCGTGGGGTGGAAGCTTGGCTGACCCAGTGGACATCAGCCAGGACCACATTAGGCCCAGCTTTGGCTGGGTTCCCCACAGCTGTGCCCAACGGCATCCCTGGCCTCCACCTACTGGATGCCAGTACTACTCTCGTCTTCCAAGAATGTCTGCAGGTACTTCCAGATGTCCTCTGGGTGGGGGGTAAAATTGCTCCGTTGAGGGCCAGTGCTGGCTGAGGGTTCTTCATCATTCCCTTCTGGTCCCAGCCTGGCTGCACTGCCACCTGGCGAGCTCTGTTTCCAGGCAGTGGGTCAGGCCTGCTTTGGGGGCTGGCATGCTGTCCTCCCTCACCCATGTCAAGGCCCGTGTAGCCATGTGCTGACATGTGCTTGATGTGACCTGGGAGTCAGAGCGCCTGGCTTCCTGCTCCAGGCTTCCGTGGTGCCGTAAGGACCTCAGGTCTGGGGGTCAGGAGGCCTGGATGGAAAATCCTGGCACTCTGGTCCTTGTAGGGGACCCTGAGCCTCGATTTTGCATCTTTGGCGTGGGGCTGTGGTAGCCTTTCCATGGGTGCTGGTGGAGGCTGCGAATGCCAGTGTGCCCACCCTCCCCATGCTGGGCTTAGCGTGGGTGCCTGGTGACAGTGTGTTAATCTCCCCTTGACTTCTCTGTGACCTCAGATAAGTCCCTCTCAGTTCTGGGCCTTGCTTATAAAAGGGTTCTTGGGCTCTCTTCTGTGTAAAAAGTGGGGAATGAGGTGGAGAGCCTGGGGGACAGGGGAGTCATGGGGTTGGACACCGTGCCAGAGCCTGTGGTGCTTTAAAATCAAGGCTCAAACCCAGGGTCCTGAAGAGGGCCGAGCAGCAGCTGAGGTCCGAGTGCACCCGGCCTGCCAGTGCTGCCCAGGAGTGGCGCCTCCCGTCATCCCTCACGCCCAGCAAGGACCCAGTGTGACAAGAGCATGGAGTCTGGACCTGGCAGAGCTAGGTTTGCCTCCTTGCTCTTCTATGACTAGCTGCATGGCTCCTGGAGCCTGTCTGAGCTTCAGGTGCCACACCTGAAGACTGAGGTTAAATGGGAGGCGGGGAGGAGCTGGTGACACTGACTGGATGCCACTATGTGCCAGCCTCATTCATTCCACCCTCTGGCAGTGTCCTGAGTTACATGCCCAGCCACCGTGCTATTTTCCAGGCCGGAAAACCGAGGTGTAGAGCCCAGCACTCGGCGTAGGAGGCACACAGCAAGTGAAGCCATCCTTGTTGACATGAGCTGGTTGCTCTTGGCATTTGAGTCTGAATATCAAAGGCCCTGAAGATTAAAAAGAGAGAATGAAGAATGATGTGCCTGGTGCCTTCTTGGGAAGAGCCCGAGGCCAGCTGTGGAGGGGAGCAAGACTGGTTCTGGGCTGGGCTTCCTGGCCTGGTGCTTTCCTGGGCAGCTGGAAGTGCTTCTGTGGGAGCTGTCTGGCCCTGGCGCCGTTGTTGGCTTCATTATTTTTTGCCTGCAGGGGCCTGAGTATTCTGTACTGACGGGAAAACATTTGTTGGGCTGACGCTGTAATCACACCACAAGGGACACTTGAAATTATATCTGTATTTGGGAAGCTAATTTTAAAGAACTTTTTCTCTTCATAATTATATGCAATCAGCCAGCTAGTGTTATTGGGGATTCTCTTTTTCCCTCTTCAGCTGAGAGGCCATCTGCCTTCCTCTTCCTGCCTTTCCTTCCAGCACACGGTGAGCCATCTCCCTGGGAGAGGGACCACTGGCCCTTGGCTGCCTGCAAGCCCCAGGGAAACCTTTCCATGGTGATTGCGGAGGAAGGGATGAGGAGGAAGAGCAGGGGAGGATGATGGGGGCCTCTGGCTTGGCTACAGGATGAGTCCGTTTTCAAGACTGGAGGCGCAGGTTGGTGATGGAAATGATGGAGTGTAGCGTTTCGATTTGGACATTGAAGCAGCCAGGGCTCTTGTGAATGCAAGTGGCAGAAAATCCAATTCAGATGAGTTTAAGCAAAAAGAAAAAAAAAATACATTTCTTGGCCCAGGTAACCAAACTGGCACAGGAATAGTCTTATCCCTCAGGTCCCCAGACATTCCTCCTGTCCCTGGAGTTTTATTCCTCATCAGGAGGAATTTAGTTCCAGAAAACGCTGGCCAAAAAAAGAAAAGAAAAGCCCCCGTTGCCCACCCCCTGCAAATGGGGCTCATTCCTCTCTATCTTGAGCTCTGATCCTGACAAGTAGGGTTTCTCCAGGATGGTGGCTAGCACACCAGTCAGGGATACGGGCTGGACATTTAGGGTTGGCACGAAGTGGACTCTGTGGATTGTCCTTCACACGGGAGGCATTCAGGTCAGGAGAATATACCATGTGCTGGCCCTTCAGGTCTCGATCTGACCACCCTTTCCAACACCCTGGGTTCCTCTGTGTCCTTCCTCTTGGACCGCCCTCTGAGAGGATGGTGCGAGGAAGAGGCTTCCGTGTTGTGCATGGTAGGCAGGGATGGGGGCGTTCCAGGGGCGGACAGCATGGGCAGGTGGTCAGAAGTGTGAAAGAACCGACCTGTGGGGCACGGCAGGAAGCCCGGTGTGCTAGGAACAGATGGGGCGAGACTTGCTGGGTGAGGAGGTGTGCACCTGCTGCAGAGGCCCAAGTGGTGGGGGTGAGGGAAGCCCAGGGGGTGAGTCTGGGCAGGGGCTGGGGGGTGATGAGCCATGTTTCAGATGCAGAAGGTGCAGAGTGTGTGTGCAGGGACAGCAGGGAGACCGCCTGGTGGCCTGCACCGCAGAGCTGTGTGTCTCAGGGAGTGGGAAGCCCTGCCTGTGCTGGCCTCAGTTCTTCCGCTCTTCTGGAATTCTGCATCCTTCTTTTGACATTTCTCTCTAATGCCCAGGGTCCTGGCTCTTGGCTTTGGCTTGGTGGCAGCTGTGACCCCCTGCATGGGGCTCTGAGGGATTATTCCAGCTGTTTGGGGACTGTAGCCATGGCTCCCAGCTGCAGAGCCTGACAGGCCTGGAGGCCGGCAGGAAGAAGATGGGGGCTGTGCCCGCCTGCCGAGAGCTGGCTCTGAGACTGACTCTTGGCACTGGGGTCCTCTGAGGCCCCAGGCTCATTCTCACCTCCTCCAGAGACCCAGCTGACATACCATTCTCATGAGCTGCAGTCCTGTGACCCAGCTGATTTCTGTCTCATTGGTGGAACCCTTTAGAGGTGGGGTAGGGCTCCTAAAACATTAGCCCTACTGCCTTCCCCACAGATTGGCCTCTCTTCCCTGCCTGTGGGCATCTGGCATCTGCTTGAATCCTTCTTGTCACGGGGTGCTCATCACCTCTTGACTGCCTTCCTATGGAAGCCAGCAACCTCTTCCTATGGTTGAGCTGAAATCTACTTCATAGGAAGGGTTCCTTCTGCCTGGAAGGTTTGATATTGGACAGGACTGTCAACCGTGTGGAGAGGGGAGGAACAGGGTGCTGGCTCCCCCGGCTTCTGGGCTGGATTGACCCAGGGCGTGTCTACCCCACAGCATCCTGACATGCCAGAGGCTGGACCTTAGGAAGTGCCTTCCGGGCCCTTCACTGCAGGCCTGCTCAGGGGCTGCTCCTCAGGTCTTGGGGCCCCTGGGGCAATGGCATCCATCCTTTTGGCCTCCTGGGGTCAAGGTTCTGAGGGAGGATTAGGGCAGCAGGTGGTTGGGTGGAGAGGCAGCTCTGTCCAGAACAACCCTGTTCCAGAAATCCCAGAGCCTCATCCCCAACAGACCCGGTGGGCCCCCCACCATCACACAGGTCCCCTTTCTCCCCAGGAAGTCACACAGTGCTGTGGGATGAGGAGGGTTTCCTGACAGATTTGGGGAGAGCGGGCCTGGGTGGGGAGTAAGGGAGCCTGGGAATTACTGGTATTTGGATGGGTTTAGATTGTGGTTCTGCTTCTTACCTGCTGTGAGTCTTTGGTCAGGATACTGAACTGCTCTGAATTTCCCCACTTGAAAAGAGGTGACAGGCCAGGCGCGGTGGCTCACATCTGTAATCCCAGCACTCTGGGAGGCCAAGGCGGGAGGATTGCTTGAGCCTGGGAGTTTGAGACCAGCAACCTACTGGGCAACATAGTGAGACCCTGTCTCTACAAAAAATAAAAAAAGAGGCCTGGTGCAGAGGCTCATGCCTGTAATCCTAGCACTTTGGGGGGCCAAGGCAGGCAGATCACTTGATGTTGGGAGTTCGAGACCAGCCTGGTCACCATGGCAAAACCCCGTCTCTCCTAAAAACACAAAAATTAACAGAGTATGGTGGCGCACGACTGTAGTCCCAGCTACTTGGGTGGCCAAGTAGCTCCTGCTTGAACGCGGGAGAATTGCTTGAACCCAGGAGGTCAAGGCTGCAATGAGCCGAAATCGTGTCACTGCACTCTAGCCTGGGTGACAGAGGGAGACCCTGTCTCAAAAAAAAAAAAAAAACAAAACAAAACCAAAAAAGAAAAGATGCAACCATTGTACCCACCCAGTGGTTGCTGAGATCCAGTGTGAGGGGGACGAAGTGCCTGGCACTCACAAATCCTGCCCCGCCACTGCCTCGTCTGTCCCTGTTTCTGCCTGGGACAGGGAGAGCAGGCCTGGGTGGGGAACGAGAGAGCTCGGGGATTACTGGTGTTAGCCTCTCATTTATTTGGGTCGTGCTCAGGCCCCTGGAATCCTCTCTGAAACTGGAGAGTCTCTCGGGTAGCCGATGAAGCGCTGCCTGTTTTAGGGTCAGGTGCCTGGGCACCTCTGATGGACCTCAGGATGAGCCCAAGTGTCAGTAATTATCACCCAGCTCCCCGGTTTGCAGCCAAGGCTTCCAGGCCTGGAGCCTTTGGTCTCCAGCACCCAGTTCCCCCACATCCCTTCCCTGGGCTTCTTTCCCGCCATTCCCATCAGGGACCCCTGCGGCCATGCTGGGCTGTACCCAGTGCCCCTTGGGAATCTGCGGGTACCGTGCAAAGCTGTGCTGTGCTCCTCCCCATCAACTCCTCATTGACTGTTGAAGGCCCCTACAAACTCCTGACAGGTCCTCATTCATTCCTGCCTGACACATGAATGCTTCCAGGCGATGTCTGAGAATCCTGGGATGGCAGAGCTGTGGGAGCCTTGGGGTTGTGGTGGGCAAAGTAAGGCCCCTGCCACTCCCCACCAAAGACAGCAGGTTCTAATCCTCAGAGCCTGTGAGTGTGCTGCCTTACATGGTAAAAGGGTATGACATGACTACAGATGGGATTTTTAAATTTTTATTTTTCAGAGATGGGGGTCTCACTGTGTCACCCAGGCTGGAGTGCAGTGGCTATTCACAGGTCTGATCATAACGCACTGCAGCATCAAACTCACGGCCTCAAGTGATCCTCTCGCCTTAGCCTCCCAAGTAGCTGGGATTATAGGCATGTGCCACTGCTCTTGGCTTACAGATGTGAAGGAGTGAGGCATCTTGAAATAGAAAATGTTCCTGCATTACCTGGGTGGGCCTGGTGTAATTACAAGGAGGCAGGAGGGCCAGAGGAGATGTGACAGTGGAAGCAGAGGTTGGGGTGTTGTGGCCACAAGCCAAGGAATGTGGACAGCCTTTAGAACTAGAGAAAGCGGAGGAATCGATTTCTCCCTGGAGCCTCCAAAAGGAAGCCTGCCTCTGACCTCAGAACCCTAAGAGAATAATACATTTGTGTTGTTTTTAGCCACTACTGTTGTGATTTGTTACAGCAGCAATGGGAAGTGAATACAGTTTTCTCCTACCCTGCTCTTCTTAGGGCTTGTGGGTGAATCTGTGACTGAGAAGGGAGGGACTGGGTCAGGGTCAAGGTCAAGGCCAGAGCCCATGTGACCCGACACCTTGGGACTTTCCTTTGACCTGCCATCCCGAAAATATCTGAGGGGCCAGGGAGATACTCCAGTAAGGTGCCTTGTGGTTTAAGTTTTCTGAGATGGGGTCAGGGCTGACTCATGCCTGTGGCTGGGGGGCCCCAGGAAACCCCAGTGCCCATGACCTGGTCTTTGCCTTTGCTTCTCCTGGTGCTTAGCAGGCCTTCTCTAGCGTGCCCTGGCAGCCTCCCTCTCCCTCCCCTCCAGGGCCTGGCTCACACAGCAGCTCTACTGAAACTTCCCTGTGCCTCCTGCTGTCCCCCAGGTGTTTGTGCTATTTAAGGGCCTGTGGCACACCCGCCAGAGGGCATGGCATGTAGCCCACTGGTCTGCCCTGTGGCAGCTAGCATCTCGGGGCAGGGTTTGCGGTCTGGGGTCCCCCTCTGGTCCCAGGCCAGCCCAGTGCGTGACAGAGAAGCCCAGCAAATGTTTGACCAAAATCAGACCAGGAAACTCTCGCTGCCTGTGGTTGGAGGTGCAGCAGCAGGGCAAAGACAACTAAACTTTAAGGGCTTGGGATCCAGGGACCAGGAGCTGCCCCCAGCCCTCAGGCCAGGTAAGGAGTGTTGGCAGCAGAATTTGGGTGAAGTCTTTCGGTCTCCTCTGGAACACAGCCTTTCAAAGAGTGTCAGCATCCAGGACACAGGCTGGGGACACACACACTTATGCTGCTATTTTAGGAGTGTGGGGTACCTTGAGGATAGGTGCTAGAACAATTCAGGCTTTCCTGAGCAGGCTTCTCCCTCCCCCAGTGAGTCCAAGGGAGGGAAATGTCACGGGAATTTCTGCCTCCCTTCCTGCAGTAGCCTACCTTGCTCATTAGGCTGATACTAAATGACTTTGCATTCTTGGGATTAAGAAGCTGCTGTGAAGAGAACCAACTGAATCATTAGCCCTGAGGCTGGCTGGCTGACGGAGGAGGGGGAGTGGGGGTAGCGGGGAGGGGAGGAGGTGCTAGAACCAAGCCTGCCAGCACCCCCCACTACCTCCCTCTCCCAGCAGCCAACTCCCCTGCTTCCCACAATTTAGGTCCCATCCCTAATTAGGGGAAAGAAAAATTACCGCACCTGCAAGGGGATAGTAAAAGACTCAAAAACAATTTCAAGTCGAGAATTTCCACACTAAAAAGCGGGGATGTCGAGAGCCATTAAGGGAATAGATTTAACGTTTGTGATCAGCAAGAAGTCAGGATGATTCCTGATCTGAAGTGGTGGCCCCTTGGATGTGGCAGAACACTGCCTTGCGTGATCTCCTGCCCTCGCCTCACTTCCTCCTTCCTGAAAATTGAACTGAGGAGGGGAGTCTCAAAGGCACCTCAGTTCCTGTGCTGCTTTCAGCCCCTGCAGCTCTGATGACCTCTCCGGGAGGTGCCAAAGGTGGGTCACCCACTCTGTCTCTCTCTTGTGCCTGTTCACTGGGAAAAGCTGCTTCCAGGCACCCCTGGAAGCTGTTCTGGGTCTGAGGGAGTGTACTGACTCAGGCTGCTGTGCCTGCACTGAGGGGCGCCCGGACTTTGGGGCCGGCCTGCCTCCCCTGGGTGGGGCACCCGGTCGGGGGGAGGGTCTTCAGGTAAGGTGGTTGGTGACTCCCCAGTCAAAGGAAAGATGCCCCCACTCAATAAAAAAGACACATGGCAGCTTCCAGTTTATCTGGTTCTTCCCTAGAGCTGTCCAGACAATTCAAATGTTTGTACTGGCTTTAAAATTCTGTTCGTATGTTGTCTTTATATCGGGCCATTTCAGTTTCTGGCACTGTTAATAGGAGGAAAATCCAAATTACCAAACAATCAGCAAGTAAACCAAGATGCCGCAGGGCAGGCGGGCAGGGGTGACACGGGGCTGGAGCCTGGCCCAGGAACCCGGCAGCACTCGGGGAGTGTTTGCAGAGAGCCTGCCAGGCCCAGGGTCTGCAGGGGGCACAGGGATGCTGAAATAAAGAGCCATCTTTGGCCTCGAGGGGCTCATGGTCTGATGCTGAGCATGGAGCAGGCTTCAGTGGAAGCCATTATTCCTGCCTCTTGATGAGGAAGGCACTTGAGCTGCTCTTGGTGGGTGGGCAGGAGTTTGCCAGCTGAGGAAGGGTGCCTGGCAGGGGGATCAGTTTGTGCAAAGGCAGACTTAGGTCAAGCCTTGGCATTTGGAGATTGGGGTCCCTCCTGGGAGGGTTTGAGAGGCTGCTGCTGCCTCCCCCTCGTGTCTTCTGAGCTGCACCTCCAAATGCCCATGTGGCAGGTGTTTTGCTAAGAATTTGGGGCTGTGGACACAGGGCACAAGCTGTGTCCCTGAAAGAGTGCTTGTTAGTCAGGATAGGCCAGGTTAGGCTGCAGTGACAAGTAGTGTCGAAAGGCTGGCGGAAATAGGTTTACTCACAACTCATTCAGCATGCACTCTGGATCCAGAGACTCTCGGGGGCTGTGGTCTGCCCTGCAGTGGCTCAGTGTGTATCCCACTTCTTAAGTTCAGCACTGTGGACCTTTTGTGCTGGATAATTCTTTGTTTTAGGGGGCTGTCCTCTGCATTACAGGGGCCCTTTCCTCACTGGATTCTAGTAGCACTTTCCTCGGTGTGACAATCAAAAAGCTCTTCAGGTGTTGCTAAATCTCCTTGTGGGGGACACACAGTTGCCCATAGTTGGGAACCAGCGCTAGCTGGAGGTCCTCTTCATCAGTTGTTTCTTTCTGGTTCCCAGCCTGGCTTCGTCGCCACTCAGCCCGCGTTGTTTCCAGGTGGCGGGTCTGGCTGGCTCTGCTGGTGGGTGGCAGCCTCATGTGCTTCCTTGTTTCTGAGGTCAGGGAGGCCTCGGTGCTGGCAGTGGAATGCTTTTTCCAGGAGGGGACATGGTCACCTCTGTTCACATCTCATTGCCCAAGGCAAGTCCTGTGGCCATGCCTGACTGGGGGCAGGGACAACACAGTGGCACTGAGTGTCCAGGAGGGAAATTGCCGGCTTTGATGGCCACCATTGATGTTCACCACCGAGCATTAGCCTGGTGGGGTCAGTGCAATGGAGTCCAGCAGCCTTTCTCTCTGCCCAGTGCTGGGTGTGGGCAGCTTGGGGCAGTGGGGCCTGAGGAGGGTGGGAGCCAAGGCAGGTTTCTCCAGAGGAGCTGACCTGGGGGGTCAGGTGGTGATGTGGGGATGGCATTTGAGGAAGGGAACAGTGTGGCCATCAACACACATGGGTGACGGGGCTTAGTCATCTGTTTAGGAGCCCCAAGTCCTGGGGAGACATCCTGGGCTTCTGTGGGGTACGGTGTGGGCCCTGCCCTCTGCAGGCAGGGAAAGGGGACCATAACTTGGGGCTTTTTCCCCAGTGCCTGGTACCTGGAGGTGCCAAAGGGTCTTGTTATTTGGGGTGCCTGAAATCAGTAGTTACTGAACTGTGCCACACGTTGCTTGGATGAGGATGTGCCTGGCTTCCCACTTCCCCGAGTTGTTCTCCGTAGAACCTTCCTCCCTTGCTTCTTCACCATTTCATGTACTTCACTTGCTGCAGCGCTCAGGTCCCCACCCTGCCCTGGGGAGGGCCTCTTGGGTGGGAAAGGTCATATCCTTTTAACGGATATGAAAGCTGAGACCCCGAGCGGCTCAGCAGCACATCCCATGCCTGCTGCTGGTCATGGTCCCTGAGCCTTTTGTGCCCTGCTGTGCTGTGTGGCAGGCCTGCTGCTGGATGGGGTCTGTCATCCCAGAGTGTCTTGTGTTAACCTCCTGACGCCACACCTGGTACTGTGCTGCAGTGGCTTGGTGGTGGCGTGGATGCCGTGGACGTGTCTCTGCTCCTCATCACTCTTTTCTACTTCTGCCCTGATCATCTTTATTGTTTTCCCTTATCATCCCCTCTCCCTCAGTGCTGGGTCATCCAGAGTAATTTTCATCATCTTCAGAAGTGGTAACCACTGTCACTCACAGGGTCCCTGCTGCTCAGCGGCCAGCGACAGAAAGCTTTAGCTGGCTTGAGCAGAAATCTGCAGCTGAAGGTCTAGAGAGGACGAGCCCCACTGCGGCCGGGTCTGGCCGGGGAATTTGCCCTCCTGGAGCCCTCTTGGCCCTTTCTCCTGGTTGGCCTCTGGCTCATCTGGATTCTCGCCACATAGAAGCAATGGTGTCCTCCAGCATTTCCAGGCAGTGCCATTTGTACTGCAGACAGTCCCCCAGGACCCGTCCGGTAAAGGACCAGGACCGGCTTGGCTTGGGTCCTGCTCCCATGCTGCTGCTAAGTGAGGTGACAGGTCATGTGCCCACCCCTGGAGTGGGCGTGCCGCCCCCAGTCATGTGGACTGGAGGAGGCAGTTCTGGAAGGGTAGGAAGGCAGGGTGGCAGGGCAGAGTGCAGGTCACAAGACCCCCATCCCTGGCATGAGCCAGGTACTGTGCCAGGCCTGGACTCTGTTTCCCTTAAAGCCCGTGTGGGATGAGTTCTAGGATTCTCCCATTTTACAGATAAGAAAACAGAGGCACAAGGTACAGGGGGGTCTGGTTCCATGTTCTGCTCTCAGGGGCTCACCCACCTCTTCCGCTCCTGCCTACGCCCCCGAATTGTGTTCATCTAAGCCTCTGAATGCTGCGAAGCTCAGTCCTGGGCTTCTAACCACTTCCTGGCACCACCACGGTTGAAAAGTGGACTGCTGCTGCCTTCTTGCAGTGTTCTCTCGTCTCCTGGGCCTGGCGCAGGGCCTCAGTCTGCTCCTTCCAGACTGTGAGCGTCACAACTATTTCTGGTTCTTAGGTTTCCTTTACCCTTTTCCCAAGACCTGCAAGGGCTGCCCCCCACCCCACCCCTGCTATGTCCTCCCCTAGCAAATCAGATCCTGCTTCCACTGGTCACAGAGAAGCACATGGAGTCGCTCTTGTGGACAAGCAGCTGTCCCCATACCCAGCTGCTCCTGAGCAACACCCGGAGTGCGATGAACCCTGAATCCTTCCCAGGCCCTGCCCTAGGCCTCCTGGATCAGAGGCCTCAGGGTGGGCCTCGAATGAGGATTTTTGACACGCTCCAGTGGTGGTTCTCAGGTTATCTGCCCTGGCATTTGGGACCCACTGGCCCATAGGTAAAGGCTGGGCCACAGGGTGACATCCTGGGCCTCTGAGGCGTGCCCCACCTTTATCCTCTGTCCTGCGTCTCAGCCCCCGCCCCCTGAGAGGGCTTTAAGCTTCCAGAGCCCCAGACACCCTTTGGGGAGGGCGCAGGACTCACCTTACTCCTCTCTAAGTACTCTTCTCAGCACCGGTCTGTAGTTACCCTTCAGTTGCTCTGCCAGATGGCAAATGCTGCCTCCTCTTTGAAGCCTTCCTTTATTGCCAGCCTCCTCCTCTGAAAGGATCGAATCATTTTGTGAGTATTTTCACTTCCTGAAGGGTTCGTGCTCCTTGGACTTCTGGGGACAGGCTTCCCTGTGCAAAGCGGATCATCCCTTTGTTAATAATCCAGCTTTTGGAAAAGCATGTTTATACTTAGCTATTCCTATTTTATTAATATTCATATTAATATATTGTATTTATATATTAGTGTAATATTTATCAATACAATGACAGTTTAGAGCCTGTAAAATTATTCGCAGGTGCAGGTTTTGTGTTTTTTTTGAGACGGCATCTCGCTCTGTTGCCCAGGCTGGAGTGCAGTGGCACGATCTTGGCTCACTGCAACCCCCGCCTCCTGGGTTAAAGCAATTCTCCTGCCTCAGCCTCCCAAGTAGCTGGGATTACAGGCACCTGCTGTTATGCCCAGCTAATTTTTATATTCTTATAGAGACGAGGTTTTACCATGTTGGCCAGGCTGGTCTCGAACTCCTGACCTCAGGTGATTTGGGAGGCCCACCTCGGCCTCCCAAAGTGCTGGGATTACAGGCGTGAGCCACCATGCCCGGCTGCAGGTTTTTAATGAAACTTAAAAATTATTAAATTGTAGGCTGGGTGCAGTGGCTCAGCCTGTAATCCCAGCACTTTTGAGGTCAGGAGTTCAAGACCAGCCTGGCCAACATGGTGAAACCTTGTCTCTACTAAAAATACAAAAATTGGCTGGCATCATGGCAAATGCCTGTAGTCCCAGCTACTCGGGAGGCCGAAGCAGGAGAATTGCTTGAACCCAGGAGGCGGAGGTTGCAGTGAGCTGAGATCATGCCACTGTACTCCAGCCTGGGCGATAGAGCCAGACTCTGTCTCAAAAAAAAAAAATGTAACTTTTATTGTTACTTTCCCTATAGTTTTGAGGGTAGCGTATATGTTCATTGTAGAAAATCTGGAAAACACAGGGAAGTATGAAGGAAAAACCACAGCCCCGTGGCCACAGTTAACACTGCAGCACACGCACCTCAGTCTGTTTTCCAGGTATCGGAATGTTTCCACGGGCTTAGAACCCATAGCGAGTGCTGCAGCCTGGTGGTCCCCACTGCAGGCATCATTTCAGCTCCTCTTTGGGACAGCACTTGGAAGCTTTTCATGATACATCCTGAGCTCTGCTGTCTTGTGTCCTCCATTGATCGATTGCTTCGTGCTTTTATCAAGCATCTATTTAAGAAACAATTAAAAAATATATTTTCCAGTTTTTGATAACATGTTATAGGCACATGGCACAACATTGAAGCAATGTATGAGGGGACACAGTGAAAAGGAAGTCCCTCGGCCACCCCAGCTGCCCTTGCCCTTGACCAGGGGCCCTGCCATGATTGTTTTCCTGTAGCGCCCTCAGGTTCACTCTGTGTGTACACAAGCACACATGCTTGTCCTGGATGTTGTTCTTAACACAGATAATTATCTACAGCACACAGGGTTTTGCATCTTACCTGTTTCACACAGCAACGTCTTGGAGATAATTCCTCGTGGGTGCATGGAGGCCTTCTGTGTTCTTTTTTACTGCTGCATACTATTCCTTTGACTGTGTGTGGTTTGTTAATGTCCCCTCTTGGGGGAAGTTTAATTTGCTGCTAGTGTTTTGCTATCACATACAGTTTGGTAATTAACAGGGCAGAGCCGGAAACATATTGCACACTTGAGCCTGTCTGTGGGGTGATGAGGTGGGATCATGGAGCCAGGGTTTTCAGGAGGAACAGTCACTTGACAACCAATGCTCTGATTTGTGTTCCCTCCTCCTGTCTCCCATGTCCCTTCCTTCTCCCTCTTCCCCTTTGGCTTCATCATTCAATTTCTGAACTTTCTGGTTATGGCAGGACTTTAGGAACTTGCTTCTTGGGGAATCGAGGTTGTTGGTGCCTTTGCTCTGCACGAGTTTCCCAGTGAAAAATGAGCCCCGACAGGTTGTTTTATTTTCCCGAGAGGCTGTGGTGGTGCATGTGGGATTCCACCACCAGAGGGGATGCAGTTTTCCGCTGCCACCTCCTGGTCCTTCCATTGCACTGAGGCCCTGGAGGCTGGAGACCAGGCCTTCCAGCTTGGTGCCACCCTTGCCCACGGTGGTGCACCTGGTGGTGAACACGTGGGTGTGGGGAGAGCCCTGTTCCGGGCCAGCTCCTGCACTTCCTGAGTCTCCCAGGCCTCGGCCTGCTCTGCAGGTAATGGGGTAACCACTGTCCCACCCTCATGAGGCTGCAGAAGGTATTGGTGAGTGGTGAGCTTCAAGGGGTGTGTAGCATACGTGGGTGGCCCCCTCTTTTCTGCCACTGTTGCAACTTATCCTTTTTTTGGAGCTCTGAGCGACAGAGGAACTGCTGTGGCTCCTGGGAGATCAACCCCACTTAAGATTGCAGCCGATCTTTTCTCTAGATTACTTTTTTGTTGCTTTCTTATTTTATGTGTTCCATCTGTTTTCAGTGAGAGACTGTTTTTTTAGGACTAAGGGAGGGAGAGCTGCCTGGGATGATGTAAAATGTGGACTGATTGGAATTGACCTCAGTAAAGAGAGGAGAGTCACACGCTGGGATAACCCAGATGCCAGCAGGGTTGACTCAGAGGGAAACCGAGGCCCTGGCCCAGAGCCCAGTGGAAGTCTGCGCTCCTCTGTCACCGGCCTTTCCCATTGTGCGGTTCACAGTCTCGGTGATTTGGGACTTGAGTTTTCTGTCCTGGAGCAGGGCCGCTGGAGTTTGGGCTGGCTCCTCAAGGTCCTCTGCTGTGTGTCCTGGGTCAGGTTCCCGTCAGTGACGCTTCCTTCAGTTTTCTCGTCCCTGCGGGGGGAGGGGCAGGATGATTGGGAATGAGGCAGGGGCTGAGGTGTCCACAGGTGCTCAGAAACGGTGCAGGTTGTGAGCGGGTGGTTGGGTGTAGCACAGGTTCCTCATGATGCTATCTGTCACTGTGCTGTGGGCTGTGGTGGCCCAGGGCTATGCTGTTGTGTATCTCCCCTGTCCCTCATGAAACCGTGGAAGCAGATGGATATTGGCCACCATTCCTACAGGAACTGCAGACAAGCTAAGAGACACTGAGGGTCCCTGAATGCCTCAACCAGGGTGGTTCTCAAACTGGATTCCTCGGGGCCCAGGTTTCTGTTGAGGTGTCGGGGGTTTGAGGGAAGGTGGGCTGGGTGCTTCCCACAGTGGGACCTGGTCAGCTCTCCTTGGCCTCTGTCTTCCTGTCTCATGGAGTGGCTCCTTTGTGAGGTTCCGCTCAGTGCCTTGCTATCAGAAGGTGTTGAGGAAGCCCTCACTGAATGAGCTGACAAACAGATGTAGGAATTGGTGGGCGGCGCCTCAGCTGTGCCATGAAACAAGGGAGCAAGGGTGCCCAAAGGTTCCTGTGGGGCTTGTGCCCATCTCCTCCCTAAGACCTTGAGCCTCTCAAGGGCCCAGACTGTGGAGGTTGCATTTGTTGTACCCTCCGAGTGCTGGGCCCAGGAGCTGAGCTAAATTGTTACACATTTACACCTTCATCTGCCAGCAGCCGTTGAGGAGTGTCTGTGTGCCAGGTGGGCATCATAATTGGGCACGGGCACACATAGCTTTAAAGTTTGGCATAGTCCCTGCTCCAAGGAGCTTGGGTGAGTAAACCACACATTCCTGACCTTGCCTGGCTGCAGCCATCTTTGAGCATCTGCTGGAGGCCTTTCTTCCCAGCACAATGTGCACAGTATGCTGTCTTGGGTGCCTCGGTCCCTGCAGGTCCTGGTGGCCCTACACCAGTGCTTGTCCCTGGCTCGTAGCAATCAATACCCCAGAACAAAGGGCCGAGACAGTGGTAGCCTTAAGTTCTTCCAGGTTAGGAGGCGTCCTGGAGAGGCTATGCTGAGCCGAATCCTCAAGGCTGGGGTGGGAGGTGGGCACCAGGGCCAGGGAGGAGAAAGCCCTGTGTGCCAGAGCTGCACAGGTGGGCACTTCCTGGGCCCACAGTAAGAAATGTGGGATGGGGGAGGCTGGACGTGGTGGCTCGCGCCTGTAATCCCAGCACTTTGGGAGGCTGAGGCAGGCGGATCACCTGAGGTCAGGAGTTTGAGACCAGCCTGGCCAACATGGTGAAACCCCATCTCTACTAAAAATACAAAAATTAGCCGGGCGTGGTGGTGGGTGCCTGTAGTCCCAGCTACTTGGGAGGCTGAGGCAGGAGAATCGCTTGAACCCGGGAGGCGGAGGTTGTAGTGAGCTGAGATCGTAACATTCCACTCCAGCCTAGGCAACAGAGTGAGACTCTGTCTCAAAAAAAAAGAAATGGGTCAGGAAGAGAAGGGTAGGAGTCAACAGAAAGCCTTTGTGTGTTCTGGGCAAACCCCGACCCAGGCCATGAGGCTCCTAAAATTGGGTGGCAAGAGTCAGGTTACGTGGTGGCCGTGGGACTGCATGTGAGCGGGGAAGATGTAGAGGACATGAGTGCAGCTTGGAGGCTGTTGGCGAGGCCAGGGCAGGCATCAGTGGAGCATTGGGAAGGCAGCGGGCAGGACTGTGTGGGCCTCCCGTGTGTGGCAGTGGATGGGTTGGGGCATGACTGGCTGTGGCAGGTCCTGGGGCGAGACCTGATGGGGAGGACATGGGGACCTATGGGGGTTGAGCTCGGCAGGGACGGCAGGTGGTGAGGATGGTGGTGAACTTGGTGGCAGGGGCCTTGGGACGACCCAGGCTGGAGCTCGGCTGACAGAGGCCCGGCCCAGGAGTGGAGGGAGGTGGCTGGCGTGGGGCCTCCAGAGGACTCCAGCAAGTCCCTCTGCAGAGCCAGCCCTCTCAGTGGGAAGGTGGTTTGAGGAGTGGCTGGGAGTGGAAGGCATGGCTGTTCTGGGACAGTAGCAGGAGAGGCGCAGCTGCCGGCTCCCTCCTGAAACCCTCTCATGGTCCTGCCCTCAGCCGGCTGTCGGGAACCTTCGGAAAGGACGTGTCCAGCCTGCTGGAGTAACGCTTGTTTTCTTTGTTTTTCTCCACAGGAAGCGAGGGATGGAGGTTGTGCAGGTGAGTACAGACCGCGTCCCCGTGGTTCTTTGGGTAGTGGGGCCCTTGGTGCCCACCTCTCTGTCTCTCCTTCTCTCCTCCAGCATTGGGCACGGCTTTCTCTCTTCTTCACGTGCAGCTTGTTTTTAGCTCCCCTGTGGATTTGATGTGGTTTCTGCCCTGGCCTGGGCAGACTCCGACAGGGGCTTCTCGGGTTTGGAGGGTTGCTGTGGCTTTGTCAGTGGGGAGAGGGTTGGTTTGGGAGTCCTGAGGGGGGTGTGCATGGCAGTGGTCAGGTTAGGGTGGGTGTGGGAAGGGTGAGGGGGCAGTAGGCACCCAGCTAGATGTCCAGTTGTCTTGTGCTCTGTGTAGCCTCACCCTGGGTGGACTTGGTTCAGGTGCTCATTAACTAGAAAAAGAAGGATGGATGGAAGAAGAAGGAAGAATGGATGGAGGGGGAAGGAAGGATCTTGGAGGGAGGGGAAAGGTGGACAGATGGAGGGAGAAGGAAGGATGGAGGGAGAAGGAAGGATGGATGGAGGGGAGGAAGGATAGAAGGATGGATGGAGAGAAGAGGGAAGGATGGATGGAGGGGGAAGAAGGAAACATCAAAATACTCTCAGACTCTATGTGAGGGGCAGGCTGTGTTATTTGCACTAAAGGCTGTACCTGGCACCTAATGGGTACTTGGTAAACCTGATGGTGGCCTGGCCATGTCCTCTGTTCCCCACGCTGTCCCCGTGGAGGGTGACTGTGGTCTGTGCAGCTGGGCTGGCATCCCATCTCCTTGTCTTACGGGCCTCATCTGCCTGTAGCTGCAGAGAGGGGAACTCAAGCTGGGGACTAGATCAGGGCAGTGGAGGTGCTGGCCCCTGCTAGAATATCTAAGGGGCTTTCAAAAAGCCCACTGGGGAGCTCTTCCAGCCCACCCCTGTTAACTTCAGCTCCAGGCCTTCCCTCAGCGGTCATAGGAGAGCAGCGTCCCCATTCCTGCAGGTTCAGCATTGCAGGCCCCAGGTTTCCCCTGCTCCTGGGACCAGACTGGGGCTGGTTGACGGGTGGGGCTGGTAAAGGATCCTCCTGACCTCCCTCCTGGTAGTTTGTGGGTTGAACTTGTCACTGGAAGACTGAGATTTGTTTTGGGGTAAGGAGGTAGTTTCTGGAAGCCTCTCAGCAGCTCTAGGTTTTTGTCCAGGCTCTTCTTGGCTCTGGAGAATTGCATGTTCTGCACTAGATTTTTCTTTTTTCTCTTCCTTTTTTTTTTTTTTTTTTTTTTTTTTTTTTTTTTTGAGAAGGAGTCTCGCTCTGGAGTGGAGGCTGGAATGCAGTGGAGCTATCTCAGCTCACTGCAACCTCTGCCTCCTGGGTTCAAGTGATTCTCGTGCCTCAGCCTCCTGAGTAGCTGGGATTAGAGGCGTGTGCCACCACACCCAGCTGGTTTTTGTGTTTTTAGTAGAGATGGGGTTTCACCATGTTCCTCAGGCTGATCTTGAACTCCCGACCTCAGGTGATCCACCCACCTCGGCCTTCCAAAAGTGCTGGGATTACAGGTGTGAGCCACCGCGCCCAACCTGCATTGAATTTTTCTGTGGGCTTTAATTTCTCCATCATCAAGTGGGGGATACTGGAATTCAGGAATGGCTTAGGGGTGTGTGTTCAGGGACCATTTCTGTTTGATTGGTTTTGGCAGCCTGGAGGATCCTAAATCTGTGAGTGGGTGGGAACAGGGGTTGATCTGTAGTGCCTGCCAGGGGTACAGGCGTGGAAAGAGGAGGTGTGGTTATTCATCTCATCACGGGGTTAGATGGTCTCTAACCATTGCACCTCTAGGATGCGGTGGCTTCTATTTCCCTTTTAGCCCTCTATGATGGTTCACTGGGAAATCCACGGATCCTTTACAGATGCTGCTTTACCCACAATAAGCCTGAGACTGACAGCTGGGGCTCACTGTGCTCAGGAAGGCCCCGGGTTGCCCTGTGGTTCCGCCCAGCCACTTGGGAGGGTCCATGGGGGAACTGCTGTGGGAGCCATTTTCAGAGGAAGTGAGTTCAGGCGCTCCCCAGCAAACACACTGCCTGAGAGGGCAAGACAGCCTTCCCCCATGCCTGATCCTGTCCATACGCGACCTCAAACTGTCACACAGTGGGTGTCACCCCCACCGCTCGAGGAGAGGATGAGAGATGGACAGGGGTCGGCGGGTTTCATTTATGTGGCATTCTGGGAAGATTTAGACTAAAATCTTTAATCCGCTCGGTCTGTGGGAGGAACAGGAGACTGGAGCCATTGTGTCAGAATGTCCGGGGCAGAAGAAGCATTGCGAAATCTTTCTAGACATGTATGCTGTTCATTTAGGTGGTGGCTTGGGGGAGGAAGTGGTGGCTGGGGACCAGAACGAAGCCAAACTGGACACTTTACACTTCAGCATCTAAAAATAAAACCTACCACGATACCTCTCTGTTCACCTCCTCCTGGCATCCCTGCATTTGGAGAACTTTTAGATTTTAAGACATTGAGAAAGACTCTGCAAAAACAGGAAGCCAAGCCACTTGGCTGGCTTTTCAAAATCAGCTGGGCTTCTGTGCGCAGGATCTCCAGGCTGCTGGGCCCTGGGAGCTGGGGGTGTTTGCAGTCCTCTGGGTTCAGGTGCTGGTGACTGAAGAGGACACACGTCCCCTTGCTGCCAGCCGTCTTCCTGTGTTTCCTGTGTCTGGTCCCTGAGGGGCGTCTCCCGTTCTGTGCAGCCACCCAGGGATGATGTGGTGTTAAGTACCCTTTTGAGGTGGGGAAACTGAGGCTCAGAATGCTGTGCTTTCTCTTGGGGATTTCAGCTGGCCGTGGTGGAGTTGGGATTTGAGTGCAGGTCTGTCTGTCTCAAAAGCCTGTGGCCCATGGTTTTCTGCTGAACGGTCTCCTCTGCATGTTCATAGGTTCTCCATTTACTAAATGCTTCTGTTCCTCTTATTACCTGGACTTTGGCTGCTATCTAAAAAAAAGGATGTTGGGGCCAAGGGTCAGGACTCAAGACTGCAAAACGCTGGTGACCGGAGGTCGGTTGGTCATGGGAGTTGTTTCTCTTCCTGTTATTTAATGGCAACAGTAACAGTCCTTTTATTGAGGACTCCAGTGTACCAGGCATCATGGGTTTACTTTAAGGAAGCATTTGTGTGTAACCTTCCCGAGGTGGGTGTGGGAGCATATTTAAGAAAGTGGATTTTGCAGATCTCAGTGTCCTCAGGTGCCTGTGCTGGAGGCTGAGGAGCTCGGGAGCCCTTCTTCCCTGCCACCCCTGTGCCTCTTCACCTCGTTCCTCCTCCCACCTCTGCAGAGGATTGTGCACTCTGTGAGGCGCAGGGCCGCCTGGGGTCAGGTTCCTGTCTGTGTGACCTTGGGCCAGTTGCTTAACGACGCTGTGTCTTTCTGCTCATCTGTAAAATGGGGATAATCATGGTGCTGGTCCCCTGGCACCATTGTGAGGACTGAGTTACTTTGGGTGAAGTAATTGGCACTGGGCCTGGCACACTGGAAGCTGGCTGTCTGCAGGAGAACTGTACACTATCCACAGGCAGACCTGACCGAGTGTGAGACCTCAGGGCATAAAACCCTCCTGGTGGTCAAGTACAGTGGCCAGTCATTGTCATCCTGGGGCCAGGGAGGTATTTCCAGTTCCCTGCTTGCAGCAAAATTCAAAGAGTACCTGATGGTGTCGTCAGCTGATAGCACATTAAGAATGACCTTTGTTTTGGGTGGCTGAGGTGGGTGGATTGCTTGAGCTCATGAGTTTGAGATCTGCCTGGGCAACATGGCAAAACCTCGTCTGAGGGTTCCCCCCCAACCACAAATACAAAAAATTAGTTGGGTGTGGTGGTGTATGACCGCTTGGGGCTGAGGTGGGAGGATCACTTGAACCCAGGAGGTCGAGGCTGCAGTGAACTGAGATCGTGCCACTGCACTTCAGCCTGGGTGACAAAGTAAGACACTGTCTCAAAAAAAAAAAAAAAAAGAATAATATTTGATAAGAGATGACTAGATTACTGTAATTCTTGGCAAATAATTATAAAGGAATCCAAAGAATTTGCTGTGGTAAATCTCTTTCCATTCTATTTTTTAAATTTGAATAAGTGGTTTCTGTTCTCACATCTGTAAAAATTAAAAAATGGAGATGAAATTGATAAACCCTGTCTTATTCTAGCAACAGGCAATATTCATCTGAGAATTCATGAAATAATTTTTCAAAAAATTCCCATTCATTGTATAGATGTATTTTTAATAAGATTTATTTATTAAATTTTACTTATTTAATTTTTTTTTTTTTTGAGATGGAGTCTCGCTCTTGTCGCCCAGGCTGGAGTGCAGAGGCATGATCTTGGCCCACTGCAACCTCCGCCTCCCAGGTTCAAGCGATTTTCCTGCCTCAGCCTCCCAAGTAGCTGAGGTTACAGGTGCCTGCCACCATGCCCAGCTAATTTTTTTTTTTTTTTTTTTTTAAGTAGAGATGGGGTTTCACCAGTTGACCAGGCTGGTCTTGAACTGCTGACCTCAGGTGATCTGCCCACCTCGGCCTCCCAAAGTGCTGGGATTACAGGCGTGAACCACTGCGCCTGGCCTAATTAAGTTTATTTTTAAAGGTTATTTCTTATACAATTTTGCAATATATTTCTGTCTTATTGATCAATTGTATACTTATAGTAATTGTTATAATAATTCAGTCCAGGAGAAAACTTCTGACAGAGCTTTATGATCACAGGAAATCACAGGAAATTAAAAAAAATTAAAACATTGATTTTTGTATTTTTTGGCCCTATAGTATATAATAGGATAATCAGTATAAGGCTTTCAAGCATAAAATACACTGTGATAGTATAAACATCTCTGAGGGAGATCAGAGTTTGTGGAGGAAAAAAGGAACACTGTTAAATTTCCAATGGTTAAAGAAGAGCTTGATTATGTAATTTAAAAATGGATGATGGCGAATCTCTAATCGCCGTGGTATTTAGATACCATTGGATCCATTTAAAAGAGAAACATTAACAGTTTTATTTTTAAATGTTAATATTTACAGTATGTTGGAAATTACATCCTCTACAAGTATTTAGACTTATGATGAGAAATTTTTCATATCAACTTAAAAATGTGCAAATAGATATGTAGTTTTAAACATTTATTTTGTGGGGGTTTGGTTTGAAGTCCACTGCTTCAGAACATTACCCTGTTTACTTCTCAGAACCAGGCCTGAGGCAAATCCTTCCTCGGAGAGGGACAGCACGAGGCCTTGCTCTCAGGCTGTCCAGAGGCCCTGATGGGGCTGGGCTGGACTGGGCTGACTCTGGGGCCCAGAACTGTGCTCCGAGACTTGCTTGGCAGTGGACTTGTCTGCAGACCTGGTCTGTTGGGCCACGTGATGATGATCATGAAAGACACAGCACTGTCTGCTCAGGGCTGCTCAGGCAGGAAAGGAAGTTGCAGGGGAGCCAGGACCCAGGTAGCTCAGAAGAAGAGGATGTCCTACTTTGTGTTTAGAGCAGGGAGTTGGGCTGCAGGACAAGGGAAGAGTGTAGTAAGGGTCGTGGGACCAGATGCTCTCTACCTCCTGTCTTGAGAGGCTACTTGTCATGATGGTGATGGTGGCAAGTGCCTGTTTCCTCAGCCCCGTGCTCTGTAGTATGGTAATGGGAATGCTGGACGCACGGGCCACCCTGACTCCACCATTTCAGTGTTGAGTTGGTCTCACTGAGTGCTGAGCTGAGGGCCCCTCATAGCCAGGCCGTGCAGATGGGACGCAGTAACATGCAGCAGTTTCCCCGACACTTGCTATGGATAGGCCCCAGGTGCTGGGGGCTCACACAGGCCCAAGCCAGGCCCCTTCAACTCTCTGTGATGTCTGCAGACAGTGGCCAAGGTAGGCAGGGACACCAGACAGGCACAGAGGAGGGCCCTCACGCAGCCTGGTAAATCAGGAAGGCTCCCTGGAAGACGAGTCTGGTTAGTGGCAATGAGCCCATCTACCCAACAGATCCTAACTGAGAGGCAAGGCCTGACAGAGCTCAACCCAGTTCCTAGGTCCTTGTGCTTCCTTCTAAAACACCTAGTTGCTAAAATGACCAAGTGCCAAGCACGGCACTATGATTACTTCCCCCGTACACAGGAGCCTTGGTCGTCTGTGATCTGGGGAGTGGGGCTGGGGCTCTCCTGTGGGCCAGGCAGAAGGCCTGCATCAGCCTTGCTAGGTGCTGTCACCTGGGGGCACCTTCCACTCCGATCCAATCTGTGGGGAAGGCTCAGGAGGAGCGGTTTCCCCATCCAGGGACTCACTGCCTCTTTCTGGAATAGTCCTGAATTTGGTGGAGGAAGACCCTGAAAGAAAGACCCACCTGCTGCCGGGCCCCCTCCAGCCTGGACGTCCTTAGGGAAGCATGTTTTGCAGCCTGACCTCTGCCCTGGCCTGTTCTCTGGGCTGCCTTTCCCCAGTTACTGTAAAAGATCGGGGAGAAGGTGACTGCTGGCATGAGGGGACTCGAGGTTTGACTTTAAAGTGCGAATGAGCAAGCTGTAAGTGTGAGAAGTGCAGCAGCCAGTTAGAGATTCACTGTCCTCCATCCACATTCCTTGAGAATTCAGACACTATGAAACCCAGTCTCTGGTGCGGCGGCTGTTTCTCAAGCAGGCAAGGAAGTAAGTAAGTTCTCCCGGCTTGCGAATGAGTGAATGGTGGGCATACGTCTTTCTGTCCGTGTTTTCTCCAGAGCTGGTGCTGGCTGGCTTGCTGGTGACCTTTGTATATGTGTTTTTACCCCTTCCTGCACCAGACTTTCAGGGAAGGAGGTTGGGTGGGTGACCATCAAACCACCAAGAAAAGGCAAGTCTGAGAAAGAGACACTAAGACCCAAGGGAAGGTCCATGTGCCTGGGGCCGAGGCAGAACTGGGTGCTGGGCCTCTGGAGGCGAAGGAACTGTGGGGATGCCCACTGGCAGGGAAACCGTGGGGATGCCCAAGCCCAGGGGCAGGGCAGGCCTGTCTGAGCTGTGGGGGAGTGGTGAGGACGCAAGGCTGGGCATGTAAGGAGGAGTGGGCCATCAGGGGATGGAGGCCATACCTCCTGACATGGAATAAACTGGGCGTAGGGGCTGGCAGGAGGCGAGGTGTTAGAATGGCCTTACAGACAAGGAGCATGGCCAGGGCCACACACAGCAGCTGGGGAAGGGGGTCCTTTGGCTGCCAATGGCTTGGAAAGGCTACAGCCCCAGGCTTGAGGGGGCTAGTGAGAGACCAGGCTGGAGAGAGTAGCGGTGCCAGGTGAGTTGTTCATGGGGTGCTGTGTCGGGGGCATGGAGGGGCTTCTGCAGGCGAAAGCTGGGTGCTCCAACCTGAGGCTATGGGGGAAGAGCCATGGGGAGGATACATGGAGGGTGATTAGACAGGGCTGCACTGGAAAGCAGACAGCAGGGTTTTCTGAGAGGGGCTGTGGCTGCAGCCTAGTGAGGGGTGATGTGCTCTCCAGGGGCTCCTGCAGTGACAGAGGGCAGCAGGAGACAGATGGCAGGGTGTGGTACCTGGGTAGATGTGGGAGGTGAGAGGGGGAGGATCAGTCCCCAGACTCCTCCCTTGTTTCTGGCCGGAGTGCCTGGGCATGGGGGTGCAGGAGGAGCAGCCGCCAGGGAGGGAAAGCCCATGCCAGCACTGGCGCTTTCCGATAGGTGTGCTGAGTGCAGGCAGCGGAGGCCTGTGTTGGTAGCTGCTCTCGGAATTCAGAGCCAGAGGGGACTCACGTGGTTGCGTGGTGTGCATCTCTGGAAGGATTATAGGTGCTAAATTCTCCATCTCAGCATTAAAAATGTACTTGTTATTTAGGTTATATTTTTACATGGTACCAACATTTTTTTAAAAGGTATGCTGAACACAGTGTCAAATGATCAATCCACAGCGGGGTTCCCTCTGCCACCCATACTCTCCAGCGTACCCCAGCTGGCTGACCCCGGTGCTCTTGATGGATTTTATTTCCAGGTCACTGGGGCATAGGTAGGGGTGGACACCTGTGAACATCCTTCCTTCTGTCGATTTTCTCTGCCGTGTGCTGTGGAGCCAAGCGTAAAGGGCTTTGGGAATAACAATCGCTGTGGGGTTCTGACGTCTTTGGAGCTGGGACAGCCCATGGTAGACTTGCGGTCCACCCATATCCTGGGCAGTGGCTTTCTGAAGTTCACGTGAGCCTGACTCTGACCTCTCCCCAGACCCCATCATCTCCAAGGAGGACCGCCACGGGCTTGGGGGGCTGGCTCTGCACACAGTGTTTCCATGTGGTCATTTGAGGCCAGTAATGGACACAGATTGCTCTTGGCTGTGCCTCACTTCCCTGTGGGGTCCAGAGACCTGGGTTTGAGTTTCTGAGTCTGTTTCCTGGCTGTGGATCTTTTCCTTCCTCTTTAAAGGGATGACAGCGCACAGGATTGAAGACACCTAAGAGATGCTGAAGGAATATTAATTGATTTTTACTCATCTGTTGTTATGATTAATGGTGGCATTTCAGTGGGGAAAATACAGCTACAGATGAAACTGGGCTGTTGAGAAAGATACATTGTTTCAGTGTGGAGAATATAGTATTTTTTTTTTTTTTTTGCCTCCCCTCTGTATCACTTTTGGGTTTCTAACAATTGTGGATTCCAGCTTACTCCTTCCTTTTTTAAAAGATAGATTTTATGGTTTTTTTAAAAAATTTGAAATGCAGGTATTTTTTTCCCCCTAAACATTGACAATTATTTTCATTCTCCATCATTTACTATTTGCTTAGGCTATGTAGATAACAAATAAGACAAAGTTATGTGAAAGCATGATCCCCATAGTGTTTTTTAATAATGATGATACATGAGGTGCTGGGAAGGGTTATATAAATGAGGTCTGCTCATAGCAGTTCTCCAATGTGGCCATTAAAAAAAAATCACATTTTTCACATTTTGGAAGACAGCGTGGGGAAATGCTCGTGAGTTGCTTTGAGTACTGTCGTCATACTCTGAGTGGTTTCATTTCTATCCGTTTTATTTTGGTTCCTGAGCTTTTTAGGTTTGCTGTTAGAAATAGAAGCTGTCACCGTGTTGCAGTCTTGTGCAGCTTCCGAAGCCTGTGGCACTCAGTTCTAGGGTGATTCTTTCTCCAGCCTTTGATGCACTGAGTCAATTTGAGCAAATCCTTTAAAAAAAAAAAAAAGTTCCCACATCCCATGTCAAGACAACAGAGCTCTGCCAGGGCAGGTGGGGCTCCCTGTGCTCCAGGGTGCCTGGGTGCCTTCTTGCAGGCAGGCTTCCAGAACCCCAGGCCCTCCTCACCACACCACGCAGGGTTGGGACTGGATCTCCCTGGTACCTGCCACCCTTGCTTGGCTGTCAAATGTCAAGAATTCCGTGGCCTCAGTGGAGCGTGCCAGGTAAGCATTTTACGTAAAAGCAAAGAAAAGAGATGGAATGAAGTACACAGGGGAAATAGGAAGGGATGGAACGGGGGTTTTAGAAAGGGCCAGAAGCAAGATTCTGCTCTTAAAGTAGCTGACTGTCCTGGCATTCTGGGGTGAAGGTATCCATAGCATTGCTACTCAGAGTGTGATCCTAGGGAATCTGGGTGCAGATGGAGAAACTCGGATGCAAACACTGGATTCCTCAGCAGTCGGTTCCCGTTTGGCCTGGTGCAGGGCTGAGACTCTGAGGAGGAGGCATCTTGACCTGAGGGCCCTGGACTGTGCTCCTTGTCCAGCTGGGCGCAGAACCATCGTAGTCAAAGCCAGGAATGGAGATGCATTGCCTCAGGTCAGTTCCAAAGACCAGGAAGCGTCCCTGAGTATTTCAGTTGAGTAAGGACCTGGCATCTCCCTCTTCAGCCCCTTCCCTGCTCTCATATTTTTATTCATGCTTTTAGAACTGCTAAATGTCAGGTGGGTGCAGTGGCTCACACCTGTAATCCCAGCACTTTGGGAGGCCGAGGCGGGTGGATCATGAGGTCAGGAGATCGAGACCATCCTGGCTAACACGGTGAAACCCTGTCTCTACTAAAAATACAAAAAATTAGCTGGGCGTGGTGGCAGGTGCCTGTAGTCCCAGCTACTCAGGAGGCTGAGGCAGGAGAATGGCGCGAACGCGGGAGGCGGAGCTTGCAGTGAGCCGAGATCGCGCCACTGAACTCTAGCCTGTGACAGAGCAAGACTCCGTCTCAAAAAAAAAAAAAAAAAGAATTGCTAAATGTCACCTTGGCAGTGACACCTACCCTGCTTTCCCAGCAGACGCCTCTGCCCCCTACACACACACACACACACACATACACACACACACATGCACGCGCACACACGCACGCACACCAAGCTGAGCTGCCTGTTGGTGTGTCCTCCTGAGGCTGGGACTTGCTGGTCTCTGAGGAGCACGTGGTCTGGCCCTGATGTGCGCTGTGTCTACTGGGTGAGTGAATTAAGGACTGAGGTATTGTGCTACACAGGATGTGGCCAGGCCTCGAGGGTCTGTGCTTGCTAAAAATAACTCTAGATTATTCTTTTGCTCATTAAGTAATATGTACTTGTGGAAATCTTGGGAAGTCAAGATAGGCTCACAAATGAAAACCCAGAGATAATTATTGAAGCAATTTTTACATAAAATATGCTCCTTTTTCTATATGATGTGCATTCAGGTTAGGCTTTTCTGTGTCCCTAGTTTTGCCACTTGCATTTGGGGGAACAGTTGAGCATTTGCCTGTGCCATTTAAACACCTTGGAAATTGCTGTTAGAGTGGCTGCACCAGCTTCCCACCATCCCTATGTCCCAGCATCTAGAACCATTTCTCTGCTCCAGAGTCTCAAGTTCTAGGTTATTTCTGGTTTGCTGTTACTAACAGTCCTGCCCTGGGTGTCTCTGGACCTAAATCTTTGGGGACCTAAGTCACATCTCAGGCTGTTTCATTGGGTTATGGTCTAGAAGTGACTTCAGGATTTTGTTGCTAAAGAAGAAGGGGAGAATGGGGGACAGGTTGGGCTGCAGCTAGTCAGCTGTGTCCAGCACACTTGGGCCCTGGACTTAGAACTGGACAGGTTACTTGCCCCCTCTAAGCCTCAGTTTATTCTTCTGTAAAATGGAAATAATAATGGACCCAGTCTCATAGAGTTCCAGGAGTGAGGTCATGCAGATAAGGAACAGCACAGAACCTGTTTACCTAGTTTGTCCTCAGAAGGAGCTGTTTGTGATTATTTACTGGTGCCACCTCCACCACCATCATTGTCATCCTCAGTGGCCCAGGGAAGCGTGAGTCTGAATGAGGTGTGTTGTGTAGTTAAATGATGCGATGGGTAGATGAGCCAAAATGAAAGGATCTCTTCTGTTTGATTTATTTTCATGAGTAAAAAAGCCAGAAATGTCTGTAGCATAAGTTATGTCTGTTTGGTTTGGCTAAAGCAGGGCTGACCAGGGATGAGTCTCCTGCTGTGAGTGAGTGAGGTCCCAGCTTGTCCTCTGGGGTTAGAGCAGATTTTGCTCTGGCTGGGGTGCATTTGGGGGCATGGGCTGATTTATGTTTTCCTTCTTTCTGGATCTCCCCAGGTCTAGCCATGATGGGGTGAAGGCATCACCCCCAGGGAGTGCTGACCCCTGACCCTAGCCCCATGACCCCCTCCCGTGCTAGTTCATTATGGGCAGGGGAGGTCCCAGGGATTCCCCGCACACTCATCGTGACTTTTCCAAAAGCTGTGTAAATCCAGAGTTGTAACTTGGCTCTGTCTTTCTCCTTCCCCTTGATCCACCCTCAGCTCAAGAACTCCCCTGGGAAGCACAGTGGCTCCCGTCTTTGCCTCAAGTTCTCTGATGTTCTGCACAAATGGTAGGCAGAGACAGCCCTTTCAGGGACCTGATTGCCCTGGTGTCTAGTTCTCCTTTCACAGGCCTGTTTTCCAGCTCGACTGTCAATCTGAGTCTTTCTCTTTTTGAGCTTTATGCAATGGCCTTAGAGTATACCCTATAAGGAGATCCCGGCTTGCTGGTGCCCGGCCCTGCAGCTGTGTCCCAGAAACTTGGCGGTGGTGCATGGGGCTCACTCAGCACTTCTACAGAAGCCGCCTGGGGTGGCTCCCAGGGTTCCGGTGGGAATGGGGTACAGAGGCCTGAGAGGGGGCTTTGATCAGGTGTCCTGGGGGAACATTTAGAGCTCCTGGATTCTCTGCAGGAAGGCCACCAGCAGCCAGGCATGATGGCCTGTGTCTGTAATCCCAACACTTTGAGAGGCCAAGGCAGGAGAATTGCTTGAAGCCTGGAGTTCAAGACCAGCCTGGGCGACATAGTGAGACCCCATCTCTACGAAAATTTTAATTTTTATTTTTTGAGATGGAGTCTCGCTCTGTCGCCCAGGCTGGAGTGCAGTGGCGCGACCTCGGCTCACTGCAAGCTCTGCCTCCCACGTTCACGCCATTCTTCTGCCTCAGCCTCCCAAGTAGCTGGGACTACAGGTGCCCGCCACCACGCCCGGCTAATTTTTTGTATTTTTGGTAGAGACAGGGTTTCACCATGTTAGCCAGGATGGTCTCAATCTCCTGACCTCGTGATCCACCCACCTTGGCCTCCCAAAGTGCTGGGATTACAGGTGTGAGCCACCATGCCCGGCCAATTTTTTTTTTTTAAAGGTCACCAGCCCTGTTGTCTGGGCAGTAAGCACCTAGTAGGATTGCTTCAGAGTTCTAGAATGCGCATGTAAAAATTCCAAAGTGCGTTTGGCGTCTGGGCTGGGCTTCTATGAGCAGCCCAGGCAGCAGCAGTGAGAACTCCTGTGTGTGCCTCGTCTACTGAGTGCCAGGGTTAGTGCCCCACTTGCCAGGTGAGAGGACTGAGGCTCACACAGGTGGGCTTGTCACAGCCTAGCATGTGAGCTGTGGAGCTGGGATTGGATTCTAGAGGTGTGATGGCATAGCCAGTGCCTCTTCTGCTCCGAAGACTGCCTGCCTGGTGAGAGTCCAGTGACTCCTCCCTAGTTCCAGCTCCATCCCTCCAAGGCTGTGCAGTCCTGGGTAGTGGCACAACCTCTCTGAGGCCCATCTACCAGATGGTGATGAGATGGATGATTGAGACGAGGGGAGGGCAAGTGAGAAGGCCTTCTAAAACTCAGGCCCTCGTAGGAGAAGCGTGGGTAGCCTGAGGTCAGGGACAGGGCTTAGTGTGCTGTGTGGGGCTGTGGGGAGTGGGAAGCTCACTGGTTTTCTGGCTCCTGAGATGACTCGAGGGGTCTTGTGAAGCTCACACCCCTGTCTCACTGGGCAGGAGTTTGGCCTCCACTGTGGGTCTCTGCCATCTCAGGTGGGTGGGGGACCAGGGGTCCCTGGGCAGGAGGGTGTGGGTCCTGGCTTGGAGGCAGACCTTGGCTCACTCCCTTCCTTGCCCAGGCAGTATTTTTGCCGCAGGCCCTGCCAAGTAGAAATAAGTTATTTACAGTGTTTTGACAGGATCATCGGCAGCCGGGATGGGCAAGGATGCCTTTGGGACTGAGCTAATGGCCAAGGAGTGGGGCTTGGAGAAGGGTCTGGCGTGGGAGAGAGATGGGAGATGGGGGTGGGGTGGGGGCGCACATTTACTGAACTTGTTAAATCTTGACAAATGCCAGGCCTGGCCCTCCCTTAAGCCAGGGCTTTGGGGCCTGGTGAGGGCAGGACTTGATGAGTTTTCCTGTCGACCAAATATTCCGCCGGATCGCTCAGGACCCTCGGTTATTTTTGCTGTCTGAGCCCTCAGTGCCTTCCTTTGTCCATCAGGGACAAGGACCCCTGCCCACCCAGTATATCTTCTTGGGGAGAAGATGAAACGCCTTGGTGTATGGTAGGCCAGGCCCTGGCCTTGACTGTGAGCCTGGCAGCCCCTGCAGCCCCTCACACTGGGCCACCATTGACCTGCTTTACGACTTCAAATAGCACAGACCTGCCGTGGGACCAGGGCCTCCTGCTAGTGCCTGACCTCTGTCCTGCATGATGTTCTGACCCTCCAGAAGCAGGTTTGAAAGTGCCTTTCAGGAAGGTCTGGAGAGCCTCCTGTGTAGCTTGTGGGAACAAAATGTGTTACTCCCTAGCCGAAGGATAACCAGCACACTAAAATGTGAATAAAGTGTGACTTTATTCATGTCCTTTGAGCATAAAAATGGCACACACACTGATGCATTAAAAAAACTTTTTTTTTTAATTAAACTTTTTTTAGAGATGGGGTTTTGCTCTGTCACTCAGGCTGGAGTGTAGTGGTGCGATCATAGCTTGCTGCAGCTTTGAACTCCTGGGCTCAAGCAATCCTCCCACCTCAGCCTTCTTAGTAGCTGGGACCATGGTGTGCACCAACATCTTTGATGCAGTTTTTTTTTTGAGATGGAATCTCGCTCTGTCGCCCAGGCTGGAGTGCAATGGCTCGATCTTGGCTCGCTGCAACCTCCGCCTCCCAGGTTCAAGCGATTTTCCTGTCTCAGACCCCAGAGTAACTGAGATTACAGGCACGCGCCACCATGCCTGGCTAATTTTTGTATTTTTAGTAGTGATGGGGTTTCACCGTGTTGGCCAGGGTGGTCTTGAACTCCTGACCTCAAGTGATCTGCCCGCCTCGGCTTCTAAAAGTGTTGGGATTACAGGCGCGAGCCACCAGCCTTGACATAGTTGTAAACAAAGTTGTGGTTCTGTTGTAATCTGTTCCCACAAACACACTTAGCATTCTCTTAGAGCTTCCCCCTTTGTTAAATGTCTACTTAGGCTTGCTTTTTAAATGACTGCATAATATTATCTGATTGTAACTGAAGTTCTTTGATTCCCTTGGTTGATGCTGACCATGGTTCTGGTCTGTCACCTTTATAAATAGTATTGTGATAAACATCCACTTTTGATACTGTTTGGGCAAGCCTGTGATGATTATTTCTTTGGGTTACATAAGTAAGTTGTATATATTGTTTTTGTAGTCTGTAGGAGGAATATGTACTTCTTGGTGAAATAAACAAACCCCTGCATTTTGGGGAATTACAGAAAGGGAAGGTCTTGTGGGAGTTTGTGCTTCTAGATTTGAATGCTGTGTTATCACCTGTGCACCAGGCACGCATACAGCAACTCATTTCTCTCTCATGTGCCCTCCCTCCCCTCCTTTCTCACTCCTGCCCCAGACCCACTCTCTCTGCCCATGAGGCTGGGGGCTGTAGCCTAGCCGCAGCTGTGCCCATGGACTTTTCTCCCCTTGCAATTGTTCCTCACCCCAGGGAGAGGAGGAAGGAGTGGTGGGCTCTGGAGGAGGTGGGTGGTCCCCGGGTGGCCTCTGGTCTTGCTTCTTCCCAGCACCGAGGGTGCTTCAGCCTCCTTGCCTGGAAAAAGGGGTTGTCGTAACACCAACCTCTAAGGTTAAGAAGGGTAATTGAGATACAGTGTCAAAGTACTTATCACACAGCCTGGCCCCAGATCTGTGTTGAGGAATCTGCAGCTAGTGGTGGAGGGTTAGGAGTCATTTGGGGAATTGCAGTCCGGAAAGTTAATTTCTGAAGAGTATCAAACACCAGCTTGCATGTTAAGTTGTCTTTTGGAGTGATCCCTCCAGTGATTCCCTAGTGGTATGGAGCCAGTCCAGATTTGGAGTGGAACTTTTGTTGTGGGTGTGGGTCACTGTTCCAGGGAACCCCAGCTACCTGACCTTGAACCAAAATCCTTGTCATTGTGGAGCCTGTGTCCCCCTCTGCCTTGGACTTTTTTACTTTTATCTTCCTAGTTCTCATAATAGCTCTGTGAGATGGGATCTATTTATTATTCTCCCTATTTTGCAGATGAGGAAACTGAGGCTCAGATCTGTCACCTGCTTCTGTGATATTTCTAGTCACAGAGCTCCAAGCACCAATCACTCTGGGTCTTTGAACTCAGATCTGCTGTTGCCTATGGCCTAGGCTCTTTCTACTCTGACTCTTCCATCCCCTGCCCCTTCCCCAGTGCTAACCAGACCTCTCTGGTTCCTCATAAAAACCTCCCGTGGCCTTCCTGAATTTTCCAAGGCTACCACACAATCAGCCCCCTAATACCTTGCAAGCATGGGCCTTTTGCAGCAGAGCAGGGTCCCCTCCATTCCTGAGCTTGTTTCACTGTCCCCATGCTGATACTCGCCTGTTCCAGACTGTGTACCCTCAGCCTGGCCTCTCTCCTGGTCAGGGTGCATGCCTGGCCCACGTAGCCTGGTGGTTCTGTGCTCGTCTCTGTGGCTCAAATTTGCTCCCTGTCTTCTGACCCTGTATGTGTGGTGACCCAGAACGTGTTCCTCTTCATATTAGCCAGGGAGCTTGCAGGAAGCAGAGCTCACCCTCAGTGGTTCAAAGAGAGCCTTGAAAGCAGGGGCTGTTTGTTGAGCTGTGGGCAGGGTTAAGGGAGCAGCGGGGGCTGGTGAGGCACCTAGAGCCTGGCAGCAGAGAGGAGCTGTTCTGCTTCTTGGGCCGCAGGTAAGGTGAAGAAAGTGTCGCAGAAGCTCTGTGATGGTAGTCATAGCAAGCCACAGCCACTGCCCAGGCATGTCACTGAAGCAGGGAGAGAGAGGGGACTAAATACCCCACCCCCCTCCTCCTGCCCTCTGGTCTCCTGCCAGTGACCCCTCTTGGCCAAGTGCAACTGGAAGCCCTGGATCTTGAATGCTGCGTTCTACGGCAGTCAGCCTCCCAGGCTCAGAGCCAGGCAGTGTGGATGGGGGTGAGCAGGGAGTGACCAGCACCCCCCACCCCTGCCTCATGACCTGCACCCCCTCCACCCCTGCCTCGTGACTTGCACCCCCTCCACTCCTGCTTCGGGACCCTCACCCCCTCCACCCCTGCCTCGGGACCCCCACCCCCTCCACCCCTGCCTCGTGACCAGCACCCCCTCCACCCCTGCCTCGTGACCCGCACCCCCTCCACCCCTGCCTCGTGACCCGCACCCCCTCCACCCCTGCCTCGTGACCCGCACCCCCTCCACCCCTGCCTCGTGACCGTGACCCACACCCTCTCCACCCCTGCCTCGTGACCCGCACCCCCTCCACCCCTGCCTCGTGACCCGCACCCCCTCCACCCCTGCCTTGTGACCTGCACCCCCTCCACCCCTGCCTCATGACCAGCACCCTCCCCACCCCTGCCTTGTGACCAGCACCTGCGCCCACCTTGAGACCCGCACCCCCTCCACCCCTGCCTCGTGACCTGCACTCCCTCCGTCCCTGCCTCGGGATCAGCACCCGCCCCCGCCTCGAGACCCATACCACCTCCACCCCTGTCTCGTGACCCACACCCCCCTCCACCCCTGCCTTGTGACCCGCACCCCCTCCCCCCTGCTTAGGACCCGCACCCCCTCCACCCCTGCTTCGTCACCCATACTCCCTCCACCCCTGCCTCATGACCAGCACCCATCCCCGCCTCGAGACCCACACACCCTCCACCCCTGCCTCGAGACCCACACCCCCCTCCACCCCTGCCTCATGATCTGCACCCCCTCCACCCCTGCCTCGTGACCCACACCCCCTCCACCCTTGCCTTGTGACCTGCACCCCCTCCACCCCTGCCTCACGACCTGCACCCCCTCCACCCCCCTCGTGACCAGCACCCGCCCCTGCCTCGAGACCCGCACCCCCTCCACCCCTGCTTCATGATCCGCACCCCCTCCACCCCGCCTCGTGACCCGCACCCCCTCCACCCCTGCCTTATGATCCGCACCCCCTCCACCCCTGCCTCGTGACCCGCACCCCCTCCACCCCGCCTCGTGACCTGCACCCCCTCCACCCCTGCCTCACGACCTGCACCCCCTCCACCCCGCCTTGTGACCCGTACCCCCTCCACCCCACCTTGTGACCAGCACCCGCCCCCGCCTCAAGACCCGCACCCCCTCCACCCTCCCTCGTAACCCGCACCCCGTTCACCCTTGCCTCATGATCCGCACCCCCTCCACCCCTGCCTCGTGACCTGCACCCCCTCCACCCCACCTCATAACCCGCACCCCCTCCACCCCTGCCTCACGACCTGCACCCCCTCCACCCCTGCCTCGTGACCCGCACCCCCTCCACCCTGCCTCGTGACCAGCACCCACCCCCGCCTTGTAACCCGCACCGCTTCCACCCCGCCTCGTGACTCACACCCCCTCCACCCCGCCTCGTGACCCGCACCCCCTCCACCCTGCCTCGTGACCCGCACCCCCTCCACCCCGCCTCGTGACCCGCACCCCCTCAACCCCTGCCTCGTGACCCGCACCCCCTCCACCCCTGTGTTGCGACCTACACCCCCTCCACCCCTGCCTTATGACCCTGTGGACCTCAAGGCAGAGCAGCAATGTGTCCCGTGGCCTCTGTGAGAGCGGACCCAGTTCTTCTGTCCCTACCCAGAGTCCCGCATGGCCACTCTGGCTTCGACCTTCCAGACTGGCCCTCCCAGATGCCCCTGTGGCCATCACCCCATGGCTCATTTCTGTCATCAATTTATGATTGATCCTTTAAGGGAGCTGATGGGCTTGCAGGCCCAGGGCCCTAACAGGGGCTCAGCCCTTCATTCCTTCTGTTGCTGGGTGCTCACCCAGGCCCCAGTGGCAGGTCCCCTGCTGCCCTCTAGGGACTCTAAGATGACCAAGTCTTTGACCTCTTCTGCGTCAGTAGCTCAGGGAGACAGACAACCATGGGGCCGCCTGGGAAGATCGGGCCAGGGAGCTGGGGAGGGCTCTCGCCGAGCTGATGGGTTTCTCCCACCTGTCAGTAGGTAGCCCCTTGAGAGACAGCATGTGGTGATGCCAGAATCGTGGGTCATGATCCTTTTTCTCTCCATCAAGGTGCCTAGCGCCACCAAGCATGGTGAGAATGACCAGGAGGGTGCCTGGTGGGTGAGCCCTGAGTCGTGTGGCCCCCATGGGAGAGCATGAAGCCACGGCTGCCTGTGCTGCAGGCTGGGGCCGCAGGAGACTGGGGTCCCTGCTGGTTCTGCCTCTCCTCCCTGCATGGCCTCGGCCGGGCTCTGCTTCTTTCTCTGTCTGACAGCTGATAGGATCTCATGGGTCCCGTTTCACTCTCACCTTCTGTAAATCCCTGATTCTTCAGAAAACGGGGCTAGAAAATCTCCCAGGTGTACTCGCACGTCTGTTTCCTTTCTTAGCCTTTCATCTTGAAGTCAGCTTGGTGAGGTTGCCCTGTTCATACTGCAGAATCCAGGGATCTGAGGCCTCTCGCCCCCTGGGCAGCAAGTGAGTAGGAGTGAGCAAGTGTGTGTGAGTGAGTGAATGTGTGAGTGAGTGTGCATGTGGGAGAATTTGTCGATCTGCTTGAAGCAGGCTCTTTGGGTGCTGTTTCAGCAGGACAGATTTCGAGAGAACACAGCTAGCTCTCCACGTTGGACCTCGCCTGGGTGCAGTGTTTCTGTGTATAGCAAATGCACACATGGCTGCCTGTGTATGCGTGGTGGATTTGGAGTCTGGGTGATGGGTTTGCACGCTGCCTCTGACCTTGACCAGCCTTGTGACCCTGGGGAGTCACTGTGCTCTGGGCAAGTCGCCTGTGAGGCTCATAATCCTGACAGCATTACTCATCCTCGGCCTATGGTCTCCCGGGTGGCATTTGGGAGCACCCAGAGGGTGAGCCAGGCGCTTTCTAAGCTGTAAAAGTGCCCTGTGATGTGAGCAGTTATGTGATGTGCTCTCCCAGCAGCACCCAGTTTTGGAGGCTCAGGAAGCATTCCCAGCAGGGCCTGTTTTTAGCCTTGAAACATCATGCTTGAAAAATGCTTGCATGGGGTTTATTTAACTTTAAGTGGGGCAAATTCTGAAATGGGTTGTTTATTGTCCAAGTTGAATTTTTAATTTCTCATAAATTCCCCACAAATTGCTATAGTACATCTTTATTTGTTGAATCTGTCAGAGTTGTTTATGGCACTGAAGCCTGGGCTCCCCCTGTTTGTGGACTGTTGCCATGGCAACACCAGGCTCTGGAGGAGGGGCACTGCTCTGAGGTGGTATAGAAGGTTCTGGAATGGGCTGGTGGTGTGAAGTAGAGCTGTGGCTGCTGCACTGAGACCCAGCCGTGGGTGGACTGAGCTGCTTAAGACCCTGGTTCCTCTTCAACATCACTGCACCCCTCTTGGTCCCTCTTCCCTTGGGGGTGCACTGCTGAGGTCTCCTAATTCTGCTTCCCTAAGCCCTTGCTGCTCCCAGTGTGGTCTGGGAACCAGTGGCAGCTGCACTGATGGGGCGCCCATGAAAAATGCAGACTCCCTTGCCCCCAGACCTGCTGAGTCAGTCTGCAGTTCACCAAGCTTTCAGGCACCTTCTCAGCATGGGTAAGCTGCAGAAGCCCTCACATGCCACACTGCCCTTGGGTGACCCCAGAGGCCTTGGCCTGGCGGTTCTTGGTGTTTGCCACCGTCCTCCCTGTGATCTTTCTGACTCCTTCCCCGACAGTTCCCTCTGCTTGGCCAGGAGTGGGCTTTGCCTCTCAACCCTGCTGCACCCAGGCCACTCTCCTGCTTTGCACACACCAGTCTCTACTCACACAGTCACCCCAGCCTTCTCTATCTGGGGAACTCTGGACATCTTGGAAGAGGCAACTCTTGAGACACCTCCTCTGTGAAGCCCTCCCTCCTTTCCCCAGACCGGGTGATGTTCAGTTTCACTGGAGCTCTCCTGTGGCCTAAACACCTCACCTGCCCCAGCCTCATCAGGCTGCCTGATTCACCTCCCTAGCCGTGACCTCACTGGGTGCCCCGGCTGCTCCTCCCGTCTGCTGGGTGCTCAGACCCCAGCCAGCGCTCAGGAAGGTCTGTGGAGTCATTGCCACTCCAGTCAGCTGGCTTCACAAGGCTGAGACTTGAGTCTGGACTTCTTCCAAGAGCCTGTACTCTCTGCCCGGGGAGTGGTAGGGACCGCTGGGCACCTTCAGTTTCTACCTGAGGCCTGACTGGCAGTTGGGGCTAGGACCGGATAAGGATGGGTCCTTGGACTTTGGAAAGGCGCTGTGGGAGGGAGGCATGGGAGGGGACAGCTGAGAGGAGTCCCGAGCTCATGCGCAGGTGAGTGCAGAAGTTCAGGTGGCATTTGTATGTCCCTTGAGTATCTGTTCTGGGCCAGGCAGCACCGAGGCTCGGGAGAGTCCCAGTAAACAAACCCCAAATCCCTCTGCCTTCGTGGAGCACTTGTGTCTAGGTTGAGAGACTGAAAACAGAAAGAAGTGTGGGTGGCGAGTGAGGTGGGGGAGGGGGACTGGGAGAAAAATGAAGGAGAGTAAGGGGCTGAGGGCTGGTGTGGGATTTGGGAACATGGCTTGGTTAAAGCTGAGGAGATGCTGACCCTTTGGCCCTGCAAATCCTCCATGGCATGTACCCAAGAGAAAGGAGGGCTGTGTCCACCAAAAGACACGTGTAGAATGAATGTTCCCAGCAGCAGCATTCCTGATGGCCTCAAAGAGGAGACAGCACGCATGCCCATTGGCTGTAGAATGGGTACGTACATGACCTGTGTTATCATCTGGCCATGGAGTTGTATCGAATACAGCAGTGAGAATGAACCATGGATGAGTCCCATAGGCATGAAACGTGGCCAAAGATGCCAGGTGCAGAGGCGTATTCAGTGTCTGATTCCATTTACATGAAGATCTTGACCAGGCCAAGCTACTCTCTGGGGACAGGAGGCAGGCTGGCGGTCACCTTTGGGGACAAGGTGCCGGGTGGGAATGTGAGGAGCCTGCTGGTGTCTTGCAACTGTCCTCTCCTCAGTCTTCCTCTTGGGTGCCAGTTTGTGAAATATTCAAGCTGTTCACTTATGGCATGTCCTTCCTTTCTTATGTTATACTTCAGTGAAAGGCTTATAAAAGAAAGAAACAGAAGGGGAAAAAAGCCATGAGAGGCAGAGAGAGTGCTGTTTTCTGTAATATATGCCCTTAGATTCTCTAGAACATTGGTTCTCAAGCCACCGTACATATCAGGACATGGCCACCGCCCCTCCTGAAGCTCTCCTTGCCAGGAGTGATGCAGGCTCCGAGGATGAACCACCTGGTGAGAAGCCAGTAGCCCCAGCGGCATCTTTCTTGCTCTTCACTGGACTGGAGCCTCTCTGTAATCAAGGGAGTACATGTTCTGTACCCCCTGGCCCAGTGTCTAGTTAGAATAGACAGTGAGCATTTACAGATTGAATGGTTTTTTGTTTTTTTCCCAATGGTTTTAGCTTGTCTTTGGGAATATAGGGTCTGTTTCTGGGCATGGAGAAACAGGGTTCCCTCCTGTGCTTTAAGTCTAACCTCCAAGCCAGAGAGGTGGTACTGGCAGGAGATAAGACCACCCGTTGTCTGGATGCTGTTTTCCATGCAGCAGACATGGGCTCCAGTTTCTGTCAATCAGTTTATTAAAACCTGCGTTTATTACTTGTTTGCCCTGTGCCAGGCACTGGGCTGTGTCTTAGTCCAGCCCCACAGTACCCTGTTTACAGATGACGTCAAAGCAGCTACACGTGGGTGACTGGCTCGGTTCACTTGCTAGAAGTGGGGACTCTACCTCTAAGTGGGGTGAATCCCAGGCTAGCACTTGACCCACTGACAGGGTGGAGGGGATGTGGGGAAAGAAGATGTTCAGTCAGGGTTGGATGCATGAAGTGCTGGGTGGGCTGCCAGGAAGTGCTTCTAAGCCTTTGCTCTTCGCTTCCTTCCCCGACCCCATCTCTCCCTACTTCAGTCTGACTTCCCTCCATCTAGAATCTTCCCAGATGACTCCACAACTGGGTAGTTTTACCTGCTGTTTCTGAAGCCTGGCTGTCCCGTCTACCTCCCAAACATCAGCCCAGGCTCCAGAGACTACTGGAATCACAGTCACCTGGGAGATTGATTTTTAATAGACTCTATTTTAGAGCAGTTTTGGGTTCACAGCAAAATTGAGAGGAAGGTGCAGAGACTTCCCGTATCTGCCCTACCCTGACACACATGCAGCCCCCCTTACTGTCAACATCCCACGCTAGCCTGGAACATTTGCTACAATCAGTGAACCTCCCTGGGTGCATCAGGATCACCTGAAGTCCCCAGTGTGCATAGGGCTCACTCTTGGTGTTGCACATTCTGTGGGTTTGGACACATGCATAGTGACCTGCATCTACCATTACCATACCATACAGAGCAGCTTCACTACCGTGAAAGTCCTCTGCACCGCCTGTTCTTTTTAAAGCACTTCTAAAAAGAAGTGCTGATGGGGTGGCATCAATTATATCCAGATCTCTGGGGCAGCTCTTGAGCACTGGCTGTCATGAGGCCCCCAGGACAACAGGCAGCCGGGAGAGGGGCGGGTGGGGAACCACTGGATTGAAGTAATGGTTCTCAAACTGGAGTGTGCACTGGAACCCCCAGGGAGCACATCTTCAAACAGGTGGCTGGCCCCATTCCCAGGGTCTCTGAACCAGTAGGTCTGAGGGGGCTGAGAATCCACATCTGTAACAGGTATCCAGGTGATGTTGACCCTGCTTGTGAGCCCCTCTGTCTGAGAACCACTGGTTTTTTTTTATTATTATTTTTTATTTTATTTTTATTTTTTATTATACTTTAAGTTTTAGGGTACATGTGCACAACATGCAGGTTTGTTACATATGTATACATGTGCCATGTTGGTGTGCTGCACCCATTAACTCGTCATTTAACATTAGGTATATCTCCTAATGCTATCCCTCCCCCTTCCCCCCTCCCCCCACCCCACAATAGGTCCTGGTGTGTGATGTTCCCCTTCCTGTGTCCATGTGGAGAACCACTGGTTTTAAACAGTGGTGACGAAAGGTGTGGTTGGGCCAGATGTGCCTGCTCAGAAAGCCACCAGAGCGCTTTCCAAGTCTTTGGGGCATCTGGGAGATTGTGCCCGGCCCCTTTCCCAGTTCTGAGTGAGGGACTGAACCCTGGGATGGGAGATGTAGGGCTGTTTCCTGTACCACCAGCCCCTTGGGGACCTGGGTTTGGAGGGAGGGTGGTGGTGCGGGCAGGTATTATATTGAATATAGAGTGAGCCAGAAGGCCGGTGAGGCTTGGGGGCGAACTTCCAGCCCACTGAGTCACTCTCAGGCCGTCTCTGGCCCCACTGAAGGATCTCCCGTCCCCCTACCCCACTGGGGGTTCCTTTGGCCCTCACAGAAGGACAGATAAGGCCCCCAGGGTAAGAACAACCCAGACCAGGCCTCCCTGGGTCAGAGAGTCAGCCAGGGCCTGGTATCGAGACTTAGACCTTGGAGAGCTTGGGATTATGGGAGAATCAGGCTGTTCTTCAGACAACAGGCCGCCCTAGATGCCTGGCGTCTGTTGTAATAAAAGACCTTTAGTGGAAACTAAGTCTGTTGCCTTTGGCCTCCTAGGAGCCCAGCAATAAAATCAGTGTAAATAGAGCTAACATTTGGGAGTGGTTTATAAAGCACTTGAAAAAAATCCCTCATATAAACCCAAAGACAGTCCTACAAGCTGCAGGGACAATTAATTATCCTACCTTTTGGATATGGAAATTGAAGTTGAGAAAGGTTAAATAACTTGCCCATGGTCACAGATCTTTTAAATGGCAGAGCTGGGATTTGGCCTGGGGACTCTGCCACCCAAATCTCTGTGCTTTCTGCTGTCTTATTCCCCTTCCACCACGTGGCCCCTCCAGGCAGAGATGAAGGCGCTCCCCTGGTGCAAGCTCCAGCTACAAAAGGGTGAAGATGGTGGTGCCCTCAGAGTGGAATGTGCTGGAATTTCTCACAACAGAGTTGTTCTTGAAATAGGTACTTATTCTTGGCATTTCTTAGCCAAAAACTGCAGAGGTGAGTACCCCATAGCCATAACAGTGGCAGGGATTAGGGAGTGAGTTAGCGTTACAATGGAAGGGCTTCCGCCCAATCTGCTGTCTTCCATTCCCCATGCTGAGACATTTGGAGGCACAGGGTGGTTTCCGGTCTCATTGAATTGGCTTTCACGCTTGGCTATGAGGCACCCCTAGGGGTTCCTTGAAGGGGTACCTGCTTTTCAAGGGGGATGAGTTGCTCACCACTCCCTTCACCTGAGCAGCTCTTTCTTTTTTTTTTTTTTCTTTTGAGACAGAGTTTCATCCATCACCCAGGCTGGAGTGCAGTGGCATGATCTGGACTCACTGCAATCTCCGCCTCCCAGGCTCAAGCGATTCCCCTGCCTCAGCCACCTGAATAGCTGGGATTACAGGCATGCGCCACCAAGCCTGCCTGGTTTTTGTATTTTTAGGAGAGACAGGGTTTCACTATGTTGCCCAGGCTGGTCTCAAACTCCTGAGTTCAAGCGATCCGCCCGCCTTGGCCTTCCAAAGTGCAGGGATTACAGGTGTGAGCCACCTTTCCCAGCCACTCTCTCTTGATCTGTGTTTGATCTGGGGTCTGCATGTTAGATTTCATTTCAGGAAAGACATTTGAGGTCAGAGAGAGTTTGAAAACCATGGTGTCTGGGGCAGAATCCTGGGATATTCAGCTCCCCCATGCCTGGGAAATTGAGGCATGTGTATGTGCAGAGAGCTGTGGGCCTGCCAGGTGCGTGATGACTGTTGGCTGTCAGGTCCTGGGGGTGGAGTGTGGCCATCACCGTTTGATTGGTTCCTTGTCCGTCAGGTGTCCTTCTGAGTGCCCAGGCAGGCCGGGCCCTGTGCTGAGCACTGGGCACATAGCTGAGAGCAAAACTGCCACATCCCGGTCCTTAAGGAGCTTCCAGTTTAGTGGGAAGACAGAATCTGTCTTGGATGGACTTTGAGTCTCTTCCAGCACCGCAAGGCGTGTTTATTAAAGAGCTGGGCATTGGACTCGCCTGCACAGGTACCTCTGCCAGCTCTGCTTGCTGATGGGCCAGTGACACTCACTTCCTCCCCCACACGTGTGGGCCTACCCGATGCTGGCGACTGGAGGTCTCGGTAGGTCAGCCATGGGGTCACTGAGGTCCCGTGACTTGGCTCCCTGGGTCTCTAACCATTCCTCACCTGACCCCATCTCTCCAGAATTACTCTTGTGGACCCCCCTCACATCCAGGGCTTGGATTTGTCACCTTTCTGGGTGGAGAGAATAAAGGGAGGAAACACGAACTGAGGTGGGGTGCAGGAGCCAAGGCAGGCCCTCAAAGTGTGCATCGATGCCTTCAAAAGCCAGCTGCAGTATTCGGCCACCTGCGATCCCTGGGTGCCCGCCATCAGCCCTTGCTCCTCTCTCTTGCCTTGGATAGGACAGAAGTTGACACTTGGGGGCTCTTGGAGAACCATTTGGAGCACGTGGAACTCAAGAGTGAATCACTTATTTTTTGCTGTGTGGCAGCAGGGCCTCCCTAGACAGGACATATTCGGGGGCTTGCAGCCAGGTAGGGGAGTGGAAGTACCTCCTCTCACCCCACACACGGGAATTGGAGATGAGGCAGCCGATCCTGCCTGCTTGAGTCTCAGCTGTCATTTTCCAGGCTGGCAGCACCAGCAGGAGAACCCGTGTGTCCGCCGGGCTTTCTTTAAAATGCACCGAGTGCAACCCAGTCCTCCTTGTGTAAACTTTCTCCAACTGGCCAGATGGTTTGCTTCTATTTAAGGCAGTGAGAGTATTTCCTACGGCCTGCTGCCCCCTGGCCTTTGTTTTGCCCCGGGAAGGCCATTCCTCGAAAGGGAAGCTGAGCAGGAGTTGCACTTCCCAGCAGCAGGGATTGTCGGCGCCCACCCCCATGGCAGGCCTAGAACCTTTGCCAAGTGCCTCTGCCTGGAGGGACCGTGTTTGTAACTTGACTCCCTCTGTCCCTTCCAAATCTGCTTGTGCTGTGTTTTCTTAGATGGTCATGAAGGTCTCCCCCCATCTCCCACCCCAGCTGCCAGCCCGGTGCCTCTGTCCCTCCACATCCACATCTTTTCTGTTTCCAGGTTCTGTTGATTTTTCCCTCTGGATATTTCCTTACCCACCCCCCACCCCCGTCCTTCTGTTCTGTGACCCCGGTCAGTCTCCCAGTCCCCCTTACCCATTATTGCCAAGCCTCTGGCTGGCATCCCCAGCTCTGGGCTCTCCCACCCTCAGTCCAGCCCCCACCTGGCAGAATGATCTTTCATCGAGAATATCTGAGTCACTCCACTGATCTAACCTTTCCTGGCCTTTCATTGTCTTTAGGTTAAAGTCTAAGCCCTGGAGAATGGTTTATGAGGCCCTTCCCAGTTTGGTCCTGCCAGCCAGGCAGCCTCACCCCCTGCCATTCCCAACTCAGACACCAGCAACACCTGCGCACTCTCTCCCTGCCTCTGCACTTGCTGGTCCGACCTACTCCAGCCAGATGTCACTTGCTGGCAGAAGCATTCCTGGCTTCCCCTCTGTCCCCTCACCTCCTCTGAGCCGACTGTGTTTACCTGTGGGCTCCTCGCAGGCACTCACCTTGGTACTTAGCACAGAGCCCTGCATGCAGGAGGCCTTCCACACAGGATTCTTGTGTATTGCTGACTTTCCCCCCAGGTCTACCTAGAAGCCACAGAAGGGGTTTTGTAGGGCTTTTAAAGGGCAAATGGAATCTGTTATTCTTTAGTATCATTAATATCTGCAAAGTTTCCTTCTCAGCAGATCTTCACTTCTCATTGTCTACACTGTCCCTTTTCCTCTGGGTGGCAGTGATGATTGGCCTGAGCCTGTTATGAGATGCTTCATTCCCAGCCTCCCTTGCAGTGGGGGTGCCCATGTTATGTGCACTTCTAACCAGTAAGACATGACTGGAGAGAGTGTTTCTTTTTTTTGAGACAGAGTCTTGCCCTGTCGTCCAGGCTGGAGTGCAGTGGTGTGACCTCGGCTCACTGCAACCTCTGGCTCCTGGGTTCAAGCAGTTCTTGTGCCTCAGTCTCCTGAGTAGCTGGGATTACAGGTGTGTGCCACCATATCTGGGTAACTTTTGTATTTTTAGTAGAGATGGGGTTTCATGGTGTTGGCCAGGCTGGTCTCGAACTCCTGAGCTTAAGCAATCCACCCACCTTGGCCTCCCAAAGTGCTGGGATTACAGGCGTGAGCCACCGCGCCCAGCTGGGAAAGAGTGTTTCTTCTCTTTCAAAGGGTTGGCTATTTCGCCCTGGCCCCTTCTTCCCCGCTTCCAGATATTTTGTGGGAGTATCAGGAGCTTTGGCAGCTGTCTTGTGAGCGTGAGGCGACAGGCACGTGGACAAAGGTCTACCATGGCGAGCATGGCAGAATAGAAACTTGAAAGGAGTATGGGTTCTTGCTGATGTCAACCTGTTGAAACACCCTGGAGACTCCACTCCCTCCTAACGTTCCGTCCTTATGATTAAAGCCATTTTTAGTCACCACTTAAAACCAGACACATCTTCACTCATGATTCTGAGCTTGTTGGAATTGTTTTTTGTTATACGAAAACCAAATGCACCCTTGACGTAAAGACTGGCCATCATTGAAACAAAGCTTTGAAGGCCGAAGGCGCTTGCCAAAGAGAAGGATGCCAGTGCTTTGAGTGTTACTACCATCGATGTCAGAAATGTAGGTGCCCAAAAGGATGACCGTTGGGCACCCTGTTCATTTGGACATGTTATGTCAGAAAACAAATCATACCATGTTCACCATGTTATGAGAAAATGTAAAGCCTCTTCAGGTTGTAAGTAGCAGCTGTCAATATGAAAGAAAAATCTTAAGGAAATGTCAATAAATAGAATTTATTGGCCTGAATGTCTCAGAAGGTCCAGAGATAGGTCTGGCAGGTTTCAGGCCATTAAGAACTCACATGTATTGTCATCAGAAATATTTCTTCACTTTTCATGCTCCTTGTGAAAGTCATTTTGGGTGGGCTTGTGCCAAGTCATGTGAAACTGGTTGCCTGCAGCTTCATCCCCTTGGCTTAACAGCCCTGCAGGAAGCAGATGTCGGGCTGGCTGGTGCTGGCTGGCTCTGGTTGGCCTGGCTTGGGTCACATACATATCATATTTGCCTGCTAGGAATGCCATAACAGGTCACTGCAAACTGCGTGGCTTAGGAGAACAGAAATTCACTCTCAGTTCTGGAGGCTAGGAGTTGGACTCAGGATGTCAGCAGGGCACTGCTCCGTCTGAAGCCCCGAAGGGAGGAGCCTTCCTTGCCTCTGCCAGCTTCTCATAGTCCCAGGCACGCCTTGGCTTGTGGGAGCATCGCTGTAGTCTCTGCCTCCATCCCCACTTGGCCGTCCTGCCTGGGTGTCTGTGTCTTCACCTGGCTTTCTCCTTTTCCTATAAGGACACTAGTCATATTGAATCAGGGCCAACCCTGATGACCTCATCTTAATTTGATTATATCTGCAAAGACCCTGTTTTCAAGTAAGATCATGTTCATAGGTACCAGAGGTTAGGACTTCAGCTTATCTTGTTGGGGGACAAAGTTCAACCCATGACACCTGTCCTTGGGCTGGATGACATGATACTCTAGCTGGCCAGGACTGTATCACTTGCCCACCCCAAAGTGAGTGTGGGTCAACCCCCTGGAGTTACGTGGCTTAAACGTCGGGGAGGAAGGTTCTTCAAGGGAACTAAGTTGAGGGCAGTCCACAGATGGAAACTTGGCAAAGGCAGTGGTGGTAATGGTTCACCAGCAGCCCGGCTTGGCCTGAGGGCCCCAGCTTTCCAGTCCGGAGTGGTCCATTGGTCTGATTCTTCTCTCCCAGTTCGGTCCCCTCTTTCCTGACTTCCATTCTTTAACTCTGCAGGAGGGGGCGCTTAGTTTAGTTGGAGGTGAATGGAGAGGGAAGGGAGACCCAAAGCAGGGAGGCCCTTGTGATTTCCCTACCAGCCGCCTGCTCTGGGCTGGAGCATGGGCCTCAGATAGCCTAGGTGCTGGGCTGCATGTGCGGCCTTGTGGGAGTTCCACCGAGCAGAGCTTCTGATGGGGGTTCGCAGCCTGGGTGGGCTAGCTAGTGACTGAGCTTTGATGGTAATGAACCATCGTTTGCTGCTTTTATTCATTCACTAGTTTTTCATCTGCTGTGGGAGAAGGCTGTGGGAGTGTGCAGTCCGAAAGAAATGGAAAAACACCAGTCTCCTGTTTCTGCCCTGTGCTTTCCAGTTGACCACTCATTTGGAGATGTTTCTGTTTGCTTGTGTTCCCCCCGCCGCCCCCCCCCGCCCCCGGCTGCTGGGCCATCCCTGCTTACCTAGCCTTTTTCTGAAGGTCTTGAAGCCCAGAGCACTTAGGAAAGTCTGAGCACTAAATTGCGTCCTGCCCAATCACCATATCCTGTGTGTATGTCTTATCTCCTTTATGACAGGAACATGGTTCATAGTTGCCTTTATCTGGAGCACATGGGGCCATGTGGGAAAGGAAGCTTGAGCCAGGCCAACCCTGTGCAGACCCTGCTGTCCCCACCGTGGGGCCCCGGGCTAGCGCTGTTTCTCTGAGCCTCAGTTTCTACCTCCTCAGAATAGAAAATGGGAGTAGCACTAATGGTTGAGATTTCTCTCAGCCAAGTGTCTGTGAGTGGGTTTGTGCATGCCTGGGACCTGAGCAATGGCCACAAGAAAGTCCTGTTTGGAACTTGTGGTCAGCCTGGGCGATGAGGTCAAGATGCCCTGAGAGTCAGGAGGGAGGGGTGCGGCTTGACTGCCCCAGACCACACTGGGAGGTTTGCAGAAGAAAAGAGCGTGGGGTGGGGATGGGGTCAAAAAGGACTCTGTGTGTGCCTGGTGAGGGCTTGAGGCCCGGCTCACAGACCACTGGTGGACCCGTCCCGCCAGAGCAGTGACCGCTTGGGAGGCAGTGAGCTGTGAGTGTGGAAAGGAAGTCGGAGGCAACGTGGGTCCTCATTTGGGGGCACTGGGGAGCGATTGAAGGTTTTTAGGTAGTTGCAGAGGACAGTTTCAGGGAAGGTATTCTGGCAGTTCTGGCCCAGGGTGGATTGGGTTGTGTCCAGGCTAGAAACTGGATCCTGAAATTAGTTCTGAAAGAATAAAAAAAAAAGTCTGAATTAGAGAGTATAGCTTAATTTTAATTACTGGTCCTTGTTAATTAGTTCTCTGATTGCATGTAAGCCAAGGTCTCTAATTGGATTTTCTTAGATAGGGTTTCGCTGTGTTGCCCAGGCTGGAGTACAGTGGCTATTTCACAGATGCAATCATAGCGCACTTCAGCCTTGAACTCCTGGGCTCCAGTGATCCTCCTCTCACCTCCTCCTCCTGAGTAGCTGGGACTACAGGCACGTGCCATCTAATTGGTTTTTAAGTGCTGTCAGTACGTTTCAGGGAGACTCTCCACCCACTTTGCGCTAATCTTCCCCCATCCTGGTGATTTGCTGTAGAGTCTTTGTTATGGGGCAGGGGCAGCATAGCCTACTTCCAGCCTCTCAGTCTGCGGCAGTGCTCTTCAGGGTCACCAGGGGAGTTGAATTAAAAGGCCACTCTGACCTGGCCTCTGTGGTTTCCTGGCCGGCTGCATGGACCAGCCCTCAAGCGCTGCGGGAGGCAGAGCTGCTGACTGGCAGGGACAGGGGCCTGAGGTCTTGCCCAGAGGGGTAACTGGCCTCTGCTTATTTGTGAGAGGTGAGGCTTGGAGGTTTGGTTTGATCTTGATGCCCTGTGCCTGCAAGGGCAAGGAACCAGTGCCTGGTGACTTGGAACTAAGGCACAGACTTCCATTTCAGGCTCAAAAGCAGCATGGCACTGGGCTGCAAAGTCAGGGATCTGGTTCTTTAAGGTAGATCTTACAGGAGGGAGACCTTAAATGCCCCTTTCTTCCTGATCTGACAGATCCTAGAGCCCTGGGGCCTGCCCTGGCCAGGAGTCCTGGTGCTAAACCCTGTCAGGTTGGTGGGGAAAGGGCATTTAAGGCCCTTACCCTGTTAAGATATATCCTAAAGAACCACAACCCTGACTTGCGGCCCACGCTAGTCCGTCACGGTGTCGGGTTTTTCTTGCTTCTTCCTCTTCCTCCTTTGCTAGCCTTGGTGCTTGCGGTGGCCCTTCTGGCCAGGCCATAGACAGAGGCCACACCCTTCTTCCCTCTCTGCCGTGTTGCTGTCCGCTGGGCCACTGTCCCACCTCCTCTGAGATCTACAGCCCCACAGGGTTGGGTGATGGTTGTCGCCACATTGGTCAGTTCTGCATCTGGGTCAGTCCCAGGGGCTTGCATGGCTGGCTGTCAGTCCTTTACCTGGGGGGCCCTGTGGCTCATCCGTGGCCCTCGAGTTCCAGAGTTTCCATCTGCTGCCAGGCCGAGTGCAGCATCCTCACCAGCTTCACAGCCAAGCAGAGGGATGCCAGTGTTCGGCCTAGGCTTCGGTTTAATTTTTATGCTAGACTTTCTCAGTAATCGCCAGCACAAACTTATTCATGGTCCCTTCCTTGTGTCTGGATTTCAGCTTTCCTATCTCTGCGGAGGGGGTTGGACCAGATTACACGTGGGTGACTCAGATATACCTGGGCCTGCATGCAATCTGTTTGGCCCACACAGGAATTTTACATTCTTTCCTTTGAATTTGTTGCCAGTGTTTAAGCTGGTTGCCCCTTAGGCCCCACCATTCTCTGTTGTCCCACACCACCAGCCTCATGGTTTACATTTGCCCCATGGGCGCTTCAGTTTGTGACCCTCCATTTGCTCCTAGGACCCCCTCCTCACCTCCCCCCCAACCCCTCCCACCTGAATTCCTCAGTACCCTCTGGCTCTGTCTTCCCAGGGTGATGGGACAGAAGAGGAGGGAGGCTAGAGCCTAGCCATCCACAAGCCGGGTTCCAGAATGGTTGGATTTGAGAAATCTGGTGAAGGGGAAAAGATTTTTCATTTGCCCAGAACTCAGGGTAGTGGACTTGGGGCAGTAAAGGTCTCAGGAACAGAGTTGAAGCCAGAACTGTAGGAAGATGTGTATTGGGGCCTTCAGGTGGGCGGCAGGAGAGGAAGGGTGGGGCTGTGGTCTGGGAAGGGCCTCCTGCAGGATGCCAGCCTGCCACCAATGAGGGGAAGGAGAACGGTGGCCTGGGCATGACGTGCGCTTGGAACAGATTCCTGGTGACACCACCCCCAGCCTTGGGGCTTAAAGATTGTGGTGTAATCCAAGCTTGTTTTAATCAAGCCACAGATAAGAATGAGCCAGGCTGAGGCTGGCTACGGCCTGAGTGCACATTCCTGCCTGGTGCACTTTGTTCTTCATGTAGGTGGGGCTGGGCGGGGCAGGGAGGCTGCCCTGCTGCCTTGGACCCAGGATGGCATTTCCCCTGCTTGACAGGGACACTTGGAATTTCCTGTTGGAAGTAGCCCCAAAGGAAAGAGTGCCTGATGGGTTGAGCCTTGGATGTGTTCGGTGCTTTCTGCAGTGACTCCACAGAGCACTGGGCTTTTGCAGTCTCTACTGTGCTGTCTTCGGCTTTCCCACTGGTATTTCCTGCCCTCAGAAATCCACCTGCCCCACATCTCTTTTCTCCCCTTCTGTCTGTGCACATAAACTGGGGTGGATTTCAATCCGATCTCCTTAGCTGTGTGATCTTGGGCAAGTTATTTTGCTTCTCTGAGCCCCAGCTTCTGGTTCTGTGTGTGCTGTGAAACCACCTGTGGCCCACGTGGCCAATCCTGGGTCAATATTTTTTTAACCAATGACAAGAAGTTTCTAAGGGTTTTCCCCAAAGTGTGGGCCTCGGTGGGGAGCTGGCAGTAGCTGGATGAGAAAGAGTTTGGACTTCAAGTCAATTTGTAGAGTTAAGATTGAAACTTTTTTTTTTGAGACAGTCTCGCTCTGTCACCAGGCTGGGGTGCAGTGGTGCGATCTTGGCTCACTACAACCTCCGCCTCCTGGGTTCAAGCTATTCTCTTGCCTCAGCCTCCCGAGTAGCTGCGATTGCAGGTGCACGCCACCATGCCTGGGTAATTCTTGAGTTTTTAGTAGAGATGGGGTTTCACCATGTTGCTCAGGTTGGTCTTGAACTCCTGACCTCAAGTGATCTGCCCACCTTGGCCTCCCAAAGTGCTGGGATTACAGGTGTGAGCCACCGCAGCCAGCCATGATTGAAACTTTAATTTCCTTCTCCTTGTCCGAGGCCCTTCTCCCTTTCTTTGCCCACCAGTTTCTCCCTCTGAGCGCTGCAGCCACCCCACAAGCCCCAGTGCCCTGTCAGGCCCATCAGGACATGCAGGTGGGGCACTGGCCTGAGTTTTGGATCTTTGCTTCAAAGCCGTGTTAAGTCCAGCTCTGCCTTGTCCCAGTTCCCAGCCCTGTCGCTGTTAGGGGTATCCGATCAGCACCCTCAAAACTAGAGAGATCGCAGCCTCAAACAAATCCTTTTGGCAAATGGCTGCATGTTAGGAGGGTTTTGGTGACCCAAACATGTGCCAGGCATGTTCCAAAACCCCCAGCATCAAGGCCCACTCAGGGATTAGGGTCGAAGCTGCTTGGCTGGGGAGAGAGGGACTGTTTTTGTTCTTAGCCACTTTCTGTTCACATATGGCTATCATTCACTGAATGAACGTTTACTAGAACAGCAGGGTGGCGGAGTAGAGAAAACGTGTTTCCAGTTTGCTGTACCTGTGTCAGAATCTTGGATTTGTTACTGTGAGATTCAGGGCACTTGAGTCATTTGTTCTCTAGAAGGTTAATTTCCTCAACTTATAAAATAACTTGATTTGTACCTCCTGCAGTGGGTGTTGTGAGGACTGGGTGAGAGGAAGTCTGTGAGGACCCAGCATGACACCTGCACATGGCAGCTGTGTGGTAGGCGGTCACTGCTGTTGTCATTTAGTAGGTGGCCCTTAGGATTAGACACCGCGGGGGACACAGGCTGGGTGAGATAGGGTCCTTGCTACCAGGAACATATGGTTAACAGGGGGCTGCAGGATAGATTTGCTGTGTTTTGGGAGTTCCTAGCATCTGAACCCCCTCTGAGTTTACATCTGAGGATTCTCTTCCATATGTATCTTGGAGGCCAGACAGGAAAGGCCAGGAACTCTTGTCACCTGTAGTGCTGGGTGCGAGCACAGGACTGGGGCCTGCCAGCCAGACCCACCCCCTGGTGCTGGGATTCAGGAAGCAGGACAGGGAGCATTCGTCATGGTGGCTCAGTGGCAGAGGCAGGTGCCAGATGGGATGCTGAGCCCTGTGTGCCCGGGTGTGGGCTGGGCAGGGGCCTTGCCTGCCTGCCTGCCTGCCACAGGGCCTACTTTCACTGTGCTTCTCTGGGTGAACAGCCTCCCTGGCAGAGGCCCGGTTTCTGAGCGTGGCTCTCCCAGCTTCCTGTGTTTTCTGACCTGCACAGTGGCCTTTTAGTGAGGTCCCTTGCTGCTCAGGTCAGCCCCAGGAAGGTTCTGGTGCTCACATCCCAGAACCTGCTGGTCTCTGGGCCTCAGAGTAACTCATACTGAGAGGAGGGAAGGATGCCCAGGCAATACTGTGCAGAGACAGGGTTGCCACTTCTGGCCGCAGGGAGGAGTCAGAGAAGACTTCTTGGAGGAGGGGGCATTTGAAAGGTACTTTGTAGGACAGAGGGCCTGGAGGGAGGTTCAGATCCTGGCCGGGCAGTGGAAGCCTGGCCCTTGCCTTATAGCCTCTTTGAAATGTAAATGATGCTAGTGCCTGTGGGATAGGGCCTTTGTGAGGAGTAAATGGTTGAGGACAGCGCCTGGCTAATCACTGATCAAAATAGCCCCCTCCTGACAGGGGATTAGGTTCATGGCTGTCGTATATACGAGACCAACCATCTCCCCCCACACTCTGTATTGATGGGGAGTGGTAGAGTTACACTTCTGCTCTGAGCTCAGTGCATAGACATCCTATCTTGTTGAATGTGCACGACACCTCGAGATGTAGGCAGGATCCTTCCTTTTTTACAGGGGAGAAGACGGGGCCTTGGTGAGGTGAAGTAGTTCCCAGGGCCTTCCATCCAGGTGATGGAGCCAGGACCTTGCTTCTAGTTCTCCTGCCTCCCAAGCTTGGCTGTTTCCTACAGCTGCATACGGCCCCACCCAGAGGGAGGCAGTCACCAGAGAAAGAGAATGGCAGTGACCCAGAGGGGGCACAGAGCTACTTCCTGCTCAGGGAGTGCTGGGCAGCCTCCTGCGGGGGGGAGAGGGGGGCATTGAATGGGCCCTTCAGAGAAGGCTGGGAGCTCACCAGGTCCTGAGGAAGAGGAGGGACTGCGTGCAGGAAGCCTCAAGGCACGAGCCAGCTTAGCATTTGGGGGAACTCCAAGTATTTGGTGTATACAGTGTCTGCAGGGTGCCTGGGCAGGGGTGTTGGGCCAAGCGGTGTGGCAGGGGACCATGTGTGCTCTGGCCAGGGGCCTTGACCTCATTCTGTTGGTGGTGAGGGCCTCTGCAGGTGGGGAGTGGCAAAGTGGACCAAGACCGCCTCTCCTCCACTATCTCCCCTCCCTACCCCTGCTCTGTCCTTATACCCCAGGCCACAGTGAAGGACATTGGGCCGAGGCCCTGCTTTCATAGGAGGAAGCAAAGCTCTGCTTCATGTAGCTGAAGCCCAGGCTCCCCATTGTCCACCCTGACACAGACCCTCTGAGTCCTCAGTTTTCTGGTCTGTAAGTGGCTATGAAGTCTGTCTTGCTTCTCCTCCCAGAGAAATCATGAGCATAAAGAGCCTGCCAGACGTGTGGATATGCGGTTTTAAAGATTAAGGCAGTTTAACCAAAAAGAACAAAACATTGGCTGAATTAATAGAAGTGGCACTGGGCGTTCTTCCCGTCAGCCTGAGTTGGAGGTGGGGTGCCTCCCAGCAGGGGCTGGCAGGAGCACCCGTGTGCGCTCTGACCCCATCCAGAGGGTTTCTGGGTGCCCTGCACAGCGGGACACCCTCTGGAGGAGGCCCTGTGGGGAGGACAGAGGGCCAGTAAGAACACTCAGTGGCCTTGGAGAAGCAAAGGTGTCATTTGTCCCCTCCCAACCACCCTGTACTTCCTGTACTGAAACTGACAGCAAGGGAGACTTTGGCAGGGAGAACTCCCAGTTTAGCTCCTCAAGTGTTTTTGAGGCTGAATACCAGCCTGACAGCTTGCTGGCCTGCTGCAGGGTGTGGGGCTGAGACGGCCTCAGCGACTTATCACAGCGACCCTGTGAGGTGTAGGTGCGTCCTGGTCCCCCATTCAGTGGTCACAGAAGCACAGTGGGGTTTAAGTGACCAGTCAGATCTGCGAGCAGCGGATTCAAGATTCCAGAGTCTGGGGATCTGACACCAAGCACCTTGGGCTGGTAAAGATACAAAGTCTCCAGCAGGCACAGGGTGGAAGAGGAGGTTTCTGTTTTTAATTTTTTTTTGTAGACAAGGGGTCTTGCTGTGTTGCCCAGGCTGATCTTGAACTCCTAGGCTCAAGTGATTCTCCTGCCTTGGCCTCCCAAAGTGCTGAGATTACAGGTGTGAGTCACCATGCCTAGCAAAAAAAGAGGAGGCGTCTTGTTGACATGGATTGAGAGAAGGTTGAGTAGCTGAGAAGGAGAGAGAACAGCCTCTGTAGAACAAGGAGGTGGGGGGTGTTTCTGGGTATGGTGAGCATGGAGCAAATAGGAGAGGGAGCCCAAAGCATGCTGGGGCCAGAGCCTGCCCAAAAGGCCTGTGCCCAGAACTCTGGGCATCGTTTAGTAGGAAAGGGGAAGTCAGTGGTGGGCTCTTGAGTTTGGCAGCACCCCCGTGAGAGCTGGGCGTATGCAGGCGGACGCTGTAGCCATGGCAGCAAGGTCGGCGGTGGTAGCAAAGGGAACTTAACTCCCAACTTGGGACATCTTTTGGGGCTCAGTTCAGAGAAAAACTGAGCAAGAAATAGGTCACAGGTTTTAGGAACGGTATTAGAGTATCTTATTTTCTGGCATGTCCAGGAAATGCCATTTTCCACTGGATGCATTTTTTAGATAGTTGCTTGGCACTTATGTCTTTGTCTTCAGAAGAATGGTTTTCCGGTTTTAAACACATATCTGGCTGGGTGCGGTGGCTCACGCCTGTAATCCCAGCACTTTGGGAGGCCGAAACGGGTGGATCACTTGAGGTCAGGAGTTCCAGACCAGCCTGGCCAACATGGTGAAACCCATCTCTACTAAAAATACAAAAATTAGCCGGGTGTGGTGGCACATGCCTGTAATCCCAGCTACATGGGAGGCTGAGGCAGGAGAATCGCTTGAACCCAGGAGGTGGAGGTTGCAGTGAGCCGAGATTGCACCATTGCACTCCAGCCTGGGCGACAAAGTGAGACTCTGTCTCAAAAAACAAACAAACAAACAAAAACCCACATATATCCCACTTTTCTTTCCCTTCCAAAAGAGAGTATATGGATATAATTTAATCATTTTTCCTGTGTTATGTATAATTGTACAATTAGAAACAACCAAACATTAAAAGGTAGGGAATTGATTAAATAAATTATGCTTGATTTACCTTTTAATGATAATGCTTTAGAAGAATATGCAATGTTGGCTGGACGTGGTGGCTCACACCTATAATCCCAGTACTTTGGGAGGCTGAGGTGGGCAGATCACGTGAGGTCAGGAGTTTGAGACCAGCCTGGCTGACACGGCAAAACCACGTCTCTACAAAAAATACAAAAGTTAGCTGGGTGTGATTGCTCACACCTGTAGTCCCAGCTACTTGGGAGGCTGAACCTGGGAGGCAGAGGTTGCAGTGAGCTGAGACTGTGCCATTGCACTCTAGCCTGGGCAACAGAGCAAGGCTCCATCTCAAAAAAAAAAAAAGAATATGTCATGTCACAGGAATATATTCCTTATAGTTTGTTAATTAAAAAGTAGGATCCAGATGTTTGTGTAGTATAATTTCAGTTTTAGCAAAGATAAATATTAAAAACTTGGAGGAGTACGTTATGTAATACAAATGTTACAGGCTATCTCTGAGATTAAGTTAAAATTTTTCGATCCCTGAGTAAATAACTGGAGATATAAACATCTCTTACAATGGACATTAATTTGATCAGAGAAAAAAGACAGTTTTTTTGAAAAGCTGTATTACTTTATAGACACAGCTGGTATCTTTATTCTGCCTGAGTCTCACCATCTCCACTGCAGGAGGCAGCTGGGTCATGTTAAGGGTTCCTAGAGCCCCAGGTGGCACTCTTCTGTCTTCCTTGTCTTTAACATCCGGACCACACCTTGTCAGGAAGCTGAGTTTGAATCTCAGCCCCGGGCTCGCCAGTAGGAGTTCTTGAGTCCTGGGCCTGGCCTTGGACTCCCGTTGTGAAGTGGGAGCCAGCCTTGCAGGTGGCTGCTCAGGTGAGCATGTAAGGTGCATCTAGGTGGCTGGGGCCTGGGGCTACATCCTGAAGCTTACCTGCGCCTTCAGCCAGTGGCTGCTGTTTATTCCAGCAGTGAAACCCAACCGTCACATTCCTTGAAATACCTTTAATAACTCTTACCAAATTTTGAATTTTCAGTGAGTTTGACCTTGACCATCTGTTTGAAAGAAAGGCAGACACACACCCACACACACCCATGGTGAAATGCAGGCAGGATCTGACGTCCTAGGCTGAGAAATGCTGGTCTCCTCTTTTCCTATCAACACTGCCCTGTTGACCATGCAAGGGGCATGGAGATGCCATTGTCCCGGGGTCAGAGGGTTGGCAGGGAGAATTGCTGTGGTTCCGGGGCTTCCTGTGTAGGCCCCAGGGATTGGGACTGGCCTGGCTCAGAGCAGGAGCCACCCAGGGAGCAGGGGAACAGCCTTCCAGGGCCTCCCTGGTCCAGCTGCCTGGGCCTGCAGGCTCTTCTGAGGACAGAGCCCTGATAAGTGAGGGTCAGTGCCCAAGAAAAAAGGAGCATTGTTAGGGGGTGGGGGCCGGGGGAACAGCCAGGGCATTGTCGCCGAGCCGGGAGGCTCTGTGTGTTCCGTGGCTTTCCCAGCTCTCTGACAGTCACAAGCACTGAGGTTTGGGGCTTCCACCCCTTGACAGCAGGTAGGTCCCTTTTTGGCAGCTGTCAGCATCTCTCAGCCCTTCTCTGCTCTGCTCTGGGGGGATTTTTCTTGGCATTTCCAAGTTCTGGGGGCTGCATCCTCCCCTGCGGTATTGAGATGAGTGGGAGAGAATGCGGTGCGGGTTGTTGGTAACGATCCCAGAGCCCAGAGAATAGGGGCAGTGTTCCTGGGGGAGAGCCCTCACCCGGCCCCTGGGGTGCTGAGCCTGGTGAGTCATGAGGGGTGTGGGCCACAGAACGCCGGGGAGAGTGGCTGGGGGTTAGGGGGTGTGGAGAGGCTGCCACCAGCAAACAGCAAGAGCCGTGGGGGTCAAATGGGGCACGTGCTCCCACCAGCCTCTCGGAGGAGGTCACGTGTTTGTCATTGTTGGCTGTGTCTGACGTGCGGGAAAGCAGCCGTGAATACTGAGGAGCCTGTCACATTTGTTCTCTCAGCATCTTTGGTTTATCTTAAACCTCAGTGAGATGTTTGCAGTTCTTCTCACGCTGTCACAGAGCATGACCTTGTGGCCTCAACCGGATGCCCTTTAGACATTGCAGTCCACTGCACCATGTGGACCTCCTGGGGCAGGGCTGGTTGCTATAGGAGCGGCCCTTCCCAGTAGGACGGGGACAGTGTCCCTCCGGTTGTGGCCTCTGCTCCCCGCAGCTCTTGAAGTTACCGACCTTGGGCTCCTGGGACCTTGGGCTCCTGGGGAGGGGCAGGTCTCACTGACGCCACCATTGCTTTCGTAGCCCTTTCTTGGAAAGGGTGGCCTTGGGCTTGGCGAGTGCTCCTCCCACCTGTTTCCAAACTCTGAGGATGCTCCTCAGGAATTAGAACAATTCAAATTAGTCATCACGTGCCGGAGTCAGGCTGGGAAGAGGCAGCCACTTGGCACCACATACATCCACCTGGGCCTGCCACCCTTAGCCCAGGCCTTGGACCTCTCTGGTCTCCTGGCTAGGCCCTGGGCCCAGCTGGTTTCTGGTGGGAGGTGACAGGCCCAGTAACTGAAGCAGGAGGCTCTGGTCCAGACCGACCTGGGTGGGTTGAAACCTGCCTCTGCCACCTCCTGGTACCCAGGAGGGTGAGGCAGCTGTTCACGGTGCTGTCGGGCACCAGGCCCTGGACAGCCATGGTTGTTCCCATTCTGGGCCTCATGCAGTGCCTGGTAGACCACTGCCTCCCACTCACCAGTGTCACAGCAGCCAGACAGGTTTCTGCGGCCTGAGCCCCCTCCCTCCCTCCCTCCCGTCCTGTTTCCTAGGCAGCATGGCCTCTTTGGCCATTTGTTGACCTCCCATTCCCCTTGGCTTCTCAGTGCAGAATTTCCATAGCACATCAGTCTGCACTGGTGATTTGGGGCTCTCTGGTGTACATGTGCAGATATACACACCCATGGGAGATGAGGGAGGCATTCCACTGTCCTTCAAGGCTCAGCTTACCTGCCATCTCCTTTGAGTCGGCTTTTGACTGCCCAGCGTGAATACCTGTGCCTGCCTTTGTGTGCTCACTGCACTCTTTTGGGTCATTCTGGAAGAGCCTCCATTTTATTTTGCCTCACTGGCCCAACTGCCAACCATGTCTGCCCTTGAGGCCATCCCTGCTGCCCTGGTGCAGCATGAAGTCCACAGCGAGTGCCTGGTCTCTATTTGTTGAATGAATGTCTGCAACGTAATGTGACCAAGGTCCCACAGATCAGCATCCTAGTGAGCTGAGAGCTCAGGTGAGCTCATCTGTGTGTTTCAGAGGGGGTGGTGGGCAGAGGACAGCAGGCTGTTGTCCTGAAGCCCCTAGAACCTAGCGGAGAAGAGGCAGGACCCAAAAGAAGGAGGTGTGTTCACCCTGTAGGACTTGCTTTGTAGGTGCAGGTGCCCAGAGGCCAGGCCCGTCAGTGCTACCTGGGGTGGGGCTGGAGAAGGGAAGGCCTGCCAGGCCCCATAGGTGATGGGAGGGCCAGGACCTCAGGTTGGAGGGAACCACTGAATCCTCGGCCCTGTGGTGCAGGCCCACACAGGGCATAGCCCCTGGGCACTGGCACTGCCCACTGCCCACTGCCCGTGTGTGCTGGGGCCATGCCAGCCTTCTCCGCTGCTAAACTGGCTTCTTCACCCTCCCTCAGTGGGCACAGCTGCCGCTTCCATCTCAGTGTCTGCTTCTCCCTTGCTTGGTGGGTCATTATGTGCCCACTTAGCCATAGGCTTTCACTGAGTCCCCACCTTCATGCAGGATGTGGGAGGTCCCAGGGGCCCCCAGGCAGCTCAGGCTGGCCTGCCCTCTAGTGGGGAGCAGAGCAGACAGATCTCCCAGCCCAGTGGGGGCCAGCTGTGGTGGAGCCCGCCTCCCCATTCTATTCTTGGAGAGGAAAAGCACAGAAATACAGGAGTGAAGGCACAGACTGGGCAGAGGGGCCGGAGTCGCCCTCTGAGGAGGCCTGTAGGGCCCCCAGAAGAGTTTTCTGGGTCAGAATCAAGAGACTCAGGAGCCTTTTTGCATTTTGTGAGCCCAGTCACTTTGCCTCTGGTCAGGGTAGGTTTTCCAGAGCATCTTCCTGCTCCGACAGGGGGTGGGGGAGTGTTGGGGGTGGGTGGTTTGCCATGGGAACCCCCGGCTGCTGCAGGTGCTGTGTGGCTGAAGCCACCTCCCAGTTCAGTGTGCTGGGGGCAGGATGTGGGGGAGGGCACCTGGGAGGAAGGTGTCGGGGCAGGGCTTACCAGGGACCCATGGGGAAGTATTAGACGGCTTTTGGGGCTACACTTTGGATAGGGAGCTGGGGGCTCCCAGCATCAGAGCCCACTCTTTCTCCCCCATTCCTGAGTTTGGAAAAAGGCTGCCAGCTGGTGCCTCACCCCTGCCCCTCACCAGAAGAGGTCCTGTGCTTGCCCCCTGCCCCATCCTCAGTCCCCAGTCCCACAGCTGCTGTGCAGTCCTGCTTCTCTTTCTGTCTCCTCCCCTGCATCATTCCTGCCCTAGCTCTAGACCTCTCCACCTAGCTACCCCTGTGCTGCCCGAGAGCCCTCCTGTGCCCCACCACACACCCACATGCACAGGCACGCACATTCACACACTCCGTTCTCTTCCAGGAGAAACCCTCCCTGGTTCCTGAGGCCCTGGGGACCAGTGGGTGTGTGTCTGTCTCTCTCTAGCGCCTCTTTCTCCTCTCTGCCTTTCCTTAGACACGTACCTCTTACCTCCTGTCTGGCCTGGCTTCCTCCATGAAGTGCTGTTTGGTTTTCTCAGCAGGAGCCTCCCAGCCCCAAGGCTCCCACTGTTCCTCTACCAGTCCTGTCCTGGGGCCCTCACTCCTGGGTGGTCACTGTTGACTGATTACTCATCAGTGGTCCCTCTCTAGACCCTGGTTCTGATGTCTGTGCTCAGCAGGGCTGGCCCAGAGGAGGTGGTGGGGAATGTTGGGGGGCATTGGCTGTTGTGGGGCTTTGAGGAAGCCTCCTTCCTTCTCTGGTTAGGAAGTTATTGCAGCAGATCCAGCTTTTCTTATTCTCCTTTTCACAAGGCTCACAGGTCACATGGCTGCTGCCTCAGAGTCCCTGAGGCACTGCTGTGCCAATGCACAGTTGGTTTATCTTAACATCACCCACCCCAGGAAACCTCCCTTGACCCTGTCCCTAGGCCTGGCTGAGATGACCTTCGGTCCTACTCTCACCTGTAGGATTGCAGGAATAACAAATGACACTTAATCACAGGCCTCTGAGCAAAAACTGGGACCCAACAAATTTGAGTGTGCTGATTTCATTTGTAGACCCTGGGAAAACCGATGCTTATACCTTTCCCAAGCCCTGGCAGGGCATTGGCACAGATCTGCTTTCACCCTGAGTCTCTCTAGGTGTCTCTGTGTCCATGCCTTCTCAGCAGCTCACAACTGCTGCCCAGGGAGATGAAGCCCACCAGCTCCTTTGCTAAAGGGCTCACCCCCTAGAGAAAAGGGCTGGCTTTGCAGGGTGCACGATCCGATCCGTGCTGGCCTTTGTCACCCGATTCCCTGAGCAGCTGCTCAGAGCTGTGGAGTACGCTGCAGTCTGCAGAGTGCGATGGCCCCTTCGTGAGTCCCAGCAACTCACCAGGGTCACAGCCAGAGCTGGGTGGACATGTGCCTTCTAGATGAGGCTAATCGGAAGATATTCAAGGGCATCAAGCTGCCCCGCCCAGCATGGTGTGTATGTGGTCCCTGGGGGACTTCCTCCCATTGAGGGTGGGGCAGGTCAGATGTGGGTCAGTAAATTTCTGTGACCTGGCAGCATTCTCTGGAATTCTCCCAAGTGAGTATGCAAGGGTTTCAGTGTCAGCTTCTTCCTCTCTGCAAATCTCTGTGCAAGTGAACATATTAAAGTATCTGAGAAGTCCTGCAGGAAAGCTTCTGCTGCTGCTTAGCTTGACGCAACCGAGTCTTTGCAAATGATTTTGAGTACTGAACTTCCCCTTTTCATGTGATGTTTAAAAGGTTGTTAATGCTTTATTATTATTATTATTATTATTTGAGATGGAGTCTCGCTCTGTCGCCCAGCCTGGAGTGCAGTGGCGTAATCTCGGCTCACTGCAACCTCCGCCTCCTGGGTTCAAGTGATTCTCCTGCCTCAGCCTTCCGAGTAGCTGGGATTGCAGGCATGCACCACCATGCCCAGCTAATTTTTGCACTTTTAGTAGAGATGGGGTTTCACTGTGTTGCCCAGGCTGGTTGCAAACTCCTGACCCCAAGTGATCCGCCCGCCCCAGCCTCCTAAAGTGCTGGGATGACAGGCGTGAGCCACTGCACCCGGCTGCTTTGTTACTATTATATCAAATACCAGTTTGGAAAACTGCCTCAAGGAATGCTCTCTTCGGATTGGAAAGCAATGAATATAGAAAGAGTACAGCTTCAGGGCTTAAATAATAATCTATGCAGGCTTTGTAGGAGTTTGAGTCAGAGTTTCCCTCCTTATTGTTAAAAAGGATGCATAGAAAATTTTTTTGACTTGGAGAATTCTTTGCCACTTGTGGCCGGGGCTGCCAGTTGCCATTCTAGGGGGAACATGGAGATAAAGCAAACATTGAAATATGTTTTTTATTGTCAGCAAAAATAAACATCCCAGGCCGGAAGCCAGGGTGTGGAAGGGAGGAGTCTGGGGACATGAAGTCGGAATCCCACTTGGGGATGGGCACTTATTCTCTTACCACCACCTCTTGGAGCCAGACCAGGAGGCCTTAGGGGGGTCTATGGCCCTCATTAAAGCCCAGGCCCCCAGCTTCCAGACAAGGGAAATGATGGCTCGAGGTCCCACAGCAAGTCAGTGCCAGGCTCCTGACCCCTGGCCCGCTGCTGTCTTCGAAGCATCATGGTTTCTGAAAATCTTACCTAAGTCCCTTGTTCCATGAGGCCATAAAAATGGCAACTGCCATGTATGAAGCGCTTACAGCCTGTACCAGGCAAGGTGCTGACACCTCACCTGTGTTAACTTCCACAGCGGTCTCTCCAAAGGGACTGAGGCATCTAACTCCCTCACTCATGGCCTTTTGCCAGCTTCCCCCACTCTGAGGACACTGACTCCAATCGTGCCCCCACCTCTTTGTCCCCCGTCCCCTGCACCCACGCTGGCCTCCTCTGCTCGGGACCCCTGCACTTGCCTTCTTCTTAGTTCAGAACATTCTTCCCCAGGTCTCTCCTGGGCCTTCTTCTTGCCCAGGCCTTCCTTAGAGAGGCCTTGGATTCATTTGCCAGTGCTGCTGTCACAAAGGGCCACAAACTGGGCAGCTTAAATAGCAGAAATGCACCCCTCCCAGTTCCGGAGGTGAGAAGTCTGAGATCCCAAGTGGGGCTCCTTCCGAGGCAGCGGGGCCTGTTCCAGCCATCTCTCCCTGCTGGGGGTGGATTGCCAGCCATCTTTGGCGTTCCCGGGAATGTAGAAGTACCGCCCTCATCTCTGCCTTCATCTCCTCACGATGTTCCTCCTTTGTGCGGGTCTGTGTCTAAATTTCCCCTTTTTATAGGAGCACCAGTCATCGTGGACTAGGGACCTACCTGCTCTGGAATGACCTCATCTTAACAAAGGTCATCTGCAAAGACCCCATTTCCTAACCAGGTCACGTTCTGAGGTACTAGGGGTTAGGACTTCAACATACCGTTTTTTGGGGACACAGTTTAGCCTGTACCAGGCCTTCTCTGACGAGTGCCCCCCTTTCCTATCATGCCCTCTGCACTTCATTGATGTTGCAGCCCTCGGTGGTGCCTCCAGTCGCTTCCTTTGCTTGTTTGTTGTCTGTCTCCCACACTAGGCTGTGAGTATGAGCACTGAGGACAGGGACCTGGCGGTCATCTTCACGTTGCATCTTCAGAGCTTGAGCAATGCTAGGCACAAACTTACTCTGTTCACTTAATTACTCAATGAATGAGTGCATGAATGAATGAATGAATGAATGAAAGAAAGAAAAGAAAACAAGTCCTGTTGTCTTTCCCATGCATCACTCACACAAACTGAGGCTTTGAGAAAACCAGAGGAGAGTAAAGAACAGGCTTTTGTGTGTGATTCATGAAGCAGTAACGGTTTCTCTTTTATTTACATTTTGGATAAAGGGCAGAAGCAAGAAGGGTGGCTGTGACTGCATTCTTGATGTTTTCAGCATTTGTCAAGTGGGACGTGTCACCTCATTTTATTTTTGCACATTCCCCAGTCAGCTCTACTGAGTGTAAATGCGGGGTGCCGCTCTCACACCCTCAGTTCCCATGTTGGCAGTTGGAAGGGAGTGCAGCCTGCATTGCGCGCTAACTTCGTGCTTGCCATCTGGGAGGGAAGTTGGGATCCAGGTGGTGCAGTCCTGGATCTGAAATCCTCTGTGGGAAGTGCAGAGAGACAGGGTAGCTGGGTTTCTGGAAGGGGGTAGCAGCCTTTGAATTCATCTGGCTGAGAGCTCAGATAGAAATCCATCCCTCGCCACAGCTTTGGGACAGTCAGATGTGGTGCACCGAAGACAATCTGCTGGGGACTGTCAGTGGCTTCCTTTGTTACCCTTGCCTTGTCCACTCTCTTGGGCCTGGGAGGGTCAGTGTCTGTGACTGTTTGATCCTTACTATGCTTGGCTGTAGAGGAAGGGGCCTGCAAGATGCTCATGGCCTGCTTGGGAGGACAAGAGTCATGCCCAGGAAGCCGTGCCAGTGACCAAGGGTGGTGGCTCATCTCCTGCCTTGTGTGCTTGTTGTCAGAGCTGTGGCATCTTCAGCCCTCAAAGATTGTGGCCTGCCGGCTTGGCTAAAAGCACAGCTGCCTGGAGCCTCTGTGCCTTTTGGGCTTCCTGGGGCCCATGTCTCCTCTCTGCAAGGTGCACCCTGGGGCTGAAGCTCGGGTGGCTCGGGTGTCCTTGCCTGCTCTGTTGCCCAGAGACGGCTTTATTTTTCTTACCCTGCTAGGCCCAGGGCATGTGTGGCTTATTCCTGGGGCTGCTTGGGACATCGTGGAATTCTTTAACCTGAAGATTCTCACCTCTCCCACCATACCCTCCAGAGTCCAACACAGACACAACTAAGCTCAGGGTCCCCAAGGGTCCAGACCCCAGGTGGAGGTGAGGGGCGGGCAGTGTGAGGTGTTGGCTCTAGGGAAGGGAGTGGTAAGAAAACATGGGCCTGCCGCTTACTCTCAGTGACCTTCCACGAGTTCCCTCATCTCATCATGTCCTTTTTTCGGAGCAAAGCAGGGATAACATGTCCTTGGAGGGTGGTTATGGAAATGCCCAATGCCCAATATATACTGTATGGATAGGTGAATGGCATGAATCCCTCCAGCTTTGGGGAATCAATTCAGTCCATGTTGGCTGGTTTCTAGAACAACTGGGCATGATGCCAGGCCACACAGGGGCCACGGGGAGGAATAGGACATAGTCCCTGTCCTCAGGGAGGGGGCACAGGCTAAGGAGAACTCTCTGCAACTCATCAGCCACGTAAGCTCAGTCAGCTTGAGCGTCTCTGTTCTCCCTGAGTAGGCACCACTGCGAGGAGGCAGTGAAGTGTTCTCAATGGGAGGGAGGAGCCACAGCCCCATCATCGTGCCTGGGACGCTGAGGCTTAGAAATGCCGAAGCTGAACCTGAAGGCGGTTACTGTTTGGCGTTAGAGGTGGGAGATCCAATGGGAACTGTGATTGCTGAGGTTCCGGAGGGTCTGAGAGCTGACATCCGCTTGGGGAGGTGCCTGCAGGGGGCCTGCTCTGGGCCAGGCTTGGTGCTAAGGCTTCACCAACACTGTCTCGTGGAATGCTGATGGCAGCTGTCATCGGCTGTATTGTACCAGTGAGGAAACAGTGTCTCAAGGGGGTTGAAGATCACTGACTGAAGGCCCAGGTCTGCCCACAGCTGCCTCCACCCCTCCATTGCTTCCAGTATCTGGGACTTGAGTTCCAAAGCCATCCTTGGCGTGGGCACACAGTGAGCAGTGCCTGGGGAGAGATTGTCCTGGCTGGAGAGCTCGTCAACAGGCTGAGCGAAGGTGTTAGAACAGGCTGCCCTGTACCTCTGGGGGTTGGTTTCCGGCTCATGTCACAGTCCAGTGGAGACCAGCGGCCTCTCCAAGCAGTGACTCAAGAATCTGTGTTCACTCCATCAGGTTATTCTGTCATCCAAGTCTTTTTCGTCAGCCACATGAATGGGGTCTAGGGAAGGCACGCTGTTCATCATACACTTGAACTAGCTTGGCCTGGAAGCACCCACTACGTCTGCTCCCATTCTGTTGGCCAGGACGCGTCCTGTGGCTCCTGTGCGTGTGCAAGGGAACCAGGGCATGTTGGGCGTGTGGCTGTGGGAGAGCAGCCTCCGGGTTTCTGGCGGGAGCCAGCAGGTGCATGGACCCACAGTGCCGGTTTCCCACAGAGGTCCTCTCAGTGCAGAAAGCCAAGGACCAGCCCCTTTTTTTCCCACTGCTCTCTGGGTGACTTGGAAAGTACTGAAGCCTCAGGGCAGAGGTTGGAGAGAGGAGAGCCAGGATTCCTTGGGCACTGAGAGCAGGGAAGGGTTTTCAGTGAGCCCCTTGTGCTCAGCCAAAGCAGCTGGGTCAGGTGGCCCTGGGTGAGACTGAGGTTGTCACGTGTGCCATTTGGTGGGAATGGGGGCACCAGTTGGACAGCAGCAGAAATCATTTCTGTTTTCTGTTGATGACTGTCTTGCTTACTCAGTGACTAGTGCACGGGCTCTGAGATCTGCAGAGGAGTCCTGAGGCACGTGTACACAGTTGTCCACGTGCGTGCACATGTTGTAGACGTGTCCCTGTGTTGGAACATCTGGAGTGTGGTTCTCCAGTTGTCTAGCCCAGAGTCTGCCTCCCTGGCCCCCTCCCAGCTCCTTCATCATTAGCTGTGTGGATGAAGGCGAGTTGCCTTGGTGTCCCCATCTGTACAATGGGAATAATAATTGGCTCTGCCTCATGGGGTCATTGAGATGATTAAGTGAGATAGTTCATGTGAAGTGCGTAGAGTTGGGCTGGGTGCACAGAGGTGCTCGATGGATGTTAGTTATTGGCTGGATTTGAATCTAAGCCTGTCTGACTCTCAGACTCCAAACGTGTGCTCTTCCTAGAGACTGCTCAGTTGGTAATTTACAAACTTTCAGTAAGTAAATAAGACATTTCACTGGTTTTAAATTTCTGGGAGCACATGATGAGCAGTCTCCCTTTCACCCTGATCCCACAAGCCCCCTGGTCCTCTCCCCTGTGGTGGCTGCCACTCTGACCAGTTTCTAGTGCACATCCCAAGATACTCTGTGCATATCCAGTAAGATCTCACTTAACGTCTTCGATAGGTTCTTGAGGACTGTGCCTTTAAATGAAATATATAATGAAACCAATTTTTTTCTCACTGTTATAAAAAAGTGACGTTGAAGGAATTGATGTTATTTAAGGACCTGCTGTACAATTCAGTTGATACTGCACTTTCCAAGAACCTATCCCCAATGTTCAGTGAAGACTTACTGTACAAGCACATGTTGATTTTGTGTAACCCTTTTTTCCCCTCCCCATACATATTCTAGCATGGTATACTCAGTGATCGGCCCCTTCTTGGAGATCTTTCCACGTCACCACAGAAAGCACTCCCCGTTCTCTTCTGTGGCAGCATGGTCTTCCACCATATGGATCTTCATAAGTGATTCAGTCCCTTCTTGTTGGACTTTTATTTAGTTACTAATTTTTGGCGATTACAAACAGTGCAGCAATGTGTGTGAGTGCATATGTGGGTGAGTTCACCCTGTGAGATCAGCTCCTGGAAGTGAGACTCCTGGACGAGAAAGGTTATGCATTTATATTGTGATGGATATTACCAACTTGCTGCCGTCGAGACGGTTGAATCTGCATCCCCCCAGCCCTGGCCGATACAGTCTGTTATCCGTCTCTCTGACTTTCACCAATCTGGTACATAAAACATGGTTATCATAATGTAGTTGTAATTTGCATTTGTTGTATGAATGAGGTTGAGTATTTTCTAATTTTTATATGTTGGAAGCCTTTTGTAGTTAATTTTCTGTACTTAACATTCAAACATATCTTTTGTTCATGTTTTCTGTTGTGTTAGGTTTTCTTTTTAAAAAAATCAGTTTGTAGGATCTTAATATATTTGAGAGAGATTAGTCATTTGTGATATAAGCTGCAAATATAATACGTGGTGTTCCTGGCTAAGAGGATTCATGATCAAACCATGGGTTTTCCTTAAATTGATACATAAATATAAGTAATTCTCCATCCAAGTCCTATTCTTTTTTTCTTTTTTTTTAGACAGGGCCTCACTCTGTCACCCAGGCTGGAGTGCAGTGGCGCAATCCGTGCTTAAGCCACCCTCCTGCCTCAACCTCCTGAGTAGCTGGGATGACAGGCGTGGGCGTGGTGTGCACCACCAGCCCGGCTAATTTTTTATATTTTTAGAGATGGGGTCTCACTCTGTCATCCAGCCTGGTCTCAAACTCCTGGACTCAGGCGATCCACCTGCCTCAACCTTCCAACAATCCCATGCTGGGATTACAGGCATGAGCCACCACACCCAGCTCCAAGTCCTGTTCTTAAGGATGTGTAGGAAAAATAAATGAGCATGACTGGTCAGGAAAATTGTGAAAAAGGGAGGACCTAGATCTTATTGGTATTAAGCTTATCATGAAGCAATTGTAATTAAAACAATGTGGGAAAAAGAAAACCAAACGAAATCATTGTGATATTGGTGAAAGACAAGTTAATGAAGAGTCCAAAAAATGTGAGAATTATGAAAATATTGGCATTTGCAAACAGTGGGTAAAAGATGGGTAAGTAAATGTTGTTGAGACACTGGAGTGCTCATCCGGAGGAAAACATACACAGATGCACACCTCAGTCTTTCACTGAAACAACTCCCGGTGGATTTAAGATTTAATGATAAAAACTTAAAATGTAAAAATAGTTGAGAAAACCGTGGGCTGATTTAAAAAACAGTCTAGGGAGCAAAGATCAAAAGATGAAAATATTTATACATTTGAATTACAGAAAAGTCAAGATTTTCTGCCTGGCAAAACCACCACAACTAAAGTAGAAAGACAGCAACGTGGGCGGCGCTAGGCAGGCCTTACCACTGTCTGCTTGCCCCCACAGCCTCCATTCCTGCTCTTGATTTCCGGGTTGGGGTGCCAGTGCCAGGCCCTTCATCTTGGAGAACTCTGCAAAGCTGACAGTGGTGTGCTGTGTCGGTGGCCGGCAGGATGGAAAGACCCTGATTCCAGCCCTGGACAGGTTCTCGCTTCCTGACCCAGGTGGCTCTCAGGAGATGGCGTTGTGGTTGAAAACTTGAGGCCTGCCAGCTAGGATTTCAGAATTGTCCTGTTCTCCTGGAACTGGGGCAAGTCTGGGTTGTTGACGCTGTGCTTGTGGGTGCTTCCCTGCCTCTGGCCCCCTCAGATTGTATCTCGGACCACATGATAGCTCCCCCCAGCCTCAATCCCTGCACATCAGGAAAGGACGTCTAGCCAGCTGTGTTGTCGGCCCACTCCCCTTCCTGATGAAGGCAGAAGGCTCAGGAGCCTGTGTCCCGGAGCCACAGGGACCTGGGGGTGTTGGGGGAGATTTGCTGGTTATACAGCCTCAGTTCGGTTGTTTTGCCTCTTGACTTCCTTGCTTCATGTGTAAAATGGTGACAGTGGCCTCTGCCTCCTAAGGACATGGAGATTATGTGCTAAGGAGATTAGGTCTGTCATTTGCTCACTGCAGCACCTGGAATATAAGGGTCCCGGTAGTTCTGGTGGAGGTGATTATCAGAATCATGCTGGTGGAAAGCCAAAGAAGGCCAGAAAGGCCTCCGCTGAGGCCAGAGAACATCCAGCCTCATGTGAGGAAGAAAGTCCTATTTGCTGACACCTGTACAGCATGGTCAGCTCTAGTCACAGAGGGAGGTAATCGATGGCTGGCCCTGGCTGTGTGCTCATCGCGACTATAGGAAGGATATTTCTTTACCCTCACTCCACAGGCGAGGAAGCAGGCTTGGGGAGGGGAGGGATGTGCCCTTCCCCAGGCTGCACAGCTGGAGGCTCAGCCCCTGCCCTCTAACCCCTGGGCATCCTTCTGCCTGGGGAGGGAGCACCTCTGTGCTTGAGGTGGCTTGGGAAGAAGAGCACTGGCCAGCCATGGAGGAGTGCTGTGGGCAAGAGGATTCCGCGAGTTCCTTCCTCCAGGCCTGGCAACAGGAGGTTCATGTGTGGGATCCTCTCCGCTCTCCCCGCAACACACACAGGGCGGTCAGGCTTTGTTACGTGGCTTCTGACTCCCCACCTTGTGGATCCAGACCTGCCAGCCCTTTTATGCTCCCTTTTTTTCTTTTTCTGCTAGCCTGTGATTCGTACTTTCCCCCCAGGACAGGACTAGATTGGTGCCTGGCAACAGAGGGGAGGGGTTAGCTCCTATCAGCTCTGACTCTGGCCTCTCAGGTGCCACTGTGAACAATAACACAGATGAAGCAGCCCCTTGGCCAAGATGCACGGGATCGAGGGACTCATCTGGCAGGTTGAGGGGACTGCTAGGGGTGAGCTTTCCTAGGATGCTGGGGAATAGCCACGTCGTGATGTGGCTCTATCAAGGCTCCTGCCTTTTGCTCCTAAGGGCTCTGACAAGTTATCTTCCCCTTACAGGATAAATCCCCATTCCTCTCTCATCCAAATACTAATAAACTACAATGTGAAAAAAATCATAGCTAAATCCTGTTCTCAACCTTGCAGTTACCTGTCGGGGCCTGTTTGCCTTAATCTGCTTTTCTCCCCTTCCCTTTCCCTTCCCTTCCATCCTTCCTTTGTTTCAACAAATGAAAAAGAAAAGCTTGGGGTAGGGGGACCAGCTATTTTATGAGGACAGATTTGGTTGTGCTGTATTAACCAACAGCCTCAGAATCTTAGCTGAAAACCGTGGGTTATTCCGCACTCATGCCACATGTCCACAGGGCCAGCTGGGGGCTCTGTCCATCTTATTCACTCAGAGATCTAAAACTGAGCAGCCCCATCTGGAAGGTTGCTGGTCCTGCACCAGAGGGGAGAGAGGGCTCTGGAGACCTTACTCCTGCAGTTACATGCTCTGCCCAGGAAACGGCATGTTCTGTTTTCACTCACAGCTCATTGGCCAGAACGAGTCACATGATCACCCATTTACCAGGGAATCAGGAAGTGCAGTCCTGCCTTGTGTCCAGAAAAGGGGCTGATAGGCCGTGTGCGGTGGCTCACACCTGTAATCCCAGCATTTTGGGAGGCCAAGGCGGGCAGATCACATGAGATCAGGAGTTCAAGACCAGCCTGGCCAAACATGGTGAAACCCAGCACATCTCTACAAAACAAACAAACAAACAAGCAAAAACAGAAAAGGGGCTGCTATACCCACAGTCCTTTTATTTTCATATTCTGGGTTTTCTTATCAGCCTTTTCCACAGTAAATGTTGGTTCATGTGGTTGTAATTCAAGCACCTACTCTTATCTCTATCAAGACCTCTTCATTGTCATCTCAGTTACTGTTTTTTTCTTTGTTTTTGTTTTTTTGTTTTTGTTGTTTTTTAAGAGATATGGCCAGGCACAGTGGCTCACGCCTGTAATCCCAGCACTTTGGGAGGCTGAGGCAGGTGAATCACTTGAGTTTAGGAGTTCAAGACCAGCCTGCCCAACATCTGGTAGAGATGAGTAGTGAAACCCATCTCTACTAAAAATACAAAAATTAGCTGGGTGTGGTGGTGCACGCTTGTAATCCCAGCTACTTGGGAAGCTAGGCAGGAGAATCACTTGGACCCGGGAGGCAGAGGTTGCACTGAGTGGAGATCATGCCACTGTACTCCAGCCTCGACGGTAGACCGAGACTGTCTCAAAAAAAAAAAAAAAAAGATGTGGTCTTGCCATGTTGGCCAGGGTGGATTCAAACTCCTGGGCTCAAATGATCCTCCCACCTCAGCCCCATGAGTAGCTGGGATTACAAGTGTGCCCCACTGTGCCCAGCCACACCATCTCAGTGGCTCTTGACTAGCCCTTTGTGGTGGCATGCCCAGCATTAGCCAGCACCCCGTTTTCACACATGCTCTCTGTGTCTTTTCTCTTGTCAATATGTTGTCAGTGACTCTCCCTAGGCCAGAAGTGGCCTTCACTTGTTGATCATTTCCTTAGGCCAGCATCCTGGGAGTGGGTGTGCTTATCCTTTGCCTGCTCTTGGACCTGGCCTTCCAGCACCCAGTGTTGGGAACGCAGAACAGGACTGGCCCATCCTGAGAACTCAGGGTCAGTCCTATTCTTAAGGAGCTGTGCTTGCTGAATGGGTGTAGCTTTTCTGGGTCTAATGTCAGCTCGTAAATTCCCAGAACTTTGGCTCTGCAAGGTAGCACCATCCTCAGGCCATTTAGTTGTCTTGACCCTTTATCTTCTAGGGAGAAAAGTTACCCACTCTTATGCCTTCACGAGTTTGCCGTTTCTTCCCATTATCCGAGTAATTGGAAACCAGTTACTCAGAAATCAGGGAATTGGGTCAGAGAGCATTTTCAACAGCTTCCCTCCCCAGCCTGGGGCAGAGGCTGCTAGGGTGACCAGTACCATCCTTGTCCCAGCCTGCTGGTCTTGGTGGCAGCCCCAAATGACCTTTAGCTCTTGACCTCTCTGGAGCACCTTTGAGAATGAGAGTTGTTCTTGCCAGGGAAAAGACTCCATCTCCTCTTCTCCAGTCTTCCTTTGGAATCAAACCCACTGAAAACACACCACTGGCATGGAGTCCTCTGAGGCCAAGCTCGTTTCTTTTTCTTTTTCTTTTCTTTTTTTTTTTGAGACAGGGTCTCATTCTGTCGCCCAAGCTGGAGTGCAGTGGCATCATCTCGGCTCACTGCAACCTCCGCCTCCCGGGTTCAAGCAATTCTCCCACCTCAGCCTCCCAAGTAGCTGGGACTACAGGTGCACACCACCACACCTGGCTAATTTTTGTATTGTTTGGTAGAGACAGGGTTTCACCATGTTGGCCAGGCTGGTCTTAAACTCCTGACCTCAAGTGATCGGCCCACCTGGCCTCCCAAAGTGCTGGGATTACAGGCACAAGCCACTATGTCCGGCCCCAACATCCTTCTGGAAGTCTGTCCATGAGGTTCCCAGATCTGACTTTCCCTTCTGGAGAGACCTGCTTCTGCTTGGCAAGGCCTTTGAACTTTGGCAATGGCAGTTCTGTCCCAGATTCTCAGATCCATGGAGAGGGCAGAGGAATAAGTCAGACTTCAGCCCTCTCACCCTTTATTGGGGCCATTTTGTCTCAAGCTTGGTTGGGACAAAACTTTTCGGAAGTTTCCACTGGTCAGTAATAATAAGAATAGTAAGTATAGGGAAATACAATAGCTGACATTTATTGAGTGTCACTGGCTAGGTACTGCTAAGAGTGAGTGTGAAGTTGTGAGACTGTGACATGTTATTTAACCACCCTGTGCCTCTCATGAGTCCCCGTCTCAGACTATTGTGAGAATTGAGCAACTCAGTGCATGTGAAGTGCTTAGAGTAGAGCCTGGCACCGAGCAAGTGTGCAAGAGCTGGGTGCTAGTGCTGGGATCGCGAGGCTTCTTGCTTTAAAGACAAGGAAACTGAGGTTCCTAGAGGGCGGTGGCCACACAGCCCTCCCCATTATCTGAGTAATTGGAAACCAGTTACTGAGAAATTGAGGAATTGGGTCAGAAAGATTATATGATACCGTGGGGGAAGAGCAGCCCCCAGCGCAGGAGCAGGAGACAGTGGATTAAAGAATCAGCATCATAACTGGGGTTACGGTGCAATCCTGGAGCGACGTGCAAAGGGTTCTGGGGCTGTGGGCAACACAAGGGAGCCACTAATTCTTCCTGTTTGGGCTGAGGTGAGTTGAGAAATGTGAAAGAGGATTGAACTTTTGCTCTGGGACTCATAACAATCCTGTGAGGTGCAGGGAAGGGTGAGTAGCATCCTCATTTTATGACTGGGGAAACTGAGGTACCACACAGCTCAGTGACCTGCTCTTGTTCAGAAGCAGTGGATTGGAGATGGGTTTCTAGGCCTGTCTGCCTGGCCCACCCCTCCCCAGTTCCAGATCCTGGGAGAGACAGGGATAGTGTCAGGGCCTAGCTCAGCTTGGTTACCAGGCTGGGTACGATTGGGTTAATCATTTTGGAAGTCAAAGAGGACTCTGGGGCCACTGGGGTTTGCAGGCCTTTGTGCCGTCTCCCAGCCCTGCCCCCACCTCTAGTAAGTCTCTGCCTTCGTCCCTGAGGGAAACAGTGGCCCCTTGTTTTCTCTGAGTTCTGAACTCCAAGCGCCACACAGAGCAGGATCCAGCATGGGCCCTGCGAGATGGCATGACTTGGAAACGGAGTGCCCACAGACCTCAGGCCCCGGCGGGCAGCCTTTCATTGAGACACCCTTGCTCCTGCTGGGAGGGACAAACCAGACCCCGTCCTCTGAGGAGAACAAGAAGTCCCTGGGAATGTTCTTTTTTCTGGGGGCAGAGTGTGGTCAGAAAAGCAGAATGACAACCTTGAAATGAGTTCCTGTCCCCATCGCATCTGGGAGACCTGCCTCTGTGGTGTCCTTCCCCCCGGGCATCCCCCTGCACAGTGTCCTTTTCTCCGTGGCCTCCCCAGTCTCAGGAGCTGGGCCCTTTCTCCTGTGGGGGCCGCACCCAAGGGCCCATCTCTTTTCTAGCTAGTGGAGGGAGACCGCAGCCTGTTTGCAGTGTGTTCAGGGGACAGACCCCTTCAGGGCAGTTGTGGCATGTCAGGCACCTGAGGAAGAGCCACTAGAGCTGCCAGCAGCCCTGCTGGTACCCAGCACAGACGCCACAGCGAGAGGCGGCCGCACCCGAGAGCAGCCCAGGCCTGATGTGTGTCCCAAGCTGCTGTTCTCACAGAAGGGTTTTACTGGCATGAAAATGCTTGGAAAATACACAAAGGAGGGTGGCCCGTTTCCAGAGCTCAGCTGTTTACCTTCAGTGGAGCGCCGGGGATGCGGAGAGCTTATTTTCCAAACAGCTGCGGTTGTCAGGTCTACGGGCCTCAGGCTGATGCCAGGGGAGGACACCAAGGGCGTCCCCTCTGCTCACCTCCTTCCCCAGCGCCAAGGGAACCCCACAGTTTCTCCCAGGCAGGGAAACCTGGAGGGCTGTCTGGAGATGTGGGTGCTGGTGGGCATGGGGGTTCTGTGGGCCCGGATGCGTCGCTCCTGTGGCCCGGCTCCCCCTGCGCTCGTAGCTGTCTTGGCCTCTCGTTTGTGGTGCCTGACCCACCGAAGCCACAGGCTGTAGTGGAAATGGGTTGGTGTTTGGCTCTGTCTGAGAGCCCAGTGTTCTCTGCCCATGGCCTCTCTACCTTCCTTCAGAGTCTGCTTTTTCTGGGAAGAGGTATTGGGTGGAGTGTAATTTGGAATCTGTGAAGAGAGCCATCAAAGCTCTTGCAGTTTCTTGTTTCTATCAAAGGGGAAACTGAGGCCCCAGGGGATGGTGAGCCCAGGTCAGCGGGCTGCTCATGGAGACTGACACATGGGCATTGCTGCACAGCCTCCATCCTGGCCGCTTCACCTGCATGGCCTTGCTTGGTCATTTTCCTTCCTGGGCCGTTGGTGTCCTGGTCTTTGCAGCAGGGAGCGTCTTCCCCGGCCCCTGGGCTTGCCGTGAGGATGAGCCGGCGCCAAGTCTCAGGAGATATTGGGAAGTGTCTTTCCCTTCCCCTTCCTCACCCAAGAGCCCCAGAGATGGGCAGCTTCTCAGCTAGCCTGGTTTTGGTTTTATTTTATGTTGTTTTGTACACAGGCCTGTCACCATGGGGAGGGAACAGCATTCCTTAGTAGTTTCTTATTGTGAGGTCTAAAGGATATTTTTTTTTTCTATATAGGGGAAATCCCTTAACATCTTTCCTGGCAAACAGTAAGAAAGAGGAGTTAAAGACACCAGCAGACAAGAGCTGCTGCGTTCCGGGGGTGCAACGGAGAGGAGTTTAGTAAGGGACCATCACAGGGTGTGGGCAGGCCCGAGAGCCAGCACAGGACAAAGTTCCCCGGTGCTAACAAGCCCTGAGAGCTGTCACCACCCCTAGGCCTGAGGGGACTAGGGGACCAAAAATGTACCTGGAGCCATAGGGGAGGCGGTAGTGTTGAGAGAGGGGCTGCCCTGCTCCATGGGGGCTGTGACTGCTGCCAGAAATATGGCAGGGGGTGGGGGCGTGAGGATGCTGCAAATACATTCCCTCCCTCTCTCCTTCTTGCCCATCTTCTGCTGTGCCTCCAGTTGGCCCGACTTGGCCAGAGGACAAGGCAGCCAGGTGATTGTGGCCTGAGAGGACAGCTGCCTAGGGCACAGAGCAGGCGTGGGGAGCGGGGTTGCAGGGGCAGGCAGCGGGGAATGGAGTGAGAAGCGCAGCCTTAGATCTGAGTTTGTGTCCCCACTTCACCGCCTTCCTGCTGTGAGACCCTAGGCAGGTTTTAAAAGTCTCCGTCCTCCACTTTTCTCATTCGTAAAATCACTTCTCATAGTGGTTGTTAAATACAATGAAAGAAATGCACGCAAGCTTTGAGCGTGGTGCCCACTGCCAGTGACCATTTGTAGTTGTCATTATGATGTCTTTCGTAACATTTTTAAAACAGTCAGCCTTGAATCCTGGAGGGAAACCCACTTGGGGGTGGGGATGAGAGCAGGGGTGGGGCTTGTGGCCTTCTCTGGCCTCTGCTAAGGCCAGATTGGGGGTCAGCCAGGTGCCGGGCTGGCGCCGCTGCCTCCGAGGCACTGGCCTTGCAGGTGGTGGTGGCCGCGTGCCGGGAGGGAGACATGTGGCGGGTCAGGAAGCGGGGGTCAGGCTGCCCTGGCTTTTGGCAGGTGCTCCTGTCTTGGGGTCAGGTGACGCTGACTGTTGGCCAGAGGCTCTGGCTCTCTTGGGGCCTGATCTTCCCAACCTCAGGCACTTGCAAAAATAAACACCTTCCCTGGCATAGCAGGAGAGCAGTATGGAACAGATTGCAGGCAGCCCTACGCGCCTTCGCTTCTCCCGATGAGCCCAGATTTCAGTGTGAAGTGCAAGTGGCTGGTCGCTCAAAGCGGCAATTTCTAGATTCCTGAGGACCACAGCTTTGCTAAGGCTTTTTATAGATTAGCAGAAGCAGTATCCACTTAGATCTAAGTTCTGATCTGGCTGTGCGATGTTAGTCATTTACATAACCCCTTGGAACCCTAGTTTTCCTAGGGCAGATGGGGTGTGTTGAGAAAAGCCTTTCTCTGTAAAGCCATTTCTCAGCATCACTTGCCTGGCCTGTTGACACTATTGCCCTGATTCCTCTTATGTGTCTTCTGCATCCTGGGTAGCATGGGGCTTGGGGAACAGAAGTTACAAACGTGGGGTGTGCCCTTGAGGAGTTAGCAGGAGAGAAGAGTTGTGGGGTCTTGGAGGGTTTGTCCTGCTTGTCCTGTCTGTATTTTCCATGTCAGCCCTCCTCCTGCCCCATCTCCAGAGTGCTACAGGGAGGCTCGAGGGTCCTCTGGTGATATGCCCCAGGGTGGACAAGAGGATGGGGGCAGTGGACTCAGGTGCTGAAGTTGTTGCTTTTGTCTGTGTTCCCTGCCTCACAGCTGAACCTTAGCCGGCCGATCGAGGAGCAGGGCCCCCTGGACGTCATCATCCACAAGCTGACTGACGTCATCCTTGAAGCCGACCAGAATGATAGCCAGTCCCTGGAGCTGGTGCACAGGTTCCAGGTGAGTGAGGACCATGCAGCCCTTGGCTGTGGCATTTTCAGGAGGAGGAGGGGAGGCCCTGGAATGGCCGTGTGTGTATTTAGGGCGGTAGCAGCTCTCTGGAGGTATAGTCTGGAGAAATGGCTCTGCCACTGGCAAGACATGGGCTCGTGGGCAGGTACTTCTGTGCGGCGTCAGTGTCCTCGGGTGTAGCGTGGGGACTGAACCAGGGCATGGTTGGGCCGTCTCCACCCCCTGGCTGTGTAGACACGGTTTACTGATGAGGCATCGCTGAGTTCCAGTGTGGCCTCCACGTCCTCAGCACAGGCATGTGCAACCCTTTCCCCTGGCTCAGGTAGGCACAAGGGATGGAACCCTTCTGCTGCACTTGGTAAAGGGGACCCCCGAGGGCCTTTGAACTGAGTCCTGCCTTGGTGGAGAACCCTGCCTCTGCCCATTACTTTGACCTGGGTACTCACCTTTGAGCATGGCCTGAGGTATCTTGCTGAGTCCCTTGGCTGCTTCCCTCTCCCCACACCACTTCCCCAGCGGCCTCCCAGGTCCTGATCGCACAGTGACCTGCCCACTGCCCTGGGGTTCTCATGCTGGCTACTGACTTGTCCTGTGTTCTCTCTGTTGTGGACAAGAACGTGATTCTGTCCTCTAGAAAGCGGCTCAGAGGTCATGAAAAACAAAGTTGTATTGTCAGTGAAAGTGCAGTCAAGATGGTAGCTGTTTTCAGGTGTGCCTAGTGGGATGGGGATGCCTGAGATGGGGTTTCTAGCGTGTGACAGGCGCAGATTTGGTGCCCTGCTTTTCTTCACCAGGACAAAGGGAATCTTACCCGCCTCCTAGTCACCCGGTGCTGCCGTCCTGCCGACACTGTTCTCTCCCCGTGTGTTCGGGGTCAGCCGCCTTGGCCCCCCTTGCTTCCTTGGGGCTCTCACCCCGTTCCTTGGCCAACTCCCTGCTGCACATTCCTGCTTCCCACCAGGAAGTGGCCCCGGACACAGAGGCAGCCTGCTCCTGGCATCCCCTGCTTGGGGGCAGGGCATGTCCCACGTTGTGCCCTCCAGGGCGTCTGCCCTGCCAGTGGCCCCAAGTCCATTCCACTTGCTGAACACTGTCTCCTTGATCGGACTGGAGACTGTGGGAAAAACATGGTCGGGCTCCTCTGTGACCTCGTGGAGCCTCAGTTTCCTTATTTGTAAAATGGGTGCTAGGAATAAGAAAAGCTCAGACCATGTTGGGAGGAGTGTGCTGGGGTTCGAGGGGAACAAGACAGAGGAGATGTGTGCCCTGGTGATGTGCTGCTTCCTGAGTCCCTGCCCTGTGCCAGGGCTGGGCTGATCAGCACTCACCCATGTGCTACATTTGATCCCCACAGCCCTCAGTGCAGACTCACCAGCCTTGTTGATAAGCAGGAAGTGGAGGCGTGGAAGCATGTGCAGCTTGTCCACAGGGACCCAGCAGAGCCGGGGGTCAGTCTTGACTTTCTCAGGTGAGCCGCTGCTCATCCTGAGGGCTTGCTCTTCTGTTCCTCTCTGCCTCCAACCTACACAACTGTCCTGGGGTGTGGTCCCAGCTGATCCCAAGTCATACAGCGACTTTCCTCTCCCCTGAGCCATTTGCTCCTGCCTCACCCCCGTCTCCTTCGGAAGGCCCCTGAGTGCCCAGTTCATGTGCCTGTGGTGCCCTTGGGGCTTATTCTCTGGAGGAGCACAGCCATGCCTGGGCTGCCACGCAGACCTTTGGGGCAGGGATGGTGCATCTCTTGCTGAGTCCATCTGGGGGACGATGGCCTTCCAGATGCCTGATTACCGTTACCTCAGAAAGCACTGCAGAGCAGTTACCGCTTACCAAGCCCTGCTCGAAAGCGCTTCATGGCGGTTGACCCACTTGCTCCCATGAGCTGTAAGGTTCAATGATTCCCGTCCTGTGGAGGAAGAAGCAGCTGCAGGACAACTAGAAAGTGGTCCAGGTGGGATTTGAGCCTGCGCTAGCTTGCTCTCCTCACCTGTCGTGTGGCCTCTCCAGAGATGGATGAGGCGGAGGACTTGGGAGTCAAACTGTCTTCAAGGCAGATCCTTGTTCCAAAACTTAGGAACCGCGTGCCTCCCCACAGCCTCAGTTCCTTCCTCCTTGGGTGGGCAGGTTGCTGGGAGGAGTAAATGCCTGTGGGTGTAAAGTGCCCATTGTAGCTGAGTGCCACTTCATCACACCCACACGGTTGCTCTTCCTAGAGACCACATCTCCCAGCTAGCCTGGGCCCGGAGTTCTGGAACATCTGCTCCCAAGCTCTTATCCCTCTTGCCCACTTCCCAGACACACACACAGCCCACAGCCCAGGCAAGTGATGTCCAAACAGTGAATGAGAGTGCCCGCTGTGTTCCTTTTCTGGGCAGAAAACAATATTAACAGGGAGCGTGTGTGGAGGGCAGCATGGGGCCTTGTGGCTTAAGGCTGTCAGGCAGCCACAGGTGCATTTCTCAGGCAGTGTCTTGTCTGGGTCTTGGGGGATGGTTGCCGTGACCTCACCATAACCTCCCAGCACTGATATTTCTGGGATAAATTTTCATCACCGTCTGTGCTTCAGTAAGAGGCCGGATATCTGATAAGGTGGGAAGTTTCCTCCTTTGTGAGGAGAACAATCCTTTGGAGAAAAGGGTGCGGGGCTGCACTTTCCAGAGGCCCCAGGAGAGAGGAGGCAGGCAGGGTTGGCACAGAGAATGACTGAGAGGCACTGGGATGGGGGCTGGGGAAGAGGCTTCCTTCTACCACCGGTCACTGGGCTGTCAGCATTGATCGTCCCCTTCCCTCTGCCATAAGATGCAAGTTCAGAGCCAGACCACATAGACCCAGGGAGGCGGACACTTGACCTCAGTCGTGCCCTTTGTTTTCAGATTTTTGTTTTAAATTTTATTCTCTAGACATTAACAAGGAGGCATGAGTGTGGTTTGAGGACTGGGAGGGATAGGGATGCTATAGGCAGAGGCAGGGGAAGCAGCACCCAGAGCTGGGGTCCTCCCATTTTGTTGTGAGCAGGGAAACCGAGGCAAGATGCTTTGCCCCAGCAGGGACTCAGCTTGAAGGGCCTTCTCCACAGTCCATACTCAGGTCCTGGGAGGGAGGAGGAAGTGGTTTGGGGCTGTGTGGGTGGAGAAAAATGAATTTCTGAGATGTTCCTCAGGGCCCCAGAGCACTGCACTGGGCTGCCTCTGTGAAAGTTCCGGTCCCCAGGGAGGGAAGAAATTCCCAGAGCCAGGAGGCCGTGCCTGCTTCTGGCTGCCCTGGTGGGCAGGTGGAGGCTGTGGGCCAGAGGCTTACTGCAGAACATTAAAGCTGCTTGTCACAGAACCTTCATCACTGCCCCAGAGTTTTGGATTTTTTTTGTTTTTGTTTGTTTGTTTTTTGTGTGTTTTTGATTGGCTTCTAAATGGCTTGGCTTGGAGACTCAATTGGGATGATTCAGTTGTTTTTCTGCTCCAAGGTTCATGTGGAGCCAGCAGCCTGTTGCCCCTGAGGCTCTGCCTGAGGTTTGGTTCTCAGTGTGCAGAACCAGGCAGGGGCCCCCAGGGCCTGCCCACGTGGGCAAGTGGGGCCGGCATGCCGAGAGGGTCCCTGCCTCAGGCTCGGGGACACTAGGGGCCTCCTGGCCTGGTGAGTGGCTTTCCCAGGGGGGCAACACGAGCCTTCTCCTCGCTGTGGCGCCCAGAGCCACCTGACAGGTGTGGGTGCAGGGTGGGAAGGGAGGGGCCCACCGTCCTCTTCTGCTGCCCCTTCTAGCCCTGGAATTGCCCCTGAAGGGGTGCTGTGATTGTGATCCATGGGCCATGTGGGGCTGCCTCGGGGGACCTTCCTGGGGTTCTCCCTGAATAAGCTTAGGACTAAGAAGGAAGTTTCAGTCTCAACTGCTGCCTTTGCCCTGTCTTTATCAGCTGGAAGGACGGTAATTGTCCCTCAGATGTCCCCTGAATTCCCGGTCTGCACACAGACTGCTAGGAGAGTGTCCTCTGCGGCAGCACTGCTGGGTGCCCTGCCCGCGAGCTCCTGGCCAGGAGGAGAGGCCAGCAGGCAGACCCAGAACTGACCTCACGGCCCCTAAAGTGATGAGTTAGGAAAAACACAGGTCTGATCACAGCACAGCTTGGCTTAAAACATCCCATGCTTTCTTATTGCTGTGACACTGAAGGCCATGATTGCCAGCTTGACCCATGGGGCCTCGGTGATCTGCCCCACCCGCTCCTTCCCTGGCCCCCTCAGCAGCTGCCCAGGCTCTGATGTGTGTCCACCTCAGCGCCTTTGCACAAGCTGTTCCGTCAGCTCAGTGCCCCTTCCCAAGAAATGTCCTCCCTCGTGAGCTGATTAATGACACATCTCTCGTCCCAGGCCCTGCCAACTTTGCACTTTTCCTTCATGCCCTTCGGAAGTTCGTAATTCTTTATCAGTGGCTATTGTCTGTCCCTTCACTGCGGCAGGGATTGTGTCTGCTCCCAGCAGCTGGTGTTCCCATTGCCGCCTGCAGTGCCTAAGTGTTTGGGTGGCGGCGCATGCCCAGTGCTGGTCATGCGCTGGGGCGGCCTTTCATGGGGTGCCCTGATGGCCTTGCGGAGGGAGGACGTGGCTCTGCTGGGCTGCTTGGAGCGGGGAGGGAGGAGGCCAGGAGCGTTAATGAGGCAGATGGCGCTGCCTGATGGGCATGTGCGGCGATGTCTCCAGGTGTCAGCGAGGTTGGAGAGGGAGCAGCAAGGCCGGAGCTTGAGGGCTTTTTCATGCCAGGCTGTGCAGCTTGGACTCTATCCTGCAGGGAGGGTGGGGCGGGGATGGCGGTGATATGATCAGATATAATTGGCAAGAGAGAGGCCCTGCTTGGAAGGGGAGATTGCCAGTGCAAGATGAACTCTGAGCAGCTGAGGACACTGTTTACTCTTTGGAGCCCAGGTGCGTCCAAGTTGAAGAAGGAGCTCATGGCCCCAGGCTCAGTGTTGTGCCCATCCTCAGCCCCAGGTGCCCCTGCATGTGGTCCTGAGCATCCCCTCCCTCCGCTGCCATGAAGGCTGGCCTCTGAGCAGCTTGAGCCTTGCCCAGCCTACACAGGACAAAGTTGCACTCACCTCCTGGCTCCTCTCAGTGTGTAATCATCTAAAGTGGATCTGGGAAGGAAGCTCCTGCCCCGAAGGATGCCGGAAGAGAATGCACACTTGGCCACACTGGTTCTTCTCATGTTGTCCCTGGAAGGAAACCATGTGTAGCCTTCAGTAGTGCCTCCCCGACCCCACCATCCTCCTGAGGGGACAGGAAGTGAGTAGGGCTGGGAGCTGGTGGGAGGGGGTGATGTTTGGGGCCCTCCCTGCTAGTCCGCCAAGCGAGGCCAGGCTTCGCCACAGGGATAGACAGCTCCCCTCACCCAGCACAGGCTTAGCTGGGCTTGCACCACGTGGTCACGGAGGGTTAACTACAGCTTTGCAGCCTGAAATGACAGCCGTCATGGCAGAGGGATGAGAAGGCAGTGAGGCTTATGCTGGCTCTCAGTGTCTGCCCTGTGGTGACACGGACTCATCCATCTCACTGGACCTCCCTACAGGCAAGGGAACCCAATACTGCATAGTTCCTTTTTCTTCTTAAAAACAATTAAAATACCTTGTAGGGTTATTGTTAGCATTAAACTAATTAAAATTTGCGATTCCCCTAGTGCCTGGCATGGTGTGAATGGTGCACGTGTGTGTAAGGGTCAGTCAGCCACGCTTACTGTGAATGCCTGGCATGGTGTGAGTGGTGCACGTGTGTGTAAGGGTCAGTCAGCCACGCTTACTGTGAATGCCTGGCATGGTGTGAGTGGTGCACGTGTGTGTAAGGGTCAGTCAGCCACGCTTACTGTGAGTGCCTGGGGTGTGATGATGCGTACGAGCCACTCAGTACAGGCCCGGCGCCTAGTGAACCATCAGTCACCGTGGCTTATGTCAATATTATTATTACAGTGACAGTAGGACTACTCTGTCAGCCTTATCTGTGGCCCCAGCTGACTTGAGAGCTCTCAGTCCTAATTGGAGTCAGTGAGGCAGTGATTATGAAAGTGTCCCCAAACGGGAGATGCATTCTGTGCTAGGGCAGTGGAAATGCCTAAAAGGCAGGGCCAGGTGGGGGTCAGAGGGACTCAAGTGCTGTTCCTAGCCCCACCCTTCACCTGCTGGCCCACCTGGGCCTCGGTCCCCTTGCCTACCGCATAGGGAAGGTGCAGGATGGCACAGAACACCTTCAGAGCTGTTGCGTCTGCCTCCAAAGGACTACCCAAGGCCGCGGTTCACGTTTGCCACAAATGTGATTTCACAGCTGCATTGAATCAAACCCTGTTGGCCCCTGATGTTTATTGAGCAGTCGCCAGCACAGGGATGGAGAGGAAGTAGAAGAAACAAAGGTTTTTGTTGTTCTAGGTGTTCGAGTCCGACTTGGAAGATAACATCTAAACCTATCAGAGGATAAATAACACCGTAGAATCTAAGTGGGCTTGTGTCGGCTTTGCCTTTGTGCCTGCTGACCAGTGGGGTCAGAGTAAGAACCATGGGCCCCGGGAAGGGGTTTGTGTTGTCACCAGGGAGCCATGGGAGGGCTCCCTATTTTCTAAGAATGTACCACGTGACCCATTCTGCCACGGGCGTTCTCATCTCTTATGTCTTTGGTCCCCATCTCAGTCCCTGAGATAATGGAATTATTTCCCCATTTTTCAGGAGGAGACAACTGCGGCCCGGGGAAGTTAAGTCACTTGCCCAGGGTCAGGTAGAAAGTGGCAAGGTCAGGATCATAGCTCGGAGGGGCTTTGGTGACAGCTGATGGCACTGTGGGTGGTGTGAGGGTTGGTGATTTCAGGGCCACCTTGGCAGGAGGTCATCGTCTGGGATTGCCTCTGACACAGCTGGTGCCGTGTGACGATGAGACTGCTGGCCAGCAGATGCTACGGGAGGCAGAGTTGGACGCATCTGGCAGCCCTGGTCCCAGAGAAACAGATCATGTCCTGTTCTGGGGTTGCTGTGAGGTCAGCCTCTCGATGACTGCTGCCCTGGGTCATAGGCGACTCCTCCTGTGGTGGAGACAGCCACACAATCTGTCCATTGTGCACCAATGCCAGGCCAGGAATCGCCCTTTCTGCTTCGGGGAGGGTGGGACCATTCTGTGCCGTTAGCCCGTTGCAGTTGCTTCCCCTTGTGGAAAGCAAGCCTGGTCCCCAGGAAGACATGTGGCCCTCTTACCAACCAGGAACAGAGCTAGACTTTGTGCAGCCCAGTTGGGACAGGGGCAGGAGAGGGCACCCCAAAGCCTGCGCTCTGAGCCAGCATGTGGGCTGCAGCCCCTCTGCTTGTGTGTGGACGGTCAGGGTTTTTCAGCTCAAGGTCTGGGGGCATGTTGAGTTTTAGAAATATCAATGTTTATCAATAATACATTTTCCCCAAAGTTTTAGAAATAACTTTTATGCACATTATTTCTGGGTTTCTTAACCTCAACATGATTGACATCTTGGGCTGGATAATTCTGCACTGCTAGGGGCTATCCCAGGCAATACAGGGTGCTTAGTTGCCTTCCCGGCTGCTCATTACCAGATGCCAACAGCACTCCCCACCCTGCCCCTCATGACAACCAAAAATGTCTCCAGATGTTCCCTGGTGGAGGGAGCCCATGCCACCCCTGGTCGAGCGTCACTGCATTTTGTAAGAGATGGGTCCAGCAGCTCTGAGAGCTCAGGTGGGCCAGTCAAGTTGTTTCTGATTTTTGTGTGGACACTGAGGCCCCACTGGGTGCAGTTTCTGGGTTTTAGTGTTTGGAATCACACACCAAGAGGACTAACATCTTGTCACTTCTTTTCTTCAGTAATATTAGTACCTGCGGCAGAAAGGACACCCTGTTTTCTGTTTCCTCCTGGTTTGTGTGAGTGGCATGACTTCCCAACGTGTTTCTGTGCTGCCTGTGCAGGCTGTGTGCCCGTGATAAAGCCCACTGTGTCTGCCTTTGTCTTCATGTAATAAATCCCATTGCCACCTCACCAGCCAAGAGCACAGCCGGCCGGGTAAACCACGCGCTGGGCCTCTGCTGACCTCGGCCCTCTGGGATGGACAGAGTGAGGCATGAGGATATCCTCTGAGCCCCTCCCTATAGGTCCCTGCCCCAGGCCTCCCACGCCTCCTGGCAGCCAGCCCTGGATCTGGCCCTGGCCCCTACCCGTTTGTCTCTCCACTGATCTGTGAGATCATTCATCAGTAACTATTATGTTCATTCAGCAAGTCTTAGTGAGAACTTACTGTCTGCCAGAGTTCTCCTAAAAGACATTACAGATGCAACAATGAATAAGACCTGGTGGACGCAGCCCCTGCCCTGCTGGAGCTGTATCTGAGTGTGAGTGCATCGGATGATGGGAACAAAACATAGGTAAATAGAGGACAAGGTAACACAGCCCCAGTGATGGCGAGTACTAGGAAGAAACACACCGAGGCCTGGGAGAACAGGGAGGTCCTTGTTACTGATCCTCTGAAGAGCTGACATTGAGTTGAGGCCTAAAGGGCAGGACACTCAGGAGGGGAGCAGGCAAGGGAGCAGCACCTGACCAGGCCCTTCAGTGAAACAGGATGGAGGCATAAGGACCCGCAGTAGCTGGGTGCAGCTGGAGCACGGTGGATAGGGCTGTCTGCAGTGGGCTGGCAGGAGCCAGGCTGAGCCTGGGCCTGGTGGCCTCCTGGGAGCGCTGGGTAGCTCTTTGAGGACACAAAATATCGTGCCAGCTCCCCTCTTTGATGGCCCCAAGTTGAGCCACAGACAACGTGCCATTTTCTAGTCCCCAAGCTCTCTGAGGAGGAAGGGGCCCTGCCCATTGCAGCAGTCAGAGGTCAGGGAGGAGCTCCTGGGGCGGCAGGACGACTCCCACTTCTGAGCATGCCCGCAGCCACTGAAGAGGATGGCTGACATGTGGAACAGAGGCCAGTGTCATCCACGGGGTAGATGTCGTAGCCAGGTCACCCCTGGCAGCAGGATCTGTCTCTCTTATTGTGCACCTAGAGCCTGTACCAGAAACTAGAAGACTCGGGTGGCTGGATGCAGAGGTGAGGAGCCCAGGGGTCCTCTGGCCTCAGTGACCCAGTTGGCCTAGGTCAGCAGCACCACCGCAAACTGTGCCCTGATTCTGGATGACTGTTCTCTCCCTGCAGACACTAGTTTGTAAGCCCTGCTGGCTGTGAGTCACATTTGCAAACCCAGCAATGCATCACACGGACAAGGCAGGGGAGCCCATGGGCTGCCAGGAGGCATTGGCTTATTCTGGGAACTGAAAGTCAGACTCGGCCGGGCGACTGTGGGCCAGGGTGGGGTGGGTGGGGCTCCAGCAGGCATGTCACCTTTGGCCTTGATGTAGGGAAGCTGCTCTTCTGTGTATTATTGTATACAGGGGAGGGGCAGCTGCATAGGCCCACCTGAGCAGGTGCGTGGGAATGCATGTAGGGGTTCAGACAGGTGCTTAGGGGGCGTGGGGCTGCTGCTGAGGTGGGTGGAACCCAGCTCCGTGTGACCTTGGGCAGGCAGCCCCTTTCTTGCCCTCCTGTTGTTCAGCTGGTAGCTGTGACAGTGGGCCAGATGACCGACCCCTTCCAGCTCCATCTGCGTGGAAATCCCAGCTGTCCCTTCATCCTGCGGGATCCTTCCCTGGTCGCCTAGAGGACCTGACTAGTGTGATGGTGCTGTGACACAGCATGTGGCATTTGTCAGGGGAATAGCTCTGGCTGGGCACCTTGCCTGCCTCCCGCTGACAGAAGGTGGAGAAAGCTCATAAAAGTTTGGTGTGAAATCTGGGGACAGAGGGGAGGTATTGTTTTCAGTGGCAGGCCTGGAAAAAGGGGGAGTTTGCTGTCTCCAAATAATAGTGTTCTCTTTCCTTCCAGCCCTCTCCTCTGTAGCAGTCAGGGTTATTTTTTGGCCTGAACACCATTGTTTTGCATGGGTCTTCCTGCTGGCTCTTGAACAACAGTTTCCCCCCCAGAGAGCCTGTGGTTTCTCCCAGCCGTGGCTCACACCACATGCCAGGCGGCTAAGTGAGGAGCATGACACTGTAATGCCTCAGTAGCCCCCATGGGAGGATGACCCGAAGTGACCATTGTGGGTAGCACCCACCTTCAGGATGGGTGTGCCTGTGACCTGCAGGCCACAGGAGACACAGTGGGGTCTGCATGCAGAATCACATTCAGGGTGCCCCATTTGCGTGCTCGGGCCCCTGCCCTGCTCCGCCCCACACAGCCCCTTTTAATGCCTTCCCCCAATCTGAAATGGAGAATCATGTACAGTTCATTCACCCTGGAGGCTGGAGCCTGGTTGCTTTGAATCCCTTATTCTATATTCATTCTGTTCACCAGGGAGGGGATGGGTTGTTGTTGGCGTCTGCTCCAGGGAAGCTTCCCCAGCCCTTCCCAGGGCTCCAGCGTTTCCCCTACCCCTTGTTGGGCCTGGGACACCGAGTTTGACCAGCTTGCACATGGACTGTGAGTCTGATGGATCCTAAGTGTGGCTTGCCCTGCGCACCACTGCTCGGCTCTCAGCAGTCCTGAACGAGCTGGCACATGCATTTGGAACAAGTTTGTGAACAGAGTCCCTCTGCTGCTCAGCCAGCCGCTTCCCATCTTGGGGGGCAGCCATCAGTTCCAGTGGCCTGGAGCCTTTCCAGGGGGTTCTGTGGGACTGAACAGAGACAGTCTTCCTCGCTGCACAGCCCCTGTACAATGGGGCTGTACGGTATGCCCTGGAAGTGATCTCATCTTAGTCTTTTGCAGGCAGCCTCATTCTAACTGCTGCATGTTAAACGGCCTCCCTGTCCTTTTTACCAAGCCAGCTCTCTACTGGTGTATACCTAGGGCATTTCTGATCATGTTTTAGAAACATGCTGTAGTGAATAGCCTAGTACATGTATTTTTGGGTGCACAGGTGAGGAATTCTGTAGGATAAACACCTAGGAATCGGGATGCTGAGTTTGCGCATTCTGCATTTTGGCTGTTGTCCGGTTTCTCTCTGCAGAAGCAGTACCAGTTACACTGCCACCAACCAAGGACTGGTCCCTTTCCACCACCTTAGGAAGCGTCTCTAATCAGTTTACCTTGGCATGGAGTCACAGAGTGTTGGAGGGTGCCAGGATCCTGGCAGTCTCCTCCTCTTGCCTGTTGGTTTTGCTGCTGGGAGCTCCAGGCCCTGGGAAGGGTGGTGTCATGCTGCCTCACTTGGCTTGCCCGGACCCTGAATCTGGGCCATCTTGCCCCTGTCTGGTGCTGTGTTCTCAAACTTCACTTTTCTCTTCCGCACTCCATGTCTGACCACCCCAGCCTGAGCTCATGGGTTTAAATATTGGCTCACAGGAGCTGATAGACCTAGAGGCAGATTGCATCAGAGTTTTCTTTTTGCCAGCTCTACCAAATCACAGAGATCACTGTATAAAAGATGAAGGCAGCCCATCAGTTCTTCCTGAACAGTGAGGTCCAGCACACATACCCCTAAGGCCAGCACCACATCTGACACACCACCAAGACCGCATCCATCCCCAGCTCCATCCTGTGGCCTTGCAGGCTGCTGGACTGGTCACTCCATAACCCATAGCTGTCCTTGTCACTTCCCAGCTCAGGACCCTGTTGCTTTAGGGTCAAGTCCAAACTCCTCAGCTGGTCCGTCTCCTGCTCTCTACCTTGTCCTCACTTTTCATGTTGAGACTGCCGTCCGCCCCAGCCCTGCCAGGCCCCCAGCAGGCCCGTGAATGTGCTGGACTCCCTCACCCCAGACCTCTGCTTTTGCTGTCCCCTCTGCTTGGAGTACCCTTTCTCCCCTGGCCCATGCCTGTGGCCCTTTGTGGTTGACATCACCAACCTCAGCAGGCTCCTCCCCAGCCCCCAACCCTGTGCCCCCCGCACCCACACTCCTCTGCTCCTTTATTGCTGGTCAGCCCCACGCCTCTCCTTTGCTCAGCCACATGGCCGCCACTTAGGAGCCTCTGGGAGGGTGGGGAGAATGTGGCTGCTCTATAGCTGAATAGGTGACATCCATCACCACACACGCACGCACACACACACACTCATATGCTCTCACACTCATTCTCACACACACACACATATGCTCTCACACTCATACACACACACGCACTCACTCACAAGCTCCCACATACACGTGCTTCTCAGAGGCTGTCACTCTTTCTGCTCTCGTACTGTCTGGGAGGCCTCAGGCTGAGTGCTCAGACGTGGGAGATTTCTCTGGAATACAAATGAGGGTTGCTTAAGACCCAAGTGTCTGCTGATGGGGGAGCTCAACTCTCCCAAGGAGCCGTTTTAGAAAAGTTAGGAAAGAAGGAGTGAGGAAATGGCCTCAACACACTAGGACTGAATCCAGGCAAAACAGAGACCGCAGGGAACCGCAGCCTCAGAGGACAGCTTTGCTTGGGCTGGTGGTCGGTGCCTGTCGCCAATGCACAGCTGTCCACTGCCCACCAGGGTGTGCCTCCTGCTGGCCTCCCTCCCTCACCTGTGGTGGGCATGGATCTCGCTGGCTTGCAGGCGACTGGGATGCGTGCAGTGACCATGCCGTGGGTGTGCTCTGAGGACAGCAGGCCCTGGCTCCTGCGTTTGAATGTCTCTGGGCCTGGGAGGCATCTGGCTCCGTTCAGGGGCCTAACAGCTCTGTTTTTGGTTTGTTCGTCACATCACAGAATCAAATAATCTAGAACTTAAGAGGCAGAAAGGATGTTATAAATGAATTATTCTAGCCCACACATCTTACAGATGGGAAACTGAGATACAGATAACTTAAGTGACTTTCAGAAACACACATAAAGTGAATGGCAGTTCTAGGACTTGTAACCCAAGTTTCTTGACTCTGCATTTGTTTCAACTTGCACAGTGCCCCAGGACCCACGCGCTCGGGTTAAGTTAGCCAGGTGTAGCTGGGCTGCAAAAGATTATCTGACAGTGATGGGCAGGCAGAAGCCTTGGCTGACTGTCAGGACTGTTACATAGGTTGCACGCTGCCCAGCCCAGTGGTAGGCTTTGTGAATGGCACCCTGGGTAGCTAGGCTTGGTGGTCCTGTCCCAGCGTACAGTGGATGCTGCTGCAACCTCCTTTTGGCTCTTGAGAGCCCACCTCCAAGGTTTACCTGCATGCATCTCCAACTCCAACCCTATGCCAGCCTGGCCACCTGGCACATTCTGTTGCACCTAGGCCTAGTGTGGATTTCCCAGGACTATCTGTGGCATGTGGTTTTCTGTAAGCTGTAATCAACAGGCAGGTGTTCTGGGAGGTGCCAGGAAGACTTCTTCTGGGGGATGTTCGGCTGGCCTTGGTTGATGACAAGTTAATCAACAGGGGTTGGTTTCACGGTTGCAGTGGTCTGCCAAGAGGGTTCATTACTTGTCCTTCCCAGAAAGCATTGCTTGGCCTGGCCCCACCCCCTCCCCATGTGACCTGACCTCCCAGGGAGAGGCTTTGCTTTCTGCAGAACCACACTTTCTGCCTTCGAAAGTACAACTGCTCTTGACACTGTTATGTCTGTTAGTCCTCCCCCTGCAGGGGCCACTCCATTCAGCAGCTGCCTTGGGAGCCCTCCTGTGCATAAGTGCAGTGCTGGCCCTGACACGCTCTTCCCCCTGCGCCACGCGGACCCTCCTCACAGAGGCCCTGTGGACTGTGGCCTTCAGTTATGTCATGTATTTACTGTCCTAAGGGGTGTGTGTCTTCATTTGCTTTCATCTGTCTTGCTCCAGGGCTGGGAAGAGATGCAGAGCCTCTGGTCCAGCTGTGGCTTTGAGAGAACAAACAACCAGTGAGGACCATGGGTTGGGAGGAACAGTGGAAAGGGAGCTGCAGTCTCAGCTCTGCCACTCTCCCTTGCGACCTTGGCCTCGCTACCACTGCCTTTCCCCTTTCCAAAAAGATGGGGGCTGGATGAAGGGTCCATCTGGGTTTTGCTAGTTCTGACCATCTTTGCCTTTCCCTCTGGGAAAGGAAATCGCAAACTGGATCTACTATTTTTTTTCTTGGATGCTCTACCTCATGCAGACCCCAAATGGAACACACCCGGCCTCCCTGGACTGTCAGGCTGGTGGCCTCGCCTTGGGGTAGTGAACATGAGAAAGGCTTCCCTTTTTCCTGAAATGCCCCAGAGCAACCCTGGCCCTAGTTAGAGTTGAGATGCTTTTCATTTCGCCAGGCCTTCCATGCCTTGGGTCTTTGACTGGAGGGCTCTGGAGCCAGAGGCCCTGGGTTCAGACTCCATCTTGGCCACTGCTCGCAGGGAGAGCCCTGGCCACCTACTAGGTGCTTTGAGCCCTACTTTGTTTTCTTTTTTCTTCTTATTTTATTTTGAGACAGGGTCTCACTGTAATGCCCCGGCTGAGTGCAATGTCGTGATTACTGCTCACTGGAGCCCCGACCTTCCTGGCTCAAGTGATTCTCCCACCTCAGCCTCCTGAGTAGGTGCGCACCACCATGCCTGGCTAATTTTTAATTTTTTGTAGAGACAGGGTCTTGCTATGTTGCCCAGGCTGGTCTTGAACTCTCAGACTCAAGCAGTCCACTTGCCTTGGCCTCACAGAATGCTGGAATTACAGACGTGAGCCACCACACCTGGCCAGGCCTAGTTTCTTTGATTGTCAAATGAGGCTGCTAACGGGATCTACATAGGGTTGTTTTGAGGGGGAAACATGTCCATTCCTGCAAGGTGTATAGGTCTGTGACCCGTGCGTGGTGAGCATGTTTATAACTCACCCTGGAATCTTGGCAGGACCCCCGTCAAGATGCCAAGGCTTCAGGAACCAGAGACTTCCAGGGTTTCACCCGGCGCTGGGTACGGAGGAGCTGGTGGAAAGGCCAGGCCTTGTGGCCCTCAGCTGGGCCTGGCTGTGCTCTCAGGAGGAGCCAGGGGAGTGAAATTGTGCTGAGTGAGCCCAGGGTCGCTTCCTTTCCCATGAAAGCCCCTGTGAGTACTTTTAACAGCCATAAGGAAGTAATTTCAGTTCTTCTGTCAAGGGTAGAATCACTGGTGTTAGTGGGGTAGCTGAGTGTTAACTGAACACACAGGCCCTGATGCAGTGGATCCTAGAGTCGGCTGGGAAGTTTCCTCTGGGTGTGGCACGCTGGGTTCGCCTTGGTGCTGACACCTATCTCCTTCTGGAGCCAGGTGGTGATCAGGATTCTAGAATCCTGTTGGGTTCAGTACAGGAGGCTGTTGTCATCCCCAGCTGATGCTGCTGTGGCCATGGGGGAGGTGACGGAATTGTGCCCCCTCTGATGCTTGATCTATTCCACGTGGAAAGCTGGAGTCCCGAGAAGCAAACTCCAGGCAGGCCCACGCTGACTTTCAGGCCTGTGCTTGCCGTTTTTTGTTTGTTTGTTTGTTTGTTTGTTTTTCCTGAGACAGATTCTTGCTCTGTCACCCAGGCTGGAGTGCAGTGGCACAATCTCAGCTCATGCAACCTCTGCCTCCCAGGTACAAGCGATTCTCCTGCCTCAGCCTCCTGAGTAGCTGGGATTACAGGCGCCCACCACCATGCCCGGCTAATTTTTGTGTTTTTAATAGAGACGGGGTTTCACCATGTTGGCCAGGCTGGTCTCTAACTGGCTGGTTTTGAACTCCTGACCTTGTGATACTCCCGCGTCAGCCTCCCAAAGTGGTGGGATTACAGGCGTGAGCCACCGTGCCCAGCCTTTTTTTTTTTTTTTTTTTTTTTAGTTGGAGTCTCACTTTATCTCTCAGGCTGGAGTGAAGTGGAGTGGTGCAATCTCAGCTCATTGCAACCTCTGCCTCCCAAGTTCAAGTGATTCTCCTGCCTCAGCCTCCTGAGTAGCTGGGATTACAGGTGTGCACCACCATGCACGGCAATTTTTGTATTTTTGCGGGGGGTTTTGCTATGTTGGCCAGTCTGGTTTCAAACTCCTGACCTCAGGTGATCCACCTGCCTCAGCCTCCCAAAGTGCTGGGATTACAGGCGCAAGCCACCGCGAGCCACAGTGATATGTCGAGTTCACTAACGTTTAGCTTTCAGGTGCTCCCTAGCCTTTCTGGAGATGCACAACAGTTCAGTCACAGAGCCTGTTTCTGTAGGTGACCAGGTGCACTGCAGTGGCCTGGCGTTTGACACTGGAATGGCTGATTTTGAATCCTGGCAAAGCCCCCCAGCTGGTTGTGTTTGACCTTGAGCCAGTCACATTGCCTCTCAGAAACTTGGTTTCTTTATTTATAAAATGGGAATAAAAACAGAGACGTTTTGCTCTGTAAACCATGGGGCTGCTCTGAGAATCAAATGCAATATTTTGTGTCACTGCCCTTGTTGAACCAGAAAAGTGCTACACTTGTATACTGTGGTGGATCATTATGACTATGATTTAAAACATCCATGCCTGAGGAGCCAAATCCTGGGGTCTTTTGTATTTTCATTTCAATTTATACACCCAAGAGAAGTGAAAACGTATGTTGACACAAAAATTTATACACGTATGTTCACAGCGGCATTGCTCCTAACAGCCAAAAAGTGGAAACAACCCAAATTCCTTCCAATGATGAATGGATAAACAAAATACACTACACCATGCCGTGAAGTACTATTTCATCTTAAAGAAGAACAAAGCACTGCCGCACGCTGCAACATGGATGCATTTTAAAACACGATGTGAGCAAAAGGAGCCTGTCATGAAGGACCACACATCACATGGCTTCGCTTGAAGGAAATGCCCAGAATAGGCAGATCTACCCAGACAGAAAGTAGATGTGTGGTTGCCAGAGGCTGGGACTTGGGGCTGAGAGTGAAAGGGAATGGGATTTCCTTCGGATGGGATGAAAACGTTCTAAAATTGAGCTGATCGTTGCACAACCCTGTTAATATTCCAAAAGCCCTTGCTTTGGGGTAAATTGCATCGTATGTGAATGATATCTCAATCAGGCTGTTTTTAATAAAAATCCTATGAGGTAGGAACAAGTACAATCTCCATTTACAGGTGAGGCCCGGGCTTACAATGAGGAAGGCCCAGTTAACTGGGCCTGGCGGCCTCCAGCTCCCTGGCATGCAGTCCCTTCATGCCATCAGCCCTCACTCTACAGAGAAGGGAGCTGAGGCCCAGCAAGGAGGAGGGGTTTCCAGGCTCTGTGTGGGGTCTTTTCCTCCCTTCCAGCCTCCCCACCCACTGGAGGAGAGATTTCCTAAGCAGCGTGTGGAGCAGGACCTTCCCAGCCCTGCCATGGTACCCGCTCGGCGCTCAGGCCATGCAGCCCAGTGGGCAGAATTTCAGCCCCTGGGTCCTGAGTGAAGGAAGGAGCAAGCTGTTAGGACGGGCAGGGCCGGAGCCCGGGACTTTGTCTCTGACCAAAACCTCTCAGAGTCTCAGGGTCCTGAGAAAAATGGGGAGAAACCCTGCCACCCTCTCTGTGCTGTGGGGGACCCGCAAATACGGGAAGGTGCTGCGAGACCTGCCAGGACTTGCCTTGTGCGCAGCCGTCCCTGCTGGCTTAGGGGTCAGTCCGGGCCCCTGGGCCTCTGCCAGGCGGGTCACGCACAGGCTCTCCTCAGAGCACAGGCCTAGGGCAGATGGGGGCTGGAACTCACAGAGGTTTCCAGTTTCCATGATGTCCACTTTATCTGTTTCTTTTTCTGTCTTGTGCTTTTGGGGTCACATTTAAGAAACTGTTGTTTAATCCAAGGTCACGAAGATTTATGACCGTGTTTTCTTCTAAAAGTTTTATAGTTTGGGCTTTTACCCAATAGCGTTTTTATATTGAAAGAAGCAGTGTGCATATAGCAAGTCCCAGGTAAGTGGCCACTGCCTTTATTTTTAAATGATTACTGATGATGATCATTTTTATTTATTATTATTATCCTTACTATAATTAATCTCTCGTTGTCTTTCCCATCTGGGTAGCTGGCTCTTATTTCTTCTTGAAAGATAGTATTGGTGTTTGAATCCATTTCTGGCACACTTAGGGGTGCAGGGTAGAAGGGGAAGATCTGATTACCTGCCTCCCATTTCCCCCCAAACTTTGTGTTATGGGAAATTAAAAATATTTGAGAAGAGAGAATGCCGCAACGTGCTCCCAGGTGCCACCTCCCAGCCTCATGCGTCAGCAGCTGCAGCCACTCTCATTTCATCCGTCCCTCACCTACTTCTGTCCCTGCCCCCAACCCGGATTGTTTTGAAACACATCCCAGATTCCTATTTAATCTGTGAGTCCTTTTTGAGTTGCATCTCTGAAAAACGAATCCCTTGGAAGGTCGCTGCCTGGAGCCTGGGCTGCCGGTGGGGTTGGGAGGTTGTGTTGCACCCCAGGCATCAGCAGGAGGGTGGGCATGGGCCAGAACCACAGCCCCCTTCCATGGGCACAGCTGGCTCCTCTGGGGTCGGCTGCACAGGGCAAGGCAGGGTGAGCCCAGAAACCTTGCGTCAGGTTTAGCCCTAGGAGCCCAGGTGTTGCAGGGTAATGAGAATCCTTTCATTTTTGTGTCTACAAACTCCTTTTGCATCCATGATCTCCATGATGCCCACAGCAGCTGCCTCCGGTAGGCTTTATTCAGAATGGACCTTACCCAGGATGAGTCTCAGAGGGTTAACTCCAGACACAGAATCAATGTCAGAGGCAGAATCTGGACTCAGGACTCTGACAGCATTTTCCATTAGAAGGAGCAAATCCCTGTGTCTCACTCCCTGCTCATTTCCTGCCTGTGAGGATCGAGGAGGAAAGAGTATCTCTGACGTTCATCTCATTCTGCTCAGATTCTCAGTGGCAGCTTAGCAAAGGGCCAGTTGTCTCTGTTGGCATCATTCCATGGGCTTGGGGCCTCTGAAAACCCTGAGAGAGCTTGCGCTGTAGGTGGGCACCGTGACGCTCTGCCCCAGGTGTGTTCCAGCCCTCATCCTGGCAGGGGCTGAATGTTTCTGCCTAGAGCCAGGCTGCCCTTGTTAGCTCCAGGATCCCACTCTTGGTGTCCTTTAGCTGGCAGGCCCTGCGAGGGAACATGTGCTTACAATTTGCCATGGAGACGGCGCTGCCCTTCTTCCTCTGAGTGGTGATAAAATGGTACGGAAGCTCACCCACCCAGCAGATTGGTAATTCTAAGAGACTTGTGAAAAATACACGAGGCCCTCAGTATAATAGGTAAGCTGGAAAGCTTGGCACAAAGTCCGCTTGTGGATAGTGAGGTGACTGGAAAAATTCTTTGCCCTCTCTGTTCCCATCCCAGAAGAGATCGTGTTTAGGAAGAATTCTTCTGTTAATGCTGATGCTTTCATCCCCAGTCAAAAGCTAGTTGACGCCTGCTTGTCAGATGTTTTCCCCTTTGGTTTCATGTAGCCGCTTTCCCTCATGAGTTTGGCTTAACTTCATGTCTTAATGAATCTGAGTTCTCTCTTTAAAGGTCACTGTCCTAACGCATAAACATGGAATCAGAATCGCCCTCATTTATTCAGAGCTGAGCGGAGACTTTTCTTGGGACTTCGAGGGGAGGAAGGAGCACATCTGTGTTCTAAGTGGCCTCGGTTGCTGAGGGAGAATTGGGTCATCCCATCCACGTGCTCGGCTGTTGGCCCCCTTTTGGAAGGAAGGCAGCGAATGCGTGGGTGGCCCTCCCGTTACCTGGAATGCCTCTAGCTGGTGGTCCATCCCGTTCTAGAATGGCTCCCCTGTGCAGCCTTCAAGTTTACCTTTACAAATACACTCTCCATTTTCTCAGTCTGTTTACACCCTTGGAACCAGAGGCCATCTTTACAGAGACCCTAAGGGCATCTGGAGTATTCTTCATGTCACAGATGAGGAGACTGAGACTCTGAGAAGCCAAGTGACTTGCCCAAAGGTGACTCTGAGAGGTGACGACATCGGGCGCCTGGGTTTCTTGACTCTAGGTCACATAGCCTTCCCACTACACCAGGCTGCTTCCTGGTGTGTTTAGGGGAAGGGAGTGAGGACAGCCAAGTGCCTTTAGCTCATAACCGAGGACATGAACTTGCTAGCCAGGACTATAGATCTGGCGGGGTGAAGCGGAGAAGGCTTTTGATCATCTGAGTATCTGCTGCACCCCACATAATGCCCTGAGCACTGTCAGTGATGTGAAGTCTCTTGAGTGGATGACCTTTTTTTTTTTTTAAATTTAAGTTCTAGGGTACATGTGCACAACGTGCAGGTTTGTTACCTATGTATACATGTGCCATGTTGGTGTGCTGCATCCGTTAACTCGTCATTTACATTAGGTATATCTCCCAGTGCTATCCCTCCCCCTCCCCCCACCCCGCGACAGGCCCCGGTGTGTGATATTCCCCACCCTGTGTCCAAGTGTTCTCATTGTTCAATTCCCACCTATGAGTGAGAACATGCAGTGTTTGGTTTTCTGTCCTCGCAATAGTTTGCTCAGAGTGATGGTTTCTAGCTGAGTGGATGACCTTTTAATGTTGACATTTATTTTTCTTTATTTTTTTTGGAGACAGGGTCTTACTCTATTGCCAAGGCTGGAGTGCAGTGGCACCATTGTGCATTGCTGCAGCCTCAATCTCCTGGGCCTGAGTGATCCTCCCACCTCAGCCTCCCAAGGAGCTGGGACTAGGGGCTTGTGCCACTGCACCCAGCTATTAATGTTGGGCTGTGAATATGATTTCATACATATGTGTGAGTCTCGGCGGGGAGGGCCTCATGCATGACCTGCTCTCTTGGAAGCATGGACTGCATTTAAAAGAACAAGCTCTGATGACGGAATGGTGCCAAGAGGGGTAGTTGCCCATGGAGAGCTCCCAAATGAGACGAGGGATCAGGTGTAGGTGCTTGGGTGAGGCTGAGACTGTCAGGAGAGAGGCACTGGGTGTGGCTGCTTGGCCCCAGGGCAGCTCTAGATAAAACCTTCCTTAAGGAGACTCCTCGGTTAGTCCCCAGGCTCCATGTGGGCGGCAGACTTGGGCTCTCCCGCATCAGTGCCTGGTTCACTGTCTACAGGCAGTGGGTTGGTGGCCAAATGGCTTGCTGACGGCTGGAGGGTTCTGCCCCGCATCTAGGTCCTCGCACTTATGTGCAGGGAGAGGATGGCTAAGGGGTGAGGAGAGTCACAGGCGTGAGGACTGGAATGCGAGGCCTCCCCTAGGTTACGCCGGCCACCACTGAGGCCAGAGGAAGTCTTTAAACATTCAGACAGAAAGGAGCCCAGGGCCAGATACTCTGCCGCGAAATCCAAGGAGAGGCTGATTTCAGAGCAGAAGTGGGAATATGAGTCTCTGGTTTTTGTGTTAAAAGTGGCTTTTGGCTTAACAAGTGGTCACTAGGACCAAAATAAGTTCACTTAAGAAAAATAATTCCAAATGGCTCTTTCTCTCTGTCCATAAGGCTCACTAGGAAGGCAGCACTGGGGTGTGTTTCCCCAGCCTGTGCAGGCCTCACTGACGGGCTGTGGAGTGGGTGAGCAGAGGGCAGGGGGGCTGGCTGGGCGGAGGAATCACGCTGGCATGTCTGCTGCCCCCGGCTCTCACAACCAAGTATCACAAACAGGGAGGCTTTTAACGCTGCAGGAATCTCCCAGCCCAGGGGGCCAACAGCTCCAGTCAGGGCGTCAGCAGTGGCTCCCTCCGGAGGCCCTGAGGGCGAAGCTTCCCTGCCCCTCTCCCGGCTCCCAGTGGTGGTGGTGGTGGGCACCTTCCACCCTCCTTGGCTTGTAGGTGTGTCACTGCAGTTGTCTGTCTCCACACGGCCTCCTCCCTGCGTCTGTGTTCAGATTTCTCTCCTAAGAAATCCAGCCAGGGGATTCAGGCCCACCCATATGGTGTGGTCCACCCATATGGAGTCCTAACTCTGTTCCATCCACAAAGACCCTGTTTCCTTATAAATAAGGCCACGTTCACAAATGCTGAAGGGTTAAGACTTGAGAGGACACAATTCAACCCGCAGCAGCTGGTTGAGGCCTTCTTCAGGCCAGCTTTTTCCCTGAGACCCCCACATCACACCAGCATTCCAGTTTTGTCCTTAGAATCATGGAGGTTGGGAGCAAGGGTGGGCTCCTTCGCTATGTCAGCTCGGGTTGGTCTGGCCCACCTGGGTGGCGTGGGGTTCTGCCCATTATTTTATTGAGTTCTGTTCTGGACAGCAGTGTCTTCCCCCCATGTAAGTTAGGGTTATTCCCCTAAGAAGATAGTAAGTTCCTTAGAGACTGGTTTTTGTCACGGTTTCTCTTGCATTTCCTTCGTGCCTACCCCAAAGCTAGTAGGTACAGAAGTGGAGTACTTGAGGAGTGTTGGGTGGCTGGTGCCCACCCTGTGGCGTGTTTCTCTCCACCACACCTTCCCGCAGACCCTCTGATGACTCCTGGCCTCATCCCACTCTCCCGCCCCTGCCTCAGAGTCCTTATCAGTGCGGGGCATGGGGCCGCCACTCCCAGAGGAGCCAGTGCCTGGAGTGGATCTGCTTCCGGGTGAGGTTTTATCTGGAGTCAGGCGGCCTGCCCTGAGCCTGGTTGCAGTTTCCTCTCTGTCTTCTGTGTGGTGCTCTATTTCTGAGTTTGGCCTAGTCAAGCCTCTCTCTCAGATCTCCAGGTGACTGCTCGAAATGTCCCAGTGCTGGAATGCACCACCCTCCACCAAAGCTAGGGCTGGAGGATAGGACAGGAACGGATGGACGTGCAGAGGGCGCGAGGGGTGAGTTGCTACCTGGCCCTACCCCTGCTCTAACCAGAGCAGCATGCTTCCCTTTCAGGAGTACATCGATGCCCACCCTGAGACCATCGTCCTGGACCCGCTCCCTGCCATCAGAACCCTGCTTGACCGCTCCAAGTCCTATGAGCTCATCCGGAAGATTGAGGCCTACATGGAAGGTAGGGACACGTGTGGCACCACATCCGTGGCAGGCAGCCACCTTTGTGGTCACAAAGTGGCCACGGCCTGAGGTGTGGAGACAGAGGGGTCTTGTCTTTTTAAGCACTTTGGGGCAGGAAGCATTTGAATTCCATGGTGCAGTCATTCTGGGGAGGTCCTTTCATTCTCCTGTGACCAGCAGTGAGGAAACAAAAGCCTCAGGGTGCTCTTGCGGAAGGGGGCTCTGAGGGTTTTGTTTTGCTGTGTTGAACCCATGGGTGACATTGAAGTGTCCCGGTAACACAGTGGCTGGAGAGCAGGAGTGTGTGTAGACAGCTCAGTGGCAGGCAAGCAAGTGGAGTTACGTAACTGCGCGGAGGACACAAACAGAAACTGAAGGCCTTTAATCAAACACGTGGAGATGTAATGTGGCTGCTGGACCTCATGGGTCCACTCTGTTCTGGAGGGCAGGGGCCTCCCTCTTCACTGCGGCGCCTCCCCTGCCAGCTGCAGGCTCCTGTCCCTGAGGGCTCACCCTGACGCCTCCCCACCCCTTGGGCAGGCAGAGCCAGAGAACTCAAGGCCACATTCTCAAGGTGTTTATGTGAGAAAGACTTTGTGGAGAGATTCATGTTAACAGTAACCTCCTAGTTCACTGCTTAGTCCAAGTGTGCCCTGCTGAGAGCTCTTGTTTAATTTTAAGGAAAAGTGCTTGGCCTGGGCCCTCCGGCTTTGTGAGGATTTATCCTGGGGTCAAGGAGGCAGCCCCTGCTCCCTGCCCTACAGACCATGATTGAGGCCTAACCTGGCTGCCTTGAACCCTGACCTGGATGGTGACTTGGCCTTGGGCATAATTTCCTGTGATGGTGACCGGTGGGACCAGTGGGTACCATTTGGCTCACAGCTCCAGAGGCAGACCATCTGCATGGGAGTCTGAGACCACCATTTATTGGCTATGTGTTGTGTTCCTGCCTTTGGGTTAGGCCTTCTCCTTGTATTCTCCCTTTTGGTACTCTTAGAAGTGGGCATGATAAGCCTTCCCATTTTACAGATGAATCCCAGAGGCTCTGAGAGGTTAGCAGACATGCCACGTCACGCAGCATTCAGGTGGCTGGGCCAGCATCCAGCCAGGTCTGTCTGACTCAGGCTCCCCGGCCCCTATTCCTGAGCTTGACTTTCATGTCCATGGCCAGAGGGCCCTGGATCTAGAAGAACCTGAAATGGGTACCACTGAGGACCCTGGCCTGGAGAGTAGGTGAGTCCTCGGTTCCCTCTCTGAGGAATGTGCCCTGCAGAAGAGCTGGCTGCTGGATTTGGCTGTCCTGGAAGGGCTCCCGAGGCCTCTTTCCCTGAATGCCTGACACACCGCTGGGTGCAGAGAATGGGGGTGTCATGCTGGTGCCCCATGTAGGCAGGCTTTCTTAGCACATGCCAGCAGCCTTTATTTGCTAGGCCTGGAGTGATTGGCCTCTGCTGTGCACTTCATCTCCCTTTGCACTGTCTTCCTGGATCCATCCAGAATCCCAGATGGGAAGAAAGAGCTGTATGTTCCCTCCTGGGGTCACCTTCATCTCAGTCTGCCATGGGTGAAGGTTTGGTAAAATTTGGGAAAGGGAATCAGCCTCTTTCCAGAAGGTGTGCTTGTTGGACACTGCCTGTGTGAAGAGCAGGAGGCTGTATTAGAACATGAGAAGGCCCAGCTAGCAGAAGAAGGTGGCAGACCAGCAGCCACATCTCATGTCCCGGACAAGTCCATTCGAAGAGTGATGGGTTTGGGTGGGATTCGAGGAGGTGCCGCTGAAGGGCCTTTTGGAGCCAAAAGCACAGGCTCTGGCATGTGGGTTCCTGTCTGGGCTCTTGTTAGCCACGTGGTCTCGGACAAATCAGTCATTTGAGTTCTGCTGGTGTTCTGGAAGATATGGGTGATACCTGGTTCAGCCACGGGGTCAGGGGTCAGGATACCTGGGATGATGTCTGCAGAGCACTTAGCATGGGACCGGCCCACTGGGTCACCCGGGAACAGCAGCTGCTCCAGCTGTTCCCACCACGATGGCAGGACCCCAGCATCCTAATTGAGTCTTCACATCCATCTTAGATTTTTAGGAGTAGAAGCCCAGGGCTGGGGATCAAGGGTGAGCCTGGGCTCAGGGTGGGTGTGTGCACGGTGTGTTCAAGGAGCAGGAACCCGGTGATGAGGTGGACCGTAGGAAGTCACATGGTGAGAGGAAGGCCCAGGAGGTACCTCTGTTGCCCGCTCGCCTGGCTTGGAATTGGGCCTCTCCTGGAGGCAGTTAGGAATCAGGTCAGGAATTTTAAGCAGGGTGTGTCCTAGTTCACTGGGAGATTAGAAAGTTTAGGAGCTACCCATAAGGGGAGAGCTGTGGGTGTTCCAGGAGAGGGCCCCGTCCTCAACAGGTCCAGGGAGAGCTGTTGACCAAACCCTAACGCATGCTTGGTTCTAGATCAGCAGGAAGTGTAGGGTGGGTGGGCCATAAATGTTGCACGCTGGGTTTTCCTTATCGTGCACGCCGAGCCTGGGCTTGTATTCTTCCAGGAGGGCGGTCAGAGGCTGGGACTTCCTGGAGCCCTTTCCTGACCCCCAGTGGCTGTCCATTCACCAGCATCGCTGGGTGGGTCCCTGCTGCATGCCCCCACCAGCTGCAGAGGCAGAGAGCCTTCCTGGGAAGCACACCCTGGGCCCCCCTCCTCAACTGCCTGCTGTTCCTGGAGGCACTCAGCCCTTTCAGGCGTACTGTAAATGGCCATAATTACCCTTGAAGTTCCCTCAGATAATCACAGCAATCCAGTGACACGCTTTTGTGCTGGGAGAAGGAGCTTGGTGAGACTTCCTCCGGTTGTCACCCCCCCTGCCCCGGTTGTCACCCCCCCTGCCCCGGCAGTAAGACTGCTCTGTTTTCAGAGACTCTGGACAGCTGCAGGGAAAACAGAGCTGGTGGGGGACGGGTGGGTGCTTCGGGACTGCTAGGATCCTCATTGATGAGCAGTGGGAGGGAGACGACCAGAGCCCCTGCTTTGCGGTGGGGGTGGGCAGTTGGGACATGGCACAAGGGGAGGCTCTCCCAGGAATAGCAGGCAGAGCCCTTGGATAAGGGTCTGTGCTCAGGTGGGCCGTCTGTCTCCCTGCAGAGCATCAGCCGTGGAGGGCCTCTCCCACCCCAGCTCTGCATCCAGGAGACAGATGAGGCCTGCTGCTGGGAGCTCCCAGCATCGCTGTCTCCGGGCAGCCTGTGTGAGGTCACTGCCTTCTCAGTTCCACATTCCCAGAGCTCATTCTTGTCTCATTCAGAGCCTGGAGGGGAAGCAGGGTCATTTCTCTGCCTCGGCTCTGGCAGCTTCAAACCCACCCACTTCGTATCAATTAGCATTCAAGTTGCTTTAACAGCAGACCTAAAATCATGGTGGCTTAAATGCGACAGAACTTCCTTTCTCTCTGATGTAAAAGCCCAGAGGAAGGCCATCCAGCACGGGCACAGGGGCTGGGACCCTGGCTCCTTCTAGCTCCTTATTCTTCTGTGGTCTGCCCATCTGGTCCTGGGTGATGGCTGTATTTCCAGCCCTCACATCCAAGATCTAGACATTAGGATGGAGAGGAAGATCAAGAAAAAGGAAGCAAATGAGAAGAAGGCCTAGTTCTCTTTTAAGGAGGGGTTCTGAAAGCAATCCAGTGACATGTTTTTGTGCTGGGAGAAGGGACTTTGGCCAGAATTAGTCACATCCTAAGCTGCAAGGGAGTCAGGAAATTGAGTCCTTGTTCTGAGCAGCCACATGCCCAGCTACAATTCGGGTTTTATCACCATGGAAGAAGGGCTAGAACGAGTTTTAGGGGAGCATTAGCAGTCTTCCAAGACATGGGTCCCTGCCTGAGGACCCAACTTTCCCATGGCAGAACAACCTTGGAATTTCTCCTCTGGCTGGGGGTTTGGCCTCGGCCTGTGACCTCAGCAGCAGTCCCCTCTTTGTAGCAACCAGCATCCTGGAGGCTTGCAGAATGACCCACCCCAGCATGCCAGGGCCCTACCTTTCCCTCATAGATGACTGCTTCTGGGAGGCAGCCATGCCTATACCCATACCCATGTCCCTCCCCACACCCGCACCCCCTAGGCAGAGGCACAGGCAGCGTTGAGCCTGGATTCAATTCAAACCAAGCACTTAATTCTTCCTAGAAATTAAGCATTCCCTGGTGCAGGCCTCGGGGAGGGAGGGAGGAGGCCGCAGTAACAAACATTGAATTTGCAGGCTCTTTCTCCCATCAGCAGCCCACTCTGCCACCCAGGGCCAGGGTCCAGAGATGGAAGCCCCAAAGCCAAGGCATGGCTGTGCTACCCTAGGGTGAGCGATTCTGGGCACGGCTCTAGCTGGCTCCCAAACTGGCTGAGAAGGCACCATGTATGAGAAGGCACCTGGGCCGTAATTGCATGGCGTGGGTTTGTGTCCCTGTCTTCAGGGACAGCAGGTCTCAGACCATTGGGCAACAGGCTGGAGAGATCCTTGAAAGCCCTGACTGCTTTGGGGTGATGGGTGGCTCTCCTGTTCTTCTTCTCTTAGAAGTTCCCATGTGTCTGCTCTGGGGGTGACAGATGGCCTGTTTGGGATCCCAGGCCTCCCTGGGGATGGGGGGTGCATACCGCAGATTGAATGCTTCTGCCTGTGGTTTTACGGGAATTTAATTAGGGCTCATCTTAGAGGCCATTTGAAACCTGGGTTGAAATTGAGTAGTCTGGATACAAAGCAAAGAGAAAGTAACATTCCTTAGAGCCTGGAGAAATAATTCCCCAAAAAGCTTTTGCCTTGGGGGTGGGTGTTTGTGATTGGTGGGGAGCTGCTCCCAGAGGCAGGAACTGGCTCTCAACCCTCGGGGAGCTGCAGAGGGGTGGGGACTTGGAGTCAAGGCCTCAGACCCTGCCCATTGCCACCGCCACCCCTCCAACCCTCCGCCAATTGTGTGGCCTCTCTGAGCTGTGCGTCTGTCAGCGCTTAGGCAGGTGCTTAGTGTGCCAGGCACTGGGTTAAATACTTTACAGACAGTACCTAATTTAATCCACTTAATGACCCTATGAGGAAGGTTCTGATTTCATCTCCGATTTAGAGGTGAGGATACTGAGGGGCTTTGATCTTAAGTTACTTGAGGTCACAGAGCTAGTGGGGCAGATTTGGGATCAGAATCCACACAGTGTGGGTCTGCTCTTAGCCAGTGGTTCCCAAGCCCTGTCCCTCACCCCTGTGTGTACCCCTTCCACACCCCCAGTTCCCCTGTGGCTGATGGAGAGGGACCGAGGCAAAGATAGGTAGGGATGGGGCTCTGCGCCTGCAGGTGAGTCCTGCCTAGGCTCACCTGGTGCTGGTGGCATGGCCATCATCCCTGGGGGTGCCCTCTGGGGTCCAGGAAATGATACTTGAGGGCAGCCACACATCATGGCAGGAAAGAAGGACCTTGTCGCTGATAAGGCTTCCAATCTTAGCCCCTCGGGGGGCTGGGCCAGTCACTCTCCCCTGAGTTGTTCACTCATCTGGGAAGTGGGTCGCCAGTGCCTCGGACGTGCTGAGTGGGCGTCTCAGCTGGTGGCCCCACCCCAGATCGGGCAGAGCGACCCCTTGGTGTGCACCTGCCCATGCCTCCCCCAGTGTCAGCCTGCCCAGACCACAGGGCTGAGGTGAGGGGACAGCGTGCCCCATCGAAGGGTCTGGAATGAGGGAGGACAGGGTGCCAGGGAGGTAGGGTCTCTCAGGGGAGGTGCTTGGTTTGTGGTTCCCTTTCTTGGACTTCAGGGATGTGTGGGAGCACCACTGTTTTTGTTTTCACATCGGCTGTTGTCTGCCACCCAGGCTGAGACCCGCCCTTTCAGTGCAGGGGAGGCTCCGCAGAGCAGGATTGTGCTTGTGGCTCCCCTGCCCTGGGGCGGCTAAGCGCCAGCTGCAGACCAGGCCGGGTAGGTGCGTTGCCGGCATGAGGCGGCAGCTGGGACCAAGGCTAGCCCTGGTCTGAGTCTGCGTGAGCTGCCGTCCTGGCGTCTGCCGTGTGGAAGCCAGTGCCCTCCCCCAGTCCGGGAGTCATGGGGTGAGGAAGAAATGGTGCCCCAGAGCATGTGGAACCAGGTCTGGCCTGCAAGGGTGGCTCCTCCTGTCCTTGAAGCTGCTCCTTCCCTCAGCTGTAGCGTTCCCCCTTTACAGATGGGGGGTGTGGAACCTTAGAGAGGTTATGGTAACTTAGTTGAGGTTTCAGAGCTGGTGCATCTTCAAGCTGAGCTCCATGTTGATGCCAAAGCTCACCCTGTTCCCTTACAACAAACATCTATTTTACAGCTGATTCTCAGAATCCCTCCCATCTCCCTGCCCTTGGCTGACCCTTCTGTGGGTTCTGCTCCTGTCCTCTGGAGCCAGGGGCCACCTGTGCAGCCATCCAGACATTCACATTCTAAGACAAGACCCTGTCAGCCCCCAGGACCTGGGAATCTCGGAAGCATCAGTCCTGCTGGCCGGGCTCTCAGTTGAGGCAGCAGAGGCCAGGGATGTTCAGGGCAGGACAGGGCCTCAGGGAGCACGCCCCCACATTCACACTGCCCCGTCCCCTTTCCTGCACCCCCACAGCCAAAGCCAGCTCCACATCAGGCCCACAGGCCTACTCGCAGCCCTTTCTGTGCCATCTCCTCTTCCCTGGCCTAGCTGCAGCAGGGGTCCCTGGAGAGTAGTGAGAGCTTCCCCACTCTCCCTCCAGCAGCCTCACCCCTTTGTCCCACCAGGACTGGGGTATGTGCCTGGAGGACAGTGGCCCGGGAGCCTGGATCAGCTTTTCCTGGAGAGGTTGTCAGGTCCAGGCCTCCTAAGGGCACTGGCAGAGATGAAACAGATGCTGGATTCTCTGCCAAGCTCCTCATTTCCACAGCTGTGGGCACTGTGGACAGGGCAGCAGCCCCTGGCATCCTGATGGTAGGCTTGCAGTGACCCCCATGAGAACAGACCCTGCCAGGCATTTGCTGCCCTCTGTCCCTCCTGCCCAGGGCACTGGTCTGGAGGCTCCCAGGAGAGACTCAAAGGAGTGGACTGAGCTCTCATGGCGACTGGCTGGCACCCTGCAGGAGAGATGCACCTTCATCTAGGGAAGAATGTTCCTGTCTGTTCACTCAGAGCTTAACCTTGCTGAGCCTTTAAGACCATGGCAGGGACCCGCTCCCCAGCAAAACAAGAAGGCCCCTCCACCCACAGCCCACCAACCCCTCCAGCGCCCTCCAGCTCAGTGGCTTCTGGACGAGATACCCCACTTGGTCCAGGTGGGCCTGCCCCAGGCCTTCCTGCAGAGCTTTCTGAAAACCTCTGTCCCCTCTCAACCCACAGGCACCCCTCCTCTAGGAGGTACTCTCCCAATGACATCAGCTGGCTCCGATCACTTTTCTAGGGCACTGCTGCTGATCCTAGGCCAGTTGGTGAACAGACTGTTTGTCTTTGGGACTCTGGCTCTCACCCAAAATTCCTTTCCCCTGGCTGTGTTGACTAACTCCCTCCAGACTCCACTCCCAGGCTTTCTTCCCCCTACTCACACTGAGTCTCCTGGCTCCCCTGGGATATAAGCAGGGTACATGGGTACTCAAAACCTCCTTGTTGGTCAGATTGGTCAGAAGGTATCCAACAGCAGCCATTTACACTTTAGTGTGAATTTATAGCTCACTTAGTGTTTTTCCAGCTGAAAGAGATCTTGAGTTCTGGAAGCCCTACAAAAACTGCTCTTCTCCACATCCTCAACAATGAGAATAGAGGCCCAGAGTGGTTGCATGGCTGACCCAGGACCACTCAGCACCTTTCCGACTCTCAGTCCAGTGCTGTCTCCATGGGACCCACATCTCTGCAGGGGTCTTTTCAGAAGCAGCGCCATAGTGAATCTAAAGTCAGACTGCCTGGGTTCAGATCCTCTCCTAAACACCCAGCTGTGTGCATTTAGGCAGGTTATTTAACTGCATTGAGCCCCAGCTTTCCTATCTGTAAAATGGGGAGGGAGGTAATGTTGGTGGCACCTTCCTCATAGGTTGTTGTAAGGATTCCTCAATAGATGGGAGCTCTCCTGGCAGACAGTGCATTGTGAGTTTCAGACCACACCCTGTGTGCTGTGACCCTGTGAGTCCTGTGTTTCTCAACTTGCATTTAGTGCTAAAGGCAGCAGCCCCTGGCGCCCTGATGGTAGGCTTGCAGTGACCCCCATGAGACCAGACCCTGCCAGGCATTTGCTCCCCTCTGTCCATTCTGCCCAAACGCCCAGCCCCGTGTTTGCAAATGTGTACCTGGGTTTATTTCCCCAAACAAGAGTGTCTTCAGGGTGACCAATCATGTAACACAAGCGGGCTTTTAAAAATCTCTTTATTGGCTACTAGATGATGTATTGTAGATTTATTATAATAAAGTTCACATTGCACAGGTTTGTTTAGTGTAATTTTTATTTTTAAGAAATTTTGACAGAGTTGCAAAGATAGTACACAGAGTTCCCATATACCCTTTGCACAGCTTCCTCCAGTGTTAACATCCTATCTGACCATAATTATCTAAACCAGGAAGTTCACATTGATAACTATTCAATAATTGAAAGACCTAAATGAATTCGAATTTCCCCAGTTGTCCCACTAATACCCATTTTTTAGTCCAGGATCCAATCTGGTTGTCGCTCTCTGTGGTCTCCTGCCATCTGGGATGGAGCCTCAGGTTTTGACCTTGACACTTTGGAACCTTGACTGTTTATTTTGTGGAGTGTCTCTCAATTCAGGTTTATCTGGTGTTTTCGTGACTGGGTCAAGGTCATACATTTTCAGCAGGAACACCACCCAGCAGTGCCAGTCCCTCCCTAGTGCGTCATATCAGGAGGTGCATGAGGACAACGATGTCTTCTGTCTGCTCAGCAGCAGTTATTTGGTTAAAGTCCACCAGGCTTTTCCACTCTAAATTTCTATTTTTTCCTTTGTAGTTGGCAAGAACCTTCTAAGAGGATTCTTTGCAGACTGTCTCTCATATGTTTGCCCTTCTCTTGTAGCATCCGTGGATGGGTGTTGCCATTGTTACTGTGGTATTTACCGAACAGTCATCATACAGAATTATAAGAACTGTGTCCCAACCACCCCAGTTGCCCTAGAAGTGACAGGATCCCCTTGCAGCTTTGCAGACATCCACAGGGCACCAGGTGGCACCTTGTGGAGTGTCAGCATAATCTCACGTGTGAACAAAGGGAAAGGCAAAATAAGGAAAAGAGAAAAGTGTCAGATATGTTGGAGAATCAGGATTACATGTTTCTTTGCTGCAGGACTTCTCAGAGCCTTAGTAATGTGTTAATATGAATCTTTAGTCTGGGGGCAGTGTTGAATTTCATTACCGATTGTAAGATGCACTGATACTTCATATTCTATAAAAAAGAAAAAAATCCTAAGTAAGTTGTGAAATATCAATTATGAGACACATCTCAATTTCAGAGATGGAAAATATGAAAAACATGCCATAGAATCAGTGAAGTTCTGCAGAATTTAGCCTTTTCCATCCAGTTAACTATAGAGTCCCCTCCTCTCTTTGAGGCTTCTCTTGAGAGACTGTTGCACTCAACACACTCAGGAATTCCCTGACTGGGTGCCTTCTGGCCGCCCTCACTTCCGGCCCTGCACAGGTCTGTTCTTGAGTTCCCTGTATTAGTGTGTGGGGCCCTCATTGCTGGTGCTTCTCGAATCTGTTTAACTCCAGCCTCACTTCCCTGAGGCAGCCACTGTTCATAGTTTGGAACTTATCTTTCTAGACCCTTCCTATTCATACATGTAGAGATACATGTGCACTTTTAGTATTATTTTTTCATTACAGTAGGCTCTAGTGCAATGTGTACATTTAGAAACAGGGTCATTTTACACGTGTCCTGATACAGCTCTTTGTCCCCACTGAACATGTGTCTTGCTTCGCTTCTTTCCATGTTAGCCCATGAAGATGAGGGGGATCAGGTCTGCCCCTTTTGCTGGCAGCATAATATTTCCATACATGAATGAATGAATCCTAATTTATGTTGGGCCCATAAGGTCATTCCAGTCTTGTTTGGATTTTTTTTTTTTAAACAAACTGGGCTGCAGTAAACAGCTCCCTGCATATTTCTGCATAATTAATCCCTAGAAGTGGGATTTCTCAGCCAAAGATTATAAACATTCCTCACTTTGGCAGATCTCACTGGATTGCCCTTCAAAAAGTTTGAGCAAATTTCACTCCTGATGGTGCCAGTCTGCCTGGGGAAGCCGTACCCACCTCGATTGATGTGTGTTTGTCGTTATTGGCACAATTGAGTATCCCATCATGGATTCACTGGCTCCATTTGCTTGTCTTCTATGAATGAATCTTTGCCTGTTGTTTGCCTATTTTTTAGTTGAGTTGTTGGGCTTGTTGATTAATTAGATCCCTTTTTGTATGAAGAAAATTGTCCCATTGTTAAAAATTGTGGACGGGTTCATGAATGTAAGCGTCATCTTTGCTCTGGGTCCAAGCTAAGATGTTTTGCTTTTAGAATAGGTACTACCAGAAAGAGCCCTCCAAACATTTTAAAAATGTCTTGAAAGTAAAAAAGGCTGCCATGTTTTGGGAGCGGGAGCTGGAGCTGAGCAGGGACAGTGAGCGTCTGCCTGGGTCCAGAAGGGGCTGTAAATCAGTGGGAGCAGCTGCCACAGAGTCTACCCACGTTTCCAGCTACTGCCGCCAGACTCAGACATCGGGCGCAGAAATGCCTGTCTCTGTCTGAGCCAGTGTCTGGCTCCTCTTCTCCTGGGCTTTGGACATTGTGGTTGCAAACAGCTCTCTGGTCACATAAGATGAAATGAGTCACTAGCTAAGTCAGGTGGGAGGAAACCTGCTCTTCCCCTGCCCGTGGCTTGCTGTATTGGACTGTAACTTTGCACCTGTGGCATTTGTTGTCTTCTCTTCTCGTCCTCCAGTGTTTTCTCTCCACAGCTTGCCTGTCACCAGGTAGCTAAGTGAGGATCTAGCTGCTAGCAGGGAGGTTGCACCTGTGGTAAGGCCATAGGGTCTCTTAGATGCCTTCAAGGAGCAGGGTAGGGGGCTGTGGCCACTGGCGAAATGCCCCCTGCTTTCCCCCAGTGACTCCAAATATCACAATTGCGTTTCCCCCTTGAAAGCTCATAGTAGCTGGATGTGTTAATTTCCTATTGCTGCATGACAGATGACAGCAGATTGAGTGGCTTCTGACAGTACCCATTTATTATCTCATGGGTGGGTGGGTCAGAAGCCCGCATGGTGTGGTTGGGCTCTTGGCCCAGGGTGTCACGGGCTGAAATCAAGGTGTCCGCAGGGGCAGGTGATCTTCTGGAGGCCCTGAGGAAACATCCACCTCCAAGCTAACTCTCATTGACAGAATCCAGTTCCTGGTGGCTGTAGGACTGAGGTCCCCACCCTTGCTGGCCAGCAGCTCCTACAGGTCCTGTGTTTCTTCTCACGGTGCCCCTCTACTTGCAAGGCGGCCACAGCTGGCCAGTCTCCTTGTGCTTTGAATCTCCAGCTTCCTCTTCAGAGAAGAAGCTCTGTGTGTGATGCCCTAAGAGTTACCCAGACCATCTCCCTGTTTTGAGGGCAGCAATGCAACAGAACCGAGTCACAGAGGAGAACCCATCCATCATGCATGCAGTTCTGGCGATCATGCAGGGTGTTGCCCGGCCACAGGGATCTTGGGGTTGACTTAGATTCTGCCTGCCACACTGAGTAATACAATGGTTTTCCCTTGCATACTTATAAGTTCAATGGAATTTAATTGCTATCATTGCATCTCTCCAGGCCCTGTCACCTGTGCTGGGTGTCTTGGGGCATGTCGCCCCTGCCCATTCCCTCTCCTGGGTGGCGTCTCCTGTCATACTGCCCCTGCACTCCACACTGCAGCCAAGCCGAACCCCAGGGGCACCCCTCTTGACCCTTGGCCTTTGTCCATGGTGTTCTGCCTATCTGGAATACTCTTGGTCCCCAGGACTAACTCCAACTTTGGGGTTTGGCTCAGGCCACTTCCTCCCAGAAGCCCTCTGTGCTGCACACTCCCTTCCCTGCGTGGGCCTCAGTGCCTTCCTCCCTACTCACAGACCCTTTGCTGCCCTCATCGCACATTCATTCCACTGTTTCGTCATTGTCTGCTGGCCGCTGTCTTCCCCACCTGACCGTGACAGCCTTGAGGACAGGGGCGAGTGTGTCTTTGGGGACCATGACAGGTCAGGGCCTGGAACATAGTACCTGCTCAATAAGTATGCAAAGGAGGGAAGAATGTTTTCAAGAATCAGATACATAAGAAGGAGATGCACTGGGGGAGGCTCTGAGCAGAAATCCCACTCCCATGGGAGATAGGCCTGGGGCAGGTGGGGTCATGGGCTCGGGGCCACAGGAAGGGGTGGTCCTGGTTGTCTGTGGGGCTCTCGCGGAGGTGGTATTTGGAGCGGCTCTGAAATACTGGGCTCAATTAGAGGAAGGTGGGAGCCATTCCAGGGAGAGGGAGCAGGATGTTCAGGAGAAATGGGGGCTATTGGTGCTGCGGGAGAGAGCCCCATGCCGAGGCCCAGAGGGCCTCCAGGGCCAGTTTCTGCTTAGCCTATGCGGGGAGAGAGGGAGGCCATTGGGAGGCTGCTGTGGCTTCTGGAAAAGATGCTGAGGGTGTGATGAGGGTGGTGACTCTGGTCAGGAAGAAATAGGATGGAGGCCAGAAATTGAGGGGGAACATTGGCAGGCATCAGGGCAGGCATTATTATCTGGGATGAGTTAAGGAGAAGGAAACACAGGACAAGCCATAACCACAATCTGTGTGCCAGCTCCACAGGGCAGGACAGTGCTGGGGGGCTCCAAGGGTGGGCCAGGTGTCTCCACGGCGGCCAAGAAAAACTACAAGAGAGGCCGGGTGCGGTGGCTCATGCCTGTAATCCCAGCATTTTGGGAGGCCAAGGTGGGTGGATCACCTGAGGTCAAGAGCTCAAGACCAGCCTGACCAATATAGTGAAACCTTGTTTCTACTAAAAATACAAAAATTAGCTGGGCATGGTGGCACGTGCCTGTAGTCCCAGCTACTTCGGAGGCTGAGGCAGGAGAATTGCTTGAACTTGGGAGGCTGAAGCAGGAGAATTGCTTGAACCTGGGAGGCGGAGGTTATAGTGAACCAAGATCGCACCACTGCACTCTAGCCTGGGCAACAGAGTGAGACTCCATCTCAAAACAAACAAATAAACAAACAAACTATGAGAGAGGGACCCTTTGTAGGCCCCCAATAGTAATAAGTCCCCAGCCTGGGCCAAATCCCAGGGCTTCAGTGATAAAGATTCCATTTCAACAGGCAGAGATGAGAAGGGAGGGCATTCCAGTGGCAGATACAGCACAGACAAAGGCCAGGCAGGTAAGAAAGGCCAAGTTATCACCAGGAATAGAGATGGTCCCTCTTGGTGAGAGCCTTTCTTGTTTTGGGGCATGGGGTGGTACAGGCCCCCTCCACCTGGCTTGGAGTGGACTTGTTGGCCTTGTCATGGGCCAGAGCCCTCCACCTTTCTCCCCTCCTCTCAAGCCTTCAGAGAAGTTTCTGTCATGGAGTTCACTCGGCTGCCTCAGGGGCTCTGGCTCAGCCAAGAACATTGTCAGGGCTGGGTGGTGTTCTCTTTGTGTTTTCTCTGGACTTGTTCTGGCAACTGACAGCCCCAGATCCAGCCTTGTATTTTAAACACGAGGATCCTGCATCGAAGCTGTGTGTTCTGCCCAAAGATGATCCAGGCCTCAGTGCTCCTCTGGGGCTGGTGTATAGTCTGTTATCACACTGCTATAAATAACTACTTGAGGCCTGTCATGGTGGCTCACACCTGTAAACCCAGCACTTTGAGAGGCTGAGGCGGGTGGATCGTTTGACGTCAGGAGTTCCAGACCAGCCTGGCCAACATGGGAAAACCCCGTCTCTACTAAAAATACAAAAATTAGCCAGGCGTGGTGATGTGCGCCTGTAATCACAGCTACTTAGGAGGCTGAGGCTGCAGTGAGCTGAGATCACACACTGCATACCAGCCTGAGTGACAGAGTGAGACTCTGTCTCCAAAAAAAAAAAAGGGATTAAAAAAAACCTACCTGAGAGTGGGTAATTTATGAAGAAATTATGAAGAGGTTTAATTGACTCACGGTTTTGCAGGCTGTACAAAAAATATGGCCAGGGAGGCCTCAGGAAACTTACAATCATGGCGGAAGGCAAAGGGGAAGTAGGCATGTCTTTACGTGGCAGCAGGAGAGAGAAACAGAGCAAAAGGGGAAGTGCGACATGCTAGATTTCATGAGAACTTACTATCACATGAACAGCTAGAGGGAAATCTGCTTCCATGATCCAATCACCTCCCACCAGGTCCCTCCCCCAAATTGGGAATTACAATTTGACATGAGATTTGGGTGGGGACACAGAGCCAAACCATATCATTCCACCCTGGCCCCTCCCAAACCTCATGTCCTTCTCACATTTCAAAACACAATCATGCCTTCCCAACAGCCCCCCAAAGTCTTAACTCATTCCAGCATTAACTCAAAAGTCCCAGTCCAAAGTCTCATCTGAGACAAGGCAAGTCCCTTCTGCCTATAAGCCTGTAAAATCAAAAACAAGTTAGTTACTTCCAAGATACAATGAGGGTACAGTCATTGGTTAAACAGACCCAATTCCAAGAGGGAGAAATTAGCCCAAACAAGAACTACAGGGACTGCAGTCCCCATGCAAGTCCAAAACCCAGCAGGGCAGTCATTAAATCTTAAAGCTCCAAAATAATGTCCTTTGACTCCATGTCTCACATCCAGGCCACACTGATGCAAAGGATGGGCTCACAAGACTTGGGCAGCTCCACCCCTGTGGCTCTGCAGGGTACAGCCCTCACAGCTGCTTTCGTGGGCTGACACTGAGTACCTACAGCTTTTCCAGGGACACAGTATAAGCTCTCGGTGGATCTGTCATTCTGGGATCTGGAGGATGGTGGCTCTCTTCTCACAGCTCCCCTAGGCAGTGCTCCTGTGGGGTCTCTAACATCACATTTACTCTCTGCACTGCCCTAGCAGAGGTTTTCCATGAGGGCTCCACCCTTGCAGCAGACTTCTGTCTGGACATCCAGGTGTTTCCATACATCCTCTGAAATCTAGGCAGAGGCTAAAATCTTGCCTTCAGCACACCTGCAGGCCCAACACCATGTGGAAGCCACCAAGGCTTGGGGATTGCACCCTCTGAAGCTGTACCTTGGCCCCTTTTAGCCACTGCTGGAGCTGGAGCAGCTGGGATGCAGGATGCCATGTCCTGAGGCTGCATGGAGCAGCAGGGCCCTGAGCCCAGCCCACAAAACAATTTTTCCCTTCTAGACCTCCTGGCCTGTGATGGGAGGGACTGCTGTGAAGGTCTCTGAAATGCCCTGGAGGCATTTTCCCCTATTGTCTTGGCTATTAGCCTTCAGGGCTTCTTATGCAAATTTCTGCAGCTTTGAGTTCCTCCTCAGAAAATGGGTTTTTCTTTTCTACCACGTGGTCAGCCTGCAAATTTTTCACTTTTATGCTCTGCTTCCCTTTTAAATATAAGTTCTAGTTTCTGGTCATTTCTTTGTTTTTGCAGATGAGCATAGGCTTTTAGAAGCAGCCAGTCCACGTCTTGAATGCTTTGTTACTTAGAAATTTCTTCCACCAGATACCCTAAACCATCTCTCTCAAGTTCAAAGTTCCACAGATCTCTAGAGCAGGGACACAATATGCCAGTCTCTTTGCTAAAGCATAAGAAGAATGTCATTTACTCCAGTTTCCAGTAAGTTCCTCATCTCCATCTGAGACCTACTCAGCCTGGACTTCACTGTTCATAGCACTATCAGCATTTTGGTCACAACCATTCCACAAGTCTCTGGGAAGTTCCAAACTTTCCCTCACCTTCCTATCTTCTTCTGAGCCCTCCAAACTGTTCCAAACTCTGCCCGTTATCTAGTTCCAAAGTTGCTTCCACATTTTCAGATATCCTTATAGCAGTGCCCCACTTCTCTGGTACCATTTTTCTGTATTAGTTTGTTCTTAACATTGCTATAAAGAACTACCTGTGACTGGGTAATTTATGAAGAAAAGAGTTTTAGTTGACTCCCGGTTCCACAGGCTATACAGAAGGCATGGCTGGTGAGGCCTCAGGAAACTTACAATGATGGTGGAAGGTGAAAGGGAAGCAGGCACACCTTCACATGGTGACAAGACAGAGAGAAAGAAGGATGAAGTGCTACACCCTTTTAAGCAACCAGATCTCGAGAGAACTCACTCATGTCATGAGAACAGCGAGGGGGAAATCCACCCCCATGATCTAGTCACCTTTCACCAGGTCCTCCCCCGATGCTGGGAATTACAATTCAACATGAGATTTGGGTGCAGACAGAGAGCCAAACCACGTCGGCTGGCTTAGAAGTTTGCTGCTGATCTGAGTTCGAGTTCTGTCATGGTAGGTAGATGGACGAGAAGGCTGCACCTTCCTTAATGCCTAAGGGTCAAGAGTTCCATCTTTGGGCAGGAGGAAGCAAACATGTCACTCCTCCAGTATTCTCTACTCTTCTTTCTCCCCTGCCTCCCCCAGGGCCATGTCAGACTGCAGAGCAGTGATAGGCTCTGTAAGGTGATCTTGGATGGTTTTAAATGGCAGACCTTCAAATAGTAATACCAGTGATGATGATGACGATAATGATGGACAGGATGTTGGGATCTGACACTTGGTGTCTTCTGCATGCTGGTTTCTGTTTTAAGTGCTTTGTGTGTTAACCTGTTTGATCCTTACAGCAATCCTATGAGCAGGACTGCTCTTATTGCCATTTTACAGATCAGGAAATGAAGGCACCAAAAGGTGAAGTAACCGTCTCAAGTTCACACAGTATGGAGCATTCAGCCAGGCAGCTTCTGGGACTGGCTACAGTGTTTGGGAAGCACAGCTGGCCCAGTGCCTCTGTTTCCTGGTCCCTGAAGTGGGAAAGGAGCCTTCCTTAACTCTTTCCAGACTCAGTGTTCTTAAGTGGGAATGATGAGACTGGAGACCAGTGACAAAGGCTATTATGCAGTGGTTTGCCCAGCAGTCAAGGGTATTCTTTCCCGCCACATGCTGGCTTTGATCTTGAACGTGCAACCAACTCAGGGCCTCTGCTTCTCACATGCAAAATGGAGTGGTGATAGTGATCCGTGCTATGGCATTGCTATAAAGATGACACAAGTTGATGCCTGCAAGTGCTTGTTGATGGCGCAGAGCACACTGCATTGCTTGTCTGGTTATTGTTGACATTAAGCCCTGCATATGCTGTGTTAAGTGCCCAACACATGTCATCTCTATGAGCCTTCATTTTGGTTGTCTGTTAGATGGAAATCCAAAATGATAATGGTGTTTCTTGTGCTCATGAATCTGCAGCTTGGCTGGGCTCAGCTGGGTGGTTCTCCCATGCAGTCTTGCATGGCAGTTTAGCATGATGGTGACAGAGTAGCCAGACTACTGACTTGGCAGCTCAGGGACCCAGGGGTGTGTCCCGAGAAAGACAGCCTCTCTGGCCTTGCTTCCAGAGTCCATATTCTATTTATCTGTGAGGCTCTAGGGCCAGTTCACATTCAAGGGAACAGCATTTAGGGTCTACTTCATAATGGAAAGAAGCATGTAAGAAATAGAGACTGAGAAGTCCCACAATCTGCTATCTGCTAACTGGAGACTTGAGACCTAGGAGAGCTGGTGGTGTAAGTTATAGTCTGTATTAGGTCATTCTCACACTGCTATAAGGACATACCCAAGACTGTGTCATTTATAAAGGAAAGAGGTTTAATTGACTCACAGTTTGCAGGGCCAGGGAGGCCTTAGGAAACTTACAATCATGGTGGAAGGGGAAGCAAACATGCCCTTCTTCACATGGCAGCAGCAAGGAGAAGTGCAGAATGAAGCAGGGGAGCATGGGGGGAGCCCCTTATAAAGCCATCAGATCTTGTGGGAACTGACTATCATGAGACAGCATGGAAGTAACCGCCTCCATGATTCAATTACCTCCCACCGGCTCCCTCCCATGACATGGGGATGATGAGATTTGGGTGGGGACACAGCCAAACCATATCATAGTCCAAGTCCAAAGGCCTGAGGACCAGGAGAGCTGATGCTATAATTTATGGTTCTACTGCAGGAGACTGATGTCCCAGCTTGAACAGGGAGGCCAAGTGAGTGAATTCTTTCTTACCCTTCCTTTTGTTCTATTCAGGCCTTTGACTGATTGGACAGGCTCCACCCACATTGGGGAAAGTAGTCTGCTTGACTCAGTTTACCAATTCAAATGCTAATCTCATTCAGGTACACGGAGAACAATGTTAACCAAATATGTGGGAACCCTGTGGCCCAGTCAAGCTGACAAGAATTAAGCGTCCCACCATGGCAGGCCTGCTGTGTTCTAGGCTCTAGGGCAGGTCCCAGGCACACAGAGATGAGCAAGGCAGGCATAGTCCCTGCTCCCACCGAGCCTCCTGCCTCATCTGCCTCCATCAGGGAGGAAGGAACTGCGTACTGGGGCAGGGGCACCCAAGAAGCCTTAATGTCGGAGGAACTGGGTACTGGGTCAGGGGCACTGCCTGGGGCACTGAGCCTGCACCCTGTGGCGGAGCTTGATTGAGAAACCGAGCAAGGCTCATTTTGCCCAGAGCTTGGGAGGAGGGAGGCATAGGCAGGCCCTTGGCCATGGAGGACTTCAAGGCTGGCAAGGAGTCTGGACCTGATTCCGAAGGCCATGGGAGCCGTTGGGGAGCATGGAGCAGCGGCTCAGCCTTAGGCTGGGCTTTACAGGTCACACCTCCCGAGTTCTCCCTTGCCCCCTCGCAACAGCATGAGGCATGCCAACACTCAGGAGATGCCACTTCCCTACCCTCTCCTCATGGTGGGTCCAAGGGAGGAGACACAGTCCTGCCCTAGCCCCTGTGCCCTGAAGCTGTGAAGTCACTGCTTAGTCCATGTGGCAAGGGCCTGGCCTTCTCTCACACCCCCGCTCCTCCTGTGACCACAGTCCTCATGTGACCCTTCCTTTCCTCAGTGAACCGGACGGCTGGGCAGCACCCAGTCCTGCTGGGGAAGACTCACTCCAGGCTGCCTTTCAGTGACCCAGGCCCCATGGGCCTTTTGCCATTGGCCTTGAGTGCCTTCAGCTCTGAGTTCCTCAGTGCCTAAGCAGCACGGGAAGTGCCTTCTCTCCTCCCTTGTCCCACGAGGGCACCTGAGAGGGCCACTGTGTCCTTACGCCCGATGCCCATGAGAGATGCTAGCTCCTGGGGAGCTCCTGAGACTGTGCACCTTGGATTGGAACCTGGGCTCGTAGCTCTGTGTCCTACATGTATGCATCGCTGCACATGCCTGGCCTGCCCAAGGCCCTTGAGGTTGCTGCATTAGCTACAAGGGGCTGCGAGGCTGAGGGTCCACTGCTCCTAGGAGCCAGGCAGGGCTGTCATAGATTTTCAGGTGGCTTCCAGGAGCCAGGCTGTTTGTCCTGCATCCCCAGGGCATGCCAGCTTCAGGATCTGGAACTTTTAATGTCTTCACAAACAAAACACAACATGTCATTCCAGTTTTATCTCATCCAGGACTGTTCATAGACCTTTAACACACGATGATGTCACTGCCATCCAATTGTTTCCATCCTTTCGGAAGCGCCCAAATCCCCTACAAATCCAGCCCTGCTCAGTGCCAGCCCCTGCAGGGGCCCCACCCTCCAGGGGCCCCCAACTTCAGGGAGAGATGAGTCACTCATCCTAAGCGAGAGGGACAGTTCGGAGGTGTTAGGGATGTACCCTGGAGGCACAGGGCAAGGGCAGCTCCTCAGCATAGCCAGAGGGATCTGGTGCTCTGCCAATCTGCAGGAGGGCAGGGTGGGGGCCTAGGCAGTCAGGCACCCCAGAGGGGCATGGAGGGGCCCTGCCTGCGGGCAAGGCACATGGCTTTCTAGGATGGAATGCCTGGAGCCCTCCAGCCAGGCCACGTGGACAGGACCTTGTGCTGTGGTGGTGAGGGTGCATCCAGCCCCTCTCTTCTGGCTCTAAGTCCCTTCAGATTGGGACCACCTCTGTCTCTCTGTCGCTTGCATCCCGGGGCCTCTCACCCGGGCCCTTCCTGGCATCCCCCTCCTGGCTCAGGCCTGTGCGGCCCTCCCACCCACGTGCCTGTGAGTTGACTGTGGGTGTTACTGGGTGGCTGCCATCGTCATCGCTGGCCAAAAAGCCATTTGGGTTGTTTCCAGAGCTGCTGTCAGGCTGGAACTTGGTTCACCCGGATGCACAGAACATCTTCCCTGTCTAGAATTCAAGAGCATGTGACTCCCGCCCCTTAACTGCATAACCACAGAGGGAAGGTGACTTTGGATGAGTCCAGGGCCTGAATGAGTCCAGAGCACTTGAACTTACAGATGGGCCGGCCAGGCTCTTTCCAGTCCTGCCACAGCCATCTTCAAGGCTGTTCCAGACCCACAGCGCCACAGGGTGGCCAGGCGGGAGATTGCAGGCCCCTCCTCCTTCCTTTGCAGGCTGTGCCAACACTGGGCTTCCCTCCTCCTTTTGTTTCCAGTGCTTACGGCTCACTTATCCCATCCATCAACTTATCTTCACACGTGCACATGTGCCAGAGAGATGGTTCTTACTGAGGCCTGCCTTCTCCTGTCCCCAAGGAACATACTGCCTAGTTACTGAATCAGAACCCATATATGAAAATTTAATAGCGTACAAGAGGTAAACAACAAAACTCGGTAGCAGTGCCAGAAAAAGTACTAGAAAGACGTGACTGTGGGTAGGAGTTGCAGGGTGAATGCCACTCGAGGCAGCAGCATGGGACAGCGTGTTCTTGGGGGCTCTGCAGAACAGCTGGGATTCTGTGATGCTTGGAAGAGCAGGTGTTGCCAAGTGAGGCATGGAACGGGGACCATCCCAGAGATATAGTGGGGACAGTATATCCACCTGGCACAAGGGTTTGGCTGGGAACGATCTTGGGTTGTGCGGTCAGAGAAGAGTTGGGCGCGGTGGCTCATGCCTGTAATCCCAACACTTTTGGAGGCCGAGGCGGGCAGATCACTTGAGGTCCGGAGTTCAAGACCAGCCTGGCCAACATGGCAAAACCCCGTCTCTACTAAAGACAAAAAAATTAGCCAGGCATGGTGGCGTGTTCCTGTAATCCCAGCTACTTGGGAGGCTGAGGCAGGAGAATTGCTTGAACCGGGAGGGGGAGGTTGCAGTGAGCTGAGATCACGATGCCTCTGCACTCCAACCTGGGTGACAGAGTGAGACTCTGTCTCAGAAAAACAAATAAACAAACAAACAAAAGAGTTGGGAAGTATATTCATTTGCGTGGGCTGCATGACAGTGCTGCATTTAAACAACAGCAATGCACTGCCTCCCAGTTCTGGAGGCAGAAGTCTCAGATCTTAGTGTTGGCAGAGTTAGCTTCTTCTGAGGCCTCCCTCCTTGGCCTGCGGATGGCCCTCATCTCCCCACGTCTGCACATGGTCTTCCCCTGTGTGTGTCTGCGTCCTAATCTCCTTATAAGGACACCAGTCCTATTGGATTAGGACCCACTCTACTGACTTCATTTTACCTCTTTAAAGACCCTATCTCCCAGTGCAGTCCCGTTCTCAGGCATGGGGATTGGGGCTTCAATATCAACTTGGAAACAGCGCTCAGCCCATCACAGGAAGGTACAGAGTCAGGCTGCGGAGGCCTGGAAAGGCTGTGGGCTTCACTCGCGGGGCATGGACGCCTTGCTGGGAGCTGTCTCAGTACAGGTGAGAGCTGTAGGACGGTGGTTTGTGGGCAGAGGATCTTGTGTGTGGAGATGATGATTATGGAGTGAGGGGACCAACAAGGGGCTTCCTGGATTAACAGACTTCAGGAACATCGATTCCAGGAGCTGGGAAGAGGTCGCGGTGCTGGGCCACAGCCCTTGTTCCATCAGTGTCCCAGGAGGGCAGGCCAGAGCAGGCTGGGGGTGCTGTGCTGGTGGGTACCAGGCACCCCGAGGAGGGTGGGCATCCATGGAAACAGGGCTGGACAATACGATTCTCAGTCATTCCGAATGCCCCTCATGGGCGTGGCCTCACCGCGTCCCTGCAACCACCCCGGGAGGTGGGCGGCATCACTGGCCTAGTTTACAGATATCAGATCAGAGCATTGGCGGTCCCAGTCATGGCAACTGGGCTGGCCCTCCTTTTGCTTCCTGGGCTTTCCCTGCCATGACAGCTTCCTCCCTGCAGTGTCCCTGGCTTCCCTGGCCCTGGGCATTGTGGCATCAGTGCTGGGTGCCCCTGTTCCTTGGCGTGTTACTGACATTTGACCTACTTCTTGGACCCTCCCCAGCAGACCTTGCGTATGACGGTCCAGGTGATGACGACAATAGTACGGCGAGTTTTTCATGCACACCTGCTAGTGCCAGGGTTTAAACATGAGGCCCATCCTCAGCATCTGCTGGATGCTGGCCACCTCTGAGTGAGGGCAGTGGGACCACGACGATGAGTGGGGGAGGGGTAGTAGCCCTCTGAACCAGATGCTGTTCTAGTCCTCATTTTACAGCAAGGAAACTGAGGCATAGTGAGGTAACTGAGACAAAACAAAGCAAAATTTCTTGGCCAGGGTCATACGGCTGATATAAGATGGAGCCAGGATTAAAACCCAGACAGCCCAGGTCCTCTGTGGATCCTGCAGAGTGCCCAGTCGGGTGGGGGAGGTGGATGCTTCATTAGTTGGCCAAGATGAGCAGCGTGGGGCCCTTGGGTGGCACAGCAAGGGGGCTGCTCCCAGGTGAGCAGGAAGAGGGTGCCTGACCCATGTTGGAGGATAAGCAGGAGTCTTCCAGGCCATGGGTTGGTGCTGGGAGGGGAAAGAAAGGGCGTGTGGGGCTGAGATAGCTGCCCTGGGGCCTGAGAAGTCCGGGGGTGGGTTTCACTCCAACCCCCACTTTCAAAAGATGCTGTAAGGCTGGCCCGGTGGCTCATGCCTGTAATCCCAGCACTTTGGGAGGCCGAGGCGGGCGGATCACGGGGTCAGGAGATCGAGACCATCCTGGCTAACACGGTGAAACCCCATCTCTACTAAAAAAATATGAAAAAATTAGCCAGACATGGTGGTGGGTACCTGTAGTCCCAGCTACTTGGGAGGCTGAGGCAGAATGTTGTGAACCTGGAAGGCAGAGCTTGCAGTGAGCAGAGATCGCGCCACTGCACTCCAGCCTGGGCGACAGAGCGAGACTCCGTCTCAAAAAAAAAAAAAAATGATGCTGCGAGAACTTAGATCCTGCTGATCCTGTCCCCAGTGCCCTGCTCTATCAGCAACACAATGGGGCCCCTCTTGCCCCAGTTTCCTGCCATATAATATGGGCCCCTAGGAACCGGGAGTGGCCCAGGAAGCAGGACTGAGCGCAGCTCTAAGAGCCGGTGTCGGAGGCACACATAGCTGGGGTCTCCCACGTGCAGGGGCGCCCTGGGATGTGGACCAGTAACCACTGTTTGACACCTGCCTCCTCCCCTGAGGGCATCCCCCGCTGGGTGCCTGTCGTGTGCCAGGCCTCCCAGCAGCTCTCTAGGGAAGCAACACTCCCATTTTATAGAGAGGAAAGCAAGGCTCAGCAGAGTTAAGTCGTGTGCCCAAGGTTTCAGCTAGTGGAAGTTTGCCCCAGGTCCAGCGTCGGGCTGGCTGGCTTCAAAACTGCCCCTTCAGGTGCTCATTTCCTCCTCCCTCCACCCCTGTTGTCCTCTCGGGTCCACCTGTTTGTCACTGAACTTTTGTTTTCTTGTAAGTTCTGTAGCTGCTACCGGTCGGATGAGGGAAAGGTCACCTGGTGGAGTGGATGGGTAATGAGGTGTGACGCGGGAGGCCAGCCTTTTTCTGGCTCTGCTGGTAACTCGTGTGGCCTTGAACTAGTTCCTTCCCCTTTCTGGACTTGTGGAAGCCTGTGGCTGGGACTTGCCCATCTCCACGTGCCCTCCCGCTTCATGGTGTCTGATTTGGAAAGGCAGAGAGGGAAGACGGGAGCATTTCCGTTTCCCAGGGGCTGATATTCGCTCTCAAAAGAACACAACCCACCATCCAACCAAAGAAAGCCTCATTCCACCTCCCATCCAAAAATAAGGATGGCAGAGAAATAAGCAACAGTCGCCTTTTTCAGGGAACCAGAAATAGCCTCCCGGGCTCCCCGCTCTGACTTCCCAAGTCTTCATTCTGTCTCTATTCTGGGAGAAGAGCTGCTGGCGCCACCACTGCGAGCTTCTCGTGATCGAGAGGGAGGAACCCCTGCTGTCGCTGTCCCTCAGGCAGGCAGAAGGGGCTTGTCTGCTGGTACTGAGATGGTGGGGGTGCACCTGGGCGCCACCTGCCAGTGAAGACAGCTGGGCCTGGTTCCTTCCCAGCCTCCCACTCAGCTGGAGCGTTCTCAGGTTGGGTCCAGTTCATACATCCTAAGAGCAGCAGGTTGGGCCTTTGCACCGGCTGTTCCCTGTGCCTCGTTGGCGCCTCCCCACCCCCCCAGTCTTTGGAAGGTGCCCCTCACCATGTTGTTCAAATCGCATACCCCACCTCTGCCGGCACCCCCATTTTGTGGTTAATGTTTCCCTGCCAGCTCCGGCCAGCTATACATTTCATTTATCTCTCTGGATTATTGTCTGGGTCCCTTCCACTAGAATGTAAGCTCCTCGAGGACAGGGATGCCTCTGTTTTATTTATTACTATATTGTTAGCTCCTGGCATCTAGTAGAGGCTCAACATGTTTTTCTGTTGGTGAATGGTTATTGGAACAGTAGTACTCTACGTTTCTTATTTACTCTCACTTCATGGGTGTGTCGGGATGCTTTTGGCTACCAGAAACTGACTCAAGCGGTGCAGACATAGCAGCCTGTCATGCCCAGCAACCCGAGCGGGGGCAGCTCGGGATGCAAAACAGTCTGTGTCCACTGAGAGATGGGGTCCTTCCCAGCATGTGCTCTGTGGGCTCAAGACTGCCTTCAGCAAAGGCTGGTGCCCAAGCTTGGAATACGAGCTCATCCTAGCAGTGTGGCTGGGCGAGTCTCAGTTGAGTCCCCACCCCACGCCAGAGCAGGAGTGGTCCAGGCAGCCGGTGTGTCTGCCGCTCAGAGTGTGGTCAGCAAGCTCCAGCCTGGGACGAATGAACAAGAATGACCGTGCAGACCTTTCCTGGCCACCCAATTCCTGCTCCCACCTAGGCTGCTGTCTTAACAGAGCCTGGGATTTCAGAAGGGTGGGGGTGTCTGGCCTGATGCTGGATGTGGCCCATTCTTTGAAAATGTCTTGTTCTTGCATTTCGTCTGGACTCCAGACATCTCTGGAGGAAGATGGGCTCCCCTTGTTCCTTCTCTGACTTCACCTCAGACCCAGTGGGGATGAGGAACAAGACTCAATGCGTGTGTAGGGAGGACTGGAGGAGACCGTGGTTGTGAAGCATTTACTTAGCCCAGTGTCCTGCAGAGGGCAAGCACTCTGGATGACAGCTACTGCTACTAGGTTTTTTTTCCCCTTAATGTATTGATACAATTTATGTATCATACATTTACCTTTCTATTTTTTTTTTGAGACAGAGTCTCGCTCTGTTACCAGGCTGGAGTGCAGTGACGCGATCTTGGCTCACTGCAACCTCCGCCTCCCGGGTTCAAAGGATTCTCCTTCCTCAGCCTCCCCGAGTCGCTGGGATTACAGACATGTGCCACCACACCCAGCTAATTCTTGTATTTTTAGTAGAGACAGGGTTTCACCATGTTGGCCAGGCTGGTCTCAAACTCCTGACTTCAGGTGATCGGCCCACCTCGGCCTCCCAAAGTGCTGGGATTACAGTTGTGAGCCACCATGCCCAGCCAAATTTACCTTTTTTAAGTGTACATCTAGTTCTGTAGTTTTGATTATATTCACAAAATTGTGCGGTCATCACTACTAATTCTAGAACATTTTCATCACCCCCAAAGGAATGTACCCATTTGCAGTCCCTCCCAGTTCCTTCCTTCCCCAGCTCCTGTCAACCATTAATCTCTTTTTTTGTCTCCATGGATGTGCGTGTTCTGGACATTTCAGATAAATGGAATCTTACAGTATGTGGTCTTCTGTGTCTGGCTTCTTCCACTTAGCCCAGTGTTTTTATGGTTCTTCCATGTTGTAGCATGTCTCAATACTTTGTTCCTTTTCATGGCTGAATAATATTCCATTGTATGGGTAGGTCACATTTTGTTTATTCCTTCTGCAGTTGATGGACTTCTGGATTGTTGCCCCATTTGGACTATGATGAGTAATGCTGCTGTGAACCATTTTTAGGATTTTATGCGGACATATGTTTCCATTCTCTTGGGTATAAGAAGTGGAATTGCTGGATCATATGGTCACTCTGTTTAACTGTTTGAAAAACTGCCAGACTGTTTCCCAAGCTTCTGTACCATTTCTCTATTCCCACCAGCAATGTATGAGGGTTGGAATTTTTTCCATACCCTCAGCAACACTTGTTATTTTTGGTCTCTTTTATTATAGTCATCCTGGTAGGTGTAAAGTGGTGTCTCATTGTGGTTTTGATTTGCATTTCCCCGATGGCTAATAAGGTGCTTATTGGCCATTTATATGTCTTGTTTTGAGAACTTTCTATTCAAATCCTTTGCCCATTTTTAAATAGAGATATCTTTTTAATTGTTCAGTTGTTGATAGTGTTTTATATATTTCGGATACTAGACGCTTCTCATGATTTGCAAATATTTCCCCCATTCTGTGGGTTGTCTTTATGTTTTCTTTATAGTGCTCTTTGAAGCAAAACATTTTAAATTTTGATGATGCCCAATTCTATTTTTCCTTGGGTTGCTTTTGCTTTTAGTGTCCTGTCTAAGAAGCCATTGCCTAATGCACGGTCATGAAGGTTCACATCTATGTTTTCTTTTAAAGTTTTGTAGTTCTAGCTGTTATAATGAGATCATGATCAGTTTTGAATTAATTTTGTATACGATGTGAAGTAGGGTTCCATCTTCATTCTTTTGCATGTGAATATCCAGTTGTCCAAGCACCATTTGTTGAAACGAATATTCTTTCCGCCCCTTGAATTGTCTTGGCACCCTTGTAGAAAATCAGTTGAGCATAGATGCACAAGTTTATTTCCAGATTCTCTGTTCTATTCCATTGATCTGTATGTCTGTCCTTAGGCTGGTACCACATTGCCTCAATTACTGTAGCTTTGTAGTAAGTTTCGTATTGAGGAAGTGTGAGTCCTCCAACTTTGTTTTTCTTTTTCCAGATATTTTAGTGGTCCTGAGTCTCTTGCATTTTCATAGGAATTTTAGGACCAGCTTGTCATTTCCTGCAAAGAAAAAGCTGTAGTTTTGATGGCTATCATATTGAGTCTATAGATCAATTTGGGAGTATTGCCCACTTAACAATATTAAATCTCCTATTAATGAGCCTTGTGTGTCTTTCCATTTATTGAAGTCTTCTTTAATTTCTTTCAATGGTATTTTGCAGTTTTCAGTGTTTAAGTCTTACACTTATTTTTTAAATTTATTTCTTTTTGATGCTTTTATAAATGGAATTGTTTTCTTAATTTCATGTTTGGATTGTTCATTGCTGGGGTATAGAAATACAGTTGAGGCCAGGCATGGTAGCTCACACCTGTAATCCCAGCACTTTGGGAGGCTGAGGCGGGACAATCACTTGAGCCAAGGAGTTTGAGACAAGTCTGGGCAACATAGTGAGACCCCCATCTCTACCAATTAGTTGGGTATGGTGGTGCAGTTACTCAGAAGGCTGAGCGGGGAAGATCCCTTGAGCCTGGGAGTTTGAGGCTACAGTGAGCTGTGATCGTGCCACTGCACTCTAGCTTAGGCAACTGAGTGAGACCCTGTCTAAAATACACATACATAATTTTCTCTTTTTTTGATATGGAGTTTCGCTCTTGTTGCCCAGGCTGGAATGCAATGGCGCGATCTTGGCTCACGTCAACCTCCACCTCCTGCATTCAAGCGATTCTCCTGCCTCGGCCTCCTGAGTAGCTGGGATTACAGGCGTGCACCACCACGCCTGGCTAATTTTGTATTTTTAGTAGAGACGGGTTTTCTCCATGTTGATCAGGCTGGTCTTGAACTCCCAACCTCAGGTGATCCGCCTGCTTTGGCCTCCCAAAGTGCTGGGATTACAGGCGTGAGCCACCATGCCAGACCCATAAATATAATTTTTAAAAATTAAAAAAGTACAGTTGCTTATCATATATTGATCTTGTATCCTGCAACCTTGCTAAACTCATTTATTAGCTCTAATAGTTTTGGAGGTTTTTTAAATATGTGCATTCCTTGGGATTTTCTATGTATAAGATCCTATTATCTGCAAGTAGAGATGGTTTCACTTCTTCCCTTCCACTCTGTATGCTGTTTCATTTTTCTTGCCTAATGGCCGTGGCTAGAACCTCCAGTACAGTGTTAAATAGAAGTGGCAAGAGCAGACCTCCTTATCTTGTTCCTGGTCTTAGGGGAAGTGTCTAGTCTTTCACTGGGGAGTCTGGGTTTTTCTAGAAGGTTGAAGAAGCTCCCTTATTTTCCTAGTTTGTGGAGTGTTCTTGCCATGAAAGGGTTTTAGATTTTTTCAAATGCTTTTTCTGCATCCATTGAGATGATCATGTGGTTTTTGTCCTCTATTGATATGGTGTATTGCCTTGGTTGATTCTGTGTGTTGACACTGCTATTGTTATGAGGTTTGCCACAGAGCAGAGTAGCATGCTGTCAGGAACCCCCTGAGCCAGGGAGCTCCATGGGCACTTTTTCTGCGAGGGAGGCTGTAGTCAACAGCAGGGGCCTGGGAGTCAGATGGTCTGGGTATGACCTCCTGGCTGTACCACTGGCTCACCATGGAACTCTATGCAGGGAAATGCCACCTCTGTGCCCTAGTTTCCTCATCTGTAAAATTCTCAGGGGACAGGAGTGCTTCCTTGTGGGGTTCTTATGAGGGTAAATGAGTTACTGTGTAACTACGTTGAACAGTTTCTGGCATGGAACACATGCAGTGTTTTGAGACATTGGCTACTGGCCACTAGTGACATTATGTAAAAGCTTGGATGGGCCAGGGTGGGGAGGGACAGTTGAGGAGGGCATTGAAATCTGAAAGCCAAGCTGATTCACCTGCTCTAAAAACTCCGGGGGGCCACAGGGAGTCTGGAAGCTCTTCCAGGAGGTGGCCTGTTTGACCCCAGCAGCCTCCAAATCTTCCTGTGGGAGGAGGGGCCAAGGGTGGAGCCCAGGCTGGTGAGCGCCCGTCCGAAGCCTGCCTATGGCAGAACCCTCCAGTTTAAATTCAGGCCTGAGCACCATATCCTTTGGGACTGGGTTGCAGGGGCGGTGTGTTTGCAGCGAGGAGGCTTTTGCTCAGACTGCTTCCTCCCTTGACAGCCATGGAGGGCCTGCCAGCCCTCACAGCATTCCCGCCCTGCCTGGGGCCTTGTTTGGAAAATGGCTTTCAGCTGAGCACCAGCTCCCCTCCCTCCCCACCCTGACTTTCCTGACTTCCCCTCTCCTGTGCTGCCAGGTGAGCCTGGCTCCTTGTCCTGGCTCTGCCGTTGACCACTGTATGACCTTGGGGCCTGTTTCTGGACACTGTCAGGGACCGCTTGGGATTGAACAGGCCTCTGTGCAGAGGGCCTGCAACACTGTCTGCCAGGGGCTCAGGAAACACTGGCTCCAGACCACCCTCCCAGTGCCCCAGAGAAACTGCAACCCCCCAAATCTTTCTGTTTGGAGTTTAGACTGTGAGGGTAGGAGTCGGGGAACGGGGGAATGAGGATGAGGAGGGAGATAAAAGCAATTTTATATGCCCTGTGTAATTCTTGGCATTTGTTTTTATGACATAAATGAGGCTGGATCTACCTTGATTTAATGTCCTGACCTCCTAGCCAGCCAAGTAGCTAGCAGCTCGAGACAGTCTGCTTTGCTCTGTTTACTTTTGGTTTGGTTTCCAAGCCTGTGGGTGGCAGACCGCCCCCGCCCCGCTCACACTCAGCCTTTCCTGGCCCCTGTGCCCTGAAGTACAGGGTGGTCCCACCTTTGTGGTCTTATCAGGGAAGGGGGACAATGACAAGAAACAATAATAACAAACCAGTAATTTCATCATCAGCAGAGAGATTCCAAATACATTTTGTTATCCCACAAAAAATCAGTTTACCCCTGCTCGGTGCCAGGCACGAGTCAGGATGAACAGAACAGGTCAGCTTTTGAGGGTTTTAGGAAGTTGGACTCACTCTTAGAATCCACTGGGTGGGCCTGGAGAGGGGCCCAGGAATGCCAAGCTGTGAAGGGCGAGGAGGAATTGGCAGGGGGACCAGGCGCGGCCTGGGCTGGAGCATGCAGCAGAGATGCAGTGAGCGTGGTGGGGAGGCCACCTCTGGAGCTCCACACAATGCCCTCAATTATGTTAAGTAGTCTGCAGGTGAGGGGTCAGGCAGTGTCCATGTGGAAACAGTTGTGTCACCACCAGCTAGTTCTTTAATCTCTCTGACCCCAGTTTCCTCCTCATGGGATTATTTTGCAAACTGTGGAGGTGATGCCGGCAAAGCCCTCGGTACAGCGCCAGACGCATGCTAAGAGCTATATTGTCACTGCGATTATTATTAAGCCAGTGTATCACATGGTGGGAAAGTCTTTATTGAACCAGAAAAAATGGTCATGGCTTATGAAGTTAGGATTCAGGTTACAAAATTTGTACAGCTCTCTGCGTGTAAATGTACGCGTGGGTAAAAGTCCACAGTGGTGGGGTAGTAGTTGTAATGTCTTGTCAATATGTACATTTTTTACTTTTCTGTACTCTTCGGATTTTACACAGTGATCATACACGAGTTTTGTAATTACAGAAATGTTATTAGACAATGTAACGGCAGGGCTGTGGTTATTGTTCACACACACGAGCACATGGGACTGCAGAGGTTGGGGACGGTCAGATCCAGGAGCGTGGGGGCACTGAAGGCCCCTGGGGTGGGGCGGGCTGTCACAGGACGTGCACCTGGGGCGGCTGCCCAGGAGCTGTGCTGACCAGGCCTCCCTTCTGCCCTAGACGACAGGATCTGCTCGCCACCCTTCATGGAGCTCACGAGCCTGTGCGGGGATGACACCATGCGGCTGCTGGAGAAGAACGGCTTGACTTTCCCATTCAGTGCGTACCATCCCAGCTCCACCTGAGGGCAGGCGCTGTAGACCGCAGGCCAGCATAGGGGAGGGGCTGGGTTTATAGTGCCCTCTGGATTTAAGCTCACCCGAGGATGGATGAGCACATGGCCCTGGGTCCCACCTCCACCCACACCATAGAAACGGGTCCTGGTAGGGGACACAGGTCAACGTGCTCTCCTGCCTGGCCTGGGGGTGTCTACCCACACGTCACCCTCAGTGCAGATACCAGGTGTCCAGAGTCTGTGTCTCAGCTAGAGTTCCTTTCTAGACGTGCCAAGTACCTGCCTTGTGGGTGAACGGCCTCACTAATTTCTCTCTGCTTTTCTCTCCCCAACCCATAGTTTGCAAAACCAGAGTGGCTCATGGCACCAACTCTCACGAGGTGAGTGGAAGAAGATCTGACTGTTGTCCCTGACCCCCATCCTTTCAGCTCATCGTGTCTCACTGCTACCCTGCCGGATTCCTCACTGCCACTGCTCCTGCCCTGCTGTTAGTCCTGGCTCCTTGGTAGATAGCCTCCTTCCCTTCCCTGGACTCCAGAGGAATCGAGCGGGAGTGCTGTGGCTTCATGCACTGTCTGCAACCTCACCTCAATGCCTGTCCTGTCCCTAAGGCAGGAGGATGTGCTGGGGACCCACCTGTCCTCTGTGGAGCCTGTCGTAGCTGTGGCAGCCATAACAAACCCCAGGCACTGGGTGGCTTCGCCACATTTATTTTCTCACAGCCCCGGAGGCTAAAAGTCCCAGGTCAAGGTGCCAGCAGGGTCAGTTTCTGGTGAGGGCTCTCTTCCTACCTTGCAAATGGCCACCTTCTCACTGTGTCCTCACACGGCCTCTTGTGTGTGTGAATGGGGAGGGGCAGAAAGCAAGAGCAAGCTCTCTGATTTCTTCTGATAGGGGCACTAATCCCATCTTGAGGGCCCTGCCCTCAAGACCTCCCAAAGGCCCCACCTCCAGATACCACCACAGTGGGGCATGGGCTTCAGCGTAGGAATTCTGGGGCACACGTTCAGTCCATAGGGGAGCTTGTGCGAGTCATGCCTCAGTCCGGCCCGCCCTGCAGGGCTGGCTATCCTTTGGGCCATCAGTGTCATCTCTTCGAGGGCCTGTTTTGTGGCAGGCACCGGGCTGGGCCCACATGAGGGCTGTTAGCTCTGACAAGGCTCTGTCACTGCCACAGGGGTCTGCCATGCTGCTGAATTGAGACGGGCCAGGGAGGAAAAGAGGGCTGCTTAGAATCAACCCTGTGGAATGCTTTGAATCATGAGTCACCCACCCGCCCATTCATTCTTTTATTCACTCTATGATGTTCCCGGCCACCTTGAGGACCATGGAGACCAGGAGACAGATGCATAGGATGTGAGTCCTGTCCCTAGAGAGAGCCAAGGAGCCTGTGAGGACTCCAGGGGCTAGAGGAGTGGATGGTCATGCAGGGGCTTCGCTGGGGCCAGGGCCCGTACCACCCTCAGGAGCCACACCTGGGGCCTTGTCTTTGCCCTGGACACAGCACTGCCTGGGGTCTCCCCAGTGGGCACATGTTGGGGTATGCTGGGCAACAGGCATCTGACCGGAGTGGGCTCTCTGGGGAAGGCTTGTCCTTGGAAAGCCCCACCAACAGAAATGCTCCCCAGAGCTCACGACTAAAAGGGGAAGATGCAGCAGCATGGGCCTTTCCTGGGTTATGTACTGCTCTTTATCCCTGGCCTGCACTTCCGGGGAAGTATCAGCAGACAGTGTCAGCGTAGCGCAGCACATGCTGTGATGGGAAGGAGTGTGGAGACAGCCCGCCGTCCCGTTGTCAGTTGTCTGAAATCAGGAGCCCTCACGTAGTCTTCCTGTGGGTGTTGGCCCTCCTGCCGCAGCCTACCTGGGCTCTGTGCCTGGTGCTGGCAGCACCCTCCAGGATGTACCAGGCCAGGGAGGGAGCAGGAAGGCTCGAGAGCAGCAGCGTTGGTCCCCAGGCCCCCCTCAGCCCCAGTATCTGCCTGCCCGCCTTCCACCAGCCCCTTTAACCACCCAGTGGTTCCTCTGTGTGTGAGTTGCTTGGGTGTTCCCAGATGGAAGCACGAGCGTAGTTATTAACGTGAGTAGATCCGCCTAACTCAGAACCTGGCAGCCCGGGAGGAGGGAGCCACTTCTGCGAGTCACTCAAGGCCTGAGGGCCGGGGCTGTGGAATCCCAGAGACCTGGGACTGATTCTGGTGCCGTGTGTTGCCATTTGTGCGACTTTGGCAAATTACCCAGCCACCCAGAGTATCACATTTGTGACTGGAGACGTTAGCGGCTTCTGTGAAGGATGAGGGGTCACTGCCAGGGTTGCCTGGGTGGACTGTTGGATGAGCTGCCGGAACCAGCTGCCCTGGTACTTGCCCGGTACTTGCTGAAGGGGATGGGGGTTCTGGATCCAGGTGCACCCCTCTCAGGATGCCCCTGATGGGCCTCGGGACTCTCAGCCCTCAAGTATGGGGTCAGCACGCTCAGGGGAAGCTATAAATCACTCCTCATTCTAGCCGCCTGGCTCCAGGATGTTTGTACAGGTGCCCCTCCCTCTACTCCCCAGCCGGCTGTCTGGGTCCACTGCCGGCAAGGTGTGCCACCACGTCCCATGTACTCAGAGACCCCAGCGGACTCTCTGTGCAGACGGGGCATGTTAGCATTGCAGGGACGTGCCCTCTGGGGTGGACACTGTCCACCAGATCGGCAGAGGTTGGGGGACAAGCTTCTCACAGATTCCAGGGGTACCCGGGGAAGCCAAGTACAGCAGGGGCAGAAAATAGCACTGTGCATGGCTGGCTTTAGATAGGGCAGCAGGTGCTTCTGATCGGGAGTCCTCGTCTGCATCCCAGCCCGCGCACTCCCGGCCTCTGAATCTCCCAGCCCGAGACTCAACCAAAACCAGGACCATTTCTGCTAAACCACTCTGTCTTCATTTTATGTTCTCAGAACTCTTTTATTTGGGTTTTTGTTTTGTTTTTGAGCCAGTGTGAGGGTACTCATTTGCTCCACAGTGGAATCTTTTTTTTTTTTTAAGCTATAACTTAGCCAAAAGCTCAAAGCATCCCTGAAGCCACCCATGATTTTGCAGAGGAAGACAGTGGCGCTTAAGCAGGGTGGGGGCCCAGCCTCGGCTCACACAGCAAGTGCTCAGCAGGCATTCCAGCCCCTGCCTGACTCCAGAGCTGCTCGTGTTTTTCCTGTCCTTTATTCTTGTCAGAAGGCTGAGGAGATGTTCACTGCCCCCCAACGCCCCCAGCACAGACACACACTTTTTGTTTTTCCCATGTGGCCTGGATTTCCACGTCTGTCCTGCCCAGCTGAGCTCCAGGCACGTAGGGCCGGCGCTCCGTGACAGCTGACACAAGGGGTGGCAGCTGGGGAGGCAGCCAGCTCTCCGGGGCCCATTATCCCTGCTCAGCAGCCCCAGCCGTCTGGTGGCTCCTTCCTGGGGCCCTGCGGGCTGAGGGATTAGCCATGACCCTGGCACCAGCAGCTGGATCGGCTAGGCCTAGGGCCCACCCCTCTGTCCTTAGAGCAGACCCTGTGCAGAGCCCGTGCTGGCCGGGGCTGAGAGGGTTTTGGCAGCTGCCCCCCTGCACTCCCTACCCCAGCCCCTACCAGATCCTCCTGTCAGGGACCTTTTTCCCCAGAGGAGTCGGGGACCAGGAGCACAAAGGCCTGTTGTTTGCGGAGTATCACATGGCTCCGTGTGTAGGGGCGCGGCTGGGTGCTGTGCAGACCCAGTTCCATCCCGGGCTCACTCACTGTCCAGCAGTCACTGAACCTCTCAGCGCCTCATCGTCCTCATCTGTGAAAGGTTGTATGCTCACCTCAGATGTGCATTGTGAGGGAGACACTAGGTAACTGGTGTACGTGCTCAGAACAGGGCCCGGCTTGTCACAACTGCTTGACAAGAGGCAGCCGTTGTCATCAGACAGGCTTTGACCCAAGGCCTCCTGACTCCTGCGCCCGAGTCATCTGCTTCCTTCCTCCTCCCGGGTCTTTGTGGAGGATCCTTTAGGATGTCAGAGGGTTGAGCAGCACACAACCTCAGCGGCCCCCTTCCCTGGACCACAGTGCGACAAGTGGTGTCACGCTCTCAGAAGTTGTGCAGTGCACAGCCAGCTCGATCTCACATGGCAGGCCCGGTGAAGGGAGGATCTCCAACCCCGTGGCAGAAGGGATGCATCCCCAGGTGTTCTTCACAAGTCCCACTCCACTCACCCTGGCTCAAGGCTCCTCTAGGGGAGTCCTCATGCCACAGGACCAGGGATGGGCCTTGGTGGAGGTGCTCTGGACAGGTGACACACCTGTGTGTTGGAGGCTGAGAAGGTGGTGGATTCTGACAGAGCTTTTGACCCCTTGTCTTCCCAGATGGCTATCGTGTTCAACCAGGAGGGCCTGAACGCCATCCAGCCACCCTGCGTGGTCCAGAATTTCATCAACCACAACGCCGTCCTGTACAAGGTGTTCGTGGTTGGCGAGTCCTACACCGTGGTCCAGAGGCCCTCACTCAAGAACTTCTCCGCAGGCACATCAGGTAACTGCTCTTCTCACCATCTTGGGCTGAGCAAGACTCAGGGGCCCAGCTGGGATGTGGCAGCAGCTGTCTGTCCTTCGGCACTGCCCCAACCACCCTGTGTTCTTGGTGGGATGGAGAGGTGCTCTAAAGGTGGAAACAGTTGTGTACGGTGGATAAAGAGGTCTTGGGGAACTAGTAAAATGTCCCTATTCCCTGGGTCATTGTAGGGGGCCCCACCCACCTGAACCACCGTAGACTCCAGGATGCATCCAGAAGTGTTCTGTCCCCAGCATGCTTCTGGGGGACCCACACAATAATGATATTCATGGAGGAACACGCTGGGACAGGTGTGGCCAGCATGGCGTGGATTGGCCTTCCAGGGAAGCCAGGGCAGGTGCTGCCTGCTGTCTCCCGCTGAGCCATCTTTACCTTGGGTCTCATTTTCCCCTGGGGAGCCTGAGACAGAGTTGCCTGCTGCTACCTGCATAGCTGCCAGGGTAAATCAGACTGTGAGAAGCAGCAGCTGCCGGGTTACAGGTCTTCTTAGGTGCAGGACTCCTACCGTGCCAGTGAGCGTGTTTTGAGTCAGTGGACGGTGGTCTAGGAGTCCCGTGGGTGTCACATAGGGCGTTCTCTGCATGATGCTGTTGTCGCTGGGCCTGAGAAGCAGCCTCCCAGGGAGCAGCCTGTGGACCCCACTGCGCTGAGGGGCCTTCCTTCCGCCAGCTGCTCACCGCCCTCTCCAGCCTCAGCCATTTTAAAAACGGACACTGAGTTAAAGATTTGCTGGCAGTGGAGCTGCTCGAAAGGATGTTCTAGTGGCTTCTGAAGGCATCTCTAAGGCACGTTCTGGAAACCTTTGGAACAGTGGCAGTGTCTTGGGATAAGTAGCTTTCCAGGAGGACCCTTTGGAGAACACTCACTGCCCCGCTGTGGCTTGTTCAAATCAGCTGCACATTTCTTTCAGCAAGGGGAACCCACATCATCAGAAGCGTTCAGACGCCGGCTGTTTTACCTCCAGCTGAGCAAACAGATGTGTCCTCTTGGCATCCCTCCTCCGGGGACTGCCTGTGGCCATCCACATCTCCTGGCTGGTGTGCCGCCCGGCATGGAGGGGCTGCAGTGCTGCGGTTGCCCTCTCAGCCCTTCTTCCCCTAGATGCCTCTTCTCTTTCCATGGACACATGCAGAGCGTGGATACTTTGGAAACGTGCAGGTGTTCATTTTCCTCCGAGGGCAGGTGGCCTTCCTAGCTGGGCGTGTGGCTCCCAGACTCAAGGCTGTATTTTCAGGGTTTGGGACATCATGGTCCCAGCCCCTGCCCACTGGGTGGGAGCCAAATGCTGGAAGCATATTTTTATATGTGGCTATATACCACCAAGAGATATTCCTCCAAGTTATGGGCTGGAAGAGGCTGACATTTTTTAAAATGCTGTTTATTCCCTGATTTAAGAAAATAATAATGCTTTAAGTCTATGGAAAATATATTAAATTAAGAGGAGTTATATTTTATATCAACTCCTTTCTGTTTTTACCCAGGTCACTCCATCTCTAAAAGAAATTTACTGTCAGATCTCCTTTCTTATCCACTGTGGTTGGGTTTTTCTGTTTTCTCCTTTTTCCTTCTGGTTGCAAAATGCTGGGCCAGTTTCCGTCTCGACGCTGGGAACCATTAACAGCAGAGTGTGGGCTCCTATCCTGTATCTGTGAGGACGAGGACTCCTTGCCTGTGTGTCTTCTTGTGTGGCTATTTCTAGGTTGCCAGTTTGCCATAAAATGCATACCAGGAGACCAGACGTGGTGGCTCATGCCTGTAGTCCCAGTTCTTTGAAGAGACCAAGGTGGGAAGATTGCTTGAGGCCAGGAATTTGAGACCAGCCTGGGCAACATAGTGAAACTCCATCCCTACCAAAAAAAAAAAAAAATTAAAAAATTACCTGGGCATGGTGGTGTGCACCTGCAGTCCCAGCTACTAAGGAGGCTGAGGCAGGAGGATCGCTTGGGCCCAGGAGTTTAAGGTTGCAGTGAGCTGTGGTCATGCCACTGCATTCCAGCCTGGGTGACAGTAAGACCTTGCCTCTTAAAAAAAAAAAAAAAAGCAGACTAAGCCCAAATAGTAGAGAAACACACAGAGCTAAAAAGGAGAAATGTTTATTCTGTTCACGTGAACTAAGTAACTGTTAGTGTGTCTCTCCATCCCCAAAGCTGATTCTGTGTCCCCATCTCTAGGGCACTGTGCCAGGGAGCTAACGTGGGTCCTCTGGTTTCTACGTGTATGTTCTCTTTCTGGATAAGAAGTGTAATGCAACAGCAGCCTTTTAAGCTGGACCAGTTGGAAAGGGGGTTTGGGACTCTGGCCTCTTTCCGGCCCTCACCCCAGCTTTCCAATTTCCTTTGCCCAATGACATGTCCCCCAACTTCCCGTGGCCACGCAGGGATGGGGGTTCCTTGAGTGGGATTTTTCTGGACCTGGGATAGAGACAGGGACATGAGTCTTCACTCGACAACTGCCAGTCTCCTTTGCCTGTCAGCTGCACTTTTGTTTTTTACGTGTTGACATCTCAAATCAAGTGTGCCTTATAGCCAGTGGCATCCATGCAGAGGCTTTGGCTGGAGCTGAAGTCAGGTTGTGGCTTGTGCCATCCACCAGGAACATTTTGTGTTCTCTGCCTGTGGTTCGCATTCACAGAGAGACTGTTTCCCTCCCTCCACCCTGTGCCAGGGTAGAGATTAGCGGGTTCCTTTGCTCTCCCTTTCTATAGAGTGGGTTTATTTCTTGCTCGTCTTTACCCTGAGGACGCAGCGCAGGCTCCCAGCTTTATGCAGGTTCCCTCCATTATTCTCTCCAGCTTGAGCCTTGTTTCTCTTAGGCATGCATGAGTGGTACCTCTCACCATGTAGAGCGGGAGGCAGCAAACTTTTTTTTGCAAAAGGCCAAATTATAAACATTTCCAGCTCCATCCCAATTATTTAATGCTGCCGTTGTAGTGCAAAAGCAGCTGTAGATATGTAAATGAGTGGCACGGCTGTGTTCAAATGAAACTTTATTTACAAGTGCAGGTGGCCGGGCTTACAGCCTATAGTCTGCTGAGCTCCTCTCCAGAGCCTCTTAATAGTCAGTGATACAGCATTTATCAAACCTACCATGTGCCCAGCCCTGCGTGAGCTGCTGGGGATCCAGTCAGGGACTAGGCAGGCACCCAGCTTCCTGCCCTCATGAGCTTGTATTCTGGTGGGAGAAACTGCACACAAGGAGAGAAATAAGAAAAGGGTCAACTGTGGCCTGAGATAAGGGGTTCTGAGGGGAAGAGAATATGTCCTGGGATACCACTGGGTGAGGGGAGCCACTTGGAAAGGGCAGCTCAGGATTTCCCTCTGCAGAGATGATACTCATGGCAACTGGAAGATGACTTGGGTCACCATCTGTAGCATTAGGACACATTCTCCCCATCCCCTTCGCCTCCCAAGAGAGAGAGAGGAGATGAAGGAAATAAGGCTAAAAGCAGTGTGGCCCAGCTCGTGGCTGTACGGCTGAGTTGCTGGGATGTTTGGGGGCTAATCTTATCATTTATTCTTCTTTTAAACCTATTTTTTAAATCCATAAGTTGAGAAGAAAACACACACATTCTTCCTTTCATTGCCCTCCCTCCCTGTAGAACGTTGGTGGTAGTTCTCCACTGGTGCTATTGGGCTAGTCCAGGAACAGACTGCATGGGGCACCCAAAATCCAGGGTGCTGTCGTGAGTGAGGGCTTGCTGATACATGCTGGGAGCAACGCCCTGGTCTGGTGTGTTAGAGGAACCGACTCTCTTGGAGCTGGCCACCAGGTTTCTTTCCCTGATGCCTTCTCACTTGCCTCAGCTTTCCATCATCTCTTGGGTGACTGGCAGCCACAGGAGGCTGCTCCTACTCCCTCCGACCCCTGTTCAGACCGCACATAGAGAGGAACTGAGCCCAGACCATCTCTCACTGCCCTGCCAAAAGGGTCTTCTGGCCAGAGCTCCCAGGTCAGAATTAGCCAGAAGGGCCAGGTGCGGTGGCTCATGCCTATATCCCCAGCACTTTGGGAGGCTGAGGCGGGCAGATCACCTGAGGTCAGGAGTTCAAGACCAGCCTGACCAACATGGCAAAACCCCGTCTCTACTGAAAATACAAAAAATTAGCCAGGCGTGGTGGCAGGTGCCTGTAATCCCACCTACTCAGGAGGCTGAGGCAGGAGAATCACTTGAACATAGGAGGCGGAGGTTGCAGTGAGCCGAGATCGGGCCACAGCACTCCAGCCTGGGCAACAGAGTGAGACTCCATCTCAAAAAAATAAAAAGAAAAACAGAATTAGCCAGGAGGAGAAAAGAGCCCCTTTTGAAATGTCCTGGACTCCAGCTCTTCCTGCCAGGAGAAACTGTTGTGTTGCATGATCTGTCCAGGTGAGCAGACACTGGCCGGCCCCTCTGAGTACCCAGCTCTGGCCCTTCCTGGCACCCACTCAGCACCCACGTGTTCTCCTTGCGGCTCCTGCAGACTTCCCAACCTCCCTGATCTTTGCTGTGTCTACCTGCGCTTGGTGGCCCTTCCTCCCCCTGGGCCTTCTCCGCCATTCGGCAACTGCTATTCAGGATCTACAGGGAAATAGGTGGGAAGGTGCCCTGAGCTCAGGGGGCTGAGCCAGGCTGGGCTACAGGATGAGAAGGTGGGCAGCGTTCCCCTCCCAGCTGCTCGAGCTGTTCCAGCCGCAAGCCCACAGGGCTTATGCCATCCCCACAGACTCCCTCTTCTTGGCTGTCGGTGCCTTGGGAGTAGAGATCCTGGGGGCCACATGACACATGTCCTGCGGGGTGTTTATTTTCCCCAGGCTCCTCCCCAGGACCATATTTCATGGCCCCCGTCTGGACTGGCTCTGGTCAGAGCAGCAGGAGGACTGTCGGGCACACCAGGGCAGCCAGGGGCCTCTGTGCCCCGCTAGCGGGAGGGACGCCGGGTACATCTCAGCGCCTGCCTGCTTGGCTTCCGCCCGAATCACTCCCTCATGCATAATTGTTGCGGCGCTGTGAAGTCCTGGAGCTGATGGGTCGTTGGCAGCCAGATCAGGTGCCCCATTGGCATGGCCCCCAGCACGCAGCGGCCCTCAGCCAGTGCCCTCCTGTCCTCGCACATAGGCGCCTGGGTGCCAGGGGTGTGCATTGCATCCTGGGGGTGGGAGCCACAATGCCTCACCCTGCAAGGACTCAAGGAGGGGCTGCTGGGGCTGGCGGCCCAGGACGGTCCCGTGCCAGCCTTGGGGGAAGTCGTGGGATGGTGACAGACAGCCTTTTCCAGAACTCGGCCTGAGGCTCATGGTTCTGCAATTCTTGCATTTGCGTGCCAATGCTTCCCAGTGCCTACAAGCGTGTTTCTGACCAACCGACCTGACATTTTCCCCAAGTGACTTTGGCTTACTCCCCAAAGACATTTCTCCTGTGGGATCTACTTGCACTTTCAGTATTCTTTGGACTGGTCTGCCTCTGCGGGTCCCCAGTGGGCCTGTACGGGCCGGGTGTTGTGGGAGGCAGGCGGGAGCCAGACGTGTGGGGTGAGGGTATTTCAGACTCTCTGTGCCAGCTTCCGTTGCCAAAGAGAAATTGTGCTGTGTGCTTTCTTGGACGGATCCTGTGGAAGCCTACATTCTCTGATTTCCTATTTTTTTCCCTAAGTCGCTAAGAACCACCAGAACCCTTTGTATTTTAAGTGCTCACGTGCCGGTGCCAGCCTGTCCCTATGTCTCTAGCATGTTCCCCAAAAGAGAGTCCCGTGGGCTGGGAGCACTGGCCTAAATAACACCAAGAGGCTGCTTTGATGTGGGCCCTCTCTGGCCGTGATATTCAGGTGTTTAGCTGTCCCACCGAGCCCTTTTCCCCTACTTCCCTGTATAGTGACAGCACACTTTGGGAACAGGGCCTCAGGGAAAACCAGATGTGATGCTGTGAGATGGTAGCAGAGGTCAGCTCATTACATCGGTTACTTTTATGTGGGAGGAGAAGGTGAACCGGAGCCCTGATGGGGCACACATCCGTGCCCAGGGCTGGTGCCCAGCTTGCTGGAGCCCAGGGCTCTGCAGAGCCGGGGGCCACGTGTTGTGTGCCTGGGGTGATGCTGCCCCCTGGTGTCAGGTGGCGGCAGTGTGGTCCCTGCATTGAGGTTCTAACGCCGGCTCCTTCCTGTCGCTTTTTCAGACCGTGAGTCCATCTTCTTCAACAGCCACAACGTGTCAAAGCCGGAGTCGTCATCGGTCCTGACGGAGGTGGGTCCCTCTGCTGGGATGGCCTGGCCTGAAACTGCCCTCCCGTGGGCCTAGGTGTGGGCTGCTGTGGCCATGGGGTCCTTGGCCAAGCTCTCCAGCAGGGTAGGGTGGGAAGGACGTTTGCCTCCATGCCACAGGCCCCAGGAGGTTCCAGAGCCCCCTGTTCCTCTGCTTGCTTCGAGTTTTCATGCTAGCAGCCATTGCAGCCCGGCCCAGCACAGGGAGAGGTGAGGGGCACACTGGGCTTGCAGGGACAGACCACTCACTGCAAGCTGCCCACACAGAAGGTGTGCTGACCCTTCTCCCAGCATGAGGAATTGGAAGAACTGCTCTCTAATCTGCCTTGTTCCTGATTTTCAAAAAGGCTGTGGAGGCAGCACCATCTCAGTCCTTTGTCCTGCAGTGGTCCTGAGGCTGGCAGGAGTGTTACCCTGCCCCCAGCACTATGGGTAACGGGCGTTCTGGCCGTTCAGTGAGTGTTGCTGTGGCCAGTGTCAGCCCAGGTGCCCTGCAGTGCGGGTCGCAATCAGGTCTCATGGCATCAGAGAGGCTCAGTGATCTTTGCACGTTCACAAGGCTGTTCACACGGTGCAAGGCTGGGGTTTGACCCCAGATCTGTCTGACTCCAAAGTTGGATCTTCCAGGAATTTAGGACTTCTGACCTCACCAGTGATTCCTGAGCACCTGACCCCAAAGAATTTAGGAAAGGCTACCCTCTGCTGTTTGCCCGAAGTCCAGAGAGCCAGCGGCTACTTCCCTAAACTCAAGAGCCCTCTGCCAGGGAGCCTGCTGTTCTGAGGATGCATGTGTGCTGCTCTTCTGGGGGGCTTTGCTGGTCTCTTCCTCCCTGTCCTGGGCTGGCCTCTCCAACGAACCAGCCTCCACTCCAGTGGCAGTGCTCGTGTCCCTCGGGGGGCTGCCCCAGAACCCAGATGGCCTGTCTGTCTGTCTGTCTTTTGTGTCAGGGTCCTCTGAGGAGCCAGCAGTGTGCTGAGGATTAGACAGAGCACAGGCGTGGGCAGGACCTGGAGGGAACATCGCCATCCCTCAGGATGTTGACACATGTCCCCTGGGAACATATCAGGCTTTGGGAACAGATTTCAACAGAGCCTCAGTGCCTGGCTGAGAATATTATGAGATGTTCTGTGCAAGAGACGGCTTTCTTCTAAGCTTCAGAATCCTGGGGCTTCTTCCGTGCATGGCTTTGCTCTGGGGGCCTCGGCAGCCCATGCAATGGAGGGGATTTGGCATTTGCAGACTGAGTGTCCTCTCAGGGGCAAGGCCAGCAGCCGTGATGGCAGAAGGACCCATCCAGAAGTCACTGTCTTGGATTATCACTTGTTGACCTCAGCCTTAATCTCCTCATCTGTAAAACGGGAAGGGGTCAGCCTAGAGACACTGCAGGGCCCTTCCCTTCACCTCTGAGGTCTGCAGTCACCTCCTCCTTCCCTCAGCACATGGCTGCTAGTCAGGAATCTGCCAGGACTGACGATTTCCAAAAATAGAAAAGAGAAATGCGGTCAGCACCACCTTTTCCACTGGGACATCAGCCCCTCCTGGACGCCCGCAGGCTGGCCTGACAGAGCCAGCTCTGTTCCCAGGTGCGGAAACACGCTTGCTGCTCATCCACCTGCCCCTGCCCACCTGGGGCTCCTCCAGTCCTGCCTTGGCCTCCCTGGGAGTCTGGTGCAGGAAGCCCTCCTCTGGCCTTAAAGCACCCCCTCCCTTCCCAGTGGGATGCCCCTGCGGATGGGCCTAGCCCCACCGAACTTGGAGGGCCCCATACATTTTTTGCTTTTCGAAATTCAGTCTAGGGTATTAGTTAAGAGCACAGACTCTGACGGGACTGCCTGGGGTCCGGCCCAAGCTAAGGCGAGTCGCGTCGCCTCTCTGAGCCTTGGTTTCTTCTTCCTGCCCCAGAAGGATTCCGGAGTCCAGGGAGTTCCTGGGTGAGAAGCACCCACCGCAGTTGCCAGGTGTGCAGTATGGGCACGGTCTCGGCAGCCGGGTGCCGAGGCCCACTGGGGACCCATGAACGCCTTCCCAGTTCCTCTGTCACCTCCTTGCTTTCCAGAACGTCATCAGATCACTTGCTTTGAGGGCCCCAGGCATCTTGTCCTAGGATGGCTATTTGGTTTTGGATAACCAGACAACTTCGGAAGGATTTCTGAGATTCTGCAACCAGGCCGAGAGCACTTTTGTAAATGGCGTGCCATGGGGCGTGTGGCAGTGCAGCAGCCAAGCTCCCTTGCTGCTGGGCCTGTGCTGTCAGCCTGAGGCAGCAGCTCCTCCCGTCGTCGGCACCACAATCTCACAGCGAGATGTTTTTATTACCCCATTTACTGGGGCAAGAAAACAAGGCCCAGAAGGGTTCTGTTATGGCTTAGGGTACACAGTGGAGAGTGGGCAGCTCCAAGGTATCCACCAGGGTCTCTCTGACTCAGTGAGGGCCTTGGGCTGCAGGATGAGTGGCTGAGCTGCCCCACTAGGCTTAGCCTCTGGCCCCCACTGGCAAGAGTGACCCAGGAGGCTCAGAAAAGCTAAGTGGCTGGGCGCGGTGGCTCATACCTTTAATCCCAACACTTTGGGAGGCCAAGGCGGGCAGATCGCTTGAGCCCAGGAGTTTGAGACCAGCCTGGGAAACGTAGTGAGATCTTTAATCCCTACCAAAACAAAATACAAAAATTAGCAGGGCGTAGTGTTGCTTGCCTGTAGTTGCGGCTACTCAGGAGGCTGAGGTGGTAGGTTCATTTGAGCCCGGAAGGTCGAGGCTGCGGTGAGTTGTGATCTCGCCATTGCACTGTAGCCTGGGCAACAGAGCAAGGCCCTGTCTCAAAAGAAAAAAAAAAAAAGAAAGAAAAGTGCTAAGGGATGAGTGTCTCTTACAGCCAGGCCACTCCTGCCCCCTAGAAAGTATTTCTTCCAGATACGACACCAAGGCCTTGAGGCTGTGAGCAGGGGGGCCCTGTGTGTCCTGCAAAGCCGGGGTGGGAGATGCGCTGGTGTAGGCCTCAGAGCGTGGGTGATATCCAGGCGTGGGTCCCTCAGAGCGTGGGTGATATCCGGGTGTGGGTCCCTCGGAGCGTGGGCGGCGCCCGGACTTGGAGCGTGGGTGGTGCCCGGGCATGGGTCCCTCGGAGCGTGGGCGGCGCCCGGGCGTGGGTCCCTGCTCAGCGCTTCCCTCCCTGGAAGTTCCCAGTGGTTACTTCAGCCTCCTGTGCTTGGGTAAGGGCCATTTTTCTTGGTGACCAGGGCTCTGTCCCCAGCCCTGTCGATCTGCTTTCACTTTTTTTTTTTTAATTCAGGTGCACCTGGCACAGCGGCTCACACCTGTAATCCCAGCATTTTGGGAGGCCAAGGAGGGAGGATTACTTGAGGCCAGGAGTTTGAGACCAGCCTGGGAAAGATAGTGAGACCCTGTCCCTACAAAAAACAAATAAAATTAGCCAGGCATGGTGGCACACGCCTGTAGTCCCAGCTACCCCAGAGGCTGAGGCCCAGGAGTTCAAGGCTGCAGTGAGCCGTGATTGCACCACTACACTCCAGCCTGGGTGACAGAGTGAAACATTGTCTCTAAATAAAATAAAATTGAGGTAAATTCACATACATAAGATTAACCATTTTAAAGCGAATAATTCAGTGGCAATTAGTACCTTCACAGTGTTGTCCAATCACCACCTCTATCTGGTTCCAAAACATTTTCATCACTGAGAAGAAAACCCTGGGCCCACCGGCACTCACTCCCCATTTCCCCCACCTCATGTTATTGGCAGCCGCTGAGCTCGTTGCTGTCTCTGTGGCGTTACCTGTCCTAGATATTCCGTAGAAATGGAATCACACAATATATGAGCTTTTGTGTCTGGGTTCCTGCACTCAGCATGATGTATTCAGGGTTCCTCCGCTTTGTGGCATATGTCAGAAGTTCATTCCTTTTTATGGCTGTACAATATTCCGTCGTATGGATAGACCAGTTTTTGTAGCTGTTCATCTGTGGATGCACGCTGGGGTATGAATAACACCACGGTGAGCGTGGGTGGACAGCATCCGTTTGAGTACACGTTCTCAGCTCTGGGGTGTGTACCCCGGAGCAGAACTGCCAGGTCAGATGGTTATTCCATCTCCAGCTTTTGAACCCAGCTTCACTTTTGTCTTTCATGGATCAGCCACTCCCTTCCCCTTTGGCCCCTAAGCCCACAACCCCCAAAACTTCACTATTTATTGAGCACCTAGTGTGAGCCCTCCCTTGGCTGATTTAGAGGAGACGGGATGCAGTTCCTGCCCTAGAATTCAGATGAATCTCCTCCCAGCCGGGCACATGCTGTCCACACCTTATCAACATAAGTCTGAGATGGAGGCCTGTTGCTTCCTTTTACAGAAGAGCAAACCTGAGACAGAGAGGCCAAGTACTGTTTCCGAAGTCCACAGAGCTAGGAGTTCACTGTCAGGTTTGGAACCCACGTCTCTCTGACTCCAGAATCCTTCCCAGTGCAGTGCCCCACTTCCTTGGAGGCCTTGGCTGGGGGCAGGCTGAGCCCATGACAGTGTGTGCCTGTCCCAGGCCAGCTGCGACAGGCACAGGACTTGAGTGGCAGAGGGGAGTGCCGGGCTGGGAGGGAGAACAGAGCAGGGTGGCCTGACCAGCACATGGAAACCTTGAGGAAAGCTGAGCTTGGACCCCAGGAGGCAGGCAGGAGCAGCAGAGCAGCCTCTCTGGGGAGCCCGCATTGTTTAGGGTGTGAGTTCATTTGGAAACAGCATTTTTTGGGAAGGAAGACTGGCCTGCTGGGCCACAGGGCCCTCACCCTCACCTCCTTGGGGGTCTCTGTGATGGCAGGCAAGTGGGGGTCTGATCAGAACTCCTCACTTGTGCCCGGCTCTGCGCCCCAGCTGCTCCTAGCCATGTCCCGCAGCTGCTGGCCTCAGCACCTTTGCCTCCCCTGTGTCCTCCCTGGGGCCGCTCTCCTTCTCCCACCCCTCCCAGGGGCCCACATCCTCCTGCCTCCAAGTTCCGGCTTCGGTGCTCTGCACCATGTCTTCCCGGGTCCCTGACACACTCTCCATCTCCTTCCTCCCTGTTAAAAGGCTTTGGTTTTAGAGGCTAAAAAATATGGGTCCAAATTCTGCCCTGTGCTTTTGAGCTGTGTGACTTTAGACCAGCCCCAACCCTCTCTGAGCTCCGGTTTCCCTGTGTGTAATGTGCAGTGCTGGCACTGGCCTTCCAGGCTGTGATGAGCCCACAGGAGGTAATGAGCCTCACACACCTCGTGCCTGGCGGCCCTCAGAGGGCAGGACCTGGCCAGTGGCCGCCCCGTGCTCACCACAGTAGGTCTGTCTGGCTTCCTGGCCTGAAGCATGCCAGGGCCTCGTGGCAGCTGGTGTGGGGGGTCTGTCTGTGTGGTGTGGCTTCGCAGCTCCTCGGCCCATGGCCTGACTTCCTTGTGTATGTTGGCAGCTGGACAAGATCGAGGGCGTGTTCGAGCGGCCGAGCGACGAGGTCATCCGGGAGCTCTCCCGGGCCCTGCGGCAGGCACTGGGCGTGTCACTCTTCGGCATCGACATCATCATCAACAACCAGACAGGGCAGCACGCCGTCATTGACATCAATGCCTTCCCAGGTGAGTGGCGGCCAGGCCACCTCCACTGACCGGCCTCCAGAGACTGTCCTCAGGTGACCAGGCAGGTGAGGCGGGGTGACTGAGGCCAGAAAGCCAGCTTTCTCCCTCACCACGAGGTCCGGGGAGGTGCAGCCCCGAGAAGCCTCAGCCTCACCTGCGCGATGGGCTTACGGGGTGTGCGAGGAGGGAGGGAGAGCTGCACGTCCACCTGGGGAGCGCCAGGCACAGTGGCCACAGCACGCATGTCCCTCACCTCCTCTCTCCACCTGCGTCATTGGTGGATCAGCCCCTCCCCCAGGCCCTCCTCGATTTAAGGAGCAGGAAGGACCTTGAAGGGATTACAGCCCCCTGCAGTTTACATGTTGGGAAACTGAGGCCCTAGAGAGGAGGAAGCTGTTCAGGCCCCACAGCACATTGGTGGCAGGCCAGAGACTCCCAGGCTCACGTTGCCTCCACCACCCTGAACTGCAGCGCCGGGCAGAGGCCTGGGGAGGAGCCCTGGGCTATGGAGTCTGTTCCCTGCTGCCAGCTGGGCCCTAGGAACCCACTGGCATTGAGCCAGGCTCTGCCATGTGCCCCTCAGCTCTCAGTGAGGGGCCCTATGGGGACCGCAGGAGCAGAGCCCCAGCACAGGGCATGAGGAACGATGGTGTGACATCACAGCTCGCGGTCACCAGGCTGCGTGCCTCGCCCTGGGGACACCAAGGCTCAGTGGCTTGTTTACCTCCCGCAGCAGCTCAGAGACAGAGCCGCGCTTGATGCCTTGGTGCCTGCCATTCCCCAGATGGGGGTCCCCCGTTCCTTTCTCCATCCTGACCCTTGTAAAGCATCTGCTGTGGAGGTGAAGCCAGCCTTGCTAGCTGCTGAGGTGCAAAAACGTTCAGGAAATGCCTCCTGCCTTCAGAGACTGTGCCTGGCAGGTGGGGACTCGGGGTTGTTTATCGTGGAGGTGAGGCAGGACCTTGGCCCCACACACTGGCTGGGCACTTTCTGTGTGTGTCACCTCCGCTCGTCTGAGAGCATGCGCAGGCGCAGTCAGCAGCACCGGCCACAGCAAGGAAGCCAAGGCTCAGAGGAGTGTGCTGGCTCCTGTCATTCAGCTGGTGTTTACCCAGGGCTGCTGTCGCCCAGGGCTGCTGTGTGTCCCAGCTGGTCCAGATGCTGATGCAGCTTGAGCTCCACTGCCATGCCCTGCCTGGGGAGAGCTCACCCCTGTCTGGAGGAGGCGGAGGACAGAGCGGGCGGTCAGCGGGCTCCTCTGTGAGGTGGTGACACTGGAGCACAGGGGCAGGTCCCAGGAGAGGCACCGTGGAGCCCTGTGGCTACAGCAGGTGCAGCTGCGGGGCAGGAAGGCTGGAGGACAGAGTCAGGGGAGCTGCGTGTGGTGAACTGAGGACGTTGGAGCTCTCCCTGGGAGTCGGGGAGCAGCCACCGTGAGATCTGTGCTTGTGAACTGAAAGGGCAGACCCGTGCGACGATCGTGTTTTTCTCCATTGCCTCTGGGTGCAGTGGGGAGGAAACCATGGGTTTAGCTGGAGCTGGGATTTCATGGGGTTTTGCTGGCAGGTATGAGGGAACCAGGGCGCAAGGGACATTCAGGATAATGCAAGGGACGTTCAGGATAAGGAAGTGTGGGATCTAAACCACGGAGCATGTTTTGAGTGGCAGAATGAAAAGGGGACAACGTCAGTGGCTGGAGGGCCAGGGGGGCACAGGGAGGCCTGTTAGAAGAGAAGTTCTGGAAGGAGGGAGGAGACAGGAGAGGGTGGGAAGCTTTGCACCTGAGCAAGGCCAGTGCCTCCCAACACAAAATGTGTAGATGGTCGCGATCTATGGGTGCAGATAAGGGATGGCCTTGTGAGTCAGTGTGGGGCACTGTGAGCCAGTGTGGACAGGGAGGGTTCTTCCAGAGAAGCCAAGAGAAGGGCCACCCAGATGGGGTGGGACTATGGCTGAGCCTGGCGGAGACTGGTGAGGGAGCCTGGTACTGAGGAGAGGCCCAGGGCTCTGGCAGGGCAGAGCTGGTTCCCCGGGAGATAGCTCAGTGTGTCCGCCTTACCATAGAGCACCCTTTTGGGGCCAAGCAGAGCAGCAGGCCTGTTCTCCTGCACCCCACAGGAGGCACCTTGGGCCATGGGTGTCCAGCAGCACGTGGGTGGGAGAGGCCTGGGAGAGGGCCCCTCCAGAGAGGGGCTGGCTCTGGAGTAATAACCGCAACAGCTGCAAGCGCTGATGACACCGTGAGCCAGGCCTGCCCCGACGCCTCACTTCGTCCTCACGAGGCGTTGTGCAAAGGGCCGCTGGAATCTCTGTGTTGCTGATAAGAATGTGAGGCTGGGGGTTGAGTGGCTTGTCCAAAGTCACGTGGTGGAGCTGGATGGGGCCCAGACTGTCAGCCCCAGCCTTTCCACCTCTCAGCTCCAGCCATGGGTTCGAATCTTGCCTCTGCCTTTACAGTCTGTGATGGCACAAGCCACCTAACGTTTAAGTCTCAGTGTTCACTGCAGTGGGAACCAGTTTCCCACCCTGCAGACAGAGGAGATGGCTTTTGCACAGTGCTGGTATGGAGCTGGCACCCTGCCCTGCAGGTTCATGCCTCAGTCCGCTCCCCGAGCTCCTGTTTATCCTCAGGCCTCCGTGGAGGCAGCCGTCTCTGCACCACCACAGAAAGCGGCCTCCCTGCCCTGGGCCACTGGGCGTTGTCTGGGGATGCTGGAGGAGGTTGCTGGAGAATGGCTCCCTGTTCCCTGGCGCTGACCTGATGGTGGAGCTCCTCCACTGCATTTCTCCCTAGGCACCCAACAGCCATGCCCGTGCCCGGGACACCTACCCTGCCCTCCAGGCCTAGCCCAGGGCCGACGGACACCCCGGGTCCTATGGTGGGGGACCTGGCACCATGTGGTATTCAAGACACACACAAGACCAAGGGCGTCCTTCAGATCCCACTCTGCCTCTTAGGAGCCACCTTGAGCCTCAGGGTCCTCACCTGTGAAACGGGCTGCAGGGGTGCGGTGGGCTGAGGACCGTGGCGCTCACAGCCCAGTGGCTGCTACTTCCCGAGTGCTGTGAACGCCATGGACGTCATCACTGCCCTCCCCGTGGTGGTTAACGGTCATGCCTCCTCATCTGTAAACTGGGGACAGCATTATGAAGATTAGGCGAGAGGATGTTGCGGGACGCTCGCACAGTGCCAGCTCGGGAGGCGCCGCTTGCCGGCCAGAATAGCCATCTTTATTTCCACCGCGGGCACCTGCATCCCCTCTCAGACTTGGGCTTCCTCAAACCACAGCAGTTGTTTGCTGAATAAGTAAGGGCATGGGCAGATTCAGCAGTCTCATCTTCCAGGCCCCTGGGCACTGTAAGAGGTGGCACAGGGTGCCCCCGTCTGAACCTTCATTCCCACCCTGGTGGGGCTGATGGTTGTAAATGTTGTCCCAGAGGACAGCCCAGGGTTTTTGAAAACTCCCGCCCCTCCAAGTTGGCTCAGGCAGGCAGGGCGCTTGCCCTGTGTGAGTCTCTTTTGGAGCAGTTTGCTGGGAGCCAGCAGAATCCTCCCCTGAGATCCGAAACCTGCTTGGTGGCTCCCGAGGGCTCTGCTGATGTTCGCAACTGTGTTAGGAAGCACTTGCCCCAGGCAGGTACCATGGTTTCTGTTCTGTTCCCCTCTGTTAAGGGGAGCATGTGATGCTGCGCCCTGGAGCTTGTCTCAGGCCTGGATGTTGCTAGTGATGCCCAGCATTTCCGTTCCTTGGCTGTGATCCTCAGAGAATGGGACACAGGGGGCCTCCCTGCAGGTATTTTGTGGTGAGAAGGAAGCAGACTCAGTTGGGGCGGCAGCTGCTTTGTGAAGCAGACACCACTCACATCCCAGCCTCTCTCAGTAGTGCCACAGCAGCCTCCACCTGGGCGGCAGCCTTCTCTTCTCAGTTTGCAGACAGGGAAGCTGAGGCTCAGGGTGGAAGCGGTCTCCGGGACTCAGCCTGAGGCCAGACTCAGCTGGGCCTCAGGAGTATTTATTACTCCAAGTGTGTGGAGCTGGCTTTGGTGCTGCTACCTCCAGCCACGCCAACATCCCCTGCACATGTACTGGCTTTTACCATGCAAGTGGATGGGTGGGTGAGACAGTGGAGCTGTGCCTGAGAGGAACAGGGACAAGCAAGTTTCATCCTCAGCTCAGGTTCTTCAGCTTCTCACACCCTGGCAACAGCTGAAGGTCGAGGAGCACGCACCTGGTTGGGCGTCCAAGCTTTTTGACTCCCCTCAGCCCCCCTTATCTGCTGAGCCTCACGTTTTCTCTGTAAATGGGACGCTGACAGCACACCCTGCCTCATCCCAGGAGCCCATCGGTTCTGCCTCCTCCTCCTCCTCCCTGCATGATGCGTGCCCCTGGCTCACGCCCCTTGTGCTGTCTCTCTCCCACCCCCAGGCTACGAGGGCGTGAGCGAGTTCTTCACAGACCTCCTGAACCACATCGCCACTGTCCTGCAGGGCCAGAGCACAGCCATGGCAGCCACAGGGGACGTGGCCCTGCTGAGGCACAGCAAGCTTCTGGCCGAGCCGGCGGGCGGCCTGGTGGGCGAGCGGACATGCAGCGCCAGCCCCGGCTGCTGCGGCAGCATGATGGGCCAGGACGCGCCCTGGAAGGCTGAGGCCGACGCGGGCGGCACCGCCAAGCTGCCGCACCAGAGACTCGGCTGCAACGCCGGCGTGTCGCCCAGCTTCCAGCAGCATTGTGTGGCCTCCCTGGCCACCAAGGCCTCCTCCCAGTAGCCACGGAGCCGGGACCCAGAGGGGCAGCGCAGGGCGCAGAGCACACCCGCTGGGCCAGCAGCTCCCAACGGCGATGCTACTACTAAGAATCCCCAGTGATCTGATTCTTCTGTTTTTTAATTTTTAACCTGATTCTCTGATGTCATGATCTAAATGAGGGGTAGTGGGGGATGGAAGAGAGTACCAGGTGGTCCACCGTTGGGGAGTGGGGCCGTCCGCCTGCTCTCTACTGTGCAGACCTCCTAACTGAGTTTACACACGCTTGTGTTTGCAACACTAGGTCTGGATGGGAGGTGAGGGGTGTGCGTATGGCTGCCATGCCAGTGTCTGTGCACATCCCTGTCTGTTGGTCTCCATGGCCACTGTGGACCGGGACCCTTGGGGGAAGCCTGCCCATGTCGGGCTGTGGGAGGCTGATCGGTGCATGTGAGAGTGGCTTCCCTTCTGCCTGACTCCCCACTCCCTGACCTGCCCCTTCCTTGTTTTTCCTCCTACTGGTCTCCACCAAGGCTTTGTTAGCCCCCACCCTGCCTGGTGTGCAGCTAACCCCTCCCTCCCCACAGCCAGAGGAGGCCACAGACCCCTCAGGGGAGTTCCGCGCTGGGGTCTGGGCTGTGCTCCCTCACTAAAGGGAAGGAAAGGAAGCTGGGCGTCCTCTGGGCCCCCCAACACACGTCCCATTTAGCCCTGCACAGCGGTCTCCTTCCCCTAAGCCAGCACTGCTGCTCCCTGGAGCCCGGGAAGGAGGCTGCCTGGCTGGAGGCCCGAGCCGATGGCGCCTGTGCTGAGGATTTGTGCTGTGATTTGGGCAAATCATTCCAGGTCTTTGGGCCTCCACCCCCTTGTCTCTAGTGGACATTTGAGATCAGAGAGCACCACAGGGCTGGCTTTGTGCCCTAACCCCTGGGATGCAGCCTGCCTTTCCATAAAGTCACCTAGGTGAGGATAGGCGCGGGAGCCTCGGCATGACACCATGGAGATCGGGGCCCTCTTCCCAGTGGGTTCACTCCTTTTCACACCTGCTGGGTCCCTCCTCACCCAGCAGGCCTGGTCCACCTCTCATTGCAAGCCCCAAGCACTGAGCCAGCAGGTGCCAGGGAGCCACCCGCCCCCCATCGCTTCTGCACACCTCAGACTCACCCCATCACCTTGGCAGCAAAGCACTGGCTCTGCCGTCTGACCCCTGATCCAGGCAGCCCCCTCTGCAGAGAAAAGGGTTGGGGAGAAGCCTCTGCAGTCCTGGAAGATGTGGGGTGCTGGGTGAGAGGCATCAGCCCCCACAAGTATGTTTTTGTGTCTTAAGATAGCAGTTTACTTTGAAAAAGTGAAAAAGGCTTCCGGGCTGTCCTCTGCCCAGTGAGATGGAGGACGCTAGAGAAAGTGCTGAGTGTCCCGAGAGAGGCCCCCGAGCCAGTGCATGGAGGTCCTTCGGCCTGGCTCAGCTGGGCTGCAGGATGCCCACTTTGAGGAGGGAGGCACAGGGCTTGGGCGAGGGGCAGAGGCCATCAGAACTGCCCGGCTTTTTTGGAAACTGAGGACCCAACAACTAACCACGTTTACACGACTTGAGTTTTGAACCCCGATTAATGTCTGTACGTCACCTTTCCTAGTTCTGACCCTGAGCCCTGGGGAACAGGAAAGCGTGGCTGGCCTCTTGCACTGCTTTGTCTCCAAAATAAACTACTGAAATCAAACCGCATTTCACACGTGTTTACACATGTTGCTCAAGTTTGTTATGTCATACTCCCAGTCCTTAAAAGACGTTTAATAAAACAGCTTTACCTTTTAAAAATAAAATTTCAATCCCAGTCTGCCTCAGGTACGGGTGGGGGTGTGCAGCGTGACTCCTGGCTGTGTTCCTGTACCGTTTGTGGCCTCCGGGGTCTTGCGCGTCCAGGGCCCAGATACCGAGTAACTGCCATGTGGTGTCGTGGTGGCGTCCATAGGCCTCCGTGGTGGGGCGGGGGCGGGGCTGTGGGTGTGCAGGGCAGCTGCATTTTCCAAGAGTGGAGATGGAGGATGGAGATTTGCTTCGTAAAGGCCTGGGAGCTACATGGGAGGTAGGGAGGGGCCAGCCACACCCAGGGCTGGGGGGCCGGTGGACTCTGCCCAGTGAAGCCAGGGGAGTGTCAGCAATGAGGGGCCTGGACAGCGACGCGGGACCCGCACCTGGGAGCGGCAGAGATGGAGCCCAGCTCGCTAAACGTACCCTAAGGGTGCACGCTGACCATCTTTGATCCCTGGACAGTGTCCATAGAGTTGTCTCCCCTTCGGTCACATTGTCCCTGGCCTTGGAGTTTCTGCCTCAGGGAAAGACCCACTAAAACCACCCGGGCTCTGGCGGCCTCCTCTTCTCCAGAGCATGGTGGCGCTGCCTCCTGAGCAGAGTCACTGAGAGTGTCTGGGTCCAAGGAAGGGACCCACTTAGCAAAGGTTGTTGTGTGGTGCTGTGCAGGCACGGCGCCTGGAGTTGGCCCCGCCAGCATCGGGGTGGCTTGGGGCTCTGGTTCCTAAGCTTCTGCTTCTGAGTTGGTCAGCACGTTGGCTCTGCGCCCTGCAGTGCCTGTCTTGATGGTGGTCCCTGGATGTGCTGAAGGGCTCCAGGAGCAAGGGGCCAGACCACACTTTGGCTGAGTCCTTGGGTAGTTTCAGAGGGTCACCTGCACAGTCTGCATTGAGCACCCTGGGGCTGAGGCCGTGGGTCAAGTTCTGCCTGACAGTGCTTTGATTATATGGTGATGTGATTCTGCAAACATAACCCCCCAACTGAGTGCCAGCTGCTGGGTGTCCCCACCCCAAGAGCCAAGGGGAGGCCACCCTGGAACTGGTGCTTTGCCCTTGGTGTCATGGAGGTGTCTGGGTCCACACGTGGTGGGTGGGCTGGGCCTGCAGTCACCCAGCATGGCCGGCGGGATTGGACCCAGCTGCAACCTGGCAGGTTCCATGGGGCTTCCTGTGCCTGGGCCTGCCTGTGTCTCATGCCTGTCAATAAAGGAGAAAGCAACCTGGGAAAAACATTCCTCTCTGTACCCAGGGGACTGCCAAGTGTGCTTTATAGAAGGCTGGAAGACCGACTGAAGTAGGAAGCTGTCACATGTTTGAGCCAACTGAGCAAAGCAGCTGTTGCCTGCCAGACAGCCACCCCAAGACCAAGGGAGCCAGCCTGTCGTTTGTCCTTCTAGCCTGGAAGACCAGTTCTTGGCTCTTGGGCACTCACATTGGCCACTGGCCACAACTGCTGAATGGCTTCACTAATGTCCCTGGGGTCTGTATCTGCCCTCTCTTCTATTCCCTAGAAACTCTGGCCGGGCATGGCGGCTCACGCCTGTCATCCCAGCACTTAGGGAGGCTGAGGCAGGTGGATCACAAGGTCAAGAGATCGACACCATCCTGGCCAACATGGTGAAACCCCATCTCTACTAAAAATACAAAAATTAGCTGGACATGGTGGTGGGCGCCTGTAGTCCCAGCTACTTGGGAGGCTGAGGCAGGAGAATTGCTTGAACTCGGGAGGCGTAGGTTGCAGTGAGCCAAGATCGCACCACTGCACTCCAGCCTGGCAACAGAGCAAGACTCCTCAAAAAACAAACAAACAAACAAACAAACTCTGATCATTCACCCGGTGGGATCCCCGGCAGCTCCTTCTCCTTCCCGAGCTGTGGCTCATGGGCCATTGGATTCAGAGACCTTGAGCTGGGTGCTGGCTGCCCTAAAGGAGCACGACCCCTCCAGCCTGGTGACCGGGAGGCAGAGAAGTGCAGCTGTCCTTGACAAAGGCCCAGCCTCTGCTGCCTCAGGCCAGCCTGGCCACACCCCGATGCCACAGTCATCTGCCCCGCCCAGGCATAAGCCTGACTCAGGTGATACAGGCGAGGCTTCTCCCATGGGTCCTCCCCTTGTGAGAAAGGGTCTGTGCTGTGTACCTTCTCTCTGCACAGCCATTGTCAGTGTGGTTTGGAGTGAGTGAGCCTCCCGCACTGCTCAGGGGAGAGCTGGTGAGCATGACTCCATGGCCTCCTGCTGGTTGGGGTCTTCTTCTGATTCTCACCCGCAGGAGCACCCAGACCCCCCCTTTTCAGAAATGATTACATTTTCCCTTCAAGAGTCATCTGTGACCTGGTGGTGTGGAGGGACTGTCCCCTCCTGCAGCCTGGCCGACCCCCTTCCTCCAGGGCTGTGTGGAATCACCTCTCAGAAGCTCACTCTGAAAAGCCACTCACAGGGATTTCACCAGGATGTTGCTGTTCCTGCCGACACCTGGGCTTTGTGACAAATGCTGTTTGCTTCAAGCTGTTCACAAGCAACTTCACCAGAATCCCAAGCTGGTTCGTACTTAATTTGTGTACATACATATGCATAATATACATGACCATGTATGAGATACAGACACCATGGCTTCTGTCCATTGGCTCATTCGCCTGGTCGCATGTTCACTCCATGAGGTTAGGACACTGCGGGTGGCTTTGGGATGGGTGGTTTCAGGGACAAGGTGTCGCTATGATCTCTGTATTTGCTAACTAGTCTTGTTTTGATTTCTAACGGTCTAGTGGAGTACAGTTAATGTTGTGTTTATTTCTGTAACTGTAGGGGTGGAGTATAAACCTAACTTTTGGAAACATGAAGAAATAAACAATAGCGCCAGCCGTTCGGAGGGTGTCCTTCTGTGCTTTGCAGGGGGCAGGGGGTGCGCATTAGCCGCCATGAGCAGCCCATCCTCATCAGAGAAACCCAGACTTGCCGAGACCCCTCAAACGACTCAACACCATTGCAGTGGTTTTCTGTGTGGGCTCCTGATCATCACCATAATCTGGTAAGGAGATAGTAAGTATTGTCTCCATTTTATAGATGAGGAAACTGAGGCACTGAGAGGGCCAGGAGCGCCTGCCCAAAGACTCCTGCTCATTAATGGCTGGGCTGGGGAGTTCAACTCCAGTCTTAGGTCCAAATCTGAGTTCCCACCATGGAACCTTGCCTGCTCAGACTCACCAGGCAGAGCCTCAGGGACTTGGTTCCCAAATCCCAACTGGCCTCTGGACTTGGCTCTGCCTGGGACCCTGGAGGGTGGCAGCGATGCCTCTGAGCCTCACCCACCCACAATGCCCATGTCTTTCCCATTCCTACCTGGAAGACACCACGTGGGCAGCCTGCGAAGGCCGAGGCCCCTCCCTGCACCCTCTCCACCACTGCCTGGGATCATCACCCTCCCTGGCTTGCTCGTGTTTGAGCTGCAAAGGCCAAGGACGTTAGCCCCAGAACTGCCACCTGGACAGGTGAAGTGACTGGCCAAGGCTAACCAGCCAGTCCAGCAGAACCTGGCTCGAACCCAACCTCCTCCTGGCCTGCAAGGAGCGCCCTCCAGCGTGGGCGTGTGCTCCTCCTGCTGAGCGTACTTTTGTCCCCATGGGTTGCTTTGGCTGTTGAAGGGTGCAGCTGTCCCCGCTGGACAGTGAGCTTCTTAAAGCCAGGGCTTGTCTCAGCCATGCTCAGGCCTACCAGGCCCAGAGCAGCCATGCACAAATGTTTGACGAGTGACTGAATGATGGGCCCTGATATTCAGCCAGTACACATGGGTCCTGACTGTGTAATCCTCACAGTCCCCACGCTTCAGTGTTCTGAGCATCATCCCCGCCTGTGACTTGGGTGAGTCATTTCACCTTCTCTGCCTCAGTTTCCTCATTCACAAAACTGGGACTAAGAGCAGCCCGTGCTCTAGTGAAGCGTTACATACACGAGATCTTCAGACGCCCCACATTCCTATGCCTTCTTCCTAGGCCAGAAGTCATAGCAGGGCCTAATAAGTGGTTATGCCAAGGGGTCCCTGCAGCTCAGAGGCTCAAGTCTGATGCCTGTGTCCTGCGACAGGCACTAGACTGGGGCTGTCAGGGCCTCCACCCGGCACCACAGGTGACTGGATGGCGGGGACCATCAGGGAGGGGCGACCTGATCTCAGGAAACAGAGCCCGTGTCCCCACCTGGCGCTGCCTCTGCATGGCCCAGCTCAGGTGTGGCTGGGGACGGGGAGAGGAAGGAACCTGGAGGCCCTCAGCAAGTGTGCTTTAATCCCTGCACACACTCTTTGAGGCAGGTCAGCATTCCCGTTTTACAGATGAGGAAACTGAGGCTCAGAGCTAACAAAGTCACTTGCTCAAGATCCCACAGCCAGGAAGTGGCCCAGAAAGGAGGTCCCCAGGAGGACTGAACCTCCCTTTGTCCCTTCGCCCAAATCCAGTGCATCTCACTCCACTCTTAAGTTGAGAGGCGAAAAAATTCAGAGGAAAGAGCCCAGAACAGATTTATTTTTCTTTAGATAAAGTTCATACAGAATATGTTACAGTCAGGAGTTCTCAGCTTTCACCAAAAGGTCAGAAGTTATTGCAGTTGTGCCCAGTGGATAGGATGGAGGAAGGGAAACTTCTAGAAAGCTGCCTGTGTTCAGAGAAGGAATCGTCAATGTTTAAAGTTGTGGGGCTGCCCTGCAAAGGATGTTCCAGGGCAGGTAGGAGTCAGGAGTAGGAGACAAGGCGCGTAGGGGGCGATAGGGTGGCCTGGGCTTGGGCAGGCTGGAGGCTGCCTCCCTACCGGAAGCAGCATCCGGGCCATCTGGCCAGGACCTGCCAAGGGGACAGCAGAGCCAGGGCCACAGGGTGCCCTGGGGCCAGCCCTGCCAGCCGGTGTCTCAGCCCCGCCGTAGTGCCTGCAGCTGGTGGGCCACTTTCTCCAGCTCTGCTTCAATGGCCGACAGGCTCTCCAGCTCCTGGTCCTAGGAGAGACATTGGGGTTCACTCGGGCCAGCCTGGCCAGTGGCATGGAAGGCACAGTAAGCCAGAAAGGCGCTGGGTTAGCTGTGTGGCCTCGGACAGGTGGCTTTGTCTCTCTGTACCCTCATCCATCATGGAGACAGTGATAATGAGCTTACTGTACTGCTCTCGGGATCATTATGCACAAGAAGGTGGCTGATGCCGGGGGCCCTGTCCCCACACTGCTCTTGGTGGCCTCTTATCCAGGCCCCACTTCCTCTCAAATGGTTCCGCACAGGTGGGAGTCTGTTCTTTTAGGGCACATGGAAAACAAAGCTTACAGTGCCCTGAAGAGCCCCCTTCCCTCGGCCTAGCCCATGGTTGCCAGGACCCAGGGTGAGGCCAGCCTGGGACTTCCGGGTCTGTCTTCTGCAGCCTTCCCACCTGAGGGGAATGTGGGGCCTGAGACAGGGCTACATGCTGGGGGAGCTGCCCCACATCAGCCTGCCTAGGGCTGGGCTTTGATCCCTGGTCCTGATTGTGAGAGGATCCCGAACTCTGGCTACCCAAGTTTAGGGAAGCAGGGACCCCTCCTCTGAGCCCTGTTCTATGCCCGTCTGCAGAAGCTTTCAGGCCTCAGAACTTGGACACCCACAAGAGCACAACCTCAAGACTTAGAGCAGGAGCGCAGGGAAGGCTGCCTCCTTTGACCTGGGAGGGGTCATTTTCCCGGGGTCACTGCCAGATTTGAGGCTGCCGAGGGCATCCTGGCCCAGGGACCCCGACATTGCAGGCCGTGGAAATAGACTCTACAGCCCCTTAGTCTTGGAGGAGGCCCTGGGGCAGGTGCTCTGCGAGGCTCGGGTTTCTAAGAAGACCCTTGGGCTGTGTTGAGGAGGCCCCCACCCCATCCTCTCCATATGCCTCAGGGGTCCAGTTTCTCTGCCCTGCGGTCCAGAGCTCCCTCTGCTTGTGGAGAAAGGAAGCTGGTGGCACCTCTGGGCCCCCATTCTCTCCAGCTTTGTCCTCAGCCCCTCGCCCTGGGCTCCCAGGCACGTGGGCAGATGCCCTCTCCCGCTACAGCTGCCAACATGGAGCCTTCTTCCTCTCAGACTGCCAGGCCCAGAGAGGGGGTCGGGGGCCCAGTGAAGGGGCCACACCCTCTTCTAGGTGGGCAGAGAAGAGCCTTGGGGTCAGGGCTGCGGACAGGTGTCAGCCTTCCCACAGAGCCTGGGTTCCTACCTGGACACTAGGCTTGAACCAGGTATCCCAGCCGCCTAGCTGCCAGGGACCCCAACTCCCCCCTGCTCCTGTGGGCTGTGTCCCCACGCCCCATTTGTCTTCCCCAGGGGCCCTGGTTTTCAAAGCCTTTGTGTGTTCCAATCATGGTAATGACGTGGGCAGAGGAGACTCCTTACCCCTACTTCATAAATGGAACTGATGAGGCTCGGGGAGGGGAGTGACCCTCCCAAGTCCACGCAGCCAAGAGGAGGCAGAGCCCAGGTCTTCCAGCTCACATCCGGTGTGGCTCCCACCCACTCCCCACAGGCAAGAGATCCCTTGGCCCTGCCCCTGCCCTGCCCCGTTACCCTCATGGGCCAGAGGCAGGGCCTGAGCCTGGGAGGAGGCTGTGCCTGGGCTGCCTGGGGGCCAGGAGGGGACACGGTCAGACCCACCGCATGGTTTTTCCAGGGCACCCTACTGCCTTCTGGACAACGTCCCCACTCAGCGCCTCCCCCGCTGCCACAGGCTGACCTGAGCTCCTCCCATCTCCCAGCCAGCTTTGCTGGGTGCCCCCTGTGAGCTGGGGTGTTCTCCCACCCTGAGAGCCCCCGGTCTGAGCATCTCTCCATCCCCAGACTTCGGCGGGGGGGCCCTGTCCCCTCAGTGGGGCAGGGGCAGTGTGTCTGGGTGCGGCTGCCCCCTGCTGCTCCGTGGCCTGGCACAGAGCTGGCTCCCGCCCCATACCAACCTCTGGTCTGCGGTTTGCGCTGCCCTCCTCCTCTTTCTTCTCCTCGGGGTAGCCTCGGACCTGGAGGGGCAGGCCCGCCTCAAGGCTGTCCTCCCGGGAGGATGGCCTCCAGCCTCGTCGCAGCTGCGGCCCAGGGCCCCTGAAGCCGTAGGCCCGGGCCCGGAAGGAGAGCTTCATGGAACTGTCCCGGTTGTCCTCCTCCTCCTCCTGCCCCTCCAGCCGCTTCTCAGCCGTCAGCTCCTTGGCCAGCTGGTCCATCTTGCTCCAGCGTTTGGAGTCCTCCCACTCCTTGGAGAGCCGCTCCTCCTCCTGCTCCAGCTCTCCGCTCTTCCCACCCCGGAAGAGGCCTTGCGGGACCACTGCCATCTCCTCCTCCTCCTCTTTCTGCTGGGAGTGCTCCTGTTCTCCCTTCCCTTCGGGGTCCTGAGCCTCCTCAGCCCCAGGCTTCCCAGCTCCATCCACAGCCAGAGCCTCCGACCGACCTGGAGCAGGTGGTGGGCAAGAGCAGGAGAATGGGTGGGGGACCACCATTTTCCCAGTCTCTGCCACTCCCTGGGGGCCTCTGCTGCGGCCACAGCCCAGCCTCTCCACAGTGATGACGCTTAGCGGGAAAAACCTTCTTGATGCCAGGCTTTGCAAGACCCTCTCGGCTCAGAGGGGTGGGTTAGCTGGAGCCTGCCTCTTCCCCTCATCCTCACCCCAGAAGCCCGGCAGCTGGAGAGTGAGGAAAGACCCTGACAGGCCCGCAGCGGGAGCCAGGGCCTCTCCTAAACCGTAGTTGAAGCTGACACTGTTCCCAGATCAGCCTGTGCGCTCCTGCCATGGTCTCTGTTCCCAAAGCCAGCCCACCCATCACCCACCCCTAGCTTCTGGGGTTGGTGGGGGGAGGCTATGTGGAATAGTGGGAAATGCATGGTTTTGGAGTCAGATAAATCTGGGGTAGAACCTCAGCTTTTGCTACAAATTAGCTGTGTGACCTTGGGCAAATTACTTAACCTCTCTGAGCCTCATTTGTCCACCTGGGAAATGGAGCTAATACCTACCTTTCAGGGTTGTTATGAAGGTGGAATGAGGTTATGGAGAAGGCTCTCCTCCCACCCATCCCCCTCTCCCAGACACGTTCGTTGAGGTCTTCGCCATCATACGTACTCTCGCCTTTCCGGATCTCCTTGTAGCCAAGGCTCGGGTGGGGGTTCAGCACTACAGTGGGGCCTTCTTCCTCGGGGACAGCCTCCTCTCCAGCCTCAGCCTCCTCCTCCTCCTCCTCCTCCTCTTCTCTCTTTGCCTGCCACCCTGGCTCTGCACTCAGGCCCTTCTCTCTGTCCACCAGACCCTGAGAGAGGCCCTCACTGTCCCCCTCGGCCTGTGGGCCTGGGTATTTCTGGCTGGGGAGGCTGGCTGGAGGGTGGGTGTTGGTGGCCTCCTCCTCCTCCTCCTCTTCCTCCCCAGGGGCCTGATTGTTCCCCTCAGCCTTGGACTCCTGCATGGGCTCCGGGAGGGCCTGGGGCCTGGCTCCGTCTGTGGCTTCACCACTTTTCTCTGCCTCCTTGGAATCCTCTCTTTTCTCCATAACATCCTTGGATGATGGCTCTTCCACCGCCTCTGCAGACACAGCACAGCCAAGTCAGGCCCTGAGGACTGGGCCACGTGTGGGGCCTCCCCACAGGCTAATTTCAGATGTTACTCATTATGTTTCTTGGCTTCCAGCGAGCCCAGCCCAGGACAACGATTAGGGTTACCCCTCTGTCCATGTCCAGGCTTGATCTGAGCACAGCTGGATTTGTTTCTTTCTTTTTAATCCTGACTTTTAAAACAGGTTATTATTCAAAGAACAAAAACAAAAAACCAGACCTTAAGATTAATCCAGGAGATAAAGCCTGAACTGAAAATTAATGTCAGCTGTGTGATCTTGGGCAAGTTGCTTAACCTCTCTGTGTAAGAGGCACCATGACTGCAACTTCATTCTCCCCTCCATGTGGGGCTTCTCTGTCTTCAGCATCCTGTGAAAGGGCTCAATTCTGCAATATTTTAGGGTTTCATTAAAAGGTATTTTATTGTGGCTGCCTTAAAGACAGCCTTTGAACAAGTGAAAATTCCTCCCGTCATTAGAATGATAACCACTGAACAAAGTGCTCCCAAGTACATTCCACCATCTGAGCTTCACCAGGACTCTGGTGAAAGGTGCTCCTATGCCTATTTCACAGAAACCCAAAATGATCTGCAGAAAGGTAAGATGACCTGTCCATCTCACAGTTTGCGGGCAGCAGAGCTGAGCCTGGAACCCAAGCCTCCAAATGACAAGCTCGGGATCTCTTTGCACTGACACATGGCTGCCTGCCTCATTAAAGCTTCAACCAAAGTGGGGGCACCTGGGCTTCACTTGCGGGCTTTCCCTTTCAGCCCCAGATGGGAGACACCAGGATCCAGCTCCTGGACACCGGCCTTACCGGCCCATCTTCTACATGGAGAGCAGAAGCGCCACGGGGCCAGTTTGTGGCTCTCCCCGGGAAGGGAGGATGGCTCAGAGTGTCGCACTGACCTAAGGCATGACCTCTTAGACTCCTAGAAGCTCTTTGGTTTCAAGAAAGATGATCTGGGTTCATTTCACGTTTCACACCTACTCTGTCTGTGGTCCTCCTGCATCCTGGCTATTCTGAGGCCCCACCACTTCCCAGGAGGACAGGCACTGGGGGTGGGGGCTCTGCTACAGTGGCCACTGGGTAGACCCAGAGTTGAAGCTGTCCACCTGCCATGCCAGAGATCTCCTGCCCTAGAGTGCCAGCCCCTCTTCTGGGCAGACGGGACCGAGCGAGGGCTTTGGTGTGAGGCAGGACCAGATCGAAACCCCTGGTCATGCCACTCACCTTGGGCAAGGGACCTAGTCTCTCTGAGCAGCAGTTTCCCCATTTGTAGAGAGAGGGAAATAAGGGATTATGGGTGGGGCTCCCGACTCACTGGAACCCTGGGTCCATCATAGCCACTGTTCCCACTGCCACCCTCCCTTCCCCACCTCCGGCCAGACCGGCTGGGACAGACCTTTCAGCTCGGCCTGGCTGCTCTGGTTCTCAAGAACCTCTGAGAGTTCATCTTCAAAACCGCTGTGTTTCTTCTGCTGATGTGCCCTCTCCTTGGCGCCTGGTATGAGAAAAGGAGGGAAAAGTCCCATTGGGTGCAGCTGTGGCATATTTGTCTATAAGAGTGAAGACCTCCATTTCCCCATCTGTAAGCTGGGCACATCATGTTCAGGGCCTGCCCAATGAGACACTGATGGGGCGTGAGCTTGGGGAGCGGTGAAGGGTTGGCGTCCCTCACCTCTCTCAGCTGGGCCCTCAGGCAGCCACCCTGCCTCGCCAGACTCAGCTTCTCCCTGGGAGGCCAGAGCAAGCGTGCTGTGGCCACACAGCAAGAAAGGCTCAAATGGAGCAAGGATCCCAGGGGCAGGAGTTGGGGGTGGGGAACCCCTCAGGACCTGGCTGGGCAGGAGTTGGGGGTGGGGAACCCCTCAGGACCTGGCTGGGCAGGAGTTGGGGGTGGGGAACCCCTCAGGACCTGGCTGGTAGCTCCAGGAACCCTGCAGCAGGCAGTAATGGTGACAGCTCTTGATTCAGGCAAGCTCTGCTAACCTTGGACGCTGAGTCCAGGCCCGGGGAGAAGGCCAAGCCCTGTGCCTACATCTGAGCCCAGGGTTGGCGCCTGCAGCCATGACCCAGAGACCCCTCTCCCCCCGCCGCCGCTGCCTCCTCTGACTGTCCCCACACCTGTGCCTTATTCCTGATGTTGGCCCCTCAGTTAGCCCAGCTCATTTCTTCCCCAACAATGGGCTTTCCTGGGCAGCTGTGGGCCAGGGAGCATGCCCAGCCCTGGTCTCAGGCAACGTGGGTTCCAGTCCCCTTCTGGCTATTTCCTAGCTCCATGGGCAACTTGGGCTCTCCAAGAGTTGGGTGCTTGTCTAGAAAATAGGGTTGCTGTGTGGTAAATGCTAAGACAGAGGCACACAGAAGATGTTATGGGAGCCCAAGAGGGAGTGGACGGATAGACGGATGGACAGAAATACATCCAGGAATCTGTTAATGGAAAATAGTCATATATACATATATTGGATACTGCTTATACGGGATACACACGTGCATGTGAATAGAGATGTTTCAGGACACATTCTCCTATAATAGTCTCTGTTGACAGTCTATTTAATTATTTAAATGTAATCAGTTAGTCATTCAATATTTAATTTTAAAGTTATCAATTGTAATAAAATATTTAATGCTTAGTTAAAAACAAAACAAAACACTAGTCCAAGGTCACTGATGATGACATAACTATCCAGGTAATAATAGTCCCAGCTGTGCCCAGCACTCCCTGCCCCCTCCAACAACAGTAGGAGGTGGGTGCTTGCTGCCCAGGCTGGCTCATGAGTGGGAGGAAGAACAGTGTGTTAGCTTGGAAAGGGCCACAGGAATCCTACTGACGTGGCTGTGTTTACGTGCCTCCTCCCCAAAGCCCTCTCTGTTCTCACACATGGCCTGGTCTGTCCCAAAGGCCTCAGAGTGGGGCCCATCCTGAAGCCAGAGCAGCCTTCGTACCCCCACCCCACCCCAGACACAAGCCCAGCCCTGAAAAACACTCTCGCTTCGTTGGGAAGCAGATGCTGGATTCATGCTGTAATGCCCTGTTCTCATGGAGAGACACACCACCACCAGTGGTCCTGCCCTGGTGGAAACGGCCGCTTCCCACAGGAAGTCAGCCGGGGCAGGTGCAGGGCCAAACTCAGGTTTCCTGACTTGCAAGGCTAGGGCCGTGCTTTGCATCAAGCCTGGAAGGAGCTGGGGGGCTGGGCATAGAGGCTAACTGTGGGAAGATGGCAGCTTAACCCTCCACTCCAGTATCCTGTCCAGGCTTGGCTTGAATATCATCAGTGACGAGTGGCTCACTACTTCATAAAGGTATTTCCTAAAATGACTGAACTGCAGAGGCCGTGGGTTTTAGGGAAGCTGCACCTGGCATGTCTCTATTCACTGTGTGACCTTGGACAAGTCACTCAACCTCTCTGGGCCTTGATTTCTTTAACAATATCAATAACAGATTGAGCCAGGTGGCACGGCGGATCCTGCTTTTCCGCTTTATAATTAAAAGGAAATGACAGTCCCAGAGAGGAACTTGCTGAATCTTCCACCAGATTTTCTGACTCTCAGTTACTGGAATTTACCCAGAGTCAAGTGCAGTGGCTGGAAAATACCTTGGAGAGCGAGGTCTTGGAGCTCCTTCAGTAAATTCTGATGTCTCAGAATGGAAAGGATCCGTTCATCTGCAATGAAGAAGAGTCATCATGGGTGGTTTCCAGAGAACAGCCGAGAAAGAGATTACCATCAATATTTTCAGCTGAGCACAAGGAATTTACTCTGGAAACTCAAAACCAGGGTGGTGGCAGCAAGATTGGGTCTTCAGATAACACTTTTGAAATTACCTCCTTTCCAAGGTATGTGTCAGTTTCCTACTACATCAGAGAAGTCAGCCACTGCCCCAGCAGCCAGACCTTAGCCAAAGGGTGGCAACCCCTGAGGATGAGTGGGGTCTCTTTAAATACAACAGGTTCCCATCTCCATGCCTGTGTTCACACTGTCTACCACACCTGGACAACCCTGTCTTCATTTTTCCACTCATCGGTTTCCAATGTTTCTTTTAAAGCCCAACCGAAATGCTGCTGGCTCTATCCAGCAGTTAGTAAAAACTTGACTGGTTGCCTGGAAAGATTTCGTCCTTCTCCTGTCCACCCATAACATTCCTTTATTCATCACACATCTAGAGGGTGTCTGCAGAGGCCAGAGGCTGTTCTAGGCACTGGGATACAGCACACAAAATCTTTGTCCATAGGGAGCTCACAGTCTGGGGGCTTGCTGTTTCAGCCCTGGTTTTATTTTGCCCAGAGTTCTAGTTAACTGTGTTCATATGCATCCCCTCTGCCAGTCTGTAAGCACCTGGGCTACAACCCCTTCAACTGTCTGTACACCTTGGACCCTGGTGCAGTGCCTGGACATGACGGGCACTCAGTCAGTGACTGTTGAGTTAAATCATTAATTCCACCAAAAGCCACACACCCATGTCCTAGCCTCCCAGCCCAGCAGGCAGCAGCCCTCACCCCTAGCCTCCAGCTCATACCTCCTCGGAGTGTCTCAAAACATTCCTGGCTGACAGGCATGGGGCTGGGCTTGGAAAGTGTGTCGGAGATGACCTCAACGATGCATTTCATCACCTGGGAACACAGTGCAGGGGCAGGTTGGGGCTGGTTTGAGCATGGGGCTCAGTCCCTGGAGGCTCTAGGGTGAATTTCTAGTGAGGACAGAGGGTATTTGCTTTTGTCTTTGGGAGTCCATGATCCCTGGCTCAGGGACACAGCTCTGCTTTCTTAGCCAGACAGTGATAGCAATGATAATAGAAAACCCTTAACACAGTGCTTACCATGTGTCAGCCACTCCAACCACATGGCCAGCAGGTTCCCCTCCAAGGTGGATCATAGTGAGAATGGGGTGTAGGGAATGGTACCTGGTACCTTCTCATCCCCAAGTGCTATTTCTCTAAACATGAGAAAACTGCCTCAGGGCACTAAAATGATGTCTTACAAAAGTGCTCTGATCGTGAAGATGCCCAAAGGTCAGGTCCTCCAGGAAGTCCTTCTGGACTGCCCAGAGGAGACAAAGACCTTCCCTGGCTCTACCCTGTTTGGAAATAGGATGTAGGTTACTGTCTCCAAACACCCATGGTGTTGTCGTATGCAAGGAGTCACAGCTTCATATTCTCACTCCATGTTCATCATGGGATGGGTGAATCCCTGGGCGGCATGTGAGCACACATTGACTACACCTGGGAGCATATCCCAGGTCAACCACAGCCACGCCTCTGAAAGTCTTATCCTGTGCCTGCAAAGGTGCTGTGGATAATTAGGCATCTGATAAATGAGTGATCTTTGATGATGGTGCCCACCGTAATGTGGTATCCTAGCTGTGTGATCTTGGAGAAGTGACTTAACCTCTCTGAGCCTCAGTGTCCTCATTTGTAAAACGGGAGTGAGAATACCTTCCCAACTGCTCTCCCAGGGTAATGAGGTACAGATGGAAAAACACTCTTTCAAGCATGGAGTGTCAGCACGCCCAGGGAGGGGTTCACAACTCCAGCCCTGCTTCCACAGCCTAGAGCTGAGTAGAGAGCAGGAGGTGTCAGACAGGCATCAGGCAACACCGGCAGGGAGTGAGGGGGTGGGAGGCTGTGTCTACGGGATGCCAAGGCAACCGGTCCAAGGATCCAAGATGGCAAACTGGCAAGTGCTGTATAATGCATGTAGTCACAACAACCTCGTATAGAATCTTCAGGTCTTAGCCAGCTGCTCTGGTGCCCCTGACCACAGGCTGCTGGGTATAATATGGTGACCAGGGTGTCTCCCATAAGGGATCTAGCAAGGAGAGCACAGCAGCCTGTACCCTGTATCTCCCTGCAACCCCGGACCTTGCATTGGGAATATCAGATAACCACCTGTTCGAGAGGGCATTTTCTGGGAGGCAGGAATTGGGTAGAGGGTCTGGAGAGGGATGGGGAGATCAAGAAGGCAGCTCTAGGAATAAAAGTGCCCATTTACTGAGGACCTATTATGTGCTAGGCAATTCACATCCATGATTCCTACTCTTTACACCTCCCCTCAAGGAAAAGGAGAAAAAGGCGGAGCTCAGAGAAATTAAGGAATTTTCCCAAGGTCACACAGCTAGAATGAGTGGTAGAGGTTTAAATTCTGTCCTATCTGCAACTAAAACATAGGAAATATAATTGAGCAAACAGAGGTTGGAATCTCTTGGATGGTTTGGATTTTAACTGTGGTGTCTAGTGGAAGAGAATAGTTTCTGGGAAGGTGGGGAGTAGAAATTTCTCTGACCCTCAAGTCAGAGATTTGGATGAGCACTAGAGCCTGGAAAAAACAGCCCCAGCTCAGCCATGAATGAATTCCAAGTACACACCCAGCGTGGTGTGTCTCTTGCTGCCAGAGAAACCCCTACTAGTGTCTCCTAAGGCCCTTTCCTGGGTGACCTCCACAACTAGCCCCTATTGGTGGGACCGTGGGTGCAGGAGCCATGATCAAGATGTTTTGCTTGTGTTCCTTTGGGACAGCCAGGGCTGGAGAGCCTGCTGGGTGTGGGTTGTTACTGGCAGAGCCTTTCAGGGAGAAAGAGCAAAGCGGGGAGGCCAGAGCCAGGCAGGCAAAGGCCATTTTTACAGGTCTGTGGACAACTACAACTACAGAGAAGCCACCCCCACCAGCCCCTGGGGAGCCTACTGGATTCAGAGTGTTCAAGACAGCCTGAAGCCAGGCACCTCGGCCCAGCAGGTAAGATGCAGGCCTCTTCCGCTGCATGTGCAGCTCAGAGGAAGCTGGGGAAGTCCCCACAGCAGGACAGCAGGGAAAGCAAGCAATCTTTGATATCTTCTTTTGCAAGCTGTCCCCAGGCTCAGCAGCCGCAGTGCTGGCTCTTGGCTTTATGCCGAACTTACTCCTGCAGCTGCCCAAGAACTGGCTGTGAAGTGTCCACTGGAGCCTCCTACCCCTCATCCCCAGCACCCCTTCTTACCTCGGTATCCCCTTTATTCATAGGGCTGTTCACAGGGAGCGCAGTGACTGGGAAGAAGAAGAGAGTGCTGGGGTCACTCCTCTGCTCCAAGTGGAGGCCAGTCCTTTCTGACCGGGCTCACTGGGGCCCGTTCACCCAATGCCACCCCTCAAAACTGCCCCCACCAAAAAGAGAGGCTAGGGCTGATTTTGTTTCCCTTCCCTGGTTGCTGCCCACAGTGGGGTGGTCCCCAGAGGCTGCACTGAGAGGTCCTCCCCCTCCCCCTTTGGAAACTCTTGCTCTGGAGCGGGTGTGCTTTGGAGCGGGGAGCGCCATCAAACAAGGCCAAGAGCTGCACAGTGGGACGGGTGGGAGACAGACGAAGGGGAGAGAGACCCCAGAGGTGGGGGGGGCGGGGGAAGAGATGGAGGAAGGGGATTGTGAGGGATGATATGGAGAAGTAGAAGTCAAGGGCAGAAAGGCGGGGAGCGTGAGATGAAAGGGGAAGAGGGGTGGAGGGTTGCGAGCAGCCATGCTCCCACCTCCCCGCAGTGACCTTGGCCGGCCACCGCGCAACCGGCACTGGCCCTGATGCAACCGAGGCGCCAAGCCCAGACAAGGGGTGGGCACAAGGGGGAGTTGCCCCGGGGGGTTGGGAGTCAGGCCCAAGTGTCTTGTGGGTCCCAGGCGGAGGCCACACTGCAGGGTCAGGCGGGAGGCGGAGGCGCTGTCCGCGGTGCTGAAAACTCGCCGCGCCCGAAGGGAAGTGTGGAGGGGTGCGGGGCGCCGCGCGGTGCCCGGACCTCAAGGTGGGCAGGGGCGCCCGGAACCCTCTCCCGCGAGCTCCCCGCGCTCGCTCACCTTGCCCGGCGCAGAGCAGAAGAGCCAGGACAGCGGCGGAGCGCATGGCGGACCCGGGCGCCGAGCAGCTGGCGGTGTGGGGCCGGGCACCTAGGCACCGGGCGAGGGGCGGCTGGACTGGCGGCCGGGGTCGGGCTGCGGTGGCACCGGCGCGGGGCTGGGGGCGCAGTGCCTCGGCGTGCGTCCGTCTGTCGGTCGATCCTCCCGCAAGCTCCCCTGCACGGGGCTCGAGCACTGCAGTGGCAGGAGCGGTGGCAGCAGCAGCGCCCTCGCGCCCCGCTTATATACCCCGACCCCGGAAATGACGTCAGCGGTGCCGCCCCCTTCCCCTTTCCCCACTCCCCAGGTGTCCAGTCCCCGCTCGCCCCCACCTCTAACCTCACCCCTCGCTACCTCTGGCCTCCGCCGCTTGGAGCTGGTGGGTCTTGGCCGCGAGGCGGGTATCTGGTTTCCAAGAGGTGGCGTGGGAGGCGGGGGGCTGTGGCTGATCCTCCACCCCTCGACGATTCCACCGATTTGCCTTGTGTCCCTGGGCAAGTCACTCGGATCTCTGGACCTTGCCTTCTTCCATGTGTACTGAGGTCCCTGGCAGCGCTAGCACCCCGTGCTATTTTTCCTAAGTGCCCTCTGCCTGGGGTATGCTCCCCCGGTCTCACAGGCTGGAGGCATGCCCATCACTCATGGCTCTCTCCAATATCTAGGAGGCTCTAGAGGGGCCTTTGATCCCCTGTCTGAGTGAGGCTTCTCTCTCTCTGGCAAGCTAGTTTTGTGCCTTCACACTTTGTTGTTGAATGTGTATTTATTTGAATAATGTTTAGTCATCATTACTTTCACAGTGCTGAGCGCCACACAATCTGGCACAGAGGAAACGCACTTGACAGGTAACTGATGAATGTATCCATTAAAGGTTCAAGCCATGGGTGAGTGAATCCTGGGCTCTGCATACACACGGGAACCAGGGGCTCACTTTCACCAGGAAGCTTAAGCCACTGTTGGACACCTCTTGTTAGGTAGAGGGAGGAGTGGGGGCCAGTTCTTATTACATCCGCCAAAATAGGAGTCCTTGCAACACCTACCCATTAGCCCTAGTGCAACCCCTTAGCATCACCTTCTTGCCACTGGCAGCCCATCTGAATTTGAGAACAGCTCTCACCTCTTCCTGAGCATTCTCAAAACCTGGATATTTTGTGTAAAAGGTCAGTTTCCTGGTTGGCTTCCCTTATTTCTGGGGCCCCTGATGCTCCAGCTCTTTGGGCTCCAGCTCTGGGGGCCGTGTTGGAAGCTCTTTGCCACCTGACCCCACTGTCACAGGGAACCTGGGATCTGGGTGACGGTTTGTCATTGGCTGGCATCGTCCAGAGCCCCTCCTTCCTGCCCACCCCTCTCCATCTGCGGCTGCTGTTTTCTACTAATACTTCCTTTCCCACACCTGTGCTCACGCCTGTCCCTAAATGAGAACCTGGTGGGAGCTCAAAGGAGACTGAAATGGCCACATTCATGAATTTACATATTTGCTTTGCTAAGCACCTACTATGTGCTTAGAACATCCTAGAACAGTACACAGTTGAGGGTACAGCATTAAACAGAACAGACAGAAGCCCTACATTCTAGATGGTGAAGACAGACAATGAATAAGAAGTAACACCCACAGTTTGTCAGCACGGAAGGGGACGGCTGTGCTGAGACAGGGTGGGGTTATACTTAAATAGGGTGGGTCAGCTGGGCGCAGTGGTTTACACCTGTAATCCCAGCAGTTTGGGAGGCTGAGGCGGGCAGATCACCTGAGGTCAGGAGTTCGAGACCAGCCTGACCAACATGGTGAAACCCCATCTCTACTAAAAATACAAAATTAGCTGGGCATGGTGGCGCATGCCTGTAATCCCAGCTACTTGGAAGGCTGAGGCAGGGGAATCGCTTGAACCCAAGAGGTGGAGGCAGAGTGCAGTGAGCCAAGATCATGCCACTGCACTCCAGCCTGGGCAACAAGAGTGAAACTCTGTCTCAAACAAACAAACAAACAACAACAACAACAACAGAAATGGGAAATAGGATGCTGGTTTCCAGGGGCTGAGGGGGAGGAGGAAACAGTTAGTGTTTCATGGGTACAGAGTTTGGGCAGATGAAAAAGTTCTGGAAATGGATAGTGATGATGGCTGCACAGCAACATAATTGGACTTAATGCCACTGAATTATGCCCCTAAAAATGGTTAAGATGGTAAATGTTATGTTAGGGATATTTTATCACAATAAAAAAAAATCACTCTCAGTGTCTTGTGGGGATGTTGACTGCAAGAAGGTGGCTGGTTCTAGCCTGGAGGATAGAGAGCAGGGGGCAGAGCAGGTGTCCTGGCCTCCCTGGAGGACAGAAGCTGTCCAGCCAGCATCTCTGGGAGCACCACAGGCACTGGAACTAGTGAACAGAAGGGGAGGGGCACCAGAGCCCCTGCCCGGGCTTGGTCTACTGGGATCCAGGGAGGATTCTCACAGATGTTCTCCTCTCCAGAATGCTGATTTCGAGAGAGGCCCCAAAAGTAGCCCTCTCTCTCCCCCATGGGGAGATGTAGGCTCAGAGCTGGCCAGGACCTCTTGCTGCTCCCCAAAAGCCAGGCGTGAATCTAACTCCAACAGTGCAGTCAGAGCCCTGCCCATGTCTCTTGGTGCTTTGAGGGCCCTGACGAACCTCCCACCGCTGGGATCTACCCTTCTGTGCCCACAGGCTCTTTTTTTTTTTTTTTTTTTTTTTTTTTTTTTGAGACGGAGTCTTGCTCTATCATCCAGGCTGGATTCCAGTGGCACGATCTCGGCTCACTGCAACCTAGAAACCCAGAAGCCTGCAGAAAGCTGCAAGTTCAGGGAGTTACCCCCAGGAGCAGCCCTCAGCCGGTGATATCAGGCTTTTACTTGTAAATACCCCTGGGTGGGATAATTCGAAGGAGGATTTTTTGGTACCATTTCCCAGCAGTGATGTCTGGCTTGATAGTGCACACTTTATTGACAGCGCACACTTCATTTAGACAGCCCACATTTTATTGACAGTGCACACTTTATTGACAGCGCACACTTTATGACAGCACACACTATTGACATCACACACTTTATTGACAGCACACACTATTGACAGTGCACACTTTATCGACAGCGCGCACTTTGACAGCACACACTTTGACAGCGCACACTTCACTGACAGAGCACACTTTATTGACAGCGTGCACTTTATTGACAGTGTGCACTTTATTGACAGCGTACACTTTATTGACAGCACGCACTATATTGACAGCTCGCAGTTTATTGACAGCACACACTTTATTGACAGTGCGCACTTTATCGACAGTGCACACTTGATAGCGCACACTTTATTGACAGCGCACACTTTATGGATAGCGCACAATTTATTGACAGCGCACACTTTATTGATAGCGCACACTTTATTGACAGCGCACACTTTATTAATAGCGCATACTTTGACAGCGCACAATTTATTGATAGCGCACACTTTATTGACAGTGCACACTTTATTGATAGCTCACACTTTATTGACAGCGCAAAGTTTATTGATAGCTCACACTTTATTGATAGCGCACACTTTATTGACAGCGCAAAGTTTATTGACAGCGCACACTTTATTGATAGCGCACACTTCATTGGCTTCCTTTCCCTTCCCGACCCATTCACCCTCCCGCCCCGTTTTCCCTTCCTGGTCTTCTACCAGGGATTCCTTGTCAGCCACGTGCACTCAAATCCTTGTCTCAGGGAACCCAAGCTAAGACGCTGACCAGCACCGGCTCTGTGTCTGAGGTGTGGGTGGTCTGTTTTCCCGTTCCTCCAATGGTCCTTGGTACTGTGGCCACATGGAACTCAGTGCCCTTCAAGCCTCATCCCTTCTCGGGCCCTGGCAGGTTTCTCCTCTGTCCCTGGCTCCGGGGTTTGGTTGGTGTTAGTGTGGAGGGTGGCTCTTTAAACACCTGTCCTACCTAGGAAGTGTCTTGTCAGCTCCAGGTCATTGCAATGCCTCCGACCAAGGTTGTGGTCCAAATGGTGAGGGTGGGCCGAGGCCAGAATGCACTTGGTTGGGAAACTGAACAGGGCCTTCCATGAGCCAAGGTGCAGTGACAGAATGAAGGGGTGGGCAGAGCCCGGGGCTCTAGGGTCAGCCTGACACACAGCCTACCCTGGGGTTTCCATCAACTCCCTGAGCGGCCCATGCCAGCCACTTTCCCATGACTTCCCATGAGGAGGAGGATGATAGAATTGCTCACAAGTGTGTGAAGAGTGAAGCAGTCCATGCAGGTGAAAGGCTCACGTACTTGTGATGCAGTCACTATCATCATCCTCACCTGTAGATTAGGAGGTAGAGGGTCAGAGAGGTTGCCTAAGTTGCCTAATAGCACACAGCTAGCAAGTAGCAGAGGAAGGATTTAACCTCAGGCTGTGGGTCCCCAACACAGTAACGTGGATGTTTATTGGTTTTAGATAAATGTGGAAGTTTATTGCTTTTAGGTAGATGCTAATTTTGTCTGACAAAAGGGGAATTGAGTTTCAGAGACAGATAGTGTCTTGTCCCAAGTCACACAGCAAATCCAAATCAATAGCAGGGCTGGGTTGAGAGCTAAGCTCCCCTGGGTCCCAGCATTGGGTTTTCCTTCCTGGAAAAGGTTGCTTTCCCCTGAATGTCCCATGTGATCGTGCTATGGGGGAATGAGCTTCCCCCAGGTATTGCCCAGGGTTGCTCAGCTGCCTTGGAGATGAGCAGTCCAGGCCCTGCCACACTCCGGCCTCTCTGGATCCATCCTCTTTTTCACCAGTTCTACCAAAGCTGTTTGGGGTCTGGGAAGGGGAGACATTCAACTAACATGTCTTGAGCACCTGCTGTGTTCCTGTCTCTGTTCTGGATTCTTGAAATATGCTGCTAAAGAGAAGAGGCAAGGCCCCTGCCTTGTTGGAGCCTATGTCCTAGGCTGAGACAGACATCAACAGCAAACCATAATAAATATGTGCAGTCTAGAGTGGCGTAGAAGGTGGTGATGGCTGTAAAATACCAGGGTGGGAGGGCGTGGGCCTCACTAAATAAGTGGCCAAGGTAAGCCTCATTAAGACAGTAACTTGAGTGAGGACTTGAAGCGGTCCAGGGAGCAAACCACATAGGTGTATGGAGGAAGAAATTTCCAGGCAGAGTGAACAGCCAGTGCAAAGGCCCTGGGGTGGGGGGCAACAGCCAGTGCAAAGGCCCTGGGGCGGGGGCATGCCTGGCAGGCTTGGGAAGGAGCAAAAAGGCCGAGGTGGCTGGGAGAGAGTGAGGCCGGGGTGGTAGGAGATGCCGTGGTGTGGGCTCGCATCACGCAGGGCTTCATGGGCTTTGGCAGGGTCTTTGATTTTTACTCTGAGAAGGGCAGGAGTCACTGGGAGAAGATGGGTGGGGAGGGTGTGAGGCATTGGGGTCTACAATACATCCTATGGATGGGCCCTCCAATCTAGCAAGCTCCCAGCAGCCCCAGCACCCAACTCCATCCCAGGAGGCCTGAACCAGAGTCCAGGAGAGGAAAAGAGAAAGCCATTGCCACCACCAGCCCCTGGTAGCCAGAAGTGTCCCCTTTGGTGAGCATCAGATCCCAGGGGGTGAGTGGCTGCTCCCCTGACTGAGGCTCAGGACTTCTCCATGTGAGTGGTTCCTGCCAGGGGTCCTGCCTGTGCCCCAGGGAAAGCGGCAGCTGCTTATCTGATGTTGGGGCCCAGGCCATGGAACAGCAGAGTCAATACACCCTCGTCCCACTTACAAAATCATATTTTCCAAACACACAGCTCCCCCAAGCCCCTTATCAGGCCTCCAGGTGGAAAAGCCCTGTTGCCTGGCAATGTTGCCTTATCTGCCAGGTCTGCATGGAGGCTAGAGCGAAGTGATTTCATTATATCCTCTCCCATCTGTCTCTGTAAACATCCCCGGGGGCTTCCAATTAAGGTTTTGCTTTCCTTCTTCAGCAGATGTTTGCTTTAATCTAATAAAACAGTTTGCAGGCCTCCTCAGTGGGTGTAGGAGGGCTTCGGTAGGCTTCCGCCAAGGAGGGTGTTGGGAAAGGTAGGGGGAGGGTGCCAGGCACACCAAGCCCTGGACACCGAGGCTGGCTGGGGCACGAGGCACAGCAGGCTGGAAGAAGGAGTGGGCCTGGCCCACACCGAGAGGTGAGAGACATCTGCCCTGTGCCCCACCTCCTCTCCTTCCCAGGGCCATATTCCCCGGGGTCCAGCGGCATGCTGATCCCTCTTGAACATGATGTCTTCTAGGGTGACACCGCTAGGTCAGAGCTTCTGCTTCCAAGGGGAGATCACCTGAGAGATGGGACTGTAGAGGCTCCATAAAGAAGGCGCTACGGGGCAATTGCTTAGTGACGTGCAAACTTCAAACTCACACCCGGCAAACCAGAACATAGGAAGCTGCAGGTTAGGTCCACGGTGGAAGATAGTGGGAGGCACTGACATGGCTGCTTCGATAAGTCATTGTGGTGGAGAGGGAGGTCAAAGCAGAGGTGTTTCTAAGATGGGCCCAGCAGTGAAGTCTCTGAACAGAGAAGACCCCCTGCCCAGGCTCCAACCCCTCAACTTCGTGGGTTCAAAAATGGTTGACCTATAGGGCCTCCTAGGGAGGAAACTTCCAGTGACTTAAGGGTGGTTTATGTCCCTAGAGGTCTTTCCTGGGTGGCAGAAGCATCTAAGAATGGTGGGGACAGCTGTACTTTGGAGCCAGAGAGACCTGGGTTAAACCCTGGCTCTTCCTATACCCATTGTGTGGCCTTGCAAACATTAAGTCACTTTCTGAGCCTCTGCTTCCTCTTTTACAAAATGACCCAAATAATCCCTTCTGTGATTTCTGTGAATTTCACTAGGAGGGTTCAGTCTCACCAACATTTATCAGTGGCTACTATGTTGGGGCCGGCTCAGCGGTGTTGGCAACGGGAGGGGAAGTCCCAGCACAGTTCCTGGCCCTTGAGGGTGCTCAGCACCTGTGACTGTCCCCAGGTGGATGTCATAGCTCTTCCCTTCCCTCTCTCCCCCAGGCTCTGTCCTCGGCTGTAGCCCTGGGTTCACCTGGCTCCATTTGCAGCTGACTGACTAAGTCAGCCATGCCCTGCAAGCCTCAGCATCAGCAGCACTTGGCAGCTCAGCTTCTGAGAGAGCCTCTGTTTTCTCTTCAGGAAGATAGGGCTGTTGATATCAGTACCCACCTCCTAGAGCTCTTGTGAGGCCTCGTGGAGTTAATGTGCATCAGGTGTGTCACACAGAGTTTGGCTTGGATGAGTGTGGACTCAGTGGCAGCGCCTGCCTGTTCTTCTCGTAGCTTTGGGATGTGGTTTTTCAGGTGGCTGAGGATCTCTGATGTTCAGGATGGTTGAGCTACACATGGCTGTGTCTAGTGCCCCCTGAAGGAGAGGCAGGAAATGAGATGGGGGTCCCTGGTGAACTGAGGGGTGCTGCTCCTGCTCTCCACTGAGGAGCAGAGGGTGAGCTCATGACCCCAGCCCTCAGACCCTGCCTCTCCAGAGCCAGCCCAGTTGAGGGTCAGAGGCACAGACAGAAAGGTCTTTGGGGAGCTCTGGCCTGGAGAGAGGATGCACAGTGCACTCCCTAATGGTGGGGCCTGCAAGGCAGAGCTGAGGCCCCTTGTCTTCTGCCAAATGATGTTTCAGAATCAGTTAGCTGAGCTGCTTCCCCACTAAAGGACAGGCTGTTCCTCCACCCTCCCCTCATCCCCATAGCTTAGAGACTGAGCAGTCTGGTTACCCATTTCTCCTCATGCATCCCCAACCTTCAAAGGGCCAGCAGAGAAGCCAGGACCCAATGGGCCTTAATCATGGACCTTTCTCCTTACCTGGACCCAGTTCAATCCAGGCACTGACCTGGTGTCTTCATCTTCATCCACCTGCCCAAGAAGACTTCTCTTCCTTCTGTGTCTGAATTCCATGATGAGGACTTCATCCCTGTGGTCAAAGCTCAGCAGCCCCACCCCAACTCACTCCCAACAGGAGATGCCACATGTCAAGCATTCTCGGTCATTTTCTCTGCTGTATGGGGGGATCCATGCAGGTGGGGCAATGGCACCAAACCACTTTTATCTTCCAGAAAAACTAGAAATTTATACCCTCAGAATGATCCTGTCATATTTCTTTGGCTTTCTCTCTTGTTATCCCACTCTTATCCCCTCATCAGCAATGCAGCTTCAGCTGCACCAGTCTAGGGGAGTCCCACCTCCCCTGTGGCATATGCATGTGCCATGCATGTTTCTGCTTCCGTCCCTTTCCACATGTGCCCTGGCCAGGAATGCCTTCTTCTCTTGCTTATTCATCTTCCCCAAACATTAAGGCTCAGCTCAATTCCACTCCATGCCTTCCACCTCAGGAGATCACTGTCTGCTGAGATCTTTTAGCATTTACCATCCTCAACACCACTACTTGGCTCCTGCCAAATACTGTTTTGCTCTTTGTGTAGATTACTTTGTATGCAAATCTTTTTTTTTTTTTTTTGAGACAGTCTGGCTCTGTCACCCAGGCTGGAGTGCAGTGGCATGATCTCGGCCCACTGCAACCTCTGCCTTCTGGGCTCAAGCAATCTTCCCACATCAGCCTCTGGAGTAGCTGGGACTACAGGTGTGCACCACCACACCCGGCTTATTTTTGTATTTTTTCGTAGAGGCAGGGTTTCATCATGTTGCCCAGCCTGGTCACAAATTCCTAGGCTCAAGTAATCTGCCTGTCTTGGCCTCCCAAATTGTTGGGATTACAGGCATGAGCCACTGAGCCTGGTTCTTATGCAGATCTTTTATCTGCCCAACTAGATTTCAAGCCTTTTTAGGGGAAGGACATTGCTTCAAACTATCCCAGACCCTACATCTATGGGAATATGACCTATTTTTTTTTTTTCATGGAGGTGAAAAATAGCTTAACCCAAATATGAGGACAATGGGATTTTTCACAAGGTAGGAGACTGGTTGGGAGGTGTTTGATGGGGATGACGGGGGGTCCTTTCTGGATCCCCTGCCTGTGTGTCACCCTGTGAATAGTACTCACACTGGCTCTTCATGTAAAGATGAGTAGGTCAAGCGATGCTCTGTGGGTCTGCTCCAGTGTGGGCGGAATGCAGCGCTCAAGGTTCGCAGGCTGCTGTCCGTGGTCCTGAACTACCACCTTCTGTGGAGGAAACCTGGGTACTGATTTTGGTGACTCTTATCTAACACCTCCCAGGGGTTATAGTTTTAACGTCTTACTTTTTTTTTCTAGCTGTTTAAACTTTTGAAATTTTCAGATAATTAATTAGAATCATGGCTTTGTTTCTCAAAATTCTCAAAAATTCATGGAGCTTTATCAGATTTCCAATAGTCAGACATTTTTTACCTTTGAGAAACTGGAGGTGAAGTCATATGTCTCCTCCATCATGTCGCTCACAATATTTTTATGATTTTAAGACCCAGCTTGCTCCATGAAGTAGTGCATTCCCACATTTTTACATCATTTTGTAGACATCATATTAGCTTTACCTCTTACTGACTGGGTGAACATGGACAGGCCAATTCACCTATATTGGCCTCAATTTTCTCTTTCTAAAATTATGGCAGTAACTAGGCACAGTGACTCATGCCTGTAATTCCAGCACTTTGGGAGGCCAACGCAGAGGATCCATTGAGCTCAGGAGCTCAAGACCAGCCTGGGCAATATAGTGAGATTCCCATCTCTACAAAAAATAGAAAAAAATAGGCATGATGGCACATGCCTGTAGCCCCAGCTACTCAGGAGGCTTAAGGAGGAGGATCAATTAATCCCAAGAAGTAGAGGCTGCAGTGAGCCTTGATCTTACCACTTCACTGTAGCCTGGGTGACAGAATGAGACTCTATCTCAAAATAATAATAATAATAATAATAATAATAATAATAATAATAATAATAAAGTAAAATGGTGGGAGTGATGGTGCAGAAGATTTGGACTTGATTATCTCAGAGATCCCTTTCTTTGCTGAAGTGGTGGCTCCTGATTCAATGCCCCTGTCTCTCACATCTCTGTGAGCCTTTCCTCCCAAGCTCTTTAAAATAAACAAGAAAATCTAGGTCATTCCCTGCATCAAGCTCAAAGGCAGTTTCTCACAAATGGCCTTACTTCAATTGCTAGTAACAAGGGGAGGGCTTCTGCATGTGAGACCCACTCCCATCGCAGAAGGACATTCAAAAACACCCGTTCCTCTTCTCTCATGTAGCGGTGACCTTACCCATATCCCAGCTTTCCTGCTGGAAGTCACGTGTTAAAAAGCACTTGGTCCCACATGTAAGCAGTAGGGAGGTGTCTACACATTCTGGAGTAGGTCTGTGCCTGAACAGGAGGTTTTGAGGACAGCAAAGGCTACTGAGTTGGCCTCAGAACCAGGGAGCCTTCCCAGCGTGGAGGATCTCAGAGGCCTCCTGCTGCTGTCATATCCCTGATGAAGGGGCTCAGAAGAATCCACAGCCTCCCTCTCCCATCAGCCCCCTTGGCTCCCAGCTCCAGGACAAGTGGTTCAGGGCCAGTGGGTAGATAAAGCCCTCGCTTAAGCCTGGACCTCCCTAGGTGTTGCAACCACCTCATCCTTAGATCCCAGTGAGAGATCTTATTCCTGAGGCATTGAGTGCTAATAAATAATAAATGCCGCTCCCTCTCCCTCTCCCTCTCCCTCTCCCGCTCCCGCTCCCTCTCCCGCTCCCTCCTCTCCCTCCTCTCCCTCTCCCCACGGTCTCCCTCTCATGCGGAGCCGAAGCTGGACTGTACTGCTGCCATCTCGGCTCACTGCAACCTCCCTGCCTGATTCTCCCCTCAGCCTGCCGAGTGCCTGCGATTGCAGGCGCGCGCCGCCACGCCTGACTGGTTTTGGTGGAGACCGGGTTTCGCTGTGTTGGCCGGGCCGGTCTCCAGCCCCTAACCGCGAGTGATCCGCCAACCTCGGCCTCCCGAGGTGCCGGGATTGCAGACGGAGTCTCCTTCACTCAGTGCTCAATGGTGCCCAGGCTGGAGTGCAGTGGCGTGATCTCGGCTCACTACAACCTACACATCCCAGCCGCCTGCCTTGGCCTCCCAAAGTGCCCAGAGTGCAGCCTCTGCCCGGCCGCCACCCCGTCTGGGAAGTGAGGAGTGTCTCTGCCTGGCCGCCCATCGTCTGGGATGTGAGGAGCCCCTCTGCCTGGCTGCCCAGTCTGGAAAGTGAGGAGCGTCTCCACCCGGCCGCCATCCCATCTAGGAAGTGAGGAGCGCCTCTTCCCAGCCGCCATCACATCTAGGAAGTGAGGAGCGTCTCTGCCCGGCCGCCCATCGTCTGAGATGTGGGGAGCGCCTCTGCCCCGCCGCCCCATCTGGGATGTGAGGAGCGCCTCTGCCCGGCGAGACCCCGTCTGGGAGGTGAGGAGCGTCTCTGCCCGGCCGCCCCGTCTGAGAAGTGAGGAGACCCTCTGCCTGGCAACCACCCCGTCTGAGAAGTGAGGAGCCCCTCCGCCCGGCAGCTGCCCCGTCTGAGAAGTGAGGAGCCTCTCCGCCCGGCAGCCACCCCATCTGGGAAGTGAGGAGCGTCTCCGCCCGGCAGCCACCCCGTCCGGGAGGGAGGTGGGGGGGTCAGCCCCCCGCCCGGCCAGCCGCCCCATCCGGGAGGGAGGTGGGGGGTCAGCCCCCCGCCTGGCCAGCCGTGCCGTCCGGGAGGGAGGTGGGGGGGTCAGCCCCCCGCCCGGCCAGCCGCCCCGTCCGGGAGGTGAGGGGCGCCTCTGCCCGGCCGCCCCTACTGGGAAGTGAGGAGCCCCTCAGCCCGGCCAGCCACCCCGTCCGGGAGGGAGATGGGGGGGTCAGCCCCCCCACCCGGCCAGCCGCCCCGTCCGGGAGGGAGGTGGGGGGGTCAGCCCCCCGCCCGGCCAGCCACCCCGTCCGGGAGGGAGGTGGGGGGATCAGCCCTCTGCCCGGCCAGCCGCCCCATCTGGGAGGTGAGGGGCGCCTCTGCCCGGCCGCCCCTACTGGGAAGTGAGGAGCCCCTCTGCCCGGCCAGCCGCCCCGTCCGGGAGGGAGGTGGGGGGGTCAGCCCCCCGCCCGGCCAGCCGCCCCGTCCGGGAGGTGAGGGGCGCCTCTGCCCGGCCGCCCCTACTGGGAAGTGAGGAGCCCCTCTGCCCGGCCACCACCCCGTCTGGGAGGTGTGCCCAACAGCTCATTGAGAACGGGCCAGGATGACAATGGCGGCTTTGTGGAATAGAAAGGCGGGAAAGGTGGGGAAAAGATTGAGAAATCGGATGGTTGCCGTGTCTGTGTAGAAAGAAGTAGACATGGGAGACTTTTCATTTTGTTCTGCACTAAGAAAAATTCCTCTGCCTTGGGATCCCGTTGATCTGTGACCTTACCCCCAACCCTGTGCTCTCTGAAACATGTGCTGTGTCCACTCAGGGTTAAATGGATTAAGGGCGGTGCAAGATGTGCTTTGTTAAACAGATGCTTGAAGGCAGCATGCTCGTTAAGAGTCATCACCACTCCCTAATCTCAAGTACCCAGGGACACAAACACTGCGGAAGGCCGCAGGGTCCTCTGCCTAGGAAAACCAGAGACCTTTGTTCACTTGTTTATCTGCTGACCTTCCCTCCACTATTGTCCCATGACCCTGCCAAATCCCCCTCTGTGAGAAACACCCAAGAATTATCAATAAAAAAATAAATTAAAAATAAATAAATAAATAAATGCCAGAGTAGGCACAGAACAATGACACTGAGAGGGCAGAGAATTTTTACAAAAGCGGGGAGCTGAGCCTCAAGTGCATTTGTCCTAGAATCACCGGGCCAGAAAGGTCCTCAGGAGGTCACCTTGTGTCCCTCATAGCCTCGCTGATAGCAGAAAGGAAGAACAAAAGATGCATACAGAAAACTCTGGATGGTTGGGGGGAGTGGGTATGGTGGCTCACACCTGTAATCCCAGCATTTTGGGAGGCCAAGGTGGGCGGATCACTTGAGGTCAGGAGTTCGAGACCAGCCTGGCCAACATGGTGAAACCCCCTCTCTACTAAAAACACAAAAATTAGTCGGATGTTGTCGTGCACGCCTGTAGTTCCCCAGCTACTTGGGAGGCTGAGGCAGGAGAATCTCTTGAACCCGGGAGGTGGAGGTTGCAGTGAGCCGAGATTGCATCACTGCACTCCAGCCTGGGCAACAGAGCAAGACTCTGCCTCAAACGAACAAACAAACACTCCAGGGACCTCCAAGCCCAACCTCACCTCCCAACTAAGAAAGAAAACCCGGTCCAGGGAAAGGGGCCTGGGGGACCCAGGTGCTTCTCTGAGCAGAGCTTACTGTGCAACCTTGAGCATAGTTCTTAAACCTTTTGGGCCTCAGTTTTCTCATCTGCCAGTTGGAACTGGGTGCAGAGGAGCAAGTGTTTGGGATGTCCTTCCGCGATAAGAGTGGGCCTCACAGGGAGAAGCCCCCCATTACTAACTTGGGAGAATACTCAGTTCTGTTCAATGACCATTCACTATTTCACTCATTCATGTATTAATTCAACAACTATTTATCTGAGCATTTACTATGTGCCAGGGCCAGCATTTGGTGTTGGAGATGCAGCGACAAACAACACAGGCAGGGCCTCTCTTTTCACAGGGCTTGCTCTCTATTGCCTGGGGAGACTTCAGAGGGCTCTGAGCCAGCTGTTGAGATTGCTTCAGAGGAAGGCAGGGTCTCTCTTGGCTAGGGCCTTGGAGGAAGAGGAAAGGAGGGAGATGAAAAGGATGGTAATGATGATATGGAATGTTGATTGACTGACTGAATGAATGAAAAGTTTTGGCTTCTTCATGATGTGGTGTAAGAAAGAGAGGGGGGTGGTTAATGTGTTGATATTACAAATCCAGGCCGAAACACTCAGATTTTAAAAGTGACCAAAATATGTTGGCAATATAAATTTAAAAGTCTTAAAATGTGCATGTCCTCTAACCCAACATTCGTCAAGGATGCAAATATGGGTATATAAAGATGTTCAGACTGGGCGTGGTGGCTCACGCCTGTAATCCTAGCACTTCGGGAGGTACTAGGGAGGCTGAGGCGGGTGGATTGCCTGAGCTCAGGAGTTTGAGACCGGCCTGGACAACATGGCAAAACCCTGTCTCTACTAAAAATACAAAAAAAAAAAAAAATTAGCCGGGTGTGGTGGCACACACCTGTGGTCTCAGCTACTTGGGAGGCTGAGGCATAAGAATCACTTGAATCCAGGAGGCAGAGGTTGCAGTGAGCCAAGATCATGCCACTGCACTCCAACCTGGGGTGACAGAGACTGTCTCCAAAATAACAAAATAAAATGAAAAATAAAATAAAATAAAAGTTTCTTGTGGCAATGTTTATGAAAGCCCCCAAATGAAAAACATCCAGATATCTATCTACTGGGGATCAACTAATTCACATACATAATGGAGTATTATACAGCCATTTGGACTAATGCTTTAGAAATGTAGCAACATGGCCGAACGCAATGGCTCATGCCTGTAATCCCAGCACTCTGGGAGACCAAGGCGGGTGGATCTCCTGGAGTCAGGAATTCGAGACCAGCCTGGCTAATGTGGTGAAATCCTGTCTCTTCTAAAAATACAAAAAATTAGCCAGGCGTGGTGGCGGGCACCTGTAATCCCAGCTACTTGGGAGGCTGAGACAGGAGAATCACTTGAACCCAGGAGACAGAGGTTGCAGTGAGCCAAGATCACACCACTACACTCCAGCTTGGGTGACAGCAAGACTCCACCTCAAAAAACAAAAAGAAATGTAACAACACGGTAAAATATTCATGATATATAAATGGAGAAGACATGTATGGTATACCTTCCTATGTACATTATATGTGAAAAATGTCTGAAGACATACATCATGTTAACAATAGTTGTTTAAGGTGGTGGGTTTATGGGTGTTAAAAATTTTTTTCTTTATGCCTACTGGTATTTTCTTTTCTATTTTAATTAATTAGTTTATTTTTGTAGAGATGAGGTTTCTCTGTGTTGCCCAGGTTGGTCTCAAACTCCTCGGCTCAAGAAATCCTCCTGCCTCAGCCTCCCAAAGCGCTGGGGTTACAGGCATGAGCCACCATGCCCAGCCCCAGTGGTATTTTGTTTTTCTTTCTTTTCTTTTTTTTTTTTTTTTTTTTTTGAGACAGAGTTTTGCTCTTGTTGCCCAAGCTGGAGTGCAATGGTGAGATCTCGGCTCACTGGAACCTCCACTTCCCAGATTCAAGTGATTCTCCTGCCTCAGCCTCCTGAGTAGCTGGAATTACAGGTGCGTGCCACCATGCCCAGTTACTTTTTTGTATTTTTAGTATAAACGGGGTTTCACCATGTTAGCCAGGCTGGTCTCGAACTCCTGACCTCAGGCAATCCACCCACCTTGGCCTCCCAAAGTGCTTGGATTACAGGCATGTGCCCCCACGCCAGGCAGAACTCTCATACACTGCTGGTGGGAATGTGAAATGCTACAATCACTTTGGAAAGCAATTTGTCAGTTTCTTTAAAAAATGAAACATATACCTCCTAAATGACTCAGCCATTCCACTCCTAGGTACTTACCCAAGAGAAATAAAAGCGTTTGGATACTTGTACATGAATATTCATGGGAACTTTATTTGTAATACCCCCAAAATGGAAACAACCCAAATATCTATCAATAGATAAATGAATAAACAAGTTGTGGTATATCCACATAATGAGATACTACTTAGCAATAAAAATAAATGAACTATTGATATATGCAACAACATGGATGCATCTCAAAATAGAAGCCAGACAAAAAGAATACATTCTGGATAATTCCATTTATATAAAATTCTAGGACATGCAAATGAATCTGCAGTGGCTGAAAGCAGGTTCATGGTTGCCTGGGGATGGAGAGGGTGGAACGTGGAGAGAGGGAGTGATTGCAAAGGCGCAGGAGGAAGTTTTGGGAGGTGAGGGGTGTGTGTTCACTGTTTTGATTGTGGTGATGACTTCACAGGTATATACATATGTCAAAACTTACCAAATTGCGCACTTTAAACATGTACAAATGTATGTCGATAAAGCTGTTTTTAAAACAGAGGCTGCCACGAGCATAGAGGCAAAACAGTCGATGCCTCCCAGTTTCAAGCTGGTTTGGTCATCATGGGAGAGCGTTGCTGTCCTCATCTCACCCACACAGAACCTGGAACCCAGAGGGGTTAAGTGCTAGTCCGGGCAGAGCCCATGGCCAGATTCTTTCTTCTCAGGATCCAGCGCTTTCTTTGCAAAGCACTGAGTGTGCTTCCAGGAGCCTCCCAGAACCTATCGGCATGCCCTGAGCTGAGGGACATGGTGTCCCTGCCACCTGAAGGTATAATCTCCCCTTCAGTTCACACTCCTCCCCCAGTCGTGGTCCCTCAGCCTGTGTTTGCAGCCAGGAGGCTGGCTTCATTTGCAGAGAGGCTGTGATTGCAGCATCTCCCCAGGGAAGTAATAAAGAGTGGGAATGAGATAAGGGACAAAGGCAATTATCTAACAACCTGTGTCCATGGCAGAGAAGGACTCAGGCCAAGCTGGGGATTCCTGCCCCGTCCCCGTGTCCTTGAGAGGCTGGCAGGGCCACTCTGCCCAGAAGAGTTCTCCTGGGCAAGGGGTCATAGTGGGGGGTAGAGGGGAAGGAGGTGGTAGGAGGTGGGGGTGGGTAGGGGTGGGGGTGCCAGGCTGGGCCCCAGAAACACTTGGTTTCTGTCCCTGTGTTCCTCCCCCGCTGCAGGGCCCTCCACAGCATTTGGAGTCAGAGCTGGCGTGGGATCCTGGAAAAGCTGAATGAACGCAGGCTTTGTGTGTGGACGGACCTGGGTATGCATCCTGGCACCAGCTGGGTCTCAGTGACCACCCCTGTGAAATGGGGGTAACAACGGTCCCTTCCCCATACGACCCTGCCATGTAAGGTTCAGTCAACCCCACTTGCCCTCCCCTTGCTTGTCCTTCTACTTTATGTTCTCCTGAGACTCTGCAAACCAGAGAAGGGACAAGCTGAGGCAGGAGGCCTTGAGCCTTGAGAGTGGATGGGAGAAGGAGAATGTGGAGAAATGGGGCAGCTGTGTTTGCTGAGCACTTCCTGTAGCCCAGTACTAGACAGAGCACTTTACACGCTCTATCCCCTTTAATCCCCACAACAGCCCTGTGAAGTATTCACTGTCCTCCCAGCTTCCCCAAGAAGAACACTGAAGCCTCCCAAGAGCAAGTCACTCATCCAAGGTCACAGAAAGTAGACAGGGGCAAATATAGGCCTTGAACCCAGGCAGCCTGACTTCCAAGTCCCTGTCTTGTGGCTGAAATTCCCCACCAGTTTTCTGGGGTCTTTGCATTTCTGAGTCCCGACCCCACTAGTTGAGATGCTTTCCCCAGCAGTGATCCAAGTTCAGATTCTCTCTGCAACTCCTTGTTACGCAAGCCACCCTATGATCCCTCACGTGTGCGGAGCACTCTACAGTTTACAAAGAACTCTTTCATTACTACTTATGCCATGGGTGGTTCCGAATCCCTTGAAACAAGAGAGGACTGTTGTTGTTATCCCGGTGTCTACCATGAAGATGGTATGGATCCCTTCCTAGGGAGAAATGGACATTGACGCACACTGGACCATTTTATCTGCACAACAAGTAAACAGTATTAGGCCCAGTTTACAGATGTTAAAACTGAGGCCTGGAAGAATTAAACAGCTTGCCTAAGTTCATGAAGCTAGCGAGTGGCTGAGCCAGTATTTCCTCCCAGATTTGATTGGCCCCAAAGCCCATACTCTTCACCACTTAATCCACTGCAAGAAGTAATCACTGTCTGCCTTCCCCAGCCTCTCCCTAAGAAGGCTCTGAGGTCCTTATCTGAAGGCTCAGTCCTGCCATTTCCTGAGGCAATCAGACAACATTCATGCATTTGTTCACTTGTTCAACAAATAGGAATGAGCACTCGCTGTGTACCAACACTCAGACACTTGGTTTCTGAATGCCCATTAGCCACAGGCCCTGCTCTCGAAGAATTCACTGGTGGACAGAGATGAATGAGGCGGTTCATCTCGGGATACAAAGTGTAGAGACCACACATGTACCTTGGTTCTTTCTGTGCAGAGAAAAGCTATCTATTTTCAGTCTCAATATTTAGCAGTTTCCATAGATACCAGATCATAACTAATTAGACCAAAGCAAGTGTTTATTTCAATCTTTGATGTCATCTACTTCAAACATTTTATCCAGTTACGTTTATTTCAATCATTCATGCGACACTAACTGAGCACCTGCAAGGCCTTGTACTTGAATGAAAACATTAATAGTAATAATCATAACAATAACCAAAAAATTACTCTCATCGATTGATAATTTCATTCTTCTTTTCTTTTTTGTGACGGAGTCTCGCTCTGTCACCCAGGCTGGAGTGCAGTGGCAGAATCTCTGCTCACTGCAACCTCCACCTCCCGGGTTCAAGTGATTCTCCTGCCTTAGCCTCCCAAGCAGCTGGGACTACAGGTGCCCATCACCACACCCGGCTAATTTTTGTATTTTTAGTAGAGATGGGGTTTCGCTATGTTGGGCAGACTGGTCTCAAACTCCTGACCTCAAGTGATCTGCCCACCTCAGCCTCTCAAACTGCTGCAATTATAGCGTAAGCCACTGCACCCAGCCCGATGATTGAGAATTTCTTATGTGCCAGGCACTATTCTGAGTGCTGCACAGGTATTAATTCATTTACTGTGCAACAGCCCTTTCAGGGAGGCACTATTATTATCCCCTGTACTGGACGAGGAAACTGAGGTGGAGAAAGGTTAATGATTTTGCCCACTCAAAAATAATATTGGAGAGATATCTGTCACCATCTGATTTCTGGTGATCCAAATATAGCTGGATCTGAGAGTTAAGACTTCCCTCCTCAGGTCCCAAGCCCCATCTTCCTCTCGCTGGTCTCTGATTCTAGCATCAATCTTTTACATCCTTGTGCTTTTTCTATAAGGCTGCCATGAAATTAAGCACACACCCACTGGCCCAGGCCAACAAGCTGGCTCCAAGACAAGGCCTACCTAGACTAAATGCTCAGAATTGGGAGTTGGGGAGAATTTCCAGCAACCCTGACACACCCAATGGCCTCAGGACGGGAGGAGGTCTCTGAGAAACGTTGTGGGGGAACATGGGACTCCCCTTCCCCTCTGGCCTCTTCCCACACCTCAACACACCCGAGCCCTCATACATGACCAAGTAGAAGTCAGGCCCTGGGTCCGGTGAGAAGGTCGCAGGGATTTGAGCCAGACAGAGTGCAATGAAAGCCCACTTCTCATCCAGAGGTGCTGGGAGTTAGGGAACAAGCTAGAGGGTCCTCAGTGCTGAAATACGGGGGGTCTGTACTCATTTGTTACAGTGTCACTAGAGCCCTGGGGACAGGGTTGCCTTCCCTTCCCCCTCCCCGCTGCCCCCAGAGGCCAGCTCCCAGGGAGGCTGTGCTGCCCCTCCAGCCCTGGCGGACCTCTCAGAGCTTGTGGTCGTCAGATCATTGACCCTGAAGGCACCCTACCAATCACCTTGATGAGAAAACCAAGACCAGCCTGAAGGCGAGTGGAATTTGGACTAGAGTCCAGAGCCCACGACACCTGTGCCCTGGTCCTTACTCCCTGCCTCATTCCAATATCCTAAAAGGGTATCTTTGCACCTGCCAGAAATGCAGCCCAGTCACATGGTCACCCCCCTTCCTGTGTGTCCTGCCCCCTCACCTGCTCAGGAAGTCAGAGTGGGAGTGCACAGGTCTTCCTGTGGGTGTCTCCACCCAGAAAGCTGCCTTTGGGTTTATTCCAGAAACACGAGATCAGAGGACCTTTGAGCTGAGACTCAAAGAGGGCTGGTTCAAGTCTGAGGTCTGATAGTTTGGGAGGCAAGACCTGGGGCAGGTGAGTCACCTTCTGATCTCTGGTGCCTCATCTGCGTCGTGGGACATGGAGGCTGGCAGTGGCTCGTGAAGGTCAGATGACGAGCATCATCACTGCGCCTTCCAGCTGTGAGCTTCACACACAATATTCTGTGTGATTAGTGGCATCAAGACTTGAACCTGAGATCTCTGCTTCCAAGGCTGGGACTCTTCTGCCTGCAGCACTCTGCCTTTTGCTGTGGAAAAGGTTCTGAGAGAGGCGGGGCGGTGTCCTCTATCTCCTGGGATTCCCAGCATGCGGATCACAGAAGGTGTCCTAATAGACATATTTCTGTGTCCTTGAATGTCCCATTTACATTTTCCTGACTTCTGAACAGCCTGTGCCTGAGCTGGCAAGAAGCCTCCCTCTCGGACCCCTGTGACTGCCTGCCATCCCGTTCCCACGCCTCAATCAATTGGTCCCCGAGTTCCGTTGTTTTCTCTTATTGTTTTCATGCGGAGGAGTTACCTCCTTCCAAATCGGGAAAGGAGGTTGGAAGAAAATAGTGTGACAGCTGTCCTGAGTCGCGCACTGCCCTTGATTGGCCAGTGCCGGGTTTGGGTCGGGTTTCCACGTGGCTTCGTACAGGCGTTGCTTCTCCCTTGGCATCTGTAGTAAACGCTGTTGCTCTGAGCCATGTCCCCTCAGCCCCACGCTGACATCAGCTGTGTCCCTGGTGGTTTGTCCTCGTGCTTGATGGTGGCTTCCCAACTCAAAGCTTTACTGTGTCTCTCAGCTTCTGTTCTTCAGATTTTTTCCCAGCAAAGCGTGGGGACTGGGGGACAGTGGTCCGTGGGTACACACCCCAGCCTCATCATCATTCAAGACAATCCTGAGGTGCATTTTACACCGTTCCTCACAGGGTTCCCAGTGGAATCAAGCCCAGTTACCCACATCAGTAGCCAACTCAGTAATGCACTGAGTGGTTTTCTCTCCTTCCTGATCTCACTCTCCTACGCCCTCACTTTGGTTTCCTGGCATGGATTCCATGTCAACTCCCTGCACCCGAGTCCTTGTCTCAGGCTCTGCTTTAGGAAGAGCTCAAGCTAAGACCAAAATGTGAGCCAGGCTTGCGGAAGGCATGAGGAGGAGGAGGAGGAGGAGGAGAGGAGGAAGAGGAGGAGGAGGAGGAGGAAGATAGTGATGCCCTGGCTGAGGAGTCAGGAGACCTGAGTTCCAAACCTACAGCACCTTACACACTCGAAATTCATGGGTTGAATGCATAAATGAATGAGTGAGTGAAGAAATTAAGCCAGGCGTAAGGGCTCACATGTGTAATCCCAGCACTTTGGGCGGCTGAGGCAGATGGATCACCTGAAGTCAGGAATTTGAGACCAGCCTGGCCAACATGGTGAAACCTGGTCTCTATTAAAAATACAAAAATTAGGCTGGGCACAGTGGCTCACGCCTGTAATCCCAGCACTTTGGGAGGCCGAGGCAGGTGGATTACGAGGTCAGGAGATCGAGACCATCCTGGCTAACACGGTGAAACCCCTTCTCTACTAAAAGTACAAAAAATTAGCCGGGCATGCTGGCAGACACCTGTAGTCCCAGTTACTCGGGAGGCTGAGGCAGGAGAACGGTGTAAACCCGGGAGGCGGAGCTTGCAGTGAGCTGAGATTATGCCACTGCACTCTAGCCTGGGCAACAGAGCAAGACTCTGTCTCAAAAAAAAAATTAAATTAAATTTAAAAAATAAAAAAACTAGCAGGGCATGGTGGCACATGCCTGTAGTCCCAGCTACTCAGAAGACTGAGGCAGGAGAATCGCTCACACCTGGGAGGCAGAGGTTGCAGTGAGCCGAGATCACGCCACTACACTCCAGTGAGACTGTATCACAAAAAAAAAAAAAAAAAAGAAGAAAAGAAATGATAGTAGATATTATCTTGACTATTTTGTAGATTTGGGAACCATGGTTGGCATTTCTAGTGCTCATCAACAATTTCTATTTTTTTTTCTTTCTTTGAGACAGGGCTTTCTCTCCTTCCCAGTCTGTCACCCAGGCTGGAGTACAGTTGTATGATCTCGGCTCACTGCTACCTCAACCTCCTAGGCTCAAGTGATCTTCCTGCCTCAGCCTCCTCAGTAGCTGGGACCACAGGTGTGCACCACCATGTCCAGCTGATTTTTGTATTTTCTTTTCTTTTTTCTTCTTTTCTGGAGAGATGGGGTTTCACTATGTTGCCCAGGCTAGTCTTGAACTCCTGGGTGCAAGCAATCCAGCTGCCTCAGCCTCCCAAAGTGTTGGGATTATAGGCATGAGCCGCTGCATCTGGCTTTTTTTTTTTCTGCTTTTGTTTCGTTTTGAGTCTGTTGCCCAGGCTGGAGTGCAGTGGTGCAACCGTGCAATCATGGTTCACTGCAGCTTTGACTTCCCAGGCTCAAGTGATCGCCTGCCTTAGCCAACCTAGTAGTTATGACTACAGATGTGAACCACCATGCACAGCTAATTTTTCAATTTTATGTAGAGATGGGGTCTTGCTATATTGCCCAGGCTGGTCTCAAACTCCTAGCCTCAAACAATCCTCTGGCCTTGGCCTCCCAAAGTGATGGAATTACAGGTGTGAGTCACCATGTCTGACCACTCACCAACAATTTATAGACATACATTGTTATCCTCTGATGATACTAGCTTGCTCACCTGAATTAAGGTTGACCACATGACTTTCTTTGGCCAATGAAATGTGAGCAGAAGTGATGTGTGTCACTTCCAGAGGAAGGCAGTTAGAAGCCCGCGGGCCTGCTCCCTGCTCAATTGCCTGCACTGGCAGCCCTGAAGCAGTGCAGTGAAATGGAGGTGCTAGCAGACTGAAGTAGCTGGATTGTTGAGCCACCTTATAAAGGACAGTGACCCTGGAGTTGCCCACACCAGCAATGCATTTTTTTAAATGAGTGAGAAATAAACTCTTGCTGTTTTGAGCCTAAGGTGTTACTGCAGAATCACCTCGCTCATCCTAACTCATCCACGAACCAAGCCCCAGGAGAGCTGACAGTTGGAGCCAGGCCTGGAACCCAAGCATTTCCTCTCAGCCCAGGTGGCCCTGGTCACTGATAGAGGCTTCTGCCTGTTGCCCTGTTGATATGGTTTGGCTGTGTCCCCACCCAAATCTCACTTTGAATTGTCGCTCCCATAATTCCCACATGTTGTGGGAGGGACCTGGTGGGAGGTAACCGAATCATGGGGAGTGGTTCCCCCATACTGTTCTCGTGATAGTGAATAAGTCTCACGAGATCTGATGGTTTTATAAGGGGAAACCCCTTCCTCTTGGCGCTCCTTCTCACTTGCCTGCTACCATGTAAGATGTGTCTTTCGCCTTCTGCCATGATGATGAGGCCTCCCCAGCCATGTGGAACTGTGAGTCCATGAAACCTCTTTTTCTTTATAAATTACCCAGTCTCAGGTATGTCTTTAACAGCAGTATGAAAACAGATGAATACACCTATGTTTGGAAGTGAAGCAGCGTGGCCAACAGGGTGGCCATTCCCACTGTGTCCTGCTTAGCCAACAGCTCCTCTCTTGTCCGCTTTGTGCTGGGGACTCCTGCCCAGAAGCGGATGTATTGAGAGGAGTTGGATAAGGGCTGGACTGGATGATCGGTGACTCCAAGATGAGAATATTTTACCTCCAGACTCCTGCACAGTTGAATTCCTCTATTCCCAGCCAACTCTGTCCAAATGTGAAATTGCAGGGGCCCTCTTCCCTGACTCCCAGCCACCCCACAAATGCTTACATCCCGAGTCGTAACAGCAGGAAGTGGACACATATTCTGTGGACGTGGCCTGTGTGTCCAGAGTGTGTGAGCCACCAGCTCCCTGCGTGGCTCTTCATGGGCCAACCAGAGGCACAGCTTCCCCTTGGCCTCCTGATCTCATGCCCTCCCAGAACAGGAACACAGCCCCCAGGAGAATGAGGAATGTGGCACCAGGGCCTGCTCTCTAACCCCGGCTCCATCTTTCTCTTCCCGTCTGCCTCGGTTTCCTTTTCTGTAGAATAACAATATCAAACATCTGAGGGCAGACCAGTGCTGTGCTCAGCAGGTGACATGCCATAGTAAAGGACGTGCCATATGAGGAGTGGGGAGGGGAGGCAGGGGGCTTTTGCTCGCAGGAGAAAAATCAGATGGGGGCATGAGAGGTGGCTTTAAACCTCCAGGAGGCTCTGACAGGGAGGGTGGCTTAGATATCATTTTTCATTATAGCAATTATCACTAACTAGCAGCGTATTTTCTATTTGTCTAGAACATCAGCCCCATGAAGACAGGATGGGGACCTTGTCTGTCTTGTTTCTTACTGGCATGCCAAAAATCGGGGTATGTGTACAGTAGGTGCTCACTTAATACTTATTGAATGTCTGAACTCATCCTCTGTGGCTTCCAAAGGATGAAAGTTCCAGGGAGGTCGTTGAATTTTCTCTGTGCCCCCCAACAACTCTGTTCATCCCTCCCCCCTCTGCCCCGTGCGCCCCTCCGCCTCCCGGAGTCAGCCACTTCCTCTGCTAATTGGAGTCCGAGTCAGACTTCCTGCTGCTCAGGGTGGTGGCTCAGGTGAATCGCATCAGGGCTGACAGAAAGTGGTTAATTAGCTGGGAAGGCTGGAGGTGGGTGGTTGCTGAGCGAAGCTGAGCAACAGAGGGAAGTTATCCCCACAAAGGGAAAAGGGCCCCCACCCCACCATACACCCATCATCTAGCACCAGGAGCTGTGAGCTATTGAGCTGTGGAAATCCTTATGTTGATCCAGCAGGGGCGGGGCATGAATTGGGACTCACTGCAATTGAAAGTTAATTTTAAGTATGATACAGAAGGCAGGCTGGCACTGGGCTGTCCTGCTCTGGCCTACAGGTGAGCCAGGATTGGATTGGGAAGATGAAACCCCAAAGCCAGGGTCATCTCAGGTTGCATTACTAGAAGTCTATCCCCCAACACAAGGGAGGGGAAAATCTACCATGGACCAGGCTAATTAAGTCCTCATTTTGCTCCCCTCCAGTGGACTAGAGACCTGGTCCTGAGCCCAAGACCCTCCAGTTGAGCCTGCAGGGACTCAGTGTGCCAGAGCTGAGAGGCTGCGGAGTCTGGCAGAAATGGGGCTCAGTTTCCGCCTCCATCCTACACAGCTTGTGACACTGGGTGAGTCACATCACCTTCCTGAGCTTTCACTTTCTACATGTGTAAAAATGTGGCCAATAATACTTTCTGGAGTTGTTACAAAGATTAAATGAGGTTATACAGATAAAGAGTCCAGCCCAGTGCCTGGAACATGTCAGGGCTCCACAAATGTGAGTTTCCTCTCCTAACTTCCTCCCCTCCGTGGCAGCCCCACTCCCCACCCACAGCCTGCCTGCACCCCTCCTGGTTGACTGAGGCTGTGTCTGCCTCGCCCACCTGACTGCAGGGTGTGCCTGCAGGGTCCAAGAGGACCCAGGCTGCTTGAGTCTGAATCCTATCTCCACCTTAGATTGTCTGTGTGACCCTGGTCAAGTCACTTTACCTCTCTGTGCCTCAGCTTCCTGGTTGTAAAGTGAGGACAACAACAGCACCTTCTGCATAGGATTGTGCCCCGCTCCCCTACATTTAGAGAATTTTTTTTTTTTGAGACGGGTTTCACTCTTGTTGCTCAGGCTGGAGTGCAATGGCGCAATCTCGGCTCACCACAACCTCTGCCACCCAGGTTCAAGCGATCCTCCTCCCTCAGCCTCCCGAGTAGCTGGGATTACAGGCATGCACCACCACACCCAGCTAATTGTGTATTTTTAGTAGAGATGGGGTTTCTCCATGTTGGTCAGGCTGATCTCGAACTCCCGACCTCAGATGATCCGCCCGCCTCGGCCTCCCAAAGTGCTGGGATTACAGAGAATGTATTTTAAAATCATGAAATAGTTCCTAAATACAGAAAAGAATCCAGGTTTCACATTTTCACGTTTGCTATTTGCTTCAGACCTTTTTTGTTTACGAAGAAATAAACTGTCGATGATTTGGCTCCATCGTGCCCCCTGGCATCCTGGTTCCTTGCACAAAGCCAGAGCCTGCAGCCTAAGGCAGGATCGTGTTGAGGGTCAGAGCATGCAGCATGAAGGAGCTGCCGGCAGTCTTGGGAGCTCAGGGTGGTGAGCAGGATTAGTATCCCAGAGACGTCTGTTTTAGGCAGATGACTTGGGCAAATGTTGCCGGTGCGGATAGAAAAGGGAAGGTAAAACAGGCAGCAGGGAGACCAGCTGAGGATGGTTTCTGTCATCCAGGGGAGGAGGTAATGGCTGGGAGCAGGGTGGAGGTTGTGGGAATGCAGATTTGGGGGTTTGTCGGGGTGGCTTGGCGAGGGGGGAAGGGGCAAAGACTGGATTCAGGCTCAGATGGTAAAATGGATGGCGCTGCCTGTGGCTGCAGTCCTGAAGGGCAGCACCAGGCCTGGAGCAGATGGAAGAAGTATTGGCTGTGGTGAGGGTCAGGGCCCGGGACCAGGGGCAAGGGAGAGGTGACCAGAGTACAGGAGCACAGGCATTGATGTGAAATGGGGAGGGTGGGCTGGGGAGAGTGGAGGGAATAGAACAGAAGCTCGAGGGCACTGGGATTTAAGGGACCCACGGAGGACCAGCCTACAAGTATGTTGGCACCTTCTGCCTCCTGGCCCCCAGGTGTGTTTCTGACGCCCATGTTCTTACTCCCAGTCCTGAGTCTGCTGGAGGTTCGTGCTCTGCTGACCCAGCCCCTTTCCCAGGTCCACGCCCCTCGCTCATGTCCTTGCAGTCCAGGGAGCCTGAAATTGGATAAACCCAGAACCCACCTTGCCTAATGGCAACTCCACCCCTCCTTCCAAGTCACATCATCTAGTTATAGGATAGGACCTCCCTTACATTTAAAAAAATGTGTTTAAGCTCATTTAAGTTTCCATCCTTTGTAAATGAAAGAACTCTCACTAACACGTGTCCCAAGGCTAATGTCTCTTGGATGTCACTCTTGAGTCCTAATGTGAAAACTTTGTTTTAAATATTTTTCCAGACAGCCATGGTGGTTCTTGCCTGTAATCCCAGTACTTTGGAAAGCCTAGGTGGTGTTATTGCTTGAGCTCAGGAGTTCAAGGCCAGCCTGGACAACACAACAAGATCCCATCTCTACAAAATAAAAAAATTAGCTGGGCGTAATGGTGCACACCCAGCTACTCAGAACGCTGAGGTGGGAAGATCAGTTGAGCCCAGGAGTTCGAGGCTGCAGTGACCTATGATTGCACCACTGCACTTCAGCCTGAATGACAGAAAGAGACTATCTATCTATCTATCTATCTATCTATCTATCTATCTATCTATCTATCTATCATCTATCTATGTATCTATTCTATTTCCAGAATCATCCAGACCCTTACAGTGCTCAAGCTATGCCAGTTTCTCTGGATATATCCTGTTAGTATTAGTCATCTATTATTGTGTAACTAATTACAGCAGTGCCCCCTTATCCATGAGAGATATGTGTCAAGACCCTCCCCTGCCCTGTGAATGCCTAAAACCGCAGATAATACCAAATCCTATATATACTATGTTTTTCAACCTGATAACCAAGATGGCTATCAAGTGACTGATGGGTGGATATGCTGGACAAAGGGATGATTCGCATCCCGGGTAGGATGGAATGACAAGGTTTTATCATGCTACTCAGAATGGCGACTAATTTAAAACACTCGTTAATGTATAACATTTTCAACCTAATATTTTCAGACTGCAGTTGACCAAAAGTAATAAAAACCACAGTAAGTGAAACCTCTGATAATGGGGGACAACTGTACCTCAAAACAAAGTGGCTTAAAACAACTCTCAATGTTTATTATCACAGTTTCTGAGGGTTAGGAGTTCAGAAGTGGCTTTGCTGGGTGGTTCTGGCTCAGAATCATGAGGCTGTGGTCAAGTGGTTGTAGTTGTGAAAGTGTAAGAATCAAAATGGAGTCACTAATGCTAAGAAAACCCTGACAAATAGAGCCAGGAAAGGCTGTGAATAGAGGCTTCTCACGCTTGTATGCCTGATAATGAAAAAGACTACAAAAACCACAACCTTGCACAGAGGCCATTACAACCTTACACAAAAAATACATCTGCAAGGACACCTGCCCGGCAAATGCCTGTGCAACCTTGAACTGCCATCACCCTTGTTACTGATTTTTGTAGCCAGGGATAATTATTTCAAGACAATTATGTAATCCTCCTCATTTTTCCTTTAAAAACTTTTGCCCTCCTTTACCTCCATGAATATGCACATAATTTACTATGGCACACATATTCCCATTGCAATGCTCTAGTCCCAAATAAACATCTTTTCTTTTAGACAGCCTCTCTATATTTGTTATTTAGGTTAACACAGTCAAGTTGTGGGCCAGGGTTGCAGTCATCTGAAGGTTCGACTAGGGCTGGAGGACCCACTTGCAAGGTGGCTCTCACACACAAGTGAAAAATTGGTGATCCAGCCTAGGCAACACAGGGAGACCCTGTCTCTATAAATAAAAAAGTTTTAAAAAATCAGCTGGGCATGGTGGCACATGCCTGTGGTCCCAGCTACTTAGGATGCTGAAGAGGTAGGATCTCTCGAGCCTGGGAGGTTGAGGATGCAGTGAGCCATGACTGCACCACTGCACTCTGTCTGGGAGACAAATTGAGATCCTGTCTCCAAAAAATAATTTGTGCTAGCTGTCGGTAGGAGGCTTCAGTCCCCTACTTTATGGGTGTCTCCATGGGCTGCTTGAGCATCCTGCTGACATGGTGGTTGGCTTCCCCCAGAGAGAATAATCCAAAAGAAACTGCCAGCTGGAAACTGTAATGTCTTTTACGACCTGGCCTCAGAAGTCATTTACCATCATTTCTGTAATATCCTATTGGTCACACAGGTCAGCTCTATTCAGTGTGGGTGAGGACTGGACCATGGCATGAATACCAGGAGGTGAGGATGACTGGGGACATCCTGGGGGATGCAGACTCTAGGCTACCTTGTGGTAGTGACTTGGGCACCCTCCTAATAACCCTGACATCCTGGAGAGAAAGGCTTACCCACCCCTGCCTGCATGAGCCAGCCCCATCTGGCTGTCTCTCCCACCCCTGTGAGTGGCTGCACCAACTCCTCCCCCAGAGCTGTGGGGCTGGTAGGACCCTGAGAACAGCCTCCAGCCCACCAGTCTAAGCTGAACACCATGGCAATGGACTCTTGTCTACTTCTCTCTTTGGCCATCTAGGGGGCATTACTGTAACTTTGGTGGACTCTGATTTCCTTCTCTGACAGGGTGACAGGCTGTGGGCCAGAGAGGCAGGGCTGAAGTCATATGTGGTAGGACATGGGCCAAAGCTCTCTTCCTAACACAGCTACTCCCAACAGCAAGTATTCAGGAACTAGGGCCATTTTTTAAAACCTCATCTTTAAAAAGTGGTGTAGGAAAAAGCAAAGACACTGGACCAGATGGCCTCAAATCTCCACCACAATACTTGCTATTTTTCCTTGGCTAAGACAACAAAATATCCTGATTCTCAGTTTCCACATCTGTAAAATAGGGGCGATAATAGTTGTGTTAGTACATTTTGTGTTGCTATAAAGGAATGCCTGAGGCTGGGTAATTTCTAAAGAAAAGAGATTTATTTGGCTTATTGTTCTGCAGACTGTACAAGCATGGCACCAGAAGCATGATGCCAGCATCTGCCTCTGGCGAGGGCTTCAGGAAGCATCTAATCATGGCAGAAGGGGAAGGGAGCCAGCGTGTCACATAGTGAGAGAGAGAGAGCAAGAGAGATGCCGGGCCTCTTCTAAACAACCAACTCTTGCATGAATAGTAGAGTGGGAACTACTCATTCCTGTGAGGGAGGGCACGAAGCCATTCATGAGGGATCTGCCCCTATGACCCACACCACTCCTACTTGGCCCCAACTTCAACACTGGGGATTACATTTCAATATGAGATTTGGAGGGGACAAACATCCAAACCATATCAATAGTGCTGTCAAAAGATAAAATTACAGCAAACTTAGTTATAGATCTAATTGTCTTTTATTCATAATTCATGAATCATGGCTGACTCTACTCTACACAATAGAATGAGTTCTCTCACTAGGGCAAGCAGAGCAGTGAGCTTTGTAAGGTGGGAGTAAGGAAACAGAATAGTAGAAGAGAAGCTGATTCATTAATGTCAGGTTACTTCAGGTTACTTTCTCATAAAGGTCAAAGAAGAGGCAACTTTCTTACTAGGTTGACTCTGGTAGACTGAAATTTCCTGTTTTCAGGAAAAAAAAAGGTCTGTTTTAGGATTTATCAGCTTCCTTAGAGTTTCAGTTTGATTATATGACATTTAGCATGAGTGACTCCATTTTGATTTTGTCTGTTCTGTTGGAGCCTAGTGCAGGGGCTTAGTCCATTGTTTTGTTTAACAATGCCTATCTGTAGTGTTTTAACCACCTGACCAGTTCTTCTTGCCAACTGCACAGATAGAGCTAATTTACTGAGATAGCGGTATGGCAGTAGAGAAAGAGTTTAATAAATACAGAACCAGCTAAGTGGAAGACAGGAGTGTATTACTTAAATAAATAAATAAAGCTTAGAGCTAAGGTTTTTAAAGAATAGTTTGGTGGACAGGGGCTAGAGAATGGGGAATGCTGATTGGTTGGAGATGAAATCCTAGGGGTGTGGAAAATGCTCCTTATGCTCTGAGTCAGCTTCTGGGTGGACTGGTTGAGTCATGAATCATGGGTCCAGGTGGAGTCTGTAGGTTACCACAATGCAAATTTCTGAAAAACATCTCAAAAGACCAATCTTAGGTTCTACAATAGTGATGTTGAGCAATGACTGGTTATCATCTAACTATGCAGACATTTTAGCAGAATTCAGGCCCTTCCCACATTTCTAATCTAGTAGGCTTTCATTAGTTTTACAAAGGTGGTTTCAGGGGTTAGTTTTAGGGAGGGACTATTATCATCCTTGCTTCAAAGTTAAACTATAAACTAAGTTCCTCCCCAGGTTTGCTTGGCCTACGTTCGGGAAAGAGTGAGGACAGCCAGCCTGTGGGGCTAGAAATAAGACGGAGTTAGCCATGCTGGACTCTCTCACTGTCATCATCTTTGCAAAGGTGGTTTCAGTGTTAAATGAGAAAATGTGTAAAGTCCCAGCCCACACCTGAGACTGAGGATGACTTTTGTGTGATTATGATTGTTAAGCTTTAGGGCAGGGAGGGATGTAGTAGCTGAGGCAGGATTGGAACCTGGCTCTGATAACTGGCTTCCTTCCCCTGGGGCTGCAGGAGCATCCTTGTCCCCTCCCTCAGTGTCTCTCCTTTCACTGGGTGCTGTCCACTCCCCCTGGGAGCTTCTTGGCTCTCTCTGCTCTTTCCCACACAATGCCTAGAGCTCATGCAGGTCATAGGGTTTCTTTTCCTGATAGAAACTAGGGCACCTCCCCTGCCAATCAATCGCCTGTCAATCCTTCCACTGTGTGGAGGGAGAAGTGCTGAACTGTAGATTTACCTCCACTCCTCCTCTCCTGAAAATCTTTCCATGGCTTCTCCTGGTCTAAGGCGAGCCCTGAAGGCACAGCCCTTCCCCAGGGTGCCAGGAGTCCCAGGCTGTGGGGACAGGGAAGGGGATTTTATCAAACACTTACCCTTTCAGAGATCCTGATCTTCCTATCCACCCCCACACCTGCCCTTTTGATGTTCTCTTAGTGATGGGAGTGGGTCCTGCCCATCAGGGTAACCTGAGGCAGAAAGAGAAACAGTAAATACATTGAAAACTGCTGATTTACACTACAGATGCTACAGGATATCAACCCCAGATTCCTAACCCTGACCTTCCAGTGCCTGAGATTCAGGGCTGACCCGGATGCAGACTATGATGTGCAGCTCTACAGCCCCACCCTGATCCAGCCAGGCACAGAGGAGGTTCTCAACAAATATTTGCTGAGCCCCTGAAGTTGCTTCAGAAGGGCTGCCTTGGACTGCTGAGTCCTTGACTTCCATTTCTCTGGGTGGTGGGTGCAGCAGTTTGGGCTGGAGGAAGCTGGGGCGGTTCCATCCAGTGGAGCTGTGGTGGGAGATTCATTACCTAGAAGCACGAGGTTCCTGGGGTGGCGGGTGGAGGCTGCTGTTTGCTTTAGTCTCTACTCAATCCCTGCTCACAGGTTGCCTGGCAACCATTGTTCATTTACTCACCATTGACTTTGAAAATAAAAATCAATTTCCTTTATGACGTGAGTCAGAGGGTCACATTAACCCCCAAGTTTAAGCAGTCCAATTTTATTGCTCAAAGATTTATGAGCAAGGATGTATACAGAGCACTATTTATAATAGGAAAGGTTTTTGGGAGGGGTGCTGAACCACAGTATCTATCAGAGGGGTGTGATTAAAGGAAGGCCCTTTCTTACAACAGAATATTCTGCAGCTGATAAAATAATGATAGAGATCTGAGCGTACTGACAGGGGAACATTCTCATAATGTAAGTGAAAGACACAAGCAGGTTACAGAACAGCATGTAGAGTGTGTTGCTGTTTTCATTTAACAAGATATGTGTGTGCGTGCATGTGCCTGTTGCTTAAAAACATTCTGCAAGGGTACACATGGAAAACAGAAACAGTGATTTTCACTCTGGAAGGGGATTGCAAATTTCAATTATCTTTCTATCTTTCTCTACTATTTAATTTTTAAAATAAAGCAAGCACGTGTTACTTTTTCAATTTGCAAAAACAATAATGTCATTTCTTTTTCAAACAGAGAATTCCAACTCTGAGGGCCAGGGGAACCGCCTCTCCAGGGCCCACTGGGGTTGAGACTGCATGGATAGTGCCTTAGTCCTTTTGGGCTGATATAACAGAATGCCTTAGACTGGGTGGCATAAACAACTCACATTTACTTCTCATGGTTCTGGGGGCTGGGAATTCCAAGATCAAGGTGCCAGTGGATCCAATATCTGGTGAGGGCCTGCTTTTGGTTCATAGATGGCCATATTCTCACAGTGTCCTCACATGGTGGAAGGGGCAAGGCAGCTCTCTGGGGCCTCTCTTATAAGGGCACTAATCCCATGCCCCTATGACCTAATTACCCCCCAATGGCCCTACCTCCTAATACCATCACACCAATGATTAGGTTTCAACATAATACTTTTCGGGTCATATGTTGAAACCATCGCAGGCAGCCAGGGCCAGGCTGGGGTTGAGCAGAGGAGTAGGAGGATGAAGGGAGGCCAAGACTTCCCCTGAAGGGCAACCAGAATGCTTCCAACTAGGCAGTTCTTCTCTCCAGTCCCTGGGAGTGTCCAGGCTGAAGCTGGGTGCTGAGGAGGGATGTCCTGCAGTAATGGAGGCTGGGCCAGGTGCCTCCTAGAACCCCAGGAAGTGGGAAGGTTGAGCCAGTTCACTGAGATGGAGGGAGGGCAGGGCACGGACCAGAGCTGGAGGCAGTGGAGGGGCCCACCTCTTTTGACTGCTCCTCTTTTCTGTTGACCCCATCTCTTTTGACTGCTCCCCTCTTCTTTTGACCCCACCTCTTTTGACTGCTCCCTCTCTTTCCAGGCTGGTGTTCCCTCAGGCTCCCTCTTGGCCTCACATTCTACACCTTCCTTCTGGGTGTTCTCATTCATGCTCATGACTTCAGCTATCACCTATAGCCTGACCATGCCCTCCTCTCCACACCTGAGCCCATCCTTCAGGATGGCCCCTGTTCCTAAAAGTCATGCTTAGTTATATCACTGTCTTGCCTGAGATCTTCCGTGGGCTTCCTTATGTCTGCAGGAAGGAATAGAAGGCCTTCTGAACCTGGCTCCAAGCTAAGCCCTCCCCAGTTCCATGCATCTTTTCTTTTGCATAAGCATTTATCTCTCCGTAATGCCACCCCTCTCTTGTCTACAAAACAAACTCTTCTTTTTTTAAGACCCTAAGATCAACCTCCATGGTGAAGCCTTCTTAGTTTCTCCAGGCACCCTATACTCTGTACTCCCATAATCCTTTGCACACCCCTTGACTACAGCACTCATCACACTTTGCCATTAATAGTATTGATTTGTCTTTGTCTCACTCTCAGCTTGTGAGTTCTGTGAGGCAGATGGCTTATTCACCCCAGCTCCAAGCTCAGGGCCTGCACATAGGGGTGCCCAGAAAGTGTTGGTAGGATGGATAGATGAATGGTTGAATGAATGGATGGGTGGATGGATGGATGGATGCTTGGATGGATGGATGGATGGATGAATGAGTGGGTGGATGGATTCCATTGTTTCCTTCAATATATGAACATGTAATTTCTCCCATCTGAAAAAGAAAGCAAGAAACTCCCTTGATTCTACTTCACCTCCCTTTCTTTATAACAAAGACTCCCACAAGAGTGATCCACTATACCAGTCTGTTTCCTCTTCTCACATGCTCTCTTGCACCACCTCCAATCAGGCTTTCACTAATCCACCAACACTGTGCTGAAGGAAGTTGCCAGTGACCTCTGCATTGCTAAATCTAGGGCCAGTGTCAGTCATCAGCTTACTAGATCTTGGCAACATTTGACACATGCACTTTTTTTGGAAACACATTCTTCTCCTGGCTTCCAGGAACCTTAGTCTCTTGGCTTTCCTTCTACCCCAGTGATGGCTCCTTCTCACTCTCCATAGCTGGCTCCTCCATATCTCCCCAACCTCAGACCTAGGGCTCCTCCTCTGTTATAACTCCCTTAATGATCCCATTCATTTCATGGCAAATGCCTTTCCTTCCCCTCAAAATGTGATCCTTGAAGTTCTCCCCATCTGAAGAATCAGCAACTCCATCCTTCCAGGCACTCAGGCCAAAGATGATGGAGCCGTCCTTGACTTCTTTCTCTCTTACCCACATCCAACTCCTCAGTATCCCCATGGCTCTACCTTCAAAACGTATTCAGAATCCACCCACTTTTCTCCACCTCCATGGCTACCACTCTGATTCAAGCCACCTGGCTCTTGCCTGCTAACAGTTCACTCCGCTGTTGTCCTCCACCCCTACTGTCTCTTCTCAACCCAACCGCCAGAGTGGTCCTTTTAAGACTTTATTCAGATCGTGTCACTTCTCTGTGCAAAACCTTCCCATGGCTTCTTATCTCACTCACTGTGGAATCTGAGGGCCTCACAGTGACCCTGAAGACCATACATGATCTTCACCCCCTGCCGCTGTTACTTCTCTGACATCATCTCCAATCTTCTTCCCCTACTGCATCCATACCACCCCTCAAACACACCAGCTCTGCTTCTGTATCACAGAATTTGCATTTATCATGCCTTCTGCCTGGAACGCAACGTCCTAGATACACACCTGGCTCATTCCTTCATCTCCTTCAGGTCTGGACTCGAATGTCACCTTCCAGGTAAGGCCCTCTCTGCCTCATCGTTCTCTAGAACACATCACCAGCTGTCACTCTTTAGAGCTTCCCACCTATTTATACATCATTGTCTTCCTCCATTAGACTATTAGCTCCATGAGGGTAGGGGTTACGATTTTTTCTTCCTGCTGCACCTCTGGTGCCTAGAACAGTGCACAGCATGTGGTAGGCTCCTATGTGGATGAGTGAATGAATGATCTTATGAATCCTCACATAGCCCTCATGCAAGTATTGCTCTACCCATGTTTTGGATGAGGAAGCAGAAGCACAGAGAGGTTTAGGGAGCTCCTCAGTGGCACTTGGCTCCAGCGTACATGTTCTAAATACCACGCAATACTATCTGTGGAATGGGGACGATAATAATATTGCTGCCCTGCAATTCTCACGGGGTTGTTTGGGGCTCACATGAAATGATGCTCATGTATATTCTTTCAAACTATAAAACTGGATACAATGATAACTATTATCATTCTCCCTCCAGTGAGAATTAATGTCTCACTGGGGAGGAACTGATATGAAGACCTTAGAGATTACCTAAAAGTCTAACCCATGATTGTAAGATGGGCATGAGAGAGACTTAAGTTCAGGACAACTGGGTCACTTCCAGGCATGTGACGGATGGCTTTAGACAAAAAAGGCTGGGCTGACCTCTCAGACCACTACCTCTGTGTGAGGAGCAGAATCTGTAAGTATTCTTCTTTCCACCCATCCATCCATCCTTTCATCCTTCCTTCCATCCATCCATCCAAACATCATTCATCCTTCTATGCATCTATCTACCCTTCCTTCCATCCATCTACTTATCCATTCATCCATCCTTTTATTCTTCCTGCCCTCCATCTTTCCATCCTTCATCCTTCTGTCCATGAGCCATCCATCCTTTCTTCTGTCAGTTCATCTATGCATCCATCACTTCACTCATCCTTCCACTCATCTATTAATCCTCCATTTCTTCATTTATCCATTTTCTTCCACCTAATCACTTTCCCAACTATTCATTTTCCCATGTACCCATCATTTTGCACAGCTCATTTCCTGAGAGCCTGCTGTGTGCCAGTCCCTAAACTCAGAGCTGGTGACACAGAGGTCAATAAGACATCCACTCTCCCAGAGCTGAGGGGAGCTTGAACAAGTGCAGAGATAACGTGGGAAAGTACCTAGTGAGGCTCTTGGTGTGCACAAGTGCTTAGGTCCTGGAGCTCTGTTTGTGACTAAGTTGCTTGCCTGAGGCCCCATGCTAGTAAGGACTAGCACTAACTGGAGTGGGAGCTGGCCCCAGAGCCCAAGCTCTGAGTGATAATTCTTCTCGCTCCACCATGCTGTCTTTTTCCTGAGAGAATCACCTGACCACTGTCAGCTGTGGGGAGAAAATGCTAACGAGGGGGAAATGCCAGGGCTGCATGCAACGAGGGACCCATGCTGGCCATCCTCCTGGTGCCATGATCTCCATGACATGAGTGCTCTCGGCCCAGGGAATAGGCAGGCAGGAGAGGGGACCAGTGAGCCAGCTGGGTGCCAGCAGGCAGGAGGCTGCGTGGGGAAGGGAACAGTTAATTCATTAGTCCTCAGGCCAGCCATGCTTTTCACATTAAGCCCCTTTATCTCCTTGCAATTGCATCTGATCAAGGCAATAGAAAGCAATTTGGTTAAGTGGTTAATTTAATCATGCTGCAGCCGTTCAGAAACCACTTAACGCCTCTGATGGCGATTGGCTCCGCCGCTCTCTGCTTACCTGGAAAGCACGCTTCTTCTAAACACAAGGCTTTCGGGCCCCCAGCAACTCGGTTTGCAGAATGATAAAAATGACAGCACGCCTTCCTGGCTCAGCCCTTTCAGCTTAAAGGTCTGAGAGAGAGGGAACGTGATGAATTCTATGTTCCCTATTTTTTTCCTCCCAACAATTGCATGGGTGTAGGCACACCTTCAGCTCACAGGTGCTGGAACTGCCTCTCAGAGAGATAGACTTCCTTGCCATTCCAAGAATGTCTTATTCCTAAGCCTTCGCCTTCGAGTCAACTGTATCATTTTTAATTACCTCATTTTCGAATATTACTTTTGTAATTAAAATTCTTTCCATTATACTCCCCAGCCCCCTGAGTTTTCCATTTTATCTCCTAATTACTCAGCAATTTGCTACCCTCTCCACCCACGGCCACCAAGGTCAGGCCCATATGACTTTGTACCAGAACGATTGCCACCCCTATCCTGCCCCTACCATCTCGCTGTCCCTATCTTGATGTCCTCTACATGTCTGCTGTGTTACTGCCTGCAGGTCTTTCTAAAAAGCTGATCTGGCCAAGGCTCTCCCCTGCTGAAAACCTCAGTGGCTCCAATCACCAACAGGGGCACCAGAGCCCCCAAGGGATGGTGAAGTGATCAGGGAGGCTCCAGGGCTGCCTTTCTGTGAGATTTACTCTGAAGTTAGCTCCCTGGGTGCACAGTATAGGACACCATCATTGCCATTGTTGTGTTCTGTTTCTCCTTGGCTCAGAATCTGCCTACAGATTCCCACTACCTACAGGATAAAATCTAAGCACGTTGGGGTTGCATTCAAAGCCCTTCACACTTCAACCCTCACCTTCCTTCCCTCCCACTCAAAAAGCCCTCACCATTTCCAAAACAAAACATGCACTTTCAGCCTCAAACTTAGCAAGCTCCTTCCTACCACAGGGCCTTTGCACGTGCCCTTTCCTCTGTCCAGATCCCCATTCCTCACACTCTTCCCTGGAATTCAGCTTCTCAGCTGCCCGTCAGTGGCTCTCCCCATGACTGGCCACTTCTCACACTTTAGGTCTCAGTTTCAGACTCATCTCCTCACAAAGGTTGTCTTAGGTCAGGTTCGCTTACACCAAACCCTGACCTGGTGATTCCCGGGTGAGTGATTTATTAAGAAGTGCTGTGCAGGTAGAGATGTTAGGAAGGGGCTGGGGAAAACAGGACAGGCAAAAGGGAGAAGCCGAGCAAGCGTGGGATCTCAGCCCAAGTCCCAGACTCAGCCTGACCCCATGGAAAGCTCTGGGGAGGAAATTAGATCTCAGGTTTTGTTTTGTTTTCCTGGAGACAGAGTCTCACTCTGTCACTGGGGCTGGAGTACAGTGGTGTGATCACGGCTCACTGCAGCCTCCACCTCTGGGCTCATTCTATCCTCCCACCTCAGCCTTCTGAGTGGCTGGGACTAAAGGCACATGCCACTACACTCAGCTAATTTTTTTTTATTTTTCGTAGTGATGGGTTTTGATCATGTTGCCCAGGCTGGTCTCAAACTCCTGGGCTCAAGCCATTTGCCCGCCTCGGCCTCCCAAAATGCTGGGATTACAGGCGTGAGCCACTGCACCTGGTTCGTATTTTTTCTGGACTCCAGGCAAGGGACCTATTGGGCATTCATATTCCTGCAGCAGGCAGTCAGCAGCTACAAGCCTCCCTGGAGAAGACCTGCAAAGAGTGCTGAGTTGCAGTGTACTCAGCTGAAAACTGGGGCTCTGTAATTAAATAAGAAAAGGAGATGGAGGTTAGGTTAGGCAGTTCATAGGGTCTGCCACAGTCACGATTATTAGATAGTGTTTTGGAGGTTCTGGTCACTAAGCAAGATATAATCATAAAAGTTACAGCTCTCAGAAAGGAATAGACACAGTAACCTTATCTGAAGATAGTGTAACTTACGAGTCCAGTGAATCTCTGAGGGGAGGGACCTCTTTAGAAAGATATTGTAGAATCTCTGGGGAACGGATGATTGGAAAATGCTGACTGAAGGAGATAAGAGAAAATGTGAATACTGAGCAAATGAAATGAAATAGCAGTAAAGTTCTGTGTTTTAAAATTTAAAATGTTTACCTTTATTTAAATTTTATCTTTTAAATAAAGATAAAAATACAGTTTTTAAAAGTTGGAAAAACCAGGCGTGGTGGCGCATTCCTGTAGTTCCAGCTACTCAGGAGGCTGACGCAGGAGGATTGTTTCAGCTCAGGAGTTTGAGGCTGCAGGGAGCCGTCATTGCCCCACTGCACTCCAGCCTGGGTGACAGAGTGAGACCCTGTCTCTTAAAAAAAAAAAAGTGGAAAAAAAGAAATGAGCATAACCTAATATGAAAATATAAAAAAAATAATAATTAAGATGATGTAGTAGTGGTGTGTGGGATTAAACAGATAAATGGACACAGTGGCATCACTGAGGCAGACCCTAATGGATGGTTTGCAGCTGTAAGGGATCCTGTGGAGACACTTGAAGACAGGCAAAGCAAAAATAAATAAATAAATAAATAAAGCACAGATTTCAAGAACACTATACTTGGAGTCAGGAGACCTGGGCTGAAATCCTGGGGACCCTGAGATGTCATGTATGTGACATGTACATTACATGGCATGACATGATGTAATGTATCTGAGCCTTGGTTTTCCCCTCTGTATAATAGGGATACTCATATCTGACTGTTGGAAAATGATGAAAGAACTTTTAATGGTAAAAAAGAAAAAACAATACTCATGACAAATGACAAGTATTTTGGAACAACAGTCTGAATTTGTGAGGTTAAGAAAAGCCAAACTTCTTATTACCAGCAGACAGTAGACTTTTCTTTCCATTCATTCATTCTTTTTTTTTGGTGGGGCACAAGGTCTTGCTCTGTCACCCAGACTGGAGTACTGTGACACAACCATGTCTCACTGCAGCTTTGACCTCCTGAGCTGAAGTGATCCTCCCCGCCCAGCATCCCAAGTAGCTGGGACTACAGGTGGGAACCACCACGCTAGGCTAACTTTTAAATTTTTTGTAGAGACAAGGTCTCGCTATGCTGCCCAGGCTGGTCTTGAATTCCTGGCCTCAAGCAGCCCTCAAGCCTCAGCTTCCCGAAGTGCTGGGATTATATAGGTGAGCCACCATGCCTGGCCGACAGTAGACTTTTCTGAAACCCAATCTGAAAATCCGTATCTTTTAAATTTTGTATATAGTTCATTTACCTTTATTGTGATTAGTCATAGTTTGGATTTGTATTTAACTCTTTATTTTAGGTTTCCCATTTACCTGGCTATTTCATCTTTTTCCTTCTTTAATGTTGTATATTGGATTGATCAGGTTTTCTTATTTCCTCTTTGTTCCTCTACCAGTATAAAGTATAAAGAAAAATGCATTCTAATTTTCTTCGTTAGTGGTTACTCTTAAAATTTTAACACATTTGATTTAATAAACCCTAAGGTTAACCAAGATTTCTCTTTCATCCCAAATAATAAAAGGGCCTTAAAGTGTTTGCCTTCAATTCTACCCTCTTGTCTTACATGTTATTGTCAACCAGAGTTTTTATGCTTAAACTTCTTCAAATTAATCATATTTATGATTGTGGTTCCCATAGTGAATATTCATTTGAATTTATCCATGTTTACCAATTTATTTGATCAAGATTTCTTTGAATAACTAATTCCTTCCTTAAGATTGGGTTTTCTTTTTTTCTCTAGCTCGTTCTTTAGTAGTGCTTAACATGGATTAGTGATGGTGACTCTCTCAGCCTTTGTATCACCCTCTTTTTTTTTTTTTTTTTTTTTTTTTTGAGATGGAGTCTTTCTCTGTTGCCCAAGCTGGAATACAGTGATGTGATCTTGGCTCACTGCAGCTTCCATCTTCCAGGCTCAAGCGATTCTCCTGCCTCAGCCTCCCAAGTAGCTGGGATTACAGGTGCCCGCCACCACACCTGGCTAATTTTTGTATTTTTAATGGAGACGGCGTTTCACCATGTTGGCCAGGCTGGTCTCGAACTCCTGACCTCAGGTGATCCACCAACCTTGGCTTCCCAAAGTCACCCTCATTTTTGAATTGATGCATATGCTGGCTGGTAGTTATGTCCTCCAGCACTTCAAAATCTGATTAGAATATTACTTCATTATCCTCTGGATTCCATTGTTGTGATTGAGAGTTTGTTGTTACTTTGTAGACAGTTTGTCTTTTCTGAGTCTTTAAGATCTCTTCTACTTTAGGGATGTAAAGTTTCTCTAAACTATATCTAATTGTGGAATCATTTATTTTTATCCTGTTCAAGACTCATTGTGCTTCTTCAACTCCAGGTTTTATATCCTTCCTCTATAAATAATGGCTGGGAATTTTCCCCAGTACAAGGAAAATTCCCAGCCACGACTTCTTCCAATATTACGTTACCCCTGTTCCTGTAGTTTATCCTTCTCATTTTATCCCCCAGGCCTCTGAATTTTTCCTTCATTTTCTCCATCTCTTTAACTTGTTCATGTTTTATCTTCTCTTTATGTCAGGTTTCTATTCCTATTGTGCAGAGATGAGCACCCTCCCTGCCCACCAACTGCTTTTCCGAGTCACCCCTGACACAGGGCGAGGATCTCCCAAGCCCATCCCCAGAAGGGACCAGTGGCTCCCGAGGCCCCAGATGCTGGTGTTGAGCTGCTCGGGGTGGTGGAAGACTCGGAAGCAGGAGATGAGTGCTCCTTTTTCCAGGCTGCCTCAATCCTGGGCCTACAGGCGTGAGCAGAGGGTCCAGCAGGTCCCAGCCACGTCGGAGACCTGAAGGGAGGAGATGCTTCCCTGGAGCCTTGACAGAGGCCACCTGGGTCCCCTAACCCTCCTACACCAGGGAAAGCTCCAGAGCCCCTTTGCCATGGCCCGGAGTGAAGCACAGACCACGACCACACATCCTGGTTCCCCTCTGCTGGCTCCAAAGTCAGGGCCAGGCTCCAGGCGTGTTTGCCTCTCCGCTGTTCTTCTCCACCTCCCTGTGCCTGCCCCACCCTTTACCTTAAAATAAGGCTGACCTTATCTCAGCCATCATGGTATGATGGAGTGTTTTACTGTGCTCTGGGCTCTGTGCAAAGAGGGAGGTGGGGGCTGTCTGCCTTATTTTACTTATAGGAAGACTCAGAGAGGTTGGGCTAATTTGCCCATGTTTACACAGCAGACAAGTGGCAGGGTTGGGATTTAGAACCACACACCTAACCACTGGACAAACGGTCCCTGAGGACACCAGGCCAGAGGCAGAAAGGAGCCTCCCGTAGCTGGTGAGGGCAGAGAAAGAACTCGAATCCAGGTCTCCCGACCCCGGTATTTGTGCGTTGCGGGTAATCGAGCCAATTCAATGGAGGCGGACCCTGCTTTACGCAACTCTGCTGTGACCCAATCCTTCCCCATGGGGCAAAACCAGCTCTTCAAGCTGAGAAGCGTCCTGCAGGTTTTGTTAAATAGCAGCTCCCCCTAGTGCACTGAAAAAATGACAGAATTGATTATCCAAGAGGGGAAAAGAGCGGAGAGAGAAGGGGAGATGTGAGGGGAGAGAAGGAATGAAGAAAAGGAAAGGAAAGAGAAGGGAAAAAAAAGCTGTGAATTGTTCACAGGGAGCTCTGCTGCTGCCCTCTCTGGAGTTATTGAAGAAGAGAACCAGGACTCACTGGGGCCTTGGGAACAAATGTTCCAGTCAATGTGACCAGGAGGCAGGTGGATCTAAACCTCATTGGGAAATCTGCAACCCAGGTGGGCTTCCCAAGCCCCATTCCTGAGTGCCCTGTTAAGGGTCCAACAGTGATTGTGCAGGGAGCTGGGGCCTCCTTGTACTGGGTAGACCCGTTGTCTTCGGTTATTGAGTTGGAGAGGCTGGGCTGAGTTTATTGCGCTAAGCAGAGATGTCCCTGGAGGCGTATCAGTCACTGATTCCAGAAAGCAGCCCCATAGAAGAGCTTTGAGACCTCATGGTCCATCTCCCTTACTCCCTTCCCCATGTAACAGACGAAAACACTGTGTTCAGGCCAGGGGCAGTGGCTCACGCCTTAATCCCAGCACTTTGGGAGGCCGAGGTGGGTGGATCACCTGAGGTCAGGAGTTCGAGACCAGCCTGGCCAACATGGTGAAACCTCGTCTCTACTAAAAATATTTTTTAAAATGGGTGTGGTGGCGGGCATCTGTAATCCCAGCTACTCGGGCAGGAGAATCGCTTGAACCTGGGAGGCAGAGGTTGCAGCGAGCCGAGATTGCGCCATGGCACTCCAGCCTGAGTGACAAGAGCGAAACTCCATCTCAAAAAACAAAACAAAAAAACCCCACTGTTCCACCCCAAATGGCGTATACGGTGGGTCGGTAACAGAGCTGGTCTGTTGACACCCGTCCCTAGTGTCCCCTAACTCTTTTCCAAACCCTCTTTAAGGGAAATTCACACTGACTGACAGTCTTCTCGGTACGCTTTCTCTTTGGGTTGTCAAAACAGCTCTCAGTCTGACTACCAGTTTGCAGGAAATACAAGGGACAAGCAAGGCTAAATGACACTATAAAAATGCAAACAGCAAAATGCAAAGAACTCTACAGGACAAATGACCCAGTTTCATCCAGAAATGTATTGCAAGAGAAGAAGTGAGGGAAGGATAACAAATGGATTAACAGAGATTAAGAGACATGCTATCTCAGACTACGTGATCTGCAATAACAAAATTTCTGAGACTAGGTACATTGTAAACAACCAAAATTTATTTTCTCACAGTTCTGGACACTGGGAAGTCCAAGATCCAGGCACTGGCAGGTTTGCTGTCTGGTGAGGGCTGCTCTCTGCTTCCAAATGGCACCTTCTTGCTGCATCCCCCAGAGAGGATGAAGGCTGTGTTCTCACAGGAAGATGTTGGAAGAGTAAAAAGAATGAACATTAGTTCCCTCCAGCCCTTTAATGAGGTCATTAATCGCATTTGTGAAGGCAGAGCCCTCCTGACTTAATCACCTCCTAAGGGCTCCACTGTTAAATACTATCACACAGGAGCCGGCCATGGTGGCTCACGACCATAATCCCAGCAATTTGGGAGGCTGAGGCAGGCAGATGGCTTAAGATCAGGAGCTCAAGACTGTCCTGGGCAACACAATGAGACCTCTGTCTGTACAAAAATAAAAATAAAATTTAAAAAGCTAGCTAGGTATGGTGGTGCTTGCCTGTGATCCCAGCTACTTGGGAGGCTGAGGTGGGAGGATTGCTTGAGCTCAGGAGGTTGAGGTTGCAGTGAGCCATGATTGCACCACTGTGCTCTAGCCTGGGTGACAGAGCAATACTCTGTCTCAATAAGTAAATAAATACATAAATATAAATAAATACTATCACACTGGAAATTTTGAATTCAACATATGAATTTGGAGGACATATTCCAACCACAGTACATGCCAACCAAATGCAAAGATGAGCTTTGTTGGGATGATTTGAACAAAGCAACTATAGAAAAATAAGGACCTTTAAACATTGAGTAGATATTTCCATGGTACTATTAAGTCATTGTTATTTTTTAGGTGCAATCCATTATTAGGATGATGTTCAAAACAAAGGGTACGTTATCTTCTGCAGACACAAACTGAAGTGTCTGCACGTCTACAGAGGAAAGTCTACGATGTCTGGAGTTTGTCCCATAATAATCTGGAGGGAGTGTAGTAATGGGGGATTGGATGAGGCCAGGGTTGATGAGTATCACCTGGGGGCTCATCAGCCTATTTTCTCTCATTTTATGTATTTACATTTTCCTTCATTAGAAAAAAATTAAGACATGGAAAAACTGTGATGAGGAAGAGCCAAGCCCAGAATATTGACATTTATTTTGCTTATATTTTCTTTTCTATGACTGCACAAAAGAGTGATAACTGATTTAATAAAAATTTACACACAAAATAGCAATGGTCAGCAACAAGTCAGCATGGTGTCCTGGTGGCCTCGGCAGGATTCTTCCTCTGTTGTTGTCTTAGTGTCTGTGAGCCTTGGCATTTTCCAGCTTTCCAGAGAGGAAACGAGCTCTGCTACACGCAGGGGCTTATCCAGGTTCAGCAGGTGAAGCCCGTCTGCATCCTGAGCTCTGTGGGGCCCCCGCAGTGTGCCCTGGGAGCTTTCCATTGCACCACAATCCCTTCTCCCGGGACACAGAGCAGGCCTCGGATGCCAGGAACCCGCTGGAACGGACGTTGATCAATAGCAACCTTGGAGGCCGCTGACCGCTGCTGACACTCAGCAGGTGGCCTCTTGGAAACAAAACTGGGGTTGGCAGCAGGTCAGATCCCGCAGGAAATGTCGAACCCAAACAGGAATAACTCTCTGTACTCCCTGGAGTTTGGAAGGACAGATGGGGCGTCCTTGCTCAGACCAGACAACTGTACTATTTCAAAATCCTGGCCAAGCGGCTGATCCAAGGGGACAGGACTGGGAGGATCCAGGGGGACAGAAGGTCTTCGCTTTCTCCAGGTCAAGGGCTGCTTGTGGAAGGTCATGTCTGGTGACTAAAGTGCTGGTGCTGGTATAAATCCAGGAGAGAAGCAGGGACAAAGGATACCACCAGGCAATGCACAAAAGGAAATATACAAAAGAGCAATTCACACCCGAAGAAATATTCAGCTTTGGCAGAAATAAAATAAATGAAAACAACAACAGGACACATTTGGGCCTTTTAAATTGTCAAACGTATTAAAACTTTATAATGCTCCAGATGAAAAGGGACTAAAAAGATGTAACACCTAAATGCAATGTGGGATCCTGCATTCGGATTGGGATGGGGGGAAGTAGAGAGGGCATAATTTGAAAATTTGGTAAAATTTGAATATGGATTGTGGATTAGAAAATAGTAGTAACTCCCAACCTCAAGTGATCCACCCGTCTCGGCCTCCCAAAGTGCTGGGATTAACATGGCGAAACCCCGTCTCTACTAAAAATACAAAATTAGCTGGGCATGGTGGTGGGCGCCTGTAATCCCATTTACTCAGGAGGCTGAGGCAGGGGAATTACTTGAACCTGGGAGGCGGAGGCTGCAGTGAGCCGAGATTGCGCCACTGCACTCCAGCCTGGGAGACAGAGTGAGACTGCCTCAAAAAAAAAAAAAGTAGTAATCGCATCAAGGTTGAATTTACTGATTTTTATAATTGTACAGTGTTTATGTAAGAGATTGTTAGGAAATGCACACTGAAATAATTAGGGATAAAGCATTGTGATGTTTGCAATGGTCTCTTAAGTGGTCCAGAAAGGAAAAGAAAGAGGATGGATGGGGTTGGGAGGGAGGCAGAAGGAGGAGGAGAGCAAATGGGGCAAATGTTGGCACTTGGTGAATCTAGGTAACAGGGGAGGTCTTTGTTCTCCTCTTGCAATCTTTCTGTAAATTTGAAATCATATCCAAAAGGTTTTTAAAAAGCTTATAGTGCTCAGTGCTGGCAGAAGTGCAGGGAAATGAAAACTTGTCCCTGGAGTGGAAGAAGAGGAAACTGGCACCTGTGTGCTAGAAGAGAATTAGGTAATGAATAGCAAAGCTTTTGACCCAGTCATTCCACTTCTAGGTATTTAGTCTGGAGAAATAAGTATACAGTGGATAAAGAAAATATGATCTATACATACAGTGGAATATTGTTCAGTCTTAGAGGAAGGAAGTTCTGACACGGGGTACAACATGGATGAAGCTTGAGGACATGATGCAGAGTGAAATAAGCCTGCCGCAAAAGGCCAAATGCAGTGCGATTCATTCCACTTACATGAGACATCCACAGTGGCCAAATTCATAGCGACGGAAAGTAGAATGGTGGCTGCCAGGTCCTGAGGGAGAGGGGAATGGGAGCTGCTGTTTGATGGGTGTACAGTTTCAGTTTTACAAGACGAAGAGTTCTGGTGATGGTTGTACAACATTATAAATATATTTAATACCCAGTGAAATGTCCAGTTAAAATGGTTAAGATGGTATATTTTATGTTATGTATATTTTACCACAATAACAAAATTGGAAAAAAAAAAAAAGAGAGAGAACGAACCATAGATGTGCACAAAGATCGAGCCACAAAGGTTTTCACCAAAGTACTAACTGTTCCACAATAGACTGGTGAAATAAATGATGATAGGTTCACAGAATGAAACACGGTGTAACCATTGAAATGATATTGTGACACAATATTTAATCACAGGGGAAAGTGTTCATAATATATTCAGTGGGGGGAAAAAAAGGTTCCAAGACATTATGTTCAGTACCAGTCAAAACTCAAAGCCAACTCCGTAAGTGAGTGTGTGTGTGTGTGTGTATGTGTGTGCATGTGTGTGGGTTGTTGCGGTGGGTCCATTTTAAGCTCCTTGAGGTCAGGAACCAAATCTTATTCATTATCATATTCTCAGTGCCTAGGACAGTGCCTAACACCCAGGGAGTGCTAATAAGTGTTGTTTAATCAACGAGCAAAGAGCCATAGAAAATAGGACCAGAGAACATACTTCAAAAAATCCACAGGCTGTATTTCTGAATGGTGTAATGCAGGTTATCTTAATTTTCCCCTTTGTGTTTATATGTAAGCTCTGACTGTCCTACATAGAACACTGATCAGTTTCACAGTGAATTATTTAAAACAATAAATGAAATTATTTAAGGCAGTCAGGAATTATTTAAAGCAATAAATGCAATTACTTAAAACAATAGTAAATTATTTAAAACAATAAATACAGAGCAGGAAAGTAGCCTTAATCTCAGTGCCCTTGGGTACAGGATCTCTCTGGCATAGGGTTCAAGGTCACCATAGATAGACCACTGGAAATTACTCCAGCCAATTGTCCAAGGGCATCAGTATTCCCAAAGCCCAGTCACCCTGGGTGGAAGGGGACAGTGACCTGAAGCAAGTCATTGGCTCTCTCCTCGGCCTCTGCTTTCTCCCCTGGAGCACCCAGGACAGGGCCTGTGCCATCAGCCCTTCCCTCCAAGTAGCCATGGGTCCAGGGAGATGTGGCAGGGGTGGGGAGAAAGAGTATTGTCTCCATTGGATAGATGCGGTGGCTGATGTCTTTAGGCTGAAAGCCCAGTGGAGCTGTGGGGTTGCAGGGTGCTGTGGCAGGTTTTCCTTCTATCTATGCCCCCATTCCCATGCCCGATATCCAAGAACCCCTCCCCATCCCTGCTGTCACACTGCCTGAACACAACCGCCTGAGAACTGACCTGCCCAGGAGGTGAGACTCACAAGTGTTCGCTGTCCTGTGAGCACTCCTGGAGAGCGCAGTTTCCTGCCAGGATGATAAACGGCTGCTCTCCAGTCCTGGCCCAGACCTGTCACTTCTCTGACCCAGGGAATGATCCATAGCTGACCCCACTCTCCCAGTGCAAGAGCGGGGCCAGATCCGCCGGGAAGACACACGGCCTGCGGAACGCTCATCACAGGACAGCTGTTGACACTACCCAGGGCTTGTTTTTAATGAAAAGCAAAATGAGGATTGAAACAAAAGTAATAGACTTTATATTTGGGGCAATTTTAGGTTTACATAAAAATTGAGCAGAAAATACTGAGTTCCCAGACACCCACTAACCATCCCCCACTTCCCTTGTTAACAGCTCCCATTGGTGTTATACATTTGCTACAGTTGATGAGCCAATATTGTTACATAATTATTACTTAAAGCCCATAGATTACCGATTTCTTGCTCTTCTTTTAATCATGGTAAAATATACGTAGCATAAATTTTTGCCATTATAACCATTTTTAATTGTACCATTCAGTGACATTAACTCACTGAATGGAGTGAGGGAAAAAACCAATCCTCTGTTATTCTACCTCTTAAAAAATAAAAGAAATTGCGATATTCCCTTGAGTGGGGATATCACAATTTCTTTTGTTTTTTAAGAGGTAGAAAAGACATAACTCAATTACGTCTTTATTAGCAGCATGAGAACGGACTAACACAATTTCTTTTTAGCGGTCAATAATATTTCATTGTCTGGATACACCACAGTTTGTTTATTTAAAAATGAGAAATTTTTCATGATAAAGAATTATGTTAAATTTTAGAAAATGAGAAAATCTGAGAAAGAAGGGAAAAAACATTCGCACTGTTGTGCAACCATCACCAGGATCCATCTTGCAGACTGAACTCTGTATCCATTAAACAAAAGTTCCCACAGGCTTCACTCTAGGTGTACATTCTGCGGGTTTGGACACATGCATAATGACTTGTAGCCACCATTACAGTATCATACAGAGTAGTTTCACTGCCTTAAAAATCCTCCTATTCATTCCTCCTTCCTCCTGCCCAAACCTCTAGCAACCTGATCTTTTTTTTTTTTTTTTTTTTTTTTTGAGACAGAGTCTTGCTCTGTCACCCGGGCTGGAGTGTAGTGAGGGGATCTCGGCTCACTGCAACTTCTGCCTCCTGGGTTTAAGCTATTCTCTTGTCTCAGCCTCCCAAGTAGCTGGGATTACAGGTGCCCGCCACTTATGCCTGGCTAATTTTTTGTATTTTTAGTAGAGATGGGGTTTGGCCATGTTGGCCAGGCTGGTCTCAAACTCCTGACTTCAGGTGATCCACCCGCCTCGGCCTCCCAAGCAACCTGATCTTTTCACTCTCTCTATAGTTTTGCCCTTTCCAGAATGTCATATAGTTGGAATCATACAATAGGCAGCCTGCTCAGGTTGGCTTCTTTCACTTAGCAATATGCACTTAAGTCTCCTTCATGTTGTTTCGTGGCTTGATAGGTACATTTCTGATATGGTTTGGCTGTGTCTCTGCACAGTTCTCACCCTGAATTGTAATAATCCCCACCTGTCAAGGGCAGGGCCAGGTGGAGATAATTGAATCGTGGGGCTGGGTTTTTCCCATGCTGTTCTCGGGGTAGTGAGTAAGTCTCACGAGATCCGATGGCTTTACAAACGGGAGTTCCCTTGCACAAGCTCTTTTTCCCGCCACCACGTAAGACATCTTTTGCTCTTCCTTCATCTTCTGCCATGATTGTGAGGCCTCCCCAGCCATGTGGAACAGTGAGTTCATTAAACCTCTTTCCTTTATAAATTACCCAGTCTCAGTTACGTCTTTATTAGCAGCATGAGAACGGACTAATACAATTTCTTTTTAGCGGTCAATAATATTTTATCGTCTGGATACACCACAGTTTGTTTATTCAAAAATGAGAAATTTTTCATGATAAAGAATTATGTTAATTTTTAGAAAATGAGAAAATCTAAGAAAGAAGGCAAAAAACATTCGCACTGCTGTGCAACCATCACCAGGATCCATCTCACAGACTGAACTCTGTATCCATGAAACAAAAGTTCCCACAGGCTTCACTTTAGATGTACATTCTGTGGGTTTGGACACATGCATAATGACTTGTAGCCACCACTACAGTATCATACAGAGTAGTTTCACTGTCTTAAAAATCCTCCTATTCATTCCTCCTTCCTCCTGCCCAAACCTCTGGCAACCTGATCTTTTTTTTTTTTTTTTTTTTTTGAGACAGAGTCTTGCTCCGTCACCCGGGCTGGAGTGTAGTGAGGGGATCTCGGCTCACTGCAACTTCTGCCTCCTGGGTTTAAGCTATTCTCTTGTCTCAGCCTCCCAAGTAGCTGGGATTACAGGTGCCCGCCACTTATGCCTGGCTAATTTTTTGTATTTTTAGTAGTGATGGGGTTTGGCCATGTTGGCCAGGCTGGTCTCAAACTCCTGACTTCAGGTGATCCACCCGCCTCGGCCTCCCAAGCAACCTGATCTTTTCACTCTCTCTATAGCTTTGCCCTTTCCAGAATGTCATATAGTTGGAATCATACAATAGGCAGCCTGCTCAGGTTGGCTTCTTTCACTTAGCAATATGCACTTAAGTCTCCTTCATGTTGTTTCGTGGCTTGATAGGTACATTTCTGATATGGTTTGGCTGTGTCTCCGCACAGTTCTCACCCTGAATTGTAATAATCCCCACCTGTCAAGGGCAGGGCCAGGTGGAGATAATTGAATCGTGGGGATGGGTTTTTCCCATGCTGTTCTCGGGGTAGTGGGTAAGTCTCACGAGATCCGATGGCTTTACAAACGGGAGTTCCCTTGCACAAGCTCTTTTTCCCGCCACCACGTAAGACATCTTTTGCTCTTCCTTCATCTTCTGCCGTGATTGTGAGGCCTCCCCAGCCATGTGGAACTGTGAGTTCATTAAACCTCTTTCCTTTATAAATTACCCAGTCTCAGTTACGTCTTTATTAGCAGCATGAGAACGGACTAATACAATTTCTTTTTAGCGTTCAATAATATTTTATCGTCTGGATACACCACAGTTTATTTATTCAAAAATGAGAAATTTTTCATGATAAAGAATTATGTTAATCTTTAGAAAATGAGGAAACCTAAGAAAGAAGGGAAAAAACCAATCCTCTGTCGTTCTACCTGTTAAAGACCATACTGTTAATACTCTGCTGTATTTCCTTCTAGTGTGTGTATGTGCATGCACACATGTGTATGCATGAATGTGTGGACATCATTTTGGCTTGACTTGTAGCTACAGTCACATGGTGCAGAAAATTTTTGATTCCTCTTTTTTCATTAATTATCACTTGAACTCCCTTTATATTGTAAATTCTTCATAAGCATTTTTTCTTGTGGTGTTTTTTTTTTGAGACATGCTCTTGTTGCCCAGGCTGGAGTACAATGGCATGATCTCGGCTCACCACAACCTGGGTTCAAGCGATTCTCCTGCCTCAGCCTCCCAAGTAGATGGGATTACAGGCATGTGCTACCATGCCCAGCTAAATTTTTTGTATTTTTAGTAGAAACAGGGGTTCTCCATGTTGGTCAGGCTGGTCTCGAACTCCTGACCTCAGGTGATCCGCCCACCTCGGCCTCCCAAAGTGCTGGGATTACAGGCGTGAGCCACTGCGCCTGGCGGATAGCACAATTTCTTAACCATGCCTCTGTTTCTGGACTTTGGGGCTGTTTTCAATTTTGTGCTAATATAAATAAGTTTATCCTGAGCTCTTGGTCCTTAACTAGTTGTATAGATCCCCTCCCTCCACGCTTCCACTTGCTAGGAAGTGGAGTAGCTGAGACAGAGAGCATGAACGTTTTTAAGACATCCCCAAGATTTCTTTCTTTTATAATACTTTTTTTTATTGTGGTGGAAAACACAAAACACAAAAGTTCCCATTGTAAACCATTTTTAAGGGTGCAGTTCAGTAGTGTTAAGTATATTTACATTGTCATGAAACAGATCTCCAGAACTTTTTCTTTTTTTTTTTTTTTTTTTTTTTTTTGAGACAGAGTCTTGCTCCGTCACCCAGGCTGGAGTGTAGTGAGGGGATCTCGGCTCACTGCAACTTCTGCCTCCTGGGTTTAAGCTATTCTCTTGTCTCAGCCTCCCGAGTAGCTGGGATTACAGGTGCCCGCCACTTATGCCTGGCTAATTTTTTGTATTTTTAGTAGTGATGGGGTTTGGCCATGTTGGCCAGGCTGGTCTCAAACTCCTGACTTCAGGTGATCCACCCGCCTCGGCCTCCCAAGCAACCTGATCTTTTCACTCTCTCTATAGCTTTGCCCTTTCCAGAATGTCATATAGTTAGAATCATACAATAGGCAGCCTGCTCAGGTTGGCTTCTTTCACTTAGCAATATGCACTTAAGTCTCCTTCATGTTGTTTCGTGGCTTGATAGGTACATTTCTGATATGGTTTGGCTGTGTCTCCGCACAGTTCTCACCCTGAATTGTAATAATCCCCACCTGTCAAGGGCAGGGCCAGGTGGAGATAATTGAATCATGGGGATGGGTTTTTCCCATGCTGTTCTCGGGGTAGTGAGTAAGTCTCACGAGATCCGATGGCTTTACAAACGGGAGTTCCCTTGCACAAGCTCTTTTTCCCGCCACCATGTAAGACATCTTTTGCTCTTCCTTCATCTTCTGCCGTGATTGTGAGGCCTCCCCAGCCATGTGGAACTGTGAGTTCATTAAACCTCTTTCCTTTATAAATTACCCAGTCTCCGTTACGTCTTTATTAGCAGCATGAGAACGGACTAATACAATTTCTTTTTAGCGTTCAATAATATTTTATCGTCTGGATACACCACAGTTTGTTTATTCAAAAATGAGAAATTTTTCATGTTAAAGAATTATGTTAATCTTTAGAAAATGAGGAAACCTAAGAAAGAAGGGAAAAAACCAATCCTGTCATTCTACCTGTTAAAGACCATACTGTTAATACTCTGCTGTATTTCCTTCTAGTGTGTGTATGTGCATGCACACATGTGTATGCATGAATGTGTGGACATCATTTTGGCTTGACTTGTAGCTACAGTCACATGGTGCAGAAAATTTTTGATTCCTCTTTTTTCATTAATTATCACTTGAACTCCCTTTATATTGTAAATTCTTCATAAGCATTTTTTCTTGTGTTTTTTTTTTTGTTGTTGTTGTTGTTTTGAGACATGCTCTTGTTGCCCAGGCTGGAGTACAATGGCACGATCTCGGCTCACCGCAACCTGGGTTCAAGCGATTCTCCTGCCTCAGCCTCCCAAGTAGATGGGATTACAGGCATGTGCTACCATGCCCAGCTAAATTTTTTGTATTTTTAGTAGAAACAGGGTTTCTCCATGTTGGTCAGGCTGGTCTCGAACTCCTGACCTCAGGTGATCCGCCCACCTCGGCCTCCCAAAGTGCTGGGATTACAGGCGTGAGCCACTATGCCCGGCCTTGTGCATTGTTTTAAATGTCTGCAGTGATTTCCCTTGAGTGGGGATATCACAATTTCTTTTTTTTTTTTTTGAGACAGAGTCTCGCTCTGTCGCCCAGGCTGGAGTGCAGTGGCGCGATCTCGGCTCACTGCAAGCTCCGCCTCCCGGGTTCACGCCATTCTCCTGCCTCAGCCTCCAGAGTAGCTGGGACTACAGGCGCCTGCCACCACGCCTGGCTGATTTTTTGTATTTTTAGTAGAGACGAGGTTTCACCGTGTTAGCCAGGATGATCTGGATCTCCTGACCTCGTGATCCACCCACCTCGGCCTCCCAAAGTGCTGGGATTACAGGCGTGAGCCACTGCGCCTGGCGGATAGCACAAGTTCTTAACCATGCCTCTGTTTCTGGACTTTGGGGCTGTTTTCAATTTTGTGCTAATATAAATAAGTTTATCCTGAGCTCTTGGTCCTTAACTAGTTGTATAGATCCCCTCCCTCCACGCTTCCACTTGCTAGGAAGTGGAGTAGCTGAGACAGAGAGCATGAACGTTTTTAAGACATCCCCAAGATTTCTTTCTTTTATAATACTTTTTTTTATTGTGGTGGAAAACACAAAACACAAAAGTTACCATCGTAAACCATTTTTAAGGGTGCAGTTCAGTAGTGTTAAGTATATTTACATTGTCATGAAACAGATCTCCAGAACTTTTTCTTTTTTTTTTTTTTTTGAGATGGAGTCTCACTCTGTTGCCCAGGCTTGAGTGCAGTGGTGCAATCTCGGCTCACTGCAACCTCTGCCTCCCGGGTTCATGCCTTTGTCCTGCCTCAGCCTCCCGAGTAGCTGGGACTACAGGCACCCACCACCACGCTCGGCTAATTTTTTGTATTTTCAGTAGAAACGGGGTTTTGCTGTGTTAGCCAGGATGGTCTCGATCTCCTGACCTCATGATCTGCCCACCTCAGCCTCCCAAAGTGTTGGGATTACAGGCGTGAGCCACCGCACCCGGCCTCCAGAACTTTTTCATCTCGCAAAACTGAAATTCCATATCCATTAAAACAGCAACTCCTCGGCTGGGTGCAGTGGCTCATGCCTGTAATCACAGCACTTTGGGAAGCTGAGGCAGGCGATCACGAGGTCAAGAGATTGAGACCATCCTGGCCAACATGGTGAAACCTCGTCTCTACTAAAAATAGAAAAATTATCTGGGCATGGTGGTGTGTGCCTGTAGTCCCAGCTACTCAGGAGGCTGAGGCAGGAGAATGGCGTAAATCTGGAAGGCGGAGATTGCAGTGAGCCAAGATCTTGCCACTGCACTCCAGCCTGGCAACAGAGCAAGACTCCATCTCAAAACAAGCAAGCAAACAAACAAAAAACAAAAATAAAGGAACCAAACCAGCAACTCCTCTTTTCCCCCAGCCCCTGGAAATCACCATTCTACTTTCTGTTTCTATGCATTTGACTATTCTAGGTACCTCATATAAGTGGAATCAGATTGCCTTCCACTTAGTGTTTGTTATTTTGTGACCGGCTTATTCCATTTAGCATAGTATCCTCAAAGTTCATCCATGTTGAAGTATGTGACAGGATTTCTTTGCTTTTAAAGGCTGAATAATATTTTTGCTGTGGTCTGAATATTTTGGTACATCCCACCTCTGCCAAACAAAAATTCATATGTTGACACCTGATCATGAATGTGATGGTATCAGGAAATGGAGCCCTGGGGAGGTGATTAGGACACGGGGGCAGAGCCCTCATGAATGGGAGAGTGTCCTTTATTAAAGAACCCCAGAGAGACTCCTCACGCCTTCCAACATGTGAGGATACAGCAGGAAGATGCCATCTATGAACCAGGAAGTGGACCATCATCAGACAGCTCTTTTGCCCACCACCATGCCGGCCCCTTGATCTTAGACTTCCCAGCCCCCAGAACTGTGATAAATAAACTTTTGTTGTTTAAAAGGCACAGAGAGCAGTTGGGCTACACCCCCCGCCCCGGGACTCCTGCCCCTGTACTGCCCGCGTGCAGCCTGCTGTGCCCAGGGGAGACCCAGCCCTCCATCTGCCGCCCCAGACAGGCAAGCTGCTCGCCCTCTTCCTGCCAACTGAGCATCCTAATTACACAATAAATACTAATTGTCTGTGACTAGGCTCTTCCACAGTTGCAGACATTAACCAAAGTCACACCTAACAAGGCTCACCATTAATTATCTGTGCTCACTACTCCAGAATTTAATTATACTTTGGCAGAAATAGCAATCCACGTAGGATGACTGAGGAAATAGAGCTTGCAAAAATGTCCTCTTCTCATCAGGTGGCCTGGCAAAGCTGCTCCAAGCCCCTGGGATTTTCCCAGTGCATAGAAGGAGATACTGGGGAAGGAAACAGACGCCAGTGCCTGCTGTACGCTGAGAAAAACGAGGCATTGTCAAATATATCATTTCATCAAATCCTTGCAACCACTGTGGGAGAAGGGTCCCCGCTTTACCGATGAGGAAAACTCAGAGAGACCCAGTGACTTGCTAAGCAATTGGCAGAGCCAGGCCTGTCTGAGTTGCAGGCCCCTCCATTTCCACTGCTTGTTGCTGGAGGGACAGTCTTCATGATGTTTTTTTCTGTAATCTTGAGCTTATGTAGTGCTTTTCTTTCTCTACAGCACTAACAAGAATTATTGCATCTTGGCCACATGTGTGTTTATTAAGAAAACAAAACACTGAAGTATCTGAAGCCTAGAAAGATTGTGACGTACACAGAGCCACACACCCAAGTTCACACTCTCAGTGTCATCGTCAGGAAGGCAGTGGAGTAGGTGGGTAAGAGACTGGCCCTGATGTTAGACTACCTGGTTCAAGTCCTGTCTTTATCATTGACCTGGCTTTATCAAGGCAGCTTCAGTCAGGTTACTTGCTCTCCTCACCAATGGCACCTAACTGTTTGGGTAGTTACAAAGATCAAATGATATATTTATAGGGTATGGCACCTGGGACTTTTCATAATTTCCCCAAGATTTCTTCCTCTGGAGCCATACCACACTGGCTTGTGGCCTTTATTTCAAAGTCACTTTGATAAATGTGGGGGAAAATGGCCCCAATGATTCATGATTCCCCTCCCTGCCTTTTTGTAAGATGGCTTTTCGGCTTCTTCCATTAAGAGGCAGAATCTGTTTCCTGACCTCTTGAAGCTGGGCTGGCCTTACACTTTGACCAACAGAATGAGACGGAAGTGACAATGTGCCAGTTCCAAGCCTGGTCTTGCAGTTTTCCTCACTCCCTTGGAGCCCTGCCACCCATGTGAACAAGCTCAAGCTAGCCTGCTGGATGGTGGGAGACACATAGCCCAGTTACCCCCATCAACTCCAGCCAATGGCCAGCCAACTCAGATGTATGAGTAAGGCCACTTAGACCAGTCAGTATCCAGCAGACCTGCCAGCTAACTGTAGACCATGAGTAAGCCCAGCTAAGATCAGCTGAGCCTGGTCCAGATGAACAGATTGTCCTACTGACTCATGAGCAATACCATTGTTTTACATCACTGAGTTTGGAGGGATTTTGTTACACAGCAGTAGCTAACCGATATTGCCATTTATGTAACTTATTCTCAGGCAAGAATGGTGGTGGGGCACAGTATGGTTCACATTTCACATTCCCTGCTGCTCAGGCTGGGGCAAAAGTAGATAGCCCAGAGCAATCTGAAGGTAGATCATGGGATTCATCCTTCTAATTCTCCCAGAATCTGGTATAACTCACTTCAAACAGCCATTTCTTTTTTAGGTCTGAAAAATGTCTTTATTTCATCCTTATTCTTAAAAGGTACTTTTGCTGAATATAGAATTCTAGACCGACAGTTTATGCTTTCTCAGACATGGAAGGTAATCATGCCCTGTCCTCTGACTTCCATTATTGCTCATGAGAAGTCAGCTGTTAGTCTCACTGAAAGCAGTCTCTCTTTCCTCCTTGGCTGCTTTAAAGATCTTCTCTTCCTGGTGCAGTGGCTCACACCTGTAATCTCAGAGCTTTGGGAGGCCAGGAGTTTAATAGCAGCCTGGGCAGCAAAGCAAGACTCCATATCCACAAAAATAACATTTAAAAAATTAGCCAACATGGTGGCACAGACCTGTGGTCCCAGCTACTTGGGAGGCTGGGGTGGGAGGATTGCTTGAGCCCAGGAGTATGAGGCTGCAGCGAGCTATGATCGTACCACCACACTCCAGCCTGAGTGACAGAGAAAGACCCTCTCACAAAAAAAAAGAAAGGAAGGAAGGAACGAAGGAGAAAGAGAGAGAGGAAGAAAGAAAGAAAAGACAAGAAAAAGAAAGGAAAGGAAGAAAGAAAGAAAGGGAAAGAAAGAAAGGGGAAAAAACTCGTTCTCTGTTTTTGTGCAATTTCATTATGATTTGTCTATGCGTGAATTGCTTTTTATTTATTGGACTTCTTAAATCTAAAGTTTGATTTCTGTGTTAGTTAAAATAAGTAATACTAGTTGCTGTAACAAACAACTTCCAAATCTCAATGACGTGGTAGAATAAGCTCATTGGGTGATCATTAGGTGGCCAACTATGCAACTGTCTTCTGAACAGGGGGCCTAGGGACCTAGGTGCCTTCCATCTAATGCAGGGGTTTTCAACCTAGAGTCTGCTGTTGGATCTGTGAGAAGCCCATAAATAGAATTTAGGGAGTCAGTTAACTTAAATGGAAAAATTACATTGTTACTTTCTTTACTCTCTAAAATTTAGCATTTGGCCTGGTGCAGTGGCTCACACCTGTAATCCCAGCACTTTGGGGTGCCAAGGCAGGTGGATCACCTGAGGTCAGGAGTTTGAGACCAGCCTAGCCAACATGGTGAAACCCCGTCTCTACTAGAAATACAAAAATTAGCCGGGTGTGGTGCAGGCGCCTGTAATCCCAGCTATTCGGGAGGCTGAGGCAGGAGAATCGCTTCAACTTGGGGGGCAGAGGTTGCAGTGAGCCGAGATCATGCCACTTCACTCCAGCCTGGGCGACAGAGCGAGACTCCGTCTCAAAAAAAAAAAAAAAAAAAAAAATTAAGTTAAATGAAATTAAATTTAGCATTTTATATAACTATGAATGTAGACAACAAACCACAATTTTATGCCTGTGAATTTGTTACCAGTGGAAATTGCAAATATCTTAAATTATTGTTTACATTTATTTACAACTTTGAAACGTAGTATTAAACCTACCGGGGAATTGCATGTAATCAAAGTCTTTCTGTCCATGGACGCCTAGTTCAAAGTAGCTAGCCCATTACTGAGCAACTCAATACTCAATAATCATTCATCCAAAAATGGTGGCATTGTGTCTTTCACATTGTTGAGTTAGTCCTCCACTGTGTCCAGTATCTTCTATCAATGATTGCTTATTGATCAGCACATGGAAAGGAAGAGAGTCAAGACCACTGTTTAATGTTATAAAAGCAAATTAAGAGCAGCCTTCGCCCTGAAATGTCTTTGAAAAATACTATTTAACTTTAACTTTACTACATTTAAATGAATGGTCTTGTTTTTTAATGTGTTAATAGAGATGTGTATATGGTTTTGTTTTTTGTTTTTTGTTTTTTTTTGGTCCTTTTATTCTCTTGGATGTCTGCTTCTTTTTCCACTGAATATCTCATTGCAGTTGTTATACCTTTTATCTCCAGAAGTTCCATTTGATTCTTTCCCTTTTTTTTGACCATTTCTTTAATAGACTTTAAAATTTCCTAAACATTGTTTCAAGCTCATATCCTGCTATAAACTAAATATTTGTGTCCTCCCCAAATTCATATGTCGAAGTCCTAGTCCCCGAAGTAATGGCATTTGGAGGTGGGGCCTTTGGGAGGTAATTAGGTTTAGATGAAACCTAATTAGGTGGATCCCCATGATGTTATTAGTGTCCTTATAAGAAGAGGAAGAGACAACAGAGCTCTTGCTCTGTCTTTGCCATGTGAGGACACCACAAGAAGGCAGTTAGCTATCTACAAGTCAGGAAGAAGAGCTTCACCAGACACCAAATCTGCCAGCATCTTGATCTTGGACTTCCTAGCCCCCCAAAATGTAAGAAATAAATGGTTAAGCCACCCAATGTATGATATTTTGTTACAGCAGCCTGAGCTAAGACATATCCCTAACACCAAGAATAATGCCTGGCAAATAACAGGTGCTCAATAAACAGGCGCTGGATGAAAGAACACCTGTTACATGGCATCACGTGTGCATGAAGGCGGGGGGGCCAATGGAGGGGAAAGTGCAGGCCCTCCCGTTGAGGACTCCACAGGACTGAGGCAGGTGCAGCCACACTCACTGCTTACCATCTGTGGTTTCCTCATGTATAAACAAGGGATAATAATTATGTTTCCTTCCAGACAGTAGTGGGGAAATTGATTATGAATCACAGCAAACATAACATTGCCTGGCAGAACTTACTAAGTGTATACTCATTAGTATACTATATATTGCTATAATACCAGTAACCATTTTATTTTTGTTGCAGTAATTGTTGTTATACACCAGGCCCTGCACTACACACACATCATCTTATTGAAACCCTTATAACTACCCAAAGCAATGGACATCATTAGCCACATTTAACATGAGGAAATGGAGGCTGTGAGAGGGTAGGTAACTTGCATTTGTTCAAAAAACAGTAGCTATAGTGATTATTATGTTCCTAAGTACTGTAAGAGTGAGACCAAGTTCTGTGAGGGGTGAGGATAAAAGGGTGGTTTTCCACAGGGGACCACATGTGATGCTGCCCCTCACACAGAGTTGCTTCATTATCCTCCCCTCTTAGCCTCCATTACCCTGTGGCCTGGGCAGCTTTGTCCTGCACAGATGGGGTCAGCACTGTTGAGTGACATGTCCAGGCCCCCAGGACAGTCAGAGCCCAGGTCTGTATGACAAGATGAGGCTCCCTCCCTGCCCAGGTGCCTTGGCATACTCAGCAGCAGAGACACCAGTGGCCTTTCAGAAACCAAACATGGCCTGGAGTGAGCCAAGGCAGGGTGTGGAGTGGGGTGGGGGTGAGAGAGATGAAGGCATGGGCAACCTTAGCAAAGCAAGCAGCAGGAGAGCTGGGGACAGTTCTGGGTAGGAGGGGCCCTGCCCAGGTGCTCTTGGGGAAGGAGACTGATATGGTTTGGCTGTGCCCCCATGCAAATCTCATCTTGAATTGTTACTCCCACAATTCCCACGCATTGTGGGAGGGACCTGGTGGGAGGTAATTGAATCATGGGGGAAAGTCTTTCCTGTGCTATTCTCACAATAGTGAATAAGCCTCATGAGATCTGATGGTTTTATAAAGAGGAGTTCCCTGGCACAAGTTCTTCCTCTTTGGCTGCCACCATCCATGCAAGACATGACTTGCTCCTCCTTGCTTTCCACCATGATCGTGAGGCCACCTCAGCTATGTGGAACTGTATGTCTATTAAACCTATTCTTCCCAGTCTTGGGTATGTCTTTATCAGAAGCATGAAAAAGGACTAATACAGAGACTCTGCCCTGGAGGTGCAGGCTGTGTAGAGGAAGTCAGGGAGAGGGATCTGAACCTTGCACCCAGCTCCCAGGCTGCAGAGCTCAGTGACCTTCTGGGCTGGAGCAGGCTTCTCCCATTTCTTTCAGGGTCTGTTGGGCCCCAGCTGAGTTTCCATGACCTCCAGCAACTCCAGTCTTGGTGTTTTTTGTTTTGTTTTAAGCAACTACAAAATGCTTCCCATATGTTGTTTCCAGTTTCCCCAGGAATGAATCTCAATTGGGCTTGGAAGCCACGGAAAAGGCGATCTTTACCTAATATGGCTGCGATTTCAAACTTCTTGTGGAGCATGAGACCAAAGTGCATCAGAGCAGGATTCTGCACACTTACAGATCATCCTTTGTCAGGCCGCAGAACCTCTGTGGTATACAGGGACAAAGGGTGAACGTTCCCAGAAATGTTCATGTCCCAGCATTCTGAAAGGTGCCTCCCTAAGCTTCTACTTCTCACCAATGCAGAGGTTGAAGCTCTTGGGTATTGAGAGGGTTCGTCCCCTGGTACCCAGCTGGTGGTGCTCGTGGGGGTGGGGGACAGTGTTGCTGCCTCTGAAAACTGAGTTTATTGAGCTCCATCCATCACTATGCCCTGGATGTGTGTCCCTGCTGGCCTTTGTCACCATTCATGTGATGGAAGGACCAGAAGCCAGGCACCCTGCAAGGTGCTGGGGACACAAAGATGATCACAATGCAGTTCCTGCCCTCAAAGAGCGCCCAAGTGGTGAGGGCTACAGCCAAGGAGATGCCTCCAACGTGGGTGATGGGAGTGGGGTGGAGGGTTATCTGCCTGGGTTAGTGGAGCCCACCGTGGTTTCTTGTTGCAGTCTTTACTTTTCCTTTCCAGCAGGCATCGCAACCCATGGCATTGAAAATTGCACATTTATCTGTTATTTAATTTGCCTCCTCCCCTTAGCTATGAGATCCCTGGAGGGAGCGACAGATTCTGTTTTGTGTGTGACTGTAGTCCTTGTGTCTAGCACATGCTTGGCACACGGCTAGTACGTGGTTGGCTTCCAGGACACTTTTGGATAATGAATGAATGAACAAAGCCGGGGGGATGGTGGGCATGGAACGAGTGTGTAGCCAGGAAGGGTTTGGGGGTGGCGATGGTGGTGACTGAGCTAGGATAAGACTGAGCCAGTGAGGAGGATGCTTTGCAGGTGCATGTGACATGTGGATGGGTGGGTATGGCATGAGAAGCTGGGGTGCTTGGGTGAGGCCGGCATGAGAACACTGGGGTGTTGCTTTCTCTTCGTAGAATGCTCTCATTTGCATTTCGACCCATCTATTTGAAATCTTTCTCCCTTTCAAAACCCAGGTTGAATGCTGTTCCTCCCGACAGCCATGTTAACCCTCAGAATGAAGTACTTGGGCTGAGGTGGGGGGATGGGGTCCCACCACCTGTGGCTTATGCAGCTATGGAATGGGAACCGGAGGCTTAAGTCTTGCCTTGGTCCCGTTCTCCCCTGTAGCTGTTTTGCCATGGGTAGGGGGACTACATGTTCCCCTGGGAGTCCTTGGGTCCTGAGAGAAGAGGCTGCAGCTGGTGCTGACTGGTGGTGGGGCTTTGGACCTTTGAGCCTTATTTGTTGGTGATGACTCCAGCAATGTGTCTGCCACAGAGCGGTCCATGCCTAGGAGTGACCATGTTGTCTTAATTTAGTCTTCCCACTCCTGGATCATGCTGTGCATATTATCCATACATTAGGAGAACATCAATAGTATTTGCTTAGTTCCTCTTTTGCTGAGTCTTCCCATTATGAAATAACCTGATTATATAAAACATGCTCAAATTATCAACAGGAAACATGATATTCAACCTGATTCATTAATCAAAGACATGAATATTCTCTAAGGAGAACCAAGCTCTCTATGGATATGGATTTGCAGAGCTGCCCCTTCCCCTCTCCTTTTCCGCCGCCCCCCCGCCACCAATTTTTAAATTATAATGCTACTGCCGGTAAGAGAGCACTAAGAATCTGATTCACTTCTGGTGGGTGGGCAGATTACAACAATCTTTCTGGAGGGCAACTAGGTGATTTGCAAAGAGAGTCTCAAAAGTGTCTCCACCCTTTAACCCAGTTATTCTCGAATGTATCCTAAGGCACTCATTCTTGATTCAAAACAAAATTTTATGCACACAGCCTTTTATCACAGTATTATTTTGAATAGTGAAAGATTCTTACTCTTCAGAATACCCATTATCACTAAAATAGTGAAGTTGTAGTCCAACCACTTCATGGAAATATTATGAAGCAATTTAAAATGGTGGTTAGCAACCTTAAAAATTGTATGGAAGTTTCTAAAGTGAGGTCCTTGGATTCTAAATACCATTCTTGGCTGGGTGCGGTGGCTCACGCCTGTAATCCCAGCACTTTGGGAGGCTGAAGTGGGCGGATCACTTGAGGTCAGGAGTTCAAGACCAGCCTGGGCAACATGGTGAAACCCCATGTCTACTAAAAATACAAAAATTAGCTGGGCGTGGTGGTACATGCCTGTAGTCCCAGCTACTTGGGAGGCTGAGGCACAAGAATCATTTGAACCCAGGAGGTGGAGGTTGCAGTGAGCCGAGATCACACCATGCCCTCCAGCCAAGGTGATAGAAGGAGACTCTGTCCCAAAAAATTATTAATAAATAAGTAAAATGGTGGTTAGCGACCTAAAAAATTGTATGGGAGATCCTAAAGTGAGGCCCTTGGGTTCTAAATAGCATTCTCTGCTAAAAGGAATCACAAGGCTTTCTGCAGAAATGGCTGATTCCAGGTCCAGATAAGGGAAGAACTAGATTAGACTGGAATATCTTGGCATGCAAAGAAGCAAAGTAAAGAAAGCAAAGAAGTGCTTGAAAACTAACGGGGAGAGGTCAGGCCACAGGTTGAAGGGGCTCCCACTGGCCAAATCTGGGACAATTTAAATATCAACAATGGCTGGTGCAGGGCTCACATCTGTAACCCCAATACTTTGGGAGGCAGAGGTGGGAGGATTACTTGAGCCCAGGAGTTCAAGACCAGCCTGGGAAACATAGTGAGACCCCATCTCTACCAAAAAAAAAAAATAGTTTGGTATGGGGGTGCATGCCTGTGATCCCAGCTCAGCTGGGGTGGGAGGATTGCGTGGGCCTGGGAGGTTAAGGCTGCAGTGAGCCGTTATCACACCACTGCACTCCAGCCTGGGCAACAGAGCAAGACCCTGTCTCAAAATAAATATATATATATAAGAATAATGAGGATAATGATTTTAACATATTTAATTTTTAAAAAAACAATCTGTAAGTACATAGTGATAGTATTTTTACTTTTTTATTTTTTTTATTATTATACTTTAAGTTTTAGGGTACATGTGCACAACGTGCAGGTTTGTCACATATGTATACATGTGCCATGTTGGTGTGCTGCACCCATTAACTCATCATTTAACATTAGGTGTATCTCCTAATGCTATCCCTCCCCCCTCCCCCCACCCTGCAACAGGCCCCAGTGTGTGATGTTCCCTTTCCTGTGTCCATGTGTTCTCATTGTTCAATTCCCACCTATGAGTGAGAACATGCGGTGTTTGGTTTTTTGTCCTTGCGATAGTTTGCTGAGAATGATGGTTTCCAGCTTCATCCATGTCCCTACAAAGGACATGAACTCATCATTTTTTATGGCTGCATAGTATTCCATGGTGTATATGTGCCACATTTTCTTAATCTAGTCTATCATTGTTGGACATTTGGCTTGGTTCCAAGTCTTTGCTATTGTGAATAGTGCCACAATAAGCATATGTGTGCATGTGTCTTTATAGCGGCATGATTTATAATCCTTTGGGTATATACCCAGTAATGGGATTGCTGGGTCAAATGGTATTTCTAGTTCAAGATCCCTGAGGAATCGCCACACTGACTTCCACAATGGTTGAACTAGTTTACAGTCCCACCAACAGTGTAAAATTGTTCCTATTTCTCCACATCCTCTCCAGCAGCTGTTGTTTCCTGACTTCTTAATGATCGCCATTCTAACTGGTGTGAGATGGTATCTCATTGTGGCTTTGATTTGCATTTCTCTGATGGCCAGTGACGATGAGCATTTTTTCATATGTCTTTCGGCTGCATAAATGTCTTCTTTTGAGAAGTGTCTGTTCATATCCTTTGTCCACTTTTTGATGGGGTTGTTTGTTTTTTTCTTGCAAATTTGTTTGAGTTCATTGTAGATTCTGGATATTAGCCCTTTGTCAGATGAGTAGATTGCAAAAATTTTCTCCGATTCTGTAGGTTGCCTGTTCACTCTGATGGTAATTTCTTTTGCTGTGCAGAAGCTCTTTAGTTTAATTAGATCCCATTTGTCAATTTTGGCTTTTGTTGCCATTGCTTTTGGTGTTTTAGACATGAAGTCCTTGCCCATGCCTATGTCCTGAATGGTATTGTCTAGGTTTTCTTCTAGGGTTTTTATGGTTTTCGGTCTAACATTTAAGTCTTTAATCCATCTTGAATTAATTTTTGTATGAGGTGTAAGGAAGGGATCCAGTTTCAGCTTTCTACATATGGCTAGCCAGTTTTCCCAGCACCATTTATTAATAGGGAATCCTTTCCCCATTGCTTGTTTTTGTCAGGTTTGTCAAAGATCAGATGGTTGTAGATATGTGGCATTATTTCTGAGGGCTCTGTTCTGTTCCGTTGGTCTATATCTCTGTTTTGGTACCAGTACCATGCTGTTTTGGTTACTGTAGCCTTGTAGCATAGTTTGAAGTCAAGTAGCGTGATGCCTCCATCTTTGTTCTTTTGGCTTAGGATTGACTTGGCAATGCAGGCTCTTTTTTGGTTCCATATGAACTTTAAAGTAGTTTTTTCCAATTCTGTGAAGAAAGTCATTGGTAGCTTGATGGGGATGGCATTGAATCTATAAATTACCTTGGGCAGTATGGCCATTTTCACGATATTGATTATTCCTACCCATGAGCATGGAATATTCTTCCATTTGTTTGTATCCTCTTTTATTTCATTGAGCAGTGGTTTGTAGTTCTCCTTGAAGAGGTCCTTCACGTCCCTTGTAAGTTGGATTCCTAGGTATTTTATTCTCTTTGAAGCAATTGTGAATGGGAGTTCACTCATGATTTGGCTCTCTGTTTGTCTGTTATTGGTGTATAAGAATGCTTGTGATTTTTGTACATTGATTTTGTATCCTGAGACTTTGCTGAAGTTGCTTATCAGCTTAAGGAGATTTTGGGCTGAGACGTTGGGGTTTTCTAGATACACAATCATGTCATCTGCAAACAGGGACAATTTAACTTCCTCTTTTCCTAATTGAATACCCTTTATTTCCTTCTCCTGCCTGATTGCCCTGACCAGAACTTCCAACACTATGTTGAATAGGAGTGGTGAGAGAGGGCATCCCTGTCTTGTGCCAGTTTTCAAAGGGAATGCTTCCAGTTTTTGCCCATTCAGTATGATATTGACTGTGGGTTTGTCATAGATAGCTCTTATTATTTTGAGATACGTCCCATCAATACCTAATTTATTGAGAGTTTTTAGCATGAAGGTTGTTGAATTTTATCAAAGGCCTTTTCTGCATCTATTGAGATAATCATCTGGTTTTTGTCATTGATTCCATTTATATGCTGGATTACGTTTATTGATTTGCGTATGTTGAACCAGCCTTGCATCCCAGGGATGAAGCCCACTTGATCATGGTGCATAAGCTTATTGATGTGCTGCTGGATTTGGTTTGCCAGTATTTTATTGAGGATTTTTGCATCGATGTTCATCAGGGATATTGGTCTAAAATTCTCTTTTTTTGTTGTGTCTCTGCCAGGCTTTGGTATCAGGATGATGCTGGCCTCATAAAATGAGTTAGGGAGGATTCCCTCTTTTTCTATTGATTAGAATAGTTTCAGAAGGAATGGTACCAGGTCCTCCTTGTACCTCTGGTAGAATTCGGCCTTGAATCCATCTGATCTTGGACTTTTTTTGGTTGGTAAGCTATTAATTATTGCCTCAATTTCAGAGCCTGTTATTGGTCTATTCAGAGATTCAACTTCTTCCTGGGTTAGTCTTGGGAGGGTGTATGTGTTGAGGAATTTATCCATTTCTTCTAGATTTTCTAGTTTATTTGCATAGAGGTGTTTATAGTATTCTCTGATGGTAGTTTGTATTTCTGTGGGATTGGTGATGATATCCCTTTTATCATTTTTTATTGCGTCCTTTTATCATTTTTTATTGCGTCTATTTGATTCTTCTCTCTTTTATTCTTTATTACTCTTGCTAGTGGTCTATCAATTTTGTTGATCTTTTCAAAAAACCAGCTCCTGGATTAATTGATTTTTTGGAGGGTTTTTTGTGTCTCTGTTTCCTTCAGTTCTGCTCTGATCTTAGTTATTTCTTGCCTTCTGCTAGCTTTTGAATGTGTTTGGTCTTGCTTCTCTAGTTCTTTTAATTGTGATGTTAGGGTGTCAATTTTAGATCTTTCCTGCTTTCTCTTGTGGTCATTTAGTGCTGTAAATTTCCCTCTACACACTGCTTTGAATGTGTCCCAGAGATTCTGGTATGTTGTGTCTTTGTTCTCTTTGGTTTCAAAGAACATCTTTATTTCCGCCTTCATTTCGTTATGTACCCAGTAGTCATTCAGGTGCAGGTTGTTCAGGTTCCATGTAGTTGAGCGGTTTTGAGTGAGTTTCTTAATCCTGAGTTCTAGTTTGATTGCACTGTGGTCTGAGAGACAGTTTGTTATAATTTCTGTTCTTTTACATTTGCTGAGGAGTGCTTTACTTCCAACTATGTGGTCAATTTTGGAATAAGTGTGGTGTGGTGCTGAGAAGAATGTATATTCTGTTGATTTGGGGTGGAGAGTTCTGTAGATGTCTATTAGGTCCGCTTGGTGCAGAGCTGAGTTCAATTCCTGGATATCTGTGTTAACTTTCTGTCTCGTTGATCTGTCTAATGTTGACAGTGGGGTGTTAAAGTCTCCCATTATTATTGTGTGGGAGTCTAAGTCTCTTTGTAGGTCTCTAAGGACTTGCTTTATGAATCTGGGTGCTCCTGTATTGGGTGCATATATATTTAGGATAGTTAGCTCTTCTTGTTGAATTGATCCCTTTACCATTATGTAATGGCCTTCTTTGTCCCTTTTGATCTTTGTTGGTTTAAAGTCTGTTTTATCAGCGACTAGGATTGCAACCCCTGCCTTTTTCTGTTTTCCATTTGCTTGGTAGATCTTCCTCCATCCCTTTATTTTGAGCCTATGTGTGTCTCTGCACGTGAGATGGGTTTCCTGAGTACAGCACACTGATGGGTCCTGATTCTTTATCCAATTTGCCAGTCTGTGTCTTTTAATTGGAGCATTTAGCCCATTTACATTTAAGGTTAATATTGTTATGTGTGAATTTGATCCTGTCATTATGATGTTAGCTGGTTATTTTGCTCGTTAGTTGATGCAGTTTCTTCCTAGCCTCGATGGTCTTTACAATTTGGCATGTTTTTGCAGTGGCTGGTACCGGTTGTTGCTTTCCATATTTAGTGCTTCCTTCAGGAGCTCTTTTAGGGCAGGCCTGGTGGTAACAAAATCTCTCAGCATTTGCTTGTCTGTAAAGTATTTTATTTCTCCTTCACTTATGAAGCTTAGTTTGGCTGGATATGAAATTCTGGGTTGAAAATTCTTTTCTTTAAGAATTTTGAATATTGACCCCCACTCTCTTCTGGCTTGTAGAGTTTCTGCCGAGAGATCAGCTGTTAGTCTGATGGGCTTCCCTTTGCAGGTAACCCGACCTTTGTCTCTGGCTGCCCTTAACATTTTTTCCTTCATTTCAACTTTGTGAATCTGACAACTATGTGTCTTGGAGTTGCTCTTCTCGAGGAGTATCTTTGTGGCGTTCTCTGTGTTTCCTGAATTTGAATGTTGGCCTGCCTTGCTAGATTGGGGAAGTTCTCCTGGATAATATCCTGCAGAGTGTTTTCCAACTTGGTTCCATTCTCCTGTCACTTTCAGGTACACCAATCAGACGTAGATTTGGTCTTTTCATGTAGTCCCATATTCTTGGAGGCTTTGTTCGTTTCTTTTTATTCTTTTTTCTCTAAACTTCTCTTCTCGCTTCATTTCATTCATTTCATCTTCCATCACTGATACCCTTTCTTCCAGTTGATTGAATCGGCTACTGAGGCTTGTGCATTCGTCAGGTAGTTCTCGTGCCTTGGTTTTCAGCTCCATCAGGTCCTTTAAGGATTTCTCTGCGTTCGTTATTCTAGTTAGCAGTTCGTCTAATTTTTTTTTCACAGTTTTTAACTTCTTTGCCATGGGTTCGAACTTCCTCCTTTAGCTCGGAGTAGTTTGATCATCTGAAGCCTTCTTCTCTCAACTCGTCAAAGTCATTCTCTGTCCAGCTTTGTTCCATTGCTGGTGAGGAGCTGTGGTCCTTTGGAGGAGGAGAGGTGCTCTGATTTTTAGCGTTTCCAGTTTTTTTGCTCTGTTTTTTCCCCATCTTTGTGGTTTTATCTGCCTTTGGTGTTTGATGATGGTGACGTACAGATGGGGTTTTGGTGTGGATGTCCTTTCTAACAGTCAGGACCCTCAGCTGCAGGTCTGTTGGAGTTTGCTGGAGGTCCACTCCAGACCCTGTTTGCCTGGGTATCAGCAGCTGAGGCTGCAGAACAGTGGATATTGATGAATAGCAAATGTTGCTGCCTGATTGTTCCTCTGGAAGTTTTGTCTCAGAGGAGTACCCGGTCGTGTGAGGTATCTGTCTGCCCCTACTGGGGGGTGCCTCCCAGTTAGGCTACTTGGGGGTCAGGGACCCACTTGAGGAGGCAGTCTGTCCGTTCTCAGATGTCCAGCTGCGTGCTGGGGGAGCCACTACTGTCTTCAAGGCTGTCAGACAGGGACATTTAAGTCTGCAGAGGATTCTGCTGCCTTTTGTTTGGCTGTGCCCTGCCCCCAGAGGTGGAGTCTACAGAGGTAGGCAGGCCTTCTTGAGCTGCGGTGGGCTCCACCCAGTTCCAGCTTCCTGGCTGCTTTGTTTACTTACTCAAGCCTCGGCAATGGCGGGCCCCCCTCCCCCAGCCTTGCTGCCACCTTGCAGTTTGATCTCAGACTGCTGTGCTAGCAATGAGCAGGGCTCCGTGGGTGTAGGACCCTTCGAGCCAGGCATGGGATATAATCTCCTGGTGTGCCATTTGCGAAGACCATTGGAAAAGCGCAGTATTAGGGTGGGAGTGACCCGATTTTCCAGGTGCAGTCTGTCACCCCTTTCTTTGACTAGGAAAGGGAATTCCCTGACCCCTTGCGCTTCCCGGGTGAGGTGATGCCTCACCCTGCTTCGACTCACGCTTGGTGTGCTGCACCCACTGTCTTGCACCCACTTTCCGACACTCCCCAGTGAGATGAACCCGGTCCTCAGTTGGAAATGCAGAAATCACCCGTCTTCCATGTCGCTCACGCTGGGAGCTGTAGACTGGAGCTGTTCCTATTCACCCATCTTGGCTCCGCCTATTTTTATTTTTTTTTGAGATAGAGTTTCACTCTTGTTGCCCAGGCTAGAGTGCAATGGTGCGATCTCGGTTCACTGCAACCTCTGCCTCCCGGGTTCAAGCGATTCTCCTGCCTCAGCCTCCTGAGTAGCTGGGATTACAGGCATGCACCACCATGCTGGCTAATTTTGTAGTTTTAGTAGAGATGGGGTTTCTCCATGTTGGTCAGGCTGGTTGCAAACTCCCGACCTCAGGTGATCTGCCCGCCTTGGCCTCCCAAAGTGCTGGGATTACAGGCATGAGCCACTGCGCCCGGCCGTGATAGTATTTTTAAAAAGGGGGAGTAGAGAGAGAGAGAAAATAGCCAACTAACAATAGAAGGAATGATGATAGAATTAGAAAATCACCATTTTGCATCTAAAATAATTCAGACAGGGATCACCAATGCATTCTAAAATTGCTGAAAGTTTGTTAGGGAATAGGAAATTTGCAAGGTCTCAAGGTGTCACACATTTATTGACAAAAAAGGGGAAAATACAACTTTATAATGGAGAGAACTAGAAGAAACCATTTTAACCAAATGATCAAAGTTAGCATCCCTGACATTGCCTGCCTCTTGAAGTGACATAGTGATTCAACATCACCTATATAGTATTCTTTCCAAAGTGTTGAACTTGAACCTAATCACAAAGAAATAAACAAATTCTTATGTTATAAGTGGCTCATACTCTTCAAAATATCAACACATAAAGGACCAAAAAAGGAAAGAAAGAGAGCTGTTCTAGATAAAGGAGACAGAAGAGAATGATAATCCAATGCAATCTTGGGTTGGATCTTGGATCAGAAAAAAAATTAAAAATAGCTCACAAAAACATTTTTTGGATTGTTAGAAAAATTTAAATATGGACCATATATAATATCATTGCACAATGTTAGATTTGTTGGATGTGTTAAAGATTTTGTTGTTATACAGGAGGCTACTTTTATTCTTAGGTCCAAGCTGGAATATCCTGAGATAAAGTGTCATGAGGTCTATAATTCATCTTAAGTTATTCAGAAAAAAAAAGAACAGCTGGGGCAAAATGTTAACAATGAAGTCTAAGTGAAGGGCATATAGATATTCATTATGTTATTTTTTCAACTTGTCTGTAATTTTTTTTTCTTTTGAGACAGAGTTTTGCTGTCACCCAAGCTGGAGTACAGTGATACAATCTCAGCTCATTGCAATGTCTGCCTCCCAGGCTCAAAGAATACTCCCACCTCAGCCTCCTGAGTAGCTGGTACTACAGATGTGTGCCACCATGCTCAGTTAATTTTTTAACTTTTTTTTTTTGTAGAGACAAGGTTTCAACATTTTGCCCAGGTTGGTCTTGAACTCCTGGGCTCAAGCGATCCACCTGCCTTGGTCTCCCAACGTGTTGGGATTGCAGGCCTGAGCCACTCCACCTGGGCTTCATGTTTACTTTCATAAACATGTTAGAAAGTTTATGGGAGGTGTTTACTGTAATACTGTTATATTGTTACATCAACAATGGATACATGGATATGTATCCAAATGAATATGCAATTCCATATTCCATTGTATGCAATATGAAGATACATATCCATGATCTGGATGGCTGCTGTTTTAATTCAGCTTCTGTTCCACCTTCTCCACCCGGCAGCACCCTTATTTTGTTTCTTCTTTTTTTTTTTGAGATGGAGTTTCGCTCTTGTTGCCCAGGCTGGAGAGCAGTGGCATGATCGCAGCTCACCGCAACCTCCACCTCCTGGGTTCAAGTGATTCTCCTGCCTCAGCCTCCTGAGTAACTGGGATTACAGGAATGCCCCACCACGCCTGGCTAATTTTTTTTTTTTGTATTTTTAGTAGAGACGGGGTTTCTCCATGTTGGTCAGGCTGGTCTCGAACTCCCAACCTCAGATGATCTGCCTGCCTCCACCTCCCAGAGTGCTTGGATAACAGGTGTGAGCCACTGCTCCCGGCCCCCTTATTTTCTTTTAGTGCTCAGCTCTCCCCTTTTTGGCTCATGAGGTCTAGATAGGGCATATGAACCACATCCACCTGTCCCCAGGGACTGGTAGGCACATGTCTTAAGTTAGTCCAACCAGAGCCAACAGACACCAAGCCCGGGGCTTTTTGCTGGACATACTGGGAAAAGGCAGCATACTTTTCCCCTGAGGCCACCAAGCTGACTGGATGTGAACTAAATGATGTGGTCATCTTTGGGAAGTAGCTGCCTGTGAATTAAGCTGACACAACAAAGAGCTAAAAGGAGAAAGTCTGCAGTGTTTGAGCCACTGAATGTAAACATACCTGAAGTTAGGTGAAACTGGGTTTCCTGCCAGTGTCAGTTGTGTATTTCCTACTTAAAACCTGAGGAGTCCTGACCACTGCAGGATGGAAATGCATAGAAAACGTAGTTTCCTCCCACCATGTAACAAATTACCTCAAGTTCAGCAGCTTTGCTTAAAACACCACACACTTATTATCTCACAATTGCTGTGGGTGAAGAATCTGGGCGTAGTTTAACTAGGTCCCTATTTTTGGTTTCACAAGGCCACAACTAAGATGTCAGCCAGGCCTGTGGTCTCATCTAGAGACTCAACTGGGGAAGAATCTGCTTCCAAGTTCATTCAGGTTGCTGGCAGAATTCCTTTCCTTGCACTTGTATTATTGAGGGCCCGGCTTTCTGCTGGCTGTCTGCTGGAGGCTGCCTAAGGTCCTACATGCTGCCCATAGTCTTTTGCCACATGGGCTCCCCGACACGACTGCTTACTTCATCAAGCCAACAGGAAGGGTCCAGCCAGGGAAGATGTAATCCTCTACAACATAATATAGCCATGAGCCTGACAGCTTATCACCTTTGCCGTAGAATGTAACCCAGTCTTAGGAGTGACATCCCCTCACATTTGCCATATTCTGTTGGTTAGAAGCAAGTCACAGGTCCCATGTGTACTCATAAGGAGGGAATTACATGAAGGCATGACCAGGAGGCAGGAGACTACTGGAGTTCAAGTAGGGGTCTGTTCACCACTGATGGGATGGGAAGAATCCACTTACCAACTGCCACACTTGCCCTTACCCACTGCTAAGCACTTACTTACTGAGTACTTGTGAGTACTAAGTAATGTACCCTGGTATTTATCCCCGTTTTTCCTAATTTAACGGTAGTTATCACTGGAAAATGGGAAGAAGGTGCAGTGCTGAAGAGCACTAGAACTTTCTGCTCTGCATATGGTATTGTTTGGGATCTTTGCAGTAAGCATGTATTCATGTGTTATGTAATTTAAAAATGCAATTGAAAATGAAAATCATATATTCAGTATGGCTTCAACTAAAAGCTGCTCTCCCTCCACTTCCAGACCTTCCTACATACATACACATTCACAATTGGAAAAAAAAAAAAAAAAAAAAAAAAAGACTGGAAGGAAACAGGCCAAATGGGACAACTTATTAGTCTGGAGTGTTGGGTCTATGGGTGAATATTTTCTTCTTTTCTGTATTTCCCACAATTAAGGAATATAATTCAAATAATCAGAAGAAAAAAAAACTCCAAGTGATTTGAAATGCTTTTTGGGTCCAATTTTATGGCCAAAAATAAAGAAAACCCTCTTGTTTACCTTCTGCAGAAAAGCAATTTCCTGCTTGGGTGGCTGATTAAGTGTCTGTTCCAAGATCTCAAAGAAATAAATCAGATGTCAGCGGGGAACACACACCTGCTTCCTCTCACGCTGATAAAGAACAATTAACTCTCATTAGAACGTATCTGGCTTTGTCCCAGAACTAAGCATTATTTGAAAAAATATGGCAGGTTTTCTCCCTGCCTAAAAGCTACTGGAGGGTCCTAGTCAAGATGAGAAATAGAAGATTCTGTGCCAGACAGATTTGATACACTGACATGTTTAGTAACCAAATAGGCCAAACCCGTGGCTATGTGAAAACAAACAAAACATATGCTTGATCTCATTTCTACTGCTAATTGGAGGACCTTGATGGGTCTTTGGATCTGTCTGCTTGTCTGTAAAATTATAGAACTGAATATGAGGAGCTTCTATCAGAGCTGACTGAAGACCACACTTGTAGTCAAATAAACAAAACAAAACTACCAAAATTAGGAATTAGGTTTATTAGACTTGCTGCAGCAAGGGAGACTGTGTACCCAAGAATATCTCAGTAACGGGAGATGATAGGGGTCTTTTTTTTTTTTTTCTTAAGAGATAGGGTCTCCCTCTGTTGCCCAGGTTGGAGTGCAGTGGCCATAGGTCACTGTAATCTCGAACTCCTGAGCTCAAGTGATCCTCCCACCTCAGCCTCCCAAGTAGCTAAGACTATAGGTGTGCACCACCACACTAGGCTAATTTTTAAATTTTTTGTAGAGACATGGTCTCACTGTATTGCCTAGGCTGGTCTGGAACTCCAGGACTCAAGTGATCCTCCTATCTCTGCCTCCCAAAGAGCTGGGATTATAGGCGTGAGCTGCTGAGCCCAGCTGACAGGGGTTTCTTAAAGGGTTTTGGCTTGTTTTGGAACATTGTGAGGGAGAATAAGTAATGGGGGCCAGTTCTGGGATGCATGTTGTCGAGAAGCAGGAGCAATTTCGTGACTGAGTATCTCAATCATTGCTATCTAGGAGGGTTAACATGGGGGCTTGAGTTGTTATTGGCAAAGCAGCAGCAGTTGTTCAGAAAGGGGCAATGCTTATTAGTAGAAGGGAATGTTTAGTAATTTTTGTGCTCCCAAGACTGGCCTTGTCAATGTCTTGTTCTGAGTATTGTTTATATTCTGCTGGACACATGGTTGATTGTCTAGCAGGGCCGTTTTTCACTATCTCAGCTTCATTTGACTTTATAAACATGCCATCCAATAAAACTCAAATTGGAATGCACTTTACAGCTTAGAAAATGCTCTTTTTCCCTGTGGGGGACTTCTTTGTGATGGTGGCATTTTCTCCATTTTTAACAACAAGGAAATTGAGGGTCAGAGACGGTAAGTGGCTTCTAAGGACCACAGCTACTTAAGCCATCAAGTCAGAAAATAGTAGCATTCAGCTCTAATTTAGTCCTGGTTTTGAAAATTGTTCATTTGACAAATCTGCACTGAGTACTTACTAAGTTCCTTGCACTATTCTGGGCTCTGAGGAGACAACTGTGATAGAGTTGAAATGTCAAGCTTGGAGTCCTGCTGGCAGGGTGGAAAGTGAAGAGGCAGCCCTGTGAAGCACAAGGACTGTGATGAGGGTGCTGTGGGAGCTCCTCACCAGGGAGGGATGCCACGCCCATATTGTACAGCTGCTGTAACAAATTACCACAAACTTAGTGGCTTAAAACAACACGAATTTATTATCTTGCAGTTCTAGAGAGCGTAAGTCTGGAGTGGGTCTCACTGGGCTAAAGTCAAGGTGTCGCAGGGCTGCATTTCGTGTGAAGGCTTTAGGGGAGAATCTGTTTCCTCATCTTTTTCAGCTTCTAGAGGCCTCCTGCAGTCTGCAGCTCAGAGCCCCTTCCTTCCTCCACCTTCAAAGCCAACAATGGCATTGCTGCAACCTCTGCTTCCCTTGTCACATCGTCTCTGATTCTTCTGCTTCCTTTTCCATCTTTTAAGGATCCCTGTGGGGTAATTCAGGATAATCTCCATATTTTGTGATCGTTAGCCGTATGGACAACACCCCCTTTGCCTTGTAAGATGACATATTTACAGGTTTCAGTGACGAGGGCAAAGAAGGGCACTCACATCTTTGTGGGGGAGCATCATTCTGCCTACGAACACCTAGGCTACTATTTTTTTTTCTTTTTGCAGGGAAAGATGGAGTTCTGATTTCACCAAGTGGCATCTATGCTGACATTAGGAGGGGACAAAAGCCAAGAAGGGAAGGTCTGGAGGCAGGGAGAAAACTTGGTTAGTGCACTGTTGGACACACTAGTCAGCTATTGTTAGCTATTCCTCCTAATTTCAGGAATCCACAAAAGCAAAGATTTACTTTTCATTCCAGCCACATGTCCACTGTGGACATGCTTCATTCCAGGGCCTAGGCTGAAGGACAGCCCCTATCTGGGACACGCTAAACTCATGGAGGAGGAACAAGTTAGGTGTCAAAGCCACAGATGACTCTTAAAGCTTCTGCTGAGGAAGGGAACTGTTCCACTAATATTTCACCACTAACATTTGGCTGGTGAGTCAAAGCAAGTCAGGTCATGTGGCCAAGGCTGATATCAGTGGGACAGGAAGTAAAATCCTCCCACAGTAAGAGGCAGTGAATAATCAGAACAGTAATAGACTAGCATAGTGGTCAGAGAGATGAGGGTAGAATGAGATGTGGGGAGTGGCTGGAAAGTCATGGGGTAGTGAGGGCCAGGTCATGCATGACTTTAAAAACCAGTTTCCTCTTCACAATGGCCAAAATATAGAATCAACTTAAGTGCCTATTTATGGATGAATGGATAAAGAAAATGTGGCATATACACACAATGGAATATTACTCAGCCATAAAAAGAATGAAATCCTGTCATTTGTAGCAACATGGATGGAACTGGAGGTCATTATGTTCAGTAAACTAAGCCAGGCACAGAAAGACAAATATTGCATGTACTGACTCGTATGTGGGAGGTAAAAAATTGGATCTCAGAAGATAGTGGACTGGCAGTTACCAGAGACCAGGAAAGGTAGTTTGGAGGAGGGAATGAAGAGAGGCGAATTAATGGATACAAACACACAGTTGATGGAGTAAGACTCACTGTTTGATAAATCCATAGGGTGACTATAGTTCACAATAATCTATTTTACATTTTAAAATGGCTAGAATATTTAGAATATTTCTAGCATAAAGACAAATAAGGTGATGAATATCCCAATGACACTAATTTAATCTTTACAAATTGTATGAATGTGTTAAATTGTCACTGTACCCCAAAAATATGTATGTTCTGATTTAAAAATTTAAAAAACAGTTCCATTTGTTAGAATGTAGGCTCCATGAGGGCAGGAAATAGGTCTCTGCCTTATCATTCTAGCCCAGTGTTTCTCAATACTTTTTTTCATTATTACTATCCCAATACAGTCTTTTTTATTTTTTTGAGACAGGATTTTGCTCTGCTGTCCAGGCTGGAGTGCAGTGGCATGATCACAGCTCACTACAGCCTCAACTTCCCAGGCTCAAGTAAACCTCCCACCTCAGCCTACTGAGTAGCTGGGACTACAGATGCATGCCACCACAACCGGCTTTAAATTTTTTTTTTTTTTTTTTGTAGAGATGGGGTTTCACCATGCTTCCCAGGCTGGTTGTGAACTCCTGAACTCAAGCAATCTGCTTATCCTGGCTTCCCAAAGTACTGGGATTATAGGCATGAGCCACTGTGCCCGGCCCACACATACAATCCTAATACCACAGATATACTGTTACATACCACATGCATATCTGGGCTCTTTATAGATAAAAACAGTAAGATATCTTTACCCTCCTAGGAAATTTAACCCCCTTGGGAGTGACATCACCTATGTTGAGAATGTGTGTTCTAGTCCTAATTAAGTTTTAATTCTTTGATTCAAGTGACTTGTGCCATGTTTATGAATTAAAGCAAATTGCTAGTAGTTAAGTTTATTTGAAGGTGGTGTCTTTGGAAGTGATTAGGTCCTGAGGATGGATTACGAATGGGATAAGTGCCCATAAAAGAGGCCCCAGACAGGAGAATGGTGTGAACCTGGGAGGCGGAGGTTGCAGTGAGCCGAGATTGCGCCACTGCACTCCAGCCTGGGTGACAGAGCGAGACTGTCTCAAAACAAAAACAAAAACAAACAACAAAAAAGAGAGGCCCCAGAGAGATCCTTCACCCCTTCTGCCATGTAAGGTTACAGTAAGAAGACTGTCTAAGAGGAAAAGGACCCTTGCTAGACACCAAATCTGCTGATGCCTTCATCTTGGACTTCCCAGTCTCCAGAACTGTGAGAAGTAAACCTGTGTTGTTGATAAGCCAGTCTATGTTCTTTTATTATAGCAGTCAAAACAGACTAACACAACTATGAACATCTATGGCCAGCAATATCTTCAGGCCATCTTCTGCTTTCAAATTCTTATGGCTTTTCCCGTTTTGGAGGAAGCCCTGCCAAGCTGCCCGATCTAAATCCACACTATTGTCAACGTACCTGGCCAGTTACAATTTCTCTTCTTTGCTATGGTTTTAGAAACCAGATGAGCTGTATAAATAGGATAGATGCTGAGTGAAGGTCTAGGAAGCTTAAAGACTCGTGCATGAGCTTAGTGCTTTGCTCGATTCAATGAGGTTCAATGAACATCAAGTGCAGGCCAGTTACGTGCCAGATACTGTTCTAGGCACTGGGGAATACAATAGTGGCTAAAAAAGTAATGTCATTCCTCTCAGGGGATCAGAAAGGTCTGAAGCCATTTCAGCTTATGAGTTCTGGCAGCACAAGAGCGGTGATGCCAGGCAGTGAGTCACACTAGGGTTGGTCAAAGGATGGAAGATGTTTGCCTTCAGACACGAAGGGCTCTACTCTTGATTTCATCTTTTGGTTTGTCCCTGATTTGAATAAAGATGAGTTGACTGTGAATGTGGAGACCAAAAGTTTTTGGGGAATCTACAAATTCACTGATTTGGTGTTCTTAGTACATAGCAAAGTACCTCCTCAGGTATAGCCTGTTCTCCACAAAATGAATTCTTACTATTCAGCATTGGCATGTGGAACAACTGTAGTCTGTAGATGCCCAAATGTAGATTTTTAAAGGTTTTCTCTGTTTAAAGAAGGTAGTGGTTCAGGGGCAGAGGGGGTTACCAAGCAGAAACAAAAAAGCGATTTTTAATACAAAGTCCTAACGCTGGCATACAGGTCCCTACAGGGTTGGCTCCACCCTCCTCTTCTCCTCCACTTGTCCCCTTCCAGCTACTCTGGCCTCCCTGCCAGTCTAGTTCTCGAACACACTAAGCACGCGCCCACTCAGAAGCTTTGGGCTTCTTGCTGAACCTACTGCACAGAAATCCCGCCCTGTATTTCCCATGGCCCACCACTTCATTCAGGCCCTGCCACTTCTGCAGAGACAACTTTGCTGGTCACCCTCCAACCTACTCTATACCTTCACCCCATTCTATTTTTCTTCATACACTTAACGCTGAGTGACGTGATGTGTATGTTTGTAGTCTTGTCTTTCCCACTTCAGTGAAAGCTCCGCAGAGGCAGGGACTTTGTTGTTGACCACTCTATCCCCAGTTCCAGTGGCCAGCACAAAGGGTCCTCATAATTCAAATTACTTTGCAGTCTTATAGTGGTTTAAAACAAAATTATTTCACTACCCACTTTTTTCCTTGAGACATCTTCTCTAAATAAGCCTTCCATATGTAGCATGTTTGTTGCTCAAGTGAGCTTATGAAAGAGTTTCACTTATTTTGAGTGTTTGTGTGTTTTTATTGTGTCTGGAAAGCAGATCACCGACTAGAAGTATGGAAGTTTGGGGCCGGGCGCGGTGGCTCATGCCTGTAATCCCAGGACTTTGGGAAGCCGAGGAGAGCAGATCACTTGAGGTCAGGAGTTTGAGACCAGCCTGGACAATATGGCAAAACCCCATCTCTACTAAAAATATACAAAAATTAGCCGGGCATGGTGGCAGACACCTGTAATCCCAGCTACTTAGGAGGCTGAGGCAGGGAGAATTGCTTGAACCCGGGAGGCAGAGGTTGTGGTGAGCTGAGATCGCGCCCCTGCACTCCAGACTGGGCGACAGAACAGGACTCTGTCCCTGGCCCACCAAAAAAAGAAGTATGTAAGTTCAGAATCATTTAATTCATGTTCTTCTCATTCAGGAAAGAATAGGAATACGGTAGCAGTCTCAATGTGTGCAGAACAGCCACTAAGACACCCTTCTCAGGTATTTCTTTTTTCTGGCCAATTAGAGCCTGAAGTCCCTTAGGTCTTTAGTCCTTAACTACCCCTTAGGCTTTACTAGTCCTTTCCTTCTACTTCCTACCAGACCAAGACACACATACCAGCCTTTTCCAACACTCAGCTGGCCTCTTGCACCAGGGAGCTGGAGTCCAGCAAGACATATTTAAGTAGCTTCCACCTCCCTGCCCCACAGGGTGAGATGGGTCTTAGTTTTAAGGTAAAGCTGAACTGCCCTGACCAGATATTCTATTACCTCATTTACAGAGCTAACAAGGAAAGCCTATTTCCACCATATTTTAATAAAATCCATGCTTTTTCTTTGAAGTTTTTGTTCCACAGCAATAAATATGGCATTTTCTTTTTATTTTTTTTTAAATATGTTACCCAGGCTGGTTTCAAATTCCTGAGCTCAAGCAATCCTCCCACCTCGGCCTCCCAAAGTGCTAGGATTACAAGTGTGAGCCAGCACACCTGGCCCAAAATGGTATTTTTCAGTAAGCACAAAGTCTAGAGAAAGGGAAATTTTAGAATAATCTTATTTTCCAATTGACACCTATAAATAAAAAGCAGTATAAGAGCTCTGATAACATGTACGTGTAAATATATGCATACAATTTACAATGTCTTTAAATAAATATATTGATTTGAGAAGGAAAAAAACTCCGCTCTCATGCAACCCCTTTAATTAGGTCAAGAAAGTTTTGTGTCATCTGAGGATAAGGAATGGTAGCGCTTTAAAAAACTGCCTAGTTTGTTAGTAGTCAAGGTTCCTGAAACTGAAACCCAATTAAATATTTAAGTAACTGCAGAAAAACAATCCCGGAAGCACACTGTCAAACTATTTTCAAAGCCAAGAATGTGTAAAGACTGAACAAAGGACTTAGAGACATCTCAACAAAAGCCAGGAGGACGTCCATGGAGATGGAAAGTCTGGCAACACCTGATGATGAAGCATGGGCTGTTCTCTGTTTGAAGTTTGTAACCTGGTTTTAATCATTTTCCAGAAATATTTCCAAATTAGAAGAGGGGGGGGGAAAAATCAAACCTTTAAAATATAATAACAAGGCCAGGCGTGGTGGCTCACTCCTGTAATCCCAGCACTTTTGGAGGCCGAGGTGGGCAGATGACCTGAGGCTAGGAGTTGGAGACCAGCCTGGACAACATGGTGAAACCCCATCTCTACTAAAAATACAAAAATTAGCTGAGCGTGGTAGCGCATGCCTGTAATCCCAGCTACTCAGGAGGCTGAGGCAGGAGAATTGCTTGAACCCAGGAGGTGGAAGGTGCAGTGAGCCAAGATCGTACCACTGCACTCCAGCCTGGATAGTGTGGGACTCTGTCTCAAAAATAAAATAAAATATATTCACAAGACTAAACTGTTACTTTATTCTGTTTGAGAGCAGCCCTGACTTAACAGCTTAGACAGTGATGGGCTATCACACCAGAGTAAGACTGTGCCATAAGTCCTAGACAAACTTAAGTCATGTGCCTCTACCTCCAATCCCAACATCTGCTCTCATACGATGGGGAACTTTCTGCATTTTTCACCCATGCCAAGTTGGGAAAAAAAGGCCCAAACACACCTAAGATGACCTTTAAAACTTCATTTTCCAATGAAAAATAAGAAACATACACATCTAATAGTGTACCAGAACTTCTGAAGAATTTATAGGGCTTCTATGTCAATTAAAGTCATGATGGAGACACATTTAAAGAGTAGAAACTTCAGTCAGACGTTCAGTGAGGCACCAAGCAGACTGCTTCCAAGATGTTCCCCTTGACAGGAAGGACTGTACCCTTGCACAGCCCAAGATCCACATATATTAATTACCTATGAAGAGAGTAGCCGGGTGACAGAACAACTTAATAATTCAGACATGCAGGGCCAGGTGCAGTGGCTTATGCCTGTAATTCCCACACCTTAGGCGGCTGAGGTGGGAGGACTGCTTGAGGCCAGGAGTTTGAGACCAATCTGGGTAACATAGTGAGACCCTGTCTCTACAAAAAAAAAAAAGAAAGAAAAAAAAATTAGCCAGGTGTGGTGGTGCATGCCTGTAGTCACAGTTCCTTGTGAGCCTGAGGTGGGAGGACTGCCTAAGCCCAGGAGTTTGGGGCTGCAGTGGGCTATGATGGTGCCCTTGCACTCTAGCCTGGGTGTCAGAGCAAGACCCCATTTCTAAAAATTAAAAAAAAAAGTTTAAATCAAGTTGGAGGGTTTATTGATATAAAAATTAACTCAACATGGATCGTAAACTTAAATGGAAAGCCTAAAAGTATAAAATTTCTAGATGAAATGATAGGAGAAAATCTTTGTAACCTTGGGTTAGGCAAAGGTTTCTTTGATAGGAACACAAAGTATGAACAAGAAAATTTAAAAACTGACAAATTGGACACCTCAAAATTTAAAACTGCTCTTCGCTGGGTGTGGTAGCTCAAGTCTGTAATCCCAGCTACTCGGAAGGCTAAGGCAGGAGGATCACTTGAGTCCAAGGGTTCGAGGCTGCAGCTAGCTACGACTGTGCCACTGAACTCCAGCCTTGGTGACAAGAGTAAGACCCTGTTTCTTTAAAAAACAAAAAAAAATGAAGATGAAAATGAAAGTCAAAACAGATAATACATTGGGCCCAATGTAAAAGAGACAATACAACGGACATTTTCAAAGAAAATGTCTCATTTCGAATAATATCTCTGCACTAGAGTACCTTAAAAAAGCATAGGTTGCTAAGGCAGGTTTGATTCCTAAACACTACAAGCAGGGGTTATGCATATCACGAGCTAACTCAACATATAGGCTGGAGAAAAGGAAGGCAATGAGTGAGTAAGAATCCAAGGAAGACAGCACAGGGAGCTGGAAAGGGGAAGACAGGAGCATCCATTGGGAAGAAGTGGCAAACACTAAGAATTACTTACAAGTGACTTCAGCTGCTTTCTGTCTGGCTCTACTCACTAAAGTCCGTCTGGAAAGGTCTTGTTTAATGGGGATGAAAAACCATTATTTTAGAAAAGAAAAATGCATATTTTTCTTTTATTTATGTATTTATAAAAAGATTTACACCAATCAAGCCTGTAACATGTACAAAGTAAATCTTTTTGCAAAGTTAAATATATGAAAATCCAAAAGCAGACTGAATTATAAAAAAAAACTTTTTATTTTTGTCACTAAATACAATTAGTTTCCCTGATTATAACCCATAATCAATGTCACCTAACATACAGATGGTCTGTACAGAGGTGAACAACCCCACCATCTTTCTCTACATATATATTAGGACCACTAAACTCAGATAAAGCAGAGCTGAGCTTGTTAAATTATTGTCTGTTTTAGAAACTCTTACCATTTAAAGGAAATTGGAAGATTTAGGTAGAATACTTGTACAATAACTTAAAAAGTTAAAAGCTTGTAGTGATAAAATAATCTTGTGCACTGTTCTCAGAAATTTTAGGCAATTGGCCTTCTTGCAGATCCCAAGTCTAGAAAAAGACAACCAATCACTGCAACAACTGGGCTTGGTTCATTTGCCATATGGTTGGTCGTGGTGCATTTCTGGTGTGTAAGTCAACAGAACAATCATGACCCAGAGGTGAAGCAAAGCCTAGAGAAAGAAAAAGCAATTTGTGGATTAGCCAATAAACCAATTTTTACCAAAGGCCCACTGTACACTGAGGGCAGGCACTGTGTCTTACCTGCCTCTGTATCCCCTATGGGACACATGAAGGAATGAATGAAACAACTAAATGAGCTCAGTGCAATGGAAGGTAATAAAGACTTGCTACTCCTACAGAATTCAGTTGAGAGGAGTCAGCTCTGAACTTCAACACATTCACAATATGCACGTGTATGCAAAATAATCAGTTGATTATAATGCAGAGTGATTAAAACTGCTAGATACACATGAAGTTGGTTAGAAAACACTTTTAGAACAGTTATAGTTGGTATTCTGAAAGAGAGTTTAACCAATGTTCGGTGAAGAAGAGATGGGAAAATATTCTAGACAGAAATAATGTGTCGTTTCAGAGGCTGATGTAGGGCCCAGAACACGATTCATAGTGACAAATTTAATTCCCTCATGGTAGTACCGAAATGATACGAGATTCCATCACTAAGTGCCTCACCACTTTGTCGTGTGCCAGAAATCACATCTCATGGGCACCATCTCATGACAGTGCCCGTGTTACTCATCATCACTAACACCTGGGAAATCAACCCCTCTGGGGCATATTCTGAATGCTTTCTGATGCCATTCAATTTTTTTTTGTACTCCCCACGCTTTCCTTCTTAAAAACTTGTTATTATGCCAGGTGCAGTGGCTCACACCTGTAATCCCAGCACTTTGGGAGGCCGAAGAGGGCGGATTACTCAAGGTCAGGAGTTTGAGACCAGCTTGGCCAACATAGTGAAAACCCATCTCCCAAACACAGAAAAATTCGCTAGGTGCAGTGGCGTGCGCCTGTAGCCCCAGGTACTCGGCAGGCTGAGGCAGGAGAATCGCTTGAACCTGGGAGGTGGAGAATGCAGTGAGCCAAGATCATGCCACTGCACTCCAGCCTGGGTGACAGAGCGAGACTCAGTCTCAGAAAAAAAAAACAACACAAAACCTGTATTTAAAGGAATAACTCTTCCCTCTAGTGGATCACAGAGAAATTTCTTTTTAAAGAAATTTCTTTTCAAGAAAACAGCCCATTTTCATTCAACCCAACTACTTTTAGACATACCCACTCCAAATAGTTAGCAGCCTTTTTAGGCACACGGTACATGCGAAATGGCATCCCAAACTACCGTAACCATTTTACTAGAGGTAAGAAATCTGGGAGAAAGTAAATCAATCTTGAGGCTCTTTTAGAAAATAAAGCAAAACACATGAAAACAATTAAAGCAACTTTACAACGTCAAGATAAAAAATTGTTTTGTATTCAAATTGTTTTTATCATTAGAAGGGCTTTAAAATGGAGGTAACTATTAGACTGCGTTTAATTTTATTTGTAGGAAAAGCCTTTGAGGAATTTATATTCTAGACATAATGAATTGTCAATTTATACTCTACCAAAAGAAATCTTAATTACTAAAACTGAGTTCTCTCTTTCCAAACTGTCTGCTGGCTGGGTGCGTTGGCGCATTCCTGAAATCCCAGCACTCTGAGAGGCCAAGGTGGGAGGATCACTCGAGCCCAGAAGTTTGAGACTATCCTGGGCAACATGGTGAAACCCTGTCTCTACAAAAAATACAAATATTAGCTGGGCATGGTGGTGCACGCCTGTAGTCCCAGCTACTTGGGAGGCAAAGGTGGGAGGATGGCTTGAGCCTGGGAGGTAGAGGCTGCAGTGAGCCAAGACTGCACCACTGAACTCCAGCCTCAGCAAAAGAGCCAGACCCTGTTTCAAAAAAAACAAAAAAAAATTGATTGATTGCTAAAATATCAATAAGATCTGTAGCCAAAACAAACAAACAAACAAAAAAAAAAACTAGTTAAAAATCAAGTGCATCATTGTTTTTTCAAATAAATTTACTTACCATATATATAATTACAAAAACTCGCGCTATGGGGTATCTTCGGAGAAAAATTCCCAGGCGAATACTGTGCAGACACAGGTGTGAGGGGGAGAGGAGAGAGAAGAGTCACAGTCAAAACAAATCTTCCTGTGGTAATATCTAATGATGCTGATAAATTTAACTCATTTAAACTATTTATGTGGCTACCACAGAAGAACAATTTTTATAGCAGACTGTTAAATGATTACTTGAAATAATAATATAAAAATGTCATAGAGGTAAATAAATGCTTTTATCATTATTTGGGGCTTGGCTGTTAAACTTCAGCACAGGTATTTCTCTTAATTCTACAGCCACAACTGTAGGAGGCAAACTTGATCCCTAATTTTTTTTTTTTTTGAGACGGAGTTTCTCTCCTGTCGCCCAGGCTGGAGTGCAATGGCGCGATCTCTGCCCACGGCAACCTCTGCTTCCTGGGTTCAAGCAATTCTCCAGCTTCAGCCTCCCGAGTAGCTGGGATTACAGGTGCGCCACTACCACCACGCCTGGCTAATTTTTTTGTATTTTTAGTAGAGACGGGGTTTCGCCATGTTGGCCAGGCTGATTTCAAACTCCTGACCTCAGGTGATCCGCCTGCCTCAGCCTCCCCAAAGTGCTGGGATTACAGGTGTGAGCCACCGTGCCCGGCCTAAATCTTTTTTTAGTGGAATTACAGAAGTTACGAAAGATTAGGTGGGTGTCAACTATGTGACTGGGGAAAAAAAGAGTCTGGTTGGCATTAACCTGCAAATAGCTAATCTAGAAGCTTTTGTATAGATACATGCTTCTAAAAGGTACAAAGCTATAAACTCATGCATTTGAATAAATAGTGTGGAAGCAATATGATGTCCAGATCTATTATGCCTCTGCAACATTTTTTTCCCTATCAAGACAGATACATGCAGAAGCAATACCCCTTTCTGCTTCTTTCATTGCCACTAGCACAATGTCTTGCACTTAGGTTCTCTAACAACTACGTATGTTGAATAAATGAATAGTTGAACTAGATGTGCTTAATTTGGACATAATGGCTATGGCATCCTAGTTCTGAGGCTTCAGTCATCTTGGTATATCATTCTTATTTTTAATACAATAGCTCAATTCTGACACAAAAAGGTACAAAAAGATTATTATGCCACAATTCATTAAAACTTTTCATTATAAACACTACAAAGAAAAAGGGTACAGTAGGTTATTTAGACAAGAACCTTATCAATGCTATATGTAAACTATTAAAATATTTTTTTGATAAGGCAGATGTCTGCTAATATAAAAAATTTACATATACATAAACATAAATTTTGTTATTTATATAAAATATATAATACAATGAGTGCTGTTCAGCTATATATAGTAGCATCTTTTATTCTAATAGCATGATAAAATTCTGGGATAAAACATTCAAATGGATACTTTTACATGAAGTAGAGGCTTTCTCAATAAAATTTAATGAAGTTTTTAAAAATAGAATTTATTATAGAAAAAAGAGATACAGTCAGGGTTAATCATCTTCAATAAAATGTAGGCATTGGCAGACCTCTTGACATAATTTCTGACATGATATTTCAAATATCATGAAAGAAGTCACTTCATGAAAGTGTAATATAACTGTGAAATAAATAAAAGTGTATATAAGTATAAAATATCTTGAAAGGAGTAAGTCACTTTAAATATAGACTCTGCCTGATGGGAGTCACTGTGATTGAAACCCTGAAAAACGTAAAAACAGCTGATGGTCCATCACTCATCCCTACTGGCATTGCTTACCTAAACTGATCAATTGAACTAGCAGCTTTGCGAACTTTTCCGTACATTCCTGCCAGATTAGTTTCTGTGTCATTAAAAAGAACAGGAACATTTCGCAGACGAGTGCCTGTTTAAATAAGAAAATAAATTAGTGTACTGACATAAAAATTAACTAAGACAATTATAATTGGAAATACACTGTATTACATGTGGAAGGAATTTTCAAGGGCAACTTTCTAAGCATCACCCCAAAGTAGATGAAACTATAAAGAAAGGACAGGTAAATTTGATGACATAAATATTTAAACATCCATATCCACAACAAGAAAAAAGTTTTAAATAAGAAAATGATTTTAGCAAAAATTAAGAAATTTACAAATACTAAGCGTTGACAAGAGTCAATATTAATGGGCCCTTTGTTCCTATGTGAGGAGGAGTGAGGCCGGGTGGTCTTTCTATGAAGCAGAGGACTCCCAAATGTGTACTCCAGCCCAGAGGCTTCATCCCCTGCCAGACTCATCCAACTGCCTATTCGCTTCCATCCAGATATCTAACGGGCACCCCAAAGCCTGCCTAACACTACAATTCAGAGTTCTTGTCCTCGCTGTCAACCTGCCTCAGCTGCCATTTCCCTGTCTCAGGACATCACAATTCCAATCCTTCCATCTGCTCAGGCCAAAACTCTTGACTTCTTTCTCTCAAACTCCGTATCTCATCTGCCAACATATTCTGTCAGCTTACCTTTAAAATAAATTCTCAGTCCACCTTCACAATCCCACTCAGTTCTAGACTACCATCTCTCACATGGATTAATGCAATGGCTACCCACCCACCTCCGGCCTCCTCTTGCCCTGTCTCCCTGCTTCCACTTTTAGCCCTGTGCAGTCTATTCTTGACATGGCAGTCAGAGGCAGCCTATTAAGGTGCAAGTCAGATCAGTCCCCCCTCTCAAGATCCTTCAATGGCTTCCTACCTCATTCAGAGTAAAAGTCCCCATACAGGCCTCAACGGCCTATTCTAAGCTCTCTGGATTCATCTTACACAAGTGTCTTCTTCACTCAGTCTACTCCAGAGGCCTTGGCCTCCTTGCTGTTCCTGAAATATGCCAGGAACATGCCTGCCTCAAGGCCTTTGTGCCTGCTCTTCTTTCTGCCTGGAACACTTTTTTTCTATGCCTCCTCATTGTTCACTATCTTACCTCCTTTGGGACTTTAAAGAAGTGACACTTTTCACCGTATGTTCTCACTCATAGGTGGGAATTGAACAATGAGAACACATGGACACAGGAAGGGGAACATCACACTCTGGGGACTGTTGTGGGGCTGGGGGAGGGGGGAGGAGGGATAGTATTAGGAGATAGACCTAATGCTAAATGACGAGTTAATGGGTGCAGCACACCAGCATGGCACATGTATACATATGTAACTAACCTGCACATTGTGCACATGTACCCTAAAACTTAAAGTATAATAATAATAAAAAAATAAAATAAAAAAAAAAAGGTGAAACCTAAAAGAAACTGAAAACCCTTAAAAAAATCACAGAAGTTATGGTCAGGAAAATTTTATTAATTTAAGCGAGGCACTTTTTATTTATGCCATTAAGGAGTATGATTTACTTATTTATAATTTCATTTTTACTTGTAATTAACAATTACAAATAAAATGATAATTATACATTAAAAAAAAAAAAGAAGTGACACTTTTCAACGAGGTCTTCCTGATCACCCTTTTTAAATTACAGTGCCATCCCCATACCTGGCACCCAGCGTCTCTTAAACAATTTTTTTTATTAAAAGAAATAATTTAAAGCCAAAGAACTGAGAAATTTGCTGAATGACAATTTGTAGACTTTACGAAGTTCCAAGATTAAAAATCTGATCTGTTGATGCTTATACTATCTTACACATTATTTTTTAATTACATATGTTGGGAATCTATAGATTTCTTTAGATATGGTTATGTGAACTATGTATTAGCTCTAATACCCGTAACTATTTACTGGAAGATTATTAAAGCAAATCTTGTTTCAAGTGTCCTGAAAGCTCCTCTCTACTGAATTCCTCGCCTTGTCAGCATCATCTTGTTAAGTGTCTCAGACATTACAATATAATTATCAATCCTCAGACTACTTTCCCCAAGTCTAATACTGGTGAGGAATATTAATTAGTCCATTATCCGGTTCACTAACAATACTAAACAGTACGTGGCCCAGGTCTCATATCAGAAAATTGAGTCCTTCACTGGATGAAGTTTCTTTCAAATAAAAATAGTCCTTCTATAACTTTTCAAAAGCATGTTTGAATGAAATGTTCTTTTGAGATTCCTTTTTTGATTACCTTCACCATTGTCAATTCCAGACATATTAATCGAAGACCCATTACTACTACTTCCAGAGGCGGAGTTCATCTGCTGTTCGAGGCGCTCCAGTTGAAAGACCAGGGAGTTCTTTTCTGTGCTGAGACTCTCCAGCATGGTCTGTTTCTGGATGAGAGTCTCTGTTAGCTGATGGAGTCGATTTTCTAACTCAGACTGACTGCTATTGCTTAAAGTTTTATTGGTAAGCTGAAAGAGAAAGTGTTCACAAAATTCTTACATAAAATGAAAGTCATACAATACAGAAATCACACTACTACATTTTCATAGGTAAATTGTGGCATTCATTGATTTCTCAAAACTCTATACTGACTCAATGTCTACAAAAGTGATTTTCAAAAACTGGGGTCATGAAATCAATTTGGTGGGTCAAAATCAGCATTTTAGAAAATGTAATAGAATGGGACATATTCTGATATTTATGTAACATATAGTATATATAAAAGTATAATTTTGTGAAACTCCTGTTTCAGTTTGGTACATGTAAGTGCATGTCAGTACTGAGACACGATGTAAACTGTTTTTCTCACTGAGGCGTCATGGTCAAAGTATTTCAAAGCATGGGTTTAGAGGACACAATCCACACTTTTCAACAGGGATTCAAAAGCCTCCGTCATTCAACAGTTACGGTGCAGTGCAAAGATCACACTCTGAGGTTTTCATCTCTGCTCTGCAATTTTCAAGCTATTTGACTTCAGGTTAATTGCTATACTTCTCTGAATCTGTTTCCTCATCTGTTAGTGAAGATGACAGCACCCGTTGCACATGGTATTTAGGGACAGTAAATGATAGTTGTCCTAGGAGACTCTGGCTGAAAGTTGATACTTAACGACTTCCTTCATTCCATCTTCCATCTGGTCTTATCTGTCTCCATCTCCCTCTACTCTCCTCCAGCCTCCGCTATGCCGGCCACGTTTCCTCTGTTTGGAAACTCAATCCCCTTCTCTTATCTAGGCTCCACCTGCCTTTCTTTCTTATAAATCCCTTACAGCACTCCCCACAAATTAAGTACACCACAACAAATAACTACCAGATGGAATTATATTGAACATAAACTAAGGTTTACTACTTAAAAAAGAATGCTCCATTTTAAGATTGCACTGTGATCCCCTAATCAACATACTTCATACTCTTTGTTGAAGTCTTCTCTAATCACTCTAGCCCAGGTTAATCTTAGCTTTCTTGGTAAATGTCTTGGTATTTATCAGTCACTCCGATAACGCTGTTTTATGGGAGTCAATTTTGCCTCCTCAATGACACTGTAAGTCAGCTTCATGAGGGCAAGAATCATTGTCTACATCAATACAGTATTGAAAAAAGTTTGATCTAAGTTTAAAACCCCAGCTCTGACATTTCCTAGCTACAGTATCTTGGGAAAGCTATTAAATCTGAGCCTGTTTCCTTGTTCATAGGATATGATGCTTACTTAAATTAACATATAAAACACCTAATATGGTACCTGTCATATGGTAGGCACTTAAAAAATTAGCTTCCTTTCTTATGAATCCTTTACAGCACTCCCCACAAATTAAGCACACCACAACAAATAACTACCAGATGGAATTTTATTGAGTATAAACTAAGGTTTACTATTTTTAAAAGAATGCTCAATTTTAAGATGGTACTATGATCCCCTAATCAACATACTTCAAGATTTTTTAATCAAGGTAAAATCTATATAGTGAAATACCCAGGTATTAAGCAAAAAACGAACTGTGACAAATGTTTGACGGTATAGTCAGCATCAAGATCAAAACAAACAATGTTTCCATCACCCTAGACAATCACTATTCTGATTTCTATTAGCAGAATTTAGTTTTGCCTATTCTTGAATTTCCTGAGTGGAATCACACAGTATGAATCCTTTTGCACATGGCTTTTAAAAAAAAAAATTCATCTGAGTTGTGTTAGTTTGACGAATGGTTTGCAATTTGTTTATCCATTACCTGCTGATGGACATTTGGGTTGTTTCCAATTTGGGCTATTTATGAACAAGCATGTTACAAATATTCATGTACAAGTCTTCTAGTGGTCATACATCTTCATTTACACTGGGTAAATATCTAAAGTCACAGGTTAGATGTACGTTAGCCTTATCAGAAACAGCCAGTTTTCCAAAGTGGTTGTGCTGCTGTGCACTTCCACCAGCAGTGGGTGAGAGTTCCAGCTGCACCACATCCTCACCAACACATGCTACTGCCAATCTTTTCCATTTCAGCCATTCTAGTGGGTGTGTGGTAGTATACCTTAGTGATGACTCTGAGCACCTATTCACATGCTTATTTAATCATTCATATACAGGCACACCTCAGAGATAATATGGGTTTGGTCCACTGGAATAAAGTGAATATTGCAATAAAGTCAGTCACACGAATTTTTTGGTTCCTCAGTGCATATAAAAGTTATATTTAGGCCAGGTGTGGTGACTCACGTGTGTAACTCCAGCACTTTGGGAGGTCAAGGTAGGAGGATTGCTGGAGCCCAGGAGTTCAAAACCAGCTTGGGCAACATAATAAGACCCCACCTCTACAAAAAATTTACAAATTAGCCGAGTGTGGTGGTGCATGCCTGTAGTCCCAGCCACTTGGGGGGCTGAGGTGGGAGGACCACTAGAGCCTGGGAGGTCAAGGCTGCAGTGAGCTGTGATCGCACCACTGCACTCCAGCCCGGGTGACAGAGCAAATATCCTGTCTCCCAAAAACAACAACAACAAAAAGCTGTATTTACAATATACTGTAGTCTATTAACAGTGCAGTAGCATGATGTCTAAAATAACAACGTGCATACTTTAAATCAGGGATGTCTAATCTTTTGGCTTTTCTGGGCCACACTAGAAGAATTATCTTGGGCCACACACAAAATACACTAACACTAATGATATCTGATAAGCTAAAAAAAAAAAATACCAGTCACAAAAAAAATCTCATAATGATTTAAGTTTACGAATTCTGTGTTGGGTTGACTATGGGTCGGACAAGCTTGCTTTTGTTTTTGAGACGGAGTTTTGCTCTGCCGCCCAGACTGGAGTGCAATGGTGTGATCTCACCTCACTGCAACCTCCGCCTCCCAGGTTCAAGCAATTCTCCTGCCTCAGCCTCCTGAATAGCTGGGATCACAGGTACCTGCAACCATGCTCGGCTAATTTTGTATTTTTAGTAGAGACGGGGTTTCACCATGTTGGTCAGGCTAGTCTCGAACTCCTGACCTCAGATGATCCACCTGCCTCGGCCTCCCAAAGTGGTGGGCTTACAGGCGTGAACCACCATGCCCGGCCCAAGCTTGCTTTAAATAAACATGCTAACCATCATTTGAGCCTTCAGTGAGTCCTAATCTTTTTGTTGGTGGAGAGTCTTGCCTTGATGTTGATGGCTGCTGACTGATCAGAATGGTGGCTGCTGAGGGCTGGGGTGGATGTGGCAATTTCTTAAAATAAGATAACAACAAAGTTTGTCACATCGATGGGTTCTTCCCTTCACGAAAGATTTCCCAGTAGCATGTAATGATGTTTGATAGCATTTTACTCACATCAGAACATCTTTCAAAACTGGAGTCAATCCTTTAACACCCTGCCAGTGCTTCATCAACTAAGTTAATGTAGTATTCTAAATTCTTTGTTGTCATTTCAACAATGTTCACAGCATCTTCACCAAAAGTGGATTCCATCTTAAGAAATCACTTTCTTAGCTCATCGGTAAGAAGCAACTCCTCATCTGTTTAAGTTTTATTATGAGATTGCAGCAATTTAGCCACATCTTCAGGCTCCATTTCTAATTCTAGTTCTCTCGCTATTTCTACCACATGTGCAATTACTTCTTTCAATGAAGTCTTGAACTCCTCAAAGCCATCCTTGAGGGCTGGAATCAGCTTCTTCCACACTCCTGTTAATGTTGATATTCTGGCCTCCTCCCATGAATCACAAATGTTCTTAATGGCATCTAGTATAGTGAATCTTTTCCAGAAGGTTCTCAATTGACTGTGCCTCAAGATCCAACTAAGGAATCTATGGCAGCAATAGCCTTATAAAAAGTATGTCTTAAGTGATAAGACTCGCCAGGCACAGTGGCTCACTCCTGTAATCTCAGCACTCTGGAAGGCTGAGAGGGGAGGATTACTTGAGCCTAGGAGTTTGAGACCAGCCTGGGGAACATAGTGAGACCTCATTTCTACAAAAAAACAAAAGTAGCCAGGCGTGGTAGCTTGCACTTGTAATCCCAGCCACTTGGGAAGCTGAAGTGGGAGGATCACTTGAGCCCAGGAGGTGGAGGTTGCAGTGAGCCAAAATCACACCACTGCACTCCAGCCTGGGTGACAGAGTGGGACCTTGTCTCAAAAATAAATTAACTGGCTAGGCGCAGTGGCTCATGCCTGTAATCTCAGCACTTGGGACGCTGACGCAGGTGGATTGGTTGAGGCCAGGAGTTAGAGACCAACCTGCCCAACATGGCAAAACCCCATCTCTACCAAAAATACAAAAATTAGCCCAGTGTGCTGGCATGCACCTGTAATCCCAGTTACTTGGGAGACCAAGGCACAAGAATTGCTTGAACCCAAGAGGCAGAGGTTGCAGTGAGCTGCGATCAGGCCACTGCACTCCAGTCTGGGCAACAGAATCAGGCTCTGTCTCAAAAAATAAAAATAAATAAATTAATTAATTTAATTAAATAATGAGACTTGAAGGTCAAAATTATACCTTGGGCTGCCAAATGGATATTGTATTGGCAGGTATGATTTCATAAACAATGGATGAAACAAAAATGTTTTCATAAACAACATTAATCTCCTTGTACAGCTCTATTAGAGTTCTTGGGTGACCAGGAATGTTGTCAATAAGCAGTAATATTTTAAAAGGAATCTTTTATTCTGAGCAATAGGTCTCAACAGTGAGCTTAAAATACTCAGTAAACCATGCTGTGAACAGATGTGCTGTCATCTAGGCTTTGTTGTTCCCTTTACAGAGCACAAGCAGCACAGATTTACCATCATTCTTAAGGGTCTTAGGATTTCCACAATTGTAAATGAGCACTGGCTTTAACTTAAAGTCACCAGCAGCATTAGCCCCTAACAAGAGAGTCAGCCCGTCCTTTGAAGCTTTGAATCCAGGCAGTGACTTCTCCTCTCCTGGAGAAGGAGCTATGAAAGTCCTAGATAGCATTTTCTTCCAATAGAAGGCTGTTTCATCTACATTGAAAATCTGTTGTTTAGTGCAGCCATTTTCATCAATGATCTTAGCTAGATCTCCCAGATAACTTGCAGCAGTTTCTCCATTAGCACTTGCTGCTTCACTTTGCATTTTTACATTTGGGAGATGGCTTCTTTCCTTACACCTCAAAACCAAACCTCTGCTAGCTTCAAACTTCTCTTCTGCAGCTTCCTCACCTCTCTTAGCCTTCACAGAATTGAAGAGAGTTAGGGCCTTGCTCTGGATTAGGCTTCGGCTTAAGGGAATGTTGTGGCTGGTTTGATCTATCCAGACCACTCAAACTTTCTCCTTGTCAGCAATAAGGCTGTTTGGCTTTCTTATCATTCGTATGTTCACTAGAGTAGCACTTTTAATTTCCTTCAAGAACTTTTCCTTTGCATTTAAAACTTGGCTGACTGGTGCCAATAGGCCTAGTTTTGGGCCTATCTTGCCTTTTGACATGCCTTCTTCACTAAGCTTAATCATCTCTAGCTTTTCACTTAATGTGAGAGACATCTGACTCTTCCTTTCACTTGAACACCTAGAGGCCATTGTAGGTTTATTAATTGGCCTAATTTCAATATTGCTGTGTCTTAAAGACTAGAAAGGCCTGAGGAGAGGTAAAGAGATGTGGGAATGGCCAGTTGATGGAGCTGTCAGAACACACACATTTATGGATTAAGTTCACTGTCTTATGTGGATGCAGTTTGTGTGCCCCCAAAACAATTACAATAGTTATATAAAAGGTCACTGATCACAGATCACCACAGATATAATTAAAAAATCAGAAATATTGTGAGAATTACCAAAATGTGACACAGACATGAAGTGAGCATATGCTGTTGGAAAAATGGTGTGGACAGACTTGCTTGATGCAGGGTTGCCATAAACTTTCAATTTGGTAAAAATGCAGTATCTGCAAACTGCAATAAAGAGAAATGCAATAAAACAAGGTGTGCTTTTTTCTTCTTTTTGGAAGGGTCTATTCAAGTCTTTTACCTATTTAAAAGAAATGGCTGTGCACCTTATTATTAAGAGTTCTTATCCTGGTTATAAATCCTTTATCAGATATATATATACAGAGAGAGAAAGTAAATATTATTTCCCAATCTGTGGCTTACCTGTTTTTATTTTTATAATCTCTTTTGATGAGAAGAAAATTTTAATTTTTATGAATAGCAATGTATCATTTTCTTCTACAGTTAGCGCTTTTTGTATCTTCTCTAAGAAATCTGTCAGCCTCAAAATTGCAAAAAGATTCTCCTACACGTTCTCCTAGAAGCTTTATAGCTTAGGCTTAGCGTCATCTCAAATTAATTTTTGGTAACTTTGCAAGTCTAATTAGGGGATAAAAATAAAGGTTCATTTTTTTTCTCTGTATGTTTTCATCTACTCCCATGCAATAATTTTCTTTTTTTTCTTTTTTTTTTTTTTGAGATAGAGTCTGGCTCTGTCTCCCAGACTGGAGTGCAGTGGCACAATCTTGGCTCACTGCAACCTCTGCCTTCTGGGTTCAAGTGATTCTCCTGTCTCAGCCTCTCAAGTAGCTGGTATTACAGGTCTGCACCACCATGCCCAGCTAATTTTTTTGTATTTTCAATAGAGACAGGGTTTTGCTATGTTGGCCTGGCTGGTCTTGAACTCCTGGCCTCAAGTGATCTGCCCACCTTGGCCTCCCAAAGTGCTGGGATTACAGGTGTGAAAAATGAAAAAACATTCAAACTGGCAACCTATTTTTTTAACCTACATGCAGAAAGCCCAAAAATAATAAGCATAATTCTTTATTGTTCATTCAGAATAAATCTTAACTCACTCCAATTGTGTGATTTTTTTTTTTTTTTGGCAATGTATTAAGATGCTGATCTCTTTTCAGATTGTACAAGTCAACTTAATTCTACGGGACAAAGGTTTTGCTCTCTTCTAATTTGATGAAAAACCTTTCAGAGAAATCCTCCTATGGTTAATTCTTTCTTTTTAAGAAACAAAGTCTCTCTCTGTTGCCCAACTAGAGTACAGCGGGGTGATCATAGCTCACTGCAGCCTTGAACTCCTAGGCTCATGTGATCCTTATGTCTTAGCCTCCCAAGTAGCTGGGACTTACAGGTACGTGCCACCATGCACCTAATTAAAAATATTTTTTTAGAGATGATGGTCTCGCTATGTTGCCCAGGCTGATCTTGAACTCCTGACCTCAAGTGATCTCCCTGCCTCAGCCTCCCAAGTAGTTAGGACTATAGGCATAAGCCACCCTATGGTTGTTTTTTCTTTTTTTTTTTGAGACAGGGTCTCACTCTGTCACTCAAGGTGGAGTGTAGAGGTGCACTGAGAGCTCACTGCAGCCTTGACCTCCCAGGCGCAAGTGATCCTCCCATATCAGCCTCTGAGTAGCTAGAACTACAGGTGTGTGCCACCACGCCTAATTTTTTGATTTTTTGTAGAGACAAGGTCTCACTATGTTGCCCAGGCTGGTCTCAAACTGCTGAGCTGAAGCGGTCCTCCTGCCTCGGTCTCCCAAAGTGTTGGGATTTCAAGCATGAACTACCTCACCTGGCCTAATTCTTGATTAACAAAAATGGTGCAATACTTCAGATACAGTAGGTACTCAATAAATATTTAGTAAATATAGAAAAAGGATTAAACCAATTGGTGGTTTTTGCTCCTTCTTTTGACTTTCTGCTAGCACATCACGTGACCATCTGTAAGTATTTCACAAAATAGGCAAGGGAAGAAGGGAATGCTCAAATCAGTGAGCTGTTCTCAACTCTTATAAAAATTAAGACAAAGTATTTCAAAACATTTAAAATTATGGACTACTATCAAGTCTGGAAACTTAAAAGACCAAAATTATTTGACTTTTCATAGTTCAAACTAAGCCATTAACTAAAAAATAAAGACTCAATCTTTATGTAAATTATTTAAATGATTATTAAGTCCATTAAATCAATTGTCTAAACCTAAGGAAGGAAAGGACAACTATGATTACAGGGAATGTGAACGTGTGACTCTATCAGCTAATGATAAAGGCTTTGGTAAGTCTGGGTGGTAGGCACATGAGTGTCATTATTTTCTGTACATTTTACATTTTCACGGTTAAAAAAATATCTTGGTGACTTTATGGAAGACTGATCAATCATTAATAGGAAGATGTATCATTAGATTTTTCTTAGGAAAATGAAATCACAATTATGAACCTGGCAATCAGCACAACCACACTGATGTCAAAGGTCTGAAATTTCGGGGTAATTCTCATCTACTTCGTGACTTTGGCTACAAGATACTTCTATAAGAAGCAAATCATAGAACAGAGCAAATGTAGACTCAAATGGCATTAGATGAATTTTCTATACCAGGTTGAAAAGAACTTTTGTCACCACTGTTACAAAAGAACTCAGGTGAAAACACGGGGAAAGTTCTTACTGTGTCCTTTTTAAAAAAATGTAGCTTTATCAGTGGCATCTTTTCACAAGTTGTGAATAGTGATTCATACCTGATTCCTGAGTTTTTGAATTTCTTCGTCTCGATCTTTAATTCTGCTTTGCAATGTGTTCTTTGTTCGATAAAGATCTTCTTCTATATAGTGGAACTCCTGCAAAGTGAGGCACAAACAAAACAGAAGCGAAATAAGTGTCCCCTATTCCATCCTCAGTACCTAAATCAGTGCCTGGCACATGGTAGACAATCAGTATGTGCTGAACATGTAACTCCGTATATAACTGAGTTTATAACAGAGTGTATTATATAATGAGTATATAATTAAGTGAATAACAGATGGGTCTGATGAAAAGCTGGCACTTCAGTATGTATTGTAAACAAAGATCCATAATAAATAATTATTAACAGTGTAAATAATCAGAAACAAAAAATGTTTATCTTGTAATGAGGAAGAATGGATAATCTCTTCAAGAATCTCAGTTATATAGCATTAATATGACAACTGGAAAAAATATTCATAAAATATATGATAAAGATCAATATAATGTTCATAAAATAGATTAAAAACACAAACCAGGAACATTTTAAAAATAGGCAAAGTACATGAGACAAAGAAAAACAATAATTCAGTAAGGTGGCAGAATATAAAACAATATATAAAAATCAATAGTTTTATATAAAGCAGTTAGAAGATATGAGAAAAAGGCCCCAAGAAATAATAGTAGCAAAAACAAATTTAACAACAGATGTGTGGAGTACATATAAAGAATACTTTAAAACATTTCTAAAGGGTACAAAAAATACTGGAACATATAAAAAGTCATATCATATTCTTAGGAATACAACATCATAAAGATGTCAGTTCTCCTCTAATTAATTCATAAGTCTGACATGATCTCAACAAAAACAAAAGCTGCTTTTTTTAAAAAAAACTATGTAAAGTTATTCTAGTATTCATATGGAAAACTGTAAGAAAGAAAAGCCAGGTTGGGCACGGTAGCTCACAACTGTAATTCTAGCACTTGGGGAGGCTGAAGTGGGTGAATTGCTTGAGTCCAGGAGTTCAAGACCAGCCTGAGCAACAGAGTGAGACCTCATCTCTACAAAATATAAAAAAATTAGCCAGGCTCGGTGGTGCGTGCCTGTAATCCCAGCTACTCAGGAGGTTGACGTGGGAGAATTACCTGAGCCTGAGGAGGTCGAGGCTGCAGTGAGCTGTGACCGCATCACTGCATTCTGGCCTGGGTGACAGAGTGAAACCATGGCTCAAAAAAAAAAGAAAAGAAAAAGAAAAGCCAGAAGCTCTGAAAAGGAGAACGGGTCATAAAGACATTAAAACATATAAAATCTCAGAAATTAAAAGCAATGTGGTACTGATGCATAAACAGACAAAGTGACTAATGGAAGAGAACAAAAGTCCAGAAGCAGATCTAGATACCTTGAGAATTTAGGACATGATAAAGGTGACATCTCAAATCAATAAACTATTTAAAAAAATGATACTAGGAAAAAAGTAGCCATATGGAAGAAAATTAGGTTGGATCTGTAGCTCACCTCACACATCAGAGTAAATTCCTAATAAATCAAAGATTTATATGCAAGAATCAAACCAAAAAAGTACTAGAAGAAAACTACAGAGGCAAATTTCTTTATAATTTCACAAAGAGGAACACGGTGACTGAAAATCCAGAAGCCTTGGTAGAAAAGAATGATAAAGTTGACTACATAAAAATCAACTTCTGGCCGGGTGCAGTGGCTCACAACTGTAATCCCAGCACTTTGGGAGGCTGAGGCAGGTGGATCACTTGAGGTCAGGAGTTTGAGACCAGCCCTTGGCCAACATGGTAAAACCCTGTCTCTACTAAAAATACAAAAATTAGCCAGCCATAGTGGTGAACGTCTGTAATCCCAGCTACTCGGGAGGCTGAGGCAGGAGAATTGCTTGAACTCAGGAGGCGGAGGTTGCAGTGAGCCGAGATCGCGCCACTGCACTCCAGCCTGGGCAACAGAGCGACACTCCGTCTCAAAAATCAACTTCTGCATGGCAACAAAACAAAATAAAAACCCTATGCAAACTAAAAGACAGATGACAAGCTGGGAAAAATTATTTGCAATTCATATTATAGACAAAAGGCTAATCTCCCCAAAAAGGCTAATACCTCTAAACTCATTAACAACTGCACTAATGCACTGCTCGTTTGTACAATGGATCACTCAGAGACAGCTCAGAATCTAAGAGTAAAGCACATGCCAATCCAAAAATGTGTCCAAATCACTGAAATACAACGTAGAACAGAGAAGGAGTAACTGGAGTTACTAAGTACTTTCAAAAGCTTTTCACTTAACAGTGAAGACAGTGAAGAGTACAGCAGCAGTTCGGGAGCTGTCTGAAAAAGTAAAGGTGATATGGCAGCACACTGCTAGAGACTCTGTTAAACATTTAGCTCAAGTTGTTCATCACACAAATGGAAAAAAATCAAGAGAGGTGAGAAAAGAGATTATGAGAAAGGTAATTAGGGTAGGAGAATCACACTTTACAAGGTTTGTCTGATTTCTTTTAAGCTCTAGGCAAGTACAAAACTTAAGGTTGGTGTTACTTAAATTAATAAGAAGCACTAAAGGACTCTTCAATTGCAAGATTAAACACTTTCCATTTGGAACATATACTAAATAAATAGCCCACAGCTACATTAAGCTCCATTTTCTTCTATTTAACTCCCTCATTTTAAAAAGGCACTGGGAAGAGGTACGGTAAAACCATCTGCCATAACAAAATGAAAATTATCTCATTAAGCATCAAGAACATTAAATTGTTGCCTTTTAATATATAATAGTGCCTTGAATAAATTAAAATGCAATTTCTGAAAGGACGCTAATCTCATAACTAAATTATCTAAAACTGCCTATGACATACCCTGCACGTTGTTACTTGGTGAGTTTTTCACTGAGTACTCAGGAAATAGAGTTGAATTACAACTTTTATAATAAAAAACATTTCTCTGAGAAAAGAACAAGTTTCAGAAGTAATAAATCCTAATGAAAAACGTCTTTAAAGAATTTAAATACACAAAGATGGAAATACTAACAGTAAAGCACTGAGAATTATAAGAATAGTTTTCTCTTCTGTAAAATAAAGAGAATAGTAGTGATTTACTTGTGAGTAGGAAATAAGATAATATGTACTAAATGCCTATAACAATGTTGTCACTTAGTAAATTAGTGATGTTATTAACATTAGATATAGAATCTTATTCTGAAAATGTGGCTATGTTTAACTCTGTTAATACTGAAACTATTATATGAGTACATTAAAGTAAAATAATTTGGCTTGGGAACATGCAACTGCTAATTGAACAATGAAATATAATTTTAAACATGATTTGTTAGAAGAGTCTGTATAAGACTTTTTTCTCAAGCAGAAAGAACAGTTAATATGGCACTAATATTGTATCTGTATTTTTATTAAATAATATTTACTGCTGTTCCTAGAAAGCACAAATGCAATAAACTATGAAAACCAACTGATGAATATAATATGTTTTGAAGTTTTCTATACTAGGAGATATAACAAAATACAGACAGGGTAATAGAAAGCATTCTGGGCTCAGAAACAGGAAACCTTGGTTCTATTCCATCTTTAATTAGTTGTACCAGGCAAGTGCCATCACCATTCTGTGCCTCCATTTCTCATCTGTTAAAAAACAAAAATCAAGGAGGATGGTGTAGGGAAAAGAAAGAGAGATCAGACTGTCACTGTGTCTATGTAGAAAAGGAAGACATAAGAAATTCCATTTTGACCTGTACCCTGAACAATTGCTTTGCCCTGAGATGCTGTTAATCTGTAACTTTGCCCCAACCTTGAGCTCACAAAAACATGTGTTGTATGGAATCAAGGTTTAAGGGATCTAGGGCTGTGCAGGATGTGCCTTGTTAACAAAATGTTTACAGGCAGTGTGCTTGGTAAAAGTCATCGCCATTCTCCAGTCTCGATAAACCAGGGGCACAATGCACTGCGGAAAGCTGCAGGGACCTCTGCCCTGGAAAGCCGGGTATTGTCCAAGGTTTCTCCCCATGTGATAGCCTGAGATATGGCCTCGTGGGATGGGAAAGACCTGACCGTCCCCCAGCCCGACACCTGTCAAGGGTCTGTACTGAGGAGGGTTAGTAAAAGAGGAAGGCCTCTTGCAGTTGAGATAAGAGGAAGGCCTCTTTCTCCTGCCTGCCCATGGGAACTGAATGTCTCAGGATAAAACCCGATTGTACATTTGTTCTATTCTGAGATAGGAGAAAAACCGCCCTGTGACTGGAGGCGAGACATGTTGGCAGCAATGCTGCTCTGTTAGTCTTTACTCCACTGAGATGTTTGGGTGGAGAGAAGCATAAATCTGGCCTACGTGCACATCCAGGCATAGTACCTTCCCTTGAACTTATTTGTGACACAGATTCCTTTGCTCACATGTTTTCTTGCTGACCTTCTCCCCACTATCGCCCTGCTCTCCTACTGCATTCCTCTTGCTGAGATAATGAAAACAGTGATCAATAAATACTGAGGGAACGCAGAGACCGGTGCCGGTGAAGGTCCTCCGTATGCTGAGCGCCGGTCTCCTGGGCCCACTGTTCTTTCTCTATACTTTGTCTCTGTGTCTTATTTCTTTTCTCAGTCTCTCATCCCACCTGATGAGATATACCCACAGGTGTGGAGGGGCAGGCCACCCCTTCAGATGAGATGGGAAGGCAGGAGGAACTTGTGGGGTAACCCTAAGCCCATACTCTAAAAATTTCAGTAAGCTGCTTTCCTGGGAGGTCTGCTCATATGACCGCTAGAGGACAGAGTCTCAGAAGTCATCAATCTCAAATCCTGACCTGCTTCAGTCGCTCCAGTTCTGTCTCTAGTTCTTGTTTGGATGCTTTCTGCCCAGCTATTTGGTCATGCAGATCCTGTAACTGTTCTCTTGCTGATTCTGCTTCATTAACTTGCTGTGCCTCCATATCCTAAAGAGAAAAAGCTTACATGTAAAAGCAATAATTAACATTCAGTTCAACATTTATTGAGCAATTTTTCTTTTTTAAGAATCAGAGTCTCACGTCACCCAGGCTGGAGTGCAGTGGCACAATCACAGTTCATGGCAGCCTCAAACTCCTGGGCTCAAGGGGATCCTCCCACATCAGCCTCCCGAGTAGCGGGACTACAGGCACATGCCACGAGGCCTGGCTTAAGTTTTTTTTTTTTTTTTTAAGAGATGGGATATGGCTTTATTGCACAGGCTGGTTGCAAAGTCCTGGCCTCAAACAATCCTCCCACAGCACTGGGATTACAGGTGTTGAGCCACACAACCTGTCTACCATGCAATTACTATGTGCTGGGCTCAGGAGGCACTGAGGAATAAAGGTGAATGAGACATGGTTTCAGCCTATAGGGAGCATATAACCTGACACCTTCATTGTCTACTATGGCTAACAGCAGAATGAATGGGGCGCTACAGCTGCTGCAGCACATAAGCCATGTGGTTTCACGAGTATCGGCAGAGGCTCACTGGGAGACTTATATCTTTACTCAAAAGCTAACAGTTTCAAAAAAAATCAGAAACATAATAGCACAAAGGACTTCACTGCATTAGTCCCCTGAAATTGCAGGTTATAATTAGTTTTGGTGTGCATCTGTTCCCCAGTAATCAACATATGATAAGAATATAACTTGTCTTGCATATCACCAGAAGTTGGCATATAATTTTCTTCTTTTAGCTTTATTACTTTATTACTATTATTGGTTTTTACATGTTCTTATGTTTCTTACTCTCATTTCTTTGAACTCACCTTCTGGATTTCCTGTCAAATCTCCTAGTAGCAAAAACATGGCTCTAGGTTTCTATATTTTCCCCAAATGGATTAAGCATGAGTCCATTCATATGGCACAACAGAAGATTAAAATCAGCATCTTATTTTTGCTTTTTTATCTGTTGGTACATTCTGTTTCATACTCATCACCACAAACCTTGGAACTTCACATGCTGTTTGAAAGAACTAAGACTAACAAGATGCCCAGATAATCACAGTGCAATCCTCTGAACTCACACAACTTTGTAGATTTAGAGGAAAAAGCAATAATGACAACTATTTTTCCCTACCTTTGAGTTTTCAGGTTAGCAGAAGGTAGATTAATCTTTGTCATCAATTTGACTACATCGGGCAAATTCTTGAGAGGCAGGCAGTATGCACAGTGGTCAAAAACATGTCCTGGAGTTAGACTAGGTTCTAATCCTGGCTCTGCCACTTTACTAGTCTTGCAGCAAGTTACTTTCCTTCTCCATGCCTAAATTTCTTCAACTATAAAATGAGAATATCATCATCTCCCTCACAGAGTTATGGTAAGGAATAAATGTAAGGATATATGTTAAGTGCTCTGTGCAGTATCTGGAACATACGTGCTCAGTAAACAATAGCTATTGTAATTATTTACAATTCTTTCATTTTGTTAGACCTAACACTTATTATACATTGCATAAATTTTGAGAAGGGTAAGAAAATGGGTCAATGTCATTAATGATGCTGATATATTAAATAAAACAAGTATTTTTCATAATCTCACCAAAAAGACATGAACAGATATGAGTAAGTTTAGCATCTACCCAATTTCTAAGTTTGCAGGACTGAATTCTTTGGAATTCAAATTCACAGATTAAAAAAAAAATCCTACTTTAATGAATAACAATAAACCCAGAAATAATAGCAGCTATTATTTAACTGAGGGTCTATTACATGTCAGAAACAATGCTAGGCTCTTCATATATTATCCTTTATTGTCAAGAGAACCTTTGTTTACCTGCATTCTATAGATGAGAAAATTAAAGCTCCGCAAGATGAAGTGCCTTGTGGAAGCAGCATCTGTTAAGTACCAAAGACAGAATCTATCCACGTCTGTCTGCTATTCAAGTCTATGCTCTAGACAAGGTATCCTATTCTCACAACTTTCACGCTTTCTTTTGTAGTTCACAAGTCTCACAATGTGCAGAGTTAATGCATGGATGAACATTCTCTACAAAAAGTTTCTTCCTTTTAAGAAAAGGAAGCTCGTTATGCTGCACTTTATCTTCTCTCACCTTCAGAGACTCCTTCCTACGATATTTATGTCAAAGACCCCGAAGTTTAAGCAAAATAAATGGCCCAACTTTACTTTTAAATATAGTAATTATACATAAACTATAAATTATAAGAATAAGGATAAAACTGTAATTAGAAGATCATCCCTGAGCCCATACTAATATTAGAAAACATCTCAGCTTCACATAGGAGCTCAAATCTGATTTGCTTTTAACCACTAGAATGTAAGATCTATAATTATGAAGACCCTGTTCTAATTCCAAACCTAGGCACATGGCAGGCACTTGGTAACTATTTGTTGAATGAATTGATCTGTTTTTTATCACCATAACTTTATGGTCAACTTATGGATTAGAAACCTGGTCGGGCATGGTGGCTCACGTCTCTAATCTCAGCACTTTGGGAGGCCGAGGTGGGCGGATCACTTGAGGTCAGGAGTTCAAGACCAGCCTGGGCAACATGGTGAAACCCCATCTCTACTAAGAATACAAAAATTAGCCAGGTGTGGTGGCGCACGTCTGTAATCCCAGCTACTCAAGAGGCTGAGGCAGGAGAATCCCTGGAACCTGGCAGGTGGAGTGGAGGTTGCAGTGAGCCGAGATCACGCCACTGCACTCCAGCCTGGGCAACAGACCGAGACTCCATCTCAAAAAAAAGAAGGAAAGAAAGGAAAGAAAGGAAGGAAAGAAAGGAGAGAAAGGAAAGAAAGGAAAGAAAGAAAGAAAGAAACCTACTGCTTTAGCCCAGCACGGGCTGCAACAGCCCTGCAATCCCAGCACTCTGGGAGGCTGAGGAGGGACAATCACTTGAGGCCAGGAGTTTGGGACCAGCTTGGACAACACAGGGATACCCTGTCTCTACAAAATATAAAAATTAGCTGGGCGTGATGGCATGTGCCTGTAGTTCCACCTACTTGGGAGCCTGAGGCGGGAAGACTGCTTGAGCCCAGGAGTTCGAGGCTGCAGTGAGCTATGATCACACCACTCCAGGCTGGGAGACAGAGCAAGATCCTGACTCCAAAAGAAGAGAAGAGGAAGAGGAGGAGGAAGAGAAGAGAAGCGAAGCGAAGCGAAGAGAAGCGAGAAACCTATCGCTTTAGTAATGCTGTTTCCCCACCTCTCAAACTGTTAACACCTGAGGGTAAATGGTGTCTACTAAGCTGAACCACCATGAATCTTACCTGTAATTCGGATCTGAGCTGATGTATCTGGCCCATCAGCTTCTGTATTTCCTCCCTCTGCATCTCTTTCTCATGCCGAAGTTCTTCCAGCTCCATGCTACTGGCAGTGCTGCTATCTAGGCCTTCAAAACCAGAGCCTTCTTTCAAGCTGTTAATCAATTTTTCCTTAGACTATTATAAAAGAAGAAATATGTTTAAGCAAAGCAGAGATTAGTTTGTATATTGAATATCATCTACTATACAGAAAATAACCCACTAAAAAAAATTCCATTATCTCCATCAAAGAAAGTCCACAGATTTTCTTAAATCCCTAAGGATAAAAAACACAACAGAGCCTTGCTGTATAATGTCCTTGGACTTTAGCCCCACAATCATGGTAAAGTTGAAAGCTTGTTATGAATAAGATTTTTTTTTTCCAGCTGGGTGCGGTGGCTCACGCCTGTAATCCCAGCACTTTGGGAGGCTGAGGCGGGCGGATCACGAGGTCAGGAGGTCGAGACCATCCTGGCTAATATGGTGAAACCCCGTCTCTACTAAAAATACAAAAAAAATTAGCCAGGCATGGTGGCAGGTGCCTGTAGTCCCAGCTACTAGGGAGGCTGAGGCAGAAGAATGGCGTGAACCCGGGAGGCGGAGCTTGCAGTGAGCCGAGATCGCGCCACCGCACTCCAGCCTGGGTGACAGAGCCAGACTCCGTCTAAAAAAAAAAAAAAAAAAAAAAAGATTAAAAAAAATTTGTGTTTATTTATTTGAGATACGGTCTTGCTATGTTGCCCAGGCCGGTCTTGAACTCCTGGCCTCCAGGAATTCTCCTGCCTCAGCCTCCCAAAGTGCTGGGATTGCAGGAGTGAGCCATCACACCTGGCCAAACAAGACTTTTCTCACATTTTCTTCTCATAGTTTTTATTTTCCAACACATTCTACCCAACAAGTAAATGGTGCTAAGTGTTCTGCGCAATAAAGATAATGTCTCTCTCTATAGATAGTACCCTCTGCCTTACAAACTAAAAGAGAAGTTACAAGTATCCAGCAGAAGGCAATCAACACAAGTAGAGAAAAGGATATGGTCAGATTACTTGCAGAGTTCTGAGAGGAAAAACCACTTCTGGGTAAGAGGAGACTTTAAGAGAGCATAAATGTTGGCCTTGAAATATGGGTAGACTTTTTTAAAGTGCAGAGAAAAACAGAGAGCAAAGCATAAAAATGCAAAAGCACACAAAGTCTGTAAGAAAATAATGTGAGATGCAGCTCAGATAGTATTTTAGCACCAATTTGGAGGGGCTCCTGATCTCAGGCTAAAATGTTTTAATATTATATGGCAGGCTAAAACAAATTACCAAAAAGTAGAGAGAGGAGTGACATGACTAGAGATGCATTTTAGGAGGCTAACCTGGCAGTGCTATGAAGAAGGTGCTCACAAATGATGGTCCGTGGGCCTGTTTTTGTACAGCCTGCAAGCTAAATTTTTTTTTTACATTTTAAAAGGATCATAAATAATAAAGACAAAGAATATGTGATGGAGACTACAGGTAGCCAACATAGCCTACAATATTTACTATTTGACCCTCTCAATGTTTTCTGACCCCTGAGATAAAAGATGAGTTTGAAGAAGAGATTTGACATGCAAAGACCAGTTTATAAAGTCCTAATTCTAGACTAGGAACAACAAGGACCAGCAGCTTTCACGTTAAATTAAAATATTTTAAAGTCATTCTCCTCCATCAAAAATAATTTTTCCTTTTCTGGGTGGTAGGATTATGGGTTATTTCCATTTCCTTCTTCAAACTTCTTTTGTATTCTTCAAATTTTCTATAATAAACATGATCATTTATAACATTTTAAGATTTTTTTTAATAAAAAACCAGAAACCTCCCAACCTCATTCCCCCATCTAGCTACTGTCCTCATGTCCATGGTCAAGTACCCTGCCTCCATGTCTTCAGCTCCCAGCGCACCCCGGAACTCTCTGTTGAGAGGTCCCCAGGGACCTCCTAGTTGCCAAGTCCAGGAATTTAGCTCGGGACTTGTCACATCAGAGCCGCGTGCTGTGGTTGGTGATCATGCACCACTTGAAACTCTCCCTCTGCTTGGCTTCATTGGATGGCATCAGTCTCCTCCTGGTTCTCTCCAATCTCTGACCACTCACCTTCTCAGTATTTTTCTTTTGCAGGCTATCCTTTTGCCCAATTTGTAAATGCTGATGTTTAAGACTGTGTTTTTAGACCTCAGCCTTTCTCCCCGTTAGGTTACACATCGCTCTTGCCTAAACTTACCTACTCTCCCAACTTACTTCTAATTACCTTTCTAACATTGTCACCTCAATGTTGCATCAATTTTGCATACTTACCATAATTCGTCATACTCTCCTTTAACCCTAACCTGTTCTCTTTCCTGTTTCCCCTTTTATTAACACAAGGAAACATCATTCATACACTTAAACCAAAAACCTGGAGTCATCCTGGATTCCATTTGCCTTTTTCCCCCATCCTTCCAGTTAAATCTCCACATGTCATATATTCTATCTCCCACATATCTCTTAGCTGTCCCCTGCCTGCCATCCTCACTGCCAAAAACTTTGATCAGGTCCTCATTATTTCTTATGATCACCTCTTCACCATCTACATGCCATTGATGCCACCCCTTATCACTTCCATGTTTTCAACAATGTACCGAATACCAGGCACTGTGCTGGGGATACAACGATGAACAAGACAGAGGCCCAAATCTCCCCTAACCTTTTCATCAGGCTGCCACAGTTCTCACACTCAAACCTGACCATGGCTTCTGCCTGCCGTTGAACTTTATGAGTCTTTTGCCTCCCATCTCTGAAGACGTTATGTTCCAGCAGTATGGAACTAGCTGCAGTCCCTTAAATATGCCATGTTCTCTCTGGCCCCCTTGCTCTGGCACAGGTTGTTCTCTCGGAAATCTCTTCCCTATCATGAGTCTTCCTATTCATCTTTCAAGTTTCTCTTTATACCACATCTCCTCAGTCCAGTGATCTTTGACAGCCTCAGGCAAGTTTTAAGGGATTCTTCTCTCAAGCTCCCATTGTACTGCATTAATAACCTTATTACGTCAATTATCTGTTTCTTTCCACTAAGATGAATGTTTTCTTAAAGGAAGAGGACACATCTTTTGAGCTTTGTATCCTCTGTGCCTAGTGAGTAGTTAGGTGCTCAATAAGTAACTTTTCAATGAATTAACAAATTAGGGTGATACAAAAAAGTACTTAGAAAGAAGAGTTTGAGGAGGAGATCAATATGATACTTCATGGAAGTAGCATTAAAAAAAGGTATTCATAGCCATTAGAAGTTTGAGACTAAAGAAAAAAGGTAAAGTCAAAAATGACCCTGAGGTTTCAAGCTTTACTGCCACATGGCAGTAACGTTGACCAGAACAGAAGAATGAGGGAGAAGTTGGTCTGGGAGCTGAACACTCCATGCCTGCACAGTAGGCAGCTGGGCACTGAGGTCAGGAGGTCAGGCTTGGAAACATGCTTGAAGTCATATGCAGGCGGCTATTAGAAGCAGAGGCAGCATACAGCAGTGCAAGGTAAGAAAGGACAATGAAAGAGGGTTCAGGACAGAGCTTAGGAGGACTCTGACTCTTTGGAGATTGGGAAGAGCGCCCAAGAGAGACAGAAACAGCAGTAGAAGAGGACAAAAAGAGAGCCAAGGAGATGTGAATAGCATAGAAGGCAGGAGTTCCAAGGAAGTGGGAGGGTTAACAGAGCCAAATGTTCTACCAAAATACAAGGTATGGAGACTAAGAAAAGGACAGAGAATATTTATTTAGGTCATCAAATATTTTTGAGAAGAAATTTCAGACATGTAGTAGGAAAAGAAGGAGATAAGAGTTAACAAGTTCTACAGAAATGAAGACAGCACGTACACAATTCTGGTAAGCATGACACTGAAAGAAAGGAAGATAGGGAAATAGTGCAAAGTGGTCACAAAGCTAAAAGAGACTGTTTTTCTCTTAGGCAGGAGTCCGAGATCTAGTCTTCATTTTTCCACTAAATAACCATGTGCTCTTGAGTAAGCTGAGCCAGAAGGCAGCAGCAGCAGAGAGGCACACACAGGAAGGAAGGGCATAGATCTATGGAGAAAGGGCTTACACATGAGATGGGAGATGGAATCAATGCACAGGCAGGAAAATGATCCTAGAAAAAAATGAAAGGACATGTTTTCCCTCTGAGGGACAAAGGAAAGAGAATTCAAAAACGACATTAGATGACTGTAGTCTTTCTTAGTAAAGTAGAGGGTAAGATCACCTTAGATCTGAAGGAGGGGAAAAAAAGCTGGGTGAGACAATTCTGAGAACTGGATGAGTCCTAAAGCAGTTGCTGCAAAAATTCAATAGGAGATCAACAAGGAAGAATAAACAGCTGCTCAACAACAAGCATTAATATCATCACAGTGAGTAAGGTGACAGGTTGAAGACCTGAACTAGGCAGTGGCAGAATGAATTTTTTTTTTAAAAGAAGTGGTAGGAACAAGAAACACTGCATCCTTTAATAAAATTTCTAAAGTAGAGTAAGGCACCTAAAGCTAGCCAATCAGACGAACATGAACAAAGCACCTCACACAGTATCTACACAGTCTCAAATTGCCTTTCAGTTAACTTGCACATCTTAACATCCAAAAGTGTACATTTCATGCTTACTTGCAGTATTCTAGTAGCTTTTTGCTTGTAGTCAATTAATTCCTGCTTAGAGGACTCCAAGTTCAACTTATACAGCTTGACTTGCTGCTGCAGTTCATCAACCCTCTTCTTCTCATCTGAGTATTTTCTTTCGGCCAGTGTAATTGCTTCTGCTAAATTCTGACGTTCCATTTCCACTTTATTAAGGCGTGCAGCAAACTCGCTCTGTGACAAATTTTTATATCATAATTAATGATATCATTTAGCTTTGAAACATATTTTACAACCATCCATTCGGATATCTTATGGGATTTATTAGCTCAGCCAAACAACATAGTAGGGATGGGAAAAAATTCTTAATTTGTTAGGAGCTAAAGTATAGGAAATGTAAAGTTGTAACTCCCAAACATGGCAATGCATTAAAATCAACCAGGAAGTTTGTTAAAAATATAGCCATCCAAGGCCTTTCCCAAGCTTACTAAACTGGAATTTTCAAGATGGGTCTGGGAATCTGTTTTTTAAGAAATTTCCCAGGTGAACCTGGTCACTTGGATACTAGGTCTGGTCTGATACTAGCTGATCAACTGTTTCCAATTTAATAAGTAAATAAATAGGTGTAAATTACACCATATTTTAAAGAACCAGTATTCAAAAAATAATGTAAAATATCTCATTAATAACTTTTAATATTGACTACATATTGAAATAATTAATACTTTGGATATATTGTGTTAAAATTAAGAGACACACACTACCTGATATTTACTTTCAGGACTGAATTACTTTCACCTGTTGAAAAGCTAGCCCAGACCAGTGGTTTGCAACCCTGACTGCTCATTAGATACACCTGTGAACCTTCTAAAACCAAAGTGTCAATACCTAGTCCCTACCTCATACAATGGAATGTGACTGCATATGGAGCTCAGACAGCACAAGGTATCACACAAGTGATTCCCACGTGTAGACAGGGCTGGGACTGAACTAAATGCAAATATTCATCTAAGAGTAAAACTCTTTACATATTACATACAATTTTCTCCTGAAATAAATGAGCCAGATTAATCTGGAATCAGAAAAACTTAAATTAATAAAAAACAAATACGATCCCCCAACCATTAGCATTTAATCAAATAATGACAATGATTGTTGCAAAAATTAAGTAAAAGATGTATATCTCTAATGCACATTAACTATTTTAATTGTCTCTCAACACATAAAATTAAATACATTTAGCAAGGATCAAGCTAAATTTTCAAATATCTGATTTTTGTCACAGAAACAGAATTTTCTGAAATGCATTGCAGAATTATATTAGACAGTTAATGTGCTATGAAACAGCATAAAGTCATTTTTTCCGTGTCCAAGTAACAATAGGAATCTGCTGTCTCTCATTCTAACCTGCATCTGTTTATAGCTCTCCTGCTCTCTCTTCAGAGTGGCATCCGCTTCATGCAGTCTCTCCTGAAAAGTCTGCAGAGCTTGATTCTGCAGGCTGTTACCTTCACTTTGATCCTGCATTATTCTAAAGGAAAATGCATCATGTGAAATAACTCATGTCTACAGTGTACAAGTGATAAGGCAGAATAATTTTTAGAGCGTCAGCTTTAGTCAAGCACAAAAAAGATAATTTGACTGAAATATTCTTAGATAAATCTTTCCTTTCTAATGGAACATAATCTACATTTTTAGGCATCCAAATATTAAGTACATACCGTATAATGAAAGATTAATGACACAACAAATGCTTTTAAATTCAGAATTTGCTAACAATGCATCTCAAGGTTCAAACAATGAATCCATTTTATGTTGTTGTTGTTGAGATGGAGTTTCGCTCTTTTTGCCCAGGCTGGAGTGCAATGGCACAATCTCAGCTCACTGCAACCTCCACCTCCTGGGTTCAAGTGATTCTGCTGCCTCGCCTCCTGAGTAGCTGGGATTACAGGCATGTGCCACCACCCCCGGCTAATTTTTTTTCTGTATTTTTAGTAGAGACGGGGTTTCTCCATGTTGGTCAGGCTGGTCTCGAACTCCCAACCTCAGGTGATCCACCTGCCTCGGCTTCCCAAAGTGCTAGGATTACAGGCTTGAGCCACCACGCCCAGCCAATGAATCCATTTTAATCATACACATTTCTAACACTACCAAAAGAAATATTCCCTCTTGTAAATTTCCAAGAAAGCTAAGTTTCATAAGTGGATACACTACAATGTTTACCATTACTTGCTCATTTTTTTCATTATTCATAGAATCACCTACCGTGATTTTTCACTCTGTAAGGCTTCTAATGCTTCTGTGCGAGTACTCAGTAGCTGGTCAGCTTCCTGGAGTCTCACTTTCAGTACAGCCAGCTGGGAATCCTTTGCAGCCACAGCTTCAGTCAGGTCATCTACTTGGGCTCGGAGTCCTCGAGTCATTCGATCACTCTTTGAATGGTCAGCATTCCACTTTTCAACTCTTGCTCTTGCTTTGTTTAATTCTATTAAAAAATTTAAATTTCTCTATACAAGCAAAACCAAACACATTTTTCTCAGAGCACGTACAGTTTCTACTTTGAGTGCCTTTAGTACTTTCCTTATTGACAAAATTGGGAACTTACACGTCTTCAATTTTCTTTGCCCCAAAGGGTCATCCACTTTTCAAGGGCAATATTCACAGCTAGATTATAGTTAATTGATTAGAAAGGGGCGTGAAGCTAGCTGCTCTTCTACAATGCTGTTTCTATATGATAAAGCATCTGGGAGCCGAAACTAGTATTAATAGATAGCAGAGTATATTTTGTAAAGTTCTGCTAGTGACAGGGAAAGGAATGCAAATCCAAATCAAAGGTACATCCTAGTAAGAACAAAACAAAACCTAAACACAGAAAAGAATCTATTGCTTTCAATTACTGTTGCAAAAAGATGTTATTCTTTTGACCTAGGAAATCAATGCAAAAAGAGCAAAGTAGTGCTCTATTTCAGAATACAATGGCATTTCCATACCCTCACATACCATATGTAATTGCAGTTAGCCACCACAACATTTTAAAAATACTGAATCAAACTTTATAGGGTCTCAAAGCTTTTTTTTTTTTTCCAGTGAGACACACCTTTCTTAAAGAAAAAAAAAAAAACCCAAAAACATGAGACAGAGCCTCACTCTGTTGCCCCGGCTGGAGTGCAGTGGCATGATCATGGCCCATGACTCACTGCAACCTCCAACTCCTGGGCTCAAGCAATCCTCCCACCTCAGTCTCCAAAGTAGCTCAGCCTACAGGTGTACACCACCATATTCAGCTAATTTAAAACAAAAAAAAATTGATTTTTGTAGCCCAGGGGTCTCACTCTGTTGCCCATGCTGTTATTGAACTCCTGGCTTCAGCAATTTTCCCATCTCAGCCTTCCAAAGCGCTGGGATTACAGGCGTGACTCACTGTGCCTGGCCAAACAGCTCTATTTCTATGTCTAAATTAGTGTGGGTAAAGTAAAGCTTTTTCTAAAGTCAGCCTGACTAGTGAGTACTTTGTTTTTGTTGTTGTTGTTGTTGTTGTTGAGACGAGTCTCGCTCTGTAGCTCAGGCTGGAATGCAGTGGCACGATCTCGGCTCACTGCAACCTCCACCTCCTGGGTCCTGGGTCTGGGTTCAGGCAATTCTCCTCCCTCAGCCTCCTGAGTAGCTGGAATAACAGGCACGCGCCACCATGCCCAGCTAATTTTTTTGTATTTTTAGTAGAGACGGGTTTCACCATGTTGGCCAGACTGGTCTTGAACTCCTGACCTTGTGATCCGCCCGCCTCGGCCTCCCAAAGTGTTGGGATTACAGGCGTGAGCCACCACGCCTAGCTTAGTGAGTCTTCAACTATCTTCCCTTTCCTCTCTTCTAGGCTCTATCCATGGCTTGGCAAAACTTTTCCCACCATCCCCTCACTCCTTTCTAATTAGCCCCAGGAACCAAGGCAGCAATTTTGTCACTCGTTTTCTTCTCAGCCACACTTACAATAACATTCACATCTTCCTCAGTCACTACCTCCATAATGAGATTATTTCCTTCTTAATTACCTATTTCTGAGGAACTTGAGGTTTTCTACTCCAGGGCCACCTCACTGCACAATTCCCAAGGGCACTGAACTGAATTCCATGTACCTTTTATATGCCCTAGAGCAGCAACACTGCAACTCTATTAGTGCCTACTACTTTGTTTAATGGAACAGCTTCCCTTGAAAGTTCAGAATAAATGAATGAACTAGACTACTACTAGTTTGTTCCTCTCAGTTCTTCAATTTCATGGTTCTTAAAGGATGACCAAAGAAGCGAATACTCTTATGTTTTGGGTTGGTGGGAGGATGACTGGTCCCATTTCCAAATCTGGGCAGTTTTTCTATGAAAATATCATTTTACAAGTCGCATCTAATTTCTCACAGTTTAAATGTAAATATTTCTAACAGTTTAAAGTTTTTAAGTTTATTATTTTATTTTATTTTTATTTATTTATTTTTGAGATAGAGTCTTGCTCTGCTGCCCAGACTAGAGTGCAGTAGTGCAATCTCGGTTCACTGCAACCTCCACCTCCCTGGTTCAAGCAACTCCCCTGCCTCAGCCTCCTGAGTGGCTGGGATTACAGGTGCCTGCAACCACATCTGACTAATTTTTTTGTATTTTTAGTAGACACAGGGTTTCACCATGTTGGCCAGACTGGTCTTGAACTCCTGACCTCAGGCAATCCGCCCGCCTCGGCCTCCCAAAGTGCTGGGATTACAGGCACGAGCCACTGCGTCCAGCCTTAAGTTTATTTTTAAAAGTTAAATTCCTAATCCTGAACAATTTAAGCCTCTACCTTCTTGAGTCTCTTTGGATCTTTGGAGTAACGAGGCCATTTCTTGATTTAAAGACTGAACTTCATTCCTCAGCAGCTGATTCTCCAGTCGAAGGTTAGACAGTTCATGTGATTTGCCATCATCATTAGGTGTTGGGGTGTGGTCAGGGCAGGCAGCATTTGATGACACATTTTCCTTTGAAGATTCCTCTTGACCTTCATGGCTAGAATCTGAGTTACTGGCAGCTTCTGTAAAAAAAAGAATACGTTTTTGTTACATTGGCGTGTTCATCACATATGCATTAACAACTTGCTTTGGTAGGATGCTCAAGTTGACTGCTACAGCTAAAACACCATAAAAAGTAAATTCTCAGCTAGGCGCGGTGGCTCATGCCTGTAATCCCAGCATTTTGGGAGGCCGAGGCAGGGAGATCACTTGAGGTCAGGAGTTTGAGACCAGCCTGACCAACACGGTGAAACCCCATCTCTACCAAAAATACAAAAATTAGCCAGGTGTGGTGGCACACACCTGTAGTGCCAGCTACTCAGGAGGCTGAGGCAGGAGAATCACTTGAGCCTGGGAGGCCAAAGGTGTTGCAGTGAGCCAAGATTGCACCACTGCACTCCAGCCTGGGCAACAGAGCGAGACTCCATCTCAAAAAAAATACATAAATAAACAAATTTTCAATAGTCTTCCCTCTGATTAAATTTCATTCTCATAAATGGGGCATATGGACCTCTAAGGATACTCAAGTCTGGATACACTGAATGAATGACAACAGACAGTACAACACCATTCTGGGGAGAACATCAGAGATCATGTGAGTGGTTGGGTTCAGGTAAAATGGGTTTGGATTTCCTTTTGTCTCCAAAATGCTTTTGGGAAAAAAAACCAGGAGAAGTCTCAAATACTGAAAAATTGGGAAGGCACAATAGAGTAGCTGCAGGTTTCAAGGCAAGAAGAGTAATAACAGGTCACTACAAGGTTTTTTGTTTTTTTTTTTTAATCAAACTGGAATCTAACATGTCTTACCCAAAGAGATAGAGACACATGAATTCAGATTAATCTTGTTTTTGTTACTAAATATAATGCAAGTATACTTTTAAATTACTCTAAAAATTATGTGATGAAAATGAACTATATATCTAAATAATAAAACTGACTAAAACAATCAGTATATGGGTAAAAGACTTGATACTTTATAAGGTTATATAAACAAATATCAATAATCAAATGAAAAAGTTCTGAACATGTTTAGTCATCAAGGAAATGCAAATTAAAATCACAATGAGAACCAACAGACACCCCCTAGAATGGCTAAAATTAAAAACACCAAATGTTGGTGACACTGCAGAGCAACTAGACCTCTCACTGCTGGTGGGACTATAAAATGGTACAATCACTGGGGGAAAAGGTTTTACAATTTCTTATGAAATTAAACATGCAGCTACCGTTTCACCCAGCAATTCCACTCCTAGGTATTTATACAAGAGAAATGAAAACATTTGCCCACAAAAAAGCAAGTACAAAAATGTTTATAGCAGTTTTATTCACAATAATCCAAAACTGGAAACAAACCCAATGTCCATAAAAGAGAATAGATAAACTGTGGTACAGCCGTATAATAGAGTACTACATAATAAAACAGAATAAAAAAAGAACAGTAACATGGATGAATCTCACTAACAGTTCAGTAAAAGAAGCCAGATTAGAAAGTATATATACTATATGATTCAATTTATATGAAGTTTTAGAACAAGCAAAACTAAGGAGAGAAAAATCAGAGCACTGGGTGCTTTCAGGGACGGGGTGAGGAGATTAAGTGGAAAGGAACATGAGGAACTTTCTGGGGCAAAGGAAATCTATAACACGGTAAAGGTGTGGGTTACACAGGTATTGCCATTCGTCATATAGCTAAGATTTGTGTGCATCTTAATATATGTACATTTTACCTAAAAGAAAAAATAACCACAAAAAGCTAATAATCAAGTGGGGTAGGGAATGGGCACCTAAGACGTGACTTAAAAATGGGAGTGTTGGCAGGGCGTGGTGGCTCACGCCTGTAATCCCAGCACTTTGGGAGGCTGAGGCAGGCGGATCACAAGGTCAGGAGTTTGAGACCAGCCTGGCCAACATAGTGAAACCCTGTTTCTACTAAAAATTAGCTGGGCATGGTGGCGGGTGCCTGTAATCTCAGCTACTTCGGAGGCTGAGGCAGGAGAATCGCTTGAACCTGGGAGGCAGAGGTTGCAATGAGCTGAGACTGCACCACTGCACTCCAGCCTGGGCAAAAGGTGAGACCCTGTCTCAAAAAAAAAAAAAAAAAAAGAAAGAAATTATTACATTTTTAAGGTGATAATGGTGTGAACATTTGCTTTTAGAGTATTTTTAGAGTAAGAAAATGAAATGTTTATAGAAAAAATGATATAAGATCTGTGATTTGCTTCAAATTAATTGTGCGGAGGGTGCAGGTGAAGAAAGTGATGGGAAATGGGAGGGTATAAATGAAACATGAATGGCCATGAGTGATTACTGTAGTTGGATAATAGGAGGTCATTACGTTCTATTTTGGTATGTTTGAAATTTCTAAAATAAAGATTTTAAAAAGAAATGAAGTAGGCCAGGCGTGGTGGCTCACGCCTGTAATCCCAGCACTTTGGGAGGCCGAGGAGAAAGGACTGCCTGAGTCCAGGAGTTGGAGACCAGCCCGGGCAATACAGTGAGAACTCGTCTCTACAAAAAATTTTTAAATAATATAAAAAATAAAATATTAAAATTCAAAAAATAAATTAAGTATATATCCAAATGTGGGATGATATCTAAGGCAGTATTCTGAAGGAAATTTATAGCCTTGGTTACATTAAAGATGAAAGGCAGGAAGGAAGAAAACTAATGAGTTGTATATCCATCTTAAAAACTATAAAAACAGCAGAACAAACCCAAAGAAAGCAAAAATTAACAAAAGAGGAAATAAACATACTAGAGAGGATCAGCATAACCAAAAGTGGTTCCCTGGGACAGATATAAACAACATTAGGCCATCAAATTTTAAAATGTACAAGATACTGAAATCTATCAATTGCACAATACTTATCGTGCAGTTTATTGCATGTGAATTATACTTCATTAAAGCTGTTTTAAAAAGCAGGCATTTAGTGCAGTGCCAGAAACAGGGTAAGGATTCAATATATGCCAGATACTGATATTCTTCACACAGTATGCATGATCAAGCATTGGTTTTTGCAGGGTTGGTATGAATAACTAATGTTTGGTTGCGTTGAAAGTTTCAGCTGTGACCCCTACATTATTTTCCTGAAATTAAATAAGTATAACCCCTCAAAATGTGTATGACATTGACAAATTCTTGGGGAAAAAAACGTAACTTACCAAAAACAGATTCAAGAAGAAATGAAAAGCCAACTGAATCAATAGTTAAAACCTTTCAGTAAGAATACCCCAGGTCCTGATGGTTTTAGCACAGAGTTCTAGCAAACGTTCAGGAAATAAATAATCTCAGTCTTACACCAATTAATTAACACAACAGAAAAAGAAGGAATACTTTCCAATTCATTTGATAAGGCTAATATAACTGTAATACTAAAACCTAACAATATCGCAGGCCGATTTCGCTTATAAAATAAATGCAAAAGGTTAGGTGTGGTGGCTCATGCCTGTAATCCTAGCACTTGGGAGGCCAACACAGGAGGATCCCTTCAGCTCAGGAGTTCAAGACTAGCCTGGCAATATAGTGAGACCTTGTCTCTACAAAAAATGAACAAAATTACCTACGCATGGCGGTGTGTGCCTGCAGTCTCAGTTACTATTGAGGCTGAGGTGGGAGGATTGCTTGAGCCTGGGAGATTGAGGCTGCAGTGAGCTGAGATCCCACCACTGCACTCCAACCTGGGCGACAGAGTGAGATCCTGTCTCAAAATAATAAAAATAATAATAAATAAAAATTAAATTAACTAAATAAATGCAAAAATCCTAAAGGGAATATTAGCAAACTGAAAGTTAAGTTTGGTTTTATATTTAAAAGTATCAACTGGAGCTGGAGCTAGGTGCAGTGGTGTGCACCTGCATCCCAGTGAGTTGGGAGGAGGAAGTGGGAGGATTACTTGAGCCAGGAGTTTGGGGCTGCAGTGCACTATGATCATACATGTGAATAGCCGCTACATTCCAGCCTGGGTAACACAGCAAGATCCCATCTCTATTAAAAATAAATAAATAAATTGATTTATTAAAAATAAATAAATTGATTTGTATACTATATTAATATTAAAGAAGAAAAACTATATTATCTCCAAGGGTAGAGGAAAAAACATTGCTAAAATTCAACATGATAAAACCTCAAACTAGACATTTATGGGAACTTCCTTAAACAAATAAAAAAACTATAAAAAACCTAATGTAAAATCATACTTAGTGAAACAAAGTATTCCCTCTAAGACAAAGAACAAGATACAAAACTGGTCGTTGAGTCCTAGCCAATGAAGAAAAGGATTTTTTAAAAGATAAAAGGGCTAAGAAGAAACAAACTGTCATTATACACAGATAATTGTGTTGTTGAAAATCTAAATTTATGTCCAGAAAAACATGAAGATTAAGAGCCATCTAGATTGCTATGTATGTACACACAAAAAAACAACAAAAAATACACCAGCAATAACAAAGCAAAACATTTTAAGGAATACCACATATAATTGTTTCAAAAAATATAAACTACTTAGGAATAAATCTAACATAAAGTATATAAGATCTTTATGGAGAAAACAATAAAATTTTAATGAAAGACACTACAAAATATGTTGAAATTATATCCCATTGGTGGATAAGAAAACTCAGTATAGCAAAAGTGCTGACTCTCACCAAACTGTCTATATAGAAGCAATTAATTCCCAATAAAAAGACCAACAGAGTTTCTGTGAAACTTGATGAGCAAATCCTAAAATGCATACAGGAGTGGAAAGGTCCATGAACAGCCAAAACATTTCTGAAGAAAGACCACAAGGTGGAAGAAGCTACCCTATCAGTTATCAAGACACATAAAACTACATTAATTAAAACAGGGTGGCACTGGCACAAGGATACACAAATAAACCAATAAAACAGAATTAAGTGGCCAGAAACACACTAATGAATACTTGATATATAAGACAGGTGGTACTGCAAATTGGTAGGGACAAGAGACTCTGTTCAATAAATGATGCTAGAATAGCTGATTTCCCTATGGCAAAAAAAAAAAAAAGAAAAAGGGAATTGAATGCCTATCGCACACTATAGAAGACAATACAGAAAAATATCTTTATGATCTCAGTGTAAGGAAAGATTTTCCAAGACACAAAAAACACAAGCCACATGCCATCTACATTAAGAACTTCTATTCATTGAGATGCCATAGACAGAGGGGAGGGGAAAAACCAAGGTAAAACTGGAGGAGGAAAAGAATTTAGAATTTAGAATATATAAAGAATGTCTATGAATCAAGAAGAAAAAAGACAAATAATCTAACAGAAAAAAGTTGATAAAAAAGACTTGACACTTCCAGAAAATGAAAGTTCAATAGTCAAATATCTGAAAAGATCTTCAACCACACTAGTAATGAAGGAAATAATATCAACGACAAATCTGATCAGCAAAAAGTAAAAAGTCAAATTGAAAATAAAAAATGTTGGTGAAAATGTGGAGCAAAAGAAGTTCTTAACCATAGCTGGTTAGAGTATAAATTGGCACAACCTCTGCAGAAAGCCACTTTGGCATTACTAGTGTAGCTGAACATTGTTAAACCCTACAGCTCAGCAATCCCATTTCTACACATTTCTAGGCATCTCAGGACATTGGTTCTCAACTGGGATGATTTTGCCCTGCAAGGGACATTTGGCAATTTGTGGAGACATTGTTGGTTGTCACAATTGGGGGTGCTACTACCACCTAATGGGCTAAGAGGCCAGAGATGCTGCTAAACATCCTACAAAGAACAGGAGGGCTTCCCACACTATTGAATTAATTTGGCCCAAAACACCAAGTCTCAAGGTTGAGAGGTCCTACCCAAGAGAAACAATTTTTATAACTCCTGTGTATTATAACCAGTTCTAATTCATTTCCCTGACAACGAGGTTCCCTTTAGGTCCATTCTTTCTAATTAAATGCAAGCTGCTTTCTTTAAAAGTACAAAAATAAGCTATGTCAACTCTTGACTTAAAGATCTCTACTAGCATCACACTGGCTATGGCAGCCACTTTCAACTTTTATTGGCTAAGAACCACCCACAGAACAACAACAACAAAATCAGATGCCCTGGCTCCATCCCCAGAAAATAACGATTCAGGAAGCCTGGGAAGGCACTCAATAATTCATTTTTAAATTAACAACACACAAGCGATTCTAAAGCCTGTTGTTCAGGAATCAATCTTTAACAATGATTATAGAAGTAATGGGTTTAATTGCATAAACAGTATGACACAAGGGCCTTCACAAACAGGTCCCAACTTTGTTTGCTAGCTACATTTTCTTCATCACCCTCCAACTCACTCAGTGTTTCCAACTTTGTTACAATGTTTTCTACTCTACTAGCCTCTTAGAGTCTGTTCTCTCTGCATGGAATGCTGTCTCTAACTTTTTACCTGGCAAACTCCTGTTCATTCTTTAAGACCCAGCTAAAAATACAGACCCTCTGTGAATCCTTTCTGAATACCCTAGGCAATTAGTTACTTCCTCCTTCATACTTCCACAACACTCTGACCATACTTAATTGCTACATTTACTAGACCACAAGTAAATTATCTGTTTACATGTCTAGCTCACCCACTGGACACTTCCATATCCTTGCACCTAGTAGGTTCTTTGTGTAATTAATTGAAAGATAGCTGAGAAGAAATTTTGGAATATGTGAACATATTAATCAACTGCTACTGCCTGATCCTATTTTCACAACCCAAAACGTCTTCTTCTATACAAGTTTTTGTCTTGAAAATACAAGAAAGATTTTATTCACTAACAGCCAAGACAATGAAAGAAGCTATAACATCCAAGAACATGACAATCTCCCATCAATAATCAACTCTATAAAGAATCCCTGGCCAGGTGTGGTGGCTCACGCCTGTAATCTCAGCACTTTGGGAGGCCAAGGTGGGCAGATGACTTGAGGTCCGGAGTTCAAGACCAGCCTGGCCAACGTGATGAAACCCTATCTCTACCAAAAAATACAAAAATTAGCCAAGGGTGGTGGTGCACACCTATAGTCCCAGCTACTCGGGAGGCTGAAATGGAGAATCGCTTGAACCCAGGAGGTGGAGGTTGCAGTGAGCTAAGATCGCGTCACTGCACTCCAGCCTGGGCGACAAAGCGAGACTCCGTCTCACAAAAAAATAAATAAATAAATAAATAAAAACATTAAAAAAGGCCAGGCACAGTGGCTCACGCCTGTAATCCCAGCACTTTGGGAGGCCGAGGCGGGCGGATCACAAGGTCAGGAGATCAAGAGCCTCCTGGCTAACAGTGAAACCCTGTCTCTACTAAAAATACAAAAAAAAAAAAAAAATTAGCCAGGCGTGATGGCAGGCGCCTGTAGTCCCAGCTACTTGGGAGGCTGAGGCAGGAGAATGGCATGAACCCAGGAGGTGGAGCTTGCAGTGAGCCAAGATCAGGCCACTGCACTCCAGCCTGGGTGACAGAGTGAGACTCCGTCTCAAAAAAGAAAAAAAAAAAAAAATCCCTATGGCCAGGCCACGGTAGATCATGCCCATAATCCCAATGCTGTGGGAGGTCAAAGTAGGAGGATCACTTGAGCTCAAGACCAGCCAGAGCAACACAGTGAGACACTGTTTCTATTAAAAATAATTTTTTAAAATTAGCTGGGCACAGTGGTGTGCACCTATAGTTCCAGCTACTCAGGAGGCTGAGGCAGGAGGATCGCTTGAGCCTGGGGAGGTCAAAGGTAGTGCGAGCTGTGATAGCATCACGGCACTTAAGCCTCGGCGATAGAGCAAGACCCTGTCTCAAAACAACAAAAGAATCCCTGCAAGAACCTACTATCAAGTTTTTTGCCTTTTTTCTATTTTTATCTTTGGAGACAGCGTCTCATTCTACGGCCCAGGCTGGAGTGTAGTGGTACAATCTCGGCTCACTGCAACCTCGACCTCCTGAGCTCAATCAATTCTCCCGCCTCAGCCTCCCAAGTAGCTGAGACTACAGGCATGCACCACTGTGCCTGGCTAATTTTTGTATTTTTTGTAGAGACAAAGTTTTGCTATGTTGTTTAGGCTGGTCTCAAACTCCTGGGCACGAGTGCTCTGCCTGCCTCAGCGTTCCAAAGTGCTCGGATTACAGGTGTAAGCCACCACGCCCAGCCTATAGCTATTTTAAAACAGTTAGTAGGTACTTGAATTAGCCACATTTACCACGTTAATCTCATTTCACAAGAAAGAAGGTGTACTTGTAGAGGTAATCTCAGAGGGAATTAAACAATTGAAAACAAGAGTTCTAAGCTCTTGCTTCACTACTAGGTCAATGCCTTCAACTCTTCAACTTGGATCAAAGTTCAGTCTCTCAGCTTTATTTGTGGAGGATGTGGGGGGAAAAACACACAAAAAACACAACCCAGAAAATACGTGAAGTACAGCCTCCTGTCATTTTTATAATCCTAGTAACAAAAAGATATCAACTGGGATAGTCCCCGATCCAAACTGACATGTTTTCTTTCAGATTTCAAAATTTTCTTTTTTTAATCTTAAAATGTCTTAGAGAAACAAATTTGAAATACTTTGTTAGATGCTGAGTGGGTGAAGTTGCCCTCCAGACAACATGAAGTCCCTGCTACAACTGTCTATTGACTAATAGTAGTCAATGATGTCTCCCTTGTTTACACCACACATTTGCAGAGAGTCTGCCCTTACACCAGTGGAGACAGATTCCATAACAGTAGATGAGAAACACCATCGGATCATATGATGACACATTCAATTTGCTTAACTCTAAAAGAAATAAGAGGACTGATTAACTACCGTGGGTTTGGCTCCCAAAAGAATTTTCTTCAATGGTTTTGATGGTGGTTACACTGGGGTTCACAGAACTGACACTTGATGTCTGAGAGCTCTGAAAGACAGGTGTCTTGCCTTTTTCCTTTCTGATTTCCACCCTCCCGGTAGGCTCCTTCTGTGAACTATTAAGAAAATCAAACAGCAGCTCATCATCAGGTTCTGACTTTTTTCTTCGCACAAAATGGGATGAAGGCCTAGGAACAGATGCATTTTCAACAGGATGAGAGGCCTCTACTGGTGTCCGAGATCCTACTTTCACATTTGCAGTGCCAGCTAAGATGGTGGCTTTTTGATTTCGAATGTTATCAGCTGCTGATGAAATATACGTAGATTTAGGTCCAGTCTGATATATCAAATCTGTATTTTGCTGGTGAAGTTCAGTATAGTCAGTATTTTTGCTATATATGTTGCTGGCATTGTCTTTCCTACTGAGAGCTGTTGCAGCCCCTTGATCAACTCGGTTTAAAAGATCTTCTGCCTTTCCAGCAAGATCAACAAACCAAGACATGATGGCAGCAGGATAATCCTATTGGCAAACCTGTAAAAAGGACATAAAATGATCAGTGTGGCATAGTGGCAGAGTATGATAAATGGTTAAGACCAGACTCTGGAGTCAGGCAATCCTGGGTTGAAATCCTAACCCTACCTTTTACTAGCTAGGTAACCTTGAGAAAACTACTTAAATGAGGCTGAGAAATCTTATCTAGAAAATGGGGGGGAAAGTGTACTTACCTTATAGGATGGTTTTATGATGAAATAATATATAAAAAACACTTTGCAAAATGCTTGGCACATAATAAGCACTCATTTTAGTGGCTGCTATTACCATTATTACAACTACCACTACTGTTTTTATTATTATTTCTATTTTTATTATTTATTATTACTATTTCAAAGTAATAATAAATTACTGTTTTTATTATTACTATTTCAAAGAAGGGCAAATCTTTTTTTTTTTTTTTTTTTTTTGAGACGGAGTCTCGCTCTGTCGCCCAGGCCGGACTGCGGACTGCAGTGGCGCAATCTCGGCTCACTGCAAGCTCCGCTTCCCGGGTTCACGCCACTCTCCTGCCTCAGCCTCCCGAGTAGCTGGGACTACAGGCACCCGCCACCGCGCCCGGCTAATTTTTTGTATTTCTAGTAGAGACGGGGTTTCACCTTGTTAGCCGGGATGGTCTCGATCTCCTGACCTCATGATCCACCCGCCTCGGCCTCCCAAAGTGCGGGGATTACAGGCGTGAGCCACCGCGCCCGGCCGGGCAAATCTTAATGTAGCAAAAGCATCTGTTATGGGCTGAACTGCATCCCTCCAAATTCCTTTATTTAAGTCCTAACCCCCAGACCTCAGAATGTGACTGTTTTTGGAGATAGGATCTCTAAAAGGATAATTAAAATGAGTCGTCAGGGTGGCCCCTAATCAAATATAATTGGCATGTCCTTCTAAGAGGAGGAAATTTCAACACAAACAGGCATACAGAAAGGACAGAGGGAGAAGGCAGACATCTGCAAGCAAAAGAAGTACGCCTCAGAAGAAACCAACTCTGCCAATACCTTGATCTTGGACTTCAAGTCTTCAGAACTGAGAGAAAATAAATTTCTGTTGGCCCAGCCAATCAATCTGTGGTACTTTGCTACAGCAGCAAATTAAAACAACATCCAAACAGCAAATAACCAATATGGCAAAACTCCAGTACAACCAAATAAAAATAAAATTCACTGAAGTTTGTTTTAAAGTGCTAAAACTTGAAAAAACGTTTCCGTTAAATACAAAAGCTATCTTAATGTTAAACTGCAGCACTATTACATATAATTTAGGTGTGCACATAATTTATCTAAAGTACATGTTCAATAATTCACATACTCAATACCTACCATGTGCACATTAAGCTAAGTCCAGAATAAAAACCAAAATTGCATAACCACTCATTCCATACATATATTTGAGTACTTATTGTGTGCCACAATACATCAAAGTAATGATGAAGATATAGATACAGAAGGGCTCTATAATAAAGTCCACAACCATTTCTAGAATGTGCACGTTGTTCCTTTTGCCAAGAACTCTTTCATGGTTAACTTTCTTGTTCTTGGTCTTCACTCAAATGTCATTTGCTTCAGAGTTCTCCTTTCCAGCTAAGTTAGGTCAATCATTATCTGTACATACCCTATTCTTTTGCTTCACAGTCCTTCATGTTTTATAATTACGTATTTTTTTAACATGCTTCTTGTTCTTGGGGAAAGTGGGGCAGTGGCTGGATAAAGATTATGTCTGTTTTGCTCACCAATGAATTCCCAGAGTCTAGCACACAGTAGGCACTCACAAATACTGCTGAGTGGAATTTTTATATGACTGATGCTGTACACAGGTACACATGTATCTTTTATCACATGTAATTTTCACAGCCACGTTATGTGGTAAACAGCAATATCCTTTTTTTAAAGCAAATGTGGAAAGGGTTTAGAAAGATCCCAGAGTTTAGACAGCAGCTCAGATACTCAAGTCTAAGTTACCCTAGTGCCAAACCTACTTTTAACCCTTGCCTCCCTATACCATACAGCTCAAAATCTAAAAAACCTCAAGAAGAAACTCATCCTTTAAATCTGTTCTTTACACATGTGACTATTAAATGCCTATGTATTTCGGAGTTTATAAAAAATCAAATGAAAATGGAGATGAAATGCTCTGTAACATACAGAACACCATACAGGCCAGGCACTGTGGCTCACGCCTGTAATCCCAACACACTGGGAGGCCGAGCGGGGAGGACCACTTGAGGCCAGGAGTTTGAGACCAGCCTGGGCAACATGGCAAGACCCTGTCTCTACAAAAAAAGTAATAAAAAATCAAAACACGCTCATTAATTCTTTATATCTTGCCTCCCATTTCAAAATTAATTGGGCTTTAAAACATACCATGCAACTGCTACTAATGTTGCAATTAATGTCGATTACCTAATTAAATACTTAGATGGGCCCTGGGCAAACATCTCAAAGACACGAAGGACTTCAGAGGCACCCGTCAATTCCCCAGACACTGCCCAGGGGCAGAGAGTGCGTGGGATGGGGATGGGTCTGCAAAGGGCTGCGGCAGGGCCTGCTTCGAAGGCCAGGCGTCAGCACAGAGGGAGGGAGGCTGGAGGTCAGTCGGTCAGGCCCAGTCCGTAGAGCCCTGGGGTCTGTCAGTTTGGGGAATCTCAGGTAAGCGAGCAGAGACCCCCACTCTGCTCCCCACCCATCTCGTTCCGTGCGGGAAGAACGGCCAGGCCAGGCAGGGGTCAGGAGAAAGGAAGACAGAGGAGGGCAGTAAACGACGTCGGCTGAAGCCCAAGGAGTCTCTCCAGTTACCCTCCTCAGCCCCTAACAGGGCGAAGATGAGCGCGACCCGAAAGAAAACGGAGAGACCAGGGTCTCCACTGAAGGGACTGCGCCCCCGCTCCTAGGACCGTTAACACCCCCGTCTCGTCCAGTGGGCCCTCGCCTCCGCCTCACCTGAGGACTCCGGAGAGGCTGCACTACGGCCTAGCCGCCGTCCTGGGCCGCGCCCCCTCGGCGGCTGGCCCGGAGGGGGCCCAAGCTGAGTAAACCTCCTCCCCGACCCGCCGGGGCCCTGCTACCGCTTCCGGGAGACGTGGAAGGGAAGCGAGGACCCCACAACAGAGTGGCTTTCGAGCTGCCTGCACGGCAGGGAGACGCGAACAGCCACCTGCAGGCGACTCAGGCGGTGGCGCTGGCGGCTACGGGGTCCTCGCGCATGGCCACGCCCCTTTTCCGCCCGCGGCGAGAACAGGCGCGGCGCATGGCCTGCGTGCGTGTGACGTGGCTCGCCGCCGGTGGACGGCCCGCACGCCGTGAAAGGCCACACCCACAAAGGGCGGGGCCTTACTGCGGGCCACGTGGGTGACCAAAGGCGGTGCCCAGCCTGGAAGGAACGCGAGGCCTGAGTTGGGCGGGGCTTGAGACCCGGGTGGACCGGCTAGACCTCGTGTTTCTCCCTTTCCTCACCATCTCCCCTAAGTTTTACAGACGAGAATGCCAGAGGTCCACGGCAGAAGGTGGAAATAAGAAAACATGATCCGGATTGCATGGCGCTTACTTTCTAGTGGCAGAGACAGATATTACGTAACAGTGAATGGACAAGACAATTTCAGGGCGTTACCAGAGTTGTAACGACAAGAAAACGGGGAAAAGTGACTGGAGGCACGGGAGGTACTTTAAATCAGGTGGTCAGGGAAGGTCTCTCTGAGAAGATGATATTTGAGCTGAGACCCAAAGGATGGAAAAGGCAGTATTGTGGTTATGTTATGCATACAGTTCATTGACTATCTGAAATAAGTCTAAAATCCACATTCACTAATTCAAATACTCAGCACCCACTATGTGTACAGGATTGGGCTAACTTGGCCCTAATGACAAGCCTACAACACAGTTCCAAGTCTCAAATCTTTGAATTGAGGAAAGTAAGGTTCAAACAGTTTAAATAACTTGTCTAAGATCATCTGTCCTAATAAGGAGTCCACATTACTCCAAAGCCTATTCCTCGTAGACTCAAAGCTTTATTGTCTCCAAATTAAATATTGGAAGTAATTACAGCTCCTGCTTTTATTGCTCTCAGGTGAGGTTTAGCCCAGTACGGTGAAGAGAAAAATTTTCAGCAGCACCAGGAGGTGGTAATCATAATAATGGCATCTAACATTTATCAAACCTTTTATTAAGTGTAGAATACTGTGTTAAGCATTGCATGTGCCTCACTTCATTTTAATCTCACATGCATAAGGAAGGTACTATTATTCTCTGGTAGGTGGTATTGTTGTTCCTAACTATTAAGTTGCTTTTCCAGTTAAGGATTACACATCATCGCCCGTTGCCATGCGACTGCAGTGCATCCTGTAGGAGGAGCATTCTTTCCAGCCTCACTGATGTCAGGCTTGATTGTATGATCTTCTTTTGGCAGGGGGTCTTTCTGAGCAGTAGTATTAACAGTTATTACGTATTTCAACCAGAGAAATTTTTCCTTTCATGAGAATAGTCTGTGTCAGATGGGGCTGCTCTTTCAGCCTTGGTCCTGGAAGAAAAAGGGGATGTGAAGCAGCTCACATTTGAGATGTCACATGAGTGACATATAAACTTTTGCTGTTATAAGTCACTGAGATTTAGGATTGTTTTTTACACAGCCCTACCTAATAAAATCATACTACTATTAATATATTAAACCATTTTACAGATGAAGACACTGAGATTCAGTGAGGTTTAGTTACTTGCCCATGGCCACATAGAAGCAAAAGTAGAACAACTGGGATTCAAACTTGGGACAGTGTGACTCTAGAAACAGTGTTTTAATTGTCGAAGGGATGAGAATGAAATAAGTTGAGGAGGAACCAGTCTTCCACTGTATTGGACGAAACCTGACCTGAGAGGAAGAAAAGCAGGAGCTGTAATTACTCCCAATATTTAATCTGGAGACAAAACTTTGAGTCTAAGGGCACAGGCTTCGGAGTAATGTGGACTCCTTGTTAGGACTGATGATCTTAGACAAATTACTTAACCTATTTTTTTGGGTTTTTTTTGTTTGTTTGTTTGGTTGGTTTTTTGAAATGGAGTCTTGCTCTGTCGCCCATCCTAGAGTGCAGTGGCGCGATCTCGGCTCACTGCAACCTCTGCCTTCCAGGTTCAAGTGTTTCTCCTGCCTCATCCCCCTGAGTAGCTGGGACTAGAGGCGTGTGCCATGATGCCTGGCTAATTTTTTGTATTTTTACTAGAGACGGGGTTTCACCATGTTGGCCAGGCTAGTCTCAAACTCCTGACCTCAAGTAATCTGCCTGATCAGCCACCCAAAGTGCTGAGGTTACAGGCATGAGCCACTGTGCCCAGCCCTTAACCTGTTTGAGTCTTACTTTCCTCAACTTGAAGATGAAGACTAGGGGCCATGTTGTAGGCTTGTCATTAGGGCCAAATTGGCCTGATCCTGTGCACATAGTGGGTCCTGAGTATTTGAATTATTGAATGTGGATTTTAGACTTAATTCAGATATTCCAAAAAATGGCAATGGGCAGGCCCCAAAAAAGAGTATTTCAAGAATTCCCACATATACCCCCTAAGAGGTCAGCATATAGATGCCTGCCATGCATACATTATTGGGGCCAGGGTGGATTAGCCAGAGAAACAGCACAACAGAGAGAGGCTACAACCTTGCCCAATGGGTCAGAAAATTTGCTCTTTTCTTCCCACCTCCTCCCTGCCCTAATGCCACCAGTGGAGCTAAAGCCTAGAAAAGAAAGGGGAAGAAGGAAGTCTCTAGAGCTGTAGGGCAACCAAGCTAGTCTGCTCCAGAGATCAGGGGAAAGAACTTTGAATAGAGCTTAAGGATGAAGTTTTAAACAAATGGGGCTATATTGTGACTTCTGGAATGGCAGAGTAAGGAATTCAGCAAATTCTCTTCCCCAAAAAACAATGATGAAATTGGACACAATTGTAAAAAACAACCATTTCAAATTCCTGGAAATCCACCACAGGTATAACATAAATTAAAATGCATTTATTCAAGAAAAACTATTAAACCTTGGGTAACAACAGTGAGAGTCTGTGACACGTTACCATGGGGAAATTCCCAATCCCTCTCCTCCAGTTCCATGGGAATAGTTCTGTCAGGGCTGCGTAAATGTGAAAACCAGCAGCTTTGCTGCCAGAGGGGGCTGACTTGGTAAGGAGTGGTGCCAGCAAAACCCCATGGCCAAGGAGAAAGGTTGATTGGGAATGCCAACATCACAATTACCTGGGCTGCAAGACTGGTTGAGCAAACAGCTGATTAGAAAGCCTGCTGGAAGTTTAGCAGTGAGATCCAGGGAATCAGATAGCCATAGTGGGCTTTGGCGATGCGCTTATGGTCTGGAAGGCTGTGTCAGTTCAGGAGAGTCTGGCAAAAGCCCCAGTCATCTACTCAACCCTGGCGGAACATGAAGCCTTGCACAGAGGCAGAGGAGACACAGGAAAACAAAAGCCAGAGAAGCCTTGCAGAGATGCAGAGGAGACACAAGAAAACCCAGCAAAACAAAAGTCAGAGCAGTCTTGTAAATTGCCTGAATTTTGAATGTTCTTCAACCCATTTAGATGACACAGGTCCATCAAGAAAGGGTAGAAGTCTTACTGGCTTGAGGTGTCTAATTACCACATCTGATCAATCATTGACTAAATTCTAAGCTATATTGACCTTGGTGAAAACCTTAGAAAACCAACCTTAGAAATAAACGTAAAAGAGAAAAAAATAAAACTGAGCAGAAACATCAATGTCAACACACTATGGAAGAGAAACTCTGCAGAATTAGTCCAGGCAAGTCACACAACAAATGTATAAACTAAGAAAAACAACAAAAAACACCCTCTGAGGGGCACACCAAAACACAGGAGTTGCTACACTATATTATCTAAATTGTCCAGTTTTCAATTAAAAAAAAGCAGACATGCAAATGAACAGAAAAATTGACCATACACAGAGGTGAAAATCAGTATAAATGTTGTGAGATGTTGGACTTAGCATATAAGGACTTCAAGGAAGTTACTCAACCATGAGATCAAGTCTCACACAGCACATCTACTCTATTTAAAAAAAAAAAGAAAAAAAATATGTCCAAAGAACTAAGTGAAAATATGGCAGCCAGCTGTGGCAGCTCACACCTGTAATCCCAGCACTTTGGGAGGCCAAGGCAGAAGGATTGCTTGAGCTCAGGAGTTTGAGACCAGCTTAGGGAACATAGTGAGACCCAGGCTCAAACAAACCAAAAACAAAAACAAAAAAATTACAACAATGCTTCATAAAATAGGGAATATCAGTAAAGAGATAGGGATTATTTTAAAAAGCAATGGAATTCTAGAATAAAAGTACAATAAGTAAAAAATAAAAAATTTCACTAGAGGAGTTCAATGCAAATTTGAGTGGGCTGAAGAGACAATTAGAAAACTTGAAGACAGATCAATAGAATTTGTCCAATCAGTATAAAGAAAAAAGAATAAAAAATGAGGTGATTCTCAAAGATCTGTGTGACATCATCAGATATACCAACATGTATGTAATGGGAATTTCAGAAGGAGAGAAGGATTGGGAGGAGGGGGGATATTTGAGGAAAAAAAATAGCCAAAAACTTTCCAAGTTTGATGAAAACATTAATCTGTACATCTAGGAAGCTCAATGATCTTCAAATAGGACAAACACAAGGACATTCAACCTGGCACATAACAGTCAAGCTGTTGAAAGACAAAGAAAATCTTAAAAGCTGTAAGAGGAAAATGACTCATCAAAGATAGAGGAACAAGAATAACAGCTGACTTCATATCATAAACAATGAAGGAAGAGGGCAGTAGGATAACATGTAAAATCCTAAAGGGGAAAAAAACTGTCAACCAAGAATTCTATTTCCAGCAAAACTATTCTTCAAAAATGAAGGCTAGATAGAGACATTCCCAGATAAACAGAGACTGAGAGAAGTTGTGGCTAGTCCTATAAGACTTGCCCTATAAGAAATAATAAAGAAAATCATTCAACCTGAAAGGAAGTGACACCAGGTGGTAATTCAAATCGAGCATAAAGAAATTAAATAGAGCAGAGTGTTAAATACTGAAACAAGTCTGTTCTAATTACTAAAAGTGGCTGAAAATTATGGAAGCAGGCAAGATGTCATCAAGGAAACTATGGCTCAGAGGAAAAAATGGGAATTGATATAAATATCTTTGAGAATTATTGGAAGAAATTAAACCATTTCCTGTCAGTGTCCCCAGTGAGTTGAGGCTACCTAATAAGCAATTAAACTAATATCTCAGAGTGTTTCCCTCCTCCAGCGGTGGAAACATAAGCTCCTTTTTGGGAGTAACTCCCCTTCTGAGTCTCCCATTTAACTGGCATCACAACCAATATACTCTTTCTTCTACTCTATACTTCTTCATAACATTTACACAATTGTAATTATATGAGGGAGGGCAGGGACAGTGTCTGTCCTGTCTATGGCTGTTTCAACAGAACCCAGCAAAGGACATGGCACAAGAAGATACTCCTACATACTGAATAATGAATGAATGATAATGTTCAGTAAATTGAGATAGCATGGAAAAGAGGCAGAAATCAGATGAACTGGTTTTTAAAAATGGCTGTTAATTATCCTCAAGTAACTTAATCTTTCTGACCCTCAATTTTATTATCAGGAAAAAAGACTGTACTCAACTAGAATATATCTAGGCTAGAAAGTAGGAAAACCTTGGTTCTAATTGTGATTCTCTAGTTTCTAGCTGTGGGAACTTGAGCAAACCCCTTCTCTTCCCAGGCATCATTTATTAAATGGAGATATTGAACTAGAATTAGGGATCACAAGTCTGCAGCCTCAATTAATTGCTTTCGTTTTGTTTGTTTTGTTTTAAATTAAATTTTGTTTTAATTTAAATTTTAAGTTAAAACAGCACAGTGTTTAATTTCATTCTGTTGCTCAGGCTGGAGTGCAGTAGTGCAGTCTTGGCTCACTGCAGCCTCAACCTCCTGGGCTCAAGTGATCCTCCCACCTCAGCCTCCCAAGTAGCTAGGACTACAGGCACATGCTGCCATGCCTGGCTAATTTTAATATTTTTTTGTAGAGACAGGGTTTCACCATATTAACCAGGCTGGTCTTGAACTACTGAGCTCAAGCAATCCACCCACCTTGGCCTCCCAAAATGCTGGGACTACAGTTGTGTGCCACAGTGCCTGGCCAAAATTAAGAATTTCTGTTCATAAAAATTGAATGAAAGGAAAGCCACAGATTGGGAGAAGGCATTTACAACACATGTATCTGACAAAGGACTCATATCTAGAATATAATGCACTCTTACAAATCAAAATTTTAAAAAAAATCCACCTAATAAGAATGAGCTAATAAACACTTTGCAAGAGAAAATATCCAAAAGCACATGAAAAGGTGTTAACATTATTAGTCATCAGAGAAATGCAAATTAAAATTATAATGAAATACATTTGCATACCCACCAGAATGGCTAAAATGTAAAAAGATGGAAAATTCCAGGTACTGATGAGGACATAAGGCCACTGGAACAGGCATACATTTCTGAGAGGAGTGTAAGTGATAGGACCACTTTGGAAAACATTGGGTATATCTGCTAAAATTAAACAGAGGCCTACTCTATGACCTAGCATAGATTTACCCTATGAGTCAGTAATTCTGCTCGGGAGAAATGAATACAAGTACCTACCCAAAGACATTTATTTACAAGGATGTTCAAAGCAGCTTTATTCATAATAACGCAAACTGGAAACAACTCAAATGGTAATAAACTGGTGAATGGATTACAAAATTGTGGTATAGCTCTACAACATGATACTTCACACCAGTGAAAAACAAGACACTGCAACACCATAGATGAAACTCATAGGTATAATTTTGCCTTAAAAAAGCCAGTCCAAAAAGACTATAATTCTATTTCTCTACAGGTCAAGAACAGGCAAAGCAAATTTGTGATTACAAAAGTTATAATAAGGCCAGGCATAGTAGCTCACGCCTGTGATCCCAACACTTTAGGAGGCTGAGGCAGGAGGATCACTTGAGCCTGGGAGTTCAAGACCAGCCTGGGCAATGCAGGAAGACCCCATCTCTACAAAAAAATTTTTTAATTAACCAGGCATGGTGGTATGTGCCTGTAGTCCCAGCTACTCAGGAGGTTGAGGTAGGAGGATTGCTCGAGCCCAGGAGTTTGAGGTTGCAGTCAGCCGTGATTGCGACACTGCACTCCAGCCTGGGTGATGGAGTGAGACTCTCTCTCAAAAAAATAAAATTAAAAAAAAGAAAAGAAAAGAAGAAGTTACAGCATCAGTTATCTCTTGGGAGGGCAGATATTGACTGGGAGTGGTCAAGGTGGAGGTGCTCATAGTGTTCTACATCTTAACATTGGTATTCATTATAGGTGTAGATACATATGTAAAAATCCATCCAACACTTTATTCAACAACAGTTGTTTACATATATCATGTTATACTTAAAACAATTTCAAAAAATACATACCTTTAAGAAGGCAGTTCCACTTTTAAGAAATTACCCTACAGATACACTCACATTATGCAAAATGACATATATGAAGTTATTAATTACAGTGTTGCTTATAACAGCAAATAAGAAGTTACATGTTCATTGCTTTAAAACTCTTGGTACATTCTTCCAGTGGAATATTATGTGGCTGTTTTTAAAAAGAAAAAGGATGTCTTATGCAAGGATACGAAAAAAGCTCTAAGATCTTAAGAATATATGTTAAATTAGAAAAAAACACAAAAGGAAAATAATGGTGTATATAGTGTGATTTTGTAATTGCCTGACAGGTTCTTCTTGCCCACTGCACAGATTTACTGAGACAGCAGTATTGCAGTAGAGAAAGAGTTTAATTAACACAAGGCTAGCCAAGTGGAAGATGGGAGCTTATTACTTGAAATCAGTCTCCCTGAAAATTTGGAGGTGAGGGTTTCTTAAAGATAGCTTGGTGGCCTGGGGTCTAGGGAATGAAGGATGTTGACTGGTTGGGTTGGGGATGAAATCATAGAGGGTCAAAGCTATCTTCTTGTGCTGAGTCATTTCCTGGTGGATCGCAAGACCAGATGAGCCAGTTTCTTGGTATGGGTTACAGGTCCAGGTGGCACTGAGAGGAGTTAGCCAGCTTGCCTTATGTAGACAGCAAGGGAAGGGTCCCCAGAGAGCCCCCAACCCACAGGGGATGACCTGTCTCATCCCCACATAACAGAAAAAGCAGCCTGGGAAAAAAATCAAGCTGCAAGCAACAACAAGGGAACTAGCACAGAGGGCTGTGCCTGGAGACATGCCCGAGGCTTCACAGATAGGAGAACCTCCAGCCCGTTCAGATAAAAACTTGCACAAACCTCCAGCTCACTCAGATAAGGGAACAAGGCCTGACATAGAAATGACTTTTTCTTTTCATAATCAGTGGGCTCCTGGGAAAAAGTTTCTTCTCCTTTTTAGGACATGAACACAGTGGGCTCTGGTGGGTTCTGGTGGGCACTTTTCCTTTCCTTTTTGGATTGTGAGACTAGCCTCTATGAATCATCACTTCAGCCCCTGATTGGTCCCAGGCTAAGGTCCTTGGGCCAAGCTGAGTCACTTTCTCCAAGACAGCCCACAGACTAAGCACATTCCTTCCCCTTCCCAGTTTATAAAATCCCTGAACCCCAGCCTCCTAGTGGGCAACCCATTCAGGCTTCCCTCTCTGCTGGAGGAGAGTTTTCGTCTTTCGCTTATTAAACTTTCGCTCCCACCTCACCCTTGTGTCTGTGCTCCTTAATCATCTTGGACATGAGATAAAGAACTCCGAGTGATACCTCACAAGAGAGATCACTACACTGTGGTGCGTTGGTGAGACTACAACAACACCAGCTGGTCCATCAGAATACGGGGTCTGAAAAATGCCATCAACACCAATCTCAGATTTTAACAATAGTGGTGGTGTCTACAGGAGCAAACGGGGAGGTTACAAATATTGTGACCTCCAGAACAATGGCTAGTTATAGTTTAACTACACTTATATCTTAGCAGGTGTAGGCCCCTCCCATAATACTAATCTTACGGCCTTTCATTCGCTTTTTTTTTTTTTTTTTTTTACTTTTTTTCAATTATTGTTGTTTTGTTTTGCTTTTTTGAGACAGGGTCTCGCTCTGTTGCTCAGGTGAATGCAGTGGTGCAATCTCCGCTCACTGCAACCTCTGCCTCCTGGGTTCAAACAATTCTCCTGCATCAGCCTCCTGAGTACCTGGGACTATAGGCACCCACTGCCACACCTGGCTAATTTTTGTATTTTTAGTAGAGATGGGTTTTTGCCAGGTTGCCCAGGCTAGTCTCCAACTCAGGCTTCAAGTGATATGCCCACTTCGGCCTCCCAGAGTGCTGGGATTACAGGTGTGAGCCACTGCGCCTAGCCAGCCTTTCGTTAGTTTTTAAAAGGTGGTTTTAGTCTCCAGAAAAGGAGGGGGTAGTTTGCGGAAGGGATACTATCATCCTTGCTTTAAGGTTAAATTATAAACTAAATTTCTCCAAGAGCCAGCTTGGCCTATGCTCAAGAATAAACAAGGATAGCTTGGAAGTTAGAAGCAAGATGGAATCAGCTATGTCAGATTTTTCTTACTGTCATAATCTTGCAAATGTGCTTTCACTGTCATTTGTGTAAAAATACTTTTTATAGGTAGAGTCTATGTCTTGAAGGACACCTTGTTTGCATCCAGAGAGGAGGGCTTAGCTAGGTAACAGGAGTGAGAGGAAGGTTTATCTATTTATTTATTTATTTTTGAGAGGGAGTCTCGCTCTGTCACCCAGGATGGAGTGCAGTGGTGTGATCTCGGCTCACTGCAGCCTCCACCTTCCAGGTTCAAGCGATTCTCCTGCCTCAGCCTCCCAAATAGCTGGGACTATAGGAGTGAGCCACCACGCCTGGCTAATTTTTGTATTTTTAATAGAGACGAGGTTTCGCCATGTTGGCCAGGCTGATCTTGAACTCCTGACCTCAGATGATCCACCCGCCTTGGCCTCCCAAAGTTCTGGGATTACAGGCATGAGCCACCATGCCCAATGGGTTTATTTTTTAATGTATCCTTTTTTGTAAGTACCCTTTGAACTCTGTACCATGAGAATCTTATTTTTGAAAGTAAATAACATTAAAAAATTATTTTAAACTTTGAATACCCCAGGAGATAGAATGTATTCTCTATGTCTTCACAGCCCTGCCTCTGTGAATCCTTATACCCCACATTTAAAGTATCTGTTCAGCCCCTGCAGGCTTCCTCCAGGGACTTTGTGACCCTCACTAGAAGATTCCTGTGTCTTTCAGCTCCTTAGCGCTGTGATTCTACTTTGCACAGATGTAGAGAATGAAATTGTGAGCCTTTTTGTGCATTTTTATCTTCCAGCAGCAGAGGGCACTTAGTACTTAAAAATATGTACCTTATGTTTGTATGTATGTTGTATATCTAGACTGACAAGTAACATAAGTATTGCTGTATCCTTTCTTTTATAGAGCACAGAGTGTAGTATTTTTATGAATTGACCTTGGATGACTCAAGGGGATTTTATATTCCTACACCTTTTTGGAAGTTCCCCAGATGTGACAGGCCAGTTCTCGTGTTTTCCATATTATCTGGGCTGCTAAACTGCTCCCAGGGATAAATCTCTTCACCCCTGAGCCCCTGATGAACCTCTTAGATCCCCCTCTCTCCCTATCCTCAGCTGTCCATGCCTTTGAAGAGCCCTCCAACCCCGATATGTCCCCATGTTGGTAGTGGGGCTGGGCGGAGAAAGTGCTTTACGTTGTCCTGGAAATAGCACAAGCCTGGGAGTAAACAAACTATGTTGTGCCTTGCTATGGCGTCATGGACAACTCTCTCAGGGCCTCAGTTGGTGGTTTATAAGGTGTATGTGGGTGATTGCTTCTTATGCCATAAAATTATTTCTTTTTCTTTTTCTTTTTTTTTGAGACGGAGTCCAGCTCTGTCGCCCAGGCTGGAGTGCAGTGGCGGGATCTTGGCTCGCCGCAACCTCCGCCTTCCGGGTTTAAGCGATTCTCCTGCCTCAGCCTCCCGAGGAGCTAAGATTACAGGCTCCTGCCACCACGCCCGGCTAATTTTTGTATTTTTAGTAGAGACTGGGTTTCACTATATTGGCCATGCTGGTCTCGAACTCCTGACCTTGTGATCCGCCTGCCTTGGCCTCCCAAAGTGCTGGGATTACAGGCGTGAGCTACTGCGCCCAGCCAAAATTATTTCTTTAAAGTGCTAAATTGAACTAAATTTGGCCTGAGGATGCCTCTATACTTGAGTTCTTACATAAGGAACTGCAACCTAACTTGGCACATAAACTGAAAGCCTAACTTAGGAGTATACTTTTGTAACAAAAGTCTCAGCCAATCATAGCAGCAGAGCTTCAGTCAGTTACAGGTGGGCAACTGATCAGACCTTGTCCAAATAAGGCCTTTCTCTCCAGCTCCATCTTAAACTGCTCTCCTCCTTACCCACATGCTCCAGCCATCCAGCCCTCAGGAACATTGGCCTTGCTATTCTCACTGCCTGGAAATTTACTCTCTGCACCCCTTATCTCCTACAGGGAGCAATCTAAGGGACCAATGAGGAAACCACAATGCCTTTTATAATCCAGCCTTGGAAGTCAGAAACCAACGTTTCCATCATATTGTACTAGTTTCACAGACCATCCCCAATTCACTGTGGGAGGAGAATACAGGAGGGCATGTGTACCAGGAGGTGAGGATCTGTAGGGGCCATCTTGGGGCCAACAATTACAGATTGTTGACAAGTAATGTCTGCGATTTGCTAGAAGATTATCTGGACTGGGGTTGGCGAGGGTACAAATCAGACAAGACTGCTCATCATTGATCAACACTGAGTTTGGCTGATCATTACATATGGTCCTTTACACTGTGCTGCCTACGCTACTACATATTTGAGATTTTTTGTAATAAAAAGTTAAAAACAAAAAAGACAATGTATATAGTGTGGGAGTTCACCTGTTCAGCCAGAGTGGAGCAACTGCTATTCCCAAACCCAAGTTCACCTTTTCACCAGGCCTTATAGAGTATCTGATACACACTTGCCTAGTTGGTCAGAATTAGCTAGAAGTGAACACAATTATTAAGAAAATAAGTTGCAGAAATACATGTATGATATAATAGCATTTATTTAAAACTTTTAAACCTATAAAATAATACTATATAATTTGTATAGATATTGAAATGCATATTAAGGGTAAAAAATTTACAGGAATAATAAACATTAATTTATTATAGTAGTTACTTCTGGATGGAGAAAGCAGGGACAGATGCCTTTAGAAATATGTTTATGATTTTTTAAGGGTAAGAAACAAAATATGGCATAATGTCATCACTTGATAAAGTTGGTGGTAGGTAAATGGGTGCTAGATATTCTATAGCTTTGTCTTTTTTTTTTTTTTTTTTTTTTGAGAGGGGGGTCTCACTGTCTCCCAGGCTGAAGTGCAGTGGCATGATCTCTGCTCACTGCAACCTCTGCCTCCCAGGTTCAAGTGATTCTCATGCCTCAGCCTCCTGAGTGGCTGGGACTACAGGTGCACACCACCACACCTGGCTAATTTTTTGTATTTTTAGTAGAGACAGGGTTTCTCCACGTTGGCCAGGCTGGTCTGGAACTCCTGACCTCAGGTGATCTGCCAACCTCAGCCTCCCAAAGTCCTGGGATTCCAGACATGAGCCACCGTCCCTGGCCTATCTTTCTATTACTGATGGAGATTTGGGTTGTTTCCAGATTTGGAGTAATACTGATGGGAATATGATTATTCATGTATCCTGATGCACATATGCATGAGTTTTCTTGGGTAAATGCCTGGGAATACAATTTCTGCATCTCAAGAAGAGTGCATTTTCAACTTGTCTTTGTAACGCAAAACCAGTTTCCAAATGGGTTGTCCCTCTTTATGTCCCCACCAACGTGTCTGCAAGTATCACTTGCTCCATAACCTCACCAACATCTGCTATTGTCAGACTTTTTACTTTTTGCCAATCTGGTAGGTTTATAATAGGCATCTTGTTTGGGGTCTTTAATCCACCTGAAATGGATTTTTTTGTATGTTGAATGAGGTATTTCTTCCCTTCCTTCGGTCTCTGCTCAAATGTCATTTTCTCAGAAAGGCTTCCCTGAATATTCTATATGATAAATTCCCCAGGGCTCCCATCTCTCATTCTCTATTCCCTTACCTGGTTTTATTTTTCATTAACTTCTGACATCATATTCTACATTTATTTCTCTTATGTCATATTTATGTGGTTGAGTTATTTTTATTCTCTTAACAGATAGCAGCTGTGGTCTAAAGGCTTTGCGCATATTCATTCTTTCAATTCACATTATAACCCTGTGAGGAACAGGCCTATGCGGTGAGTCCTATTATTAGCTCGATATTATAGATGAAGAAACCAAAGCCGGAGAGATTAACATGCTCAAAGTCACACAGCTGATAAGTGGCAGAGCCAGGCAATGGCACAGGGGCCGCTACTTATTTATTACCTTGTTCTCCATTAGAATATGAGCTCCAGAAGGATGAAAGCTTTGTCTGTTTTGCTTACCTCGTGCCCAGAACAGTGCCTGGCACACAGGAGGTGTTCAGTACATACTTGTTGAATAACCTTGGCAAGCCCCAGTCTTAGTTCTCTCTTAGAGCTGAATGCCACATCTGACACTGATCTGCAGAGATGTAACAGGAGATTATTAAACCTAGCTCTTTCTCCTTCCCTTGCAAATCATATTGCCTTACGATGCTTCCTCAGTAAAGGTTAAGTCTGGGTCACCCAACCTCAGCATGATTCACATTTTAGGCTGCATAATTCTTGGCTGTGGGACACTGTCCTGTTAGTGCATTGGAGGATGTTTAGCAGCATCCATGACCACTACCCACCAGACACTAGTAAGAAACCCCCTTCTCCCAGGTGTGACACTTAAAAATGTCTCCAGACATTGCCAGGTGACCCCTAGGGGACAAAATTATCCCCAGTTGAGAACCACTGAGCTAAACTTTGAAGTTTGTCTTTGAACATGGAGTGTGGGTGGGGGGAGTATCAAAATGTCACAGAGAGGCCGGGTGTGGTGGCTCACACCTGTAATCCTAGCACTTTGGGAGGCCAAGGCGGGCGGATCACCTGAGGTCAGGAGTCCAAGACCAGCCTGGCCAACATGGCGAAACCCCATCTCTACTAAAAATACAAAAATTAGCCGGGGTGGTGGCGTGCGCCTGTAATCCCAGCTACTCTGGAGACTGAGGCAGGAGAATCGCCTGAATCCAGAGGGCCGAGGTTGCAGTGAGTTGAGATCACGCCAAGGCACTCCAGCCAGGGTGATAGAGCTAGACTACGTCTCAAAAAGAAAAACCCACAGAGGAGGGAAAGAGGGACAATATGATCTGGAGATGCTTGCATCCAGCAAGAGAAATCTTCTTCGTCTCTCTGTGTTGGGATGGTGGGTGGGAAAGGGAGGTCAAAGTGCAAGGCCCTTCTTTCCTCCTCCCCACCCCCAAGTTCAACTGTGAAAGGGGGGGTTCCTAGGCTGCACATAGGTGCTTAGAGAAGTCCTAGTACATAGGATTTTCTCTCCACTTCTCAGCACACAGGCCAGGAATCTGCAAGCCCCCCATAACACAGGCCCACATTCAGGGGGTCGTTAAGAAATGGCAGAGGAACATGCCTAGGCAGGCGTGCAGGTGTGCTGGAGGGCAGCCGAGAGAGACCTACACACTCCAGAGTAGTTTGGAGAAGGTGGCTGAGGGTTTCTGGATCCTTGCAAAGCACAAAAGTTCAGAACAACTCTGTAGTGCAGCAGCATGGTGCCAGCAGCAAGTCCCAGTTCAGCACCTTGAAAACCCAAGTGGGACCAGCCAAGCAAGCACCAGGGCCCAGGAACTAGACCGGGCAAGTCTCAAGACATCAGAGACCAGTAAACCTAGAAGAACAGCATGTGACAAAGGGTCCTCTTCCCACTGCCACAAGGATACAGAAGCCCACCCTGTCTCCAGATGCCATCTTGGAAAAGAGAAGTGGGAACAGGAAGTGTATTAGTCAGAATGCAGAGTCAGCTACCATGACAGAGATCAAAGTGACAATGACATAAACAAGATAGAAGGTTTCTCTCTTGTGAAGCATCCAAGTATTAGCAGTCCAGAGCTAATGGAGAAGCTCTTTGGTGTTGGAGACTCAGGTTCGTTCTCCCTTGAGCTCTTCCATTCCTAGACTGTTGGCTTCATCTGGTCTAAGATGGCTCCACACCATGGCACTTTCCAGGCAGCAACATAGAGACTGTATGGATATTATCCTATTGGCCAGAACTGAGTCACATGGCTGTACCTGGCTTCAAGTGAGGCTGGGAAATGTAGTCTTTAATTGGGAAGCCATGGGCCTGGCTAAAGCTCAGGAGTTCTACCACTAAAGGAAGTAAGGGGGCTGCCAGGAAGACAGTCTGAAAGACGAATCCACTTTTCCAAAGGAATCTGAAGGAAAGTGATTTAAACCAGTGGAATCTGAGCTGTCTCTAAGTGGCAGCTTCAAGTCATCTCGTCCCTATGCCCTGCTCTTTCTCCCTACAATGGGGGCTCCAGATCCAGAGAGCAGTTAAAGGAAATAGTGAAACACAATATCTTTTGCAGAGCTGAGGGTTACTTCACATATTTTCAACCTTTTGGAGAAAAAAACAACAGAGAACTGGGTGAAGTTTGAATTGCAGCTCCTCTGTTTCAGAGCACTCAGGCAGGCTGGCAGCTCACTCTTGGGAGAAAGGGACTGGACAGGCCTCTGTCACCAGCATTAATGGTCATCCCACAGTAAGTCTAAGGAGAGGCACATCAGACTTCTAAGGAAGTCTCATGAGTATTCAACAAGTATCAGATGATGACAGAATAGGAGGAGGTTTAGGGTAGGTAGGAGACAAGCCTGAAGTCAAAGACCCCATGAGCCCAATATTATAATGATTATCCCTCTTTGGTATTAGAGGAATAATAAGTGCTCTTGTTTCATTCTTAATACTAGCTCAGAACCTACTAGCAGAGTACTATTTTATCAGCCAATCTTCATGAAAAATCTGTGAAGCAGGGACTATTGTTATTCCCATTTTACAGATGAGAAAACGGAACCTCAGAGAAATTAAACAAGAATGACCCAACATCTCTAAGAGAGGTGAGCCTGGAGAGCAGAGGAATTGAGCTGGGCTGGGGCTTTTCTTCCCTAAGGATCCTACGGAACATGTTGCATCACCATCAAACATGGTGGAGTATGTTTCTTAGAAAGATGGAGGAAGACATTCCTGGCAGGTCATGGTGGCTGATGCCTGTAATCCTAGCAGTTTTGGAAGCCAAGGCAAGAGAATTACTTGAGCCAGTACTTCCAGACCAGCCTGAGCAACACAGTGAGACCCTGCCTCTATAAAAACACAAAAAAATTAGCAGTGTGTGGTGGCACATGCCTGTGGTCCCAGCTACTCGGGAGGCTGAGGCCAGAGGATCACTGCACTGTAGCCTGGGCAGCAGAGCAAGACCCTGTCTCAAGAAAAAAGAGAAAGAAAAGAGGAAGAAATTCCTGACTGCTCTTAATACAGTTATTTTCCAAAAGGGAGACACTGAATTTATATGTGATACGTATAATGATCGTGTGTGTGTGTGTTGATAAATAGAAAGCTTATTGCAAAATCTGTGACCCACCCGAGGGAAGCCCACAGTTTTCAAACTCACTTCTAGCCACATTGTATGTCACCACCTCTGTTCTGTCTCCTTATACTTCACTTTTCTCCCCTAAATCATTCTTAATGCAGAAACTTGTTCTTAGGAGGAAAAGACTTGACTCTGTGGAGTCAGCGTCAAGTGCAGTGAGGTGTGTGCAGCTTTTAGCTGCACAAATGGAGAAAAACATTAACGATTTTTTGTGTCAAGCAACACTGAGGACAATGAATTCCATATCTTTGCTATGATGAACTTCCATATAATATCTTGCAAGACAAATCAGGATATATTAATACTAGGAAGACAGGGACAGGCCATAGGAACTGTCAGAGGCCACTTCTCTATGTGCAAAGCCTGCGATGTGTTGCAAGTGAGTTATGGAGGGCATGCTCTCAGGAGAAACCTAGAGGGGAGGGAGAGAAATGGAAGAGGGCAAAGGAAGATGCTCTGTAAAGACGAAGCTTCAGGAGGAGGTGGGCCCCAGCCTGATCCCACAGGGAGTTCTGGAGCATGGCTGGTACCATAGAGATAGATCCTTCTGCCCAGAGGCAAGAAGGCTGAGCTGTTACAACCTCCGCATCCATCAGTCGTTGGCCAATAAAGCAGGTATAACCTCCCAACCATCTGCTGTGGAGGACTGGGGGACAGCTTCCCACAACCAAGAGCAGAATGGAAACCAACCTGAGAGGGGTGCGGAGTGAGCTCATAGCAGCCAACACCACAGCAGGGAAGAGGCAGTGCACGGGCCCAGGACAGAGGACCTGGGCAGGCCACCAAGAGCATTTTCTACACTTGGAGTTATCACAACAGATGCATGATACTAAAGGCACAGATCTATGATAGGTTTTTCATTGCATTAACTATTCTATTTATTCATTTTTTAATGGACTTTATTTTCTAGAGCTGTTTGAGGTTCACAGCAAAATTGAGTGGAAAGTTCCATTTTTCTTAAACTCTGTGTTTAACACAGAGTTCCCATATTCCTTCCCCCACCCCAGCTTGTTTACAATCAACATCTCACATCTGAGTGGCACATTTACTGCAATCAATGCACCCGCACTGATACTTCATTATCATCCAAAGTCAGTAGTATATATGAAGGTTCACTCTTGGTGATGTATGTTTTACGGGTTTTGACAACCGTCCAATGACATGTGCCCACCATTGCAGTATCATAAAGAACAGTTTCACTGCCCAAAAATCCTCTGTGGTCTGCCTATTCATCTCTCCCAACCCCTGGCAACTGCTGATTTTTTTTGACTGTCTCTATCGTTTTGCCTTTTCCAGAATGTCATATAGTTGGAGTCATGTAGTATTAGCCTTTTCAGATTGGCTTCTTTCATTTAGTAATATGCATGGAAGCTTTCTCCATGACTCTTCCTGGCTTGACAGCTCATGTGTTTTTAGCACTGAACAATATAATATTTCATTTTCTGGATGTACTACATCTAATAAAGAACAATTTTTTTTTTTTTTTTGTGGTGCCAGAATGTTGCTCTGTTATCCAGGCTGGAGTGTAGTGGCACAATCTCAGCTCACTGCAACCTCTGCTTCCCTGGTCCAAGCAACTCTCCTGCCTCAGCCTCCCAAGTAGCTGGGATTACAGGCGCCTGACACCAGGCCCGGCTAATTTTTGTATTTTTAGTAGAGATGGAGTTTCACCATGTTGGTCAGGCTGGTCTTGAACTCCTGGCTTCAATTAATCTGCCCACCTTGGCCTCCCAAAGTGCTGGGATTACAGGCATGATCCACCGTGACTGGCCTCAATAAGGTTGTTATAAAAAAAAAAAAAAGAAAGAAAACTTTGGACTATAGAGCTAACAGGTATAAAAATTTAGTTGAATATTCTCTATGGACATTTTTAATAAAAACTTGGGCTTCAAGTCAGGAACATGTCTTCCATTTGTACATAACTTTAGTATCACTCTCTCTTTTAATTTATGCTTTTTTATTTTATGTATCCTTGAAAGCTGCCTTCAATCCATTCTGGAATAAATTGGGGGTAAATAAGTAAAGACACAAACACCTGTTTCATCTTTGTATTTCCCAAGTGCCTTTAGCCTTGAGAGTCTGGGCAGTTTTACAAGTGCCTTTGTGATATATTTTCAGTAGCAAGAGTGAAACTGAGATTGTGGTGACACGGTCCAATCCCAGAGGTAACAAGTTATGTGTTCCACTCTGCTGAGCCTTGGGGAAGTACCCTTAGATACCAAGATAAACAGTCAACATCTTTTCCTTTGGGCCAGTAAGCACTTTTTAGTCACGTGGTAAGTGCAATTCACAGACTTTGGCTGCCATATGATGGTGTAGGCTGGTCTAGGTCAGGTGATTTATCCAGATTAGTTCAGCTCAGTTGAGCTAAGCATTTCCCTGAGATCTGTGTCTTGGCAAAGGGCTTCTTAATGTTTTGAGCTGCCCAGAATGTCATTCCCTATAGTGTGCCGATAGGCAGGTTAATAAAGAGTTCTTAGATTCCTGGACTCAGAAGACACCTTGAGGTGAACAGTGACAGTGGAAACAACATGAACGCCCCAGAGACTGGCTGGGTGACCTTAGGCAGGTAGCAACACTATGGTGGGCCTGGGCCTCTTTCTCATCTTGAAGGTGAAAATGTTGAACTTGAGGATTTGTACGATCTCATCCAGCTCTTGCAGATCAGCTGGTCTAGCGCTTCGCAAACTCTTGGATTTTACAGATCAGTATAGTTTCATCAATTTTTAAGAACTGACACAAGGTGTTTACTTTTTACTTTCCTAGGAAGGACAATAAAAATCAACTACTACTGCCATTTTTTAATCACATCGTTTCCAGAAGGAAAGAGCGTATTAACATAACAAAAACCAAAAAAAAGTGGAAGGAAATAACCTCAGCACAAAAGATAGTGCTCGTTAGGGCAAGTGGGATGGAACTTTACTTCAACATACATGCTTGCTGTGCACCGGCTCTTTCTTCCTCCTTTTTTTTTTTTTTTGAGATGGGAGTCTCACCCTGTCGCCCAGGCTGGAATAGAGTGGTACCATCTCGACAGAGTTTCGCTTTTGTTGCCCAGGCTGGAGTCAATTGCCAATCTCTGCTCACTGTAACCTCCGCCTCCCAGAGTCAAGCCATTCTTCTGCCTCAGCCTCCCCAGTAGCTGGGATTACAGGCATGGGCCATCACACCAGGCTAATTTTGTATTTTTAGTAGAGATGGGTTTCTCCATGTTGGTCAGGCTGGTCTCGAACTCCCGACCTCAGGTGATCTGCCCACCTTGGCCTCCCAAAGTGCTGGGATTATAGGCATGAACCACCGCACCCGGCCCCATTCTTCCTTTTTAAAAAGTGCATTATTGAGGTGTTATCTACGTACCATACAATTCACTCACGTTAAGTGTGCAATTCAATAATTTGTAGTAAATTCATGGAGTGTGCAAGTACACTACAATCTAATTTTAGAACATTTCCACCATCCCCAAAAGATCCCTGCGGTCACTCCTTTTCCCATCCACCAGATCCAGGCAACCACGAATCTACTTTCTGTCTCTATAAATTCCGCCTTTTCTGGACATTTCATATAATGGTATTATGCATTATGTGGCATTTGTGTCTGGCTTCTTTCATTTAGCATAATGTTTTCAAGGTTCTTCCATGTTGTAGCATGCACCAGTGAGTGCTTCATTCCTTTTTTTTTTAAATGGGGTCTTGCTCTGTTACCCATGCTGGAGTGCAGTGGCACGATCATGGTTCACTGCAGTATCCTTGACCTCCAGGCTCAAGCAATCCTCCTCCTTCAGCCTTAGGAGTATCTGGAACAGGCGTGCACCACGATGCCTAATTTCTTTTTTTTTTCTTGTAGAGACAGAGTCTCACTATGTTGTCCAGGCTGATCTCAAACTCAAGTGATCCTCTAGTCTCAGCCTCCTAAAGTGCTGGGACTAAAGGGATGAGCCACTGCACCTGGTGCTTCATTTCTTTTTATGGCTCAAAAACATTTCATTGTAAGGATAGGCCACATTTTGTTTATCCACTCATCTATTGATGGACACTTGGTTGTGTATGGGCATTTGGGTTGTTTCCGCTTTTTGGCAATTATAAATATTGCTGCTGTGAACATTTGCATACAAGTTTTTGTGTGGACCATGTTTTCAATTCTCCTGGGTGCATACCTACGAGTGGAACTGATGGGTGTGGTAGGCAGAATAATGGCTCCCAACGATGTCTACATCCTCAAATCCTCAAAATCGGTGAGCATGTTACCTTATATGCAAAAGGGATTTTGCAGATGTGATTAAGGATCTTGATATGTGGAAATTATTTTGGATTATTGGGGTGGGCCCAATGTAATCACAAGGGTCATGATAAAGGAAAGAAGGGACAAAACAGGGAATGTGTGAGAGTGATGCAGCTTGAGAATGGCTCATGTGGCCATTGCTGGATCTGACGATGGAGGGAGGCCATGAGCTGAAGAATGGGGGGGCCTCTAGAAGCTGAAAAAGGCAAGGAAACAGGTGTCCCTGTAGCACTTCCAGGAGGAATGCAGCCCAGCCAACACCTTGAATTTAGACCTTGGGTGAGCCCCATTTTGGGTTTCCAAACTTTAGAATGGAAGATAATGAATTTGTGTTGTATGGAGACACCAAATTAGTGGTAATTTGTTTCCGCAGTCACAGGGTCATGTAGTAACCTCAACTTTACTTTTACATCACTAACAGACCCATTTAGGAAGGCATCATTGGTTGGGATGAAGGGCACGGTCTGCCAGTGTATAGATTCAAATTCCAGCTCCAATACCTACTGTATGGAGGTACTTGAGTAAGTTACTTAACTTTTCTGTGCCTCAGCTTCCCCAGCTAATAATAATAATACTCCCCTCACACCCTTGTGAGGATTCATGAGTTGGTATATGCTGAGTGGGGCTTAGAATAATATCTGGCATATGGGCAGCCCTATACAGAATCATGTGTGTGATCATTATTCACAGTCTTCCAAGAGCGAAGGAACAGCAATAGCATCCCCACAGATGAAACCAAAGCTCTGCTTCATCCTTTCAAAAGATGTTTTCTTCCATCATCTCCATTCATATCTCAAAGTTCTTAAAACCAGATTTCCCCTAGCGCTTAAGCTAAAGGTTTCAAGAAATTCCCCTCCCTGGAAAATTATCTGTGACAGCCCTTTGCCCAAGCTCCTAGCTGAGGAAGACTCAGCTCTGTCAAAATCTTTTTTCTTTCTTTTTTTTCTTTTTCTTTCTTTCTTTCTTTTTTATTTTTAATAGACTGTTGCCTATGCTGGTCTTGAACTTCTGGCTTCAAGAGATCCTTCTGCCTCCTGAGTAGCTGGGATCACAGGCACACACCACCATACCCCCAGCTAATTTTTTTCTTTTCTTTTCTTTTCTTTTTTTTTTAAAGAGACTGTTGCCTATACTGGTCTTGAACTCCTGGCTTCAAGAGATCCTCCTGCCTCCTGAGTAGCTGGGATTACAGGCACACACCACCATACCTGGCTAATTATTTTTTCTTTTCTTTTTCTCTTTTTTTTTTTTTTGGAGAGACGACAGTGTCTCACTATGCTGCCCAGGCTGGTCTACCACTCAAGTGATTCTCCTGCCTCGGCCTTTCGAAGTGCTGGGATTACAGGCGTGAGCTACCTCACCTGGCCAAAATCCTCTTGACAGATTTTTTTTTTGGTTCCCTCAACCACAACTTGCCCAGAAATCACTGCTTAGCCCATGGGCAAGAATCTGGCCTGTGTTTTTATCCCGTGTAAGCCAGCAGTCCCCAAACTTTTTGGCACCAGGGACAGGTTTCATGGAAGACAATTTTTCCACAGACCCACGGCAGGGAGGGGGATGGTTTGGGGATGATTCAAGCACATTACATTTATTGTGCACTTTGTTTCTATTATTATTACATTGTAATATATAATGAAATAATTATACAACTCACCATAATGTAGACTCAATGGGAGCCCTCAGCTTGTTTCCTTGCAACTAGACGGTCCCATCTGGGGGTGATGGGAGACAGTGACAGATCATCAGGCATTAGATTCTCATAAGCTCCCTTGCATGTGCAGTTCACAATAGGGTTTGTGCTCCTGTGAGACTGTCATGCCCCTGGTGATCTGACAGGAGGTGGAGCTCAGGTAGTAATGCCAATGATGGAGAGCGGCTGTAAATACAGATGAAGCTTTGCTTGCTCGCTCACTGATCACCTCCAGCTATATGGCTGGGTTCCTAACAGGCCACAGAACTGGTCCATATAGGTACTTGTACCAGTCTGTGGCCTGGCGGCTGGGGATCCCTGCTGTAAGCACTTAGCACATATTGACCAAATATTCAATGAATAAATGAGAGTTCACCAGAAGAGCCATTTTGCTCCAACTTTGCTCTTTGCTCCAACTTCTGGTGACTTTCTAGAAGAAATGAAGTCCCATTCTGACTTTTGGCTATAGAATTTGGAACTGAAATAACTTTGGAGATGGTATACCCAGGGACTCTGGTTTTGCAAATGAGGAAATTGAGGTACCGAAGGAGGTATGATACCTAAGATCACACAGCAAATTAGCCACAAAGCAGTGGCTCTGGTTTCCAGCCCAGCTACCTCTCTAGATGTTGCTATGGGTAAATGAGTCTAAGACTCTGGGCTGAATCCGGGCTGACCTTCAGACATCTCCTGAAAGTTACTGCTTATTTGTTGAGATAAGTTCCTTGTCTCATTTTCTTGTATTTCCTCTCCCAAATAAAACTTCTTTTTTGAATTTAGGGTTCAGTAAATCAAAGAAATACTATCGATATTATCTATTGTCTTATCTTCTACCTTCAGGCCCTAATAAGCATAAAAAGACATTGGTAAAAGTCACTATTATTTGTGTCTGGTATCTGGAACCCATGACTTCCCAAACCAGGGCTGACTTGCAACAAGAGTGAGACTGATTTGTCATGTTCAGCAAAAACACATACGCAAGAATTCACATTAGTTCAAAAATAAAAATAGTTAACATGAGAAAAACAGGATTCCTCTTTTTTCTTTTCTCTGTATGATAAGGCATTTGATTAAGAGTGAGATTGCTGACTGGAAATTTAAAAAGTCAAAACAGGAAGCAGTAAATGACTAGCAAAGCATTGTATTCAATAAAACTCTCCTAAACATCACGCTCTCATAAATGAGTGGCAGAACCTGAATCAACCAAAAAACTCTGTAGGGTGGATGAATAGATTCAAGAGCCATCCTCTTAGGGATGCTTTATGCTAACAAACTCCCAGAGTCCCTTATCGTCCCTTATATCCTTTAGGGAAGGAGCTCCTGTCTTCATACTATTCTTACTCTTGAACAAATGATCTCATGTTACCAAAAAAAAAAAAAAAAAAAGAAAATTCTCTTTACTCAAGTCCTCTAAAAGGTCTCTTATTTCAGGTACTGCAGCAGTATGCAGACCATTTGCCCACATTTAAAATACTTTAATTCTTTTTTTTTGTTTGTTTCATTACATTGGCTGGGATTTCTAGTACAGTATTGCGTGGCAATGGGTGTAGTGGCGTTTTTAGAAATAATTTACCTTGTTATCATAAAATATTTCAAACACACAACAAATGTATGAGTCTGGGCGCGGTGGCTCATGCCTGTAATCTCAGCACTTTGGGAGGCGAGGTGGGTGGGTCACTTGAGGTCAGGAGTTCAAGACCAGCCTGGCCAACATGGTGAAACTCCGTCTCTACTAAAAATACAAAAGCTAGCCTGGTGTGGTGGCACGCGCCTGTAATCCCAGCTACTCAGAAAGCTGAAGCAAGAGAATCACCTAAACCCTGGAGGTGGAGATTGCAGTGAGCTGAGATCACGCCATTGCACTCCAGCCTGGGCAACAAGAGCAAAACTCTGTCTTAAAAAAAAAAAAAAAAAAAAGGAGGAATGGTCCAGGTGCAGTGGCTCACGCCTGTAATCCCAGCACTTTGGGAGGCCGAGGTGGGCGGATCACCTGAGGTCAGGAGTTCAAGACCAGCCTGGCAAACATGGTGAAATCTCGTCGTGGTGGCACATGCCTGTAATCCCAGCTACTTGGGAGGCTGAGGCACAAGAATCGCTTGAACTCTGAAGGCAGAGGTTGCAGTGAGCTGAGATGGTGCCACTGTACTCCAGCCTGGGCGACAGGGCGAGACTCCTATCTCAAAAAAAAAAAAAAAATTGAAGAAGAAAGAGCCAGTGCACAGCAAGCATGTATGCTGAAGTAAAGTTGCCATCCCACTTGTCCTAGCAAGCACCGTCTTTTGTGCTGAAGTTATTTCCTTCCATTTTTTTTTTTTTTTTGGTTGTTGTCATTGTTAATATGATCTTTCCTTCTGGAAATGATGTGATACAAAATGGCAGTAGTAGTTGATTTTTATTGTCCTTCCTAGGAAAATAAAAAGTAAATACCTTGTGGCCGGGCATGGTGGCTCATGCCTGTAATCCCAGCACTTTGGGAGGCTGAGGCAGGTGGATCACCTGAAGTCAGGAGTTTGAGATCAGCCTGACCAACATGGTGAAACCCTGTCTCTAGTAAAATACAAAAAAATTAGCCCGGTGTGGTGGTGGGCGCCTATAATCCCAGCTACTGGGGAGGCTGAGGCAAAAGAATTGCTTGAACCTAGTGGGGTGGAGGTTGCAGTGAGCCAAGATCACGACACTACACTCCAGCCTGGGTGACAGAGTGAAACTCCCTCAGTGCACTCCAGCCTGGGGGACAGAATGAAACTCCCTCTCAAAAAAAAAAAAAAAGTGAACACCTTGCGTCAGTTCTTAAAAAAAACTATACTGATCTGTAAAATCCAAGAGTTTGCAAAGCGCTAGACCAGCTGATCTGCAAGAGCTGGATGAGATCCTATGAATCCTCAAGTTCAACCTTTTCACCTTCAAGATGAGAAAGAGGCCCAGGCCCACCATAGTGTTGCTACCTGTCCAGGGTTACCTAGCCAGTCTCTGGGGCGTTCATGTTGTTTCCACTGTCACTGTTCACCTCAAGGTGTCTTCTGAGTCCAGGAATCTAAGAACTCTTTGTTAACCTGCCTATCGGCACACTATAGGGAATGACATTCTGGGCAGCTCAAAACATTAAGAAGCCCTTTGCCAAGACACAGATCTCAGGGAAATGCTTAGCTCAACTGAGCTGAACTAATCTGGATAAATCACCTGACCTAGACCAGCCTACGCCATCATATGGCAGCCAAAGTCTGTGAATTGCACTTACCATGTGACTAAAAAGTGCTTACTGGCCCAAAGGAAAAGATGTTGACTATTGATCTTGGTATCTAAGGGTACTTCCCCAAGGCTCAGCAGAGTGGAACACATAACTTGTTACCTCTGGGGTTGGACCTTGTCACCACAATCTCAGTTTCACTCTTGCTACTGGATATATACCACAAATGCACTTGTAAAACTGCCCAGACTCTTAAAGCTGAAGGCACTTGGGGAATACAAAGATGAAACAGGTGTTGGTGTCTTTATCTATTTTTTTCCACCCAATCCTATTCCAGAATGGATTGAAGGCAGCTTTCAAGGATGCATAAAATAAAAAGCATAAATTAAAAGAGAAAGTGATACTAAAGTTATGTAGAAATGGAAGAAATGTTCCTGACTTGAAGCCCAAGTTTTTATTAAAAATATCTATAGAGAATATTCAACTAAAATTTTTATACCTGTTAGCTCTATAGTCCAAGGTTTTCTTTTCCTTTTTTTTTTAATCAACCTTATTAAGGTCAGGCATGGTGGCTCATGCCTGTAATCGCAGCACTTTGGGAGGCCAAGGTGAATGAATTACTTGAAGTCAGGAGTTCGAGATCAGCCTGGCCAACATGGTGAAATCCCATCTCTACTAAAAATAAAAAAATTAGCCAGGCCTGGTGGTGGGCGCCTGTAATCCCAGCTACTTGGGAGGCTGAGGGAGGAGAATCGTTTGGACCTGGGAGGCAGAGGCTGCAGTGAGCAGAGATTGTGCCACTGCACTCCAGCCTGGGCAACAGAGCAACACTCCAACTCAAAAAAAAAAAAAAAAAAAAAAGCTGGGGGCGGTGGCTCATGCCTGTAATCTCAGCACTTTGGGAGTCTGAGGTGGGCAGATCATGAGGTCAGGAGATCGAGACCATCCTGGCTAACATGGTGAAACCCCGTCTGTACTAAAAAAAAATACAAAAAAATTAGCCGGGCATGGTGGCTGGCACCTGTAGTCCCAGCTACTCGAGAAGCTGAGGCAGGAGAATGGCATGAACTCGGGAGGCTGAGCTTGCAGTGAGCTGAGATCCCATCACTGCACTCCAGCCTGGGAGACAGAGTGAGACTCCATCTCAAAAAAAAAAAAAAAAAAAAAAAGATGTTCTTTATTAGATGTAGTATATCCAGACAATGGAATATTATATTATTCAGTGCTAAAAACACATGAGCTAGGAAGCCAGGAAGAGTCATGGAGAAAGCTTCCATGCATATTACTAAATGAAAGAAGCCAATCTGAAAAGGCTGCATACTACATGACTCCAACTATATGACATTCTGGAAAAGGCAAAACGATAGAGACAGTCAAAAAAATCAGCAGTTGCCAGGGGTTGGGAGAGATGAATAGGCAGACCACAGAGGATTTTTGGGCAGTGAAACTGTTCTTTATGATACTGCAATGGTGGGCACATGTCATTGGACGGTTGTCAAAACCCGTAAAACATACATCACCAAGAGTGAACCTTCATATATACTACTGACTTTGGATGATAATGAAGTATCAGTGTGGGTGCATTGATTGAAGTAAATGTGCCACTCAGATGTGAGATGTTGATTGTAAACAAGCTGGGGGTGGGGGGAGGAATATGGGAACTCTGTGTTAAACACAGAGTTTAAGAAAAATGGAACTTTCCACTCAATTTTGCTGTGAACCTCAAACAGCTCTGGAAAATAAAGTCCTTTAAAAATGAATAAAAAGAATAGTTAATGCAACGAAAAATCTATCATAGATCTGTGCTTTTAGTATCATGCATCTGTTGTGATAACTCCAAGTGTAGAAAATGCTCTTGGTGGCCTGCCCAGGTCCCCTGTCCTGGGCCCGTGCACTGCCTCTTCCCTGCTGTGGTGTTGGCTGCTATAAGCACACTCTGCACCCCTCTCAGGCTGGTTCTCATTCTGCTCTTGGTTGTGGAAGCTGTCCCCCAGATCTCCACACAAGATGGTTGGGAGGCTACACCCGCCTTATTGGCCAACGACTGATGGATGCGGGGGTTGTAACAGCTCAAACTTCTTGCCTCTGGGCAGAAGGATCTATCTCTATGGTACCAGCAGCCATGCTCCAGAGCTCCCTGTGGGATCAGGCTGAGGCCCACCTCCTCTGGAAGCTTCGTCTTTACAGAGCATCTTCCTTTGCCCTCTTCCATTTCCCTCCCTTCCCTCTAGGTTTCTCCTGAGAGCATGCCCTCCATAACTCACTTGCAACACATCTCAGGCTTTGCATCTACGGAAGTGGCCTCTGACAGTTCCTATGGCCTGTCCCTGTCTTCCTAGTATTAATATATCCTGATTTGTCTTGCAAGATATTATATGGAAGTTCATCATAGCAAAGATAGGGAATTCATTGTCCTCAGTGTTGCTTGACACAAACAAAAAATCATTAATGTTTTTCTCCATTTGTGCAGCTAAAAGCTGCACACACCTCACTGCACTTGACGCTGACTCCACAGAGTCAAGTCTTTTCCTCCTAAGAACAAGTTTCTGCATTAAGAATGATTTAGGGGAGAAAAGTGGAAGTATAAGGAGACAGAACAGAGGTGGCGACATACAATGTGTCTAGAAGTGAGTCCCAAAACTGTGGGCTTCCCTTGGGTGGGTCACAGATTTTGCAATAAGCCGTCTATTTATCAACACACACACACACACACACACACACACACACACACACACACACACACATGATCATTATACATATCACCTATAAATTCAGTGTCTCCCTTTTGGAAAATAACTATATTAAGAGCAGTCAGGAATTTCTTCCTCTTTTCTTTTTCTTTTTTCTTTCTTCTTGAGACATGGTCTTGCTCTGCTTCCTAGGCTGGAGTGCAGTGGCTTGATCATGGCTCACTGCAGCTTTAACCTTCTGGGCTCAAGTGATCCTCTGGCCTCAGCCTCCCGAGTAGCTGGGACCACAGGCATGTGCCACCACATACTGCTAATTTTTTTGTGTTTTTATAGAGGCAGGGTCTCACCGTGTTGCTCAGGCTGGTCTGGAAGTACTGGCTCAAGTAATTCTCTTGCCTTGGCTTCCAAAACTGCTGGGATTGCAGGCATCAGCCACCATGACCTGCCAGGAATTTCTTCCTCCATCTTTCTAAGAAACATACTCCACCATGTTTGATGGTGATGCAACATGTTCCGTAGGATCCTTAGGGAAGAAAAGCCCCAGCCCAGCTCAATTCCTCTGCTCTCCAGGCTCACCTCCCTTAGAGATGTTGGGTCATTCTTGTTTAATTTCTCTGAGGTTCCATTTTCTCATCTGTAAAATGGGAATAGTAATAGTCCCTGCTTCACAGATTTTTCATGAAGATAGGCTGATAAAATAATACTCTGCTAGTAGGTTCTGAGCTGGTATTAAGAACAAAACAAGAGCACTTATTATTCCTCTAATACCAAAGGGGGAAAATCATTTTAATATTGGGCTCATGGGGTCTTTGACTTCAGGCCTGTCTCCTACCTACCCTAAACCTCCTCCTATTCTGTCATCATCTGATACTTGTTGAATACTCATGAGACTTCCTTAGAAGACTGATGTGCCTCTCCGTAGACCTACTGTGGGATGACCATTAATGCTGGTGACAGAGGCCTGTCCCCTCCTATTCTCCCAAGAGTGAGCTGCCAGCCTGCCTGAGTGCTCTGAAACAGAGGAGCTGCAATTCAAACTTCACCCAGTTCTCTGTTTTTTTCTCTCAAAAGGGTTGAAAATATGTGAAGTAACCCTCAGCTCTGCAAAAGATATTGTGTTTCACTATTTCCTTTAACTGCTCTCTGGATCTGGAACCCCATTGTAGGGAGAAAGAGCAGGGCATGGGGAAGAGGTGCCTTGAAGCTGCCACTTAGAGACAGCTCAGATTCCACTGGTTTAAATCACTTTCCTTCAGATTCCTTTGGAAAAGTGGATTCGTCTTTCAGGCTGTCTTCCTGGCAGCCCCCTTACTTCCTTTAGTGGTAGAACTCCTGAGCTTTAGCCAGGCCCATGGCTTCCCAATTAAAGGCTACATTTCCCAGCCTCACTTGAAGCCAGGTACAGCCATGTGACTCAGCTCTGGCCAATAGGATAATATCCATACAGTCTCTATGTTGCTGCCTGGAAAGTGCCATGGTGTGGAGCCATCTTAGACCAGATGAAGCCAACAGTCTAGGAATGGAAGAGCTCAAGGGAGAACGAACCTGAGTCTCCAACACCAAAGAGCTTCTCCATTAGCTCTGGACTGCTAATACTTGGATGCTTCACAAGAGAGAAACCTTCTATCTTGTTTATGTCACTGTCACTTTGGTCTCTGTCATGGTAGCTGACTCTGCATTCTGACTAATACACTTCCTGTTCCCACTTCTCTTTTCCAAGATGGCATCTGGAGACAGGGTGGGCTTCTGTAGCCTCGTGGCAGTGGGAAGAGGACCCTTTGTCACATGCTGTTCTTCTAGGTTTACTGGTCTCTGATGTCTTGAGACTTGCCCGGTCTAGTTCCTGGGCCCTGGTGCTTGCTTGGCTGGTCCCACTTGGGTTTTCAAGGTGCTGAACTGAGACTTGCTGCTGGCACCATGCTGCACACCACAGAGTTGTTCTGAGCTTTTGTGCTTTGCAAGGATCCAGAAACCCTTAGCCAGCTTCTCCAAACTACTCTGGAGTGTGTAGGTCTCTCTTGGCTTCCCTCCAGCACACCTGCATGCCTGCCTAGGCACATTCCTAAATTCTCTAAAAATAGCAATTAAGCATAATAGCTTTAAGGTAGGTGGCAGTGAATTTTTTGGCCAAGGTAGGAATAATGTTTTATTCCTACCTTTTGTTGCCATTTTCCCTCATACGAATGGACCCCCTGGCATTTAGCCAAGAGTCTATTATATTCACTTTTTCCAAAAGGTGTGAGTGGCATTTTGAATGGAGGAGTTGAATAGTCCTGTTTGCAGACCCTATATAGGAAAGATAATATGTACAGTAGTCCCTGTCTCCTGGAATAAGTTGGTGTTTGAGAGATCAGCTGGACACGATCGGCAGGGAGAGCACGCATGTTTTTATGAAGAATTATGCTGAGGTAGGTAACGAATGGGGAAGAAATTTGAGCTTTGGAGAGGGATGCCCGATATCCCTCAGAGAATAAATGTTGAAAAGTATCTTGCTGAGAAGATTCAAAGGAGGGGCTACAAAGTAGAAGGTATCAATATATTGAATAAGGTGAGAAGCAGAGGGGTGGAAAGAAAGTAAATCATGAGAAAGAGCTTGGCTGAAGTAATGAGGGCTGTCCCTGAAGGCTTGCAGTAGTATAGCCCAGGTAAGCTGCTGGGACTGATGGGTGTCAGGGTCAGTCCAGGTAAAAGCAAAGAGAGGCTGGGATGAGGGGTGCAGGGGAATAGTGAAAAAGGCATCTGTAAGATCAAGAACGGAATAGTGAGTTGTGGAGGAAGGTATTGAGGACAAAAGAGTGTATGGGTTGGGCACCACAGGGTGGATAGGCAAAACAATTTCCTTGATAAGTCACAGATCCTGAACTAACCTGTAAGACTTGTCCGGTTTTGGGGACAGGCAAAATGGGGGAATTGTAAAGAGAGTTTGTAGGCTATAGAAGCCCATGCTGTAGCAGGCGAGTGATAACAGGCTTCAGTCTTTTTAAAGTCTGCTGTCAGATGGATACTGGCACTGAGCTGGGTAAGGGTGATTAGGTTTTAATGGAATAGTAATGAGCGTGTGATTGGTTTCCAGGGAGGGAGTAGAAGGGTCCCATACTTGTGGGTTAAGGTCGGGGGATACAAGGGGAAGACGCGAAGGAGGCTTGGGTTGGGAAGAAGGACAGCAATGAGGTGTGGCTGTAGCCCAGGAATAGTCAGGGAAGCAGATAATTTGGTTAAAATGTCTCTGCCTAATAAGGGAACTGGGAAGGGGGATAACTAAAAAGGAGTGCATAAAAGAATGTTGTCCAAGTTGACACCAAAGTTGGGGAGTTTTAAGAGGTTTAGAAGCCTGGCCATCAATACCCACAACAGTTATGGGGGCAAGGGGAACAGGCCCTTGAAAAGAAGGTAATGTGGAATGGGTAGCCCCTGTATTGATTAAAAAGGGGACAGACTTACCCTCCACTGTGAGAGTTACCCAAAGCTCAGGGTCCATGATGGTCCAGGGGGCTTCCGAGGCGATCGGGCAGCGTCAGTCTTCAGCCACTAAGCCAAGCAGATCTGGGAAGGAGTCAGTCAGAGAGCCTTGGGCCAGAGCTTTAGGGGCTCTAGGACTGGCTGCTGGGTGAGCTGGGCAGTCTGATTTCCAGTGGGTCCCTGCACAGATGGGACACAGCTTGGGAGGAATCCTAGGCTGTGGGCATTCCTTGGGCCAGTGGCCAGATTTCTGGCACTTGAAGCAAGATCCTGAGGGAGGAGGTCCTGTAGGAATGCCTGACTGCTGTGGCTTCGGCGTTTTGAAGTTTTTTTTGGGCTGGAGGTGAGGCTGGGTTTTGTCTCACCGCAGAGGCAAGTAATTGTAACTCAGAACTATGTGTTGCCACTTGGCTGCCTCTTCCTTATTAGTGTACACCTTGAAGGCAAGATTGATTAATTCCTGTTGTGGCGTTTGAGGGCCAGATTCTAATTTTTGAAGCTTTTTTCTAACGTCAGGAGCTGACTGGGTGATAAAATGCATATTGAGAATAAGACAGCCTTCTGGCCCCTCTGGGTCTAGGGCTGTAAAGCGTCCCAGGGTTGCTGCCAAACGAGCCATGACCTGGGCTGGGTTTTCATCTTTACCTTGGGTAGTTTCCTTAAGTTTGTCATAATTAACAGCTTTGTAAGCTGCCTTTTAAAGCCCTTCAACTAGGCAGGAAATCATGTAATCTCACCTAGCTATACCTGGGGAATCTGCCTGATATTCCCGTCGGGGATCTTCTCAGGAAACTGCCCTGATGCCTTCTTGAAGGTCTGGCTCATGACGCTGGCAGGTGTCTGCATGGGACTGGACCAGAGAAAATACTCTTTCCCATTCATTTTGGGAGAGGGTAGAAGTTAGGATGATATTTAAGTCACTCCAGGTTAAATTGTAGGACTGAGTTAAATATTGGAATTCTTGTATATATTTGGTGGGGTCTGAGGGGGAAGGAGCCTAAGCATTGATTAACTTGGGAAAGGTCTGATAGAGAAAATGGCACATGCGCTCTGACAATGCCCTCAGCTCCAGCCACCTCTTGAAGAGGAAATCGCTGGGCAGGTGGAGGATTATTTGCCACAGAACGAAATTGTAACCCGGGCCGGGTGTGGGGAGGGGAGGTGACAGAAGGGTTATAAGGTGGAGGAGCGAAGGCTGAGGAAGAATTGGGACTTGATTCAGCCTGCCGAGGAGTGGCCTGGGGAGGGGGAGAGAGGTCAGAGGGGTCTGCAGAAAAGGAGGATTCAGAGGACTCTGAGGTTGGGGTAGAGACTGAAGAAACGGACGGGAGAGAAAGAAGAAAGATTTAGGATGAATCGCATCGGAAGCAAAGGCTAGGAAGGGACCAATGTGTAAAGAATGCCTGGATGTAAGGCACCTCAGACGATTTGCCCATTTTATGACAAAATTACCTAGATCTTGTAGGATGGACAAATTGAAAGTGCCATTTTCTGGCCATTTAGAGCCATTATCAAGTTTGTATTGGGGCCAAGTGGTGTTGCAAAAGAAAATAAGACACTTAGGTTTTAGGTCAGGTGAGAGTTGAAGAGGTTTTAAGTTTTTAAGAACACAGGCTAAGGGGGAAAAAGAAGGAATGGAGGGTGGAAGGTTGCCCAAAGTAAAAAGGTAAGTTCAGAGAAAAGAGGGGGTAGAGACAAGAAGAAAAGGGGGAGGGGTGGTACTTGCCACCCAGGAGTGGTAGTACTTGCCACCGAGGTGGAGGATCAAGGCAGGCGTCCCCGCAGTGATCGAACACCTCTGGAATGCTGGTGAATAATCAGGCAGGCGTCCCCACAGTGATTAGACACCAAGGGAAGACTGTCTTTCCGAGTCCGTGACCAGCGCTGGCGTTTTGGGTCCACGGATAAAACATGTCTCCGCTGTCTCTACCAGAAAGGGAAAGGAAATGAAGGGAGGGGAGAGAGAGAGTGAAGGGTGATGCCGAAATTGAAAGGAGAAAGAGGTTGAGAGAGAGCGAGAGAGGTTGGAGAAGAGAATAAAAAGAGGCCGCTCACCCGATTTAAAATTGGTGAGGTGTTTCTTGGGCTGGTCTGAGGACCCGAGGTCATAGGTGGATTCTCTCACAGAGCAAAGAGCAGGAGGACAGGGGATTGATCTCCCAAGGGAGGTCCCCTAATCTGAGTCACAGCACCAAATGTCAAGCACGTCGGTGTGAAGAAACCACCAAACAGGCTTTGTGTGAGCAATAAAGCTTTTAATTCACCTGGGTGCAGGTGGGCTGAGTCCAAAAAGACAGTCAGCAAAGGGAGATGGGGAAGGGGTTGCTTTATAGGAGTTGGGTAGGTAATGGATAATTACAGTAAAAGGTGGTTATCTATTGTTAGTGGAGGAGGGGGTCACAAGGTACATGGTGGGGAGATCATAAGACTTACTATCCAGAAGAAGAATGCCACAAAGTTGATTGATAGCTAAGGTAGGGCAGGGACAAGTCACAATGGTAAACTGTTGTAATTTTGGTTAATCAGTTAAGGCAGGATCTGGGTGTTTTACTTCTTTGTGGTTTTTTGGCTGCTTCAGACTTCTCGGCTCCTGCAGGCCACCTGGATGTGTATGTGCAGGTCACAGAGGTTATAATGGCTGAGCTTGGCTCAGAGACCTGACAGTCCTATCATTGATACAGGAGTTAAGAAGAAATTACATAGGCAGATAGTGAGGGTATGAAAGTCCTCAGTAAGGTTTTCCTTTTAATGAAAAGCAGCCCCAAATTATTTTCCTTTCTAACAAAGTGGGGCCTATAAAATCGAGCTGCAAACATAGATGCCAGCAGTTGTGCCAATCATGTTCAAAATAGTGGCTCCATCTTCCCTTTTTTGCCAGCCACGTGTACAGTAAGGAGCAGACAAGATGGCACTGGCCAAGGGGAAAGTTCTTGTGCATAATAAGACTGGGTGGGGGCGTGGCCAGCCTTCTCCACCCACTATGTAAATGTCATGCCTGATTGAAGCAATCTGTGAGCTCTATGTAAATCAGACACCGCCTCCTCAAGCCTGACTATAAAATCCAGTGCATTCACCACCTGCTAACCTTTTCCTCTGGGAAGTCTCCTCTCTCTCACTAAAGAGAGAGAGAGCTGTTCTCTGTGTCTCTTTCTTTCCCTTTCTCTTGCCTATTAAACCTCCTCTCCTAAACTCCTCGTGTGTGTCCATGTCCTAAATTTTCCTGGCATGAGATGATGAACCCCAGGTATTGATTTACCCCAGACAATGTAGCCACTTCATCATCGCATCTCCTTCTCTTAATCTGATCTTCCTCCTTTCTTTATAAGGGTCCTTGTGATTTCACTGGGCCTACACTAGGTAATCCAAGATAATCTCCCATCTCAAAGTCTTCATCACATTGGAAAATGCCTTTTGCCATGGAGGGTAATATATTCACAGATTCTGGGGATTAGGAAGTAGACAATTTTGGGAGGAGGCAATATATGGACTGAGTCCCAGGAACTCGCATTTCTAACAAGCCCCCAGGTGATGCTGGCTCAAGGACCACACTCTGAGAACCACTGGGGTAGACTAACTACTGTAACAAGTAGCCCCAAAATATATAATGGCTTAAACACAATATTGGTTTATTTCTTGTTCACATAACAGTCCTAGGTAGGTGAACATGTATTCCAAATAATCACACAGGAACTCAAGCTGAAGGAAGTTCTGCTAACTTAACACATGGCTTCCAGGGCCATTTCAGAAGAAGGAGTGTGGAAGAACACAGTGAGAAGAGTTTATGGGCCGGGCCTAAAAGTGGTTCCTGGTCTCATAGGAATTGAGATTCTTACATTTTATTGGCTGAAACTCAGTCACACGCCCACAGCCAACTGTGCCAATAGCCAAATGTGATCTAGCAATGTGCCCAGGAGGAAGAAGAGAACATAGATTATAATAAGAGATGGCAGTCTCTGTTCCAATGTCAAATACTGTACAAAATATAGAGGGCTCATTATCAACCTCAAGATTGCTCTTAAAAGATCACAATGCCAATCCAAATCTGAGTTTGTATTAGCCTGTTCTCACGCTGCTAATAAAGACATACTTGAGACTGGGTAATTTATAAAGGAAAGAGGTTTAATTGACTCACAGTTCAGTGTGGCTGGCGAGGCCTCAGGAAACTTACAATTATGGTGGAAGGGGAGGCAAACATGTCCTTCTCCATATGGCAGCATGGAGGAGAAGTATGAGTACCCAGGGAAGGGGGAAGCCCCTTATAAAACCATCAGATCAATAATAGAATTTAAAAAAAATCAGATCTCGTGAGAACTAACTCACTATCATGAGAACAGGATGGAGGAAACTGCCCCCATGATTCAGTTATCTCCACCTGCTCCCTCCCATGACACGTGGGGATTATGGGAACTACAATTCAAGATGAGATGGTGGGAACACAGCCATACTATATCAGAGTTTTACTTTTCAAATGGTTGAGGCACTTGTCTAAGAGTGGGAGGACATGTGGGCAGTGTCTGGGGAGGGGAACTGGTGGGGCCCATGGATCAGGGTGGTCCAGAGCTGCCTGGGGCTTCGAGAGGTGGGACACATGATGGGGAAATGCAGCTCCAAGGGTTCTTCCAGTGACAACAGAATACAGGAGCCAAATCTCATCCCCTTTGTATTTATTCAACCCCACTACAAGCTCTTTGAAATTCCCCATCGTGTGTGCATAGTGCTGACTGCACAGTAGGAGTTTGTATTAGTTTCCTATTGCGGTATAAGAAATAGCACAAGTTATTTGTCATTAAAACAACACCTATCTATTATCTCAGTTCTGTGGGTGAGAAGTTCAGAGGAATGCACCTGGGCTTTCTGATTAGGATCTCACAGGCCAAAATCAACAGATTGGGCAGGGACAAAGATTCTCTACTTGATCAAATTTTGGTCAGGCTCCTGAACCTTCTCCTAGGCCTGTCTATGCCCTTCCTTGTAAAATCCAGTTTTAGTAAGAACCCTGCTAAGTCAGTTTGGCAAGAACCCCTCATCCTCCATATCTGATCACCCTCGATAGCAGATCTATCTGATCGTGTTCCTCATCCTCCCTCATCTTCCAGGTGATGTCCAATAACTTAGTCTGTCTTCAGCAAAATTCCTGTTAGGTAGGTTTAGCCAGAATCCCCCTTAATCCTGATATTTCATCTTAGTAATTTTTTATCCACTGTCCCCCACCCTGCTTTTTGGTTATTGCTATGGTTTGAATGTCCCCTCCAAAATTCATGTTGAAATTTAATTGCTATTTTGATGATATTAAGAGATTGGGGCCCGGCGCTGTGGCTCAACGCCTGTAATCCCAGCACTCTGGGAGGCTGAGGCATGCAGATCATGAGGTCAGGAGATCAAGACCATCCTGGCCAACATGGTGAAACCCCGTCTCTACTAAAATACAAAAAATTAGCCAGGCCTGGTGGCATGCGCCTGTAGTCCCAGGTACTCAGGAGGCCGAGGCAGGGGAATTGCTTGAACCCGGGAGGCGGAGGTTGTGGTGAGCCGAGATCGCACCATTGCACTCCAGCCTGGGTGACAGCGCAAGACTCCATCTCAAAAAAAAAAAAAAAAGAGATTGGAAACTTTAAGAAGTGATTAGTCATGAGGGCTCTGCCTTCGTGAATGAATTAATGCCATTATTGCAGGAGTGAGTGAGTTCTTGTGGGAATGAGCTCCTGATAAAAGAAGGAAGTTTGGTCCACTTCTTTCTGTCTTTCATGCCCACTCACCACCATGTGATGCCTTCTACCATGTTATGTTGCAGCAAGAGAGCCCTCACCAGATGTGCCCTCAGTCTTGGACTTCCCAGCCTCCAGTATCATGAGCTAAATAAATCTCTTTTCTTTATGAATCACCCAGCATGTGGTATTCCGTTTTTTGTTTTTTGTTTGTTTGTTTGTTTGTTTTTTGTTTTTTTCCCGAGATGGAGTCTTGCTCTGTTGCCCAGGCTGGAGTGCAGTGGTGCAATCTCGGCTCACTGCAACCTCTGCCTCCCAGGTTCAAGTAATTCTCCTGCCTCAGCCTCCTGAGTAGCTGGGACTACAGGCATGCGCTACTATGCTTGGCTAACTTTTGTATTTTTAGTAGAGACAGGGTTTCACCATGTTGGCCAGGCTGGTCTCAAACTCCTGACCTTGTGATCCACCTGCCTTGGCCTCCCAAAGTGCTGGGATTACAGGCATGAGCCACCGTACCTGGCCAGGTATTCTGTCATAGCAACAGAAAACAGACTAAGGACAGCTGTAGAGTCCTACTTGCTGTATTTGGAGTTGAGTCCAATCTCTTTCTTTCCTACTGCAAAATCCCATTGCAGCAGTCCCTGTATCTCGAGGGTCCTGAATAAAGTCTTCTTTACTTTGTTTTAACAAGTATCATTGAAAAATGATTTCTTTGACACCATTCTGGGCTCTTCTCTGGAGGCTCTGGGGAAGAATCCACTTCCAGGCTCCTTCAGGTTGTTGGCTGAATTCCATTCCCTGCCATTGTAAAGCTGAGGGCCCCATTTCCTTGCTGGCTGTCAGTCAGGGGCTCTCTTAGCTCCTTAGGGCGGCCAATATGCCCGTGACCCCTGTAACTTCAAACCACCAGTGAACCTCTCTACTACCAGCAAGAGAAAACTCTCAGCTTTAAGGAGCTCATGTGATTAGAGTAGGCCTGCCTGCCCCGATAATCTCTCTTTTGCCAAAACATGACATAATCACCAGAGTGAGATGTCATCATATTCTGAGGTTTCACCCATTCTCAAAGGGGAGGAGATTATGCATAGATGAGTGTTATTGGGGCCACACTTAGAATACTGCCTACCACAGAGTTAATTAATGTGTATTGATTGACTGGAAATCCTTAAAAAACAATGAGGAAGAAATGGTGTCTCTTCTGTGCAGAGGAGCACAGCATACTTCCCTTCCATTCATCATAGCATGGAATTGAGTTGACATATATTCACTGGGCACTGACTATATGACAGGTATTATTTTGAGCATTGGGGGTATAAAAATAAATAAGATAGGCTGGGCCCCTGTTTTTAAACAGTTTAAATTTTAGTGGTGAGCCAGGAAATAAACAAGCAAGTGTACATAGTCAGGTAGTAAAGCAAGGTTGAAGGCTGAAGCGTGATGGAGGTTTGTAGCTGTTTTAGGTCCATGGCTCAGGACAGCCTAAGAGGGATGTGCCATTTGGATAGAAGCCAGCTGTGCAACTGGAAGGGGAAAGGCATTCTAGGAACTGGAAACTGCAAATACAAAGACAAGAAGGCCATTGTGGCTGGAGTGGAGCAGGTGAGGTAGCAGTAAATGAGGTCATGGGGCTAAGCAGAAATCAGGTGATATTAACTGGGCAGGATCTTATTTTAGGAAGGATGGAACAAATAAGCTGGAATTATGATGAAAACTTTTAGAAACAGTGGTGATGGCTGCACAACAATGTGGATTTAATTAATGCCACTGAACTACACACTTAAAAATTATTAAAATTACATATTTTATGTTATATATGCATTTACTACAATTAAAAAACTTAAAAAGAAAATTTTTAATAAAGAATAAATAGTGCTTGGTCAGAATTTTTTAAAAAAGGGAGCCGGGGACCAGAGGAAACAGCATAATTAAATACACAGGAGAAGTTAAAAAAAAAAATCCCCTGAAGGAGGCCCAAGGGAAACTTCTGGAGTGCTCCTAGGCTCAATTTTCTGAGTGTTGATTATCTGGGTGTTTCATTTTCTGAAATTTTATTTATTGAGCCATGCATTTATAGTTTGAGCATTTTCCCCTATATTTTATACTTCAATTGAAATATTCACATTTGACTCCATCTATGGTGGGGAGAATTGACTGTGGCAACCCTGAGAGAGGAGGCGAGTGGCTGATACTTATGCACTTGGTAAGCAGCTGACACATGGTTAGACCCTGTTCTTAGGTTTTTTTTTTTTTTTACATATACTAACTCATTTCATATTTGCAACAACCCAATGAAATAGAGCACTGTAACTATGATTTCCTATTTTATAAATGAAGAACCTGAAGCATAGACAGGTATAATAATTGTCCAAGGTAACACAGTCAGTAATTGCCAGAGCTGGAATATAAACCCACGCAATCTGGATCCAGAGCCCACACCTTTATTTTTTAAATTTTATTTTACTTTTTGGAGGCAAAGACTTGCTCTGTTGCCCAGGCTGGAGTGCAGTGGCGTGATCTCAGCTCATTGCAACCTCCGCCTCCTGGGCTCAAGCAATTCTCCTGCCTCAGCCTCTTGAGTAGCTGGGACTACAGGTGCACACCACCACACCCAGCTAGATTTTTGTATTTTTAGTAAAGATGGGGTTTCACCATGTTGCCCAGGCTGGTCTTGATCCTGAGCTCAAGTGATCTGCCCACCTCAGCCTTCCAAAGTGCTGGGATTACAGGCGTGAGCCACCGCGCCCAGCCCAGAGCCCTCACCTCTAATCATTACATCAAGTGAAATGAATGAATGAATATGTTAACTCCCTCTAGAAACCAGTGGTTCTCAACATGGGGGGTGTGGCGCACATTTTGCCCACCTCCAGGGTATTTTTGGGACTGTCTGAAGGCATTTTTGGTTCTAACAACTCGGAGGAGGGATGCTAGTATCGTCAGGTGGGCAGAGGCCAGGGATGCTACTAAACACTCTGCAATACACAGTACAGCTCCCCCGACAACCAAGAATCAACACCCCCCAAAACCAAACCAAACAGAAACCCACAAAAACAAAAGCAAAGAATTACCCACTCCCAAATGTCCATAGTGCTGAGGTAGTGTATTAGTTCTCACACTGCCATAAAGAAATACCCGAGACTGGGTAATTTATAAATAAAAGAGGTTTAATTGGCTCACGGTTCTGCAAGCTGTACAGGAAACACATTGACTTCTGCTTCTGGGGATTCCTCAGGAAGCTCCCAATCATGGCGGAAGGCAAAGGGGGAACCAGCACTTCACATGGCTGACGCAGGAGGAAGAGAGAGAGCAGGGAGGTGCCATGCACTTTTAAATGATCTGACCTCGGGAGAACTTACTATCTCCAGAACAGTACCAAGGAAGATGGTGCTAAACCATTCATGAGAAACCATCCCTATGATTCAGTCACCTCCCACCAGGCCCTACCTCCAACCTTGGGGATTACAATTCAACATGAGATTTGGTGGGGACACAGATCCAAACCATATCAGGTAGAGAAACTCTTCTCTAAACCTAACCAATACATTTCACACTCTCCAATTGTTGTTGCTTTATAATCTTAACCTCTCAATCTCCCATTATTAGATTTTTCTTTTTTGAGACAGGCTAGAGTGCAGTGGTGTGATTCAGCTCATTGCAACTTCTGCCTCCTGGGTTCAAGCAATTCTCCTGCCTCAGCCTCCCTAGTAGCTGGGATTACAGGCACGCGCCACCACGCGTGGCTAATTTTTTGTATTTTTAGTAGAGACGGGATTTCACCATGTTGGTCAGGCTGGTCTTGAACTCCTGACCTCAGGTGATCTGCCACCTCAGCCTCCCAAAGTGCTGAGATTACAGGTGTGAGCCACCGAGCCCAGCCTCATTATTAGATTTTTTTAAAAGATTCTTATTCTGAAATTACTCCTTGGTGCTATTGTCTCTGCTGATCAGTTATCTGCCACATTCTCATGATGTCACTTATTCATACCTGGCACCAGTCTCACTAACCTCTGGTTGCATGATATGGTAGCAAAAGTCCCAGACATGACTTTTCTTGTGAGAATTCTGCTGGGGGCATTTGATGGAGAGGTCCTCATGCCTATCTAAACACAGGGAACCTGCCACCTTCCTGCCACCTCCCCCTTCCTGCCACCCAGGGCTATTTCAGTGCCCACCTCTGCTCCTGGTGTTTCCTGTGAGCTCAGCACTTTCTACACTGTACTGTCATCCCATGAGCAGAAACAGGAGCACGGGCACTTCCCAAGGCCACAGATTCCTGCCTTGTTTTCCTCAGTGGAATTCTCAAGTTACAACCCAGCAGCCAAAGGGATCCTCTGAACCCAGGGAGTAGCTAATGAGTATGGGGCACTGACTTGGTCTAAGCACTGCGTGAACAAATTTAATCCACAGAGAGACCTTATGAAGTAGGTATTGTTTTTTCCATTTTACACTTGGGAAAAACCAGGCGCTGAGAAACTAAGTAACTTGCTCAGCTCACACAGCTTGTAAGTGGTAGAGTTGGGATTTGAATCCAGGTACCTTGATTGCAGAGCTCAACATATGCACCCGACCCCTACTCCAGGCCTCTCTCATCTCAGCCTCCTCCCTGCTGCTGGCCTAAGCCTCTTTTGGGGCTAGCCTGCACCATCACCGTGGCAACCTCCAGTAACCCCTCCCATTAGCCCACAACTTGCAGCCACCCTGTCTTGTTCACACTTTGAGCTCTCAGCCCACACTGTTGCTGAGGGGGACCAAGAGGGTTATCTCTTGTCCTGTGTTTGCTTAAACATGCCAGGCATCAGGCTACTGTTTTTATTTAGAGACATGGTCTCACCGTTGCCCAGGCTGGAGTGCAGTAGTACGATCATAGCTCACTGTAGCCTCTAGCTCCCAGGCTCAAGTAATGTTCCTGCCTCAGCCTCCTAATTAGTTGGGACTACAGGCGTGCACCATCACATGCGGCTGATTTTTTAAATTTTTGATAGAGACAAGGTCTCACTATATTGCCCAGACTGGTCTTGAATTCCTGGCCTCAAGCAATCCTCCTGTCTTAGCCTCCCAAAGTGATGGGATTACGGGAATTAGCCACTGCACCCAGCTGCAGGCTACTATTTTTATCCCAACTTCAACCGTTAAAGCCTTAATCAGGCAAAAGCCAGGATTTATTCTCAATTAGGGATTGGTTAAGGACACACTCTGCCTCACTTCCTAGACAGTGAATTCCTGAGGGGAAGGAACAAACTCCTTTTCATCTCAATGCTCAGCTGCACCTGGCATAAAACGTGCACCTACTAAATGTGCTGTGGAATAAACAGATGAATGAACTCCTGATGCTCCCCATTGCAGAAGACTGCGAAAGCATAGCACTCATGAGAGTTGGCAAAGGACTTGGGCAGACCTGGGCTTGAAGCCCAAGGTCACTTTGAAGCTATGATGCTGGACCATGTACTTAACCCAGGGCTTGGCAACTTCCCTTGTGTGAAGAGTCAGACAGCAGACATTTTCAGCTTTGTGGGCCATAAGGCTTCTCACATAGCTATTAATACTCAACTCTGTGTTATTTGTAAAAATAGCCAGAGATAATGTGTCCGGAATTGGTTCCTTCTGTGGGTTCTTGGTCTCGCTGTCTTCAAGAAAGAAGCTGCAGACCCTCACGGTGAGTGTTCCTCTAAAAACGAAACCAAACCAAGAAACTGAGTCTTGCTCTGTCGCCCAGACTGGAGTGCAGTGGCGCCATCTCGGCTCACTGCAAGCTCCACCTCCCAGGTTCACACCATTCTCCTGCCTCACCCTCCCCAGTAGCTGGGACTACAGGCGCCCGCCACCACGCCCAGCTATTTTTTTTTGTATTTTTAGTAGAGATGGGATTTCACCATGTTAGCCAGGATGGTCTCCTGACCTCATGATCCGCCCGTCTCAGCCTCCCAAAGTGCTGGGATCATAGGCATGAGCCACCGTGCCCGTGAGTTACAGTTCTTAAAGACGGTGTGTCTGGAGTTCGTTCCTTCAGATGTTCAGCTGTTTCCTGAGTTTCTTCCTTCTGGTGGGTTCGTGGTCTCACTGACTTCAGGAGTGAAGCCGCAGACCTTGGCAGTGAGTGTTACAGCTGTTAAAGGTGGCAGGTCCGGAGTTGTTTGTTCCTCCCGGTGGGCTTGTGGTCTCCCTGGCTTCAGGAGTGAAGCTGCAGACCTTCACAGTGAGTATTGCAGCTCATAAAGGTAGTGCAGACCCGAAGAGTGAGCAGCAGCAAGATTCACTGCAAAAACCAAAAGAACAAACATTCCACAGCACAGAACAGGACCCCAACAGGTTGCCGCTGCTGTCTCGGGTGGCCAGCTCTTATACTCTTATTTGGCCCCACCCACATCCTGCTGATTGGCCCATTTTACAGAGTACTGATTGGTCCGTTTTTACAGAGTGCTGATTGGTGCATTTATAAATCTTTAGCTAGACACAGCACTGATTGGTGTGTTTTTACAGAGTGCTGATTGGTGCATTTACAAACCTTTAGCTAGACACAGAGCACTGATTGGTGTGTTTACAATCCTTTAGCTAGACAGAAAAGTTCTCCAAGTCCCCACCTGACCCAGAAGCCCAGCTGGCTTCACCTCTCAATAATACCTAAGTCAATGGGTGTGGCTGTGTTCTTATAAGCTTTTATTTACAAAAATAGGTGACAGCAGTGTGCTGATCTATAACTTACTGTAAAAAAAAGATTGTAGAAGAAGACCACATGAGACAACCCATGAAGGTAGCCCGAACTCTTGTGCTGGAATGTCCTTGAGCAGGAGTGCACATACTACATCACATTAATTCCATTTAACTCAATTGACTGAGCCTCACTACATGGCACTCGAATGGATCGTAGTTTGTTTTTCTCTCAAGTTTCTTGGGAGGCAATGCCACCAAACATTTGAGAAGTAGCATTGTGAAGGAAGTAAGAGGTTGGGATTCTGGAACCATACTGCTTAGGTCATAGTTCTGGCTCTGACACTTAAGACATATGTGACCTTTGCAAAATTAACTTAACCTCCCTGACTTAACCTCCCTCAGTTGCCCTATCTGTAAAGCTTGGGTGACAATAACTGTCTTTCTCTCTCAAAGGGTTGTTATGGGGACTAAACGGGTCCAAATCACCTGAGGCTTTCTAAAGATTCCAAAACCCAGACCACATACAAACCAACAAAATCACAATTCCTGGGGGTAAGGCGGAGGTGTCAACCTAAAAGAAGAGTTTATTTAGGCGTAAAGTGTGAGGATGGACCACCCAGAAACACCAACTCCAAAGGAATGGATTTGGCATTCTAAAATAGGGAAGTTAAGGTTTCATTTATATAGGTAGAGATAGGAATTTTGAGCAGGATAACAGTATTCCTACAAGGTTGGCACACAGGTACAGCAATTTGATTGGTTATTGGTTTCTTTTTGGGAAGGGAACATTGAACATTTTTTACATAGGGTGTAATAATCATAGGTTTTATGTCTCTGGTCTAAGCAAAACAGGATAACAGAGGGAAGAAGTTATAATCTATAACAAGGTTCATTACTTAACAAGGCAGGAGCTTTTGTCCCTGAAGCCGTTTAATTCTTCCTAGACATCGTTCAATAAAAGAAAGCGAGAATATAATGTGGGAATAGAAGTTGTAAGCATACGTGACTGACATTACAGTCAGTTCAAGGCTTAAAATATTTTTTCGGTGGGGGGGTTCCAACAGCTTTTCAATTTTATTTTCACAGGGGCATCAGTATTTTTGAGGCTTTCCTAAGTGGCTCCAATGTGCGGACAGGTTTGCTCCAAGAGCTGGTATGATCTTTCGGTAGATGCTTCTGGAATCACCGCGCCCCCAGACCTCAAGTACCTCGGATTCCCCACCTCACTTCAGTGCGCAACTACTGCCCCTCCACCCCCGCGCCCAGCCCAGAAGCCCCTGCCCATGCACACTGGGATTTGTAGTCCCTTTGGCTCGCCGGCCTCGTCCTCTCCTCCCATTGGTTTTGGCAGATGCCACGCCCCATAGCTCCACCAGTCACCGCGGCACAGTGGCCCTTAAGCGAGGAGCGGCGGCGCCCGCAGCAATCACAGCAGTGCCGACGTCGTGGGTGTTTGGTGTGAGGCTGCGAGCCGCCGCGAGTTCTCACGGTCCCGCCGGCGCCACCACCGCGGTCACTCACCGCCGCCGCCGCCACCACTGCCACCACGGTCGCCTGCCACAGGTAACCGCGAGCCCCAGCACAGAACCGGGTTCAGTCCCCACGCCCGAGGCCAGGGCCTCCCGTCTGCTCTCTCAGGCTCTCGACCTCAGGGCTGGGATTTTCATTTTTCCCGTCCCTTTCTGAGTAATCAGTTTCTCACCGTGCGAGGGGGAATTTCAGGAAACAGTGAATCCCGAGGGAAGGGAAACCCTGTGGCCTCTGCTTGGTGGGGCTGGGGGTGGAGGTTTCTCGTTTCTCACGCGTGTTGTGGCTGGAAGGGCTCAGTGCTCTGGAGGGGGAAACTGAGGCGCGGGAGGAGACGGGATTTGCTGAGATCCCGCAGCCAAGGGCCCCTACTGGGACTGGGGCTTGGTTCCAGCCTTTACGACCTAGGAACAGTTCAGACTTTTGATGTTCTTAATGTGGAGGATTGCACCCGTGGGAAAGGGCTATTAACGACGACAACAGAAATACCCAAGCTTATAAAGACATCTATTTAGAGAAGTCAGGGAAGCTCTGGTTCTGGGAGGTTTGAGCTGGTGAGAGTTTCAGGACCACCCGCTTCAATCTTGGAAGTGAAAGTTAACTGGTTTCCTTTCCCGTCCCTATTTGATTTGAGGTTATACCTACGTGGAGTGTTCTATGCCAAGCATTATAGTATCTGGGGGCTGGAAGAAGAAACTTTGTGTCGCGTGCTTTGTTTTATAGATGAAAAGGAGTGCCCAGGGTAGTTGACTAGCCCTGTGGTATGTGGTGAATGGAGTAGCCCAGCTTTCTTTACTCTGGGACTTGCATAGCAAACATTTTCGAGCCTTACTAAGCTTTTTGAGCAGAGATTGTTTCATAAAGGGGAGAGACAATCTCTAGTGAACAGTTCCAGTGTTAAAGGGCTGGAGTATACACGTGTGTACAGGGGCAGCATCTAACCCTAACTTGTGGGAGAGGTTGAGACTTCGCAGAGGTGGGGAGGCTTGAGTGGAGTTTATGTGTTTTTCTGTTTGTTTGTTTTGTTTTGTTTTTGAGACGGAGTCTCGCTCCGTCGCCCAGGCTGGAGTGCAGTGGTGCGATCTCGGCTCACTGCAACCTCCACCTTTCCGGTTCAAGTGATTCTTCTGTCTCAGCCTCCCGAGTTCTGGGATTACAGGCACCTGCCACCATGCCCGGCTAATTTTTGTGTTTTTAGTAGAGACGAGGTTTCACCATGTTGGCCAGACTGGTCTCGAACTCCTGACAAGTGATCCGCCCGCCTCAGCCTCCCAAAGTGCTGGGATTACAGGCATGAGTCACCACGTCTCGCCTTGGAGTTTGAGGGCTGGGCAGAACCTAGTGAGATGAAGGAAGAGAAAAGTGTTTCATCTGGAAAACAGCATGATGAAGGCAGAGAAAGAGCAATGCTTTTTGCACTGGAGTCGTGGAGTCTGGTGCAGTAAAGGGATTTCATGTGGGTGGTAGATTTTTTTTTTTTTTTTTTTTTGAGACGGAGTCTCGCTCTGTCGCCCAGGCTGGAGTGCAGTGGCGCTATCTCGGCTCACTGCAAGCTCCGCCTCCCAGGTCCACGCCATTCTCCTGCCTCGGCCTCCCGAGTAGCTAGGACTACAGGCGCCCGCCACCACGCCCGGCTAATTTTTTGTATTTTTAGCAGAGACGGGGTTTCACCGTGTTAGCCAGGATGGTCTCGATCTGCTGACCTCATGATCCACCCCCCTCGGCCTCCCAAAGTGCTGAGATTACAGGCGTGAGCCACCGCGCCCGGCTGGTGGTGGGATTTTATGAGTGTGAGAATAGAGGGGTACATCTTCCAGGGCTTCCTGTGCTGCTGTGAGAGATTTGGAGTTTATCCTGAATGTCCAGGAAGCCACATTTACTGTAGATCTGTATCTCAGATACTCTGTAGTGTGGAAAAGTGTTGGAGAAAGGCCACACTAAGGATACGGAGGTCATTGCAGTAATCCCCAGGAGAATTACAAGGGTTTTAAAGACAGTTGCAGTGGGACGGGAGGAGAAAAGATTTGATAGCTCTAAGGAGGTAGAATACACCATACCACAGCATTAATCAGTAAGAAATATGTAGAAGTAAACTCTGTCTCTTGAGGTTTCCAGCCGATGACTATCTTTTGAAGAAATGTCCAGCATATTCTTTTTTTTTAACTGCACAAGTTGCTTTGCAGACCATAATTGGAATCCCAGTTTATCAGGGGGAAGTTGTCACATGTACTGAGGGTATCGAAATCTGAATGGTTAAATAATCATATGATAAGACTCAAATTTTCTTGTAATCCAGGAAATGCACATTGAAACTATAATTAGATCATTGTATGTTCATCAGATTAGGAATTGCAAAGTTTGACACTATCAAGAGATGATAAGCGTTTGAAGAAAATGAGATTCTCGCTGGGCGCGGTGGCTCGTGCCTGTAATCGCAGCACTTTGGGAGGCCGAGGCGGGCGGATCATGACGTCAGGAGATCAAGACCATCCTGGCCAACATGGTGAAACCCCGTATCTACTAAAAAATACAGAAATTAGCTAGGTGTGGTGGCACGTGCCTGTAATCCCAGCTACTCGGGAGGCTGAGGCAGGAGAATTGCTTGAACCAGGGAGCCGGAGGTTGCAGTGAGCCGAGATGGCGCCACTGCACTCCAGCCTGGCCAGAGAGGGACATGCCATCTCAAAAAAAAAAAGAAAATGAGATTCTCCTTCACTATGGGTTGCAAGTGTATCTTTGAGCAGTGTAGCCACTAGCAGATTGGATATATCTTAAGATCAGTGGTTCCACTTCTAGAAAATACTAAGAAGCCAGAGACATTTGTATACAAGGGGCAGGATATTAGGGTTGTTTGTGGCAACACTGTTTATAATGGTTTAAAAAATTGGAAACAGCCTAAATGTCCATTACTAGGGGAATGCTTGTAGAGTGGGTATGTATCTTTTTATAATAAATCGATTGGAAAGAAATGCTAATTTAGGATAGTGATAACTTTGCAGTGTGGGGAGGATGGGATGGGACAGAAGGAACAATTTCGTCTGTAATGTGGAAAAAAGATGAGTGGGTTTATAAAATAACAGAGAATGGTCTGGATGATAGGTAAGTGGTGTTTTATGTTATTCTTTGTACATTTCTATAGGTTAATGTCCACCCTTCAATTTCTTGAAGTAAAAGTTAAAGTAAAAATTTAACTTGAGTTAACATGTAGCTATAAAAAGTTAGGCTCAGTCATTTTGGGAAAAGGCTGCAAACTGCACTGGTCCCAGGTTTCAAAAATAGTAAGTTGGGTGAAAGAAAACTCAAATGCCAAATAAGCATTAAAAATTAAAATGTGGAGAAGTTATTAAGCATTGAGCGACATTTTTGGATTTTTAAATTTTTTTGTTTTTTGTAGAGACTGGGTCTCACTATCTTGCCCAGGCCAGTCTCAAACTCCTGGGCCCAAGTGACCCTCTGGCTTCGGCCTCCCAGAGTACTGGGATTACAGGCAGGAGACACTGTGCCCACCGTTGACCCAAATTTCCTTTCCTAGAAACCTAAGTTCTAACCATTAATAGATTAAAAACATTTTTTGACTGCTTCTTTTGAAATACGTGTTACTTGCTTATACTTTCCATAATACTAAAAGATAGGCCAGGCGCGGTGGCTCACACCTGTAATGCCAGCACTTTGGGAGGCTGAGCCGGGCGGATCACCTGAGGTCAGGAGTTCAAGACCAGCCTCAACATGGAGAAACCCCGTCTCTACTAAAAATACAAAAAATTAGCCGGGCGTGGTGGTGCATGCCTGTAATCCCAGCTACTTGGGAGGCTGAGGCAGGAGAATTGCTTGAACCTGGGAGGTGGAGGTTGTGGTGAGCCAAGATCGTGCCGTTGCACTCCAGCCTGGGCAACAAGAGCGAAACTCCGTCTCAAAAAAAAAAAAAAAAAACTAAAGGATAATTTCCTTAAAAAAAAGATAAAGTCATTACTCTGTAAAATGTAAAACTGAACATGTGTTAAGGATTTTATTTAACTCATTAATGAGGTATTGGAGACTGCAAAGTACAGCCAATTTGTAGATTAGAAATACTGAATTGAATTTGCAAATGAAAGACAAAACTGGCCTCTCTACAGAGGGGGAAGGAAGTCAAATGAACCTACATTTGGTAACATGCATTTGCCTGTCTAGACTAGAATTATTTGCATTGCTGTTACCCATAGTATGCAGAATTATAAAATAACTCCTATAAATTAGAATTAGATAACCGTGAAGAGTATGCTCTAATCTAGAAGCTAGTTTGCCAATGAATCATATTTTCTCTGTAGGAAAAAACAACAATAAACGAAGCTGAGTAAAATAGATTTTTCTTTTTCTTTTTTTTTTTCTTTTTGGAGACAGAGCTTACCCTGTCACCAGGCTGGAGTGCAGTGGCGCGATCTCGGCTCACTGCAACCTCTTCCTCCCGGGTTCAAGCGATTCTCCTTCCTCAGCCTCCCGAGTAGCTGGGATTACAGGCACATGCCACCACACCCAGCTGATTTTTGTATTTTTAGTAGAGACGGGGTTTCACCATGTTCGCCAGGATGGTATTGATCTCTTGACCTTGTAATCCGCCCACCTCAACCTTTCCAAGTGCTGGGATTACAGGCATGAGCCACTGCTCCTGGCCTAGATTTTTCATCTGAGTTAAGATCTAGTTGGATGATGATGATGATAACGATAATTTTTTTTTTTTTTTTTTGAGACAGAGTCTCCCTCTGCTGCCCAGCTTAGGAGTGCTGTGGTTTGATCTCGGCTCACTGCAACCTCTGCCTCCAGGACTCAAGCAGTTCTCATGTCTCAGCCTCCCGAGTAGCTGGGATTACAGGTGCATGCTACCATGCCTGGCTAATTTTTGTATTTTTAGTAGAGATGGGGTTTCGCATGTTGGCCAGGCTGGTCTTGAACTCCTGGCTTCAAGTGATCCACCCACCTTGGCCTCTCAAAGTGTTCGAATTACAGGCGCAAGCCACCACACCAGGCCTGGATTTTTTTTTTTTTGAGACGGAGTCTCGCTTTGTTGCCCAGGCTGGAGTGCAGTGGGGCAATCCTGGCTCACTGCAAGCTCCGCCTCCCGGGTGCACGCCATTCTCCTGCCTCAGCCTCCCGAGTAGGTGGGACTATCGGTGCCCGCCACCACGCCTGGCTAATTTTTTTTGTATTTTTAGTAGAGATGGAGTTTCACTGTGTTAGTCAGGATGGTCTCGATCTCCTGACCTCGTGATCCACCCGCCTTGGCCTCCCAAAGTGCTGGGATTACAGGCGTGAGCCACTGCCCGGCCCTGGATTTTGTTTTAATCCCATTCTTTAGCCAGAAAATCAAAGGATTTAAAGGACTGAATGACCCTTTAATAAGCTCTACCATCTCATTTCACAGATGGACTGTGAAGGCCCAGAGAGAGGAAGGGTCTCCCCTGAGTTAGTAGCTATATCTTTTGTTAAAGAAAAATTGCATCAGATGTTTTTTTTTTTTTTTTTTGAGACAGAGGACAGAGGTCTCGCTCTCTCACCCAGGCCGGATGGTTCACTATAGCCTTGACTTCCCGGGCTCAAGTGATCCTCCCCGCTCAGCCCCTTGAGTAGCTGGGACCACAGGTATGCACCATCATGCTGGCTGTATTTGCAGAGACAGAGTCTCCCTATGTTGCCCAGGCTGGTCTGGAACTACTGGGTTTGAGTGATCCTCCTTCCTTGGCCTCCCAAAGTGTTGAGATTACAGGCACGAGCCACCACGCCCAGCCTGTATCCAATGCTTCTTAAATTTTTTTCTGTTTGACACAGGATCTCATTGTGTTGCCCACGTTGGTCCCAAACTTCCAGGCTCTAGCAATCCTTCTACCTCAGCCTCCTAAGTAGCTGGGACTGCAGGCATATGCCAGTGTGCCACGCATGGGTATTTTTTAAAAACAGCAAGACAGGCTGGGTGCAGTGGCTCACATCTGTAATCCCAGCACTTTGGGAGGCTAAGGCAGGTGCATCACTTGAGGCCAGGAACTCGAGACCAGCCTGGCCAACATGGCAAAACCTAAAAATACAAAAATTAGCTGGCATGGTGGTGTATGCCTGTAATCTCAGCTACTCTGGAGGCTGACGCATGAGAATCGCTTGAGCCTGGGAGGTGGAGGTTGCAGTGAGCTGAGATCACTCCATTGCACTCCATTCTGGACGACAGAGTGAGACTCTGTCTCAAAAAAAAAGAAAAAAAAAAAAAGCAAAACAAAAAACAGCAAGACATTTTCTTTTAGCTACTGCAATAGGAGAGAGAGACTTCAGTATGGAATGGAGCTCAGCTCTAGGATGGCAAGGTCAGCTGGGGATTTATAGCCCATGGGCAAGGTGAGGGGGGGTTAGTGGAATTCCTTAAAATATTCAGTATACTAAGGTGCCATTTTTTGAGGTAGTGGGTCCTGAACCCCATCAATAGAATATTACTAAGAGGAACTTCATTAGATATCGAGGGTGAGAGATTCTCTTCTGGATTCTTGCTAAAACTGGACCTGGCAGACCAAGGCCTTGTGGAGAAGAGGGCTCAGTGGAGCCTGACTAAGGTTTGGTCAAGGAGACAGTTCTTGTCACCTGTCCTTATTTCTTCTGCACATTGTCAGCCGAAAAACCTTGCAGGATGATTTTATTCTTTTTATTAGGTGGAGTCTCACTCTGTTGCCCAGGCTGGAGTGCAGTGGCACAATCTCAGCTCACTGCAACCGCTGCTTCCCAGGTTCAAGCCATTCTCCTGCCTCAGCCTCCCGAGTAGCTGGGATTACAGGTGCCCACCACCACGCACAGGTAGCATGCCCAGGTAATTTTTGTATTTTTAGTAGAGACGGGGTTTCACCATGTTGGCCAGGCTGGTTTCAAACTCCTGACCTAAATGATCTGCCCGCCTCGGCCTCCTGAAGTGCTAAGATTACAGGTGTGAGCCCCCGTGCCTGGCCTTCAGGATGATTTTATTTTAAACCCCTAGAAAGCAGAGAGTAGGATCAAAACCTTTAGGTTTGGAAGGCTCTTTACAGATTTCATTGTCTAACTAGCTGCTTTGCTTGGCTTTGATGGTCTTCTGTGTCTAACCCAGAGCCAGTAGCTGGCACTGAGGGGTCACTCCTGATGGTGGTTAAGGTGTAGGCTTTGGTATCAGACCTGGATGTGAACTTGACTCTGCTACTTAGATGGCCCTGTGAACTTGACCTTATTACTTGCATTGTTGGTGATAATTTATCTGGAATGGGCACTGCATCCCAAACTTCTCAAATGGATTAAACCTGACTTGATGGTACATTTCTTGGATCCAAGTGAAGTCTTTTTTTTTTTTTTCTTTTCTTGACAGGGTCTTACTCTGTTGCCCAGGCTGGAGTGCAGTGGCACAATCTTGGCTCACTGCAACCTCTGCCTCCCGGGTTCAAGCAATTCTCCTGCCTCAGCCTCCCGAGTAGCTGGGATTACAGGTGTGTGCCACCATACTTGGCTAATTTTTGTATTTTTAGTAGAGATGGGGTTTCACCATGTTGGCCAGGCTGGTCTCGAACTCCTGGCGTCAAGTGATCAACCCGTCTCGGCCTCCCAAAATGCTGGGATTACAGGCATGAGCCACTGCACCCGGCCCCAAGTGAAGTCTTTTAAGTGAATTACTGACCTGGTATAGCCCTGTAACCTGAGCAGGGATGAAGTCCGAGTGGGAACAGCAGAGGACTTGTCATTGGAGGCTGGTGAAGTCTGTAAAGGCTTGTTCATTGACTTTGACTTTGTGTAGCTCAGATACTCCATTGATAGGCTCTTCTAAGACAAGAGCTGTTTATGCAGCAAGCCCACCAGTGCCTTAAAATAGTAGGGCACGAAAGAGCACCGTGGGTGTCCTACTGCCGGAGGAAACTGTGAGGGCCTGCTCTGTGCTCGGGCCCTGGGGTGCAGGGTGCAGTGCCTGTGGTTCCGGGGCCTCCCAGACTTTCACATAAGCAACTCTTTCTTTGTGTGACAAGCAGGTGATGTAGTGGAACAAACACAGTCTTTGCCGTCAGATCTGCGTGGTCCCAGCAGTGCCACTGACCACCAAGTTTCTCTACCTTTCTGAGCCTCAGTTTTCTCACCTGTCTGAAGGGAGTGGGGATCCTTGCTTACAGAGAACTGTTGTGAGGATGGTGTGAATAAAGTGTCTTGCACGTTGTGTGGTCCATAGTAGATAACCCACAAATGTGCCACTCTGTGCCACTCCGCAACACATCCCAGTCTCTGGGAGTCTTTCTTTCTTTCTTTCTTTTTTTGAGACGGAGTTTTGCTCTTGTTGCCCAGGCTGGAGTGCAATGGCGCGATCTCGCCTCACTGCAACCTCTGCCTCCCGGGTTCAAGTGATTCTCATGCTTCAGCCTCCCGAGTAGCTGGGATTACAGGCATGTACAACCACGCCCAGCTAATTTTGTATTTTTAGTAGAGACGGGGGTTTCTCCTTGGTCAGGCTGGTCTTGAACTCCCGACCTCAGGTGATCCTCCGAACTCGGCCTTCCAAAGTGCTGGGATTACAGGCGTGAGCCACCGTGCCCAGCTGGGAGTCTTTCTCTCTGATCTCCCCTGGCTGGGGCAACGACTGTCTGTGTTGTCTTCTCCCTGCACGTGGTTAGCAGACGATGCATGTGTCCCAACAGCGCCCCTGGGGGAGATCTTTCCAGTCTTGGCACGTTACGATCTGCCTTAGGTTCTTTTTAAAGCCTTCACAGTATCCCACCATAAGGCTGTACTGTAATTGATCCAGCTAGACATTTATGTTGCTTCCAGTGGTTTGCCCTAATATATGGTCTGGTGCCCTCACCTCCATAGTTTCTTCCCCTTTTACAAATGACACCTCCCACTCCTAGTGGGACTCCCTCCCTCTCCTGCCTTATTTTTGTCCATCACTGTCATCACTATCTGACAACCTATGTTTTTAAATGGTCTGTCTCTTCTCTCTGGAATGCCACCTCCACGAAGAGTTTTGTCTGTTTGGTTCACTGTTCAGTGCCTGTGAGCAGCTAGCAGGTGCTCAGTCCGTGTTTGTTGGATGGATTCGGGGTGGGGGTGAATGTAGGAGAGAGTAGATAGGAGGAGAGGAAGTTAAAGGAGAGGAGGTAGATGATGATGATGCCTCTGTGAGATGAGGCCTGTGTAATGGGGACCCTGGAGAGCCACAGCCAAAAACAGCAGAGTCACAAAGAATGAGTAGTTTAGCCGGCGTCGTTCACTTTTTTGTCAGTTTTTCACTTTGATAAACCAGGAATCATAGGGATGCTGCCAGATTATTGGTGACTTTGTTTTGATACCTTGACTTTGTCAAAAATCATACAATAAATGCCCATAGGAAATTAGCATGTAAGGTAGCTACTTTGAGGCATGTTCATTGCCAAGGGTAATGGAATGATTATTTTACTTTTGTGTCTCTCTTCACCCCAGGCCTTTCTATTTTTATGTGTTTCCCAAAATAGTGTTAGTGTATGTGGGGTTTTTTTTGTTTTTTTTTTTTTTGAGACAGAGTCTTGCTCTGTCACCAGGCTGGAGTGCAGTGGTGCGATCTTGGCTCACTGCAACCTCTGCCTCCCAGGTCCAAGCGATTCCCCTGCCTCAGCCTCCAGAGTAGCTGGGACTACAGGTACATACCACCACGCCCAGCTAATTTTTGTATTATTAGTAGAGACAGGGTTTCACCCTGTTGGCCAGGATGGTCTCAATCTCTTGACCTCACGATCTGCCCACCTCGGCCTCCCAAAGTGCTGGGATTACAGGCATGAGCCACTGTGCCCGGCCATGTATGTGGTTTTTAAAGTAGCATTTTCTATTCGGCAACGTAATGTGAGGCTTTTAATATAGCGTTGTAGTCAGGGAATCACGACTCTGTGTTTATAAGAAAAAAGAACGATGGAGCAGGACCATCACCAAGTAGAGACTATGAAAATGTCATTTTTTTTGGCTGGGCGCGGTGGCTCACGCCTGTAATCCCAGCACTTTGGGAGGCTGAGACAGGCAGATCATGAGGTCAGGAGATCGAGACCATCCTGGCTAACACGGTGAAACCCCATCTCTACTAAAAATACAAAAAAATTAGCCAGGCATGGTGGTGGCGCCTGTAGTCCCAGCTGCTCGGGAGGCTGAGGCAGGAGAATGGTGTGAACCTGCGAGGCAGAGCTTGCAGTGAGCCGAGATAGCGCCACTGCACTCCAGCCTGGGCAACCGAGCAAGACTCTGTCTCAAAAAAAAAAAAAAGAAAAAGAAAATGTCATTTTCTGTATCAGTAGGGCACTTTTCTCACAGAGGATTAGAAGAATGAAGGATTAACTCGATTTTGTAAAAATAACCAAGTGGTGCTTTTTTGGTGCCTGCTGTGTGTTTGCTAATTTAGGTGGATAAGTAGGTGGTGTCCGTTCTGTTGTTCACAGTCAGGTCAACCGTTTGTTTCTGGTATTTTATTTATTCATTTTTCTCCTAAATATGAGGGGGTAAAAGTCACACACCATTGCCCCCAGAGGAATGACGCTCTTTGAGACTATGTCATATGAACGAAACTCAGAATAAACAGGTGTGCAAACTAGGGAACCCATTTATTGCTGATAAAAGATGACAGTAACAGCCAGGCTGTGCCTGCCATGTGGTCTGGGGGCATCTTCTCACTCCCTCAGACAGGGTCAGCAACCTATGACCTATGGGCCAAACAAACCACCTATTTTATAGATAAAGTTTTATTGGAACATAACCTATTCTTTTGTTTATATATTGTCTCTGGCTGTAACTGGCTCATGGGTTAGTAATTCATCACTTCCAGAGTCCAATTAACAAGAGCAAGATCTGGTACAAAGAAAGTGATTTATTTCCAAGTTGCTTAGGGGAAGAAACACAGGCATCCCACCTTTAGATGTACTGCTTTGCTTTTGGAGCAGAAAGTGGGCACTTTTAAAAGGCAGGGGAGGAAGCAAGCAAGGTGGGGTGTCCACGTGTTAGCTTGGTGTCTTATCTACTGTGCTGTCTGTCGGTTGAGCTGGTGACTGCTGGCATCTTTGTGGGCAGGACTAGGCCAAAAACTCCCCAGGTGGGAGGGAGTAGCAGGCATGCTTTTTGACTAGTATCTCTCAAGGCAACCTCCTGGCAGGTGAGAGTTCTGTATTGGGCATGCTTTGGTCTGTAAATCAACTCTTAACTCTTGAGGAGTTAGGTGAACTTGCCCTGTAGGGAGTGTCTGGTGAAGGAGGGGCGGGTAAAAGGCTATATTTGTGTTTCTCAAGGGCTAAGCAGGAAGCGGGGAACCAGAGGAATGATAAAAGGAGAGACAAAAATAATTCAACCATCTCTTAGAAAAATGCAAGTACTTGGTGACTGGCTGCTTTCAAGATACAGTGGCAGAGTTGAATAGTTGTGAGAGAGATGGCCTGGCCTGCAAAGCCAAAAATATTTACTTTCTGGTCCTTTGCAGAGAAAGTTAGCCTACCCCTACCCTAGGGGAAGGCTTTCCAGGGAGGCTGCTGGGTGAGCTCCGAGTAGGTGAGAGCCGTTGGTTGGAACACCTTGGTAGTGACTGTCACACCTCTCTTGTGGGGTCACTGAAGAGCTTGGGGGACATGGATATTTTTGCTCCTTGACTCTCTCTCGCCTGTCCTCACTGTTGCTTCTTCACAAGTTTGTATAATTGCATCTTGTATTGGTTCCTTACCTTCGAGCTGCCAGGGGTGCTTGAACCAGAGTGACTCCATGATGAACAAGGGCTGGGTAAAATTTGGCTGAGACCTGCTGGGCTGCAGTCCCAGGAGGTTAGGTATTCCTAGTCACAGGATGTTTATGGTTAAGGGAACAGGTTAATGTTTACCAAACAGACCCAGGAAAGGTCCTGATGTCCCTATATCTTAAGAACAAAAGCATTTTTAGTTTAATAATAAGTTCACTTTATTTTATTTATTTATTTAAGACAGGGTCTCGCTCTGTCACCCACGCTGGAGTGCAGTGGCACAATCTTGGCTAACTGCAGCTTCTGCCTCCCGGGTTCAAGTGATTCTCGTGCCTCAGCCTCCTGAGTAGCTGGGATTACAGGTGTGCGCCACCACGCCCAGCTAAATTTTGTATTTTTAGTAGAGACAGGGTTTCACCTTGTTGCCCAGGCCGGTCTTGAAGTCCAGACCTCAAGTGATCCGCCTGCCTCAGCCTCCCAAAGTACTGGGATTACAGGTGTGAGCCACCGCACCTGGCCATAAGTTTCACCTTAAAGATAATAACATAGATTCTTGTGAAAGACAGCAGTTCTACAAAGATTAACGGTCCTCTGTCCGTTAATCTTGCCTTGTAGCAGGCACATCTCCCTGTGACTTTGTTTTGCTTTGTTGTCTTATGTCTAAACAAGCATTGCACCTAAGGTAGACATGGTCCTCCTCTTGCTTTTGGGAACACCCTGTTCTGTCTGTAGAGTAATGTGTTCTTTCACTGTTTCACTTGCTGAATAAGCTTGCTTGCACATTATTCTGTGGACTTGCCCCAAATTCTTTCTTGCATGAGGTCCAAGAACCCTCTGTTGAGGTCTGGATCAGGACCCCTTTCTGGAAACACAGCCCCACAGCGAGCCCTTGTCAGGTCGAGTGGACTTGTGGGGAGCCTCCTCAGGTGCACATGAACAGACCCGTGGTTCTAGCACTGGGGGTCCCCAGCACTCCACTGACCTATCTGTTATGTGCCATACTAGCCGCTACTCCAAGAAAAAAAAAAACCTGAAAAAAACAAATCTGGGAGCATCTTACTGTAGTTACCAGTTGCCCGTCCATTGACCTTGCAGTGGAGCTAAAGAAACCTACATTTAGCACGATTTCAGGCTTTCGGATTAAGAATTAAGTTCCTGTTAGGAGGCAGTGCTTGAGGGTGGAGCAGTGTAGTCTGTTGACCAGGATGCTGGGTTGAGGACAAGTGGACCAGAGGCTGGGGGATTTAATGCAGTTCTGCCACATCAAAGGTAATCTGAGGCTAGCAGCATAGTGTCACCTGACACTTGTTAGAAATGCAGTCTCATGGCCAGGTGCGGTGACTCACACCTGTAATCCCACCACTTTGGGAGGCCGAGATGGGCAGATCACCTAAAGTCAGGCGTTTGAGACCAGCCTGGGCAACATGGCGAAACCCTGTCTCCACTAAAAATACAAAAATTAGCTGGGCATGGTGGTGGGCACCTGTAATCTCAGCTACTCAGGAGGCTGAGGCAGGAGAATCGCTTGAACCTGGGAGGCGGAGGTTGCAGTGAGCTGAGATTGCCCCAGTGCACTCCAGCCTGAGCCACAGAGCAAGACACCGTCTCAAAAAAAGAAATGCAGTCTCAGGCCCTGCCCCAGGCCTACTGAATCAGAATCTGCCTCCTAGATCCCCAGGTGACCTAGGTGCATATTCAAGTGGGAGAATTACTTGTCTAAGACACTTTTCAAGACTCAGCACTTCCTATTTAGTTACTGGAGGAAATCCATCGCTTTGAGGGCTAGACTCAGAACATTGAAGATGGTTTCTTCAGCTTAGAGGTGGATCAGCCTTCATCTGGGTGCGTCCTCCATGAAGACACAGGCTTTGTTCTGTCCCTGTTGAGTTCCCAGCACCCAGCACCTTGTCTGGCAAAGTAGGTGTTGCAGAGACTCTGGCTGAGTGGCGAGTCAAGGAATGAATGAGCACCACCAGCCCTGCTTGTGGCATTGGGACAGAAGTCAGCCTCACACATCTGCCGCCCTGAGTCCCCACATCTCAGTGACTATATATTTTTCTTCTTATCGCGGAGGCACAGGCTTGGTGCTGTTTTCCGTTTATACTTTAACAATGTATTTAAGGGTTTGGAATTGAAGTATAAAAGAGAGCATGTACTTCCATAATAATAAAGTTTTTTTTTTTTTTCTTTTTTGAGACGGAGTCTTGCTCTGTTGCCCAGACTGGAGTGTAGTGCTATGATGCAGGCTCACTGTATCCTTCACCTCCCGGATTCAAGTGATTCTCCTGCTTCAGCCTCCTGAGTAGCTGGGATTACAGGCTCCTGCCACCACGCCTGGCTAATTTTTGTATTTTTAGTAGAGACAGGGTTTTGCCATGTTGGCCAGGGTTTTGCCATGTTGGACAGGGTGATCTTGGACTCCTGACCTCATGTGGTCCATCCGCCTCCGCTTTCCTAAGTGCTGGGATTGCAGGCGTGAGCCACCACGCCCGGCCTCAGTAATAATAAAGTCTTGCGATGGAGAGCCATATAGCAGAAAGAGTGCCGGACCAGCCGTTCAGAAGGCATGGTCCCAGCTCTGGCCAACGCTGACAGTCCATGGCTATTAGGCAGGTCATTGCTCTCAGACCCTAACCTCTCCTTTCTGTAAAACAAGGATGAAAATGTTTGCCCTGCATGTTGTACAGATGGTATGTCCATGCTCTGTAAGTGTGATGCAAAGACAACATGAATTAATGTTTGACTATAGCTCATCCAGATAGTTCACCTTATAAACTTAAATTGCCCATCAATGTTTTTATTAAACCTATACTGAATTTTTAGAAACTTTATTAAGTAATACACATTAACTGTATTAAAAGGAGACAAAAATGAGGAAGAAAATCACCCTTGATCCTGCCAACCACCTACCAATAACTACTGTTAACATTTTGTCTGTCTTCCATATTTTTCTGTGTAGTTTATTTTATTTATTTTTAAAATTTATTTTTTCTTATGTAGCTTTTTTTATTCTTATTTTTAGTTTTGAGCCAGAGTCTCACTCTGCCACCTAGGCTGGAGTGCAGTGGCCTGATCTTGGCTCACTGCAACCTCCACCTCCCGGTTTCAGGCAATTCTCCTGCCTCAGCCTCCCAAGTAGCTGAGACTACAGGTATGTGCCACCATGCCCAGCTAATTTTGTATTAGCAGAGCCAGGGTTTTACCTTGTTGGCCAGTCTGGTCTTGAACTCCTGACCTCAGGTAATACACCTGCTTCGGCCTCCCAAAGTGCTAGGATTACAGGCGTGAGCCACTGCACCCAGCCTGCACAGTTTATTTTACATGTATATTCTTTTCTTACAAATACTTCATAGTATGTGGTAGATATGTTTCCAATAGTGAATTTTGTTGATGAATTTTATCTGCTGTATTTTGAGTTACGTCAAAAACTTTAAAAAGTGCCCAGAGCCCTTTCTGGATATTCTTTTATTTTATATGCATGACTTGGACTTGTAGTGAAGATTGGGAGGTATGGACAGCCCCTTCTCCACGCACAGGCTGGAGCAATAGAGCTAAAAATAGAAACCCTCTCTGTTATCTTCAACATACTCTGGTGGTTAAATGACCTTATCTTTTTGACCCATTTACTATGATATTTTCTTAGGGGCTGACAATGTTTATCTGTTCTTTTTTTTTTTTTTTTTTGGAGACAGAGTCTGACTCTGTCACCCAGACTGGAGTATGGTTGCACAGTCTAGCTCACTGCAGTCTCTGTCTTCTGGGTTCAAGTGATTCTCCTTCCTCAGCCTCCCGAGTAGCTGGGATTATAGGTACGTGCTACCACGCCTAGCTAAGTTTTGTATTTTTAGTAGAGATGAGGTCTCTCCATGTTGGCCAAGCTGATCTCAAACTCCTGACCTCTTGATCCACCCTCCTCGGCCTCCCAAAGTGCTGGAATTACAGGTGTGAGCCACCGCGCCCAGCCAATGTTTATCAGTTCTTGTTGCTTTGTACTTGACTCTGTGTTTCCCTTCTCAGGTGTCTGCAATTGAACTCCAAGGTGCAGAATGGTTTGGAAAGTAGCTGTATTCCTCAGTGTGGCCCTGGGCATTGGTGCCGTTCCTATAGATGATCCTGAAGATGGAGGCAAGCACTGGGTGGTGATCGTGGCAGGTTCAAATGGCTGGTATAATTATAGGCACCAGGTAAGAAAATGACTAATCTTTTTTTTGTTAAGGACACTGGCATTCTGAAAACAATTCCAGACACTGTTAATATTAAATAGAAAAGACTTGAAAAGCCATTGACGGACCTGTTAGGCTGGCTGTAACATAGGTGTGTTAGCGAGGATGTGGGGAAATCAGAACCCTCATATGTTGCCAGGAGGATTATAAGATGGTGTAGCCATTTTGGAAAACAGTTTGGTCATTCCTCAGAAGTTTTGATAGGGCCATCTTAATCTGATGCAAGGTTTCTGAACCTTGGCACTGTTGATAGTTGGGGACCAGGTCATTCTTGGTTGTTGGGGGCCGTCTTGTGCATTTGAGGTTTAGCAGCGTCCATGACACCTACCCGTTAGATGATGGCAGCATCTCCTGCTCCACTGTAATAACGCAGAATTCTCCAGACGTCGCCCAGTGTCCCCAGGGAGCCAGATCACCCAGGCTGAGACCCACTTAGTTCAACATCTTCATTTTAGAGATAAGGAAACTGAGGCCTAGAGAGTGGAGGTGACTTGCTCAAGGTCACATGGCAAGTGGGGACCAGACAGGACTGAGGCCAGGACTCTGGTGACAGGACCCCCAGGCCTCTCTGCCCTACTGCTCTCTCTTCACACCCTCCTCCCCCATCTTTCCTGGATTTCCCCACATCAGCCTACCAGAAGGTAGAGAGAAGAAGAAAAGAAGCCACATCGGAGTGTCCATGAAAAGTCCAGCCTCCCTGTGGGATGTAAAATGGTGCAACCACCTTGGGAAAGAGTCTGGCAGTTCCTCAAAATTTAAACATCAAATTGAACATATGACCCAGCAATTCCGCTCCTAAGTATGTCCTTAAGAGAGGTGAAAACATGTGTCTACACATGAACATGTACATGACTGTTCATAGCAGTATTGTTCATAAGAGCCAAAAGGTGGAAACAAGCCAGATGTCCATCAAAGGTTGAATGGAGAAACACAATGTGATTTATTCATGTAAGAAGATATTATTTGACCGTAAGAAAGGAAGAAGTACTCACACATGCTTCAACATGGGTGAACCTTACAAACATGCTAAGGAGCTAGTCACAAAGACCACATATGTTATGATTCCATTTAAATGAAAGCCCAAATTTGGAAAATCTATAGAGATAGAAAGTAGGTTAGTAGTTGCCAAGGGCTGGGTGAAGGAGAGACTGGGGAGTAATTGCCGATGGACATGGGGTCTCTCTTTGCAGGAATGAGAATGCTCTAGAAGTAGTGGTGATGAGTACACAACTTGGTGAACATACTAGAAACCACTGAATCGTCTGTTTTAGAAGACTGACTTCTATGGTGCATGAACTCTATCTCAATACAGCTGTTATTTTTTTAAAAAGTCATTTAATCTTGTCAGTCTCAGAAACAAATGCTTAGACTTGCAGTATCTATATATTGGGCTCTCTTCTAAGAGCGCTTTACACAGAGTCCTTTAACTCCTGCAGTGGGGTTATGTGCCATTGGTCCAGTTCTTACTCCCTCTTTACGAATGATTGGACTGAGGCATAGGCAAGGTCAGTAGTTTGCCCAAAGCGGTACAGCTCACAAGTGGTGGGGCCAGTTTTCAAACCCAGGCCAACTGGCTCTGGAGCAGCCCTGTCTGGTAAAAGAGCCATGGTAAATGTTCTAGTAGCCACATTTAGAAGGTGAAATTAATTTTAATAACTTCTTTTTTTTTTTTTTTTGGTTGAGACAGAGTCTTGCTCTGTGTCCCAGGCTAGAGTGCAGTGGCGCGATCTCGGCTCACTGCAGCTTCCACCTCCCAAGTTCAAGCTATTCTCCTGCCTCAGCCTCCCGAGTAGCTGATATTACAGGTCCAGCTAATTTTTGTATTTTTAGCAGAGGCCGGGTTTCACCATGTTGGCCAGGCTGGTCTTAACTCCTGACCTCAGGTGATCTGCCTGCCTCAGCCTCCCAAAGTGCTGGGATTACAGGCGTGAGCCACCATGCCCGGCCTTAATATCTTCTTTAAACCAGTATTTCCAAACCATTATCATTTCAACATGTAATCAATATAAAAAATTAATAATAAGATACCAGCCAGCATGCTTGTAGTCCCAGCTACTCTGGAGGCTGAAGTGGGAGGATTGCTTGAGCCCAGGAATTTAAGGCTGCCGTGAGCTATTATCGCACCTGTGCATAGCCACTGCGCTCCAGCTTGGGTAGCAGAGCGAGACCTTGTTTAAAAAAAATGATAATAATGAGATATCATACATTCTTTGATTTTGTACTAAGTCATTGAAATCCAGTCTGTATTTACATTCACGGAATGAATGAATAACTCATTTCTCGAATCGTTTTTGTATGTTAGCCGAATAGGAAATTTGGCTTGATTAAAAAGTTGTTATCATGGCAAAATGATCCCTTCTCCCTTTAATACTTAACCACAGACCTGACCCATGTAAAGAGGAGCAGCCCGCGCACACAGCTGTTCAGCTCTCAGTTTTCTTCTCCCCCTCTAACCTCAAGTTGGAAAGATTAGTTGTGAAATACAGACCACAGAGAGTTAACACGATTACTCATCAACCACCGTGATTTTTATACAACCAGCTTTTAAGAAAATGTATTTATTAAACATTATTGAGTAGAGGTTATCCAATTACCTTTGCTCCCAGAAACCTTTTTGTTTTTTTAGTGTTGCTAATTTCCCTGAGTAAAATACTAACTATCAAAATAGAACAAAGGGAAACAAGGCCAAAGAAGTGGCCCAGACTGAAATATTCGTCCCCGAGTAAGAGAGGATGATGGCCTTAAGGCCGGTGGAGGTGAGATTTGTGCCGATTCACCCCTGCCTCAGCCCTCCCTGCCAAGGGGCTGCTTCTGTCCTCAGCCGGCTGCCATTTGCCTTCTTGACTTTGGAGGCTTATCATTAAAAGAGTGTTCAAAAGAACGGTCTCCACAGAACCTAGGCAGATTTTAAACTTACATTTTCATAGAGGTTTATATTTTCCTTGGATTAACACAACATTCATTTACCACAAATCTCTTGTTTAGGGAAGAGTGGCACACCAGGCACAAATAAATCATTGCTAAGTGCTTTCCTATGTGTTATACTTGTTAATTAAACCTTGTTTTGTCTTGACCAAATTGGATTTCTCACTTTTCCATTTTGGGCTGGGATTAAGTGTTTAACGGGGGCGGGGGGGGGGGGCGTGATCTGAGGTGATGTGGGCAGGACATTCTGCATTGTGTCCTGAGCATGGGGTGAGTAAGGAGGGCCCCTTTGGAAGTCGTGGAATCAGAGTAGAGTCTGGGGTGATCAGAGAGAGCTGGAAGAGTGAGGTGGGGGGTTGCATGGATAATGGGGAGAAGGGAGCAGCCAAGCATGAGTGCCAGAGAGGTGTGAGGGTGTGGCCAGCCTGGGAGGGAGTGGGGACAGAGGCAGACCTGGGAGAGGGGCCAGCAAGATGGGCCAGGATGGGCAGAGGTGCGCAGGCACCTGGGAAGTGTGGCGCAATCCCAGAACGAACAAAAAAAAAAAAAAAAAAAAAGAAAAGCTGAGCAGGTGGAAGTGGCCCAGGAGCAGAACTGACTGAAAATGGTACCTAGCTCATTCCTGCTGAGCACGTGTGAGTCAGATGCCGTTCAGGGTGCTGGCGATGCATGTCACCCCACCTGCTCTGCAGTGCTGACATACTGGTGGAAGAAGGCTGCCCTTGACTAAGCGCTTCCTGTGTGCAGGGCTCAGTTCCAAGCACTTGGCACGTGTTATCTCAATCCTCAGACAACCCAAGAGGATAGGTCCTATTAGATCTCCATTGTAAGATGTGGGGGTGGGGCTAAGGCACAGAAAGGCTGGGTAACTTATCTAAGGTCACACAGCCAGTAAGGGGTGGAGCTGAGATTTAACCCAGGCAGTCCATGCTCCACAGCCCATGCTTATAATCACTACTCTAGTCATGTGGCATGGGTATCTTGGCATTACTTTATCTTTTATTTTAAAATAGTTTCCTTTTTTTGTATTAAAAATTTAACATGTTAAGGTTTATTATAGAAAACTTACACAGCCAAAGGAAGCAGGTCATTTGTAATTAGTCATGCGCCGTATAACAAGTTTGTTCAGTGATGGACCGCATACACGACAAGTGGTCCTGTAAAGTATAGTAGCATATTTTTACTGTACTTTTCCTATGTTTAGATACACAAATACTTGCCATTGTGTTCCATTTGTCTGCAGTATTCATGACAGTAACGTGCAGTACAGGTGGATGGCCTAGGATTACCATCTGAGCGTTATAACAAACATTATCACCTTAGCTCCACCTCCTGTCAGGTCACCGATGCCAATTCTAATAGGAGCGTGAACCCTATCGTGATCTGCGTATATGAGGAATCCAGGCTGCGCACTCCTTGTGAGAATCTAACTAATGCCTAGTGATCTAAGCTGGAACAGTTTCATCCCGAAACCATTGCCCCTCACCCCTGTGTGTGGAAAAATTGTCTTCCACAAAACCAGTCCCTGGTGCCAAAAAGGTCGTGGACCGCTGGGCTAGACCATCTAGGGTTGTGTAAATACATTCTATGATACTCACAAAACGACAAAATCACCTCGTGAAGCATCTCTCAGAATGCATCCTTGTCTTTAAGCAATCACAACTGCTACATAGACTCAGTGTTGCTGGCATTGCATTCTGAAAGTGGCAAACACGGCAGAATTTTTCTGAGCATTAAAACAGACTTGATGTATTGGTCTGTTTAGTTTAATGTTTTTCACTTGAGGCCCATGGTTTGCAAGGGGTGTAGGGGAGGATTGTGGAGAATGGGGAGTCAGGGCCCTCTGATCAGGAGCCCCCAGCCTTTTAGGGTAGGTGTACAAATACCTGAACTCGAGGCTGAGAAAGAGCAGTCTCTACAGCAGCTCCAGTTGCCGGGTTTGGGTCCAGAAGTAGATGAGGTCCATCAGGAGAGGGATGGGAATGCAGCTTCTTGGAGGAGAGGCTTGACGTGGGTTTGAAGGATGACGGGATTTCCACAGAAGCTCTTTCCGCGTGGAGGGAAGAGCATCAGCTGGCAGTGGGAATATAAAATCACAGTGAGGGGCGTGGCCAGCACATCGGGTGCCTTCAAGTGCATGTACCAGAGCCCTCCCTGGTGGTTTGAAAGAGTGTGGAGACTCCAGGGTTGGCTAATTAAGCAGTTTAGCCTCTTTATCTCAAACCCAGGTCCTTTTTTTTTTTTTTTTTTTTTTTGTGAGGCAGTCTTGCTCTGCCACCCAGGCTGGAGTGTAGTGGTGCAATCTCGGCTCATTGCAACATCCACCTCCCGGGTTCAATCAATTCTCGTGCCTCAGCCTCTCGAGTAGCTGGGACTACAGGCGCCTGCCACCACGCCTGGCTAATTTTTATATTTTTAGTAGAGACGGGGTTTTGCCGTGTTGCCTAGGCTGGTCTTGAACTCCTGGCTTCAAGTGATCTGCCCGCCTCAGCTCCCAAAGTGCTGCGATTACAGGCGTGAGCCACTGTGCCCAGCCTCTTTTCATCTTGCTACTCTGTCATCATAGTTGTGACGAACTGTCCTCAAATACACTCTCCTCATAGTCACGAAATGGCTGCAGCAGCTCCAGGTGTCACATCCAAACAAAATCTCAAAGAAGAAAAAGAGGGCATCTATGTGTCTTGTCTGTTTGGCTTGCTCTTTATCAGATGCACATCTTTTCTTGGAGCCATGGGTGGACTTTGTCCCGAGTCTTCCTGGCCAGAATTGCATCACGTGCTCATGTTCAAGTCAGTCAGTTCCTGGTGAGGGGAAATGGATTTCCAGTTCACACTCAGGGAAGCTCCTGACCACTTGTGACCACTTGGAGCTGGGTAGGTCATCTGAGCAAAGCCAGGGCCCTGGTGGAAAGGAAGGTGGCCACAGGGCATGCAAGGACAGTGCATGGCCCAGGTAGATGGGGAGGAGGAAGCGAGGGAGAAGGAGACCGGCAAGGTAGGGTGAGGGCATGGTGAGGCGTGTTAGGAGGAGAAGGCCCAGTCAGCAACTCTCCCTTTCTTTCCCTTTGACAGAACCTCTCCACTCAGAAGTAGATAAAGGGTTGGACAGGCGCCATGTCACCAATGACAAGAACAGGGAGCTCCTCACTCTGTGTGCTCCTGGCAAGCCCCTTCCCCACCCCCACACACTCAGAGCCTCACCATTGCTGTCTGGCTCAAGACTGGGGCCTGCAGAGTTTTTTTCTATAAAGGGCCAGATAGTAGATATTTGAGGTTTTGTGGGCCAAGGGGCAAAAATCGAGGCTGGCGGGGCCAAAGACAGGCTGGGCAGACTGCAGTGACGGAGGCGAGAGGGAGTGGCCAGGGAGTGCAGGAAGGAGGTGGTGGTGACTCACAGTCTGTTTCTCACAAGCTATTTGTTTACTTATTTAATTTTTTTTTTTTTTTTGAGACAGAGCCTCAATCTTGTTGCCCAGCCTGGAGTGCAATGGCGTGATCTCAGCTCACTGCAGTCTCCGCCTCCTGGGTTTAAGCGATTCTCCTGTCTCAGCCTCCCGAATAGCTGGGATTACAGGCACCTGCCACCACGCCCGGCTAATTTTTGTATTTTTAGTAGAGACAGGGTTTTACCATGTTAGCCAGACTGGTCTCGATCTCCTGACCTCTGATGATCCACCTGCCTCAGCCTCCCAAAGTGCTGGGATTACAGGTATGAGCCACTGTGCCCGGTCAGATGAGCTCATAACTTATGGTGTTTTGAGATTAATCCATGTTGTTGCACAATATCACTTTTATATTTAAAAAAATCCGTGGCCAGGTGTGGTGGCTCACACCTGTAATTTCATCACTTTGGGAGACCAAGGTAGGTGGATCACCTGAGGTCAGGAGTTTGAGACCAGCCTGGCCAACATGGTGAAACCCCATCTCTACTAAAATACAAAAATTAGCCGGGCATGGTGGCATGCACCTGTAATCCCAGCTACTCAGGAGGCTGAGGCAGGAAAATAGCTTGAACCTGGGAGGCAGAGGTTGTGGTGAGCCAAGTTCGTGCCACTGCACTCCAGCCTGGGTGACAGAGTGAGACTCTGTCTCCAAAAAAAAAAGAAAAAGAAAAAAGAAATCCGCTTTTATTTTTATTTTCAGCAACAGGGTCTTATTCTGTCACTTAGGCTGGAGCTCGGTGGTGTGATCATAGCTCACTGCAACCTCAAACTCCTGGGCTCGAGGGATCCTCTTGAGTAGCTGGAACCGTGGGACCATAGGTGTGCCACCATGCCCAGCTAGTTAAAAATTTTTTTTTATAGAGATGAAGTCTTGCTATGTTTCCCAGGCTGGTCTCAAACTCCTGGGCTCAAGTGATCCTCTTTCCTCAGCCTCCCAAAGTGCTCAGATTACAGGCCACTGTGTCTGGCCTGAAATCTGCTTTTAAAGAGGGCATGGTGGGAAGAGATTAGGAGGGAGGACAGAGGGGACTGTGCAAGGGAATGCCAAGCATGTGGGATATGGGCTTGGGCCCATTCTTGCAGCAGGGCCGTCCTTGTAAATGCCAGAGGCAGCACAGGACCTTGGAAAGACCATGGCTCTGGATTTGCTCAGACCTCAGGTGTCATTCCTTCTCTCCAGTTATGTGCTGTGTAAGTTTGAACAAACTACATTGTCAGATTCTTTCTCTGGGGTTGGCAGTGGGCTCAGCGAGGCACACTGCAAAACCCCAGCCTGATGCCTCACCTCAGCACTGCTCAGCTGTGTGTCGGGAAGTGATCATATATGTATACTTGGCAGGTGAGCAGGGCTGGCTGGAGAGCGGACCCTTTACAGCAACTGTGACATGGGGCACGCCAATGTATTTAGACCTTGTTCGACTTGTCTTTGTTTAGCTGACAGCTGGCCAAGCTGGAGGCAGTACAAGCAGACAGAGTAGGGACAGTTGCCCTATCGGCAAATCACGGGAGGCATTAGGAAGACCAGCGGAACTCCCAGCACAAGCTATCAAACCAGCCAAGTCACAATCTCTGTTTGTCATTCCGGAGGGCTCTGCGCCTCTTAGAAGTCTTGCTCAATACCCTCCTCTCGAATATGACCTCATATGACTTTTCTGGGCTTATGCGGGGAAAATACAGTATAGGTCACACGGATTTAGGGGAAGTAATACAAGTAGTCAGTAACACCATTTTCACATTGTTTGAGTTGAACCCCACTTGTATCTCTTTTGAGTGCTAGTAAATATTTGACTTAATGGAAGAACCCCGCTGAGTTAACAAAGGTAGAGGCAACCAAGTGCCTCCAAGGCCCAGAAGAGAGTCACAGCCTGATGAGGAGGCAGTGAGTGTGGAAGATGGGGCATAAGGCACAGTTGGGGTCAGCCATGGCCCTTCCTGAGCTAGTCCCTGTCTGTAAGATGGGGATGAAAGCATTTACCTCTCAAGGGTGCTGGGGGTCCCAAACAGTGCAGGAGTAACAACACAAGGCACTCTGAACCTGCCCCTGCAGAAAATATATAACTTTATTGAGGCCTAGTTTAAGACATATCATCTTAATTCACACATTGAGTTTAATTAATCTAATTCAATGATTTTTTAGTAAATTTACCAAGTTGTGCAAACATCACTATAAATCAGTTTGATATTTCCATCATCCCAGTATGATCCTTTGGGCAGGCCGGGTGGTGGCTCACACCTATAATCCCAGCACTTTGGGAAGCCAAGGCGGATGGATCACTTGAGGCCACGAGTTTGAGACCAGCCTGGCCAACATGGTAAAACCCAATTTCTACTAAAAATACAAAAATTAGCTGGGCGTGGTGGCACATGCCTGTAATCCCAGCTACTTGGGAGGCTGAGTTTCAAGAATCGCTTGGACCCTGGAGGCAGAGGCTGCAGTGAGCCATGATCACACTGCTGCACTCCAGCCTGGGCAACAGAGCAAGACTGACTCAAAAAAAAAAAAGTTGTTTGGGCATATTTGCAGTTCCCACCTCTAGCCTCAGGCAACTGCTAATCATCTACTTTCTATCTCTATAGATTTGTTTATTCTGAACATTTCCTATCAGTGGAGCTAAACAGCGTGTGGTCTTTTGTGTCTGGCTTCCCCTAGTGTCATGTTTTTGAAGTTTGTTCACGTTGTAGCATGCATCAGTGCTTCACTCCTGTTTATTCCCAAATAGCATTCCATTGTATGGATAGACCACGTTTTGCCTGCCCATTTACCAGTTGATGGACATTTGGGTTGTTTCCAATTTTTAGTTATTATGAACAATGCTGCTGAGAACATTTGCATGCAAATCTTTGTGTGAATACATTTTTTTGTTTCTCTTGGGTAGGTACTTAAGAGTTGGAATTGCAGGACAGATGTGGTGGCTCACACCTGTAATCCCAGCACTTTGGGAGGCCAAGGCAGGTGTATCACGAGGTCAGGAGTTTGAGACCAGCCTGACCAACATGGTGAAACCCCATCTCTACTAAAAATATAAAAATTAGCCAGGTGTGGTGGTGCTCACCTGTAATCCCAGCTACTCAGGAGGCTGAGGCAGTAGCATCGCTTGCACCCGGGAGGCGGAGGTTGCAGTGAGCCGAGATCGCACCACTGCACTCCAGTCTGGGCGACAGAACAAGACTCTGTCTCAAAAAAAAAAAAAAATTTAGACTTGTTGGGTCACATGGTAAATTTATGTTTGACTCTTTGAGAAACTATAACGCTCGTTTCCAAAATCGCGGCTCCACTTTACATTACCATAGCAGTGTATGTATGGAGGCTCTTGGTTCCCCAGTTATTGTCCGTCTGTCTGTGAAGTGGCAGCTCAGTGTGGTTTTAATTTGCATTTCTTAATGATGGGTGATGTTGAACATCTTTTCATGTGCTGACTAACAATTTGTATATCTTCTTAGGTGAAATGTTTATTGAAATCTTTTGCCTATTTTTGGCTCAGTGATACAGGAGTGCTTTAGATGTTTCAGTACAAGCCCTTTATCCGATATATGTTTTGCAAATATTTTCTCATAGTCTGTTGCTTGTCTTTTCATTTTTTTAATAATGTCTTTGGAAGCACTAAAGGTTTTAATTTTGCTAAGCCAATTTATCAAAGTTTTGTTTTTGTTTTTGTTTTGAGACAGAGTCTTGCTCTGTCGCCCAGGCTGGAGTGCAGTGGTGTAATCTCGGCTCACTGCAACCTCTGCCTCCCGGGTTCAAGTGATTTCTCCTGCCTCAGCCTCCCGAGTAGCTGGGATTACAGGCATGCACCACCATGCCTGGCTAATTTCTTTGTATTTTTAGTAGAGATGGGGTTTTACCATATTGGCCAGCCTGGTCTCGAACTCCTGACCTCAAGTGATCCCAAAGTGCTGGGATCCCTGGCCTCCCAAAGTGCTAGAATTACAGGTGTGAGCCACTGCGCCTGGCCTGACTTCATTTTTAAATTAAATGGCAGACAAATAATGTCTGTATAACATGTGTACACCTTAAAGAATAATAAAATGAATACCTGTGTACCTTGCACCTTGCTAAAAAAAAAAAAATTATACTAGTACCTTGTCCCCTGTCTGATGGACTCTCCTTCCCTTCCCTTCAGAGACCAAGCTCCTGAATTTTTTGTCATTCATTCCTTTGCTTTATAGTTTTGCTGTATGTCTATTTAACTGTGAACAGCATAATGTTTACATTTGCCTGTTTTGACCTTTATGCAAATGTAATCATAGTGAAGGTATTTTTCTATGACTTGTTCTTTTTTTCACTATGTTCCCAAGAGTCATCTATTTTGAAACCCGGGTTGTACTTGTTTGCGTATTTTTAAAAGTTTTTATAGATTCAGGGGGTACATAGATACATTGCATAGTGGTGGGGTTTGCACTTCTTGGGTACCCATCACCTGAGTAGTGGGTTGTAGTTCGTTCATTTTCAGGTATTCCATTTATGTGAACTTATGACAATTTATTTTTCCAGCTGTTGACTATGATTGGAGTTATTTCTTGGCTTTTGCTGTTAAAGTGATGCTGTGAACACTTTCTGGTTATCTGTGGGAGATAGAGTTTTGCTAGGCTATATGGCTAGGAGTAGAATTGCTTGGTTGGAGGGTGTGTGGTTCAACCTCATTGATAATGTCAAGATGTTTTCCAGAGTGGAGTGCCAATTACACTATACTTCCATCATAGCTGTATTAGTTTACTATCACTGCTTAAACAGATTGCCACAGACTTCATGGCTTGAAACAATACAAATTTATTATCTTACAGTTCTGGAGGTAAGAAATGTGAAATGGCTGTCACTGGGTTAAATCACGGTGTTGCCTGGGCTGTGTTCCTTGGTGGCTGTAGTGGAGGCTCCACTTTCTCGTCTTTTCCAGCTTTTAGACACTGCCTGCAGCTGTTGGCTCATGGCCCCTTCTTCCATCCTCAATGCCAACAAGGGTCAGTTGAATCTTTCTTACACTGCATCACTTGGACACTGACTCCTGCCTCTGTCTCCACATACAAAAGCCTTTGTGATTACATTAGGCCCACTGAAGGCCAGGCGCCGTGGCTTGCATCTGTAATCCAAGCACTCTCTATCCAAGGTGGGAGGATCGCTTGAGCCCAGGAGTTCGAGACCAGCCAAAGCAACATAGCGAGACCCTGACTCTACAGAACATTTTAGAAATTAGCCAGGTGCAGTGTTGTGTGCCTGTAGTCCCAGCTACCTGGGAGGCTGAGGTGGGAGGATCACTTGAGCCCAGGAAGTCGAGGCTGCAGTGAGCTGAGATTGCACCTGTGCACTCCCGCCTGGGAGACAGCAAGACCCTGTCTCAAAAAAAAACAAAAACAAAAACAAAAAAATAAACAAAAATGACATTGGGCCACTGGAATAATCCAGGAAAACCTCCCTATTTTAAGACCAGCTGATTGGCAACCTTAAGTCCATCCGCTATCTTAATAACCCTTTGCTCTGTAATGTAATGTAATGTAGTGCAGGCTTCAGGGATTAGGATGTGGACATCCTTTGGGGGGCTGTTATTTTGCCTACCACAATTAGTGTTTGAGCATCTAACAATCGACAGAGTTTTGCTCTTGTTGCCCAGGCTGGCGTGCAATGGTGCTATCTCGGCTCACTGCAACCGCCGCCTCCCGCATTCAGGAGATTCTCCCACCTCAGCCTCCCAAGTAGCTAGGATTACACGCATGCACCACCATGCCTGGCTAATTTTGTATTTTTAGTAGAGACAGGGTTTCACCATGTTGGTCAGGCTGGTCTCGAACTCCAGACCTCAGGTGATCCGCCCGCCTCAGCCTCCCAAAGTGCTGGGATTACAGGCATGAGCCATTGTGCCTGGCCAGAATGCCTGGGATCTTTCACTTGAACTCTGTGTGACTTGGGCAGGTCACCTCACCTCCAAAGGCTGCGTTTTCCTTATCCATAATAAAATGGGGATCATTACCTTTATCATCAAGGGTTGCTGTGAGAATTAAACGAGATAAGGCCTACAAAGTCTTAGCACAGTGCTGGACAAATAGAAGCAAGTCAATAAAAATGTTTTCCTATTTATTGAGTCATCCATTCATCTAATCGCTCTTGAGTGCCAGGCCCTGGACCTCACCCATTCAGCCTTCAAAAGCTGTATACCAAGCACCCATCTTTGTCATAAAATAAGTCCATTTGTTTGGGACATCCACAGGCAAAGTGCCAGTCTGCATGTTTTATGAGCTTTAGTTTTATTGCTGTGCTCAGTGTTGTTTAGAGTGCACTGTGTGTACACCCAGTTGCTCAGGCTGTCTTCCTTGGGGAGACAAATCGCTGGGCACACGCCTCTCCTTATGCTTACTTATGTCTTTGTTCTAGGAATGACAAAATTAAATGTAAGCAGACAGGCAACATTTTTCCTTTCTGTCTTCAGATGATTTGCAAGGCATGAAGTGGTAGTATGTTTCACCTGAGATAAGGACGCAAGCCTGTCTTCACCCTTGCGTGGACAGGGAGTTGCATTAGGAACATTTTTCTCTTATTTATAATGTTGTCTTCCTTTGTATTCTTGTTATTTTTTAAAACTTAAGAGCAATTTCTCAATTCCTGAGTTGGACTTTTGAGTGTTCAGTCAGTTCTCTAAACAGTGTCTTTGGCAGACAAAGTACTTGGATCAGAAGAATCCTGTGGGAAATAGAACTAGCTCTGTTGATCATTCTGAGTCATTCTGTTTTTGAGACTAAAATCTATGCTTTCCAGAGACTATTATATAGTCTGAAAAATAAAAACAAGTTACTTAGGACTTTCAGAGGTCCTTCTTACCTATATATGTGGTGGCAGTGGTGGTAGTGGTGGCGGTGTTGGTGGCGGTGTTGGTGGCGGTGTTGGTGGTGGTGGTGGTGTTGGTGGTGGTGGCGGTGATGGCGGTGGCGGTGGCGGCGGCGGCGGTGGCGGCGGTGGCGGCGGCGGCGGCGGCGGCGGTGGCGGCGGCGGCGGTGGCGGTGGTGGTGGTGGCGGTGGTGGCGGTGGCGGTGGTGGTGTTGGTGGCGGTGGTGGTGTTGGTGGCGGTGGTGGTGATGGTGGTGGTGGTGGTGGTGGTGGCAGTGGCGGTGGTGGTGGCGGTGGCGGTGGTTGTGGTGGTGGGGTGTGTATGTGCACGTGTGCTCACATGTGCAATGTGTACGTAGCCCACGTGTGCACTAGTTTCCTGCTGAATAATACTTTGGATGGATGGGAGATCTTTTTAAATTGAGATAAAAAATATCAATGTATGTGTTTTAAAATAATAATTTAAATGCCTGACCGACGGGATGATTCACAGTAAGTCTTCCAGGAGACAGAACACATCACTCCTTAGAACTCCAAAATTGGCCTCCCAGGCAAGATCTAAAACTTCACCAAATCATTTCTCCCAGGCAGACGCGTGCCATGCCTACCAGATCATTCACCGCAATGGGATTCCTGACGAACAGATCGTTGTGATGATGTACGATGACATTGCTTACTCTGAAGAGTAAGTGGGGAACACTTGGAACTTGGTGGGGAAGGACTTCAGGGTATTTAAAAAAAGGTCACATAGACTCACAGGAATCCTAGTGGCCTAATGTTAAAATATATAAGAGACTCCCAGACAGAAGATCACAGGGATACCTCATGTTGAGCTTTTTTTTTTTTATTATTATTTATTTGAGACAGTCTTGCTCTGTTGCCCAGGCTGGAGTGCAGTGGTGCGATCTCGGCTCACTGCAACCTCCACTTCCTGGGTTCAAGTGATCCTCCCACCTCAGCCTCCCAAGAAGCTGGGACTGCAGGTGTGCACTGCCATGCCCAGCTAATTTTTGTATTTTTAGTAGAGACAGGATTTCACCATGTTGGCCAGGCTGGTCTTGAACTCCTGACCTCAAGTGATCCGGCTGCCTTGGCCTCCCAAAATGCTGGGATTACAGATGTGAGCCACCATGTCTGGCCCTCATGTTGAGCTTCGACCATAACTTGGGTGTGCCCTGGGAATGGCAAAGACATAGGAAGTGGGTGCTGGTCGCTGCTTTGAAAGGGTCTAAAGCCGAGTTCCTCCTCACCTTCGAGGACTTGTTGGATTCTATGGTGCTTGCTCCTAAGCTCCGAGCAGGCTGCAGCACAGGGGACCTGCACGTAGAATGTTTTTGTTTGTAGGTTAGATACTCCTACTACCTTCTTTCTATACTTATTTTATTACTTGCTGAGTTTAACTTCACAAATAGTTCCCTTGTGCCTGCTTATCTGATTTCTTGCAGAGATCAGAGGCAGCAAGTATGGGCATAAACTCAGCGAGTTCTAACCTCCTAGCTCCGTGGTCACCCTGCTGCGGTGAAGGACGCTACCCTTACTGTGGTCACATTCTCAGCTCATACATCACCCACTCTGACGCTTTAACGCCTAAGCTCTTGTATTAAAGTCTTGTTCTCTGTCCTGTCTCTTTCTGAAAGTAGTTTCACTCTGAGAGAGCTTTTGATGAGACCTTGCCCTCACGATGCTCTCTGGTTTCCAGCAGGCAGCCAGGCGCACCTATGCTTTGGTCCCTGCCCGAGGCTTTTCGGGCTCAGCTCCTCACTGCCTCTGCCAAGAGCTCTTGGGCTGTGGGACTGCTGAGATCCCCAAGCTGCTCAAACCACTCACACGTTGGCCACCCTGCAGGCCATAAGTTGTTTCTTTGACCAACATAGACGTTTACTATTTTTTCGCATAACATACATGTGTTTGAAGAGAGAGATTTCGGAGGCATGCCACATCTCGTTTAAATTGTGTCCTTTAATTTTCAGCAATCCCACTCCAGGAATTGTGATCAACAGGCCCAATGGCACAGATGTCTATCAGGGAGTCCCGAAGGACTACACTGGAGAGGTGAGTGGCTTCTACGGTTGGAGCCAGCTGGTTTAGTTTTCATTTTAGTGATGATTTTTCCCTCTTTCTTCTGTTTCTAGAATCAGAATCTCCCTAGACTGGCTTCTGGTCGGTGTTTCACATTCGTATTAGGATTTTTGCCTGAGGAGTAAATTATGAGAGTTTTGAAAGAAAGCAGAGGAAAAGAGAATGTTTAGAATAAGTTGCAATCCACTGATAGTTCCCAGTCTTCTCATACTTTAGGCCTGACCATGTAGTTTCATCCATATTAACCTTTCTTGAGATATCACCATTAATCTGATCATAGATTACCTGTGCTCTTTTATAAAAATCAGTTTTCTCAGTACCAGGCTTGGTGCAAAGTATCTCAGGATTTTTGCTGAGATAGTTTTTCATTTATTATTGTTATATAGTTTATTATATAGTGTATTATAGCTATAATAGTATATTACTTCCAAAAACTTTTCTGTTCCTCCTAGTTGATTGAGACTGTCTCAATTGACACATTTTTAAAATCGACCGTGATGCCTTCATTCACCTGGTTTTCATAGTCTGTTTTAAATATCGGATCTTTTAGGAATTAATTATCCTTTTGATAAGAAACTTTTATCTGATGTTTAACAATTCTTTGTTTCATTTTATTTTATTTTTCTTTTAAAGTCAAATACAATTAAATTTAACATATCATACAGGTAAAAAAGATGACCGTATTTAATGAAATTGTTTCTGTATAGTGTTTGTTTGTTTGAGATGGAGTCTTGCACTGTTACCCAGGCTGGAGTGCAGTGGCACAATCTTGGCTCACTGCAACCTCCGCTTCCCGGGTTCAAGTGATTCTCCTGCCTCAGCCTCCATAGTAGCTGGGATTACAGGCAGGTGCCATGATGCCTGGCTAATTTTTCTACTTTCAGTAGAGATGGGGTTTCACTGTGTTGGCCAGGCTAGCCTTGAACTCCTGACCTCAAGTGTTCCGCCCGCTTCGGCCTCCCAAAGTGCTAGGATTACAGGCGTGAGCCACGGCACCCGACCAAAAGTGTTTGCTGTTAAGCCATGAGCCTTGGAATGTGCAGGCTGGTGGCATGGGTCGGTTGCAGACTCAGCCAACTCTCTGGGTTGGAGCGACAGCTGCATCTGATTGTGGCTCCTAATTCTTTGTAGGATGTTACCCCACAAAATTTCCTTGCTGTGTTGAGAGGCGATGCAGAAGCAGTGAAGGGCATAGGATCCGGCAAAGTCCTGAAGAGGTAATGTCTGTTTACGGATACTACACTTCTCTCAATGGCTTGGGACCCCCGTATAGAGAATTGAAACAGGTGTTGTTCTGTGCCCCTAGCCTGTTTACCTGTGAGAAATTACAGAGTGGAGAGTTTTGTTCTGACTTAGGACAGGTGCTTAGGGCTGTTGTTTCAGTGGCTTCTCTTGGTGGCCCATTTCTGCACTGAATTCACCTTATGATCCAGGGCCCCTCATTATTAATAAAATGTTCCTATCACTTAAACTCCTCGTTCCTTGTCTGGGGATCATAGCACAGGGATGTCCCACTGCCAGCGGAGCCCCTGAGGCAGGTGTGAATCTGAATCCCTGTGCCCAGATTGCAGGGCCACCAGCCCTGTGCTCTGATCACAGATCAGCCCAGCGGGGAGAGGCACATTCGTAAGTCCCTTCATATTGGAGGAAGTGGACTTTCATATTGGGGAACACGAACCCCAGTGCTTACCCCCACTGGCTGTGGGCTAGAGATGTCTTGTTGTTTAGTAATTGCTCATGTGGCATTTTTATGTGATGCCAGAGATTCTAGTAGCATATTTCTTTTAAGCTGGAAGGGAGGCCTGGGCACAAGTAAGCTCGTGTGGATTAGTGCAGAGGCTGGGTACAGTGGCTCACGCCTGTAATCCCAGCACTTTGGGAGGCCAAGGTGGGCGGATCACTTGAGATCAGGAGTTGAAGACCAGCCTGGCCAACATGATGAAACCCCATCTCTACTAAAAATACAAAAATTAGCCAGGCGTGGTGGCATGCACCTGTAATCCCAGCTACTCTGGTGGCTGAAGGAGAATTGCTTGAATCCAGGAGGTGGAGGTTGCAGTGAGGCAAGATTGTGCCACTGTACTCCAGCCTGAGTGACAGAGTGAGACTCTGTCTCAAACACACACACACACACACACCCACCCTGACCAACAGTGTGAATCCCCGTCTCTACTAAAAATACAAAAATTAACCAGGCGTGGTGGCGTGTGCCTATAATCCCAGCTACTCGGGAGGCTGAGGCAGGAGAACTGCTTTAACCTGGGAGGCGGAAGTTACAGTGAGCTGAGATCATGCCATTGCACTCCAGCCTGGGCGACAGGGCAAGACTCCATCTCAAAAAAAAAAAAAAAAAAAAAATTAGTATGGAGATGGACATCTGTGAGGGTGAACCAAATTGGCTTCATGTAAGTTACTACATCTCTGCCACTTTGAAGCAGCGCCATCTGGTGGAAGCCCTGGTGAGGCAGGTAGGTGGGCATCCAGACTGTGGGCCACAGGAGGCCTGGAGGGGGGGAGGCTGCAGGCCTGTGTTGAGGTCATTTTGGGGAGATCTGGTTGGAGAGTGTGGCTGCCTGGGATGAGGCCCAATTGCCAAAGGACCCCACTATCCACCTCACACCAGGTCTGTCTGATGGGTTGCCCAGGAAAGGCCCCTCCTCCTTTCCAGCCGTAGTTCAGAATTTGGAGGCTCTAGGATCTATACTGTGGTTCAGAATCACACCAAGGGGAGTGGAGGGGACAGGCCAGACACCGGGCACCGGGCCCTTGTGTTCATCTTCAAACCTGGTTGGGCAACTCTACTCCCCAAACTTCTTAATTTTTTGATTAGGGCAGCTTTTCAGAGAAATAGAAGTAAAAACAGAAAAAGGAAATGATTGACCCCCGATTCCTTCTTGGCAGTGGCCCCCAGGATCACGTGTTCATTTACTTCACTGACCATGGATCTACTGGAATACTGGTTTTTCCCAATGAAGATGTGAGTTTTCTTAACGTTTTAAGGACAAACTAGCAGAACAGAAAAGCAAGCCTAGGTGTCGAGATTAAACCCATAGCGTGTATTTTCTAGTGTCCTGCCAGGGTTGGTTTGTACGTGTGGTGGGTGGGAGTGGGGGACAGGTTTAGCAGCTTGAAATCTATCCAAGGACATCTCTTCCAGACAGTTTTCCCTGCTTTTCTGTTCATGTCGCAGCGTCGGTAGCTGTCTCAGGATGTGGGTGTATCACACTAGACCTGAGAATAGACCAAAAGCTCCGGACAAAGTAATGGGTGAAGAGGTACATCCTCTTGCCCTTTTTAAATGCGTGCATAAAACATGTGACGACATTCTGGGGTTATGTTCTTCACCATGATTACTTCTAGGGATTGGTAGAAAAGAGTTTATGAAGGATCATCAGAACTTTACTAGTGGCTTATCCAGCAAATAGTTTCTCTTGATGTGTTGGTCTGACAATATTCTCACCTTTCAGCTTCATGTAAAGGACCTGAATGAGACCATCCATTACATGTACAAACACAAAATGTACCGAAAGGTAATTCAGCCCTTGGGGCAGCCTTGTGGGGGCGGGGGGTGTGAGGAAAGCCGTGAGTGCAGAGCCCACAGTCCCGTGACCGTCCTCCAACTGTGGGTGCTGTGTTTTCTAGAAAGGGGATCCTTCCAATCCCTGGTTTCCCAGGATGAGGCTTTCGGCTTTAGCTATTAGACTGGAATCATGGAGAGCTTGTTAAAACAGTGTGGGCCTCGCCCCCAGAGTTTGACCCAGTAGGTCTGCGGAGGGGGCCTGAGAATTTGCCTTGGGTTTCCATGTGATCCTGCTGCTGCTGGTCTTCGGCCCACACTTTGCAGACTCCTATTCCTAGGACTGTCCTCAATTTCGGGCAGCTGGGGAGGAAAATACCACTATCTTATTCTCACTTTGAGCCTTTCTCACCCCTATAGCACCCTTTATGGAAACTGTGCAGGGCCAGAGTTTTTGGCTGGGTGTGGTGGCTCACTCCTGTAGTCCCAGCACTTTAGGAGGCTGAGGCGGGAAGATCACTTGAGGCCAGGAGTTTAAGACCAGCCTGGGCAACATAGTGAGACCGTGTCTCTACTAAAAAAACAAAAAAACAAAACAAAAAAAAACCTGCATGGGTTGGGTGATACGTGACAGTAACGCAGAAAGATGGCCTGCTGCACTGTATGGTCTTTGAAACTCCTCCCTGCACTGGATGGTGGAACCGTTTTCCTTAGCATCCCATGGCTCCGTTTTCTCTGCATTATTTCAGCTACTAGACGATTTTATTCCATTAGCAATGAATAAATTTGTGTGGCAGCAGCTTCCATAGCTTCTGGCAGCAGCCTCTTTACAGCAGTAATGTCTCCAGAAGCAAGCCTGGAGGACTTGTTAGGAATGGGTAGAGAGAGTGGGCAGAGCTCCAGTAGCATGGCTGGAGGCCCGTACCTGGATGGGGTGAGCTCACCTGCCCCGTCTGCCTCACAGATGGTGTTCTACATTGAAGCCTGTGAGTCTGGGTCCATGATGAACCACCTGCCGGATAACATCAATGGTAGGTGGTTGGGGCGCCGGCCTCGACCTGGGCTGGCAAGCAGGTTGCTCAGACACCGCTGACATGGAACTGAGCATTCTCCGTAAGCAGGGGCTGCTGAGGGCAGCCTGGGCCATAGAAGTGGGGAGATACTTGCAGGTAGCTCTGGGCTTCCTCTGCTTCTGAAGCACTGGTAGTCAGGGAATAAAGAATCTGTATGTGAGCCTCACAGTGCTCTTCCAGGTTCTCGTAAAACTACTGAAGCTAAAACTACATGGGCTTTGGACTAGCCTCCATCCTTTGCAATGTGTTGGTTGCACTCTGACCTCAAAGCAGGTGACTGACTCTCTTTGACCCTCAGTTATCCCCATCTGTAAAATGGGGATAAAGATAGTGTGTGTCTGTTGGGAGACTTGTATTTTAAACACTAGCATTTGTCCAGCACAATTCTAAGCCCATGGTAGAGAGATAGTAAGTGGTAGCTTTTGTATAGGTTCAGTTAATCTAGATGTTTCTTCAATAAATGTCAGATCTCTCTGGAAACCAAAGTAAGCCCATATTGTTCAAGTTTCCTGTGCTGTGGAAATGTCAGCATTCTTCCAGAATAGCATGATGTCCTAAGCATGCCAATTTGCCAATTGCTGCAAAAAACATCCACCAGCTGGCTCCTCTTTCTTCCGCATTTAATTTTAGATGAGTTATTGTAATCGAATACACAAGTCTGGGTATAGTTACGTGTCCCTGCCCTCCTGTGTGGATCATAAGTAGCATGCTTCGATTTCACCGGGGGAGAAAGAAGGACTCAAGCTTCAAGCGTAATCCAAGGCAGGAATAAAATGCAACTAAAAGATCATCTTTAATTCCTCGTAGTTTATGCAACTACTGCTGCCAACCCCAGAGAGTCGTCCTACGCCTGTTACTATGATGAGAAGAGGTCCACGTACCTGGGGGACTGGTACAGCGTCAACTGGATGGAAGATTCGGACGTGGTGAGCCCTTTGGGGGCTGGCTGTTCAGCTGGGGTTTAACCGTCAGACTCTGATTGTCAAAGGTCTCTAATGGTCTCACTTTTTGCAGGAAGATCTGACTAAAGAGACCCTGCACAAGCAGTACCACCTGGTAAAATCGCACACCAACACCAGCCACGTCATGCAGTATGGAAACAAAGTGAGTCGGGAGCCTCGCGTGCTGGCCCTCTGTTCCTTGTGTCCTAGGTGGACTTGCCTGGAATATTGATCTCTTGCTAAAGAGACATGGGATCTGAGTGAGGAATGCTTGAGGCAGGGATGCCTCTGCCTCTCATGCCACTCCATCCTGGGGACCTGTGGGCTTTGGAATCAGACCTTTCTAGGTTCAAACTTGCAGAGTTGTGAGACTTTGGGCAAGTGATTTCACTTCTGTGAATTTGTTTTCTCATTGGTTGAAACCCAAGCGTACAAGGTAGCTAGGAGCATGCAAGAGGGCTATGCGTTACTTATGCTAAACACAGGCCTAGTGTGCAGCAAGGGATCACTGACTCAAAAGCTGCTGCTTTACGGTTTGTAGATTGTCCCACAGCCACTCTGCACCTTGGATTTTCTGGGGTCCTGCCCCTTTGCAAATGGCAGGTTGTTACCTTTACCCTTTGGCTATAAATTGGAGACATTTTATCCTCCTCCAAATATGTCCAGAAGGGACCTGTGTGGTTAAATGGTGTTGCAGTAAGTGGCTGCTAAAAGCTTGGGCCCTAAGTGAAGCTGCTGGGGCTAGCGTTTGGGATGTGCAAACACCGTAACAAATGTGCAGGGCCTCCCAATTGTTCACCATCCCCCAAGAAGCCCACCCCCAGCGGAGAGCTCGCCAGCTGAGATCTGTTCCTTGGGCACAAACGTTGGCCTTCTAGAAGAAACTGGAGTCAGTAAATCCAGCCATGGTTAGCCCTTCAGCAGGGCATGGGATGGGGGACATGAGACCTGCACCCAGGGCACAATGACCTGGTCAGGCTTTTGAGCAGGTGTAGGAGAGAGTTGGAGCAGAGGGACGGCCAGGGAAAGGTGACACGGAGAAGGCAGGGTCAGTGGTGGCATAGCCCTGGCCATGTGGGGGCCCCGCCTTGGGCTTTCCGTTCTCTTCACAGTGTCCTCATCATTGGCCATTTCTGATCTTGGTTGAGGAGTTGTGGTGGATCTTCTCCAAACTCTGTGTTTTTATATAGATTGGTGTGTGTGGTATTGCTGATTTTAGAACTGTTGTTAGATTATTGTTGCTTGCTTTAGGAAGAGAACGCTTGCAGCATTTTCCCTTCTGATTGGGAGCCAGTCTGTAGTGACCGCTACAGCCAAATCGAGCCTGGCCGCTGTGCCCATTTGGTAGCTCTTGATGCCAAGCATCAGCCTGGCCTCTCTGTGGCCTTAGCTCTGCCCTTCCCAGTGGACCCAGACTTCAGCTCTAACCTGGGCAGATGCTTTGTACCTTCCCACTACTGGTCCTTAGGGACTTGCAGGTGAGTGCGGGGGAGTGAGCACATACAGGTCACCCGCCTGGATAGGCGGCATCCTTTGCAGGTGACATTCTTTGCCTGGCATCCTTTGCAGCAGAACTGCTATTCTTTTACATATGAAGGGCACTGCTGATGCAGTCAGGCAGAGCTTGGACCAGAGCTGTCTGGTGAAAGAATAGCAGTTCTGCAAAGGATGCCAGGCATTTTGAGTCACTCACTGGTAGATTTCAGGGGCTCCCGTGCATTGCCTGCGTACTGCTGGGGTGACCATGCCTTTCAGACTGTGACTGTGGCCCTGTGGTCCTGAAAGCATGAGGAGTAAATGTGAGCCTCTGAGGGAGAGGCTGGACTTGGGGTATGTTGGGCACCTCTGCTCCTCCCACTCAAACCAGCTCTCTCTCTCCCTCTCTCTCTGGCCTTCTCTCACTCTCTCTCGCTTTCTCTCTCGCTCTCTCTTGCTGTCTGTCTCCCCAGACAATCTCCACCATGAAAGTGATGCAGTTTCAGGGTATGAAACGCAAAGCCAGTTCTCCCGTCCCCCTACCTCCAGTCACACACCTTGACCTCACCCCCAGCCCTGATGTGCCTCTCACCATCATGAAAAGGAAACTGATGAACACCAATGATCTGGAGGAGTCCAGGCAGCTCACGGAGGAGATCCAGCGGCATCTGGATGTGAGTAGTGGTGAAAGGAGCTGTGCCCAGGTGCTGTCCCCAGCCCAGGTGGGCAGCATGCATGAGCACGGCCCTGCCTCCTATGCTCCCTGCCACACAGGAGTATGGGGGGACAGAAGCCAGCCTTTGTCCTCCATGTAACGGAAGCGGGTGGGCGGAGCCGTGGTTGCCTCCCATCTTCATGAGTAAACTAACCTTGACCTCTTCGGTAGTAGGGAGCAGTGGAATGGGGGCCTATCTCCCCTGTATCGTACCAAGAAGCCATGTACATGGGTGTTTCCCTCTTTTATACCTTGTTGCTTAGAGGATATTTTTATTTTGTTGCTTATTAAGTTATTAGCTAATCATATTCATTTTAAAAATCCAGAGACAGGTACGGTGGCGTGCGCCTCTAGTCCCAGCTACTTAGGGGGCTGAGGCAGGAGGATTCCTTGAGTCTGGGACTTTGAGGTCAGCTTGGGCAACCTAGCAAAACCCCTTCTCTTAAAAAAAAAAAAAATCCAATCCACAAAAATTTCTGCTGTTCTCAGAAAAACATAGTCATGCCTAAAATTCTTTCTAAAATGCTTATGCCGTCCTTTCCAATCAGTGAGTCTGTTTTCAGTAGCTCATCAGTGTGTTTGGAGCTGGCAGAATTGCTATGTAAATTACAGCTGTGTGCTCACCGGAATGCTGGGCAGAGGGCTGCCTGTCCCTTCCCACAAAGCCAACTCTGTTAGCCCTTATCCCCATTGTCAGCACAGCACAGTGATGGATGTGCTGAAATATGGCCTGAGTTTTCTAGGCAAGATTTTTTTTTTTTTTTTTTTTTTTTTGAGACAAGAGTCTTGCTCTGTCGCCAGGCTGGAATGCAGTGGTGTGATCTCGGCTCACTGCAACCTCCGCCTCCTGGGTTTAAGAGATTCCCCTGCCTCAGCCTCCCAAGTAGCTGGGATTACAGGCATGTGCCACCATGCCCCAGTTAATTTTTGTATTTTTAGTAGAGATGGGGTTTCACCATGTTGGTCAGGCTGGTCTCGAACTCCTGACCTCAGGTGATCCACCCGTCTAGGCAAGATTCTTTTTTTAAATCAATGTGGTTTGTTTTAAATGCACATATCTAGTTATCTCCAAAATTGGTGCCCTGTGTGTGAAAAACGTATTAACCAGGACATATTTTTAGTTGGTGTCAAACGCAGTATAGCACAGTAGTGCTCAGACATTTTAGTCTTGGGCCTCTTTATTTATTAATTTTTTTGTAGAGCTGGGGTGTCACTATGTTGCCCAGGCTGGTCTCAAACTCCTGAGCTCAAGTGATCTTCCCACCTGGGCCCTGAAAGTGCTGGGATTACAGGAGTGGGCCACTGCACCCGGCCAAACCTCTTTATACTCTTTAAATTATTGATCCCAAAGAGCTTTTGTTCATGGTGGGTTATGTCTATTGATATTTATTGCATTAAATTAAGATGAGATGAAAGGACATTTTTGATAGTTCACAGAAAGTGAACCAGAGGTTTTTTGGTGATTTTTTTTTTTTTTTTGAGATGGAGTTCTGCTCTTGCTGCCCAGGCTGGAGTACAATGGCATGATCTCAGCTCACTGCAACCTCTGCCTCCCGGGTTCAAGCGATTCTCCTGCCTCAGCCTCCCGAGTAGCTGGGATTACAGGCACCCGTCACCACGCCTGGCTAATTTTGTATTTTTAGTAGAGACGGGGTTTCACCACGTTGGCCAGACTGGTCTCAAACTCCTGGCCTCAAGTGATCCACCTGCATCAGCCTCCCAAAGTTCTGGGATTACAGGCGTGAGGCACCGCACCTGGCTCAGAGTTTTCTTGTGTTTGCTTAAACAGCTGTGTAAATCATATAGGACTTCTTTGGTATCTGCTGCAAATTTGAAAACTATTTCCAAGACTGTTTAACTATTGCATAATTATACTTTTATGTAAAGTAAAAGATTATGAAAAAATTAAAACTAAGATTTAAAAATATTTAACTCATTTACAAATAACAATATTCTTAACAAATAACATTTTACACTAATATATTTTCTATGAGAAATAACCATTTTCCAAAACAAAAAGCATTGGGTGAGAAGAGTGGCATTGCTTTACATGTGGGAGTATCTCTTTTGTGTCCGGCATTGCTAGACGACAGCTGGATCCTTGAACTGGCTTCTGCTTTCGCCGTCGGGCGCTGTTCTTTCGGCTGAAGTGTAAGAAGAAAATCCAGCCTTGTAAAGATACAGAGTTGAGGAAGGGAAGACCTTCTGGAGCCTGAGAGCTCTTGGGGAGTCTGTGGTTCTGGACCACGCCTGGAGAACTGCTGGTCTAACACACAGTGGGTGGAGGGTCTTTGTGGAATTCAGATATGAAGCAAGCAAACCCTGGCTGGAGAGCGGGTAGGACAGAGCTTGCTTGTAGAGTGAAGGTTTTTTTTTTTTTTAGTTTTTTGATTTTTATTTTAATAGAGGCAGGGTCTTCCTGTGTTGCCCAGGCCGGTCTGGAACTGCTGGCCTCAAGTGATCCTCCTGCCTCGGCCTCCTAAAAGTACTGGGAGTACAGGCCTGAGCCACTGTGCCTGGCCAGAGTGAGGGTAGTGTAGAAGCATTTTCTTCTTTATGATGCTGTTTTTCATTGTCTGGAAAGAAAATAAAAGTCCCTCTGTGCCCTGCTGTGTAACCATTCAATAGTTTCCTGAATGGGCAGAGGTGCCCGTGGACACAGCACCCTCACGGCACAGTCGTCTGCTTTGGGGCACAGGTTCTGCCACCTCCTTTCTCCACAGCAAAGGTTGTTTTTTGATACAAATGTTTGCATCATGCCAGAAGATCCCCAAAAGGCAGGTCTTTCTGACCGTCGCACAAGTGGGCACAGACATCTCTCGCCTTTCTCGGAGCACATTGATTGTTATTTCCTCTAACCTGCGGGAGGCTGAGGGCTGTGTGGAGAGTAGCCTTTGAATGCACTTCTCACCGCACCTGGGTCCCTGAGAGACCGCATTCAGGGAGGCACATTCTGACAGGCCGCGTTTCTCCCCAGGCCAGGCACCTCATTGAGAAGTCAGTGCGTAAGATCGTCTCCTTGCTGGCAGCGTCCGAGGCTGAGGTGGAGCAGCTCCTGTCCGAGAGAGCCCCGCTCACGGGGCACAGCTGCTACCCAGAGGCCCTGCTGCACTTCCGGACCCACTGCTTCAACTGGCACTCCCCCACGGTGAGCCAGCAGGCTCTCCCCATGACCAGAATCCAGAAGCTGAATTCATATTGTCCCCTGGCAGTCACATTGGTTGTACGACCTTATAGAAGGTTCCATCCAGGCTGAGAAACAGTGGGCTCATTTCAGAGAGGAAGAAGGTTGTCCAAATTCACTAATTTTAAATCTTGGCCCCAGAACACTCTTCTTGTCCCAGTGGGTAGGAGAGTTTACCAGAGCCATAGATGACAGCTCTCACTTCTAGTTTGAAGAACAGTTACTTGTGTTCACACTTCTGCTGTCCCTGCCAAACCCCACCCTCGTCTCTACCCCTCACACGAGCCACACACATCTTCTCCCTTCTGAGTCTGTTCTGACCTCTTCCCAAGACAGTTGAAGTCAGGTGTGGCCCATGGAGAAGTACTGAGTTTCTGCAGATGTAGAATTGGAAGGCACCTGAAAAGCCTCCTGGTCAGTAGCATGTGGTGCTTCAATCCTTCTAGAGAAAGGTTGGCAAACTGGCCTACAGGTCTGTTTCTCCCCCATAACCTGTTTTTGTAAATAAAGTTTTATTGGGGCCGGGCATGGTGGCTCATGTCTGCAATCCCAGCACGTTGGGAGGCCAAGGTGGGTGGCTCACCTGAAGTCAGGAGTTCCAGACCAGCCTGGCCAACATGGTAAGACCTCATCTCTACTAAATATACCAAAATTAGCCAGACTTGGTGGTGCACGCCCGTAATCCCAACTACTCGGGAGGCTGAGGCAGGAGAATCGCTTGAACCAGGGAGGTGGAGGTTGCAATGAGCCGAGATTGTGCCACTATACTCCAGCCTGGGCGACAGAGTGAAACTCTGTCTCCAAAAAAAAGTTTTATTGGAACATAGCCACATCCTGCTCAGTTCCCTGTTGTCCCTGTCCCTGGCTTCTTTCACACTGGGGCAGAGTTAAGGTAGCTCGACTTTACCCCTCCAGTCTTGTTTTTTTTGTTTGTTTGTTTGTTTTAGACACAGTTTTGCTCTTGTTGCCCAGGCTAGAGTGCAGTGGTGTGATCTCAGCTCACTGCAACCTCTGCCTCCTGGGTTCAAGCAATTCTCCTGCCTCAGCCTCCCGAGTAGCTGGGATTACAGGCACGCGCCACCACACCTGGCTAATTTTCGTATTTTTAGTAGAGACAGGGTTTCACCATGTTGTCCAGGCTGGTCCTGAACTTCTGGCCTCAGGTGACCCACCTGCCTCGGCCTCCCACAGTGCTGGGATTACAAGCATGAGCCACCGCACCCGGCCCAGTCTTGGTCTTTTGACCTTTGGAGTCATGCACAGTGAACCTCTTCCTTTGTTCTCAGAGAGTTCTTGGGTTCCCCTGAAGTTTGTTTCAAGATAAACATCCCCGCTGCTTCACCCTTCCCTGGTGTGATCCAGCGTGGCTTTCACACGCCGTCCATCTCCCTCGCTGGCGTGTCCCTCCCAGAATCAAAAGGCAGACTTCCCGGGGAGATCCCAGGCCATGGCGGGGAGCAGAGCCATCGGGAGTTCCCTGTCAGGAGTCCTGCCCTCAGATTTGAGAGTGCAGAACCCCGCCAGCCCCCCAACTTGCATGCAAACCCTGGCATGTGTGCCTCTTTCCTGAGGGATCGTCCATAAATATCACCAGATTATCTAAAGGTTGGGAAAGGATCCATGAACCAAAATAGGGCAAGAGCCACTGGTCAAGATGCTTCCCCTCTGCAATTGCAAAAGTGGAGTGGATTGTGTGGTGAGATGAGGAAGTTTCATTCTTCTCGTTTGTTTTCTCCCAGTACGAGTATGCGTTGAGACATTTGTACGTGCTGGTCAACCTTTGTGAGAAGCCGTATCCGCTTCACAGGTAACTAATGCAGCGGTGACGCTTGAAAGGTCGATGTCATTCTGAAAGCAGAAGGGGCTGCCATCCTCTTCTGCAAGTGGGCATTTTCACTTCTGCCAGGAGCTCCCTCCAGCTTTCCTCTACAGCCATTTGTCAGCAGGGTCCAGAAGCCACGTTCTCAGTGACAGCTGCTGGGCGGGCCTGTCATAACTGCCTGCCTGCCGCATGTGGGTTTGCGTTTGTCTGCCTTTCTTCAGAGTTGACACGGTTCACCAAGTTCTCCTTCCTGTCTCTCGCAGGATAAAATTGTCCATGGACCACGTGTGCCTTGGTCACTACTGAAGAGCTGCCTCCTGGAAGCTTTTCCAAGTGTGAGCGCCCCACCGACTGTGTGCTGATCAGAGACTGGAGAGGTGGAGTGAGAAGTCTCCGCTGCTCGGGCCCTCCTGGGGAGCCCCCGCTCCAGGGCTCGCTCCAGGACCTTCTTCACAAGATGACTTGCTCGCTGTTACCTGCTTCCCCAGTCTTTTCTGAAAAACTACAAATTAGGGTGGGAAAAGCTCTGTATTGAGAAGGGTCATATTTGCTTTCTAGGAGGTTTGTTGTTTTGCCTGTTAGTTTTGAGGAGCAGGAAGCTCATGGGGGCTTCTGTAGCCCCTCTCAAAAGGAGTCTTTATTCTGAGAATTTGAAGCTGAAACCTCTTTAAATCTTCAGAATGATTTTATTGAAGAGGGCCGCAAGCCCCAAATGGAAAACTGTTTTTAGAAAATATGATGATTTTTGATTGCTTTTGTATTTAATTCTGCAGGTGTTCAAGTCTTAAAAAATAAAGATTTATAACAGAACCCAAATATTCACGTCCGACACTGACTTTGTGGTTGATGCTCCTGCACCTCCTAGCGGGGGCCTCCTCCGTCATCGTCTTTTCCAGCGTTATCGTCCCGAGTCTCCCCTCCCGCTGCTCTGCTGTTTTCTGCTCCTCTGCACTCCTTGGGCTCTGCAGCCTCCTGTGCCTTTGCTACTTGCTGTTCCTCCTGCCCTGGAACGCCTTTCCCATCTCCTCCACACACCCTCCAGGTGCAGTTTAAAGTAGCTTCTTTCCTCCAGCCTTCCTCACCTTCTCCCCACTCATCAAAAGTTGTTTTTGGCTGGGTGCGGTGGCTCATGCCTGTAATCCCAGCACTTTGGGAGGCCGAGGTGGGCAGATCACCTGAGGTCAGGAGTTCGAGACCAGCCTGGGCAACATGGTGAAACCCCGTCTCTACTAAACATACAAAAATTAGCTGGGCGTGGTGGCGCATGCCTGTAGTCCCATCTACTTGGGAGGCTGAGGCAGGAGAATCGCTTGAGCCCGGGAGGCAGAGGTTGCAGTGAGCCAAGATCACACCACTGCACTCCAGCCTGGGCGACAGAGTGAGACTCCGTCTCAAAAAAAAAGTTGTTTTCATTTAGAATCTTTAAAGTGAAGACCACCCCTTCCATGATTAGGGGATACACAAAATAGAAATAAAGATTTTATTACTTATAGGATCTGGGGTGTACGCAGCACATCTGGAGGCCACACACACACACACACACACACACACACACACACACACACACAGGTCAGGGAGTGCATGGAGAGAAAGAGGGACTCATGGACCACCACCTTTTTGGGTCCAGGGTGTTATTCAAACAGGTTTCCTGAGGGGAGCTCTAATTGGTGGTTTAGAGCTGGCTGGCATGAGTTCCAGGAGGTTGCACTGTAGCTAAGAGGTCACTGTGGCATATCTCCACAGTCCACGCAGGGTGCGAGGGTCAGGGGCCAGTCCTGCAGGCTGTATGTGGCTGGCCCATAGAGAGGTGGCCACCAGGAGGAAGTTGTATGTGGCAGAGATACTTGGATCAACCACATGGAGGAACTGGGAGGAGGTGGAGAACCGGAAACTGTCAAGGGTGGCTGAGCCCTGCTTGTGGCATGAGAAAGTCCAGCTAACTGTATGTTCAAAGTGGCTGCCAAAGCAACAAAGTTCTAAGAATCCACTGCAGAAGTACTGTCTCCTGTCCAGCTGCACTTTTGTCGCGTCTCTAATAGCACATGTCAGGTCTGCCCTACACCAGGCACTGGGGCAGGAAAGGGCGTCTCACTGCAGACCATGGGCCGCTCCAGAGGGGCTGCCTGACTTCTCTGTGTTCCCCTTGGTCCAGCGCCGCACACAGGGAGGTGTTCATGATGGATTTGTCAAAAACGTGTAAAAGTAACCCTGGCTACAGTAGTCTCCCCTTACCCCACAGGGGATACCTTAGACCCCCAGTGAATGCCCAAAACCGTGGAACCCTATACATAACGTGCACACATTTCTTTTTCCTTCACGATTTCACAGATGGGAGATTTGTTCTTAGCATAGATCTTAGCAACCTCAGCATACGATTTTTTTTCTAAGTCAAGAATGTTCACCTTTTCACTTTAAGAAAGCACTTCATGGCTTCTCTTTGGCATATCCCAATGGCATATTAATCATCACTACTCTTAAGCTTTGGGGCCATCACTAAGTAAAACAAGGGTGCCTTGAACACAAGCACTGAGATACCTTGACCACTGAGACTGCCTAAGTGACTAACGGGCGAGTAGCGTGGGCAGCCTGCAGCCCCCGGACAAAGGGAGGATTCATGTCCCAGGCAGCACAGAGTGGGATGGGTGCGCGATTCCGTCATGCTACTCAGAGCCACGTGCAACTGAAAACTTAAGAATTGTGTATTTCTGGAATTTTTCCATTTAATATTTTCAGGCCGCAGTTGACTTCAGGTAACTGAAGCCTCAGAAAGTAAAACTGGATCGATATAGGGGACTAGTGGATATCCATGCAATGGAGTATTGTGTAGCAATAAAGAGGACTGAAGTGCATGGGCATGACACATTAAGCCAACTGAAAGAGGCCAGCCACAAAAGACCACATAGGATTCCATTTTTACGAAATGTCCAGAATAGGCAAATCCTTAGAAATAGAAAATCCCTGGAATCCTTAGTTCCAGGAATGAGGGATAAGGGGAATGAGGAGTAGCTGCTAATGGGTATGAAGTTTCTTTGGGAAGTGATGAAAATGTTATAAAACTGATGGTGAGGGGCAGGTGCGGTGGCTCATGCCTGTAATCCTAGCACTTTGGGAGACCGAGGCGGGTGGATCACTTGAGGTCAGGAGTTCAAGACCAGCCTGGCCAACATGGTGAAATCCTGTCTGTACTAAAAATACAAAAATTAGCCGGAAATTGCTTGAACCCGGGAGGTGGAGTTTGCAGTGAACTGAGATCATGCCACTGCACTCCAGGCTGGGTAACAGAGCATCTCCAAAAAAAAAAAAAGAAAACCCAAAAAACAAAAAAACCTGATGGTGGTGATGGTTAGGTAACTCTGATCACACTAAAAGTTATCAAATTGTACACTTCTTTTGTTTTTTTGAAACAGAGTCTTGCTCTGTGGCCCAGGCTGTAGTGGCACGATCGTGGCTCACTGCAGCCTTGAGCTCCTGGCCTCAAGCGAGCCTCCCACCTTGGCCTTCCAAAGCGCTGGGATTACAGGAGTGATTGTACACTTTGAATGGAGGAATTATGTGGTATGAAGCTGTTTTTAAAAAAGCCATGTTAGCTAGATGGCTGTTTAGGTAGATAGGGAGAAAGCAAAGAAAAAAATAACCCTCACACACCCTGCCACTCCTGACCACCTGTCTTTAGGTGTACCTATCTTGTTTAGCAACGATTGACTCCTCTAACCTTTGGAGTTATGGCCTGGAAGGTGAGATACTGGCAGAGAGGGTTATGTCTGTGACAAATTCAAGGGTGAAATTCTTGTTTCTAACGGGCCCATTTCTTTTCAGTACAGATTATCCTTTCTCAATGAGGGCCTCATATGGCTAATCAAATGACTTTGGGATAAAGAACTTTTAATGTCCTACACATCTGGGGGAGCTCTGAGGTTTTAGGTAACAAGTACAAGAAACACACTGAATTTGCTGTTGCCAATGCTCAACAGTGGGCAAACCAGAGAGCAAATACTGAAAAGTAGAGTTTTTAAAGGGAGAATCTTTTTAAAAAAAAATAAGATAATTTTGTTTCATTTTAAAATTGACAAAAATTCTATGTATTTATTATGCACAGCATTTTATTTTTTCATTTCAATAAGTTTTTGGGGAACAGGTGGTGTTGGGTTACCACCTTCAGTGGTGCTTTCTGAGATGTTGGTACACCCATCACCCAAGCAGTGTACACTCTACCCAATCAATGTGTAGGCTTTTATCCCTCACCACCCCCTACACTTTCCCTCGAGTCCCCAAAGTCCAGTGTATCATTCTTATGCCTCTGCGTCCTCATAGCTTAGCTCCCACTTATAAGCAAGAACATACATTGTTTGGGTTTCCGTTCCTGAGTTACTTCACTTAGAATAATGGTCTCCAATTCCATCCTGTTGCTGCGAATGCAGCAATGGCTAAGTAGTATTCCACAATATATATACATTTTCTTTACCCACTCAATAATTGATGGGCATTTGGGCTAGTTTGATTTTTTTTTTTTTTTTTTTTTTTTGAGACAGAGTCTCACTCTGTCACCCAGGCTGGAGTGCAATGGGTTCAAGTGATTCTCTTGCCTCAGCCTTCCAAGTAGCTGGGATTACAGGCATGTGCCACCACGCCCAGCTAATTTTTGTATTTTTAGTAGAGACGGGGTTTCGCCATATTGGCCAGGCTGGTCTTGAACTCCTGACCTCAAGTGATCCACCTACCTCAGCCTCCCAAAGTGCTGGGATTACAGGCATGAGCCATCGCACCCGGCCCCATAGTTTTTCAATTGTGAATTGTGCTGCTATAAACATGCGTGTGCAAGTACCTTTTTTGTATAATGACTTTTTTTCCTCTGGATAGATACCCAGAAGTGGGGTTGCTGGATCAAATGGTAGATCTGCTTTTGGTTCTTTAGGCAATCTTCACACTGTTCTCCATAGTGGTTGTATTAGTTTACATCCCACCAGCAGTGTAAAAGTTTTCCCTTTTTAGTACATCCACACCAACATCCATTTTTTAAAATTTTTTTATTATGGCCATTCTTGCAGGAGTAAGGTGGTATCACATTGTGGTTTTGATTTGCATTTCCTAAAGGGAGAATCTTAAAAGGCCTTAAGATACAGGTAGTAAAAAATTTGTTCCTCTATCTTCTAGAACTGTTAACTACCATAATGACCCTGCTTCTCTCTGTTTGTGCCCCAAGTAGAATGAGAGTATACTTATTTAATAAATACAGAAGCTTGAATGTTCATGGTTCTAAAAGTTGAAAGCAGCTATGTTGCATTTCTCAAATAAATGACAGTTTCATAAGTCACAATGCCTTGGCCTTTTCCCTCCTCATATAGTTCATAGGCCCCCAGTAGAAACGGGCTCTCCATCCCTTGTATTAAGCCATTTTCTATAAGATTTCTGGCTGGGCGTGGTGGCTTATGCCTTTAATCCCAGCACTTTGGGAGGCCAAGGTGGGTAGATCACCTAAGGTCAGGAGTTCAGACCAGCCTGGCCAACACAGTGAAACCCCATCTCTACTAAAAATACAAAAATTAGCCGGGTGTGGTGGCACGCAACAATGATCCCAGCTACTTGGGAGGCAGAGGTACAAGAATTGCTTGAACCTGGGAGGCAGAGGTTGCAGTGAGCTGAGATCGCTCCATTGCCCTCCAGCCTGGGCGACAGAGCAAAACTCCTTCTCAAAAAAAAAAAAAAGAAAGAAAGAAAGAAAAAAGAAAACAATTTCTGTATTGGTCTGCTCAGGCTGTTATAATAAAATTCCTTTAAGCCAGGCAGCCTGTAAACAACAGAAATCTACTTTTCACAGTTCTGGAAGCTGAGAAGTCCAAAATCAAGCCACCATTCTGTATGGAGTCATGGATATTTATTTTACACTTTGAGTTGTAATCCAATACTTTATTGCTCAAATTATTCCATCTTTGGCTAATGGGAGCTCTTTCAATTGGCTGCTGTGTCCATTTGACATTTTCCCTGCACCCCACTTCAAGACAGCTATTCTTGTTTTTGTTTGAGGATGTCCTTAATTGTGTGCAGTACAGAATGCTTCAGGCTTATCTTGTATATTTCCTGCCACAGTCCTAGCATCAGCCATTTCTCCAAGAAGCCCTAGTTCCTTTTGTTGGAAGATTTATGTTATAAAGCAAGATCTGGGTACTAGATGTGTTTGTTGGTCCTGGGGTATTGTTGTTTCTAGTCCCTGTCAGCTGACAGAGCAAGAAAATATATATGTGTTTACTAACCCATGTGTATACGTACACATACCTATAAATATTTCTATTTAAAACCATATGTGAGTTCATACTAATGTCTCCAACTCTAATTCATTACTACATGGATCATTCTAGCCTCCTGCCCTTTCGTATCTGTAAACTCCCACTCCATCAGAGATAAATGTGACACCAACCATCCACCATCTATTTAATTAGTTGTTTGATTCTAGTATACATGCATGGCAACATCAGAATTGTTCCCCACTGGGGAACAACTTTGTCAGTTAGAGTACAATGCTTATATGCAGTTCTGTTTGCCTTTACGCTAACAGCCTCATTCCCAAAATTACTTGGGCAGTTTCTTTCCCCTATTCCCTTCAGTGGGGATGTTTCACACACTTATAATATAGTTAGATTGTATTGTAGTAGTCTGCGTTCCACCTTGGGATCCGCTAACTTCCTAAGTGATATTTTAAAATCTGCATACATCAAGGTTCACTCTTCGAACTATAAAGTTCTATCTATTTTGGCAAATGCATAATGTCCAATATTCCTTATGTTTTCATAGTTTCACTACCCTAAAAATCCTCTGTGTTTGATTCAACCATTGTGTGGACTTAGGTTTTCAATTTAGTTGTATGGATCGTATGGTAAGACTGTTCAGCGCTGTGAGAAATTGCCAAAGTGCCTTCCAAAGTGGATGCACTGTTCTGTATTCCTAGCAGCAACGAATGTGAGTTCCTCATGCCCTGCCTCCTCACCAGCATTTGTCAGTGTTTTGGATTTTGGCCATTCTAATAAGTGTGTAGTAATATCTCATTAATTCCTTAATGACAAGTCACATTGAGCATCTTTTCATATACTTATCTGCTCTCTGCATTTTCTTGGGTGATCTTATGCCAATTTTTTTTCTGGTGCCTAATTCCAGATTAATTTGCCCACTTTTTAGTTGGGTTGTTTTCTGGTGCCTAATTCCAGATTCATTTACCAATTTTTTAGTTGGGTTGTCTGTTTTCTGGTGTCTAATTCCAGATTCATTTGCCCATTTTTTAGTTGGGTGTTTGTTTTCTTACTGTTGAGGTTGAAGAGTTCTTTGTATTCTTTGGATGCAAGTCCTTTATCAGACATGTGTTTTGCAAATGTGTTCTTTCAGTTTGTGGCTTGTCTCTTCGTTTCCTTAACTGTGTCTTTTGCAGATCAGAAGTTTTTAATTTTAATAAAGCCCAATTTACCTTTTCCTTCATGGATCATGTTTTTGGTATCTTTGATTTCTTTTCTTTTCTTTTCCTTCCCTTTCTCCCTCCCTCCCTTCCTTTTTTTTTTTTTTTTTTTTTTTTTGAGACAGGATCTCACTCTGTCACCAGGCTGGAGTGCAGTGGCATGATCTCGGCTCACTGCAGCCTCCGCCTCCAGGGTTCAAGCGATTCTCCTGCCTCAGCCTCCCGAATAGCTAGGATTACAGGCACGTGCCACCACACCCGGCTAATTTTTGTATTTTAGTAGAGATGGGGTTTCACCATGTTGGCCAGGCTGGACTTGAACTCCTGACCTCAGCTGATCTGCTCACCTCTGCCTCCCAAAGTGCTGGGATTAAAGGCATGAGCCACCACGTCCAGCCCCTTCTTTCCTTCCTTCCTTCCTTCCCTCCTTCCCTCTTTCTCTTTCTTTCTTCTCCTCTCCTCTCCTCTTCTTTCTTTTCTTTTCTTCTTTTTTTATTAAAGAGACAGGCTCTCACTCTGTCACCCAGGCCTGGAGTGCAGTGGCACCATCACAGCTCACCGCAACCTCGAACTCCTGGGCTCAAGGGATCCTCCCCCCTCAGCCTTTCTAGTAGTTAGGATTACAAGCAAATGCCATCACACTTGGCTTCCATTTCCTCTTCTTCTTCTTCTTCTTTTTTTTTTTTTTGAGACAGAGTCTCACTCTGCAGCCCAGGCTGGAGTGCAGTGGTGCGATCTCAGCTCACTGTAACCTCCACCACCCAGGCTCAAGTGATTCTACTGCCTCAGCCTCCTGAGTAGACGGGATTACAGGCATGTGCCACCATGCCCGGCTAATTTTTGTATTTTTAGTAGAGATGGGGTTTTGTCATGTTGGCCAGGCTGGTCTCAAACTCCTGACCTCAGGTGATTTGTCTGCCTCAGCCTCCCAAAGTGCAAGGATTACAGGTGTGAGCCATGGTGCCTGGCCCTATTTCTTTTGTATTGAAAAATATTTTATCAGCCATCCTGGTGACTCACGTCTATGATCCCAGCTACTCACCTCCTATTAGGTGTATTACTTGAGGCCAGGAGTTCGAGACCTGTCTGGGCAACATAGTGAGACCTGCCAAAGAAAGAAAAAAAGAAAAGAAAAGAAAAAGAGAGAGAGAGAAGAAAGAAGAAAGAAGAAAGAAAGAAGAAAGAGAACGAGAAAGAGAAAGAAAGGAAGAGAGGGAAGGAAGGGAGGGAGGGAGGGAGGGAGAGAGGCAGGGAGCTTTGAAGGAAGGAAAGAAGGAAGGAAGGAAGGAAAAGAAAGAAAGAGAGAAAGAAAGAAAGAGAAACAGGGAGAGAGAGGGAGGGAGGCAGAGACAGAGAAAAAAAGAAGAAAGAAAGAAGAAAGACAGAGAAAGAAAGAGAAAGAAAAGAAAAAGAAAGGGAAAAAGAGAAAGAGAGAGGGAGGGAGGGAGAGACAAAGAGAAGAAAGAAAAAGAAGAAAGAAAGGAAAGAAGGAAGGAAGGAAGGAAGCAAAGAAAGGAATTCGCTTGGCATGGTGGTGCACACCTGTAGTCTGAGCTACTTGGGAGGCTAAGGCAGGAAGATCACTTGAGCCCAGGAGTTGGAGGCTGCAGTGGGCAACAGAGCAAGATCCTGTCTCTAAAAATATAAATAAACAAAAATAAGAAACTAAGAAAAAAAATCATCTTTTCCAAATAATGCGTTTTTAGTTGTGTTTTTATAATATTGTGTTCCTTCTCAGTTTTTATTTCTGAAATGATTCTTTTCTTTCTAATTTTTTCCTCAGTTCTATTATCTAAGTTCTAAGTTTTCCTAATTCCAATTTAGGTTATTTGTTCATGTCTTTAACGTTATTTATTTATTAGTTATTGAGATAGGGTCTTGTTATGTGGCCCAGGCTGGTCTTGAACTGGGCTCAGGCGATCCTCCTGCCTCAGACTCCCAAGTAGCTAGGATTACAGACACGCACCACTGCACCACACATCTTGTATCAATTTTTTTCATGTTTCTTAGCTCTTTTGGACATAGCAGATTGCATTTTTTTTTAGCTGTTTAGGGGCATCTTTGTAGTATGTTTTCATTGTCCCCAGGAGAACTGGTCACTGCATTTCACCCAGGACAAGTCATGAAGTCAGCTGCGGTGGCTGCAGCCTTTCATGGGAGACAGTCACCAGGCCAGCTAGGAGGACTGGAAGTGGGGCCCGGGTGCTTGCTATGAGACAGGAAAGGACTTCCTGGAGGCAGGAGCGCCCTCCCCTCTGCAGAATATTTGACCCTTAACAGGGACAGAGGCCCCTGTTGACCCCACATGGTGGTGTCCTGCGTGCCCCTCACACTCCACACACCCAAAGCTGATGCATTTTGTTTGCCCTCCAGCCTGCGTTCCCCGCTCGCTGAGCTGATAGCACCGCCCCTCATCACAGCATCCAAGCCAGAAATCTGGAAGTTTTCTCTAGGATCCTTTCTCTCCTTTCACACATTCCAGTCGGCCACCACATTCTGCTGATTTTCCATGTTCAGCATTTCCCAAACTTAACTCTGCCTCCCATCCCACACCCCTTTCCCTGTTCAGACCTCCCCTCCTGGCCAGAGTGCCAGGGCAGGATTCAGCAGAGCCTCTCCTGCCTCAACCCGCCCCTCCAATCCGGTTCCATGCGGGTGGAGGATTTCCAGACTCCGTCTGCTGCCAATCAAGACCATTCAGGGCCCGGTCCAGCCTGCTCACTCAGGCCCATCTCCCACTTCTCGTCTCAGGCTTTATGTTTAAGCCATCTTGAAGCGGCTGGTTCCCCTGCATACTGCATAGTCTTATTAATTTTTCCATGATTTTTCACTGTCTTCCTTCTTCATTGTCAAGAACTGTCAGGAGTCTGGGGTTTTACCCACTTGCAGGCTAGCAAGGCAGCCTGTGCAGTCTCATAGGTGCTGGCAGATATGAGACTCCAGTGTCAAAGGCAAAGGACTCTATGACTCACGGCGCAGCAGGGTGCATGAGCCTCATGTTTGCTTTGATGACTCCTACCTGTCAGGTCCGCTGAATGTTACACAGAGGTGGACCCGGGTGGATGCTGAGCACCCGTCACGGCTCAGAAATCTCAAGCTTGGGAAACAATCGTTTAGAGAAGGCTGCTAGCACTCCTGCCCGCGTTTTGCCCTGGAGGGAGACACTATTCTCCAAAGTGAGAGGTATGATTTTATTATCCTGGTCAGGAGGAAAAATCTGCTCTCTTTCCAGGAGGGAGAAACTATCTGGATCATCTGAGATACTCAAGTACTCTTAAAAAGACAGTCTGGAATAAAAGCTGTCAAAGACTTTTCACTATACATGCAGAAATGCAAGCGACCCATGGAGAATTGTCTTCAAATAGTCTAGAAGGGGTTCTTCTGTTCCTGTCTGCTCTGGCCAACCTGTTATCCTTCAAAACCTAGCGCAGGCACCCCTGTCTGCAGGACGCCCTCTTTCCTTGCTCCAGGCTGGTTACACGCCCTCCATTCTGCAGGACCTGTAAAGTACTGTGCCTTCTGCTGGTCACATTGAACTGGAAGTAGCCCCACGGCTCAGCAACCCCCAGGTTTGAGTCTTGTTCTCACTCTAGACCATAAAAATTCCTTCCTACAGATTTGGAAAAGATGTCCCTTCCTCTGAGTGGACGTGGGCCCAAGACAGGGTGTAGGCTCTGACAAGTGGCACATAGACTGAATTTCAGCTCCACTTGTCCCCTCAGCCATGCAACTTTGGCAGTGAACACCCTCTGTGCCCATATGGGCTAGCCTTGAATTGATTTACCTTTTCAAGAAGATCCGAGACTTCCCGTACCTGCCCCCACCCAGGAACTTGGAGGATCCCTGCAACAAACCTGGAAGGTTAGGATAGAATATGCATTCTCATTTTAAGAATGGGGAAACAGAGGCATGAAGCTATTAAGGACGTGCACAGGGTTTGCAGCTGGGCTGGAGCCCAGGTCTTCTGGCTCTAGTTCAGTTCTTCCCACTGTACTGCTGAGTAGGTTTTCTGACCCTGAAGACAAACATTTCAGTTTCCTGCTGGCTTAGGGCTGTGTGGGCTGCAAAGAGGAGGTTCTGGTACAGCTTTCCTGGAAGCCAGCATTTCCCAGCAAACTGGGGAGGAGAAAAGCTACCACTGGGAGGTGGCACTTTTCTCTCCAAAGCCCTTCTCCATGTGACCTTCCTGTGAAGGTAAGGCCTGCTGCCAGCCACAGCTGCTTCCTCTCCTCCACCAATGAGCCCTCTGAGCCCTGGATCCCAGCCAGCTGAGCGGGTACCTGGCAACCAGACTCGCAAATGTGTGCCCAGCTTTGCCCTGATGAGTGGGGAGGGCAGGCTCATCTGTGAGTGTATGTGGGGTGGGGGAAGGGGTGTCTATGCAGCACCCAGGGGACCCCCCCCACTGCTTCTCTGGCTGCCCCCTGCCCCTGGGTCTCTGTTCCTCTCTACCCACCTCACCTGTGGGTCTGACCCTGACAGAAGAAACTTGCTCATTCCTGGGGCGAAGGCAATACACCCCATTAAAGGATTGTGGGGCCATCCCAGGCCAGGCCTCTTCAGTGTCAGTTTGGGACATTTCATGGCAGGCAGGACATTGTGCCCAGCCACCTGGGAGGGCCAAGGGGATGGGGAGGCACAGGGCCAGGCACGCCTGGTCTCTCTCTGAAAACCCTGGGTGGCTTCTCCCAGCACCGCTGGCCCAGTCTCACCCAGAGGCTGTGCACTCTAAAAGTGCAGGAAGGAGGGAGCCAGCCGGCCATGGGGAGAGGGACAAATGCCAGGGAGGAGCCACAGACAGACCCCGCCATGCATGATGGCCTGTGGCCAGGTCACCCTTGGACACACACACGCCCAGCTGTGGACTCCTCAGCACTTGTTTGGGGCTGTGGGGATGCCCGGGCTCATTAGTTGCATCCTGGGCCCATCAGTCAGGTCACAATGGCCACTGCCTCAGGCAGGGTCCCCAAGAACTGGGATTTGACAGCCAAGGCTTGTCCGACTTTGGCTTTCTACAGATATATCACTTGGGATGCGGCATGGGGGCAGGCTAGAGAGCCGCAGGTTTAGGGTCAGACTCATTTTGTTCGCATGAAATGGGTAGGACAAGTCCCCCCTGCTATGGACTAAATAGTGTCCCTCCAAAAATGTGTATGTCGCAGCCCTAACCCCCAGCACCCCAGGGCGTGCATGTGTGTGTGCGCGTACGTGTGTGTGTGTGTGTGTGTGTGTGTGTGTGTGTGCCAGGCCCTCTGCCCTGAGGCTAATGCTGGGGTCCACCTGCCAGGAGAGGCCAGGGAGCCCTCGTGAGCCCCCAGAGAGCAAGAGAGGGGTTACCTGGAGCACTTTTCATCTGGATGCCTCTGCCCCCAGGGAGCTGTGACTGAGAAAATGGGAAGATGACTGCGTTTGGAGATAGAGCTTTTGAAGAGATGATTAAAGTTAGGCTGGGCGCGGTGGCTCATGCCCATAATCCCAGCACTTTGGGAGGCCGAGGCAATGGATCACTTGAGGTCAGGAGTCCGAGACCAGCCTGGCCAACATGGTGAAACTCTGTCTCTACTAAAAACACAAAAATTAGCTGGGCATGGTGGTGGGCACCTATAATCCCAGCTACTCGGGAGGCTGAGGCAGGAGAATAGCTTGAACCCGGGAGGCAAAGGTTACAGTGAGCCGAGATCGTGCCACTGCACTCCAGCCTGGCAACAGAGCGAGACTCTGTCTTAAAATAAAATAAAATAAAAATAAATAAATAAAGTTAAATAAGGCCATTCGGGTGGGCCCTAATCCAATACAACTGATGTCCTTATAAGAAGAGACACCAGGGATGTGTGAACAGGGAGGAGGCTGAGTGAGGGCCCTGAGAGAAGGTGGCCTCTGCCAGCCCAGGAGAGAGGTCTCCGGAAAAACCAACCCTGCGACACCTTGGTCTTGAAATTCCAGCCTTCAGAACTGTGAGAAAATGAGTGTCTGTTAAGCTCCCCATTCTGTGGCACTTTGCTATGGCAGCCCTAACAGACCAATACATCTTTCTTTGGGCCTTTATGACTTCATCCATAAATACCTCCCTCCAAGAGGCTGTTTTGTGGATTAAATAAAATGATGCAGAGTAATCGCTAACCAGGGCCAGGTACTCCTGAAGCTCACATTATGTTGTCTCCTGGCCTTGGGTCAGGCCCCCCAATTTTCCCAGTCGCAGCTCCCTGGGGGCAGAGGCATCCAGATGACAAGTGCTCCAGATAACCCCTCTCCTGCTCTCTGGGGGCTCACGAGGGCTCGCCGGCCTCTCCTGACAGGTGAATTCCAGCATTGGCCTCAGGATGGAGGGCCTGGCACACACGCGCAAACACACATTCACACATGCATGCACACATATAAACGTTCTTACAGCGGCTCCCTCAGTCCGGCCCACTGGCAAGCTCTGTCCCCTTCCTGGGAAGCAGGCATCAGAACCCAGAGCAGGGCAGGTGCCTCATTTACCCTCTGAACCCCAGCTCCACCCCAAGCCTGGGCCATACCTGGCCCACAGGGTGGTTGGGGAAACAAAATCCCCTAACCTTTCCCACCAGGCTTATGAGCCTGAAGATGGGTTTTGAAGAATGTATGGACATCTGCCAGCACCTGTGAGACTGCATAGGCCCAGCAGGTGGCAGGGTGCTGCTGGCCTGAGAGCTGGGGAATGAGGCTGTGTTGCCCAGGCCAGCCCAGGACCGACGGGAGCTTGGAAGCAGAGGAAGAGTGCTGTCTGCATTGGCAGGGATTGGGGTGAGGGTGGTGGGGGGCAATCTGGGATCATGGCTGGGTGTCCTCACCATCTGGGTATTTGCCTTTTATTCAACATTGGTGACGCCAACCTCCAGGACCAGGATGCATCTGGCACCACACCTTGCAGCTCCCATCGTGCTGGCCCAGGTCCAGAGTCTAACAGGTGTTTGTTGACTGGCTGAGTGAGCTGGTTGGTGCCCAGGAATTTAACTCAGCCCATTCCAGCTGCCATTACCTGGATGCCCAGCTCAGGGCCACTCATGCTGGTGCTCCACATGAGCTCTGCGCTGGTTCTCAGGGCCTCGCAAAGCGCTGACCTGTGGGAAGCACTCATGAGTACCTACTTCCAATCAATGCTGAGGACACAGACACAAATGGTGCAACTCTGGTGGAGAAAACAGAGGCCTCAGCTGGGTGCAGTGGCTCACACCTGTAATCCCAGCACTTTGGGAGGCCAAGGCAGCTGGATTACTTGAGGTCAGGAGTTTGAGACCAGCCTGGCCAATATGGCAAAACCCCGTCTCTACTGAAAATACAAAAATTAGCCAGGCGTGGTGGCGGGCGCCTGTAATCCCAGCTACTCGAGAAGCAGAGGCAGGAGAATTGCTTGAACCCGGGAGGCAGAGGTTGCACAGTGAGCTGAGATTGAGCCACTGCACTCCAGCCTGGGTGATAGAGCAAGACTCTGTCTCAAAAAAAAAAAAAAAAAAAAAAAAAAAAAAAAAAAAAAGGAAAGCAGAGGCATCGGTAGATAGTTACAATTTGATGGTCTCTCTCTTGTGAGACAGACAAGTCCAGGGGGCTGTGGGAGCATGGTTGGGCCAGACAGACCATGGGAGGACTGTCTGGCCCAACCTGGGGAATTAGGAAAGGCTTCCTACCAGCCTGGGCAACATGGTGAAACCCCATCTCTACAGAAAATACCAAAAATTAGCCAGGTGTGGTGGCACCAGCCTGTAGTCCCAGCTACTTGGGGGGCTGAGGTGGGAGGACTTCCTGAGCCCAGGAGATGGAGGCTGCAGTGAGCCCTGATCACACAACTGTACTCCCTCCAGGGCAGCAGAACAAGATGAGACCCCGTCTTAAAAAAAAAAAAAAAAAAAAAAAAAAAAGCTTCCTGGAGGAGGTTGGATAGGAGTTGACCAGGCAAATACTACAGGCAATGGTATCCCTGGGAGAGGTGACAGATGGTTCTGATCCTAAGCTGGGGATGACGGGAGCCAAGGATGGTGGGAGGCTGACGGGCCGACAGGGGCCAGGGTCCCAAGGGCTGAGGGTGCTGAGGGTGGCTGAGAGTATGCCACAGGTTCTGGCAGAGGACAGGATCCCCATGGCAAAGAGGGGGTCTTCTGAAGCCACCCGGGAAGGAGGTGAGGCTGTGAATGCGGGGCTGGCTGTGCAGAGCTCCAGCCCCTTCAGAAAAGATGTCATTTTCAAAAGGGCTTTTATTAAATTCTCCCCACACGATGGCTCCTGCAATCTGCCACAGCTCTGGGGCGTGTCCTGTAGGGAAAGGCCCTGTTTTCCCTGAGGCGGGGCTGGGCTTGTCCATGGGTCCGCGGAGCTGGCCGTGCTTGGCGCCCTGGCGTGTGTCTAGCTGCTTCTTGCCGGGCACAGAGCTGCGGGGTCTGGGGGCACCGGGAGCTAAGAGCAGGCTCTGGTGCAGGGGTGGAGGCCTGTCTCTTAACCGACACCCTGAGGTGCTCCTGAGATGCTGGGTCCACCCTGAGTGGCACGGGGAGCAGCTGTGGCCGGTGCTCCTTCCTAGGCCAGTCCTGGGGAAACTAAGCTCGGGCCCTTCTTTGCAAAGACCGAGGATGGGGTGGGTGTGGGGGACTCATGGGGAATGGCCTGAGGAGCTACGTGTGAAGAGGGCGCCGGTTTGTTGGCTGCAGCGGCCTGGAGCGCCTCTCTCCTGAGCCTCAGTTTCCCTTTCCGTCTAATGAAGAACATGCCGTCTCGGTGTCTCAGGGCTATTAGGACTTGCCCTCAGGAAGTGGCCTTGGACGAGCGTCATGTTATTTTCACAACTGTCCTGCGACGTTGGCCTGGGCACGTCATGGAATGGCCCATGTCCCTCTGCTGCGTGGACGTCGCGGTCGGGAGTGCGCAGCCAGAGGCGGGGCCAGACGTGCGCCTGGGGGTGAGGGGAGGCGCCCCGGGAGGGCCTCACAGGAAGTTGGGCTCCCGCACCACCAGGCAGGGCGGGCTCCCGCCGCCGCCGCCGCCACCACCGTCCAGGGGCCGGTAGACAAAGTGGAAGTCGCGCTTGGGCTCGCTGCGCAGCAGGTAGCCCTTGATGCAGTGCGGCAGCGCGTCGTCCGCCAGCTGGAAGCAGCGCCCGTCCACCAGCACGAACAGCCGGTGCGCCTGCGGCCGCTCCACCGCGAACTTCTCCGCGCACTGCGCGCACAGCGCCTGGGCCTGGGTGTCCGCCCGCGACGCCAGCGTCCGCGCCTGCTGCTCGGGCTCCAGGTACGACACGCAGATGAAGTCCTGCGGAGACGCGAGGGGCCTGTGGTCACGGCGGGGCCCTGTCTCCTCAGGCGCCCTCTCCCGGCCCAGGCCCCTCCCTGGATGGATAGCGGGTGGCGGGCGCCAAGCTGTCTGCGAGTCCGGCACCTGCGCCTTTCCCGTCTCTGCCGCGAGCCTGCGGGGGGCCCGTCCCCCTCCCTGCCTGGCTTCCCAGCTGGGCCGACAGTTCTGGGAGATGAATTAAGGCGCGTCTCGGAGTCCCTGCAAAGAGGAGCCGGCGCGTCCCCTGGCTGCTGGTCCACAGGCTCCCCATCATTCATTCATTCATTCATTCCCTCCCTCCCTCCCTCCAGGTGAGTTCCCTGCACCCCAGGCGCAATGCTGGGCACGGAGGGCAGCACAGATAAGAAGGGAGGTGCGAGCCCGCCCGGGCATCCCATAGTGCGGGCGGGCAACACAGTCCAGCCCCTTAGGGCTGCAAGAGCCCTGGGGCTCTGAGGAGCTGCGTGGGGCAGGGATTGGTAAAGCGGGAGGGGACCGGGTGAAGGAGGCTGGGCGCAGTCGGGTGGGGAAGGCCCGGCATGAGCAGGGCGGGCAAGGCGAGGCGACGCCTGCGGGCTGGGGCTGGGCACTCGCAGCACGAGCAGGGCGCCCGCCCGCCGTCCTCCACCCCTAGGGACCCAGCCCCACACCTGCCGGGCTTTGCCTTTGCTCCCACTGCCTGTGTGGCCTTGATTCGTCGAGCCCCGGCTGTAAAGTGGGGATAGCGCCCGCCTCCCATAAATGGGCGAGCAGGCGCTGGAAGCTCCGGCCCGGAGCGGCCTCGCCTTCCCCGGGGCTCAGGGCTGCAGGCAGAGAGGCTGCGCGCGGGGCTGCCCCCTTGTGGCCGGATTGGGAACAGCAGGCCTGCGCGGGAAGCGGCTGAGGATCCCGGCTCGGCGGAGACCGTGATGGCAACTGGTGGCTAGGGCTTAGGCGAGGCCGGGCTCCTGTCAAGAGCTTCACGGGGACCGCCCATTTCTTCCAGGAGGGGAAAAGCCCGGCCCACTCCCTCCGTCTTAGTGGCTGCCTCAGGGCTCCTTGTCCTCCATTAGGCCTCCCAGGGCACTATCCACCTGCTAGTGACTGTCCAGCTCTGGGCTTCCCCTCCCCAGGGAAGGGTGCCCACCCCCCAAGGCATGGTGTGCGGAGGAGGCACTGGGAGGGGGCAGAGGGTGGTGCCCTCCCCAGATCCCAGATGTGGTGCTGAGGGGACCCCCCTCCGAAGCTTCCGTCTCCCAAACAGTGGGTGGTCCGTTTCATCCATACTCTGCCTGGCTCAGCATCAGGAACCCCTAAGGTAGAAGCAGGAAGTACGGGATGCCTGGGCCAGGCTTGGACCAAGAGTGTCCATGTCCCTACAGTCTGTGGGAGTCCGGGGTGTTGGGAGGGGATGGGAACAGAGGTGTGCTGGAGCTGGCTCACACCCGCCAGGGAGAGCCGACTGCATACACTTCTTTCCAACTCCACATTCAGTGATGCCAAGTTGAAGTTGGCCATGGAGGACTCACACCATGGAAATGGACAGAAGCTAAAATCAGAGCTTTTGTTTTCTCCCCAGAGAGTCAGTTATTAAATTGATTAGCCATAGTCAGCCTGTGTGGGCAGGAAAACTGAGTCCCAGAGTGGGGCAGGGATTGCTGAGGGTCACACAGCAAGCTAGTACAGGGCTGGGGCCAGAACTCAAGCCTCCTGTCTCCCAGGCCTGGGCTCTGCTTATTATAGATGCACCATCTTGAAAGCCAGGAGTGTGGCTCAGGACTGGTCTGCTCTGGGTGTCAGAGGAGTGAGTCTGCATAGCTGCTCACAGCTCTGGATGTGCCTGGCTCACTAGTCCAACTCTCACCCTTTTTTACACACCCAGTCCTGCTCTGTCCCAGGCCCTGGGCTTGGCGCCCCTGAGGCATGTGAACCATGGGCTGTGCCCTCCCAGAGGTGACAGCTTCATATGCAGAGGATGATAGGATGTGATATGCACTGTAAAAGGGGAGGCCGCAGGAAGCCCAGAGGAGGGCACCCCACCCAGCCTGTGTGAAACGGTGTGTGTGTGTATCAGGGAAGGCTTCTCAGAGGAGGGGCTGTTGGAGAAACTGAGTCGTCTTAAAGGATGGGCAGTGACAGCCAGTGAAGAAGGGGAGATTGACCAGTGAGGGCAGCGGTTGAGCAGCCAGTGAACTGGGCTGGGCATGTTTGGGGAACTGGGGGCAGCTGGATTTGATGCAGCCTGGGGGTGGGTGGGGTGATGGAGTTGGGGAGGGGCGGGACTGGTTTGAATACTGAGTCTGTATAGAGAGAGGTATGGGGAGGGGTGGGCCACTGGGTTGGTGGGGGTTACGCAGACCCTTGGCAGCTGCTGCATTTGTCCAGGGACTAAGGAGCAAGGCTGTAGATGAGCCTGTGGGCTCCTTAAAGCAGGGACTGGGATGACAAGTCCCCATCTCCAGCCCCTGCAGGGTGCTGGGTCCTAGGAGGGGCTAAGGAATGATGGGTGTGTCTCATTCCTCCTGCACCCTTCCTGCTTGCCCAGGGAGAACACCAATGCCTGCTGATATGTTTCTAGACGCACCCAAGTCCTGGACACACACTGGCAGCAGGGGCTGGGGGCCCTTCCTCTGGTGTGGGGAGTCTCACTGCTCCCCTAAGGCAGGGCTGGGCGGCTGGAGCAGCCAGGTGATGTCACGGCTCCTTAGCCAGCAGGCAGCAGGGATGGTGTCTGGGACATGGCCCCACCGGGCCCCTCCCGCTCTCAGGCCTCACCTGTACGGAGGAGCGGGAGGCCCGGGCCTTGTTGAGAGTACGCCGGCGCTCCCAGCGGTGGATGGAGTCCTGCACCTCCACACTCAGCTGCCGGGTCACCGTGATCTTGTCGTAGCTCTTGATGTGCTCCAGGGCCCCGTAGGTGGTGGTCAGATAGTAGGAACCTGCGTGGACAAGGGTGTGGAATCTGAGCCAGGACCGCCTCCGCCCACCAGAGGCAAGGAGCTTGGCCTGCCCCACCCACCTCCTCCAAGCCCCGCCCACCACCTCTGCTTGAGGCACATCTGCAAACACCTGCTTCAACAGCTGAGCTCAACCCCACGCCCACCCTCCAGCCTCAGAAAGTTTCCTAGAGTCCAGCCCTGAGCTGTCTGGGCCCTGCTCAAAACTTTTCACTGGCTCCCCTTGGGGACGAAACTCTTGCTTATTTAAAAAATGATTTTTAAAACAATAAAAAATTTAAAGGATACACAAGAAACAGAAACCTCAGTGTGGGGAAAGGGGTGGCCAGGAGACAGGGTGGGCAGGAGACTTCTCACTGTGTGTGTATCACATATACACGGTCTCTGAGTTACTATGGTTCCATTTATGATTTTTTGACTTCATGATGGTGTGAAAGTGATACACATTCAGTAGAAACCATGCTTCCAGGACCCATATAACCAACCTGTTTTTTACTTTCAGTAAAGTATTCGATACATTACATGAGATATTCAACACTTTATTATAAAACATGCTTTGTGTGAGGTTTTTTTTTTTTTTTTTGTCTAAGTCTGGCTCTGTTGCTGTGTTGCCCAGGCTGGAGTGCAGTGGCGTGATCTCGGCTCACTGCAACCTGCACCTCCCACGTTCAAGCGATTCTCCTACCTCAGCCTCCTGAGTAGCTGGGATTAGAGGCGCATGCCACCACGCCTGGCTAATTTTTGTATTTTCAGTAGAGATGGGGTGTCGCCATGCTGGCCATGCTGGTCTTGAATGCCTGACCTCAGGTGATCCGCCCGCCTCAGCCTCCCAAAGTGCTGGGATTACTGACATGAACCACCATGGCTGGACTGTGTGATTGATTTTTGACACACACACAATAGGCTTTTTGATGCCTTTGCCCAACTGTAGGCTAATGTAAGTGTTCTGAGAACATTTAAGGTAGACTAGGCTATGATGTTCAGTAGGTTAGGTGGATTAAATGCATTTCAACTTAAGATATTTTCAATTTATGATGGGTTTATTAGGACACACCCTCATAAATTAAGGAACTTTGATATGCTTTAGAATTTTGAGCCATGTGAATGCATTATCTATTCTAAAAATAATTTTTAAGAAGAGAGGAAATTTTAATTATGGTTATACTATTACATGCAATTTTTAAAGATTTTAAATAAGTATAAAATTTGAATCATTTATGTATCCATTTCTTAAGTTAATTCACACATAGCTCACTGGAGCCTCCAACTCCTGGGCTCAAGCGATTGTAGGCTGATTTTTACATTTTCTATAGAGAAGGGGTCTAGCTATGTTGCCCATGTTGGTTTGAACTTCTGGCCTCAGGTGATCCTCCTGCCTTGGCCTCACACATATTCTTAATACACAATGTTTCCTAAAGTAATTTAAGCTTTGAGATACTTCAGACTGCAAAATTTTCATGAACTTTTAAGATAAAAGGCAATATTTTACACGATGCTTACAAATTCATTCTCCTGAGCTTGTTTGGGACTTTGGTTAAAAGGTTTGAGAAATACTAACTTTGGTAAGCTCCTCATTTTAGAGAGAGAAAACCGAGTCCCAGAGAGGGAAGGTGGCTTGGCCAAGGTCATAGAGAGATCAAGGGCCCAGAGGAGGGCAAGGAGACCCTGGAAACCCTGGTCTCTCGGGTCCCCAGCGCCGCCCACCTCCATGGTGCTTCCTTGGGCTTTCCCACCACTGCAAAGGCCTTTCTGCCCAGCCCTTCCAGTGCCAGGATGACGATTTTTTTCTTCTTTTTTTTTTTAGATGGAGTTTCGCTCTTGTTGCCCAGGCTGCAGTGCAATGGCGTGATCTAGGCACATTGCAACCTCCGCCTCCCAGGTTCAAGCTATTCTCCTGCCTCAGCCTCCTGAGTAGCTGGGATTATAGGCACGCACCACCACGCCTGGCTAACTTTTTGTATTTTTAGTAGAAACGCGGTTTCACCATGTTGGCCAGGCTGGTCTCGAACTCCTGAGCTCAAGTGATCCACCCGCCTTGGCCTCCCAAAGAGCTGGGATTACGGGTGTGAGCCACCATGCCTGGCCAGGATGATGATTTTTGACATGAGGCAGATTCTGCTAGTGCCCCACTCAAATCGCGTCTGCCCCTTCTACCTAATTGAACTGTGCTTTTATTTGGGGAAGTAACATCAACTGAAATGCTCACTTCCCTGACTCCCTTGCAGCTTGGGTAGAGGCAGGAGACTCTGCTGTGGCCCCTTAGATATAAGTGGAAGGCTGGGTGGGGCTTCCAGGAAAGCCTTTGAAAGAGACAGACTCAGTGGATGTATCCCTTTGGGTTTCTGCCTGTCACCCTTCCTTCTGCCTGGAACCCAGACGCATTACTGGGGGCACTGCAGCTGTCTTCTGATCACAGGTGACAGACACAAAGCCAAAGGCCCCACATGCTAAGAAAAGATGGAAAGAGCTGGGCCCATAGTTCCCTGGATGCAAAATGCCATCCTTACTAGGTGCTTCGCCTGGACTTCTTGATGCAAGAGACAAACCAATTCCTTGCTCTGACTTAAACCACTATTAGTTACTTTTGTGAGTTACGTGCAGCCCAAAGCATTCCTAGCTGTTACATTGGGTGAAGCTGGCCCACACATCTCCACCAGTTCTACAACCAATATGGGACAAGTTCACACCCTGGTCCAGTAGGTGGTGAGGCGGGGGTGGGTAAGATAAAAGGGTTTATGGCCACAGGATCACCCACCCTTTCATAGCAGTATAGAAAAGAGATGGCTGGGTGTGGTGGCTCACGCCTGTAATCTCAGCACTTTGGGAGGCTGAGACGGGTGGATCACTTGAGGTCAGGAGTTCAAGACCAGCCTGGCCAACATGACGAAATCCTGTCTCTACCAAAAATACAAACATTAGCTGGGCATGGTGGCACGTGCCTGTAATCCCAGCTACTCTGGAGGCTGAGACAGGAGAATCGCTTGAACCTGAGAGGCAGAGGTTGCAGTGAGCTGAGATCAGGCCACTGCACTGCAGCCTGGGTGACAGAGTGAGACTTCATCTCAAATTAAAAAAAAATAAAAATAAATAAGAGACATTTTTTGAAAAAACTAAATTAAAGCTACCACAGAGGTTGCCTTGGTGTCCCTAATAAGAGAAGAACCACTAAACCACTTACGTATCTCCATTTTAAGTTAGGTTTAAAGCCCCAGGCCAGGAAGTCGGCTCTGGTGCCCCCAGCCCTTGCTGCCCCAAGTCCACGTCCTCTACCTGGCATCCCTCAGTCGTCCTGTTTCCTGTCTGGCTTATGTCTTCCTGGCTGGGAATGGAAGAGGTGAGTGCAGTGTGCTGACTGCAAACCTTCAGTTTTGGAGTCAGAGAACAGGATCTAGGTCTTTGCTCCATAGCAGCCAGCCCTGTAATTCAGGTGAGCTAATGGCCTCTCTATGCCTCAGTTTCCTTATCTGCAAACATCATAAAGTTGTGAAAAGGAAATGAGTATGTGTAAAGTACAGGGCTTCGGAATGTGTGAATAACGCATGGTGGCTATGAGGCCTCAGGGAGGTGCTCTGGGGGTGTCTCACCCTCGCAGGTGAAAGGGGAGCAGCCACGCCCTACTGCTGCACTCTTGGTGCTGGAGTCTGACTTCTTCGTGAGGCCTCTCTCTCTGCCAGCCTTCCTCTTTGACTTGGGGCCATGAAATGCCTGCCAGGGCCACTAGGTGGCAGGCGGCCCTACCGTGAGTTCTGGAGCAGGCTTTTCTCTCTGGGGCGAATGCGTTGATTGGAAAAACCCACTGCCCCTGGAAAGACACCAGCCCGGCATGGCCAGCTGTCAGGCAGACTAGGGAAGGGACATGGGCAAAGGGGTCCAAGAGGGCACTTTTGGGACCAGCCTAGCCAGGATTTTAGCAGAGGTTAAGATTCTGGGCTGGCTCCAGCAAGGTGCCCAGCAGCTGCCTGGGTCACCTGTCTGTCCCATGACTTCACAGGGGCAGGGGGTGGGGGGAGTGGGAACACAAGAGAGAGGCTAGAAAGGGGGCGGGGGTCCCAGCAAGCTGGCACTCAGGCCCTTCCTTGCACAAGTCCCTGATGTCTCCTGCCCCACACGCCTGCTGCAAGGAAAGTAAGACCCCATGGCCCATCCTTTGCTAAACTGCAGCACGTGGAACAGGCTGAGAGAATTTGAAGGTCCCAAGGTGCACAGAATCCAACTTGCAGGCTTTCTGTCGAACACAGAATGGCTTGCTCACCTGAACTACGAAACACTGGAAGGCAGGGCCCAGCTCCATCTCTCATCCTGCCCCATGTGCTAAGGTCTGAATGTTCGGGTCCCCCTACCCCCAGATCCTATGTTGAAATCCTAACCTCCAATGTGATGGTGTTAGGAGGTGGGGCCTTTGGGAGGTCATTAGGTCATGAGGGTGGAGCCCTCATAAATGGGATTAGTGCCCTTACAGAAGAAGTGCCAGCTGGACATGGTGGCTCACACCTGTAATCCTAGCACTTTGGGAGGCTGAGGCAGGCAGATCACTTGAGATCAGGAGTTCGAGACCAGCCTGGCCAACATGTTGGAACCCTGTCTGTACTAAAAATACAAAAATTAGCCAGGTGTGATGGCGCAGGCCTGTAATCCCAGCTACTTGGGAGCCTGAGGCAGGTGAATTGCTTGAACCTGGGAGGCGGAGGTTGCAGTGGGCCAAGATCATAGCACTGCACTCCAGTCCGGGTGACAGACAGAGACTCTGTCTCAAAAAAAAAAAAAAAAAGTGCCAGAGAGCTGTCCTGTCCCTTCTGCCATGTGAAGATACAACAAGAACCCACCATCTATGAACCAGAAAGTGGGGTTCTCACCAGACACTGAGTCTGCTGGTGCCTTGATCTTGGACTTCCCAGCCTCCAGAACTGAGAGACATACATTTCCATGGTTCCAAAGTTATCCAGTTTATGGTATTTTATTAAGCATCCCAAACAAACTAACACCAAGCCACCACTGCAGAATACGAGAGCATCCAGACAGTTTGAAAACTGCCAATCTAACTTGATGTCTTCACTTCTGCAAGCCAGAGAGGTTAGGTGACTTGCCCAGGGTTTCCAGCCAGTCAGAGGCAGAACTGGGCCCCAAATCCAGCCTCCAAACTGCTCTTTTTACTCCACTTTGTGTTAGTTTTCTTAGATTCTAGCAACTTAAGTTCCCAAGAGTCTGGGGATTCTGGGAACCCCCACCTCCCACCCTAAGCATCTCTGAGCTCTGTCAGGGCTCAGTCTCCCTCCCCACCTGCACCACAGAGGTTGAGGTGATCAGGTACCTCTGCACCACCACCCCACTAAGCCAGGAGGGCTAAGCCAGAGAAACTCAGAAACACCACCTCACCCTTGCCCCTCTGCCCTGGGACCCAGATCCATTGAGATGAAGTGTCCAGGCTGTTGAAAGGTGGAAACCCCTGCCCTCGCTGGAGAGCCCCAAGGTCATCTAGATGCCAGAGGCAAACACCTGCAAGGCTGGCTGTCCTAGGTGCTGTGACCTCCCACACCCTGACTATTGAAGTAGGGCAGGGAGAGGTGCAGGGATGTGCCCGTGCCACCCACCCCCCTTGCTGGTGTGCACAGCGTGGTGTGGGTTTGTCCTCTGGCCCCTGGAGCTGCCATGGGCAAGGTGTGACACTGCCGTGGTCAGACAGGGCTGCCAGGAGGGACAGTGTGCCCTCTGCCCTCTCTATGGGGCCAGAGGTGGGCTGGGGGGCTCTGCCTACTCAAGTCTGACAAAAGGGCTGGATGCAGGCAGCCTTGGTCAGAATCTAGGAACTGTTTAGCGCCGTTATGAACTTTTTTTGTACTTTGGCTTGTCCTCCAAATACTTGAAGTAGCCCAGAATTGACATGCTCTCTGGCCTCGAGAACTTCTCTGTTTCTCACCCAAATCCCCTAGGCTTCTGGGAACAGGAAGAAGGATCCCAGGAGGCCATGGCAGGATTGGGGTGGGGGACGCAAGTCCATAGGAGAGGGCTGCTGGCCCAAGGATGTCCCTGCCCTTTTCCTGCTCAGCCACCGTGCCTGTGGTTCTTCTGTGTGCATGCTGAGAGCTTCCCTTCCTTGGGGAAACCAAGGAAGAAGGCCCACAAAGTCCTGATGAGGTAGAAGTCCCAAAATGTGGGATGCAGAATGAGGCATTCATTCATTCACACAAGGCTATCAGCCTTACTTGTCTTGTCCTACACCACAGCCCATGTGTTTGGCATGGATAAATGGGTGGGTGGATGAGTGGAAGGGTAGATGGGCGAGTGGATGAGTGGATGGGTGGACGGGTGGATGGATGGATGGTAGATGAATGGGTGTGTGATTGCGTAGGTGGGTGGATGGGTAGATGGATATGTGGATGGGTAGATGAATATGTGGAGGGTGGGCAAATATGTGGATGGGTGCATGAGTGAATATGTGGGTGGGTGGATGGGCGAATATGTGGATGGGTGGGTGGTGAATATGTGGGTGGGTGGGTGGGTGGATGGGTAGGTGGGTGGGTATATGGATATGTGGATGGGTGAATGAATATGTGGAGGGTGGGCGAATATGTGGATTGGTGGGTGAGTGAATAAGTGGATGGGTAGGGGGATGGGTAGATGGATATGTGGATGGGTGGATGAATATGTGGGTGTGTGGGTGAATATGTGGATGGGCAGGTGGGTGGACAGATGAGTGGACGGATGGATGGGTGGGTGGTTAGGTGGATGAGTGGATGCATGGATGGATGGGTGGGTGAATGGGTGGGTGGATGGATGGATGGATGGGTGAATGGGTGGGTGGATGGATGGATGGGTAGATGGTTATGTGGATGGCTGGGTGAATATGTGGATGGGTGGATGAGTGCATAGATGGATGGGTGAATGGATGGGTGGATGGGTTAATGGATGGATGAATGATGGATTGGTGGGTAGATGGATGGATAGGTGGATAGGTAGATGGAAATGTGGATGGGTAGCTGAATATGTGGATGGGTGGGTGGGTGAATACGTGGGTGGGTAGGTGGTTGGATGAGTAGATGGATGCATGGATGGATGACGGATGGGTGGGTGGACGTATAGATGGATAGATGGATAGGTGGGTGGATGGGTAGATGGGTGGGTGGATGGGTAGATGGGTGGGTAGGTGGATGAGTGGATGCATGGATGGATGGGTAGGTGAATGGGTGGATGGATGGCTATATGGATGGACAGATGAATAGATGGATGGATATATGGCTACACTGGGCAGCAGATAACCATTGCTGAAGAAACCTTGGCTTCTCTTGAATTCCTGGACTTCCTAGAAGACAACTTGTTCCCATTACAGGACATTTTTAACTACAGAGAAAAAAAAAAGGTAGATACAGAGGTCCCAGTGCCACTAGCCAAAGTTATATATGACAGCAAACGTCATGGCTTTAACACGCTCCCCTGAGCTGTCAACAACTCATGGAACTATCTCATCAAACTATCACCCCAGAGACTGGAACATGCAAAAAAAATGCGAACAGATACAAAGAGGGTCTGCTCATCTCAAGAACCACAAAGCCCAAGGGGAACCCTCAGGGCCTGGGAGGATGGTTCCCTCCTTTGAAGCTGATGTCTCAGAGGGGAAGTCAGGGCTCCCTCAGAGCTGATATCTGGACTGGCTGCCCCTCAGGAAATTCTTGGTGGATGGGTGGCTGAGGCTAAGTGGGTGGGAGGATGTGGTGGGAAGGAGGAAAGGGGAAGGGAAACTGAGCATGGGGTGGACCAAACCACACCTCTGCCTTCATCCTATTGGGGAGCACAGGGCTTCTTACTCATATCATTAACTTCCCACTGATGGAGGTCCTGACCCAGGGCTTATGAGCAAGGGGCCGAGAGTCCCTGGGGGTCACCCCTGTCTAAGAACTGATTGTCACTGTCTCTCAGACTCTTACTGTGAGCACTGCCTGCCACTTCAGCCCCTTCTTTTATACTACTACCTCCTGCTGTTCCCGCTACAAAGACTGCCTTTTCCCTTTTTTTTTTAATCAGCTGGCTCCTATTTATCCTTCATTGCTCAGCTCAGATGTCACCTCCTCCAGGAAGCCTTCCCTGACTGCACAGTCTGGGTAACATGCTCCTATGCCTTCTGGGATTCCAACTATTCCAGCACTTGTTACGTGGAGGTGGCACAGTCTCTTGACTGGCTCATCTCTCCCCCTAATCTGTGAGCTCCTGCAGGACAGGACCTGTGTAGGATTCACATTTGCATCCATGGGTCCAGAGCTCAGCCAGAGTCTGGCATCCAGGAGGTGCTTGTTGGGCCACCTAGAGTGCCCGTGGCGTGGCTGAGTTGGGGGTGTGCAATGCACCTGATGGGCAGGGGGTGGTGACTCACCCTCCCCCAGCTGCAGGGCGGGGTCCATGAGCTCCATCATGTACTCCACATTGAGAAGCATCTCCGTGAGGTTGCTGCGGGCCAGCACATACATGAGCACAGGCAGGAAGTCATCCGCCCCATAGGGCTTCCCTGGGAAGAAGAAGGAGGCAGAGGGAGATGAGTTCCAGGCTCTCCTTGTGAGATGCTCTCTGCCCAGGGTAGGGGACAGTGGTTTGCTGAGTGTGGATGGCGATCCCTGGAAGAGGAATGTTCCTGCTCTCTCATGACTCTCAGGACAGAGAGGACCCAGGGAGCAGCCTCCTCAGGAGGCCCGAGAAACAGTCCAAGTTTAGGAAGAAGGAACTGAGAAAGTGCCCTCGGCTGGGTGGAGCAAGACCCTGACCCCTTCCCCTTTCCTAGTCCTCCCTCTCCATGACCGCCCCCTGCTGCTTGCTTGACAGACAAATTCACATCATATTTATTCGTGGACCCACCCAGAAGCATTCATGGCTCCTGGCAAGGTTCCCTATCCCCACGAATCATACATCTCCCTCCCACCTGCGAAACAGAAACCTCTTCCTCACCCAGACACTACGAGACCTGAAATGTCACCATTCAGCCTTCTTCCTTTTTTTGGCGTAAACAGTGCCCTTTCCTAAGGCCTTCTTTTAAAACGTAAAGACCCCTCGAAGTATCATCTCATCACTACTGCCTTTGAGGGAGATGTTCACAGGGCTCAGAGCATCCTGACAGCAACAGACACTTTGCGTGGCAGATGGAGGGCGCTCTATAAAGGAACAGTGGCAGGAAGGAGGGTGGAAGGTGGGTCCGAAAGATACCTCCCCAGTGTGGCTCTTGGCTGGCCCTGAAGATTGCCCATTTGGCAACGCAAAGCCCAAGGCTGGAACTGTGGGTGGAGAATTCTGACCAGAATAGAATCTTCCTGCAGGCCCTTGGCTGGTCTTCTAGCCAGACTCTGCAAGTGCACTGGAGAAATGAAGCTTCGGTGAGCAGCTGTGCATGGTGGGAATGGCCACGCCTGGTCCCCAGCCCACCTTCTCACTTCCTCTAACCAAAGGGAGTCCAAGGCTCAGGCAAAGGTCTCCAGACTCAGCCGGGGGTTACCAGGTCTGGATGTGGACCGCAGAATAACCCATGCCAGTGCTGCTACCTTTGTGTTTTGGGTGAGATTAATAATCCATCCAAGCACATGCCAAGCAATGTATAGCTCTTGCAAAAAGTGTGTTTCTACTTGACATGTTTACAAAGGATTTAGGGACCATCAGGAAATACACCTGATAAAACAGTAACATCTAAATAAAAATTTGAAAACCATCAGTACCAATATAAATTACTAGAGGGATGATACTATAGGAAACATAAAAATGCAAATAAGCAGGAACCTACACAACTACTCTTTTACAGCAGCAAATTTGGCTTTGAGTTTCCTGCTGGCCAAAGCAAAAAGGAAAACAGTTACATTCTCACTGTCCATGAAGAAAAAATATACCTATTTCTTGGGGGAATCAAATTATTTTTCTAACTCTTAGCTCTAAAAGAAAATTTTCACATGTGGCTTCATTTGGGGACATAGAGAGACATGCCTGGCAAGTTCCTATCACACACATGGATGTTTGACTCATGATGGTCCTACCATTGTGTCAGGTGCAGCTCATGGCAAGCACTTCCAGGGGAGGGAGGAGGCAACTTTCTTTTCCCTTTTTTTTTTTTTTTTGAGACAGAGTTTTGCTCTTGTTGCCAAGGCTGGAGTGCAGTGGTGCCATCTCGGCTCACTGCAACCTCCGCCTCACGGGTTCAAGTGATTCTCCTGCCTCAGCCTCCTGAGTAGCTGGGATTACAGGCGTGCGCTGCCATACCCAGCTGATTTTTGTATTTTTAGTAGAGATGGGGTTTCACCATGTTGGCCAGGCTGGTCTTGAACTCCTGACCTCAAGTGATCCGCCCGTCTCAGCCTCCTAAAGTGCTGGGATTACAGGTGTGAGCCACAGCGCCCGGCCTTTGAGACAGGGTTTCACTCTGTCGCCCAGGCTGGAGTATGGTGGTTTAATCTCAGCTCACTTGCAACCTTGACTTCCTGGGCTCAAGCAATCTTTCCACCTCAGCCTCCTGAGTAGCTGGGACTACAGGCACATACCACCACACTCAGCTAATTTTTGTATGTGTATATTATTTGGTAGAGATGGGGTTTCGCCATGTTGCCCAGGTTGTCAAATTTCATAGTGAGCTCTGCACATTCACATCTGTCCTTGTAACAATGAGGCTGCTTCCTGCCTGAATAAAAGACTTCAGAGAGCTAAAGTGACCCTCCTGGGCAACTGCACGCTACACTGCTGAGAGGCGCGGTGTGAAGGCTGAGTCTCCAACCCCAGACCTGGGTTCAAATCCCAGCTCTACTACTCACCAGCTGTGGACCGTAGCAAGCTCCTTCCCTCCTCTCACCTCGGCAGGGAGGTTGGAGAACGAGGTGCCCGAGGATGTTTGAGGATTAATTGAAACGGCACAGGTGGTCAGAGCCATAGCAAAGCCTGAGGCAAAAGGAAAACTGCGTGCCCCATATGTGTTTATCAAAATAGCCTCTCATATTTTGAACCAGGTGGAAAAAGTTAACAAACGCACTACACTCAAGAAACAACGACTGTATCTAAAATCTGGTTGCCAATCTGTTTGCTTTCTACTGTCAGCCGTCACAAACGTATGTGGGCCTGGAAACTGCAGGCTGATTGGAAATGACTGCTCCTGTTGCACAGTAGTGCAGGATCATAAAACAGACAACAGCCTGACTTCACTGAAGATGTGGCGGCCGGGCGCGGTGGCTCATGTCTGTAATCCCAGCACTCTGGGAGGCCGACGCATGCGGATCACCTGAGGTCAGGAGTTCGAGATCGACCTGGCCAATGTGGGGAAGCCCCATCTCTGCTAAAAATACAAAAATTAGCCAGGAGTGGTGGCGTAAGCCTGTAATCCCAGCTACTTGGGAGGCTTAGGCACGAGAATCACTTGAACCTGGGAGGCAGAGGTTGCAGTGAGCCAAGATTGTGCCACTGCACTCCAGCCTGGGCGACAAAGTGAAACTCTGTCTCAAAAAAAAAAAAAAGTGGATATTTTGTTCATCATGGCTTTTCTTTGCATTAATTTTTATTTTTTAAAAAATACTGCATTAAAATAGTACTTATCTTGTCACATGAGCCCAAAGTTCCACTCTTAGTTATATATACACCTGAGAGAAACAACAATATATTTCCACACAGAGACCTGCACACAAATGTTCATGGCAGTATTGGTCATAATAGCTAAGAAGTGGAGATGGCTCCACTTGTCCATCACTTGTGGATACACAGGCAAAATGTGGTGCATGCACACCATGGAAAAGTCTTTGGGAATAAAAAGGAACAAGCTACTCATACATGCTGTGATATTGATATTTGTTCATTTTTTTGAGACCGGGTTATGAGACTGGCTATTTTTTTTTTCCTTTTTGTATTTTTGGTAGAGACAGGGTTTTGCCGTGTTGCCCAGGCTGGTCTCGAAGTCCTAGGCTCAATGATCCACCTGCCTCAGCCTCCCAAAGCGCTGGATTAAAGACGTGAGCCACCATGCCTGGCTGCTGTGATATTGATAGACCGTGATGATATTATGCTAAGTGAAAGAAGCCAGCCATGGAAGACCACATATTGTACGTATGATAGGACATAGGATTCCATCTATATGCAACGTCCAGAATAAGCAAACCCACAAACAGAAAGCAGATGAGTGGTTGCCTGGAGCTGGGCAGAAAAGAGAATGGGGAGTGATTGCTAATGGGTACCGAGTTTCTTTTTGGGGTGATAAAAATGATTTGGAATTGGAGTAGTTTTAGTTGTATGACCTTGCAAATATACTGAAAACCACTGAATCATTTTAAAAATTATGTGTATACACACACACACACACACACACACACACATGCACACACATATATATATAATTTATCTTTGTGGTTGAGTTTCTTGGGCATCCCCCTACATTTTGCCCCTAAGGCAAGTGTCTCCCCTCCCTGCCAGGGCTTGTGATTTCAGGGTCACATTCAGCCGACCAGGAGGTCTTGTGTTCCTTGCCTGCGCAGTCTGTTCTAGCCTGGTGTGAGTAACAGAGACTAGTGGTTGCTTTCCTTCCTCTTGCATTCTCCAGTCTCTATTTTCTTTTTCTTTTTTGTAGAAGGAGTCTTGCTCTTGTCGCCCAGGCTGGAGTGCAGTGGCACGATCTCGGCTCACCGCAACCTTCACCTCCCAGGTTCAGGCGATTCTCCTGTCTCAGCCTCCTGAGTAGCTGGCATTATAGGTGCTTGCCACCACGCCTGGCTAATTTTTGTATTTTTTTTTTTAGTAGAGATGGGATTTTGCCATGTCGGACAGGCTAGTCTCAAACTCCTGACCTCAAGTGATCCGCTCGCCTCAGCCTCCTAAAGTGCTGGATTTACAAGCGTAAGCCGCCGCACGCCCGGCCCCAGTCTCTATTTTCAAAGTAACAGCACTCCTGACTTTTAGCCAGGATAGGGCCACCCCAAATAAAGACTCCATTTCCCATCTTGCCTCATAGCCTGGGCGGCCTTGTCTCTAAGTCCTGGCTCCTGCAGTATAACACTGGCACCATGGATGCCTCCAGTCACTTTTGTCCAGTGAATGTGGATTCTGCTTATGGCCCGTCCTTGTTTAATTTTTTAGACAATGCGGCCCCTTGTGACCTGCCTTTCTGGCCACACTCAGTTTCTACATCTGCAAAATGGGCCAGCAACACTGGTGCTGATGACATCCTGGGATGCAGAGGACACCCCAAATGTCCACAGGGCCACGGGTGAGAAACCCTGCTTGAGGGAGTAATGACTTTTGGCCAAAGGATGGCCCAGATGGGGCCCTAGGTCTGAGGACTTCGGGGCCGGCCATGTGGGTATGAGGGGGCAGGAAGGGAGGGGGCCCAGGACTGTGGCTTTGTATCCCCTGGCTATGGAAGGTCCTTCACCTGCTCTTCTCCCCATGTTTTCCTTGAGGAATCTTGACCGACAATCCCACGTTCCTACTAATTTCACTCATCCTTCAAGATCTGCCTCCTCCAACTCCAAGAAGCCCTCCTGGGCTGCCCCAGGGTTACTGGTGCTTACTCTACTTTCCATCTTCCAACTTGAGATGACATTCTGCCTCCATCACCCTCCCACATAACATCCCACTGGGCTGCACCACGGCCCATTCCCTGAACTCTGAGTGCACTCTCCCCTCTCCAGGCCTTTGCACACGCAGTTCCCCCCCTCCTGGGACCCCCTCCCTACCTTCCCGTTATCAACTTCTTGTGCTCTCCCACATCCTCCAGCACAGCTGGACAGTTCCTGCTCTGGCTCCCATATGCCTTGACTGATTCAGAGCCTGCCCCCTTCTTCACATCGTGAGTGTGCTGAGGGCATGGATGGAGGCTGTGTGAGCCAGAGTGAGTCACTAACCCTCTCTGAGCCTCTCTCGCATCACTGCCTTTCCAGCCCCCAGCACAGGCTTGGGACGTAGGCTGCTGACAATGGACTGAACTATGTCCCATGTGTGTTCTTACTGGGTGCCACTCTGTCCTGCCAGGGGTAGGGTCATGGTCATAGACACTGGGATGTCCTGTGGGCCTTAGAAAGTGATGTGCTGGGAAATGCTTAACAACTGGCTCTCTGAAGGAAAAAAATCAACCTTGATTTGTAGCATTTGCCAATTTCCATGATCTAAATATTTCCACAATTTCCAACGTCAAGCTACCAACAAGAACACAGAGCTGGGAAGAGATAGATGCCCACAGCCAGCTCCCACGAGCTGGTGCGAGCTGACTCCAGCACACCATTGGCTTTAGTTTATCACGCCCAACCACACTGTGAGGAAATTGAGGCTCAGAGATGGGAGAAATTTGCTCAAAGCCCTGCAGCTGGTCAATAGCAGAGCTGGGACTAGAATCTGGGTCTCTGGCTGTTGACGTTGGTGAGAAAGTATCCACACAGGCATGATAGCTCCTCATGGACCAACACAAGCTTCAAGCATTGTTTAAACGCACTGGGTCCCAGCCCAACATTTTGGCAGTTAGGGCTGCCCTCTCCTTCCTGAGCAGCCTGGAACCCCAGGCTCAGGGCTAAGCCCTGAGCACATCGGAGCCTCAGGAAGTGCCACTGGGATGTTAGCTGCAAAATACTTCTCCTGTGAGCTGAACATCTGTCTTGGGTGGACCAGAGATCACGCCCATTTGGCTGTGCATTCAAATGCCCTGCTGGCGGCAGCCTCCACTTCCTGGTGATTTCTGCTTTCTTTTTTGCCAAGTCACATCTGTTTGCCATCTGTAGGTAGCTGATCACATTTCAAAAAGCTGGCTGGGGTTTTATGCATATTTCATCCACTGGGAGATTTTGGAGAAGGAAAGCTCTCTTTAAGATCAAAATGAGCTGAAGAGGTGCTCAGCTGGGTCACCCAGACAGTGAAGATTAGAAAGGCCCTAATTCCAGCCTGGGCAACATAGTGAGACTTTGTCTCTACTTAAAAAAAAAAAAAAATCAGCTGGGTCTGGTGGCATGCATCTGTAGTCCCTGCTACTCTGGAGGCTGAGGTAGGAGGACTGCTTGAGCTCAGGAGGTTGAGGCTGCAGTGAGCTATGATTGTGCCACTGCACTCCAGCCTGAGTGACAGGGTGAGGAAGCATTGTCTAAAAGAGGGGCTAGCAAATTTTTTTCTGTAAAAGGCCAGAAAGTAAATATTTTTAGTTTCAGGGGCCACAGGGTCTCTGGCCTAACTATTCAACTCAGCCCTTAGAACATAAGCAGCCCTAGATGCTGAGTATGGATATGGGTTGTGTTCCAATAAAACTATTTGCAAAATCAGGTGGTAGGCCAGAGTTGGCTGGGAGGGCCACAGTTTGCAGACGCTGATGGAGAGGAAAGGACTGAGCATCTTATCAAAACTACCCCCCACCTCACCCCCACCCAGGGCACCCATTTGTTGACTGGGCTCTTACTGAAAGCCAGTGGCTGATGCTGCAACACTGGGGCAGCAGGAGGCTCATGACTGTGCCCTGCCCTGGCCCTCGCTTTCCACCATGATTCCCATTTAGAGCCACTTTTTTCCTCCCAGAAGTCTTCCTTGAAGACCTCCTCAGCTAAGGCCAATGCCCTTGTAATGGCTCTCCCCAGTCCTGGCATTGCAGAATGGGAAAGTCAATATCACACGTTAACTCAGAGAGGCCTTCCCTGACCACCCAGTCCCAGGACAGCAAACTCCTCCAACACTCCTCAGACCCCCTACCCTGCTTTATCGACCCCAGTTGCACGTTTCACCTTGGAGGATATATTTTGCATTTCTGTTTACTTGTTATTGCCTATCTCCCCTCCTTGAATGAAAGTTTTACTCGGGCAGGTACCTTATCTTCTTCACTGTTTATATCTGACATCTCAGCGGTACCTGGTCTATAGTAGGTGTTTAATAAAAATATTTGCTAAAAGCATGAATGAATATCAGTTATCACACTGCAAGATGCTTGCTTATTTAATGCTTGTTTTTAGCTTGAATTGTGAACATCCTAAAAACATGGGCTGGGTCTTCTGGGTTTTGTTCTTAACATCTGCATTGTCAAAAAAAGTTTGTTGAACGGTTGAATGAATGAATTTATTTGATAAAAACGTATGACAGCAGGAAGTAGAGGCCATTTAGAACAGTAGACTTCAAATCTGTGTTTGCAATGGAAACCTTTAGTAATGGGTACCTTATGCACAGTTCAGCTTCTCTGGTTGACTCAGGGTGGGGCAGCAGAGCTGGCCTGCTCATCTCCTTTCAACTATGTCCCTCCACTGTTCCCATGGCGGCCCCCAGCTATGTCTGTGGCCCCTAGAGAGTTTCCTGGAAATAGTTTGAAAACTACTGATCTAGTCTGAACTGTCCGCTGCACAGATGAAAGAACTGAAGCCTCGGCAGAGAAATGCTTGGCTGGAGGTCACTTGTCAAGTCTGTGGCTGTCATGAGATTAGAACCCAGCCCCCTCTCTCCCACTGAGCTCCTTGAAGCTACCCTGTTTGGTTGCTTGCACTTTGCACAGATGCTGGTTAAGTCTCAGTTCTGCTCTGAGCTACACTGTGTCCCTGAGGAAAACACTCCAGCTCCCTGGGTTTCTCTTCAGAGAGCTCAGCCCACAAGCCAGTCAGCTACACAGGCTGTGGGCTCTGAGGTCTGAAGCCATGAAGTCCCACTCTGGCTTGAAAAGGCATGAGGTTGGAGGCACTGCAAAACTCAGCCATGACTTGTGTCTGTCTTTTCTGAGGTCATCTCTGACCTCAGGATGCCCTGGGGAGGCAGGCTGGAGAGGCCAGAGGGCCCTGGGTTTCAGCAAAGGACCCGGGTTCAAGTCTCAGGTCAACCACTCACCTGCTCATCAGGTGTGACCCTAAGCGTGCTACTTAACTTCACTGAGCCTTAGTTTCCTCAGCTGTAAAATGGGGATAATCACAGTGTCCACATCCCCTGGAGTGGTTGTGAGGATGACATGACAAGACAGATGGAAGGTGATTAGCATGGACTAGTAAATGCTAGACACAATTATTATGAAAGACAGGAGGGGATTTTGTCCTATAAGCCTCAGAACATGACATCTTAGGGGGCCTGCACTCCATTTGTGTTGTGGGGTAAAAAAGCGAGGTTGTGAGTTACAACCTTTTGGAGAAGGAAAGCTCTCTTTAGCTCTCTTTCAGATGCCCCCCCATTCCTGTCACCTGGATGTCAATCCCTAGGGAGACCTAGGAAGTCTTCCTATGCATGGATCCCTGAATGACCATATGGAGCATGGCCCTCCACCTCCAAACCTCCTCTATGCAATTGGACTTACATGAGTGAGAAGTACACTTCTATTGAGTTAGAGATGAGAGGGCTTATCCAGCATCAAATAGCAGCAAATGTTTATAGCAGCAAATGTTTCCTTAACCAATTATCTATTTACCTATCTGTAGTTATTTCAAAAAGACTAGAAAGAAATTCACCAACAGACTATTGATCAATTTGCAACAATAAACATGAGCGACTTTGATCATCAAAAATCAGTTTAATTTTTTTTTTTTTTGAGACGGAGTCTTGCTCTGTCACCCAGGCTGGAGTGCAATGGTGTGATCTTGGCTCACTGCAACCTCCGCCTCCTGGGTTCAAGCGATTCTCCTGCCTCAGCCTCCTGAGTAGCTGGGATTACAGGTGTGCGCCACCATGCCCAGATAATTTTTGTATTTTTGGTAGAGACGGAGTTTCACCATGTTGGTCAGGCTGGTCTTGGTCTTGAACTCCTGACCTCATGATCCGCCCGCCTTGGCCTCCCAAAATGCTGGGATTACAGGCGTGAGCCACCGTGCCTAGCCCAGTTTAATTTTTTTAAACACAGATTTAAAAAAATCAACAGCCTGACCTCCCTCCCTGTCCTCTCTACCCCGTCAATGTCACAAGGCCCATTATTCCATACCCCTGGGGTCCCCATCAAGAGCCCCCCTCCCATCCAATTCCTCTGCGGCTGCCCCTGCCTGAACCAGCTGTGGACTCTTGACTCTGTGGTCTCTGCCAGGGAAGTGGATGGCAGGGGACCTGGGAATCTATCACCACCCGGTTGGCCCCCACGTCCCACCACCTGGTCATTAGTGTGCTCCATCCCCCTGGGGTTAGGAGCCAGGCCCTGTTTCCAGAAGCTCACGTGGGTGGTATCAGGGTGTTTACATAGACTACTCAAGGAGCTGAAAAGGCAGCCTCTGGCCATCAGTACCCTCTGGGATGCCTCCTGCTCGGCATTCACATTAGAAGGTTCCCAAACTGCACCCCTACCGTCTTTCTCCCCCTCCCATCTTGAAGAGGTTTCTTGGGCTTGAGTCTGTTTCTCCCCAGCAGAGGACCAGCTCCGAATGACTAGTCTTAGACATCAAGGAGGTGGGAATGACTTCTTTGTCAAAGTAATAGAAGAGATGAATCTAGAAGTTCTGGCTGCTCTCACCAAGCCTCATGAAGTCCATGAAGAATCCCGGTCTGCTCCTGATTCCAGGATGGAGGGCCAGTTTATCCAAAGCCATTTGCTTCCGTGAACTCCCCAATTTGCCGAACCCAGGGCCCTAAACTTGTGACAGGAGAAGACACACTCGACCAGGATTCTGAAGCTTGGGGTCCATTCCCAGGCCGGCCACTGGCACCGTGATAGAAGCACAGGCTTTAGAGTGAGCTGATACTAGGTTTAATCCTGGCCCTATCTTTCTGGAGAAGATAGCATGGCCAGTTAACCCAGATCTTGTGTCTCCATGTTTACCCCTTTCCTCGCTGTTCCAACAGGTCTTGCTAGCGGCCCGCCCTATTTTATTCCCCTTTCAAGCGGGCCATGAAGGTACCACATCAAGCTACTGTTGCCTGCATCATAGCAATGAGGCAGGTGGGTGAGGCATCTTCCCTGGAGGTGAGGGGGCTGGGAAGACTAGAGGCAGGGCTAGGCAGGATGGAAGTCAGGAGTGGTGGACAGGGAGGGCTGTTTTCTGTTTAAAGCAGTCAGTGGTGGAGGAAGTAGGTCAGTGGTGGAGGTAGGCGGGACTCGGGCTGGAGTCTGCCTCTCTGTGGGGTCACTCACAGCTCCCAGGGCTCAACAAAGAGCTGCTGGGCTGCATACCACACCTCGGGTAGCAAGGCCATAGACTACACAGCTGCCCGGATCACCTGCCAGGGGAAGGTATGATTGAATGCTGGGACCTCGTTCTAAAATTGCTGAACGTCAAAGTCAGAATTGAAGTCAGTTGGGATCTGGCTAAGACTGCATAACCTCAATCTAATCATCAGGAAACATCTGACAAACACAAAATGAGGAACTTTCATTAAGAAAAGGTGGGGCTGGGGGAAAAAAAACAGTATCCTTCAGAAACATCAATATCATTAAAGACAAAGAGTCCAGGCGCGGTGGCTCACGCTTGTAATCCCAGCACTTTGAGAGGCCGAGGTGGGTGGATCATGAGGTCAGGAGATCAAGACCATCCTGGCTAACATGGTGAAACCCCATCTCTACTAAAAATACGAAAAAAAATTAGCCGGGCATGGTGGTGGGCACCTGTAGTCCCAGCTAATCAGGAGGCTGAGGCAAGAGAATAACGTGACCCCGGGAGGAGGAGCTTGCAGTGAGCCGAGATTGCGCCACTGCACTCCAGCCTGGGCGATAGAGCGAGACTCTGTCTCAAAAAAAAAAAAAAAAAAAAAAAAAAGAGACAAAGGCTGTGGAAATACAGTCACGCAACGCATAATGAACTTTTGGTCAATGATGGACCACGTATATGACGGTGGTTCCATGAGATCATAATGCCAGACTTTTACTGCACCTTTTCTACATTTAGATATGTTCAGATACACAAATAGTTGCCACTGAGCTACAACTGCCTACAGTTTTCAGTATAGTCACATGCTGTACAGGGTGGTAGCCTGGGGGCAATGGACCATACCATACAGCTCAGGTGTATAGTAGGCTGTGCCATCTAGGTTTGTGTGAGTACACTCTAAAATGTTTGCACAACAATGAAATTGTCTAATGACGCACTCCTCAGATTCTATTTCCATCATTCAGCCACAGATATGAGATATTCCAAATTAAAGGAGGTTAAAAACATATGACAAGCACACGGAATATCTAACCCTTCATCAGATCCTGAACATGAGGGGGAAATTCTAAAAAGGACCTTATTAGGTCAAGTGACAACCTGAAAGTTTAGACAAAAATGCTGTATTAACATAAATTTATGCAACGGACAACTCCACCGTGGCTATGTAAGAGTTATGTAATGTTACATACATACATGCCACAAAATACCTAGGAAAGCGTTTGGGGTAAAGGACACAGGTGTATGTAAGTTACCCTTACGCTATTCAGACAAAACATTATGTATGCAGAGAGAGAAAGAAAATGATGAATGGCCGGGCTCAGTGGCTCACTGCTGTAATCCCAGCACTTTGGGAGGCCGAGGCGGGCAGAACACGAGGTCAGGAGATCGAGACCATCCTGGGCAACACGGTGAAACCCCGTTTCTACTAAAAATACAAAAAAAAAATAGCTGGGCATGGTGGCAGCCACCTGTAGTCCCAGCTACTTGGGAGGCTGGGGCAGGAGAATGGCGTGAACCCGGGAGGCGGAGTTTGCAGTGAGCCGAGATCGCGCCACTGCACTCCAGCCTGGGCGACAGAGTGAGACTCCATCTCAAAAAAAAAAAAAAAAAAAAAGAAAGAAAGAAAGAAAATGATGAAGCGGAGGGGGTTGAATGTTAACAATTCACAAAGGGTCTGCAGGTGTCCTGTTTCCATTCTTAGAGTTTTTGAAGTTTGAAATTATTTCCAAATGAAATGTTAAAAAAATAGAACTCTTTATTTGAAACAAAATCCCATGCAGAACCCCATGTGTAAAACAGGTACAAGCAGCGTTGTCTGGGGTGGAGCTGGCTTGGGGACCAGCTTGTCTTTTGACCCTTTGGTGGCCCCTGGGGTGCCTTGGGGAATCCATCTTGAAAACCACTGAGTTCAGCTTCTGTATTGTTGGGAACGTGGCTGGGAGGCAGCTGTTCCTGTATCCTAACATCTAGACGCTCATTCATAAACTTTGACCCTCACAATAGCCCAGAGAGAGGCGTTCCTAGCCCCATTTAAAGAGTGGGAAAACCGAGGCTCAGGAAGTAACTCCTTGAGCACTTAGGCTGTCCCATGTGCTGTCCCAGCCCCTGCATCGCAACATGACAAGTGTATCACCCTCATTTTGTACACAAACAAAGGTCCAGGGAGATTAATGTCCAAGGCTATAGCACCGAAGCTGGGATTCAAAACCAGGACCGTGGATGAACCCCAAATCCTCTGCTCTTTGGATTTGGGGTTGACAAATCCCAAACCGATTTGAGCAGAACCTAATTCCGCCCAGGTGAAGATGCTGAGGCTCTGACTGGAGCAGCCCTGGCCTGCCCGGTTCAGAGATGAAATTGGGAGTCACGGTGCTCCCAGTCCAGTGCTCAACCAGTGGTGGGAGGGAAACATTCTTTCTGTTCCTTGATAAGAAACCCACTGGTTTCTGGGGGAGACCCTGGCCTGACCTTCACGTCTCAGAGTCTCCCCGACTGGGTCTGGCTTCTGGATCTGCAGAGATTCCGGCCTCCCTCCCTCTTGCCTGCTGAGGATAGAAAGCAGCAAGCACCTGGTTCTGTTCCATTCAACCACATGCGGCACCAGCCATGCCCTTTCCAGCAGCTGCCTTTCTTGCTCCTCCTCCCTACTCAAAATGAGCCATTCCTTCCTCGAATCCCTGCTCTCTGGTAAGTTTTTAGGAAGCGAATTCATTGTTAGCAAAAATCACGGTGTTTGACTTTCACCACAAGGACGATAACTATGTGAGATGACGCTAGCTTTAGTCATTCCACAATGTAGATATACTTGAAAGCATCATGTTGTACACAATAAATACATACAATTTTATCTGTCAATTTACAAAAGTCAGGCTGGGTGTGGTGGCTCACACCTGTAATCTCAGCACTTTGGGAGGCCAAGGCGGGCAAATTGCTTGAGCTCAGGAGTTCGAGACCAGCCTGGGCAACATGGTGAAACCCCGTCTTTACAAAAAATACAAAAATTAGCTGGGTGTGGTGGCACATACCTGTAGTCCCAGCTACTCAGGAGGCTGAGGTGGGAGAATTGCCTGAGCCTGGGGGGTGGTGCCACTGTACTTAAGCCTGAGTGACAGAAAGAGACCCCGTGTTAAAAAAAAAAAAAATCATGCTGTTTGAATGTTGCTGCTCAGTCATGGGGTTTTAAAAAGAATTCCAGGAAGCTAGGGGTTTCTGGATAAACTGGGACTCATTGAGAATGGAATTGCCCCTTCCAGCGCAAAGCTGTCTCCCTCATCATGTCTCAGCGTCTGTAAAACCCTTGGCTCTGACTTTGCCACCAAGCCTAGCAAACCCAGGGGAAACGATTTCCCTAATTAGAAATTCAGCACTGAAACCAATCAACAGCTATTGTGACTAAGTGCCAACTGCTGGGCCACATGCAAACTTCAGACTCCTCGAAGCTTCAAGACAGGCCTGCAAGGTGGTTGTGGCTGTGCCTATTGAACACAAGAGGAAACTGAGGCTGAGCACCTAAGTCATCTGAACACAGCCACAAGCCGAGAAGCGGCAGAGCCGGCAAGGAAGCCTGGACCTTGCTCTTCCATGATCCCCCCCAGGGTCCCAGGGCCAGCCTGCCTGCTCTCCCCGAGGCTGTTCCCAGCAAAGGGTCCCCCGGGGCTCTGTCTCCTTTCTGCCTTGATCCAGTCTGACTGCTGCTTCCCTGTAGGACACCTCTGAGCTTGCCTCCCTCCCCGACCCCTGCTGCTGCAGAGACAGCCAGGACTGCCTCTCTCTGAGAAGGCTTGAGAAGGCCCCGCTCATTCTCGGACACCCTTTGCCAGGCCATGAGGGGGTCTTAACCCTCCGCCTCATGTCGCCTGGCAGGGCATACTCGACTCTTTCCCTGGGTCCCAGCCCTCTGGGGCTGACCAGGTCAAACTCGCCAAGAGCTCTGGGCTCTGCAGGCTGTCCGCTGTCCCCCATGTACTTCTTTGGGGATTTTTCCTGGAGGTTACTCAGTTGCAGAGTTTACATCCTGGGCCTGTTCTCTGGGTTCTAGGCTGCACAAGACACCCGACCTCCGAGCCTAATGTCCACTCTGTGAAAACAAACCCTTCACTACATCCTGCTTCTACTACAACCCTCTCTCTTCCCATCATATCTCCAACATCAGGATAAAGTGTTAATATGGAGTTCGCCTTGGCGTGGTGTCTCCTTTTGGGGAGCACAATTCTATTTTTTGTGTGTGTGTGTGTGTGTGTGTGTGTGTGTGTGTGACAGAGTCTCACTCTGTCACCACCCAGGCTGGAATGCTGTGGCATGATCTTGGCTCACTGCAACGTCTGCCTCCCGGGTTCAAGTGATTCTCCTGCTCCAGCCTCCTGAGTAGCTGGGATCACAGGCGCCCGCCAACACACTCGGCTAATTTTTGTATTTTTAGTAGAGATGGGGTTTCACCATGTTGGCCAGGCTGGTCTCAAACTCCTGACCTCGTGATCCGCCCACCTCAGCCTCCCAAAGTGCTGGGATTGCAGGCATGAGCCACCGCACCTGGCCTGGGGAGCACAATTCTAACACATGGTCGCAGGACACAAATCAGTTTACCACAAAAATGTGACTCCAACCTGGAATTGTGTCCTGTACCAGATCTGAGAGGAAAGGTTTCTTGGGTGAGGGGATCTGGCACCATACCCCAATCATACCCACAATTGCTTTCTGTTGGTCTATGGCCAAACTGGCCTGCCCTTCTCCAGGGGAGATGAAGAGAATCCCTCTTTTAACACAGCCACATTTGTTGAGCCTGCCAGGTGCTGTGCATGGAGGCCACCATTTTACATACATTGTTTCTAATACTCACAAGTGACTGAGTATGGCTTCTGAACCATTAGCGGTCTTAGGGTCTTTTATCCTCTCTGTAAAGCAGCTTCCTCAGGCGAGGAAATTGGGCTCTAAGGAGTTAAGTAAATCATTCAAGGTTAAATAGGTAGTAAGTGACAGACCAGGAGTTCGAACCCACGTCTGTGAGTCTACAGAGGTGGCTATCCATCCACTCTCTGTTGCCATGGCAGCCGTGTCCAGGTACACAGTCTGCTCACTGCACAAGGGCACCAGCTGAAGGGATGAATCCTGCCAGCATTCTCTTCATTGAGCTGTGCTCCATCGTGCAGTGATGCCTGTTCTTGTCTGCCTGGAGGACTGCAGTCAAATGATTACAAATAGTCCCACTGATTCCCCTCCCACATCCACACCCTTTACAATGTGCCTTTGTACTCTTTCCATCAAGAGGGGAAATGTTCCTCACTCCTTGAGTCTGGGATGGTCTCTTGTGCCTAAACAAGTCAATGAAAGGCATCAGAGTGACATCATGCCAGTTCAGGGCCAGGCCTCGATGGGCCTTGCAGGCTTTGCTTCTTCTCTTGGGCCCCAGCTACTGCCATGGACACATGCCTGTGCTAACCTGCTGGAGGATGAGAAACTCGTGGCTCAGTCATCCCCATCCCAGACCAGCCAACGGCTCATCAACCACTCAGCACGTGAGCAAGGCCATCCTAGACCAGCCAACAGCCAACCAACCACTCAGCAAGTGGGCAAGGCCATCCCAGAGCAGCCAACAGCCAACCAACCACCCAGCATGTGGGCAAGGCCGTCCCAGAGCAGCCAACAGCCAACCACCCACCCAGCATGTGAGCAACGCCATCCCAGACTATCTGGCCTCCAACTGGCCCACCTCTGACCACAGATCCATGAATAAGCCCACGCAAGCTCAGGCACGCCTGATCCAGATCAGATACTTGTCCATGCCCCATGGACTTACACGTCAAATCAATGCTAATTGTTTAAGGCACCTGTTAGGGGTTGAATTTTGTCCCCTCAAAATTTGTATGTTGAAGTCTTAACCCTTAACCTTATTTGGAAATAGGGTTGTTGCAGTTGTGATTAGCTGAGATGAAGTCACACTGGAGTGGGGTGGGCCCCTAATCCAGTCTGACTGGCGTTCTTACAAAAAGAGGAAATTGGGACACAGACATGCACACAGGAAGCACACCATGTGAAGATCAGAGTTCTGTGGCCACAAGCCAAGGAGCTACCAGAAGCTCGGAAGGAACAGAACCTTCCCTGGTGTCTTTAGAGGGAGCACAGCCATGCCCACACCTTCATCTTGAACCTTCCAGCCTCCAAAACTGTGAGACAATATGTTTCTGCTGGCTAAGCCACTCAGCTTGTGGTATCGTTTCAGCAGCCCTAGCAAACTAACACAGTGCTTTTCCTCATTCACACAAAGTTAAGGTGTGGGCTGGCTTCCTTGCTTGCCTCCAGGGCAACAGCCGATCATGGCTCTCCTCCCAGTCCCCAGGTAACTCCAAGAGGGCCCAGGAATTACACCCCACCCACACTCAGTTCCTCCCCAAGGGGGCTCTGAATCTGGAAAGTCTGGGGCCTTCCAAGGGCTCTGGAGTCCTGGTCAGGGTGGGGTCATGGACCCATACAAAGAGAGCTCCTCACCCAGACCCCTCCCGGCTGCCCACTGACCTGGGTTGCCGAGGGCCATGGAGTCGTAGATGAGTTTGCAGGTCTTGAGCAGGATGGAGATCTTCTTCTCAGGTGAGTAGGCCTTGTGCATGCTGGTGAACTTCTGCAGGATCTTCTCCATCATGGGCACCTCCGGCACGCTGGTGGTCACACCTAGGTCAGTGGTGGTGGTGGCCAGGATCACTAACTGGTTCTCCTTGAGCTGCTGCAGCGAACCATCCTTGCTGTGGATCTGATGCAGGCATGAGTTGATGGCTTCCTTCAGGGGCTTCAGGACACATTTGTACAAGGCAGACTCTACAATTGCTTCTGCAGGTAAACAAGAGAGCGAGGGTGAGGAAACCAGATGCAGGGATCCTGCCACCTGGTTCTGTTGCCCAACAGCACAGCCATCCCCATCCCCTGGCCCCTGGAAGGACACTCACAGCCCCAGCAGTTATACCCTGTGGTTCTGACACATGAGAGAGCACAGTTTATTCAAGAGAAAGCCACACTGGAAAGGCACTGGCACAGGAGCCCCTGGGAACTAATGCTAACTGGTCATTGTATCCTGATGCTTTTCACAGGGCCTGGCAGAGAGCAAACTTTCACAAGGCTGCCTATGAGTACATAACTTCAGAGGGTGTTACTCACACTGGAGTTGTACAGTGTACAACCTGGGCAGCTGTATGCTGATGGCCTGAATGCCCAGTAAATGACTGGTGGAATTATTCTTGATATCTCCCTTCCAATTCCCACACCCACTTGACTCTAGTCTCAAAAATACAGTACATCCAGAACCTTACTTTTTTATCACTTCTGTGGCTACTACCTTGACCTGGGTTGGTCAGGCTACCACCATCATCTCTTGCCCAGGTTATGTCAGTCAGCTTTTGCCCTGGCCCTTATAGTCTCTTGTCAACACAGCAGCTGGTGTTGTCCTGTTATGACATCTTTGATCGTAACATGCTTCTGTTTGGAAACCTCCAACGGCCCCCATCTCCCATGCAATCAAATCAAAGCCAAAGACTCCTCATGGCCTAAGAGGCCCCGCTGTGATCGGGCCCTGTGACCTCTCACTCATTGCTTTGCTTGCTCCCCATGCTCAGGCTGCTCTGCCAACTGCCAGGCCTGCTCCTGCCCCGGGGCCTTTGCTCCTGCGGTTCCCTTTGTGTGGTGCAGTCGCCTCGCAGTCGTCCACATGGCTGGTTCCTTCACTGTTCGAATGTCGTCCTATCTGAGAGGCATTCCCGATCAGCTCTTGGAGCAGGAGTTGGCGCTCTGATCTTGTAACTGCTCTGAGGCATATGTGCTCTGATGCCCACTCTGAGGATGGACCAGCTTAGGCTCTCATGGAGTGGGTTGGGGGTTGAACAAGGACTTGAACTCATGTCTACTTGATACCAAGGGGATGTCCAGTTGCTTTGGGTGACTGTAGAAACATATTCTTAGGAAGTTGTTTTGGCCCTCCTCTGTCTCCAGGGGATGGGTCTTGGTTACGGGCTGAGTAAGGGGAGGTCCCAAGCCCTGTTCCTGTAAGGAGACACCTGTGCTGCCCTAGCCCTGAGAGAGGAGGGAGGGACTCATGCTCCCACGGGGCTGGGTCTCAACAGAGGCCCGGACAGCCCTTCCCTGCCACTCAGGCCTGGAGCTGGCCCATGGCCATCCTGGGTCCCTTGCTGCTGCCTCCCTCTTCCCCTTCAGCAGAACACAGGGCTGCCCTCACTTCCCTCACCCCGTTCCTGACCCTCCTTCCACGCCCACCTCCCGACCTCACTGGAGCCTCCGCAGGCAGAGATGGGCGCAGATGGGGGTTGACCTGGGAGCAGGGACTTGAACTTCCCCACTGTCCTGGGCTTCTGCATGACCTCGGCCATGTCTCTTCCCCTCCCAGGGCCTGTTTCCTGAACTGCAAAATGAGAGGGCTGTGCCCACGCCCTCCCGGCCCCTTCACATCTAAGAGCCGCAGGATCTCTTCCTGGCACCTCCTCTCTGGTCTGGGGCCCTCAGCAGCCTCACGTCAGGACTGTTTTGTATCCAGTTGCTCCTTGTGACTTGTCTCCCTAATCAAACCAGAAGCACCCTAAGCATGGAGTTCTGTTGGCCTTTTTTTTTTCTTTTTTGTTTTTTGAGACAGAATCTTGTTCTGTTGCCCAGGCTGGAGTGCAGTAGTGTGATCTTGGCTCACTGCAACCTCCACTTCCCGGGTTTCAAGCAATTCTCCTGCCTCAGCCTCCTGAGTAGCTGGGATTACAGGTACCCACCACCATGCCTGGCTAATTTTTGCATTGTTTGTAGAGAGGGGGGTTTCACCATGTTGGCCAGGCTGGTCTTGAACTCCTGATCTCAAGTGATCTGCCCTCCTCGGCCTCCCAAAGTGCTGGGATTACAGGTGTGAGCCACCACACCCCGCCCTGTCTGGCCTTTTTATGTGGTTTAAGTTCCTTCACCATCTGACTGGCCACACACATGGGCAGAGCTTGGAAGGGAGAGGCAGAGGCAGAGACTCAGCTCATGGAAAGGGCTGGGCTGCCTGGGTCTGAAGCCCAGCTCTACTACCAGCTCTGTCCTCATGGCCAGGTCACCAAACCTCTCTGAGCTGTGGCTTCTTGGGCATGACAATAGCCAAGCCCATCTGGTCTGGTTTGTAGTCATGAGGCTGACACATGCAGTGTCTGGAATGGCACCATTGCTGTGGATGCTGACCCTGTTCCCAAAGGCTGAAGGGCCCTTCTCTCCATCTCTGTAGCTCCAGCCCTTCCCATCCTTGGTGGCTCAGCTCAGCTGCCACCTCTCACTGCCTGGAAACCTCTCTGCCCCACACATTCGTGCCCACGGCAGGCTCTGGTGACACTTTGCCATATCACCTGCCAGGACAAACTCCAAGTCTAGCACCTCTTGACATCTTGGTGCCCGAAGCAGATTTGGCCTTAACAGGACCCATGGTGTGTCTGCATCCTGCCAGCCAGCTGCCCCAAGGCTGAAGTCATTCCTGCTGTTTCCAGCAGAGGTCCAGCTTGTGCTCCACCTCCTTTGCTCTGCTGAAGGCCACCGGGTACTGGCCTTGCCCCGCCGCAGCCTCCTGAGCCGTCCCCCTGTCTTGTCCCCTCTCCTCTGCCCTCCACACACACCCTTCAGGGGCTCCATCACCTCTGGGCTAAATCCTCAGGCTGACTTTCACTGCCTGTGTGAATGGCCCGTGATCCTCCAGCCTCGTTCCCCACCTCTCGGCCTTTGTCCACGCTGTCATCCCTTTCCGGAAGGAAAGTCCTTCCACTACCCTTTCCACGGCTTAGCATCCCTGACTCCTCCTTTGGGCCTCAGCTCTTACACTCCCCCAACTCTGGAAGGCAGGGCTGACCACAGTTTCCTCTGGGCCACTTGGAGTTTTCCATGTCCTTCCACGTCCTCCCATGCCCTTCTGTGTCCTCCTGGTCTGCACGGTGCCTGTGGCTCAGTCCTCAGACCCGGATGATCTCATCCAGTCTCATGGCTCCTTTTGTGCTGACAGTTCCCAGACATCTCTCTTTAGCCCCAGAACTGCAGACTCAGCCCTCCATGGCCCGCTCGACCTCCCCACCTGGTATCTAATAAGCATCTCCAGTGTCATGTCCCAAACTGAACTCCTCAACTCCTCCCCAGTGCCTGCCCCAGGATGGACGCTGTGTCCTCCCAGGGACGCCAATGCTCGTCCACATCCTACCTCCCCTCTACCACTCCTGCATCTGGCCTCCAGCCAGTCCTGTGGCTCCAGCTTCACAACAGGCAGAATCCAATCATGTCTCCCCATCTGTGCTGCCTCCGTCCTGGTCTCAGCCACCTTCACTGCTCACCTTGGCTCTGACAGTAGCCTCACACTGAGTCTGAGTCTCTCTGCTCCCACTAGGTGTGACGGCCAGAGTGACGTTGTTCACATGTGAGTGAGGTCACTCACCCTTGGACGTGAACCCTGCACGACCCCATCTCACATACAGGAAAAGTCAGGTTGATAGAGAGGCTCACAAGGTCCTTGGGGTCCTGCCCCCCAACAGCCTCCTGACCTCACTTCCATCCACATGCACTCACTAATGTGTCTCCTTACACTATACTTTACTCTCTCTCTCTCTCCCTTTGTCTCTCTGTCTCTCTGTCTCTTTCCTTCTTGAGACAGAGTCTCGCTCTGTTGCCCAGGCTGGAGTGCAGTGGCACAATCTCGGCTCACTGCAATCTCCGCCTCCTGGATTCAAGCAATTCTTGTGCCTCAGCCACCTGAGTAACTGGGACTACAGGCACATGCCACCATGCCCAGTTAATTTTTCTATTTTTTTTTTTAACTTTTATTTTTTTGAGACAAAGTCTCACTCTGTTGCCCAGGCTGGAGTGCAGTGGCACAATCTGGGCTCACTGCAACCTCTGCCTCCCTGGTTCAAGCAATTCTCCTGCCTCAGCCTCCCGAGTAGCTGGGATTACAGGTGCGCGCCACCACACCTGGCTAATTTTTGTATTTTTAGTAGAGATGGGGTTTCACCATGTTGGCCAGGCTGGTCTCAAACTCCTGACCTTAGGTGATCCACCTGCCCCCCAACGTGCTGGGATTACAGGCATGAGCCACTGCACCCGGCCCTACTCATCCTTCTTGCTGATTGCCTGTCACCTCTGATAGACCGTAAGCTCCCCGCAGGCAGAAACTTTTGAGTGCTTTGCTCACCTCTGTCTCTATATCTGAGCCAGCACCTGATGCGGAGTTGGGTGCCCAATAACTCTTTGTCGACTCTCTGCTTACAGGGCCCTGTGCAGACGCACACACAGCACTGGCCTCAGATCTCAATCCCATCACCCCTCACCACACCTGAAACGCCATCATGAATCCTGTGGCCTGGCAAACCTATTCGTTTTCAGGAGTCTGCTAGCAAAATCCAGTAGCCCTGGGAAAGGAACACCTGAAGCTCCTTTTCTAAGAAACATTCGCTACGAAGCTACTGTGTTCAGAGGCCCACGTGTCCTTTACCGTACCCAGCACTGACTCTTTCATTATTGGGTGGGGAAGGAGAGGCTTAGGGACGCCAGGGGACGGCTGGGGCAGTAACTATTTACAAACTAGCTCAGAAGCAGCTCAATGTTTAGCAACCACTTTTTGGCTACGGCAGTGCGAACTGACAGAATGTATTTTTTTTCTTTTCTTTTCTTTTTTTTTTTTTAGACAGAGTTTTGCTCTTGTCGCCCAGGCTGGAGTGCAGTGGCACAATCTCGGCTCACTGCAACCTCTGCCTCCCAGGTTCAAGCAATTCTTCTGCCTCAGCCTCCCGAGTAGCTGGGATTATAGGCATGCGCCACCACACCTGGCTAATTTTTGTATTTTTAGTAGAGATGGGGTTTCACCATGTTGGCCAGGCTGGTCTCGAACTCTTGACCTCAAGTGATCCCCCCACCTCAGCCTCCCAAAGTGCTGAGATTACAGGCATGAGCCACCACGCCCAGCTATTTTTTTCTTTTTGAGACAGGGTTTCGCTCTGTCACCCAGACTGGAGTACAGTGGCAGGATGTTGGTTCTTTGCAGCCTTGGCCTTCAGGGCTCAAGCAATCCTCCTGCCTCAGCCTCCCAAATAGATGAGACTACAGGTGCGTGCCTCCATGCCTGGCTAATTTTTGTATTTTTTGTAGAGACGGGGTTTTGCCATGTTGCCCAGGCTGGTCTTGAACTCCTGGGCTCAAGCGATCCTCCTGCCTTGGCCTCCCAGAGTGCTGGGATTATAGGCTTGAGCCAGTGCGCCTGGCCTGAATATTTTTAATATACGTAGGCGTGTGGTTGTTCACAAGTACTTTTCACCGTGAACCACAATCGGAAAAGCTTTGATAATTATTGGATTCGAGGCTGGTGAGGGTGGGGAAGGCTAGGGGCTACTTTAGAAGGGGTGGTCAGAGGAGTGAGCTGTTTGGGGCTGGTTCCCTGAAAGCAGAGCGTGAAAGAGGGATCTGGGTGCATATGATTTCACTGCGGAGACTCTCAGAAGACAGAGAGTGAGCGCAGTGGGAAGCCGCAGAGCGAGCTTGAGCAAGGATGAACTCAGCCTCAGCCAGATCTCGCCGGGCCCTGGAGCATAAACTGCACCACACAGTGGTCCTGCTTGAGGCGAAGGGGCCAGTCTTTGTCCCCCATGGCAGGGAGTAATTGGCAGTGGGCCCCTGATGGTGGAAGAGAGGGTGCAGATAATACAGATCCTATACAGTCAAGGTCAATTCTCTAGGGAAGGGGGGGAGCCGGGCACCATTAGCAGCCTACCTTGCAGCAGCCAGAGAAAGTTCCTGGTGCCCAGGAAGGGATAGGGGGTGGGCACCAACAGCGTCCACTGCATAGGCCTCTTTTGTCCTAAGGGGTTCCTGAGTCTGTGAGCCCCACCGCCCTCTCCTCCCTGCCACCTCCTCCCAGGGCACTGACCGAGCTCCTCCTCGGAGTGCAGGGCGGGGTCCACCAGGGCCTTGAGCTCGGTGCTCTGCAGCAGGTAGCTCTTGAGCTGGGTCATCATGGTGCGAATCTCCTGCAGCATCTCCGTGCTGGAGGTCTGGCGCGCCATCATCTCCAGGCTGTACACCTTGTAGTCCTGCACCAGGCTGCCAAAGTACGAGCCCTTGTCCTGCGCCAGCTCCACCACCTTCTTGTACAGCTTGCGGTTGTTGGAGAGGAAAGCGTGGAACATGCTGCTGAAACTGGCAAAGCTCAGCCGGTGCCGAGCCTTGCCCAGGATCATGGAGGGCTTCTTCTTCACGCTGGGGCTGCTGAACTGCTCCAGCTCCTCCTCCGTGCTGCTGGTGGAGTAGGAGTCCTGGTCGGTGGCCATGACAGACACCCCCAAGCTGTCTGAGAGGGAGGCCAGGGAGCCCTTGAACTCTGGAGAGCTCTGGGAATGGGCAGTGGCCTGGGCAGGAGGGTGCTGAGTCCCAGCCTGAGAAGCAGGGCTTTGGCCCTCTCTGGGTGGACCCGGCGTGGGTGTCTCCAAGGCCATCGCCTGTGTGCAGAGCTCAGCGTTCTCTAAGGGAGCTGGGAGGGTCGAGGCCAGTTGTCGAGAGATCCGTTTTTTCCTGGGGGGCGGGACTGGGGGTTGTTTGGCTGTCCTGGGCAGCTCTGGCATGCTGTGAGGATCGCTGGCTTTCACCTCTGTGTCCTGGCCTTGCTCCGTGCTCTCCCGGGGCGTGTCCTCAGGGCCGTCTGAGGTCCCTTGGGGAGGCAGGCTGAGCTGGTCCCCCTCTGCCGCCATCCCCGGACTTTGGTCTTCTAAGGACACCCTCTCGGAAACGCGGCGTCTGGGAGGGGCAGTGGGAAGGTTCTTCTTCGCAGGCAGTGGCGGGGCGGGGACCTGCTGCAAGGGACTGGAGGCTGCCCCTGGCTTCATCGCTTCCTCCCTGAGGGGGCCCAGGCCTGCAGTGGGGCATGGGAGTCTCTCGCAGGTCATCATGGGCGGCTGGTTCGGATGGTCTGGGGGACCTGGGGCATGGGGTGTGACGTGGGGGGCAGGCACTGGGGGAGAGGTGGGCAAAGGACAGGCAGGGGCGGGGGCAAGAGCAGGGAGCACAGGGGGCTGGGCTGGGCTGCAGGGCTGCAGGGGCAGCACTGGGGGAGGGGGTGGTGGGCGGCGTGGGGCCCACCTGGAGGTGGGTGAGGTGGCATCAGAGGTGGGCGGCAAAGGGCGTGCAGGGCAATTTCCAAGAGGTGGCTGGTCGGTGGGCAGGGCGCTGCTGCAGTCCTCGATGAAAATAGGATTCACAAACCACAGGCGGTCATTTCCTACCGACAGCTCGATTTCACAGGCACAGTTTGCGTCATGGGCTGTGGGCCTGAGGCTGGAGACTAGGGGGAATCCGGGGGCCCGGTCTCTTGGGGGCTCTGCTGGCTTCCCTCTTTCTTGTGGAGGATTCAGCGAGGAGTCCCAGAAACCTGTGGAAGCAAGAGAGGGGCAGGGGGTCAGTCTGTGCCAGGGACTAGGTGTTGCTGTGCTGGGCGGGGTCTGTGGGCGGGGTCCACGGGTGGGAGGGCTGTTCAAGGCATTTGCTTCACTACTCCGAGGTTGAGGTTGTTTTCCCCTCTTGGACGCTTTCAAACCTCTCCCACCACTTCCTGCCTCGAGAGGGGAAGCCCCACTCAGTCCTCCCCAGCAGTGTAGGGTGAGGCCGGGGGTGATGTGATAAGCTCAGCTTCAGTTCTCTTCCTTGGTGTGAGAGCCCACATTGGAGGGCATTGATGACACAGGGTGGGGGGTGACAACACTGTGCTCTGGAGCCGTGGGGAAGGCATGGTGAGAGCACAGGGGACGGAAGGCCTGGAATTCCTGCGGCCAACCAGCTGGGTGCTCTGGGGCAGGTGGTTTGACCTTCCTAGGCCTCAGTCTAGTCATCCCTAAAATGGGGTCACAACAGTACACACATCACAGGCACACGAGGAGGAAGGAACATTGGGCCTGTTTTGGCCTCCATGGTTATTATATGTGGGAAGGACGAACCTATGGATTGTGGCCAGCGAGATCAGACCCGGCTGTCCAAGCGGGGAGCAGCCACCCACCACAAAGTGATTCTGACTCCAGTCAACCTCGAGCTTAAAATAAGAAGCTGGTCGTCTGCCCCAGTCAGGGGAAGCCAAGGCTCCTGCACCGTGGAGCTGAGTTCCAGTGCGTGCCTCTCTACCGACCCAGTCCCCAGGGGCTCAGTCATGGCTGTGGCCACCAAAGCAGGCTAGGGACAGGCAATCTTGATCTGTGGGGACCACACTCTGCCAAGCATCTGACGGAGGCTCAGGACCCTCCAAAGAGCACACAGGGATGCTACATCTTGGGAACAATTGCAGTCAGTGCATAGGCCACCCTGCGTTCACTCAAGCTTCCTCCTGGAGAGAAACAAGGGTCCCAGGTCTTGTTCAGCCTGCTAGGTTTGGAGCTGGACAGAGGATGACCCAGGCAGATGCAGAGTTCCTTGTGAATTGGTGCAGCCAGCCTTTCACCCAGGGCTCTTCACTCCTGGGAGGAATTCACCCTTAAGAAAACTATGGAAAATAACATCAAGGATAATCAGAGGAGCAAACATCCATGGCGTTCTTGCTGCGCGTGAGCCCACGGGCTCCTTGCTTTACCTGGGTTATCTTGCCGACCCCTGATCATAGGCCTTGCCCCCAGTTCACAGATGAGGGTAAGAGGCTCAGAAACATGAAAGCACTCGCCCTGTGTCACCGGATTGGGGAGTGAGACGCTGGGATTTGACCAGGTCGGGCTGGTTCTACAGCCTGTGTGTTTAGCCTCCGTGTTAGGCGGCCTTCCTTCATAGGAACTTGCGACACTTCCCATATTTTGGTTGCTCTCCCGGCATCGGTGAGTAGCAGGGTGGCTTGCAGCCCAGAACTCAGGATGTGGCAACAACACAACAGGCTCTTGATGTTGAAAGGAGACCTCACAAGATGGCCTGGAGCAGCCAAGCGTGTGCTCGCTCTAAGAGGTGGGCACTATCAGGGATGTAGGCATTTGCCATCTTGCTGGCTGGGGTCACCAACGCAATCAGGGTAAGCAGGTGCCTTTCCAGGACAAAGGGACTGAAGAAACAGACCGGAAGTGAACTGCGACCCACCAGCTGTGTGCACCCCTCTGAGGTGCACCCCCCAGCCCTGTCCTGGGCAGATACCCTGTGTCTGGCTGCCTGAATATCACAGCCAGTGGAGAGAGACCAGGTCTCATCACACTAACAAGCATGACAACCTTTCCTGTGACTCTTTCCAATGTGCAAAGCTCTGTGCCCATCACAGTCACCGAGGACATGGTATCCAGAGCGGCCTCTCCCAGGGCCTGGACGAGCTGCTCTTTGTGACTGCCAGGGCCCTTTGCTTTCTTGGGCAGCGCATGGCTCCTCCATGTATGCCTCACTCTCCCAGGCACCTTGCCTCGAGTACATACATGTTCTGGCCCCTGCAGTGAGTGTTTGAAGCACTGTGCCCATGTCTACACAGGCCCCTGGAGTGAGTGAGTGAAGCACTGTGCCCATGTCTACACAGGACCCTGGAGTGAGTGTTTGAAGCACTGTGCCCATGTCTACACAGGCCCCTGGAGTGAGTGTTTGAAGCACTGTGCCCATGTCTACACAGGCCCAACAAAGTTGCCTCCTTGGGAGTTTTCCTAGCAAGGAGAAGCAGGCAGCCAGACTGATCCCAGGGTAACTGGGCAGCAGCCCCACATGTGAGCTGAGACCCCCGGTGCCCACCTCCAGACTCTTCCTGTGGGTGAAGGTGGTGTCATGGGGGTAGATAACATATAGAACTGCCCACTGGTGCCGGGACACCCCATGACTGCTCACCCAGATCACGGCTGTAGCCGCCCCCTCTACTCCATTCTCCTCCTGGGGTCCTCGGCTGGGCATACGGCAGGCCCTTGGTGGTTCTCTGTAGAGAATCGCTTTCAACCCTTTAGCCTGGCATTCCAGTCTGCAGGAACTGGCCCCTGCACATCTTCTCTGGCATCATCTACCGAGTCTTCACTCCACTCTATCTGCCGTTCACTCCTTCCTCCACGTGCCATGCGCTGCCCCACCAGCAGGTCTTGGCTAATGCTATTCCCTCAGTGTGGAATCCTTTTCCCACCCTCTCCACCTGGCAAATGCTTACTCATCCTTCAGGGCTCAGGTCAAATGCGACCTGTCTGGTAGCGCCTCCCTGATGTGCTCAGGCCTTGCCCACCCCGCCTGTGTTCCTGCAGCTCTGATATGCCTGTGACAGCAGTGACCATCACTGGGACTGTAATTCTCTGTTTTTTGCCTGACTTTCCCACCAGACTCAGAGTTTCCAGAAGGCAGTCAAATCTTTCAGCTGTCTGAGTATTCCCAGCACCTGAGACAGTGCTTGGCCCAGAGCAGGGGCCCAGTGTCAGCCCCTTGGCACCCATGAGTGGATTAGCTTAGCCGGAGTGGAGAGTCAGGCCTCTGAGGAAGGGGACACAGGCAAGGTTAGTTTCAAGGGCAAGATGGGGACAACCTGAACCATGGGAGGATGTGTAAATACAAGACAGTGAGAGGAGGCAGGAAGGAGGGCACAGGAGCCCCGTAAACGGATGGGCCACCAGCCGGGCAGCCTGCCACGGGACAGGATGGCTCCATTAGGCACAGAACAGAAGACAACATTTCCCATTGCTCAGGTGTGGATTTTGGCAGGAACAGAGCAGACACGGGTTCAGGCAAATAGGCTCTCGGCCTGGGTACCTGGGACACAGCTTCCCTGCCCCAAGACAGGCCTGGGGTTTGCACCCTGGCAAACCCTGGCAGGGCAAAGTTCTCAAAGCCAATGTGACTCCAAGGAGTGGGGGAAGCCAGGAGCTAATGGGCTGCATCCTGGGGTCTTGGGACCTGTTAGGGAACCACAGTGGCATTGCAGGGCTTTATGCTCCAAAAAAAAAAAAAAAAGGGAAATGAGTAACTTTCTCTGCAGCCTGAGAACGCCAAGGCCAGGGGAGAAACAGAACCCTGTGTCATGCAATCCTAGTGGTTTGGTTGGCAAAGCTGTGGGGTCCAGTCCCCAAAGGCACCATACTGAGCCTTGGCTCTGCTGCGAGAGTTCCCCTAAAGAAGGGCCCATCCTTGCCCTGGCCTCAGACTGAGGCCACGATTTTGCTGGCCCCAAGGCCTGTTGAGCGTTGGCTGGGGACACCTCTTGCCAGATGCCCACTCTTTCTACCCTCAGAGAACCTGGGCCACATCACAGGCTGGGCTGTAGGTCCTGAGGGCAAACTCAGACTCTACCCCTGGGGAGCTTGGGGCTGGTGGCAGGACAGGAAGGGGATGAGTAAAGGCAAAGTGTTCCAGATGCCACGGAAACACTAAAAAATCCAACAAGGCCAGTGAATAAATATTCATGTGGCATCCCAAAGACAGAGGCTGTTACACAGTCAGTCAAAGTCAAGTTTTCAATGAATTATTAATAACTAGGAAAATGCTCATCATCTGATGTAAAGGAAAAAGCAAGTTACAAGCAAACTTGGAAGAGCCACAGAACAGATGCCTTTCCTAAACATATTTTTGAAGTATTAAACACATACACACTGTAACATGTTTGAAAACCACTGCGAGTAATCCCTATTCTCTAAATTCCTTGGACGCTTGTAATCAACTGCTGAATATAGTTGAGGGCTGAATTGCTCCTCCTTATGTTAGTTTTCTGGCCTTGACTAACTGGTAAGCTCTTAAAGTCCAAGATTACACCTTATATAGCCTGCACTTTCGAACGCTGGCTTTTCCAAGTCCGAATTTGGACTTTCTTACGTCGGCTCATGAAGGCACACTGTGAGCCATCACATGGCACTCAGCCTGCAAGTCAATAGCTGAGTTTCAGCAACATCATCCCTATCTCAAAAGCAGGCCTGGTGCAACTCTTTGGACATTTGTTGCATTCTTCTCATAGGAAAATGAGTGGCATGCCAAACAAATAAAACTGATGACACTAATGATAAGAAACATATATGCCTCATGAACTTCCTGTAACTACAAGATCATCCAGCGGACTGGAAACCCAGTAAATCTTTAGCCTTAACTAGACATTCCTTGGCTCTGGGCTCTAGGGAAAAAACTGAAAGTCACAAATATATTCGCACAAAATCAGAAGGCAAGAAACCAAAACTGTATTTTCAGTTGCGTCTAGGTGTATTAAGGAAAAGAAACTGGAAGGAAACACACCCTGAACTTGCAGCAGGGGTGAGATTATATGTGGTTTTCATCCTCAGCCTTTTCTGGTCTTGTCAGTTAAAAACAAACACACATGGCCGGGAGCTGTGGCTCACGCCTGTAATCCCAGCACTTTGGGAGGCCGAGGCGGGCCGGATCACCTGAGGTCAGGAGTTCAAGACCAGCCTGGTCAACATGGTGAAACTCCATCTCTACTAAAAATACAAAAATTAGTCAGGCGTGGTGGCAGGTGCCTGCAATCCCAGCTACTCTACTCCAGAGGCTGAGGCAGGAGAATCGCTTAAACCTGGGAGGCAGAGGTAGCAGTGAGCTGAGATCGTGCCACTGCACTCCAGCCTGGGCAAAAAGAGTGAGACTCCATCTCAAACAACAAACAAACAAACACAACATGCTTGACTTTTATTATAAGATGAAAAAGTGTCATAAGAAAAAGCAGCACATGGCGGGCATGTGGAGGGCATGGTGCAGAGGGTGGGGCCCACTACCCTGCCTATCCCAATGCCAAATCCAGGCTTCCTTGGCAAAAGGGCGCCATGCTGTTTTCCACTGCAGGCACGGCAAGCGGAGGAAAGGGCCGAGGGGCGGGAAGTGGTGAGCAAGGCTGAGAATCAGGGCATAGCGCAGGCAGAGCACGGGGTTCAAACTCAGCAAGCCCTGAGTATGAATTCAGCTTTTGTTTACATCCCAAAATGAGGAAAGCCCTTTAGTCGATCTCTCTTTCTCTCTCTGGATAATAGCTTTATTGAGATACCACTCCCATACCACAGAGTTCACTCATTTAAAAAACATGCTCATGTTTTTCAGTGTATTCACTGAGTTGTGCAACTCTCACCGCAATCAATTTTAGAGCTTTTTTTTTTTTTTGAGAGAGAGTCTCGTTCTGTCACCCAGGCTGGAGTGCAATGGCACGATCTTGGCTCACTGCAATCTCCACTTCCCGAGTTCAAGTGATTCTCCTGCCTCAACCTCCTGAGGTTGGGATTATAGGCATGTGACATCACGCCTGGCTAATTTTTGAATTTTCAGTAAAGATGGGGTTTCACCATGTTGTCCAGGCCAATCTTGAACTCCTGACCTCATGATCCGCCCGCCTTGGCCTCCCACAGTTCTGGGATTACAGGCGTGAGCCACTGCGCCCGGCCTTTAGGGCATTTTTTATCACCCCAAAAGAAAGCCCGTGCCTATTTAGCAGTCACTCTCCATCCCCCTTTCTATGCAGCCCCTGGCAATCGCCAATCTGCTTTCTGTCTCTATGGATTTGCCTATTCTAGACATTTTATTCAAATGGAACTGTAGCATATGTGGTCTTTTGTATCAGCTCCCTTCACTTAGCATGTTTTCCAGGTTATTCCATGCTGCACCACGTGTCAGTCCCTGCACTTCATTCCTTTTTATAGCTGAATAAACCCTTTAGACTCTTTAACTTTCCATTTCCTTATCTGTAAAACGGGCTTTTACATAAATAAATGAGATAATGTATGTGTGGGCATGTGGCAATGAATTTGCCTCCCATTGTCCTTTTGGTCTTCCCTGAAATGCTGACTATACAAGGTAACCCCTGGCTCACAGGGCCTCATCACTAGGCTGGCCAGGGATCATCTGGTTCTCCTTGGACAATCTGAATGAAGAACAGTGGTCAGGTGGGGCTGCGAGCTGAGTCAGAGCCCCGCTAGTCGGGGGAGCAGGGGAGTAGGAACCTGAGTCAGCAAGGAGGCCATGTGCAGGGAGCAAGGGGCTGGCACGTGTGACCGAGCAGCTGCAATGGCCCACAAAGCCCAGCTAACCCTCCGTCTCCATTTCTCAGAGGGTCCCTGGCGTCCTTTCTCTAAGTCTCTTTTTGATGCTAGTTTGAGTGAGTTTCACTTCTTTGCCACCAAAGTCCCTTCCTAGAACAATGTGTGACATGCCAGGCACAATGCCTGGTGTGTCAGGGCCCTTGACAAACGCTGCTCTTTCCATATTTATTATCACTATTTCACATGAAGGTTGGCAGGGCCCAAGCCTGCCCATGCCAGGGCCAAGGTCTCTGGCCTTTGATAGGATGTGCTCCTTGCGCCCTGGGTCTCCAGCCATTCAGATGACTGTAAAGTGAACCTTTCCTTGGCTCCAGGGGAAAATGATTGTGGTGAGCCTGGCTTTATGTCTTTCAGCACTCGGGGACACCAGGTCTGCACGGATCCCTTCAGCTCCTAAGCTGCAACACACTCAGCTTCCATTTAAATCCTGTTCTCTAGGAAGTAAGTGCTGATAGATGAATCTGAACTGCTGTTGGCTTCCCAAATGGAAACCTCCCTTCTCCACTTCCTCCTCGTGCCTGAGATCAAACTCTCCCAGGAGAGAAGGTCTTGTCTGTGCCAGAAAGGAATGCAGTTCTTCCAGGAGGAACATCGCCTTTAAAAAAAAAAAAAAAGCATGTTCCTAGGTCTTAGGAGAAGCTGTGCTCTTGCAGGTGAGAGGAATCTGTAGGGAGTCTCCCGGCAGTTAGTCCTAGGGATGACTAAACCCCATAGCGGGGTCAAGAGGTGCAGCAATGTGTCATAGACTGAGGCCATGCATCTCACTTACTCTACCAACATGGCCTGCAAACTGGCCATTGACTGCTCGTTGCAAAAACAACAGAGAAGGTGGGGAGGTGCAGCTGAGGAGCAGTAGAAAGGCTGTCCTCAGAGGCAGAAAGCCCTCAGTGCAAATCTTGTCTGGGGCACTTTACAGGTGTGAGCCACCAGGCCCAGCCCTGAGGATTTCTTCAGGGAAAAGGAGAGCATGTTTCACATAGCTGCTCAAGAACCGCTGAGGACAGAAAGCCTTTGGTGCAAATCTTGTCTGGGGCACTTTACACAAGGTTCCCAGCGGAGCTAAAACTTGATCTTCTAATTTTTTTTTTTTTTGAGGCAGAGTCTCAGTCTGTTGCCCACGCTGGAGTGCAGTGGGGCAATCTCAGCTCACTGCAATCTCCGCCTCCCAGGTTCAAGCAATTCTCCTGCCTCAGCCTCCGGAGTAGCTGGGATTACAGGCACATGCCATTATGCCCACTTAATTTTTATATTTTTAGTAGAGACGAGATTTCACCATATTGGCCAGGCTGGTCTTGAACTCCTGACTTCAGGTTATCTGCCCGCCTCGGCCTCCCAAAGTGCTGAGATTATAGGCATGAGCCACTGTGTCCAGCCAGTGTTCTATCTTTAAAATGCACAAAAATGACATAAGACAATGCCAAGTGCTCTGCAATGGTCGGTGTCATCGAACCCCTAGGGGGAGGTCATCTGCACCTTACAAAAGTGCAAATTACAAAACTGTCACCTGTCCCACATCCAAGATCCTGGGAGGGTTGGAGCCCAACAACTAACATTCTGGGAAGCAAAGTTTAATAGCAAGTTGATTCCCAAAAGCAACTGAAAACTTGCCCTTAGGGTTATAACTGGGTAAATTAGACCTAGAAGAATTTGGATAAAGAGCTAAGAGGCGGCCGGGTGTGGTGGCTCACGCCTGTAATCCCAGCACTTTGGGAGGCCGAGGTGGGTGGATCATGAGGTCAGGAGTTCAAGACCAGCCTGACCAATATGGTGAAACCCTGTCTCTACTAAAAATACAAAAATTAGCCAGGTGTGGTGGCATGCGCCTGTAGTCCCAGCTACTCGGGAGGCTGAGGCAGAAGAATCGCTTGAACCTGGGAGGTGGAGGTTGCAGTGAGCCAAGATCGCACCACTGCACTCCAGCCTGGGTGACAGAGTGAGACTCCATCTCAAAAAAAAAAGAGTTAAGAGGCACCATGAGACGATGGCAGGTGTGGGAGCTAAACGGCCTGGGTTCATCCAAGCTCTGCCATGTGCTGTGTGAAACTGGACATGACTTAACCTCTTGTGCCTCAGTTTCCTCTGCCATAGAAGGGGAATTATAATAATAGTACTTGCTTTATAGGATTGTTTGAAGCTGCGACGAGCCAATGGCAGCTAAAGAGGTTAGAACGCAGTCAGTGCTCATGGAGCGCTAACACCCAAGGACCAGAACTCCTCCTACTTCCTGGCCCCTGACCATGGCTGCCTGGTGGTGTCTCTTGCATTGCTGCCCCTGATGGGCCCCTCTGAGTGGTGAACAGTGGCCTGGCTTGGGAACCAAGGGGTGTCTTCTTTGATCCCAGGTCTGCCCCTCACTTCCTCTGTGATCTGGTTCTGCCCTCTGGGTCACTGTTTCTTCCATTCCATCAACACTGGTGAACAAGGCACCAATGTTCTGGGCACTGTGCTCAGCCCCATGGAGCACAGTGTCCTATGTATGGCTGAGTTTTACTAAAGACTTGTTGATGAACTGCTTTGTTCATAAATGTGACCTGGCGGCCCCAGGTTATGAGGCTCTGGGGCCTACAACGGCTCCTGAGCAGCTGCGTGAAACACTCTCCCTTTCCCTGTAAGAAATTCTCAGGGCCGGGCGCAGTGGCTCACACCTGTAATTCCAGCACTTTGGGAAGCCAAGGTGGGAGGATCGCTTGAGGCCAGGAGTTTGAGACCAGCCTGGGCAACATGGAGAGACCATGTTAAAATATACGAAATTAACCAGGCATGGTGGTGTGCGCCTATAGTCCCAGCTACTCAGGAGGTGGAGGTGGGAGGATCACCTGAGCCTGGGAAGTTGGGGCTGGGGTAAGCCATGATCATGCCCTGCACTCCAACCTGGGCAACAGAGTGAGACCCTGTTTCAAAAAAAAAAGAAAGAAAGAAAAGAAAAAGAAAAAAAAAATTCTCTGCTCCCAACACACACTGAAAGAGGCAGGTGGCCTGGCCTCTCAGCAGCTACAGACTTGGCATGCTTGGGCTTCCTGAGGGCCAGCAAGGTGAGGCCCTAATTCTAGGTAGGCACCTGCTGATTGCCTCCTTGTAGGGCACTTGGCATCGCCCATACATGGGAAGAGCCCACTAAACGTGAGTTCTTTCTATAATTATGTGAAAGTGCTGGGGTCAGACACACCCTGCCCTCCCTCCCCTTCTTCTTTTCCTCTCCCCTCTTTACCCCTCAGGAACTCGGAAGGGTGGGGTAGGGTGTGCTTAGGGTCAGTTGTTTGGGCACAGGACAGGACCCGCAAGGGCCACACTCAAGTTCATGGTCACATTCATGCTGCTTTTCCATCCGATGAGGGGCCAGGGCTGTGGTGGCTGCCAGGCCCAGCTCTCTGGCTCCCACTCAGAAGGGCCCTGGGGTAAAGCTCGGCTTCTCCCAGGACCACACCAGCCTCTCTGGTCCTGACCAGGCCCTGCTCCCTTAGACCAAACGTGGCTGGGCCTCAGGGCGTCCTGGGCAGCTGATAGAGGCGACTCTTTAGAAACTGGACAATCTCTCTATCACGTGGCTCAGCAGCCTGAGGCAGGGGTGTGGGTGGTCCCATGGGAGCTGGGACTCAGGCTGTCCCTCTGCACAGGCGGCCCCTGGGGCAGTCCTAGGGCCCCAGTTCCTAACGCCCCACCAGCTCCCCTAACCCCTCGGAGAAGACTCACCCAGACCCAGGTTGGCGATGGTCTCAAGGTCCGTGAAGCTGCTGGCCTCAAGGATGGCCTGGGGTAGCCGCAGTGTGAAGGGCAGTAAGTCTCTGTGAAGACACGAGGGGCAGAAGTCATGTCTGGGTCCACCGTGTCCATTCCCAGCCTCCACAAAGGAAGAGCCCTGGCAATCTCTGCTGGCTGCCAGGGTCTCCATACAGCCTGGAAGCTTCCCTGGAGCTGAGGGGCAGACTCTGAGGCAGAAGGAGCATCAAGTCAACTCTAGGTCCTGAGCCAGCACCAGGGACCCAGAGAGGTGGAGATCCTACTCAGGAGTGGCGGGGCGGGGTCACTGCTTCTCCTTGGTTTTCCTGGACTGCTGAGCCCAGGCCAGCTCCTCTAAAGGCATTCTTTAGGGTAAAGTGAGTGGCCCACCCCTCCCTGCCCTCTGACCCTTGCTGGTGCACACTGAGATGTGCAGTGAGCACACAGTCAGGCATCTCCCAGCAAATGCAGTCAGGCAGCCCCCGACGAACACACAGTCAGGCATCTCCCAGCAAATGCAGTCAGGCAGCCCCCGATGAACACACAGTCAGGCATCTCCCAGCAAACGCACAGTCAGGCAGCCTCTGACGAGCACACAGTCAGGCATCTCCCAGCAAACGCACAGTCAGGCAGCCCCCGATGAACACACAGTCAGGCATCTCCCAGCAAACGCACAGTCAGGCAGCCCCCGATGAACACACAGTCAGGCATCTCCCAGCAAACGCACAGTCAGGCAGCCCCCGATGAACACACAGTCAGGCATCTCCCAGCAAACGCACAGTCAGGCAGCCCCCGATGAACACACAGTCAGGCATCTCCCAGCAAACGCACAGTCAGGCAGCCCCCGATGAACACACAGTCAGGCATCTCCCAGCAAATGCACAGTCAGGCAGCCCCCGATGAACACACAGTCAGGCATCTCCCAGCAAACGCACAGTCAGGCAGCCCCCGATGAACACACAGTCAGGCATCTCCCAGCAAACACACAGGCAGCCCCCGATGAACACACAGTCAGGCATCTCCCAGCAAACACACAGTCAGGCAGCCCCCGACGAACACACAGTCAGGCATCTCCCAGCAAACGCACAGTCAGGCAGCCCCCGATGAACACACAGTCAGGCATCTCCCAGCAAACACACAGGCAGCCCCCGATGAACACACAGTCAGGCATCTCCCAGCAAACGCAGTCAGGCAGCCCTCGACGAACACACAGTCAGGCATCTCCCAGCAAACGCAGTCAGGCAGCCCCCGACGAACACACAGTCAGGCAGCCCTCGACGAACACACAGTCAGGCATCTCCCAGCAAACGCACAGTCAGGCAGCCCCCGACGAACACACAGTCAGGCATCTCCCAGCAAACGCACAGTCAGGCAGCCCCCGACGAACGCACAGTCAGGCAGCCTCTGACGAGCACACAGTCAGGCATCTCCCAGCAAACGCACAGTCAGGCAGCCTCTGACGAGCACACAGTCAGGCATCTCCCAGCAAACGCACAGTCAGGCAGGTCCATCTGATGACTTTGGTCACAACAGGCAACTGTTCAGGGTTCCCTCCAGAGATCTCCCAGAAGGAGTTCGGACTAATGGGGAAACAGGGGCCCGGAAAGGAAAAGGGGTGGCCAGCCCACATGGTAGTTGAAGACACTGTGTGCTGAGGCCAGGGCTCCTGACTTTTGGCCTAGGGCTGTTTCACACGCTCAGGAAGGGGAATGTGGCACTGCCAGGGCCCCAGGATGGGTGGTCCCGATTCTGTGTTTCTTCCTAGTGTTTAAGGCCTGGGGACCCCCTTTCCAGCCATGTCTCCCGCTCCTTCCTCATTATCCCACCTGCCCTGTTCTCTGAAGCCATTTCCTCCTCTGTGAAGACAGGAATGGATGAGAGGGTGCCCAGCAGTGGTTATCAAGACCTGGCAGCCACCACTATTTTCTTCACAACCTGTTCTACCCTCCCTTGCTCACACTTCGTCCACCTTCTCCCCAAATCCTGATGCCAGTCACTGAAATCCCATCATCCATCATCTGCTGAGCCTCTCACCATGGCCTCGGCCAGAGCTACCTCCTCCCTGGGGTCTTCATGGCTTTGCTGTCTGCACCTCATCTTCCTGGTGACATGAGGCTGGGAGCCCTGGGTGCTCCTGGAACGGGTCTGGGCTGCCTTCCAGGTCTCCAAAGCCCCGCAGTGCTTAGCACTCACCACGAGGCTCCAAGGCTATTTGCTGAATGGACCCTGCCAAACTCAGGAGCTGAACTGGAGGCATAGCAGAGCAGAGACCGCCTGGGATGGGGCTGGCCCCTGCCAGGGAACCTCTGCTCAGCGATGTTGGCTTCTGTGGCCTCCCAGGTGCCCCCATGGCCCCTTGGGAAGTGCTTCGATGGAGCTGGGACACTTGTGTTTATGGAAGAGTTGGACAGGGCAGGCTGTGGCACAGGTTCTGGGCCCTTTCTCAGGTCTCGGGAGTGGCCTTGGGCTTCTCCACTGTCAAATGGTCTGGGGACCGGCCAGCTGACGTTGGCATCTTCTGTCATTGTTGTGTGATTCTGCTGCATCCTGAGGTCTTCTGATGGCCGGACTGGATGGGCCCTCAGTGCTGCACTCCCATCTCAGGCCCTGCCCCACCACCACTAACCCCAGCTCTAATTTTGAAGGGTGGCAACATTCATCCCAAGTTGCCTCAGTTTACTTCAGTTACGTGGTGGCCTGTCAGTGGGGTTTCCAATGGTTCCTCCGTCGCCGTGTGTATCACAATAGCCAGCAGAGGCTGCTCAGCTCATCTGTGCCCACCCCCTGACTGCCAGGACAGCCTCCTGCCACCTTGTCACTTTACTCAGTCTGCTGCAGTTGCAGCTGCAGTCACACCCCAGACTCGAACCCCAGCATCCAGGGCCTCCCCTGGTCTGGCCTTGCTCTGCCTTTCCGGCTTGCCCCCCCAACATCCGCCCTCCACAGTCCCTTCCCCACACTCGGGGGACTCCTGCTGGCTCCCAAATGATCACGCTTATCTTCCTCTAGTGGGTGTGCCCCACTCATTTCCCACCTCTGAGTTTACGCATAGAGGGAATAGCCCCTCATCCCCAGCACCTACATCTACTTAGATTCTATACATCCTTCGAGGCCACACCATGGACTCTTCTTCCTCCATGACCTGGGGTGCAAGGGTCTCATGCGTCTCTGCTTCTCCACATCCCATCCAATTCACCACTGCACCTCTTCCGTCCAGAGGAAAGCACACACAGGACGTGGGTGTTTGCTGAGCATCTACTATGTGTCAGGTGTGGGGCTAGGTGTTTTGGAGGCTTTAAGTGATATTCTTACTAAATCACAGGCACCTTGAGGGCAGGCATCAGTACCTCTGTTTTACAGAGGACACAGAGGCTCAGGGAGGTTAAGGGACTCACCCAAGACCCCCAGCCAGTAGTAAGTTTCTGACAGAAACACTGAAACATTTAAAAATCTATACCAATATAAAATTTGATTCTCTACAAGGCAAAACTTTCAATCAGTATCACAAACCACTTACTACATTTTTTTTAAGGAAAAGGAGCTATCACTTGTTAAGCCTTATCAGTCACTCACCAAGAGCTTTCCCTGTTATCCCACTTAACCCTTGAAGCAATCCTGTGATCTAAGTGCTATTGTCAACATTTGTTAAAATGTTGGATTTTTTTTAATTAGAAAAGAAACAGATTTACTGTAGCCAAAGTCATACAATACAAAAGTGCTTAAAATGTGCAGGTCCTCCCTTCTCCAGAGGGTCCTGCTGTCTACCCCAGGGGTCCCCAACCCCTGGGCTACAAACTGGTATTAGGCCATGGCCTGTCAGGAACCGAGCTGCACAGCAGGAGGTGAGCAGCGGGCGAGTGAGCAAAGCTTCATCTGTCTTGACAGCTGCTCCCCATCGCTCGCATACAGCCTGAGCTCCGCCTCCTGTCAGATCAGCAGCAGCGTTCCATTCTCATAGAAGCATGAACCCTGCTGTGAACTATGTGAGTGAGGGGTCTAGGTTTTGTGCTTCTTCTGAGACTCTAATGCCTGATGATCTGTCACTGTCTCCCATCACCCCCAGATGGGACCATCTAGTTGCAGGAAAACAAGCTCAGGGCTCCCATTGGTACTACATGATGGTGAGTTGCATAATTATTTCATTATATATTTCAATGTAATAGTGAAAGAAATAAGGTGCACAATAAACGTAATGCGCTTGAATCATCCCGAAACCATCCCCACCCCACCCCTGGCCCGTGGAAAAATTGTCTTCCACGAAAGTGGTCCCTGGTGCCAAAAAGGTTGGGGACTGCTGGTCTACACTCTGGAGAGTAAACTTGCTGGCCCTTCTTTAATGTACACATACGCGTGCCCAAGCACACACGCACACACACCATTTATTTTACTATTTTTTTATATATTTTTAATTTTTTTGAAGAGACAGGGTCACATTAAATTGTCCAGGCCTGTCTTGAACTCCCAGCCTCAAGTGATCCTCCTGCCTCCTTCTCCCAAAGTGCTGGGATTACAGGCATGAGCCACCATGCCTGGCCCACATCATGTATTTTAAAAGTGAAAATGGCATTATGTTCCATCAATTGCTCTGCAGCTTGCTTTCTCTACTGAACAGTAAAGTGATCTATATAGTGAGCAAGTCCATACATGTATACTGGCTTCCTTTTCTGTGCTGCAGAGTATTCCATGGGATAACTGTCATTTATTTTATTTTATTTTTTTGAGATGGAGTCTTGCTCTGTCACCCAGGCTGGAGTACAATGACATGATCTGGGCTCACTGCAACCTCCACCTCCCAGGTCCAAGCAGTTCTCCTGCCTCAGCCACCCAAGTAGCTGGGATTACAGGCGTGTGCCACCACGCCTGGCTAATTTTTGTATTTTTAGTAGAGATGGGTTTTCACCATGTTGACCAGGCTGGTCTTAAACTCCTGACTTCAGGTGATCCACACAGTGGCCTCCCAAAGTGTTGGGATTACAGGCGTGAGCCGCTGTGCCCAGCTACTATTTTTCTTCTTTTGATGGTCATCCAAGCTTTCTTTCTTTCTCTCTCTCTTTCCCTCCCTCTCTCTTTCTTTCTGTCTTCCTCTCTCTCCTCTTTCATCAATGCTAACCATTACAGAGCTTACTAAGTGTCCAGGAGCAGTTTTAAGCACTTTACGTATATTAGCTCTTTAAATCCTCTTACCAGCTCCACAAAGCAGGTACTTTCCTTACACTCATCTCGCAGCTCCGAAGACTGGGGCACAGAGGGACTAAATGGCTTGCCCCATCCCACAGCTTGTAAGTGACAATGCCTGCATCTGAATGGAGGGTTCAGGCTTGTAACTCCTAGACTACTTGTTTTTAGCAAAAAATTATTTCCTAATTGCCACTGGATCCAATTGTGCTGCAAAGAACGAATTGAGCACATCATCTTTCTGCCCTCAAACTAGTATTCCTTTTTTCTTTTTTGAGACAGACTCGCCCTCTATTGCCCAGGCTGGAGTGCAGTGGTGTGATCTCAGCTCACTGCAACCTCCGCCTCCTGGGTTCAAGCGATTCTCCTGCCTCAGTCTCCCGAGTAGCTGGGACTACAGGTGTGCACCACCATGCCCAGCTGATTTTTGTATTTTTTAGTAGAGATGGGCTTTCTCTATGTTGGCCAGGCTGGTCTCAAACTCCTAACCTCAAGTGATCTGCCTGCCTCAGCCTCCCGAAGTGCTGGGATTACAGGTGTGAGCCGCCACGCCCAGCCTCAAGCTAGTATTTCTATTGAATACATTCCTAGATGTGAGTCTGCCGGGCCACAAGGTAGATATATTTGGAGAAATGACAGAATTTACCAAACTGATCCCCTTTTCCGCAGCTTGCTCCTATTTACACTCCATCAATGCCTATGATGGGCTGAGAAGTAAATGGTCCCAAGCTAATGGAGCAGCCTGTACTGGTTCCTCCCAATTCCGTAATAAAAGACAGTAAACACCCCAGTCCTCCAACCTCAGCTTCATTATGTCCTCATGGTGCCCTCCTGCTCTGTGACAAAGGTGGAGCCTGGGCAAATTGCCCAGTTTGGGGTCTGGAGGGCAAATCAGTTTCATGCCTCAGTAAACATTAGCAGGGTGTGAAGATGGGGAAGGCAGGTGTCTGAAACTGGTGCTGCCATGCACGGCTTATTCATCTCCAAATGCCGAGTCCTTAGTTCTTGGAAAATGCCAAGAAAAACCTCCAGATAGGGTGCTGGAGTGGTGGGGCCTCCGCCTGAACACTCACTGACAACAAAAAACCAAAGGGAACTAGACACTTGTGAGGGACTCCACTGGGGCCACCATACCCATTTATACTCTGCAGACTGCCTGGATCAGAATCCTCTAGGGAGCTGCTAGAAATGCAGACTGCTAGGTTTCCAACCAAGAGTCCCTAGCATCAGGTCTGGGGTAGGCTGAGAATCCACCTTTTTTTTTTTTTTTTAGATAGAGTCTCGTTCTGGCACCCAGGCTGGAGTGCAGTGGTGTGATCTCGGCTCACTGCAACCTCTGCCTCCTGGGTTCAAGCAATTCTCCTGCTTCAACCTCCCAAGCAGCTGGAATTACAGGTGACTGCAACCACCCCCAGCTAAAGTTTGTATTTTTAGTAGAGACTGGGGTTTCACCATGTTGTCCAGGCTGGTCTTGAACTCCTGACCTTCAGTGATTCGGCCTCCCAAAGTGCTGGGATTACAGGCGTGAGCCACCACGCCCAGCTGAGAATCCACATTTTTAAACAGCTCCTGAGGGGATCCTGGTGCATGCAGCCTTCGGTGAGAATCACAGGCCCCCAAGGTCAGGGCTATTAAAAAAATATTAAGATTAAGCAACCTTCCTGATGTGTGTGTGTTTCCTTATAAACTATGAAATCCACTAAAAAGCATTCACAAAAATGGGAATTTTTAAAATTGGATTTTTAGCTGGCTGGGTGCAGTGGCTCATGCCTGTAATCTCAGCACTTTGGGAGGCTGAGGTGGGTGGATCACCTGAAGGTCAGGAGTTTGAGACCAGCCTGGCCAACATGGTGAAACCTCAGTCTTTACTAAAAATATAAAAAAAATTAGCAGGGCATGGTGGCAGGTGCCTGTAATCCCAGCTATGTGGGAGGCTGAGGCAGGAGAATTGCTTGAACCCAGGAGGCGGAGGTTGCAGTGAGCCAAGATCATACCATTGCACTCCAGCCTGGGCAACAATAGTGAAACTTCATCTCAAAAAAAAAAAAAAAAAAAAAAAGGGATTTTTAGAATAAATATTCTGACATTTCCCCCACACTCTGGAGGGTCAGCTTGTGAACTTCCCAGGGAGCCAGCACCTCTCTCTGGAGGTCTCTGTTTTAGCTGGTGCTTTCCAAACCTCTGTAACCAGAGAGAAATACTTTTGACATCATGACACAGCATATGTGCATGCACACACACATACAAACACACACACACACACACACACACCACTAAAACAAAAGTTTAGCAAAATGAGACTTATTCCAGCTACATGAGATTCTGATAGTTTCTAGTCCAGTTTACTTTTTCATTAAAAAGAAAAAAGTCATGACCCACTAAACTGATTTGATAACCCCCTCTGAAGTGTTTTCCAACACTAGCAATCAATTCTCCAATTCTCCAGACACCAACTGGGTATACAACAATTCAGCTCAATTCTGACACTAATTACCTGGATGTAGAGTTAGACTCTGCAGACTTAAGGCTTCAGTCCCCCAAGACTGCCCCCACTTCAGATGCAGTTGTCTCAGGCCACCAGCCGGCTTCTGACTGGCCGGCTATATATCAGAGCTTTCCAGGCACAGTGACGAGATTTCTCCTAGGGCAAGGATGCCCAGCCAGCCGTCCCCTCCTCTTGCCATCTCCTCCTCTGGGACAGGAGGGTGGCGGCTTAGTCACAACACTGGGCACATCCTAGGGTGGGGCAGGCCTGAGAGGCTCTTCTCTTCCTTCCTCATTTTGGGTAATGGTGCCCACTTCTTGAGGCTAATGACTGCAGTGCCCAGGGCTGTGCCAGGGATCAGGCCCCATGATCCTTGCAAGGTGCTGAGCACAGCACCTTGGCACCAAGTAAATACTCAGGAAACCATCATGCATGTTCGTCTTCCTGTCGTCAAGGATGGAAACCCCGGCATCTCCACAGTCTCCCCCTGCTCCCTCCCTCAGGGGCTGCCCTCACCCCTCTGGTTCCCCTAGCCATTGCCTGGGGCAGTCACCTCCGCATAGGGCCAGGATGGCTGCAGCAGCCCCTTGCTGGTCTCTGCTCTCCCCTTCCTCCAATCCCACCACCTGCTATGGCCAGGTTGCTCGCTGAAGAGCAGTCTGATATCAGCAACAGGCTCACAGCACCTGCGGAAGGAAGTCCCTGCAATCCCTAGGCACGGCGTTCAAGGCTTTCCAAGCATTTTTACCTCCCACCCATTATGCGGTTCTGCCCATGAAGCCACTCCTGAGGCTGCCCATAGCTTTCCCACTGCCAGGCGTTTGCCCATGCTGTCTCCTCTGCCTTAAGTTCCCTTCCCGCCCTTCCTTGCCTGGCTCGCAACATCACTCTTCCACAAAGAGAGCCACAAGTCTCCCATATGTGGAGGGAGCGGCTGGAGTGGGGGCAGCACAGGGCATCCTCCCAGCCACGGGCCTGGTAGTCAGTCTCCTGGGCAGAAGCAGCTGGGGCTTGCGGGTCACACACACTTGGGTTCCAATTGGCTCAGAACTTGGCTGTGACACCAAGGCAGGTCACACCCCCAGCCTCAGTTTCTTTATCTATAACAGCAATAAGAACATGCTTGATCGTTTTTTGAGCCCTTACTTCATGCCAGGCGCTCTGCTAAACCCCTTCCAAGGATCAGGGAGTCTGATCCTCAGCACAGCCCTGGGGGCTGGCATCACTGAAGCGGTAATACCTTCCCTAAAGCTGTTATTGCTGTAGCGGTTAGAGGGAGCTCTGTGGGCAGTCGCAGCCCAAAGGCTCACTCCACACAGATGCCCCATCAGCAGGAGCCAGTCACGAAATCACTGCTGACACCCCACCCACCCTGATGGCTTTACCAGCTCTACACACCCGTCCCCTAGCCTCAGTGGGGTTTGCCTTAAGTGCTGGCCCTTGGGACCATCAGGGATTGTCCTGGTGCTGGAGCCTCACACATGCCTAGGAGTGGCCCCAGGTTTACTTTATGCTCCAGAGCTGCCGACAGGACCAGACTGAGGTTGGGGTCACCCTGCAGTCGCACCCTCACTGGGCTTCTCCCACTCCCAGTCCTGCTTCCCTACTCCCTCCTGCTTTCTCCTCGAGGGCAAGTCCTGAATCACCCCTTGTATATGAATCTTGTCCCAAAGTCTGCCCCTAGGAGACCCCCAGGTAAGCAACTGGTATCATTCACCTGGAAGAAGTTCTCAAACCCCGGTCTGAGACAGGCTTATTATAAACGCAGATTCCTACTTTGGGAGGCTGAGGTGGGCAGAACATTTGAGGTCAGGAGTTCAAGACCAGCCTGACCAACATGGTGAAACCCTGACTCTACTAAAAATACAAAAAAAATTAGCTGGGGGTAGTGGTGTGTGCCTGTAGTCTCAGCTACTCGGGAGGCTGAGGCGGGAGAATCGCTTGAACTCGGGAGGTGGAGGATGCAGTGAGCCCAGATCACACCACTGCACTCCAGCCTGGTGACAGAGTGAGACTCCAACCCCCACTCCCGCCGCCGCCAAAAAAAAATGCAGATTCCTGTGTCCCACCCCAGACCCACTGAGTCAGGATCTCCTGGGAGGAGTCTGTAGTTTTAACCAGCTATTCGGTGACTGTGGGACCCAGCCAGGTCTGGAAACCCTCTCTAGAGCCCTTACGCCAGTCCACCTAGGCTTTGCATTAGTTTGGAGTGAGCATCTTGAAGCAGAACCTGTCTTTTTTTTATTTCTGGGGGCAGAGGCTGCAGACAGAGCACAGAATGTGCTTCCTGAGTGCTGGATTGAGAGGGATGGGGGCGTCCTGCTCTGGGGAATCTTCACTGTGCAGCTTGGCCCTCTGGGGGCTGCCATGCTGTCATGGGGAATAAGCTCCAGGAACAGGCTCCCAGCCCAGCCCCCCGGGCCCCAAGTGCTCACTGACAAGAGGCTCTGGGAAGGGGAAGGGGCCTGGGTAGGCTTGCTCAGGACCAGGCCTGTGGTTCAGCATGGTGCTGGGGACACATGTCTAACTAAACGCCAGGGCTGACAAGCATCCACTGTAACACCCCTCTGTGCCATGTCCTGGAGGTGACACAAGGCACATGATATGCCTCTGGGACATCACCTGCTGCCTCCAGGACTTAGGCTCTGGAGGAGTCTGTAGGGCAGGATCTTAGAATTGCACAACCACAGAGCTCTAGATCTTTGATGTTCCATCTTGGCTAACATCCCCTTGATGGGGGAGGCAACTGGGGGCCAGGAGAGGTCAGGTGACTTGCCCAGGGTCACAAGCTTCTAAGTGATGGGTCTCCAACTCCCAGCCTGGGACTATCCCTCCCACAGCATCTCACTTCTGAGCTACTCACAAACTCAGGCCTGGGAGCTGACATCCCTCAAAATACAGTGATGCCAGGCTCTGTGCCCTGTGGCCTCCTTAAGGGTACCCTGGGAGTTTGAGGGTAGGCCCAGGGGCACCTGCTTTTCTGGAACATGGAGGAAAGGTTGAACAGTGACAGCAGTGAGCTTGGTGACCATGGCTCCAGAGCTCCCTGGACATAGAGGAAGTCGCTGCTCCAGCAAACCCCTATGGCCCAATTCATGGAAGTAGAACAAGGGCACTGACTGGGTGTGGGGGCAGGGTGCTGTTTCTTTTTTAGACAGGGTCCTGCTTTGTTGCTCAGGCTGGAGTGCAGTGGCACAGTCTCAATTCACTGCAACCTCTGCCTCCTGGGTTCAAGCCGTTCTCCTGCCTCAGCCTCCTGAGTAGCTGGGATTACAGGCATGTGCCACGACACCCGGCTAATTTTTCCATTTTTAGTAGAGTGCGGTTTTACCAAGTTGCCCAGGCTGGTCTTGAGAACTCCTGACGTCAAGTGATCCACCCGCCTCGGCCTCCTAAAGTGCTGGGATTACAGGTGTGAGCCACTGCGCTGGGTCGGTGCTGTCTCTTTACATGTGTTTCTTATTCCCTCCTTCAGCACCAATATAACGATATTATCATTCCCATTTAACAGAAGAGGAAGTTGAGGCTCAGAGAGATTAAATAACAAGCTCAAGTTCTGGGCTTTGCAACTATGCCATCATTTGTTCATTCACAGCACCTAACATGTGCCAAACACTGTTAGGCTTCTTCCACTATGGTTAGGAGCTTGGAACCTGCCTCTCTGAGAGCCTAACGTGTCATAACATACCAAGGGCCAGGAGGCCTCTGATGTTTTGCCTTGTGGGCCTACAGGCATCAGAATTACTGCAGGATGCACACAGTGAGGCCTCTGGAGCAGACAGTGTGGACTTTGGAGATGCGTCTGGTTTGAAACCCTGCCCTGCCATTTATCAGCTGGGCAAGTGACTTCTCTCAGTCTCCGTTTCCTCATCTGTAGAATGGGGATAACAAGAGCATTTACCTCCTGAAATTGTTCGCAAAATTTAAAAAGAGAATGGCTATAAAAGCCCTTAGCACAGTGCCAGGTACCTGGTGTGTCCTTAAGAGGCAGCAGCTGTTAGCATCAACTATTACTGGGGCAGGAAAATAGGGTCTGGAGGCAGGGAACGTAAGGCCAGTTCGCACTTCAGCTATGACAGGAAATATCCTCTCCATAGGGCGCAGGCCAAGTAAATGACTTTGTATCTTTACTTCATACTCTTCATTTACATAGGGTGTACCCCAAGTAACCAATGGAATCCTCTAGAGGGTATTTAAACTCCCCCAGATTCTGTAACGGTGCCCTTGAGGCCCTATGCTTGGGCCTGCTCCCACACTGTGGAGTGTACTTTCATTTTCAGTAAACCCCTTCATTCCTTCCTTGTTTTGCTCGTGCGTTTTGTCTAATTCTTTGTTCAAGATGCCAAGAACCTGGACACCCTCCACTGGTGACATATTTTGGCGAGCCAGCGGGGAGGAAGAGGTAAGTCCAAAGTTTGGGATTCCTTTTTCTCCTTTCTCTTTTTCCTTTCTGCTCCATACAGGGGAATCAATCAATCAATCAATCAATCTCTCTCTCTCTCTCTCTCTCTCTCTCTCTCTCTCTTTTCCTTTCCGACTCAGGACCCTTGGTGGGCAGCGCCTAAATACGAAAGCAACTGCAGGTTTCTGGCCGTGGCCAGTGAAACTAAGGCGTTTCCATGTGGAGAAGCCTAAATGCCACTGCCTGGTTCACTTAAGGGACCAGGGTCTTTTTCATTTTTTTTTCTCTCTCTTTCTTTTTCTGTCTTTCAGTGGCTGTTTCCCAGTAGCTCCTTGGAAGTTGAGGATAATTGGCTGGGGTCACTCCCCAGTGTTGCCTGAAGGCCTAGGAATGAATGGGAATAATTGCCCTGTCCAGAATGGGAAGGGATTCTTTTTTTTAAAAAAAATATTTTCTGAGTGTGGTCCCTGATCCCTACATGTGGCACAGCTCAGAGCAAACTCGCATGTTTCAGGACTTAAACCTTCTTTTCTTATGCTAAATTCTTCCCTTCTCCTATTCAACTGGCTAAGGGCAAAAGAAACCCACCCAGCCTCCAGTTCCTATCATTAAAGTTCACGGAACAGGAAGCATGGGAAAGCGTGGCCTTATCAAATTACAAGGATGCTAAAAGTCAGGGATTACACCCAGGTACCAAAGGAAAGCTCATAGCAGGCTCTGGAGGGAACACATGGAAAGTGGCGCCAGTGCCCACCTAAGGTCAGAGACATCTGACACTCTAAGATTGGAGCCCACAGGAGGATGCTCTGGGGGATCCTGCAGACCTCAACCTCCCCAAAGGGGATGCTCTTGGCAGAGGTTATGAGGTCTAGTACTAAGCCCTCCTTAGAATTTTCTCTTGCAGTTGCAATGCTGCTTGACCCCCAAATTGTTTAGAATCTGGAGTTTACTCTCTACTGGGAAAGTGGGATGGCATTGCATGGATCCCACTTGTGCTGCCGTTGTTAAGAACAAATAGTTCCTCTTCAAAGGGTTTTGGTTCCTGGTTCTTTGTTCTATTCTAAAAGGTAATCTTACCCATTCATCTATTAGCCCTCCCTATCTCCACTGTGCCTAAACACACCCAAGATATACTGTACCTGTTCTCCCTGTCAAACGCCCACCCTCGCCTCCTTTGATGATGTCAACAGTAGCCAATCGGAATTAGCCTAGATTGTGTGGTCCGACCCCAGCCCACAGGGGGAGGACACAGGAACAGGGTCTGCTTCAGGGATAAAAACTCCTGGTCTCCTTTGTTTTGCAAGCTCTCCCTTGCCTCTGCTTTGCATGCAGGAAGCGCCCTTCTATAGAAGTAAATTGCCTTGCTGAGAAAACTTTTGCCTGAATGCTGGGTTTCACTTCACAGCACTGACAATTTGTTTCTAACAATCTGGGGCCTTGCCCAGGATTCCCATTCTCCTCTGGGGAAGGGGTCTCTGGTCATCTCCCAGGGGGAGACGTGACCCACTGCCTTGCTGACGTGGCCTCAAGGGCTAGAGATTGGGACCCCACCCACTGTGACGAATAAACCTGGACTCTCGGCAACGTTGGAAGGAAAGACTTGCCTACAAATACCGTGGCGACCAGGTAACTTTGCGCACAAGACCAAAGTAAGAAAAGCTGTGGGGGCGGTGAAGTATTTCATTGGTGGTCGGGATATCCTGGAGGTTGAAAGTGTGTGTGAATGATCATAGGCACCACTGCTTGCGGTGCTGCTTGTGTGAATGGTGATAGGCATTACTGCTGTCCGGGGTGAGTGGGTCCTGTCTGTGGTTCTGTGGTTCTGTGGTCACCTCATCTTCATATGGCTTAGGGCAGATCCTGCCATGGGGCTTATACCTGCATGCCAATGCTAAGAGGGACCTAATTTCCTGTGAAGGAAGTGGCCAGATAGGATGAAGTGAATGGAAAGGAGTGCAAGAAACCTCCATTAATGGGGGTTGAGCCTCTAGAGAAAAGGGAAGGCAAGAGAACTCTAGTAAGAGAGATTGGGCCACACACACAGTCAAGGGGGCATCCAAAACTTCCAAGATGGGAAACACTCCTAGTACAACAGGGAAAGGTAAGGACGGGGATAGTCAGATCCCCTCTGATAGTCCTCTAGGTCTCATGCTGAAATATTAGAAGGAGAATGAGAGGAATAGGCACAAGAAAAAGCAACAGATGATAAAATATTGTTGTTTCATTTGGGCCAAGGAACCCATCCGCAAACCTGCCATCTTCTTGCCAAAATATGGATCAGATGAGGATTGGGTCTGTTAACTTTTAACTCAGTATGTGAATGACAAAAGTCTGGTCTTGCGGGAAGAGACTATGCCCTCTTCTGGAGAAAACAACCTGTTCTCCTCTTTCCCCTAAAGAATACAGGGGAAGGCGTAGTAAAACCAACCCCTAGGCAGAGGGATCCCAACTCCTGGAACCCTCTAAACCACCTTTCCCCATTTAATTCCCCCCAACTTGACCTGTCCCCTCCACAGGCAGCTGCTGCTACCCTGGACTCGGTCCCAGATCCTTCTGCTACTCCTATTATTCCTCCCCCTTATACTCTGACTCTTGGGAATTACCACCACCCCATGAGTCTGTTCCTTGTCAGCCTAAGTATCCTTCCCTAAAGGGACTACCATGTAAGAAGGATATTCAAAATCTTCCTTTCCCCTCTGCCTCTAAGGAATCAGCTCCAACTCTCTTCCCTTTGAGAGAGGTGTCCCAGGCAGGAGGAGCTACTGGCTTTGTAAATGCTCCCTTGACTAGTTCAGAGGTTCAAGGTTTAAAGAAAGAACTTAAGCCACTGCTAGATGACCCATATGGGGTAGCAGATCAATTCCTAGGCCCCCAGTTATATACCTGGGTCGAATTAATGTCCATCCTGGGTATCCTCTTCTCAGGGGAAGAAAGGGGGATGATTCACAGGGCTGCTATGACAATTTGGGAATGTGAACATTCTCCTGGCCAAAATGTTCCTGCAGCAGACCAGAAATTCCCAGCCCAAGATCCTCAATGGGATAATAACAATGCAGTCTGCTGGGAAAATATGAAAGATCTTAGGGAAATGATAATTAAAGGAATTCGGGAGTCAGTGCCCCATGCTCAGAATCTTTCCCGAACATTTGACATACAACAGGAAAAAGATGAAGGGCCCATGAAATTTCTAGAAAGACTAAGGGAACAAATAAGGAAATATGCAGATTTGGATCCAGAAGACCCTCTTGGGCAAGGAATATTAAAGCTACATTTTGTCACAAATAGCTGGCCAGATATAGCAAAGAAGTTGCAGAAACTAGAAAAACAAAAAACCGGTCCAGAGAGGAACCCCTAGGAGAAGCCCAAAAAGTATATGTGAGGAGAGATTAAGAAAAGCAAAAACAAAAAATGAAACTTATGCTATCCACCTTCCAACAGACGGCTTCAAGCCATATGCTTCTAAACAGAGACTCCAGGGGACCAGGAATTATAAAGGGTCCAAACCCAAGCCTCCAACTAGCGGACCCAGACCCTCAGCTACCAGGCCCTCTAAAGAGTATGGGGGAGCAAGGTCAAATAATCCTGGAAATGAGAGAGTGGGAGGACAGGATAGGTGCTTCAAATATGGAAGAGCAGGCCACTTCAAAAGAGAATGCCCTGAGTTGGGGAAGGAAAAAGAAACTGTCCTGCTCATGGCATAATAGTAGACCACCTCACCCATTGAGTTGAAGCCATTCCCCTCCCCGCAACAGCTAATAATGTGGTTAAAGTATTACTAGAGAAGATAATACCTCAGTTCGGGCCAGTAGAAAACACTGACTCAGACAACAGGAATCACTTTACCGCAAATATCATTAAAGGGCTTACTCAAACTTTAGGAATCAAATGGGAGTATCATGACCCCTGGCATCCATCCTCATCAGGAAGAATAGAAAGGATGAATCAGACTTTAAAAAATCATCTAAGTTAATTTCAGAAAGTCCATTACCCTGGACTAAGTGTCTCCCCATCGCTCTACTCAGGATCCGAACTGCCCCTCAAACAGATGTTGGCCTATCCCCTTATGAAATGCTCTATAGGTTACCATACTTAAGTTCCACTAGTGACAGTCCCACTTTTGAGACCAAAGATCAGTTCCTTAGGAATTATATACTTGGTCTGTCTTCTACCTTATCTTCCCTTAGGACTAAAGGTCTCTTAGCGCAAACGCTGCCTCTTGAGTTTCCAGTCCATCAGCACCGGCCCGGAGACTACGGCCTCAATAAGAGCTGGAAAGAAGAGAAACTTGAACCGTCCTGGGAGGGACCATATCTAGTGCTCCTAACAACTGAAACTGCAGTCTGAACTGCCGAGAAAGGATGGACCCATCACACCCGAGTCAAGAAAGCACCGCCCCCTCCAGCGTCATGGGCCATAGTCCCAGGGGAAAATCCTACCAAACTAAAGCTAAGGAAAGTTTAATTCTCTTTCATCTATTCTGTTACTCCTTCTTCTTTCCTTGTGCTCTTGCTAGCCACCTCATTATTAACGTAACTAGATCAGACTCACCCCAGACCATTACCTTCGATGCTTGTTTAGTTATACCTTGTGGGGATCTCCAAAGCCAGAGACAGCTTGCAGCAGCAGAGAAATATCTCTGCCCCTCCGAAGCAGATGCTTCTACCTTGTTTAGCTTTCCGTTTTGTCATACTTGGGAATATGTCGTTTGGACCACTCAACGTCAAGATTGGGTCCCCTCACAGGATTTCCCGCTAGCGGTTCTAAAGCCCTATATCCATTTTACTAAAGGAATTGCCCCTCCCAATTGTCGATATAACCAATGTAACCCGGTGCAAATTTCCATCACCATCCCAACTCTCCAAGATTCCTCCCCCACCCTAAACCGTTTCTATGGTATGGGAGCAGATGTAAGAGGGAAAGACCCCATAGGATTCTTCGAGTTGCACCTCAGTACATCTCCATCCCTCATATCTCCACGTCTATCCTCTTCTACACCTGCTAACCAGACCATTGTCTCTTCATCTAATGACAAAAGCAAAGTAGCTATTGTAGAGGTTAAAAATTTAAAACAAACACTGACAATTGAAACAGGATACAAAGAAACAAATGCCTGGATGGAATGGATTGAATATTCCGTTCGCAGTCTAAACAAAAGCGACTGTTACGCTTGTGCGCAAGGTAGGCCAGAGGCCCAAGTCGTCCCCTTTCCACTTGGATGGTCTTCTGACCAACCGGGCATGGGCTGCATGGTGGCTCTTTTCCAACACCCTACAGCCTGGGATAGTGAATTCTGTCGAACTCTCTCTGTGCTATTCCCTGAAACTCAACACCTTGAGGGTGAGCCCCCGAGGGCCATCCAGCCTCCATCTCCAGATGCCAAGTTTACTTCCTGTCTCTCACGACAGGGAAAAAATTTGGAGTTTCTTGGGGACCTAAAGGGATGCAGTGAGCTTAAGTCTTTCCAAGAGCTTACCAATCAGTCTGCACTTGTTCATGCCCGAGCTGATGTATGGTGGTATTGTGGTGGTCACCTGCTAGACACTCTGCCAAGTAACTGGAGTGGTACTTGTGCTCTAATTCAATTGGCCATCCCTTTCACCCTGGCATTTCAACAACCAGAAAAAAAGAAACCACAACGCCGTAAAACAAGAGAGGCCCCTCAAGGATCTTTCGACTCTCATGTCTATGTAGATGAAATTGGAGTCCCACAGGGGGTACCTGATAGATTCAAAGCCCGAGACCCAGTAGCTGCAGGATTTGAATCATTATTTCCAATGGTAGCTATTAATAAAAATGTAGCTTGGATAAATTACATCTATTATAACCAGCAGCGATTTATTAATTACACTAGGGATGCTATCCAAGGAATAGCTGAACAATTAGGGCCTACTAGCCAAATGGCTTGGGAAAACAGAATGGCCTTAGATATGATATTAGCAGAAAAAGGTGGAGTTTGTGTTATGATAGGAACCCAATGCTGCACCTACATTCCCAACAATACAGCTCCTGATGGAACAATTACAAAAGCTTTACAAGGTCTTACCTCCTTATCAGATGAATTAGCCACAAATTCTGGGATAACTGACCCTTTCACAGGATGGTTAGGGCAATGGTTTGGTAAATGGAAAGGACTCATGGCCTCTATTGTTACCTCTCTCGCAATCGCAATAGCTGTGCTTATTCTTGTTGGATGCTGCATCATGCCCTGCATTCGTGGACTAGTCCAAAGACTTATAGAGACAGCTAGTAACAAAACCTTCCCTAGTTCTTCCCAATCCTATAGTAACAAATTCTTCCCCGTGAACGAACACGAAATCCGAATCATATTAGATAGGTTTAAAGCAGAACATGTATAAATTCAAGAGGAGGAAATTGTTGTTGACCACAAATAGTTCCTCTTCAAAGAGTTTCTGTGCCTGGTTCTTTGTTCTATTCTAAAAGGTAATCATACCCATTCATCTATCAGCCCTCCCTCTCTCTGCTGTGCCCAAACACCCCAAAATGTACTATACCTGTGCTTCCTGTCAAAGGCCCACCCTTGCCTCCTTTGATGATGTCAACTGTAGACAATCGGAATTAGCCTAGATTGTGCGGTCTGACCCCAGCCCACAGGGGGAAGACACAGGAACAGGGTCTGCGTTAGGGATAAGAAAATCCTGTTCTCCTTTGTTTTGCATGCTCCCCCTTGCCTCTGCCTTGCATGCAGGAAGCGCCCTTCTACAGAAGTAAATTGCCTTGCTGAGAAAACTTTTGCCTGAGTGCTGGGTTCACTTTGTGGCACTGAAAATTTGTTTCTAACAGAACAGGAAGGATGGGAAGGCATGGCCTTATCAAATTATAAGGATGCTAAAAGTCAGGGATTACACCCAGGTACCAAAGGAAAGCTCATAGCAGGCTCTGGAGGGAACACATGCAAAGTGGTGCCAGTGCCCACCTAAGGTCAGAGACATCTGACACTCTAAGATTGGAGCCCACAGGAGGATGCTCTGGGGGATCCTGTAGACCTCAACCTCCCCAAAGTGGATGCTCTTGGCAGAGGTTATGAGGTCTAGTACTAAGCCCTCCTTAGAATTTTCTCTTGCAGTTGCAATGGCTGCTTGGCCCCCATATTGTTTAGAATCTGGAGTTTACTGTCTACTGGGAAAGTGGGATGGTGTTGCATGGATCCCACTTGTGCTGCTGTTCTGAGCAAGGAGCCTGGTTAATGTGTGATGCCCTCCTTTGGTACTGTTTGGCTCCAGCACTCTTTGGAGTCTGGGGAGGTCTGGCCTTTAACAACCAAACTGCTTTACCCGAAATTTTGGTTCATAGCCTTCATTGGCTTATCTATTGGGGTAAAGTAAAACCAGTAAGCTTGTATTGCTATCTCATGGCTAAGGTTCCGAGCTACTGGATTTTCATTTATGTGTGTGTATACACGTCTAGATGTGTTTATTTGTATGTACACTTACTGTTATATGTTGTCTACCAAAACTGGCAGAAAGTCTAGCACCTTTTAAAGGGTCTCAATAGGAAACATTTGTTTTCGATTGTTTCTAAGGGCAGCCACTATGAGACTTCAAAAGAACCTTGGTTTTTCACAATCTTTTATGAACATTTCCTTTCTATTGATCCCAGGTCCTTAGACAAAAACTCAATCAATTGTCAACCATAAAATGTTTAAATTTACCTATAGCCTGGAACACTGCTCCCCACCCCCAACAGTTTTCAAGTTGTCCCACCTTTCTGAAACAAACCAATGTATTCATGTATTCCTTAATTGTATTTGACTGATGTCTCATGCCTCCCTAAAATCTATAAAACCAAGCTGCACCCCAACCACCTTGGGCACATGTTCTCAGGACCTCCTGAGGGCTGGGTCATGGGCCATGGTCACTCATATTTGGTTCAGAATAAATCTCTTAAAATATTTTACAGAGTTTGACTCTTCATCGACAGTAAAACAAGAAGTATTGTAAAAAAATGCATCAGAAGTTTGGTAATTCTTTTTTTTTTTTTTTTTTTTGAGACGGAGTCTCGCTCTGTCACCCAGGCTGGAGTGCAGTGGCGTAATCTTGGCTCACTGCAAGCTCCGCCTTCCGGGTTCACGCCATTCTCCTGCCTCAGCCTCCTGAGTAGCTGGGACGGGGTTTCACCATGTTAACCAGGATGGTCTCCATCTCCTGACCTGGTGATCCACCTGCCTTGGTCTCCCAAAGTGCTGGGATTACAGGCATGAGCAACCGTGCCCGGCCCAGCAATTCTTTTTTAAATATAGTTAAGCATGAAGCTGGATTTAGTGCAAAGCCAAATCTCACATACATGCTTGCATTGCTTCACACTATGTTTACTCTTTTGCATGGATAGTGCTGGAGTACTTATTGGCCATGTGCCTAAAGTCAATTTCTTAATTGCACAGGCTGTATGAAAATATTGGCGAACTTAAGGATACTGAATTACGTGTCAGGATTAAAATATTCATTATGTGGGTTTTTGGGGGCCCTAGGTAACACTGTAGCCTCCAGGGTAAATTGAGTAGGAAAACTTAGGGTTGGTTTCCTGTTTATTTGTTTTTGACTTCTAGTTTTCATTCACTTGCTGTTTATTCTCCTCTGGCTTTGCTTGTGTATCCATATGTATAAAACTATGATTTTTTTTAGTTCCTAGTGGAAGGCTTTCATTTGGTTCTGTGAATAGTTATTTTGTTTCCCATGTATTTCTAGCAAATCATCATTCATTCCATTTATCTGGAATTCCAAAGCTACCTTTGTCGGGCCCAGAGGAATTAATGGAGCACACCAACTTTCTACCTTTAAACAAACTTTTTGGATTTTAGGCTTCCTGATAATTTAAGTGTTCTGCGTATACTCTTGTAAATAGAATTTGAGTCATATTTCTCTCTCTCTGCCTAACGTCTCCACAATTTGTAAACTGTTTGTGAATATTCTTAATTCATGGCAATGTGTTTGTTTGCATATGGTCAGGCAGGGTCGCTAGGGCCACTCAGAGAGAGAACCCAGAAACCTGGCATGCCAGCAAAAGGGTAAGAGTTTCTTACTAGTCAGTCTCTGGCTTCTTTCTCTCTGTGCAAACTGGTTAAATATAAAGGAAAAGTCACTGTTTGTCTCCTCTGTAAAGTTTTACATTAATTGGTTTAATAATAATAAAAGCTTAAGTCAAATATTTTGTCGGAAAAGTGAAAAATGTAATGCCTTTTATTTAGTTCATGTGACTTGAGTAATCTTTGGGAAATAAAGACAGTTTTATTGGTAAAACACAAATGTCTTCAAAATGTAAACATGTGGTCCAAATTATGTTCAAATATTGGGCTTGCTAAATGCTTGAAGGTCATAAGTTGCTTCTTTGCCTTTCGAAAATTGTTTAACTTGCCTGCTTTCCAGCTAGGTAAGGCCTGGGGACATGCGGAGTTGGCCACGCTTCTAGCTATGCTGGAAACAGTCAAACTTTATCAGAACATAACTTACCAGGTTTTACTTTAAAATTCGCCATTATAACATGCAGTTAAGACTACTAGAGGCCGGGCGTGGTGGCTCAGGCCTGTAATCCAGCACTTTGGCAGGCCGAGGTGGGCAGATCACGAGGTCAGGAGATTGAGACCATCCTGGCTAACATGATGAAACCCCGTCTCTACTAAAAATACAAAAAATTAGCCAGGCGCTTGTAGTCCCAGCTGCTCGGGAGGCTGAGGCAGGAGAATGGTGTGAACCTGGGAGGCAGAGATTGCAGTGAGCTGAGATTGCGCCACTGCACTCCAGCCTGGGCAACAGAGTGAGACTCCATCCCAAAAAAAAAAAAAAAAAAAAAAGACTACTAGAAACAGTTTTACATGCAAGGTATATAAGAACAGTAGAATGTGTGTGTGTTTTTTTTTGTAAAAGGTTATAAAAGGTTTCTACTTCTTTAAAATTTCTGAGTCATTTTGGCAAAATAAATAATTTATGGTACTCTGGAATTCCAAAATCAAACTTCAGTTTCAAAATTGTCTTTCCTGATGCCTGATTTTTTGGATGGATCAGAGGGCCCCTGAAAACATCCAGAAAGGAGGTAAACAGGATTATTTGACATGTTTAGGTACATGAGATTGCCAAAATGATGTTCGATCTTCCTTAGGTTATATTTTTGTGAATAATACTAATATGTGTTACAAAATTGTATGGGATTTCTAAAATGTTAATGTCTAAGTATATGCTATCAATTATAATTATGATTATTATGCTAAGTGATTATAAACCACACACAAAAAACAAATTTTCTTCTCAGTGCTATGTACCTAATTTGGAAAAACAACTAGTATCCAAGATAATATAAGTCTAATGTTAATTAAGCATGGCCTCATGGAGAACCAGGATGGCCACCTTGTCCTTCCTGAGTCCTTAAAGCTTTTATTATTAAGAGTTCTGCATTCCATGACTCAACATGGAAAAAATAAAATGATCCAAATTGAATACATTGATGTAGTGGCTTACAAATTACTGAAATTGTTTATAACCAATGTTTGATCCCATATTCCTGGGAAAACAATTAAAGCTTCAGGTACAATTGGTCACCTGGAGGCCACTTAAACATTTTACAAAGGGATTTCATTCAATTGGTATTTTCAGTGCATGTGTTCTGGTTGTATAAAAGCTTTCCCATGCAAGAGGGCTGATGTTATAACAGTAGATTATTATGCTATAGTGTATTTTCACCAGGTAAAAAAGCTTTTATAGTTTAGATCTTCTGAGAACATCAGAGAAAGACTGTCCTTGCCATCCACATTGCAACAAAACTTCGGGACCTGGAACTTTGGGTTCATAATCTCAAAACTGTGAAGGGTCCCTCCATACTCTTGGAACTGTATACCCATTGGAACCCTTGGGGTAAGGCTAACCAGGGGTGTTTCTCCCCAGAAGACGATGGCATCCTTGATGTGAACAGCTTTTCCCAAGTTCACAGATTAAGGCCTCCACTATCATGAAACTCTTATCTTTGAATATTTTCCCTTGCTTATGCCTCTGTGAACAATAGAAGTGGAAAAGGGGTCTGTTTTGTGCACTTATGGGGTGTACTTTTATTCGTGCAGGAGTTTGCAGCCAGCCTTATACATGAAGAACCTTATACTTTGATGGATAAAGGATAAAGGCCCAATGCAGGTTAAAAAAAACTTTAATGGTACCTCATTATGGCTGCCTCACAATCAGTCAGAAACGAAACATTGGTTCATTTCTCTTAACCCACATCACAGGTTAAAGATATCATTGCCAGGAGGCCTTCACTCTTCTAGAAGGGCATAATTTATTAGGTCCTTTTTCCATGGTTTAAAGTAAAAGAAGCAATGATTAGCAATATATCCCTTATGACAGGCTCTACAGCAAATTCTACTGTAAAGGCTACAGTTACACAACAGACTTTAAATTTTCTTGTGAAAGTTATGATAGAATTGGCTGAACAAAGACATATCTGTGCAGCTGCTGGCACATGTGGCCTATGGAGAAATACAGCAAATGAAGATTATAGAAATTCAGTGCTAGGGGATTAACAAAGAAACTGCTTAGTTAAGTCATTCTTTGGTCTCTTTGATTTTAGGAGGTTTGGCTTGTGGGGACCTTGGGTAAGGAGCATACTCCAATTTCTTACTATTATCCTCCCAATAGTCATAGTGATAGTTTCCCTGTTGGGCTGTATTCTCTCAAAGGTTTTAAATGCTTGCATGCAGCCATCTCTAGAATGTCATATGGTCTCTCTCCAACTGGAATAACAGGAGCTGAAAGAAATATGTGACCATGAGGACACCGTAACCTATGAATGATGGGCTAAGTAAGACCAGAAACCCAAAATGATGGTAACAGAGAGTGGCACTAAGGCCCTAAGTTTTGGTCACGTTCTCACCTAAGTGACCAAAGTGAGAACGTGACCAAAAAGGGGGGAATTTTTAAATTTATTTATTTTGGTTTTTTTTTTGAGATGGAGTTTTGCTCTTGTTGCCCATGCTGGGGTGCAATGGTACGATCTTGGTTCACTGCAACCTCTGCCTCCCAGGTTCAAGCAATTCTCCTGTTTCAGCCTCCTGAGTAGCTAGGATTACAGGCGCCCGCCACTACGCCCAGCTAATTTTTGGTATTTTTAGTAGAGACGGGGTTTCACCATGTTGGCCAGGCTGGTCTCGAACTCCTGACCTCAAGTGATCCACCGGCCTCGGCCTCCCAAAGTGCTGGGATCACAGGTGTGGGCCACCGTGCCTGGCCAGGAATTTGTTAAACAAAATTCTGGCAGGCTGTTGTTTTGGACTAAGCTCATGCACTAGGCCCCAACAAACCAAACCAAAATGGTATCATTTGTGCTAAGACTTTAAGGAAACACATAGGTTTTAGAACAGACCAGGTTTTCTTCTTTTCTCCTGCAAATCTCTGTAACAAACATTCTTGACAGCATAGGTATCCACCCCCTGAAGTTCCCATTAAATCTTTTAACCAATTTCATTTCCTCTCGCATAGAGACCATCAAGCTTCAGATGAACAGCAACAAAGGTTCCAGCCATTTGCAGGTGAATACACCAACCCTGCCCATCAAGAAGCTATCCTGCCTCCACTATACAGAGCAGGGTGAGAGTTCCTTGATCCCCAATAGGTAGGGACTACACCCCAAGCCAGCATGAAGCAGTTACAGAAAAAAAAAGATCATTGGTCCCTCTGCCTCCTATAAAGATTTATGGGGATCACCTCTCTCAGGGAAGATATGAGGCAGGAAAAATAGGGTCTGGAGGCAGGGAACATAAGGCTGATTCACACTTCAGTTATAACAGGAAATATCCTCTCCATACAGTGTAGGCCAAGTAAAAGACTTTGTAACTTTACGTCATCCTCTTCATTTACATAGGGTGTACCCCAAGTAACCAGTGGACTCCTCTAGAGGGTATTTAATATTCCCAAAATTCTGTAACGGTGCCCTTGAGGCCCTATGCTTGGGCCCGCTCCCACCGTGTGGAGTGTACTTTCATTTTCAATAAACCCCTTCATTCCTTCCTTGCTTTGTGCATTTTGTCCAATTCTCTGTTCAAGACACCAAGAACCCGGACACCCTCCACCGGTGACATTATCAGCCTCATTTTTCCTGCCCATCTGGACTCAGGAGGGTCCTGGTAGGTGGGGAGGGGGTGCTCTAGGTTGAGCATGGTTTTCTTCAGAGGCAGCAGGGGTTGTGGGCCTGGAGCCCACTGCTGGACCCCAACACATACCACCCCATTTTAAACCAGCCCTTGTCAAGGTCCCGTAGCTTAAGTCATTGACTTATGGCACCAAAGTGTATTTTTAAATTCTTACTGACCCAAAACCAGTTCTGAATAAACAGGCAGTTCTCAGGGTGGTTAGCAGACACCCGCTCCACCCAGCAGCTGCTTAGTAATCACAAGCTACCTCCCATGAAGGGGGATCAGCCCCTGTTGCTGCCCCTACAGGAAGTTTCTTCTAGAACCCCTGCAATGGGAGGCCTGGTCCACGCAGGACTCCAGGCTGTCCTTGAAGCTGATGATACAGGAAGCTGAGAGACAGGCCGTGAGCCAGAGGGGCAGGTGTGGAAGGGAGGGGCTCTTATCAGATAGTGTGAGAAAGCCTCAGAGCCAACACATCCTCTGTGGTTCCCAGAGGGGCCTGTGCCCTCTCTCTGCATCCTCTGGGCCACACCCCTCCCTCTGGGGCTTCCCTGTGAAGTCCCCTGCACCCACCCAGGGTTGCATGTGATGTTTGCTACAACCAGATAACCTCCTGCAGGGCCGGGTCTACTCACCTACTGACACAGTAGAACGCAATCAATCTGAAGATGTCCTCAAACACAAGAGCCGAGCCTTCCAGGTACAATACTGGGGAGACACAAGAAGGGCCCTGGGTGAGGTGAGTATCCTGCCAAGGAAAATGGGGGAAGGAGGTGGCAAGGATGGGGTCGGGGGGCGTGTCTGCTGCACACATTCTGGGTCCCATGCTGGGCTGCATGCGGCCCCCATACACATCAGCTGCCAGCTGGACCTTAGGTAAGTGAGAAATGGAATTCCTTGTCAATCCATTGAGATTTCAGGAGATTACCTGTTTGTATTAGTCCATTTTCGAGCTGCTGATAAAGACATACCCGGGCCGGGTACAGTGGCTCATGCTTGTAATCCCAGCACTTTGGGAGGCTGAGATGGGCGAATCACAAGGTCAGGAGTTCAAGACCAGCCTGGCCAACATGGTGAAACCTGTCTCTACTAAAAATACAAAAAATTAGCCGGTGTGGTGGCAGGCACCTGTAATCCCAGCTACTTGGGAGGCTGAGGCAGGAGAATCACTTGAACCCGGGAGGCGGAGGTTGCAGAGAGCCGAGACTGCACCACAGCATTTCGCCTGGGCAACAGAGTGAGACTCTGTCTCAAAAAAAAAAAAAAAAAAGACATACCAGAGACTGGATAATTTATATATATATATATATATATAAAGAGGTTTAATGGACTCACAGTTCTATGTGGCTGGTGAGGCCTCATAATTACGGTGGAAGGCGAAAGGCACGTCTTAATGATGGCAGACAGAGAATGACAGACAAGCGAAAGGGGTTTCCCCTTATAAAGCCATCAGATCTCGTGAGCCTTATTCACTACCAGGAGAACAGTATGGGGGAAACCGCCCCCATGATTCAATTATCTCCCACCAGGTCCCTCCCACAACTCGTGGGAATTATGGGAGCTATAATTCAAGGTGAGATTTGGGTGAGGACACAGCCAAACCATATCACTATTAGGATAGCTGGTGTTAATATACACTCATCATTTTTGACAAAATAACACAGAAGTTTCTAGACTGTAAATGCAGAATTAAACATTTAATAGATCACAGTCATCCCAAGCAACAGTCTTAGAACTTGGCAATTCTGAGGCCCAGTAGAGGCCAGGAGGAAGGGTGTTGCCCAGTTCTGCCTCAGCCTCCAGGAGGAACATGGGTCTGGGGCACTGAAGTGGGGCCACTGGCCTGTCACCCAGATCTCCAGGGCCTCTCAGAACCTGAATGGCTGCACAGCTCACCCAAGGGCGAGGGCTACCCTGATGTTTTACAGCTCTGGCAAGGAAGAGGGATCAAAGCATTTGTTCAAAATCCATGCCAAGGTGGATGGGGCTCCTCGGAGGGGCAGGGTGCCAGGATGCCACCGTCAGTGCCTGCAGCTGGGGCCAGACTGACCAGTGGAGAACACGGCACCATGCTCTGCCCTGCTTGGGAAAGCCAGGGCGAAGGGCCCAGAGAGGCTCAGCAGGTTGTTGGAGGTCCCACTGTTCATCAGTGCCCCACAGGCACCTGCCCCACAACTCCTGACTCATCCTCACACTCAAATGGTCATGCTCCCTGCACGTGAGAGCCCCACATGAGCGCTCTCTGGCTCCAGAGGGGCCAGGAAACATGTGCATGTCCCACTGTGGTCCTGGTCTCCCGAGGTTCTAGTTTCCATGTGATGGAGAGGGAAGGCAGGACCCGGCTTCCAGGTCTGGCTCTGAGCCTGGAACAGACAATGAGGCTTAGAGCGTGCCCTTTCCCCCCTCAGTGCCTCTGTCCTTCCACCTGTAAAGGGAAAGGAGCTCTTCCCTAAAGCCACACGCACATAGGTGACATCAGTTTGCGGACCTGTTTTCAAAGCCCAGGACTGCACTCCACAGCATTAGAGGTCTGTGAGATGCTTATAGTGATACGCGAACCAACATGTTGTGTTCAATTAGCTTCATTTTTATATTTGCCTTCTTTCTGCATATCAAACACTGTTCTTAACAGTTCACATAATTAAAAAAATTATATTTGTCTATGGCAAGGAGATAGAGACAAAATTTTAAAAGAGAATTTAAATAAAATATTAACTAGATGGTGGTACAGGAGGTATTTGGAGGATGCCTACAAATGACTTAAGTCTGAAAGACCCTAGCTGGTGGTGTTGGAATTCACAGGATGCCCCGAGCGTCCCAGTGCCACCTAGTGCCCGCATCTGGTGCATTGCCGACTCCTTCCACAAGGGGCAGCACAGGTGTGGCCAAGGGAGGCTGGGGTCAAAAGACTTCCGGCAGCAGAGAGGGGAGACAGAGGTTCCATCTGTAAGATGGGAAGGGAAGGAAGGACCTTCCTCAGGAATGCCTGGAGTGGGTTAGTGGCAATGCACACAAAAAGCCCAGCCTACATACCAGGCATACTCAACAATCAGCGGCTTTCCTTCCCATTGAGGCACGGCCTGATCTTTGCAGAACACAGATAAACTTTGAAGACGAAGTCAGTCACACCCCCTTCTGTGCCCCCTGGCACTTTACACAAAGCCCTGGACTCCCTTCCTGAAACAGCATCCTTACAAGGCTTTGGTATCTAGTCCCCTTGCTGGGTTAGCTGCTACTGCAGGAACTAGGGCTTATTCGCTTTGGCAGCCAGGGCCCAACACGACGCTAGACGCAGAGGCCCAAATACTGTTTTACTGTTAAAACCCCAGATTTGTAAAATCATAAGTAATGCTTAAGGCTCATGCTTGTTTCTTTGCAATTAAACCTCTCCCCTGGCCCCAGCCCCTGCCCTTTCTGCCACCTTTCCATTCCTGACTATGCAAACAGCATCTCTTCACACGAAGGCAACACACGGGGAGACCCTGCATGCTGGGGCAGGGTTTGGTCCATCTTTGAGTCTCCCTTAGCATCCAGCACAGTGCATGGGAGACTGATGAATGTTTACTAAAAGTCTGTCTGGGAAAGACACCCTAGAGGGGTAAAGGCCACAGGGGCATCACGGACAGGGTCTTGGACCTCTTACCACGTGGCTGATGGCCCTTCCCTCTAGGGCCCCAAAGGGACACCTTGGACTTGAGGAAGTCCCAACAAACAGCCTCGCACCTTTCTAGAACAAAGGTGAGTGCAGATTGGTACAAGACAAACAATCCTTTGTTCTGATGGGTGGTGGGCTTAGCTTCTAGACTGCCCCCTGTCCTGTACTGCACCGGCCGGGTGTCTTGCCTGTGGGTTCCTAGGCCACACCACCTGCCCGTGAGCATGTGCCGAGGTTGTTGCTTCTCTCTGTGCCTCAGTTTCTTCACCTATAAAACAGGTGATATGGTTTGGATCTGTGTCCCCACCCAAATCTCATGTGCAATTGTAATCCCCAGTGTTGGAGGTGGGGCCTGGTGGGAGGTGATGGGATCATGGGGGTGGGTCCTTCATGAATGGGTTAGCACCATCCCCTCGGTGCTGTTCTCTGATAGAGTTCTCACGAGATTTGCTTGTTTAAAAGTGTCTGGCCCCTGCCCCCCACCTTGCTCTGCTCCCACCACGTGAGACACCTTGTTCCCCCTTTCCTTTAAACCGTGATTGTAAGTTTCCTGAGGCCTCCTCAGAAGCTGAGCAGATACCAGCATCATGCTTCCTGTACAGCCTGCAGAACTACAGTCAATTAAACTTCTTTTCTTACAAATTACCCAGTCTCTTTCTTTATAGCAATGCAACAACAGACGAACACAACAGGGGTAGTAAAGTACCCACCTGTTGAGGATTGACTTGTGTTCCTGCAAAAGATATGTGAATGTGATACATGTGAATACGTGTGAATCTCTAACACACGTGAATATGACCTTATTTGGAAATAGATTCTTTGTAGATGTAACCAAGCTGACCTCATACTGCATTAGAGTGGGCCCTAAATCCAACGGTTGGTGTCCTCATAAGAAGGCCATGTGATGGGCTGGCTGCGATGGCTCACACGTGTAATCCAAGCACTTTGGGAGGCCGAGGCGGGTGGATCACCTGAGTCTGAGACCAGACTGGCCAACATGGTCAAACCTGTCTCTACTAGAAATAAAAAAAATTAGCCAGGAGTGGTAGCAGGTGCCTCGGGGGGCTGAGGCATGAGAATCGCTTGAACCTGGGAGGCAGAGGTGAGATCGTGCCACTGCACTCCAGCCTGGGGGATAGAGCGAGACTCTGTCTCCAAAAAAAAAGAAGGTCATGTGAGGGCATGGGACACAGACCCAGCGAAGGGAATGCCATGGGAAGCTGGAGATGGAGATTGCAGTGATGCAAGGAATGCCAGCCAAGGAATGCCAAAGATTGGCAGCAACCACCGGAATACAGGAGGGAGGCATGGAACAGATGCTTCCGCAGTCTCCAGAAGGAACCAAGCCTGTCCACGCCTTGATTTCCGATTTCTGGCCTCCAGAACTGTGAGAGAATGAGTTTATGTTGCTCTAAGGCTCCTAGTTTGTGTAATTTGCAGTGGCAGCCATAAGAAGCGACTACACCACCTCATAAACATCACTGTGAGCATGAAATAAATTATGCCATGGGAGTGGCTTGGAACAGTGCCCGTGTGTTCAGTCAATGGGGATATTACTAAACTGTCATTTTACACATGCAAGGCAATGTGGTGTGAGGCAGGGGTGCAGGGAAAGGGTTTTGTGGACCCACTGGGTCTCATTTCCTATTGCTCCTCAACAGAAATCCTGTCTGTTGGCTGGGCATTTTCTTCCCTATCTCCTGTTCCTACAGTCCTCACTCCCACCTCCTTGCCTCTGCTCATGCTGTTTGTCCTGCACAGAGAATCCCTGCAGCTCCAGAGTCCAGCTCTAGATCCACCTTCTACACCAAAGTCTTTGTTTCCCAGGGATTCCACCCTCTCCCATCAGAAAGCCACACACAGGGTGCACTGCCCAAAATGCCCATCAGGGAAATGCCGCCCATGTGTTTTACTGTGAGAGGCAGGGGCTGTTGGACTACAGCCGGGGCAGGAGCAGGTCTCACTTTTCCCTGTCCCCTGCCCTGAGCCCAACACCATGCCTGCCACACAGTGAGGACCCGTAAAGAACAGTTGGGCGAAAGGGGCCTTCAGGTGTTAAGATCCAGAATGGGCCAAATAAACAGAGACAGAAAGGATATCAGCGGTTGCTTAGGGCTGGGGGTAGGGGGAGATAGGGGGATGCTAGCTAAATGGTATGGGCTTCATTCATTCTCTTTTTTTCTTTCTTTTTATAATGGTAAACTATAAATAATACACAATTTAGCATTTTAACCATTTTTAAGTGTACAGTTCAGTGGCATTGAGTACATTCACGCTGCTACACAACACAAGGTGTCTTTTCTGAGGTGATGAAATGTTCTTAACTGACTGTGATGATGGTTGCACAACTCTGTGATACACTAAAAGCCATCGAATTGTATACTTTAAATTGCTGAATTGTATGATATTTAATACTTAAAATTTTTTTTTCTGCCAGCGCCTTGATCTTGGAAGATATTGAATACATTAAATAAACACGTCTGAATAAAGCTGTTATCTAGTAGAAAGATATTGATACATTAAATAAACACATCTGAATAAAGCTGTTATTAAAACCAGAAACACACATACATACACACACACACACACACACACACACACACACACACACACACAGACTGAATTTCACTTCCTGCATTCTGTTTTCCTGCGATTTTTTATAATGAGCATATACAACTTCTGTAAGCGGAGACAGTCAAGATTTTTCTCTAAAGCCCATTGGTTTCCAGTGTCCTCTCAGTTCACTCTGCTTTCAGTAGCAGATCAAAACCCTACTAGTACAGCTGAAAAGCCCCCGTGCCACCTACTGCCCAGGAGACCACATCACCCATGAACCTGCCAAGACAGCTCTGATAGAGCCTCAGGCCGTCCAGCACCCGCTTCTGCCCTGGGCAGGGAGCCGGCCAGCCTACTCCTCCCAACAAAATTGCCAGCTCCAGCAGTTCCTGAGACTTGTCACGCTGAGTACATTCTCCCATATCCCTCAGCAAAAGCCTCAGGGGAAACATACCAGACCCTGTCCAAACCGTCTCAAGAGGTGAGGTGTGAGAACAGGCACCAGGCAGCCGAACCCAATGCACTCCAAGGTGACAGCAGGTGACAACAGACTCTGCCCTGGCTCAGAAGAAAGGAAGCCTTTCACCAGTGACTCACCCTCAAGGCTGTGTCAGGGGCAGGTAGAGATGCTGGGTACACACATGCCAGCCCAGCCCCTGGCACTCACAATCTCAACATCAAAATGGAACATCCATGAAGAACTGAAAGCGATTAGGTGTTTTTGTTTTTAAAGAGGTTCAGTTTTTCAGGAATGGAAAAACTATATATCATATGTTCTTACTTATAAGTGGGAGTTAAGCTATGAGATCGCAAAGGCATAAGAGTGATAGAACGGACTTTGGGGAGTTGGGTGGGAAAGCTGCATGTGGGGTGAGGGATAAAAGACTACATGTTGAGTAGAGTGTACACTGCTCAGGTGATAGGTGCACCAAAATCTCAGAAATCATCACTAAAGAGCTTATCCATGTAAACAAAACCCACTTGTACCCCCAAATTAAAATAAATAAATTTTTTAAATGCAAGTTTTTTGTATAATTTAATAAACAACTTAAAAATGCTAAGAGAGAGAGGCTGGGCACGGTGGCTCACACCTGTAATCCCAGCACTTTGGGAGGCTGAGGCAAGCAGATCAGTTGAGGTCAGGAGTTCGAGACCAGCCTGGCCAGCATGGTGAAACCCTGTCTCTATCAAAAATACAAAAATTAGCTGGGCATTGTGGCAGGTGCCTGTAATCCCAGCTACTCAAGAGGCTGATGCAGGAGGATCATTTGAACCCAGGAGACAGAGGTTGTAGTGAGCCAAGATCGTGCCACTGCACTCCAGCCTGGGCAACAGAGTGAGACTCTGTCTCAAAAAAAAAAATGCTAAAAAAGAGAGAGAGAAATTCAGTTTTATCATTCAGCAATGCAAACGAACTGTCAAGAGCAGAGACTGTGTGTGCATCTTCTGTTTTGCACAGAACCCCCAGCATATACCATGGTGGTTGGTACATTGCCAGTTCTCAAATATTTATTTAATTGCATTAATAAAATAAATAACTGTATTCATAAAATGGTTTATTTTGGAATGCTTATAGATTCACGAGAAGTTGCAAATAAATGAATAGGGAAGTCCTGTGTACCCTTCACCCAGTTCCCCCCAGTGGTAACATCGGTCATAATTAGAGCACAATGTCAAAACCCGGAAATTGACCTCAATGCAATCCCCAGATGCCATTCAGATGTCAGCAGTTTTATATGCACTCATTTGTGTGTGTGTGTGTTTGTATAGTATTAGGCAATTTTATCACATAGGTAGCTTCGCACAGTCACCACAATCAAGATATTTAGCTCATCCAACACCACAGAGCTCCCTTGTGCTATCCCTTCATAGCCACATCTACCCCCTCCCCATCACTAGCCCTGACAACTAATCTGTTCCAGTCTCTATGATCACATTATTTCACAAACATCATATAAGTTGAATCACAAAGTATATATCTTTTGAAGACTGGCTTTTTTCAGTGTAACTTCCTTGAGGTTCATCCAAGTTGTTCCGTGAATCAACAGTTCATTGCCTTTTACTGCTGAGTAATATTCTGTAGTAAGGATGTACCATGGGTTTGTTTAGGCATTCATCCACTGAAGGACATTTGGATGGTTTCCAGTTTTTAGTTACTATGCATGAAACTGCTGTAAACATTGGCATGTAAGTTTCTGTGTGAAAAATGTGTTTTCATTTCTCTGGGATATATGCCCAAGAGTGAAATTGCTGGGTCATGTGGTAAGGCCATCTGTAGTTTCCCATCCTTTTTTGGGGAAGGGGTCTCACTCTGTTGCCCAGGCTGGAGTGCAGTAGTGCCATCACGGCTCACTGCAACCTCAACCTCCCAGGCTCAAGTGATCCTCAGCCTCCTGAGTACCTGGAACCACAGGCATGCACCACCACACCCAGCTAATTTTTAAATTTTTTGTAGAGATGGGTAACTCCTAGCCTTAAGCAATCCTCCCACCTTGGTCTCCCAAAACGCTGGAATTACCGGCATGAGCTGCCATGTCCAGCCTCTACTTTTCAAAGGAACTGCCAAACTCCTTTCCAGAGAGGCCACACCATTTGACATTCCCACCAATGCAGGGGTGATTCAGTTTCTTCCCATCCTCACCAGCCTTTAATGTTATCCCTACTTTTTATTTTAACCATTCCAATAGGTGAAGAGTGATATCTCATTGTGGTTTTAATTTGCATTTCTCAAATAATTAATGATGTTGAACATCCTTTCATGTGATTGTTTGCCATCTGTATATCCTGTTTGGTGAAATGTCTGTTCATGTGTTTTGCCCATTTTCTAATTGAATATTTTTCTTTATGGCTGAATAATATTTTACTGTATGGATATATCACATTGTATTTTTCCACTCATCAGTTGATGGACATTTGGATAGTTTCCACATTTTGGCTACTACAAGTAATGCTGCTGTGAACATTTGTGTACACGTTTTTGTGTGGATGTTTTTACTTCTCTTGGGTATATAGCTAGAAGTGGAATTGCTCAGTCATATGGCAATTCTGTATGTTTAAGAAACTGTCAAACTGTTTTCCAAAGTGACAGCACCATTTTATATTCCCACCGTGAGGATTCTAATTTCTCCATGCCCTTGTCAACACTTGTTATTGTCCATCTTTTTTATGATAGTCACCCTAGTGGGTGTGAAGTGTATCTCATGGTGGTTTTTTGATTTGCATGTCTGATGATTAGTGCTGTTGAGAGTCTTTTCATGTGTTTATTGGTTATTTCCATATATTCTTGGCAAAAATGTCTTCTCAGATCCTTTGCCCATTTTTGATTGGGTTACTTGTCTTTATTTATTTATTTATTTTTTGAGACAGGGTCCTGCTCCGTTACCCAGACTAGAATGCAGTGGTGTGATCATGGCTCACTGTAGCCTGAACATCCTGGGTTTAAGCAATCCTCTCAGCTAAGCCTCCCAAGTAGCTGGAACTACAGGCATGCACCACCATGCCCAGCTAATTTTTGTTGTTATTGTTGTTGTAGATATGGGGTCTCAATATGTTGCCCAGGCTGGTCTTGAACTCCTGGGCTCAAGCAATCCTTCCACCTTGTCTTCCCAAAGTGTTGGGATTACAGGTATAAGCCACTGCACCTGGCAGAGAGTTCTTTATATATTCTAGATGCACATTTTTTGTCAGATATGTGATTTGCAAATGTTTTCTCCCATTCTGTAGTTTGTCTTTTTGTCCTCTTTTTTTTTTTTTTTTTTGAGACTGGCTCTGGGGTTCCCTCTGCTTCCCAGGCTGGTGCTGAACTCTAGGGCTCAAGGGATGCTCTCACTGCAGCCTCCCAAGTAGCTTATATTACAGGTGCATGCCACTGCATCTGACCTTGTCTTTTCATCCTCTTAATAGGGTCTTTCCAATATTTAAGAATAAAATAGTGCTATCCAAGCTTGTCTGGAAAATAGTAGGCACATAATGGGTGTTACATAAATGATTCAATAGGGCCATTCCCAATCTGCTTTAATTAACGGTCAATTCTTCTCTCTATTGATATCATTAATGAATTGTGGGCCTTTAACCAGTTATTATCCTTATCTAGGCCAAAGTCCTCTCTGTAATTTTATTGACACTATTATTTCCCTTCCTAGATGCTTTCTTCACAGATGGTGCAAAGGTAAATTTCAGATATGCCCAGTTTTAATTACTGCAAGTTCCCAGTGATTGAGGCTAATGTATTCAACAAATGAAAACTTAAACTTATCCTTCATCACACTGACTCTAGGGAAAGAATGTCTATTGACACATGCCTTCATTACAGTCTCATTTATCTTTGCTAACATATGAAGTGTGAGCGTTTGTTAATCCAAGCCTGATCCTTGCTTTGAGAAGGAACAGATCATGATATGAAAGCATGGAACGAGGATGTACCTTGCCAAGGATCATTATTTTTGAAGCATACACATACTTGTGAAACACAAACCCAATCTTTCATTTTAGCAGACAGCTTTGTTAACCCCAGAGATCCCACTTCTAACACATTTTGATCGACAATAGTCGTTGTTAATAAAATTTCCAGTTCTGACCCCCATTTGAAGGGCTTGGTCAGAGTTTCTCTTTGACTAGGGCATTTTTCATTATGTATTTACTCATCAACAAGGACTTATTGTGCTCATAGTATGTAGAAATAAAGAGTAAATGGGGCGGGGAGTGGTGGCTCGCGCCTGTAATCCTAGCACTTTGGGAGGCCAAGGTGGGTGGATCCCTTGAACTCAGGTATTTGAGACCAGCCTAGGCAACATGGTGAAACACCATCTCTACCAAAAATACAAAAATTAGCCAGCCATGGTGGCCCACATCTGCAGTCCCAGCTACCTTGGGAGGCTAAGGCAGGAGGATCATTTGAGCCTAGGAGGTGGAAGTTGCAATGAGGTCCAGCCTGCGTGACAGAGGGAGACTCCCTCCATCTCAAAAAAAAAAAAAAAAAAAAAAAAAAAAAAAAAGAGGAAAATGGATAAGGAAATTGACAGGAAGCCTCAACAGAAGGGTAACAGGGAATCTGCCGGTATATGGGCCCTGGGACCTACCTGTAATTCTTTCTTGGTGGGGAGGGGTGGGTAGAGATTCAAAAATAATCAGCTCATTCTCTTTTGATGATTGAACATTTGGTTGGTAGGGCGAGAGAGATGTTGATTGATTTTACCTAAGGAAAATCTTGCATGCAGAAGGCCTCAATATGCATGCTTATGGAATGAGCACTGGATGGATTACAATGGAGAGATTAGGATTGCCCCAGGAGGAAATTGTTATCGGGGACACAAGGAAGGCTTGGACACCACCCCTACAGGAGACAGGAGTTTCTGACCTTTCGGAGGGCTCAATGCTTGGAGAAAAAAATGCCCTTACACCTGGCTAGGAGGGGACCTTTGGGTGGACCCTGGAAGTAGCTTTCACCCCAGGTCCTTATGTAACACTACTGAGCCAACCTATTCCAAATCCACCTATTACCCAGATGGGTGAGAGAATTCAATCCTAATGGATTCTGATCCTCTTTCCTAAAAGGGGCACTACATCTTTGAGCTGGGTCCCTGACAGGAAAGGCCAGGGGCGCAGACCCTGAGGATAAAAAGTCAAAGTGACAAGGGGCTGGGGACTGGTTCCCAGCTGGGGAGTGGGAGGGGGGGCGCCTGCAGGGCCCCATGGGCTGGGGATGGGGAAGTGAGGCCCTTCAGGGCCATGCCCACTCTTCCATGGACCCCCACCCACCTTGGCCAGCCTGTGGGCCATCCTACAGGCCCCTGAAAGGGGCAGGCGCCTTCCCCATTTTGAAGGACATAGTTACATTTTGGCCAGGGTCCACGGCTGCCCAGCAACACCGCAGTTGCCATGGGAACCACCACTTGGCCAGTTTGTGGCTGAGGTGGAGAAAGGAATGTTTGCTACCGTCACAGGGCTTACTATCCAAAGGCACGATTTTCTGAAACAGATGGAAATTGCTTTGTGTTCCTGGGGTAGAAGTGGGGAAGATAGCGATTTCTTTGGAGTCCCAGGGACCCGCTGGTTCCAGGCCCAGCCCTGGCACCCACTGGCTTTGAGGTGATGTTGGAGAACCACCCTTTCCTGCCTGAGGAAAAGGTGCTGCCAGACCAGGGCTGCCAGCACTGCTGGTACCAGCAGAGGGTAGCAGCTGCCAAAAGTGAGAAGAGCAGACAACCCCATGCCAGCCTGAGTGGCTCCTGTGTTCTCTGAGATTCGCTACCATGTAAGGACCGCAACACGGCACAGGCAAGCTCTTGTTTTTGCTCCAGGCAGAGCCCAAAGCTGGACAGCACAGACCGGGCACAGGCCCCTGGGTCCACCAACCACATACCATGAGACTCTTGAGACTTGCTTTCTCTAAGTGCCAGGTGAGGAGAAGAGTAACTGAGCCCCTCCCACACCCTCTGGGTCGTTGCACAAAAGCTGAAGGCCTCCCCGACAGAGGATCTGACTGCAAGATAGCAGCTGCTCCACAAAAGACAGCACAGAGATCTCCAAGACCTGGGCAGGGGGCTGAAGGGTGGGGAGGGCAAAGGGTGAGTTAGGGTTCAGGGAGCTGGAAGAGGATGCCGATTGGGAAAATGTGCTGAAAAAAAGCATCCTTTCTCTTTTGCTGGCTGTTACTGATGATCTGGGGTGGCACCTTTGCCTCTGGAGCTGGCCCTGGAGTTTGTATGTTTCCAGCCTGCCTGAGTCTCCCTCTGTAAGGCTCCAACACCTGTCCAGTCCGCAGCTCTCAGTGTAAGATCATCCCTCCTTAGCCCTGGTCTCCACCCACCAGGGCCCTGGGCCGAGTGCGATGCAGGCTTGCAGTGCAGAGTAGGGCATAGTGAGTTTGCCTGAGTTGGCCTTTTGCTGGAGGCCAACGGGAAAGTGATGGGGAGCACTCAGCAGCCATGGTCAAGCAAGGCTGCTTCCAAATGCCCCAGGTTGCAGCCCTGGACAGGGAACCACTGAAAGCCAGAATGGAAGGGTTCTAAGGGATAGCTCTGCACCCTCCCCATGGCACAGATGGGGAAACTGAGGTCCAGAGGTGGCACATCATCAGCTTGAGAGAGGGGATCAGCCCGAGTGCTTTCCAGAGTTACATTCTAGAGCTCTCTGGAATCCAGATTCTGATTCAATGGCAACTGTCATTGTTTGCCTCCTTCTCCCAAATTCCCAGCACTGGGCTTTGCGTAAATTCGAGCCTCCTGAGGAGTCATGGAGGGTTACAGTTTTCAAAGTTTTAATAATAATAATAATAATGTCATCTTCCATTTAATAAGTGCTCACTGTGCCAGGCTCTGTACTTCTAATCAAAATGACAACTCCATTATCTACCTTTAATAGGTGAGGAAACTGAGGCTCAGGAAGGCTAAGTGACTGGCCCAAGGCTGTGGCCAAGTTGTGACCATGGCCCGCCAGCCAGTATAGCAGGTGCCTTTTGTTGAGAGAGGAGGTGCAGGCTGGAGGAAGGGTGTCCCAGTGCCTCCTACAGGAATGCAATCGGCGTGTCCCTGCCTCACTGTCGGCAGTGATGCCTTTCCTGTGGGCCACCATCTCCCCTGTCATCGGGCAGTCCCCAGGTGATCCCTTGGTGAGGCCTTCTTGGGCAGAACTTCTGGCCCCTCCCACTGGCCTGGGCACTGGGCACACAGCTGACTTTACAGCTGATTACAGCACATCATGATTTATTTACAGGCCCAGCTCTGGCCCTGGACGAAGCTTCCAGAGAGCAGGGCCCAGACCTCATTTCTTTTCACCATCCTGGGTCCAGGACCTTGCCTGGACCATCTCGCATGCTTCACAGGGCTCGTCGTTGCTGCAAGCAGCATGTTACCCTGAGGTGACTCCCCACTACACTGTTCATGCTGTAATAAAAGATTCCTTTTCTTGGAAGCTGCTCTTCGTATTGAGCAAGTGCGTAGATGAGGCTTTCTAAAAGTCTGAGAAAAGGAATACAGTGCAAGCATACAAACTGTCACAATGCAGCCAGGACTTTGTCTGGGAGCTATTTATAGGTTCAGATGCCAAAACAGAAGGGGAGACATTGGACAGATTTGCAAATTGCCAAGTGTCAGGGAAGGCTAAAGAGAAACCAGGCTGGGGAGATTTTTAGGGGAAGGGGAGGTGGAAGGAGTCAGGGGAGATGCTGGGTAAAGGTGCCACCCTGGAAAGAGGTGCATGTTGGGGAAAGCAATCCCACCTGCTTCCTGCTCACGCCGCAGGGCCGGGGAGATGTCTTTGACTGGACCCATTGAGAAAAAACACTTTGTTCTCTCTGGGAGCAGAGGGGACGGGGAGAAGGGAGGTGGGTAACACCTTGGTAGTGACAACAGCCCTGAGTGCCACAGAAGGATCTCCAAGACTGTCCAGAAAATACCACCTTCAACATCAGAATCTTACAAAGTTCACCATTTCCCCTGCAAGCTTGGGAACTTTGATCTGAGGTCTTGGAGAAAGTGACCGCCACTGTGAGACCCAGAGAAGCTCAGTAGCTCACTGAAGGTCACAGAGCTAGGAAGCGGTGAGGCTAGGACGTGGCCTTGGGCGGTTCTGACACTGCAGTCCGTGCCCTCACCTACCACATGGGGCTGGTGAGGCTCTAGACCCAAGAGAAAGAGAATGTGAGCCATGTGTGCAACATCAATTTTCTCATAGCCACATTAGAAATAGTAAACAGAAATGGGTAAAATTAATCCCAATACTGTATTTTATTTAACCCAATATATCCAAAATATTGTCATTTTAAGATACCATAAATATATTAAAAATTACTAATAGGACATTTCATATTTTTTTCCTATTAAGTGCTCAAAGTCCAGTGTGTATATTACACTCACAGCTCATCTCAAGATACTTGAGCCACATCTCAGGTGCTCACTAGCCACATGTGGCCCCTGGCTACCATACTGGGTGGCACAGCCCTAGAGCCGTGGTTCTCAACCAGGAGCAAACTGATCCCCCAGGGGGACATTTGGTGATATGTAAAGATACTTTTGATTGTTACAACTCAGAGGGTGATGCTACTGGCATCTAGTGGACAGAGCCCGGGGATACTGCTAACATTCTCCAATGCCCAAGACAGTCCACACGACAAGGAATGACCCGGCTCCAAATGCCAACAATGCCGTGTTTCAGACACCCTGCTCGAGAGAGAGAACCAGTTTGTGCTCCTTGAGTGAACCGGCAGGAGCCCAGGAGTGCCATGGACGCCAACACCTAGTGTGCTGCCTGGCACACAGTGGGTACCCGAAATCAGTGCTCAGAACTGAATTCAATGGAAGACGGCCCATGACTCAGTCTCAGAGGAATCACGCTCCATCCTCTTCACCAGCAGTGCAGAGACACCAAGAGCCAGGAAATGAGTTGTGAAATCAAGAACAAGGGATCAGTCTCAGTGCAACTGACAGTTCACTTGCTTCGAGATGCTACTGATTCATGCTTGTAAATAGCCAGCCTGCTGGGGTCAGGGTGCAGCTTTCTTCCCACCCCCCTTAGGCATCCTGGGGCAGCCCCAGCTCTTGGGACGGGGAAGCCTGCAGCTCCGGGGAGCAGAGTCAAAGAGGGTGCGTGTTAGGGCACTGGATTGTGCCCTAACTGCATCCCACAACTACATCCCCTTCTAACTGTGAGGCTTCCTCTCAATTTCCTTATTCATTTTCCTTTTTATCATGTGCCTGCACTGCATCCTTCAGCTCAGCCCATTGCTAAGAAAGCTGACACTGATCTGCATCTTCCTCATCTTTGTCTATTTCCTCACTGGTTCTGAGCGCAGGTGGTGAAGCAAGGGGTGTTATTTAGAGCACTGCTCCTATCCCTAAATCCACCACAGGCATAGAACTGGAGGGTCTCTGAATCACTATAAATGCCCCAGGTCAGGGATGGTGACATCACTGTGGCTGCAAAGAGAAGTCTCTCAGTTGGCATGCGGATGTTCCTTGTGACTGCCTGGGGTCAGGGCTCAAAGCTCCCAGGCAATTATATCCACAGAGTCATAGATTTCTCTAGCTGGTCATCTAACTCAAATCCCATTTTAGCGACAAGATGGGAGTTGTATAGCCCTATAGGAACAGAGTAGCCTTGTCTCTAAGAACAGAGGTGGAAACAGGTCTCTTCAGTCCAAAGGTCAAGAACACAATGGAAGGATGTGGTGTAGTTTAGCATCTCACCGCTCCAGCTGCCCTTGTGCTGGTGACGCTCAAATCTCTACCTTGCACTCTTCCTTCCCTCCAGAGAACCAGACCCAGGGGTCCATTTGATCTTTCTTGTCAAGTATTTGCTGAGCTCCCACTCCATCACAGGCACCAGGGGGTTGCTCTCTTTCTCCCAGGCACCGACGCTCACTGCGTCCCTTGCTGTTACCCTCTAACTGCTCTTCCCTGGGCCTGGGGTGATGCTGTCCCACAGTCCCTGACACCAGGTACCCCTGAGGCACCACTGGCTCCTCTTCCTTCATCATGCCATTTCTGCCAACCAGGCCCAAGAGTCCTCCTCCTAAATATGTCTGGGGCATGTCCCCTCCCCTCCATGTCTGCCATAACTGCCTGGTCTGGCCCCACCATGCTGTCACCAGACTGCTGCCATGGAGCTTCCTCTGGTCTTCATCCTCGGCAACCTCCCCTGAACTCCAGTCTTCACACCCCCAAGGGCGGGGGGCTTCTGTTTAGCAGGCACATCGGATCGTGCCCCCACACTTAATGTCCTTCGCTGGGGTTCCCCAGGGCCATTTAGACAGAGGCTGAGCTTCAAGGCCTGGATGCACATTGCCCTGCGAGTGGCTCCAGCTGATGCTCCTGTTCTCGGCTTTCCCTCCCTTTCACACCAGCCACACTGGACTCTCCCTGGATGCACCCCACCATTCTGCCATTCTGTGCACTTGCGTGGACTATCTTGCCACCTCGTGTGCTCTTCCAAACAGGACACTTCTATTCATCCTTCAGGACACAACTCAAATGTCCTCACCCCTCAGAGTTGTTACCCTGGGGTCTCACTCACCAGTCAGTGTTGTGGGGTGGTGGGGGTCCTTCCTCTGACTGCAGTAAAATCCTAACATCATTTTAATATAAATCTGTCCTTAAAGTGAATAAATGAATGTCTTCTATAATTCTCTATTTCTGCCTTAACTGCTATTTCTGTAGCATGAGTGATTCTTGCATCCCAAAGTAAACAGAAGTCTCCTTGCAAGCAGAGACATGTTTTCAACTCAAGAGCAGTACAACACAGTGTTAACAACTCATGTTGGGAACCGGGTTTCTGGGGTTTAAATCCTGTTCCCACCACTTGCTAATTAATGTGTGATCTTAATTAAGCCACTTCAACTCTCTGTGCCTCCGTTTCTTCATCTGTAAAAGGAGGGTGAGCATGGTTCCAGTTATCTATTGCTTTGTAACAAATCATTTGCAAAATTTAGTGGCTTAGAATAATAGCTATCTTATTGTAGCTCACAATTTGTGGGTCAGGAATTTGGCAAGGCTCAGCTGGGTGATTCTCCTGCTCTTTTTGGCACTGACTAGGGCACTTAGTGGTATTCAGCTGCAGGCTGGTCTGATCTGGAGGGTCCAAGGCACTTTTGCTTATGCCTGGTGCCTTAGCAGGAATAGCTGGAAGGCTGGATTCACCCAGGCCTGTCTTCCTCTTGGGCCTCTCTCCCTCCTTATATAGTGTCCAGGCCTCTCCACATGGTCTCTCCAGTATGGTGGTGTCAGTCGTCAGATTTCTTACATGACAACTCAGAGCTCCCAGAGTCCAGGCAGAAGCTGTCAGTTCTCTTAAAAGCTACATCTGCGACTGGCATAGTGTCACTTCTGCTTTATTGTATTGATTGGTCAAAGAAGTAACAGGCTAGCCCAGATCCAAGGAGAGAGGCAATAGAATCTTGATGGGAGAATTGTCAAAGAGTGCATGACCATCTTTATTCTGCCACACTGTACTGTTTATATCCCAGGGATGATATGCAGATTAAATTAATTCATATAGAATGCTTAACAAGTGACTGCTATTATGATTCTACTTCCTTAAGGCCTGAGCACCCAGCAAAGTCTCAGTAAATATTTTGCGTCATAACTCAGTAGGAGAAGAGGCACATAGAGAACATTCTAGGTCGGGCTACACAGAGCGGGCTTCTTGTACCAATCGGGAGCCACATTCTGCAAACTAGGGATCCAGCTGGAGTCCTAAGACCATGATATAAGAACGGAATTCTGAGGAAGCCCAGGAGAGAGAACAGAACTAACAGAAATCCAGTAGAATCTACCCCACTCCAAGGGTCTCCCAAAACTCTATTTGGGAGGTACCATATTTTACAGATGAGGAAACTGAGATTGAAGAGGCTCAGGAATTTGCCCAAGTTCAACCAGCTAGTAAGTGAAAAAGCAGGTTTCAAATCTAGGTCTGCCTGTCTGTTGGCTTCTTTCACCACAGCCACTGCCACTGGCGTTCCTCAAAGAAAACCATGGAAAACACTTGACCGATCCTCTCAATGAATGACAGGGTTTTGGTCCTCAGGACCCTGGAGCCAATGAGAAGAAGCCCCTCAGGCTTGATGATTTCAAAGGTCATCCCATGATCAGCTAATAGTCTCACATTATGCATCTGATTTCTCTGGGAATCTATGCTACACGTGTCCTATCATGCCCTGATTGAAATTTATTTCCTGTTTCTACAAAGATACAGCCAAAAAAAGACACAGCTTTTCATGTAAGAATTATAAAAAATAATATATATAAACACACATCATCCTATTGACCCACACACACATCATGCTTTTCGCAAAATGCTCACATACGTGACACCTCCCCATGGTTCTGTGAGATGGGTATTACCATCCGCATTTTCTAGATGAGGAAATTGAGCAGTAGTGTGCTGGTAATTGCTTAAATCCAGCTCTCCAGGAGGGAAAAAAAACAAACAAACCCTGATTTATAGCATTTGCCAGTTTCCATAAGGTACTTACCACCAAGTTGGGAAGAGATTCACACAATCAGCTGTCACCAGCTGACATGAGTCGGCTCCAGCATGCCACCAAAAACACAGCTCAGGCACAAACCCACCTCCACTCAGTTGTTACGAGGGAGAGTCAGACCTGGAAGTTGAGTGACCCTTCCTCACCATGGCTGTCCTTGCTGAAGCCATCTAGTCCCAGCCTGCCCCCTTTCTGCACAACTCTGGTACTTCGCAATGAACATAAAGCACGTTAATATACTCTTAGCTTAGGCTTCAGACTCCAAGGGTAATTCCAATGTTCTTTGTTAAATAAATCCCCTGCTAAAAGAGGAACGGATAAGATACAACCACACAAAGAGTATAAAGGATTGATTATTAACTCCTCTACTTCCTCTCTGGAGTCCTCCACTTCCCTTGTCTTGGAGAGTCATTTGGATAAGGAATATGGGAGATAAGACAGGAAACAACCTGGCTCAGGTGAAAGAGCTTGCACGTGGCATCTACAGACCCAGGTTTAATCCCAGTTACATCCGGGGGCACACTTCAGCTGCAGACTAGAGATCCTACCACCTGTTTCATAGCGTTATGAAGACAGACGGGCCAATGTCTATGAATACCCACATGGTACCTGGTAGACAGCAACTCCCCAATAACTGGGGCTGAAGGCTGAAGAAAAGTAAGATTTCATGACCTAGTTATTGGGGAATTGGTCTCACCTGGGGGATCCTACTTTTGTAGGTATAAAGGGCAGCCTTGCACTGGGAACTACATTAAAGGAACATTCCAGCAGGGGAAATTCCTCTGGGGCAAGTTCCCTAAAAGTTTCCAATGTGAAAACTAAGACTGAGACAACAATAAGCACAATAAAACATGTAACAGGATCAGGACTGATGACAAAAGCAGTGCAAACTACTCATTGATCCTGGGCAGATAAGGGGAGATGGACACAAAGAGACACAGAAAACATCAGTTTATTTCTATAGAACTTTCCAGAAGGTCTCATGTCTGACTGCTTCCTTAAATAGTTTAGGCAGAAAGAAGCTGGTGAGACAGGCATCAGAATGTGGCTTCCTCTGGACCAGGTGGGCTGCCTGGACACTGAGCAACATGTATTTTCCTTTACCATCCAGGTGCTTGGGACATCTGGGGTTAGGCAAAAGAAGAACGGCGCCTTCTGTCTGTGTGGGGCTTTATCTTTCCAAGGCATTTTGTATCTGTCTCTTGCCAGGTGAGGTCAGCCTCAGAGATGTTGAGTGACTTGCTTAAGGCCACATAGCAAGTTACTGGGGAAGCCTGATTAGAACCCAGGTTACTGACACACTCCCATGGCTTTGCACAAGCTCACCTTGGCTCTAACACTGCTCACACTTCCTAGAGATGAGGCCGCCTAGGAACTCCCAGAGCAAAGCAAATCTGGGAGGTGGGTTCAGAGGCGCTCAGAGGTAATAATCAACTTTCTCTTTTGGGAAAACCCCCTCAAAGCCAAGTTCCCCTAGAAACATCTCTTTAGAAGTCCTCTATATGATGTGATCTGCCCAGGGCAAGCTGAGCGTCCACACAGAATGCTGTGAGAACAATAAAGCACTTGCAAAGGCTCTTTGTCTTGTTTCTTCCACTCTTGCCCCAATCCACTCAGCTACCCAAGTGATCCTTTTGAGAGCAGAAGCTGGTCCACCTTCATCCCATTGCCTGCAATGCCATTCCTGCAACCCTCTCTTTTTTCCTTCTCCCTTGGCTCATTTTGATCACAAGAGCCCTGATTACACTGTGTTGCAATTGACAACTCTGCCTCCTTGACTAGATTTGAGCTCCTTGAGGACACAGACACCGCCTTAACATGATCCAGGGTTCAGTAGATGCTAGTTACCTATATGCATGAATATGTTATCAATGAATGCAGCAGTATGCAGCTCATTCTTGGATTTCTGTCAGATTTTAGGTATGTTCACATATATTTTCTTGTCTGTTCCTCATAACAACAATATAATCCCAAGCACCTGGATTATAAAGGAAAACACATGTTGCTCAGTGTCCAGGCAGCCCACCTGCCCCAGAGGAAGCCACATTCTTATGCCTGTCTCACCAACTTCTTTCTGCCTAAACTATTTATGGAAGCAGTCAGACATGAGACCCCATCATGTGGTTGGTGAAAATGAGGATCAGAAGTCAAATAACTTGCTTTAGTTCACAGAGCTAGTTAAGTGAGAGAAGTAAATATAAAACCAGGTTTTCTTCTTTTGTAATATATGCATTCAATGCTATGAATTTTCCTCTAAGCACTGTTTTCACTGCATCCTACAAAGCTCGGTAAGTTGTGTTTTCATTTTCATTTACGTCAAAGTATTTTTAAATTTCTTTTGAGATTCCTTCTTTGTATGTTGGTTAGAAGTGTGTTGTTAAATCTCCAAGTACTTTTGGATTTTCCAGCTATCTTTATGTTATTGATTTCTAGTTTAATTCCCTTGTGGTTTGAGAGAAGACATTGTATGATTACAATTTTTTTTTTTTTTTTTTGAGACAGAGTTTCGCTCTTGTTGCCCAGGCTGGAGTGCAATGGCATGATCTTGGCTCACTGCAACCTCTGCCTCCCAGGTTCAGGTGATTCTCCTGCCTCAGCCTCCTGAGTAGCTGGGATTACAGGCATGCGCCACCATGCCCAGCTAATTTTGTATTTTTAGTAGAGATGGGGTTTCTCCATATTAGTCAGGGTGGTCTCAAACTCCCGACCTCAGGTGATCTGCCCGCCTTGGCCTCCCAAAGTGCTGGGATTACAGGTGTGAGCCACCATGCCTGGCCTGATTGCAAGCCTTTTAAATTTTTTTTAAGGTGTGTATTACGGCCCAGGATGTGGTCTATCTTGGTGAATGTTCCAGGTGGGCTTCAAAAGAATGTGCATTCTGTTATTGTTGGATAAAATAGTCTATAGATGTCCACCATATCCAGTTGATTATGGTGCTGCTGAATTCAACTATGTTCTTACTGATTTTCCACCCGCTATATCTGCCTATGTCTGATGGAGGGGTGCTGAAGTCTCCAACTATGATAGTAGATTAATCTATTTCTCCTTGTAGTTCCATCAGCTTTTGCCTTAAGTATTTTGATGTTCTGTTGTTAGGCACACACACATAAAGGACTGTTAGATCTTCTTGGAGTACTGCTCCATTTTAATGCCTCTCTTTATCCCTTACTTTACTCAGTCTGAAGTCTACCCTGACTGAAATTAATAAAGTTACCTCAGCTTTTTATTATTATTATTATTATACTTTAAGTTCTAGGGTACATGTGCACAACGTGCAGGTTTGTTACATATGTATAAATGTGCCATGTTGGTGTGCTGCACCCATTAACTCATCATTTACATTACGTACATCTCCTAATGCAACCCCTCCCCCTTCCCCCCACCCCACAATAGGCCCTGGTGTGTGATGTTCCCCTTCCTGTGTCCAATTTAGTGTTAGCATGGTATACCTTTCTCCATCCATTTACTGTTAATCTATATGTGTCTTTATATTTAAAGTGGGTTTCTTGTAGACAGCATATAGTGGGTCTTGTTTCTTGATCTACTCTGACAACCTCTCTCTTTTAATTAGTGCATTTGGACCATTAAAATTCAAAGTGATATTGATATTGCTGGATTGACATCTACCATATTTGTTACTGTTTTCTATTTGTTGTCCTTGTTCTTTGGTCCCACTTTTGTCTTCCACTCTTTTTCTGCCTTTTGTAGTTTTAATTGGCATTTTATATGATTCTATTTTCTCTCCTTTATTATACTTCTTTTTAAATTATTTTTTTTAGTGGTTGTCCTAGAGTTTGCAACATACATTTACAACCAATCCAAGTCCATTTTCAAATAACGCTATACTGCTTCACACGTTGTGAGGACAGTTGGCCCTCCATATCTGCAGCTTTCACACATGTAGATTCAACCAACCATGGATTGAAAATATTCAGGAAAAAAAAAACAAATTTTGGCTGGGTATGGTGGCTCATGCCTGTAATCCCAGCACTTTGGGAGGCCGAGGCAGGTGGATCATCTGAGGTCAGGAGTTCGAGACCAGCCTGGCCAACATGGCGAAACCCCATCTCTAAAAACACAAAAAATTAGCTGGGCATGGTGGTGCAGCCTTGTCATCTCAGCTACTCAGGAAGCTGAGGTAGGAGAATCTCTTCAACCCAGGAGGCAGAGGTTGCAGTGAGCCAAGATCACACCACTGCACTCCAGCCTGGGCGACAGAGTAAGACTCTGTCTCACAATAATAATAATAATAATAATAATAATAATAATAATAATAATAATAATACAAAATTTAAAAGCAATACAGTATAACAACTATTTACATAGTACTTACATTGTATTGGGTATTACAAGCAGTCTGGAGGTGATTTAAAGTATACAGGAGGGTGTGCATAGGTTATATGCTAACACTACACCATTTTTTATCAGAGACTCAAGTACCTACTGATTTTGGAATTGTGAAGGTGGTCCTGGAATCAATCCCCCACAGACACCAAGGAACAACTGTACCTTTTTTTTTTTTTTTTTGAGACAGAGTCTCACTCTGTCGCCCAGGCTGGAGTGCAATGGCCTGATCTCGGCTCACTGCAACCTCTGCTTCCTGGGTTCAAGCAATTCTCTTGTCTCAGCCTCTCGAGTAGCTGGGATTACAGGCAAACCACCAGGCCCAGCTAATTTTTTGTATTTTTAGTAGAAACGTGGTTTCACCATGTTGGCCAGGCTGGTCTCAAACTCCTGACCTCAGGTGATCCACCTGCCTCGGCCTCCCAAAGTGTTGGGATTACAGGTGTGAGCCACTGCACCTGATCAACTGTACCTTCTAATAACAAAACAATCTTAATTTCTTCCTCCCATTCCTTGTATTATTGTTGGGCCATCATTTTGCTTATATATAGATACACATACACACATAAGCATAAGTAATAGAATATACTATTGCCATTATTTCCAACAAACTGTTATCTGTTAGGTCAATTAAGAATAAGAAAAGTAAACATTTTTCTTTTGCCTTCACTTATTCCTTCTCTGATGCTCTTCCTTTCTTTATGTGGAACTGAGTTTCTGACCTTTATCATTTTCTTTCTCTCTAAAGAAATTTTAACATTTGCAAGGCAGGTCTAATAGCAACAAATCCCCTGACTGTTTGTTTGTTCGAGAAAGTCTTTATTTTTCCTTCACTTTTGAAGGAACAATTTCACAAGGTACAGAAATCTTGGTTGGTGTTTTTTTTCTCTCAATACTAAATATTTCACTCCACTATCTTCTTGCTTGCATGATTTCTGAGAAGTCAGATGTAATTCTTATCTTTGTTCCTCTATAGGCAAGGTGTTTTTCTCCCCCCTCTGGCTTTTTTTCAAGACTTTTTCTTTGAATTTCTGTAGTTTGAAAATGGTATGCCTAGGTTAGTTGTTTTGGCATTGATCTTGCTCAGTGTTTTCTGACCTTCCTAGCCTGTGGTTAGGTGTCTGATATTAATTTGAGGAAGTTCTCAGTCATTATTGTTTCAAATATTTTTTCTGTGCCTTTCTTTTTTCTCCTTCTGGAATTCCCATTATATGTCTGTTACACCTTTTGTAGTTGTCCCACAGTTCTTAGATACTCCGTTCTGTGTTTTTGTTCAGTCTTTTTTCTCTTTGCTTTTTCAGTTTTGGTGGTTTCTATCAAGATATTATCATGCTCAGAGATTCCTTTCTCAGCCATGTACAGTCTATTAAGAAGCCTATCTAAGGCATTCTGCATTTCTGTTACAGTGTTTTTGGTCTCTAGCATTTTTTTGGTTCTTTCTTGGAACTTCCATCTCTCCGCTTACATTCCCCATTTGTCCTTGCATGCTGTCATCTACTTTAGCCATTAGAGTCCTTAGCACCTTAATCATAGTTGCTTTAAATTATTGGTCTGACCATTCCAACCTCTCTACCATATGTGAGTCTGTTCTCATGCTTGCCATACCTCTTCAAACAGTGTTTAATGCCTTTTAATATGTCTTGTAAGTTTCTCTTGATGGCCAAATGTAATGTACTAGATAAAAGGAACTGCTATAAACAGGCCTTTAGTGATATGATGAGAAGGTATTGGGGAGGGGGAGAGTTCTAAATCCTATGGGTAAGTCTCAGTCTTTCACTGAGCCTGTGCCTCTGGACTGTTAACTTCAAAAGTATGTCTCAGTTTTTTCCTCCTTTAAGTTGGGCAGGATGGCTAAAATGGGCTGGAGTTGGGTATTTCCCTTTCCCAGGCAGGTTAGGCTCTGGTATTAGGCCATTCTTGCATTGCTATAAAGAAATATCTGAGACTGGGTAATTTATAATGAAAAGAGGTTTAACTGGCTCATGGTTCTGCAGGCTTTACAGGAAGCACGGTGCTCGTATCAGCTCAGCTTCTGGTGAAACCTTGGGGAGCTTTCAATTATGGTGGAAGGTGAAGTGGGAGCAGGCACTTCACATGTAAAGCAGGAGCAAGTTAGGTTGAGCAGGAGGGTGCCATACACTTTTAAACAGCCAGATCTCACCAGAACTCATTACTGGGAAGATAGCATCAAGCCATGAGGGATCCACCCCTGTGACCCAAACACCTCCCACCAGGCCCCACCTCCAGCATTGGGGATTGCAATTCAACATGCAATTTGAGCAGAGACAGATCCAAACTGTATCAGCTCTGAAAGCATACCTTATTGAGAAGAACAGACTGCTCTGGCATATTTCCAAAATGTTCCTTTTGCCTTCTTCCTGCAGGATGCATGAGATCTTTGATATTCACTGCAGGAACCTGGTCAAGCTACTGGTGGTAAAACTCACAAAAGTGTGGAGGCCCCTAGATGACTGGCTTCCCTGGAGTTTTAACTCAGGCCTGTCCACAGTGAACATCCACTAGTTCATCAGTTACACATTGGGTTTCCCTAGCTCAGCACTGGTTCCCATGGGAGTTTTGCCTGTGGGTTTCTGCTCTGGCAAGCTGCAGTTCTCTGCATTTGCCTATTAGTCTCTCCAATTTTGGGGGCAGTGACTTGACCTGTGACCCCACCTTTATGACAGATCCAAGAAGAGTTGTTGACTTTTCAGTTTGGTCAGGGTTTTACTTATTAGGACCAAGTGATGACTTCAACTTTCTAACATGCCAGACCGGACAGAAGCCAGGTTTTCTAATCCTGAACACCCACGTCACATGGGAAGGGGGGCAATCAGGAATGGAGGAGAGACAACTAACTTTTTATGAGCACCTACTGTGTGCCAGGCACTATTATTGCACAAAGTTTCAGTTAATCACCACTATGATTATGAGCCCATTTCACAGTTGAGAAAGCCAAGGCTTAGTGAGATAGAGGTTTGAGTGGCATTGTTAAGATCTCACAACTGATGAAAGCAAAGGGGTGGGATTTTAATTTGGATCCACTGGGTTCCAAAGCCCACCCTCTCAGTCCATCCAGATCAGGCTGTCTCCCTGCACAGGTGTGAGCTGTTATTAGCCAGTCGACCAGTATTTGCTGAACACTTGCAACAGGCTCTGCCCTCTGCTGGACAATGGAACACAGATGTTGTATGCGACATAAAGCTTCCAGCCCAGCTGGGGAAAGAAGATGCGACAATATGAAACAGACAATGAAGGATAGGGAACATCTGATGAGCTGAGAGGAGTGGGGAGACCAACCCAAGCAGAGGAAATGGCACAAGCAAAGGCTCAGAGGTGGGAGTGAACACAATACATGCAAAAGAGAGGAGAGAAATGAAGTAGGGTGGTCCTGGAGGAGGCTGTAGGGACTGCTACTCTTCCAGGGGGCTTTGCACTGTGACAACCTGGAGAAATCACTCTGAACAGGCAAGAACAGGCAAGAAACCAAGAAACTTCACTGTGCACCTAAGTAGCCTTGCAGGGAAGTCAGAGGGTCTGGGTGAATGTGGGCATGGGGAGGATGCTGTCAGTCAGAAAGAGCCTTACATAGAACAGGTTCCCGCTCCTCTGCTATTTCAGGATGGCCAGGACAAACTAACTCCTACACTTCATGGGCTAATGACTGACATTCCGTGATAACACCAATACGAGAGCTTTTATTCCTGCTAAGATGCACACTGCCCTGGCAGAGAGTGCTGCTTTATGGTGGTGTTAGTCTTGCACGTGCTAGTACTAGTATGGTTACTGAGTAGAGAATTTCCAGAGAGGTTTTCAGGGAGGGTGGGAGAGGGAGGCAGACACAACCTGAAAGAAAGGTGATTGCCCAGATGTTGCCTCCTTTCATGCTGCTATGATCTGAATACTGGTGTCCCCCCAAATTCCTATGATGAAACCTAACTCCTGATGCAAGAGTATTAAGGGGTAGGGTCTTTAGGATACTGATTAAGTCATGAGGGTGGAATCATGAGGGATCCACCCTCATGAATGGGATTAGTGCCCTTATAAAAGAGTGCTATGGCAGCTGGGCATGGTGGCTCACACCTGTAATCCCAGCACTTTGGGAGGCCGAGGCAGGCGGATCACCTGAGGTTGGGAATTCAAGACCAGCCTGATCAACATGGAGAAACACTGTCCCTACTAAAAATGCAAAATTGCCAGGGGCGGCGGCACATGCCTGTAATCCCAGCTACTTGGGAGACTGAGACAGGAGAATTGCTTGAACCCAGGAGGCGGAAGTTGCAGTGAGCAGAGATCGCGCCACTGCACTCCCGCCTGGGCAACAAGAGCGAAACTCCATCTCAAAAAAAAAAAAAAAAAAAAAAAAAAAAAAGAGTGCTATGGCTTGAATGGGTCCCCTCCGAAATTCACGTGTTGAAACTTAATGGCCAACATGATGGTATGAGGAGTTGGGGCCTTTAAAATGTGATTAGGCCATGAGAGCTCCTCCCTCGTGGATGGGATTAAGACTCTGATAAAAGAGACTTCACACAGTATTCAGCTCTCTTGCCCTTCTGCCTTTGGCCAAGTGAGGACATAGCATCCCTCGTCTCCAGAGAACACAGCTTCAAGGAGCCATCTTGGATCAGACAGCAGCCCTCACTAGACAAGAGAACCTGCTGGTGTCCTGATCTTGGACTTCCCAGTCTTGCAAATTGTGAGAAATAAATTTCCATTCTTTATAAATTACCCAGTCTTGGTATTTTGTTAAAGCAGCACAAATAGACTAAGACATGCTGAGCCAAGATTATCCAAACCCGGTGCTCTCCTGTGACAGGAAGCCCAGGAAGCACTGTGGCCTGGGCTCTGACCCCTGACCCCACTTGCAGTCACTTCCAAAAGAGGGGTGTCTGTGCAGTGGTTTCTGGACCCCCGAGACAGTTGAGGTGGGCTGCTTTCCCAACTTAGATGTACTTTCTAAAGCTGCAAGGCCCCTGAAGGTGGCAGCCCATGTACACTCAGGCTTGGCCACCCACAATACTAACCCATTTCCCTCATCTCTCCCTTTTCTCTTGCCTCTGAGGCCATGTGTTCTAGATCTTTCTCCATCTCTGTCAAAACTTCTTCCTGTGTCCAGTTCTCTCCTTGCAAAACAAACTCCTCCACTGTCCCTATGTTCCCGTTTCCTAGAGGGGCATTACTGTACTGCAGCCCCTCACAGGCCCCAACCCACTGAAAGGGCTTCCCTTCTTGTGGGTAATGGCTGCCCCAGGGCCTGCCCCTTATCTTAGCTCCCCAGTCCCAGTTCCTAGGCAGCCAGGAAGGCCATTACCTGAGACAGGTGTCTCAAGCACCTTCCTCCTCTTCCTCTGTCCTGGCAGAGTAACTGTCTTGTTCAGCTCCCACACAGTCAAGCTCTACTCTGAAGCACCAATCTCATAGGGCTACTTCCTGCTCAAAACCTTTGCGTGGCTTCCGATAACACTACAAACCAAATCTCTAACACCCTCGGGTGGTTGTCAAGGTCTTTCGTGACCTGGCCGAATCCCACCTTCTAGCCTCAACTTTGATTCTACTTCCAATCTACCTCTCCCCCAACAGAGTTCTACCCTTTCCTGATTTTCTTTTTCCTGCCTCTGAGCCCTGATGCAGGCTGTGGACTCAGCTTAACACATCTGTTCCTCAATTTCTCTTTTTCACAAATATTTTCCATCGTCCAAGGCCCAAAGTAGGCCTGGGTGGATTTCCCTGAGTGTCATTGGTTTTGATGACCCAGAGTACATGCTTACATTCTAACATTTAGGACAGTTCGAACGACTTGTATTTCTGGTTATGTATGCATGAGCCTGTCTCTCCCACTGGTTCAATGCCAAGAACCCTGTCTTCAAGCCTGTCATACTGTCTTCCTTCAGAAGCCATCCAACACATATTTAATTGGTTGCAAAGTCTTTGAAATGTTCAATAACACAGAGAAAGCTCATAATAAAATGTCTAAGTGAAAAAAAAAGGAGGCTAAGAATACACCACTATGATTCAAGATCTATTTTTTTTAAAAGAAATTCACCACTGAAGTTTTACAATAAAGTTCTTGGAGTTAAATTATCTCATGATGTATTTTTTTCCTGGCCCAACTCCAGTGTTGGAGGCTGAAAAGGGGAATGCTGAAAACAGAAAGAAATAAACTGTGGTTATTTTAGCCAAAACCTCTATGAGTAATAACCAATGTGAGATAAGAAGAACGAATCAACATCTTACAGGAGTTCTCCAAGAGCAAAGTGTTGCAGGAAACGATGGGTTTTGTGGTATGAACTGCATGCTGCTCAAACTCCATAGCTAATTATAGCTGCTAGTATTTATGGTGTGCTTACTACACACAGGCTTTTTCCCATAAATGTCCCCATTTCATCCAGGAGACAAAGTTGTGGAGCGCGTCCCATGTGCCAGGCAACACGGTCCCAAGCCCCTATGAGTAGTCACCGATTGATGTGCTCATCATTCCTCCCAGTAGCTGTGTTGCAGAGTTCCCATGTTGCAGATGAGGAAAGTGAAGCAGAGAAATTAAGTAACATGTCTGATGTCACAAGGTGACAGAGAATTAAAACCCAGAACTGCCAGCCTTTCTAAAGCTTAAGCTCTCAAAAGAAGTTTGCATTAACAAGAGTGCAAGATTACCACGATGCCATCAGTACTTCCTCACTGCTGAAATATCAAGAGGCTGCCTTCTCGACACCAATCCCTCTTTTAATAATAATCACTCCTTACTTTTTATGGACTGAAACTGCACAACATGATGAAACCCTGTCTCTACAGAAAATACAAAAATTAGCCAGGCACAGCGGCGTGTACCTGTAGTCCCAGCAACTTGGGGAGGATCGCTTGAGCCCAGGAGGTTGAGGCTGCAGTGAGCTGTGATCACACTACTGCACTCCAGAGCCTGATAGAGTGAGACCGTGAAAACAAACAACAAACAAACAAACAAAAAAACCTGCTGGACTAGCTCAGGTAGGATTGCTTCTTGCACCAAACAAGTCTCCCACTCTAAGGCATGTGCTTTTAGGTTAAGTAGTTGAAGCTGACACATCTGTCCCTGGGAAGGGAGCCCATGTCATGGGCAAATGTAGTGAACCCTTGTGCTAACTGGCATTGGTGGTTATCACCACTGGACTATGGGGACGTTTTAAATTCAGGAAAGGAGAAATGCTAGATGAGTCCTCCTGGGCAGTGGAGATCCATGTGCACGGGTGTCAGCGTCACCCACAATGCCTTTGAGTTCTGCTCTTAAGTTTGACCCTTTCACCAGCTGACCCATTATCCTAGAAAGAGATTTGACCTGGATTTAAATCAAAATGTAAATCCAGCACTTTGGGAGGCCAGTTTGAGACCAGCCCGGACAACACAGAGACCCCATCTCTACAAAAAATAAAAAAATTACCCAGGCACAGTGGCACACACCTGTCATCCCAGCTACTTGGGCGGCTAAGGCAGGAGGATCGCTTGAGCCCAGGGAGTTGCAGCTGCGGTTGCAGTGAGCTATGATTGCGCCACCGCACTGTAGCCTGGGCAACAGAACAAGACTCTGTCTCTATAAATAAATAAATAAATAAAGCAAGCCAGGGGAATAGGCAGGAAATGAAGAGGGGCTACCTGGGAAACATGGGGTAAATGGCTCAGATGGTGAGTGCTGGGCAGCTCACTTCCTGTATGGGCATTTGTCACTGTCTCATGGTTCCTATTCTGGAGATGGGGCCAAGTGGCCTTCTTTTTAGAGCAGCCAGCAGAAAGACGCCATCACCTGAATCTGTCACTGTCACCATCTTCAAAGCCCATCAATGAAAAAGTAGCTAGTGTCCTCCTGGCCAGGTGGCTCACTTCAGCCATAAACGGGCAGGCTGCAGCTCAGCAGCTGTGCTAGCCTCCCTTCCATCTTGAGTCTCGGCCCTTCATCCCATACATCCCCTGCCCCCATGCCTCTTCTGCTGGTCCCCTCTCTCTCCACACACATCGGGCCTCTGAGGGTCCCCAGTGAGGCCAAGTGGTGACCAAGACATCTCTTGTTCCCTTTGTGCAGCAGAGAGGAGGACTGGGGATGCAGGAGATGGTTGTTCACATAATGCTTGTTCAAAATGGTGGCTACCCTGCCCTGTGGGTCACATGCTTGCCGGAGGATTAGACTTCCCATCCTACTGGAGGCTGGCCTGGCCATGTGACCTGTTTCAGCCAATGAGATGTGAAGGGAAGTGACACCTGCCTTCTCTGAGTGGAACCTTTGGGAAACAGTCATGGATTCTGCTTTCTCTTCCCGCCTGAATGCCCCAGATGGGTGCTGCTCCTTCAGCCTGCATTGCAATATACACAAGTTGTTGCAAAGAGCCTCAGATGGCATGTCACCTGAGTGAGAAATACAATTGTCCCTTGGTATCTGTGGGGGGTTGGTTTCAAGACCCCCCCACCCCCTCAGAAACCGAAATCTGAGGATGCTCAAGTCCTTGATATGAAATGGCATAGTATCTGCCTATAACGTATGCACGTCCTCCTGTATACTTTAAATGAGGGGTCCCCAACTCCTGGGCCAGGGAACTGGTAGGAACCGGGGCGCACAGCAGGGGGTAAGCATTGGGAGGGCGAGCTTCACCACTGGAGCTCTGCCTCCTGCCAGATCAGTGGCAGCATTAGATTCTCATAGGAGCAAGAACCCTATTGTGAACTGTGCATGGAAGGGATCCCGGTTGCAGGCTCCTTATGAGAATCTAATGCCTGATGATCTGAAGTGGAACAGTTTCACCCAGAAACCATCCCCCATCCCATCTGTGGAAAAATACAGTGCATATACACCATGGAATACTATGCAGCCATTAAAATGAATGAGATCATGTTCTTTGCAGGGACATGGATGAAGCTGGTGCCAAAAACGTTGGGGAGCTCTGCTTTAAATCATTTCTAGGTTACTTCTAATACCTAATACAATGTAAATGCTATATACACAGTTGTTATACTATATTTTAATTTACATTATTTTTTATTGTTGTGTTGTTATTTTTCATCTTTTTTTCTTTGAATATTTTTGATCCATGTTTGATTAAATCCGTGGATGTGGAAACCACAGGTTGGAGGGCCAGCTGCACACTCATTTTACTTTGTGTACACACCCATGTGTGTGCAAGCAACTGGGGTTAGGGTTGTTTGTTACCACAGCAAGACTAGCCCAAGCTGACTGCTTCAGAGAGTTTCAAGGAAACACTTAACAAGAAACTAGAGGACAATCCAGGCACATGGAAACGGAAGTGGTCAGAGCGAGTGTTTCTTCTTCAAACAGAGCAGAGTCACAGATCAAGCTGGCTACCCCTTTTGGGGTATCCCCACGTCTCTTTCCCTTGCCTCAGCTCTGTGTGGGGAACCCCAACAAAAGGCCCCAGTTCCAGGCCTGGGCCTTTCCCTTGACCACTTCCCCCTCAGATCACCCCCTACTGCAGTCACCGTGGCCACAGTGTCTAAAGTCCTAAGCAGTGTAGACACACGAACCCTTTCCAGTGCCCTGTGATGGCGGCACCATCATTATCCCCATCTTACAGGCAAGGCAACTGAGGCCTGGAGAGGTAAAGTAACTTGCACAAGGTCACACAGGCAGGAGAAAACAGCGGGATTCAAAAAGCTGTGTGGCTTCCATGGTCTGTCTCAACTGCTGTGTCAAGGAGGAGGGCATCAAACAGGAAGAGAGCAAAGAGGCAGGAGCGGCACATTAACTCGGCAAAGAAACAAGTTACCTGCTGCTTTCTTAATGTTGTCTGGGTGCATGCTAGTGGCTGACCTCAGGGGAGTGAGGTTTGGAGAGCAATGGAGTAATACAAGGACACGGCAGGCCAGGCGGGGTGGCTCACGCCTGTAATCCCAACACTTTGGGAGGCTCAGGCAGGCAGATTACCTGAGGTCAGGAGTTCGAGACCAGCCTGGCCAACATGGTGAAACCTGGTTTCCACTAAATACACAAAAATTAGCCGGACGTGATGGCGCATGCCTGTAGTCCCAGCTACTCAGGAGGCTGAGGCTGGAGACTTGCTTGAACTCGGGAGGCAGAGGTTGCAGTAAGCCAAGATCATACCACACCACTGCACTCCGGCCTGGGCGATAGAGCAAGACTCCATCTCAGGGAAAAAAAAAAAAAAAAAAAGTAAAAAAGGAAACAGCAAAACCACACACACACAAACTTACGGATGACACCTGTGTATTTATAGTGAATGCACATGAACGATGATGGAAGTGTTAGGTTACAAGAAAGATTTTTGGTTTTCATCATATTTTCAGCAAATTGAGCACTGAATTTTTAAAAGTTTAAAAATGGAAAGTGAGATTCGGCCACACGGCCCTGGGAGGAAGAAAGAACCCATAGAAGTAGGCTGGCCGTCTCTGTCTCTGAGTGACCCAATTTGTCCCTCAGGCTTGAAAAAATTCTTCGCTTGACCAAACTTTAGTCAGGCTCCTGAACCTTCTCCTAGGCCCATCTGTGCCTCCTAAAATCCAGTTTTAGCAAGAATCCTGCTTCACTGGTTTAGAAAAACACCTCCCCCTTGATATCTGATCACTGTCAATATCTGATCAGTTTCCTCGTCCTCCACCATCCCCCGGGTGCTGTCTGATCACCCTGCCTGCCTTCAGCAAGAATCCTGTTGGGTCAGTTTCGCCAGAATCCTCCCTGCCCCTGATGTTTCCCCTTAGTGATTTTCCATCCACTGCCTCCCACCCTGCTCCTTGGCTATAACCCCCACTTGCCCATGCTGTATTTGGAGTTGAGCCCAGTTCTATACCGAGGTCTCTGTCTTTATTGCAATAGTTTTGAGCAAATCCTGTTTTTACTGCTTTAACGACCATCCAGCTCTGGTTTTTCATTGGTGCCTAATGGAAAATGAGACATGAAACCAGATACAATGTCCTGGTTTCCAGGGGTGTGGGGTGTCACTGGGTTGGAGAGACAGCAGAGTGGTGACCCTGGAGGCTGGGCGGGGAGGTGGGGAAGGAGTATGGCGCAAAGGACGTGGGCAGAACGTTCAGACAGTCTGCTGGTCCAGCCTGATGTGCCTTTCCTCCAAGAAGCCTTCCTGTCCACCCTGGCCGTGAACAGCACTCCCAACTCAGGCTCCTAGAGCACTGGCTGATAAGCTCAGCTCATCATAACCTCCAACCTCAGCTACTTTCCCAATGTTGCTGTGGAAATTCAAGAGCACAGCTGGCTCTTGGGTTTCCGAAAGTTGTAGGTAACTGGCAGGTGGCAGCCGAGTCTCTGAAAGCCTGGTTGCTCTTAGTAAGAGACAGGTCTGTACCCTCCTGGTCTCTATTATCTACTAATAGATAGGTGATGGTCCTCTCTATCTCCCAGGAGACCATAAGCACAGCCGGGGGCTGTGTGACCCCAGGAGCACCCGCTAAGAAGGCCTGGCCCTGGCCAAATGAGAAGAGACTCTGGTTCTTGGAGAACAGTGGATGCCCCAAACAGCCCTACCTCTTCTGCTGTCATCAGAGGGTGCTGCATACTTGGTCTGGGAAAACCATAACACTCTCTTCCTTCTTTGAGAACCTCACACTTTCTTCCCCGCTGGACTTCACAAGACGGAGAGGTCAATCAAGTTTTCTATATAAATGATTTGCCCCAACCCTACACTCGCTATCCTTACTACCCATGGATCAGGCTTCTAGCAGTTCAAAACCCAGATGCTGTTCTTTTTCCAGGGCACATGGCTAGACCCAGTTTCCCTTGCAGTTAGGTGTGATCTTGTGACCAAGTTCTAGCCAATGGAATGCGGCACAGGTGACACACCCACTCCTAGGCCTTGGCAGGAAGACGGGACCACAAGCCTTCTCCATGCTCTTTCCCCCTTCCAGCCTACTGGCTTGGAGTCAGTCCTAGGAAACTGGAGGCTGCACGCTGAAGGTGGCAGAGCCTCTTCTTCCATTGGGGTCCCTGTTCCTTCCCCACTGGGCAGGAATCTTGCCTGTGAGTGGGAAACCAGCTTCTGGCTTTAAGCCATCATGCTGGTTCTTGCAGTAGCTAGCTAATTATCCATGTTCACACATTCCTCATAGCACACCTCTCCATCTGCCAGTCATCCTGGATGGTTACTTGCTTATCATCCCCTCCCTCCATCTGAAGTGAGCTCTGAGAGGCAGTGAACAGTGCCTGGCACAGAGTGGGCACTCCATAACTCTCTGCTGAACACATGAATGTGTGGGTTGTGTTTTGTTTTTGTTGTTGTTGAGACGGAGTCTCACTCTGTTGCCAGGCTGGAGTGCAGTGGTGCAATCTCAGCTCACTGCAACCTCTGCCTCCCAGGTTCAAGTAATTCTGCCTCAGCCTCCCAAGTAGCTGGAACTACAGGTGCATGCCACCACACCCAGCTAATTTTTGTATTTTTAGTGGAGACAGGGTTTCACCATGTTGGCCAGGTCAATCTCTTGACTTCGTGATCCGCCTGCCTCGGCCTCCCGAAGTGCTGGGATTACAGGCTTGAGCCACTGTGCCCAGCGAGTTGTGTTTTATCCATTCTGTGGGGCTCTGGGTCTCTGCGGAAAGACCTCCTTATAGCAGGAAAGGTAACCTGCTTCTGCATTCCCTTCCTAGTCTACTTCTAGGGCTAGAAGATTAACCTTCAATTGAACTAATATACTCACCTTCAGGACCCAGCCTGAGGCTTCTTCCTCTTTGACACCCTCCTGAATCCTTCCCACAGTGACCTGTATCCTCCATGTCCCCAGCCAGAGGTCCCTTTGCAGTAATGCAAATGCAGTAATGCTATACTGCACAGCAAGTGATGTCTGTTTCCCATACCAGTGTGTCCCCACCCTCCAACCAGACTTGGAGGCCCCTGAGGCCAGGAACTCTGTTTTCTTCATCTTTGCATCTTCCCAGTGCCAGGCACACATGTTTCTTGAGAAACAAACACTTGAGAATATTTAATGAATCTTAACTGTTGTCACTCTGCTGCTAGCTGAGGGTGAAAGGCTTCCATTTACAAGAGATGGATCCATTTACAAGAGATGTAAACCAGTGCTTGGAATATTCTATAGATTCTTCTAACAGGCTGTTTGGATCTGAATGCCTGGCATGTATACACATAGCCATTGAAACTGCTTTTGCAAAAATTATGACGAGGAAATGATGACAGTGAAAGAGATCTGACTCAACCAATTCCATCTTGCCATTAACCTCCAAACTGCCCTTGTTCATTCCTGGGCATAGGCTGAACTAACTCTGGGAGGAATTTAGTTTATTGTTTAACTTTGAAACAAAGATGGTAACAGCCTCTCCCTGAAACAAACCTCCTCCTTGCCTGGAGACCAGGCCGCCTTTGTAAAACTAACAAATTAGCCACAAGATTAGAAATTATGGCTCAGGGCCGGGCACGGTGGCTCACGCCTGTAATCCCAGCACTTAGGGAGGCTGAGGCAGGCGGATCACCTGAGGTGGGGGGTTCGAGACCAGCCTGACCAACATGGAGAAACTCCGTCTCTACTAAAAATACAAAAATTAGCCGGGTGTGGTGGCACATGCCTGTAATCCCAGCTACTCGGGAGGCTGAGGCAGGAGAATCGCTTGAACCCGGGAGGCGGAGGTTGCAGTGAGCCAAGATCACGCCATTGTACTCCAACCTGGGCAACAAGAGCGAAACTCCATCTCAAAAAAAAAAAGAAAAGAAAAGAATAAAAGAAATTATGGCTCAGGAGTCACGTAGCCAGAGGCCACAAGATCACTAATGTCCCCAATTGCTCCTGTAGATAATGTTACTATTATAAAACCTAAGATTGGTGTTTGAGGTCTGCATTCTTTCTTATGGATCAGCTGATGCCAGCCACCCAGACCAGTAAACTGGCTCATTTGGTCTTGTGGCCCTCGCCCAGGAACTGACTCAGTGCAAGAAGACAGATTCAACTCCCTGTGATTCCATCCCTGACCCAACCAATCAGCATTCCCCCTCCATACCCCTCCTACCCGCCAAACTGTCTTTAAAAAACCCTAGCCTCCAAATTTTCAGGGAGGCTGATTTGAGTAATAATAAAACTCCATCTCCTGTTTAGTTGGCTTTATGTACATCAAACTCTTTCTCTGTTGCAATTCCCGTCTTGATAAATTGGGTCTATCTGGGCAGAGGGGGAGAAGTACCCACTGAGCGGTTATACCATGCGAGGAGGAGAAAGCTGGCACAGATGGGTGCCCAGCAGTCCACAAGGGCCCCAAACCCGGTGACATTGTACTACCAGAACAAACCCGCCCTAGAGAGGGGGTCCCCAAACATTTTCCCACTGAAGCCCATGCCCACTTCCAGTAGCACTATGCACACACAGGATTTTTGTCCTTCTTTTTTCTTTTTTTTCTTTTTTTTTTTTTTTAGGCCAGATCTCCCTCTGTCACCCAGGATGGAATGCAGTAGCACAATCATAGCTCACTGCAGCCTCACTCTCCCTGGCTCAAGCCAATCTTCCACCTCAGCCTCCCAAGTAGCTGGGACCACAGGTGCATGCCACCACACCTGGCTTATTTATTTTTTGTAGAGAGGGGGTCTTTCTATGTTGCCCAGGCTAGTCTCCAGATCCTGGGCTCAAGAAATCCTCTGCCCTCTGCCTTCTGAAGTGTTGGAATTATAGGCGTGAGCCATCAAGCCTGGCCCAGATTTTTGTCTTTCAAAGTGTTTGTCCCTTTGACCCTCACAAAAGCTCTGTGACTATTATGTCCACTTGACAGAAGAGAAAACTGAGGCTCAGAAAGATTAAGTGACTTGTCTGCAATCATGGATTGAGTGTGTGCTGAGCTGACACTAGGACTCAAGGGTGCAGACATGTCTTCTCCTTTTCTTCCCTTTCTCCAGCGTCCCTGCATTGAGCTAACAAGAAGAAACTTCAATGTGGCCATGAGAATGCAAAGCCACCCAGCTGCGACGAGGGTGAGTGGAAATTCACACTGACTTTGGATGATGAACTGAGTTCAAAACAAGTCTGGCTAAGTAACTTCAGTGACTGAAAGCTTTTCCTCCTTCTAATTTTAAACACCATCAGTGCATACAGGGGAGTCTGTGGTTAGAAGGTGCAGCCTCTCTGCTGCTGCTGCTGCCGCGTGGTCAAAGTGAAAACAGAGAAGATGGGTACTTACTCGACTTTTCTTCCTTAATGGTGTATTCGAGCACCTCGGCCGAGCTTTCGTTCAGAGAAGGAAAGTGGACACAGAGCACCAGCTGCTTCGAGCTGCTGTCCCGGCGAACCAGGAACATCTGAAACCAAAGAAGGGGATGCAGCTCCGTGAATTAAAGATTTGGGTGAAGGTGAGGAGGACAACCACGAGATGGAAGTCATCTGGAAGGTTCCTGAAATGATGAGGCAGGCTAGGGAGATCAAGGATGCCTCAGGGACACTGGGGGTTCTGCCCCAAGAGCCTTGCGCCACCTGGCCCACATCCACATTGAGGATCCTGCATGCTCAGTTTCTCATTTGCCCACTGACGGGTTCAATGAAGTCAATGTTTCTATAAGGGTATTGGAGGCACAGAGTCCATGGTGGGGGGAGGTCTTAAAATTCCTATGCCCCCACCCACTGAGACACTGATTCTGTAAGTGGGGCTGGAATTGGCTGGCTCTTATGTGAGCAGTGCTGAGTCTACACTCAGAAAAGCTCTAATGTACAGGAGTCAGGTTGAATTTCAACTCTCACCCCAGCACGTACACTCTGGGGGAGGCTGCTGGAAACAATCACAGATATTAGTCAATTCACACCATTTTTTCCCCTGAAAAAATAAAAATAGCTAATACTTAATATAGAGCTCTCGCTGAGACAGGAGCTGTGATGACACTCCACATAGAGTAACTTGCTCTATCCTCTCCATCACCCCATGAGTTTTATTATTATCCCCATCTTACAGATGAAGGAACTGAGGTACTCTCTGATTATAACAGGACGTCCCCTCCTCCAGCTGGTGTGATGACTGACTGAGTTAATACCTGTTAGGGCTTGGCCCACAGGACACGCTCTGGAAGGTGATCCTGGCCAAGATCTCACAGCTATAAGGGAAGAACTGGATTCGGCCCCCGGACACTGGTGTCAACGCTTGGGACCTCCATGCCATGAGGCCTCTGCATGCAGATCCCAAGTCCTGAGCAGGAAGACTTGCTTCTGCTGTAGGTTTACTCTCTTCTGATAAAACCATGGCTCTAGGCTGTGAGGACGCAGCTGTGCTCTAGAAACCAAATACTAACCGAGGTCTCACCCAGAGCCAGCATGTTGACGGACACTCGCTTCTCCTTCTCACGCTCTAAGCAATGGTTCTGCTCCAGTGAGGGTCCCGAAGGCAAGCATGGGGAGCGGGATTCTGCTGCCTTTCACAAACTCTGCTGTTTTAAAATGTCCTTTGAGTCTTGGCAGGTCTCAGCAAGCTCATCCCTCCTTGGCAGGTGACACCTTCTGGAATCTCCCCAGCCTCCTGTGGCACAGCTTCCCCAGGAAGGGGGAGGGGGCATCCCTCCATAGGGGAAGGACTTGGTCCATGTCTTCCCCTCCCTGCTCCTGTCTTGACCCCACCCCTGGAGCTTAAGCCTCTCCCACTCCAGCCCCAAGCTTCTGGGTTAGCGTTTGGAAAACTAGGTGTCTGGCCAAGGTTGCTGAAGAAAGGCTGTGGAGCAGGGACACTGGGATATCTGAGTGTCCGTCTGAACCAGAGTGACCCCCATCTTGAATAGGGGTTGGGTAAAATAAGGCTGAGACCCCGCTGGGCTGCATTCCCAGGAGGTTAGGGCATTCTAAGTCACAGGATAAGATAGGAGGTGGGCACAAGATACAGGTTACAAAGACCCTGCTGACAAAACAGGACGTGGTAAAGAAGCCGGCCCAAACCCACCAAAACCAAGATGGTGACCAAAGTGACCTCTGGTCGTCCTCACTGCTCATTATGTGCTAATTATAATGCATCTGCTTGCTAAAAGACACTCCCACCAGCGCCATGACAGTTTACAGATGTCATGGCAACGTCAGGAAATTAGCCTATGTCTAAAAAGGGGAGGGACCCTTAGTTCTGGGAATTGCCCACCCCTTTCCTGGAACACTCATGAATAATCTACCCCTTGTTCAGTAAATAATCAAGAAATAACCATAAGCATAATCAGTCGAGCATGAGTATGAGACAGTGTACCAGGATAGAGCACCCATTCTTTTGCTTCTTTACTTCTCTAATAAACTTGCTTTCACCTTATTCTTTGGACTCACCCCAAATTCTTTCTTGTGTCAGATCCAAGAACCTTCTCTTGGGGTCTGGATCGGGAGCCCTTTCTGGTAACGTGAGGATACGGCCCCAAGCACAGGAGGCTCCTGAGGAGCCCTCTGTCCTGACCTTGCTCTGGTGATATCCCAATTCTGCTGCCATTGTATTGATTACTAATATTACTATATTGCTGTATCATCATAATCATTGTTATTCTATAGTTGTTATATATAATTGTTAATAAAATACTATAACCATATTAATATTATTAATTAATGGCCTCCCTAGTCTGGCCCAAACCCAAATACTAGTGCATTAGATTCTATGATCTCACTTAATTCTCCTCTTAAACCTATGGGGGAAACACTATAGTTATCCCCATTTTATAGATGAGGACACTGAGGCAGAGAGAGGCAAGTAATGCTCAGGATCACAGGGTTGTAGGTGGTGGAGCTGAGACCTGAAACTCAGGACCTTCAACTCTAGATCCTGAGTGCTCAATTTTGCCTCCACTTGGCTTACAGAGGGTGGCCCTGAGGCTTAAGATCCTGGTCTCCGTGAGTGTATGGCCCTTCCAGAGCAGCAGCACAATGAATCATTAGTCACCAAACCAAGGCTGGAAATGAGTTTTTAGCAGCCCCTCTCCTCCAGCAGAGCAGGATGAAGAGAGAATTAGAAGCAGGAGCAATAGGGGGCGATGGAAGGGGTACTCCTGGTGATACAGGAGCTAAAAAGAAATTATTTAGGCAGATAGTGAGGGTAACAGAGTCCTCTGCTGAGCTTCCCTTTTAACAAAAAGCAGCCCCCAAATCATTTCTTTTTTAACAAAGAACAGCCTGAAAACTCAAGCGGCAAACATAGACAAGCAAGCTGGAAGCTTGCATGGGTGAATGCCGGCAGCTGTGCCAACAGAAAAGGGCTACCTGGAAGCCAGGTATGTTTAACATGGAGGCTTCATCTTCCCTTTTCTTTGTCACCATGTGTACAGTAGAAAAGCAGGCAACATAGCCAGGTAGAGAATCCATCTACGTAATAAAAGATTAGGGTGGGGCTGCCAGCTTCTTTGCATGCAATGCAAATGGCACACCTGTCCAGCCAATCTCTGGTACTCTATGTAAATCAGATACTGCCTCCTCAAGCTCATCTATAAAACCTCCTGCACTTCACCATGGACCGAAGACCTGTTCAGGACCCCCTCTCTCTGCAGGAGAGTGCTTTTCTTGTTCTTACACCTTTTAAACCTCCACTCTTAACCTCATTTCTTGTGTGTCCGTGTCCTTTATTTCCTTGGTGTGAGGAAACAAACCTCAGGTATTACCCCAAACGACACTGCTTCATGGCAGGGGTGGGGGTGGTGCCTGCCTGGAAGGTGTTCCTGCTTGACATTGGCTTACATCTAGATGCCTCCGCCAGGCCTGGCTCTCCGCTCAGAGGCTCAGAGACAAGCCTCGGCTCCTGCCAAATTGTCACCCTACTTGGAGCTGCAGCATCCATGAACTAGTGCATTCACCTGAAATTGAACTAACACCAGGACATGGTGTATTTCAAAGAAATGAGGTTGCTTTGCCTCTATGGAGGTTCAAGGTGGAGCTGCCTCCTTGGCCACCAGGCCCATGGGAACCAGCAGTGTGTGAGGGAATGTGAGTGTGTGGTATATAGTAAGACAGAAACACATAGCCAGTCTTTGTACCCAATCCTGGCACAGAGCTTCAAAAACCCATGGAATTTCCTGAGAGATGAGAGTGTCTTTTATTATTCATAATGAGCCCCTTTTGATCTTACCTGAGTTTCTGCTACTAAACAGGGACTCCTGGTGGGACCTTAGATTCAAGGGAGGTGCTGGCCACAGAAAGACTAAGCACCTGCTTAGAGGGTTGGAACTTCGGCCCCCCGTGTGACCAACAGAAGGGGACTGGAGACTTGAGTTCAATCACATGGCCAATGATTTAATCAATCATGCCTCTGAAATAAAACCTCTGGACTTTCTGGCTGGTGAACACACTGATGTGCTGGGAGGAAGATGCACCCAGCTTCTAGGAGTGTTAGCTACCTGGGTGTGTCACCAACCTTGGGATTTTTTGGAGCTGTCCTCACCCCCTTATTTTGTTTTGACAGTCTTCTAAATCTAATAACCTGATTTGTCTCCAGCTGATCCTCAGTGAGAGATGTCATCCCCTCAATATTCAAAAAAGTCACCCTTTTGGCCGGGCACGGTGGCTCATGCCTGTAATCCCAGCACTTTGGGAGGCTGAGGCAGGGGGATCACTTGAGGTCAGGAGTTCGAGACCAGCCTGACCAACATGGTGAAACCCCATTTCTACTAACAATACAAAAATTAGTCAGGTATAGTGGTGCATGCCTGTAATCCCAACTACCCAGGAGGCTGAGGCAGAAGAATAGCTTCAATCTGGGAGGCAGAGGTTGCAGTGAGCCAAGATTGCACTACTGTACTCCAGCCTGGGCAACAAAGCAAGACTGCATCTCAAAAAAAAAAAAAAAAAAAAAAGCAAAAAAAAGAGTCACCCTTCTACAGGAGACCACCAGACTTCCCATCAGTGGGTCATGGCAGAGGCAAAGTTCTGCCTATCTCCCTTGGACCTGGCTGGATACTGCTTTCACCAACCCACGGAGCCACACTGCCCGGACAGCTAGCAGAGGCCAAGACCCACAGAACAACCACCACCGCCCCTCTCTATAACTGCAGGAAGCAGTTACGAAAGACTGACCATCCATTTTCCCCAAGGAATTGGGGTCTTAGACTCTTGAGGGGAAAATGTTACAGTAGGTAGTCAGGTATCAGCAGGGCAGGAGAGTCCCCTCCCTGACCAGGAATGTCAGGCGACCATCAGATGATGGGCAGGCGGTTATTAACTGTCTCTCTAATAATTGGTTGCAGCTGTCACCCCAGGGAAACACAGTCTCCCAAGAGATAGAAAAAAACCTGAAAACTGGTGATCAGCATCTTCTCGATTACATCTCACAAACTGTGCCCGTGGGCTCAAGCATGAGCACTAAGAGGCAAAATGGCGGAGTGTAACTTGTATAGGACCTTCTTCTAGAAACACCGGACTGGTAAGGGAAGAAGGCCTCAAATGAGTATGCGCACAACTCCAGTAAACACACTGCGCATGCGGCCCCTCCCAAGTGCTGGCGGACCACTGCGCATGCAGACAGCCCACCCCAGGGGAAGAAGCCCACTCTGAGACTCAGGGGAGAAGGGACGGACACAAGACCCTGGAAGCATGCTAACACAGAAAACCCTAAGTCAAAGGTCAAACCATGCACTTGATCTCTCAAGTCACCCACCTGACCCTCTTCCAAGTGTACTTTCCTTCCTTTTGTTCCTGCTGTAAAGCTTTATTAATAAACTTTCACTCCTGCTCTAAAACTTGCCTCGGTCTCTCACTCTGCCTTATGCCCCCTTGGTCAAATTCTTTCTTCTGAGGAGGCAAGAACTGAGGATGCTGCAGACCCATCTGGACTCCCCCTGCGAATAGGAGGAGAGGTGATGGGGACTCTGTGGCTGCCCCGCCCCAGACCTCGCCCTATGTGCCTTTTCCATTTGGTGGTTCCTGTGCTGTATCTTTTATACAAAACTGTAATTGGAAGTATAACACTTTGTGAGTCTTTGAGTTGTCCTATCGGATTATCAAACCTGAATGGAGATCATGGGAACTCCTGAATTTGAAGCCAAATTGGACAGAAGTGCAGTTGCCTGGGAAGCCCACTTGTGGCTGGCATCTGAAGGAGGAGCAGCCCGTGGAGTCTGCACTAACTCTGGGTAGTGTCCAAATTATTGGACACCCAGCCGGTGTCAGAAAATTGTGAGTGAGTGTGTGTGTGTGAGTATGGGTGAGTGTTGTGAAATTAAATTCAAACTTAAAATAATTGGGACTTAAAGCTATTGGAACTTCAAATTATCTAGAGCCTTGAGAGGAATGTGGCTTTGTAGCCTGAGCAACACTGCCTGCAACTGCAACTTCTGCAGCTGATTTCCTGTAAATATTGAAGACCAAACAGCAGCAGAGATAAGACCCCCTCAGAACACTCCCCTTCTTCTGGAGTATTAAAAGAAAAACCTTAGACCAATTAATTTCACAGAATTTAATTGAGCAAAGAATGATTCACAAATCGGGCAACTCCTGAACCAGAATAGGTTCAGAGAGACTCCAATATAGCCATGTAGTGGAAGATTTATGGACAGTAAAAGGAAAGTAATGGACAAAAACTGGAAGTGAGGTACAGAAACAGCTGGATTGGTTACAGCTCGGCATTTGCCTTATTTGAACACCGTTGGACCAGTTGGCCACCTTTGACCGGCCAAGACTCAGTGATTGCCACAAGAGTATTTTACAGTCTGTTTACACCTCCAGTTAGGTTACAGTTCACTATGTCCAGAAAAACCTTTAGACAGAACTTCAAATATGTAAAGAGGCAGCGTTAGGCTAAACTTAATTTAACAGGAGTAATAAAGTAATCTTCCTAGGTTGTAGCAATCTGTAACCAATCAAATCACTGGGGCATGCAGTGGTCTCATATGGAAAATGTCATCCTGCTAAAACTTCTCTGTCTCTGCCTGTATAAGTAAAACCTTAACTTCACCTTCAATGCTGGCCTTGTTCATTTGGAGTCGGTGTCTCCCAGGTGGCTACCCTCAAGCTTTGTGGTAGAATAAACTCCATAATTAATCACATTTTCTGAATGTCACTTCTTTTTTTTTTTTTGAGACAGTCTCACTTTGTCGCTGAGGCTGGAGTGCAATGGCGTGATCTCAGCTCACTGCAACCTTTGCCTCCAGAGTTCAAGTGATTCTCCTGCCTCAGCCTTCCAAGTAGCTGGGATTACAGGCACGCACTACCATGCCTGGCTAATTTTTATATTTTTGTGGAGATGGGGCTTCATCATATTGGCCAGGCTGGTCTCCAGCTCCTGATCTCAAGTGATCAGCCCACCTTGGCCTCCCAAAGTGCTGGGATTACAGGCGTGAGCCACCGCGCCTGGCCTGAATGTCATTAGTTAAAGTGGACAGTGTGTGTGAGTGTGTGTGTGTGTGTGTGTGTGTATCTGCCACGAGGGAACTCTGGGGTGCCCCCAGGGCCTTCCTGCTGAGCAGGACGTGGAAAGAAAGGCAGAGCAGGAGCCAGTGGTGCCCCTGGGAAGGCAAACTTTGACCCCTGGCCCTGAGCCAGGGTGGGAGCTGAGGCTGGAGCCCTCCTAAATTGCAACCAAACTGCAGATTTCTGTCCACACTGGGAAAGTGCTCTCTTTGTGTTGCACGTGCAGGGGACACACACCCAGGTCACTGGTTAGAAGCACAGCCACATGGCAGGGCTGCCCCATCTTTAGGTATCAGGGATGGCACAGGAAGGAAGGGCAGTGTTTTTCAGACTGCACGTCATGACCCATTACTGCGAATGCCACCCAAAATTTCTTTTTCCAGAATGAAACAGAAGAAAATAAAATAGAAGACCCTTGCCTATAGTAAGGGTAGACTTCTTGTTGGAGGGTGCAGGTCTACGCGGGTCAGGGCCACAGTACAACATATATATTTTTACTCTACTGATAGTTACTTTCTCCCCTTACTATTTTGATGCCCCTAGCCCCCACTGATCTCTGCCTAGGGTGACTGGCATGAAACATCCTGGTTGCTGGCTTCAACTAGGCTGTCCTTCGATGCTTCTCTGCATTGAATCAGCTCTTTCACACCTAGCCCATAGCTATTTCTAGGTTTTCTCACTTTGTTCGGACATGGACCCTGTTCTCCATCCTCACATTCCAAGAGAGAAAGAAAAAAAAAAAAGGCAGGAGCTCTCAGAGGGAGATCCTCCAGCTGGGGACAGGCTCACAAACTGTATTTCTTTCTGGGCCCTCAGACGGCCCTGAGCAGCCAGTTACTAGCCCTGGGACCCTGGGTGATTGTATGGTTTCTCTGAGCCTCCGTGTTCTTGTCCATAAATGGGGGTGGCAACACCTGCCACCACCCAGCAGAAACAAAAAATGAAACCAAGGCCCTGCCTCTCTGGTTGTAAGATGTATGGAGAAGCTGCAGAGGAAAGCACCCAACAGGACGCTCACTGAGGACCACGCTCCACTCACCCCACCCGCAGCTGGTTTTGTGCTTCTGTCTCCTGGTCTCAGGCTCCACCTAGACCTGGGAGTCTGTCCACCATGTGTGTTTACTGTGAAAGAGAATCAGAAGGGATTGCCTGACCCCAGAAGAGATGAAACTTACAGATCCAGGGCAAGAGGAGGCGAATGCAAGATTATAAACTAAAGAGAGAGTGGTTCAAGTCCACAGTACGGAGGCAGAAGTTAAAACGGCAGCTGGCGTGTGCACACTGGGCCAGGTGCCTTACAGGCACCAGGACTGGTATCACTCAGTCCTCCCCAGAGCCACACAGCTGGCAACTGCCAGAGCAGGACTAGGGCCAGGCATCCCCACCACATGGTGAAGCATCTCGCTCCCCTCTCGCTGTTGGGCTGTGTTATCTACACAGCTTGTCGACAGGGCTGGAAAGTCCCCAAGGTTGGACTCTGCCAGCTCCCCAGCTCCGAACCCATCACCCACCCTTTCAGCATGGCCACAGGGCTCTCATGTGGCTCTTGTCTTCTGACTAAAAACCATGATAAGGCGCTGGCCTGGGGCAGAGGAGGCTGGAGGCTGTGAGTTCACGATGGAGAGTGGGGCAGGGACGGACTCTGAGTTTGGCATGGCTCCAGGAGTCCTCTGACGTTTCCTGCCCAGGTGGCCATGGGTGAGGGTGACACTGACAGGTACGTGCTGTGGGCAGAGCCCAGGTCTGTGGTCTGCCTTGGCCAACTGGAATCAGAGGGTCTGTTCTGTTCCTCTCTGGGGAGGTTTAGCTGCTGAGCTAGTCATGGAGACTCTTCTAGAAGGTATTCACAGACAGCACCTCAAAAACAGCATCACTGTGCCGCAGTGATGCCTGAAGAACATTTTAGATTATGGTGAATTATCTCAGCTTAAATCTGGCAGATTTTGGCCCAAGTCAGTGTCAGGCAGCAGCCATCTTCATGAGTTGTTTATATCTACATTGCCTCCCTGCCCACTCGCTGATCGAGTGTCCCCAGGTCATACTCCAAGGGGATGTTGCCCATGATGGCTGTTACAAGTGAGTACATGGTGGGATGGGGAGCCGAAGGACCACCCAGAGCCCTTTCTCCAACACCTTTGGGGTTTCCATGTGAAAAGTCTCAAAGCCCACCTTACTTCTCCCTTTCTGCCCCCCTGCAGCCAGCTATTTAGAGACACAGTGAAACACAAATACTACCTCTGCCCCTCACCAGCCGTGGGCAAGTTACTTTTACTTCTTGGGGTCTCAATGTCCTCATCTAAACATGAGGACAATAATATCCATCATTCAGGGTTGCTGTGAGAATTGCTGATCATGTATATAAAATGCCTGGCACAGAAAATGTACTTAATAACTTATAATCCTAATTATTAATTATTATTATAGATTGCTCTCATTTACTGATCCAAATCACATGCTATGATTTTAAGTGCCTAATATCATTAGACAAATAAATGACAACTATTAATAGGATTATTACTATGCTTGCAGCTGAACCAAAGAGACAGGACAAAGGACTCAAAGAGCATTCACCTCCACAGTAGATTAAAAAGAGCCACAAAGTCTTTGCTGCTCCCCCTATCAAGAGATGGAGTCTATTTTCACCTCCTGGTGAAAACAGCATGGCCTTGGCACTGGCATTGACCAAAAAAAAAAAAAAAAAATGCAGCAGAAGAGACACTGTGGAGTTCAGAGCTTGGGCTTCAAGAGGCATGCAGCTTCCATGTCACCCTTTGGACTATGCTGTCATGTAAAGAAGCCTGAGCTAGCCAGCTGGAGTTGTGTGGCCCAGCCAACAGCCAGCACCCAACACAAGACACATGAGTGAGGCCATCATAGACCATCCCCCTCTAGTCAAGTTGCTAGATGATTGCAGCTGCATGACTGACCCCAGAAAAGACCAACAGAAGAACCACTCAGCTGAACCCAGCCCAAATTGCTGAGCCATAGAATTGTGAGCAAATATAAAATAGTGACTGTTGAAAGCCACTGAATGTTGGTTTGTTATGTAAAGTAGGTAATGGTATAGCCATGAGGTATACGGACATGTGGCCTCCACCTTTGGGTATCCCCCTACTCTCTTCCATCAGGCATTGCTGACGAATACACATAGCTCAGTGGGAAAGTTTCAAAGCTAGTGATGTGGTCCAGCCCCTCACTCTACAGCCAAAGAAACCCAGAGAAGTAAAATGACCTCCTGAGGTCACATCACTTATTAGTGTCAGAGCCAGAACAAGAATGCAAGACACGTGACCTCCAGGCCACGTTTGTGACCACTACAATACATAACCTCTAGCCCAACCAACCCACTGGTGTTAAATAAGCATATACTCCATGGCAGGCACCAGGCTAGGGATTTTAGATACCTGCAACAGCTCCTTCCCTGAGGCTCTGAATATCACACCCTCCATGCAGATGAGAAAATAGTGTGAGGTGCAGGTTGGTAAGGAGACGGGAAAGGGGATGGGCATTCAAGCGGCAGGTCCAGAGTGTTGGGCCTTGAACCCTTTCATGTAAGACCTTCTGCCCGCATGCTCTGGAGCCAAACCTTCCAAGTTTAGTCCTTAGTTAGCCACTTGGAGCTATCTGAGCTTTCTGGGCGGCTTCTTTTTCTGTGAAATGGGGTCATAATAGTCCCTGCCTATGATACTTACTGAGTTAGCTCCCCAGGAACCAGTCCCCTCTCCCCCTCCTTGCTAACAGACCCTGATTCTGGCTCTGGCGGCAATGTGCCCTGACTCAGGAGATGTATCACATTTGGTCAGAGCCGATCTTGACCATCCTGCTCTCCTTGGCCATTCACCCCCTTTCCTAGCCTTCATCACATCACGGGTGGTCAATAAAGCATTTGGAACAATATGTGTTCCCTAACAATAATGCAGAGCCTAGGAGGAGAAAGCCATTTGCCTGTGACCTCTTGCCTTCGAATGGGTGAGGTGTCTGGAGCTGCAGCTGCCATTTTGCAACCATGAGGTGAGAAACCTGAGGACAAAAAGCCAACCACTTGAAGATGGAGGAATAGAAGGGTAGAGAGAAGCCCAGGTGGAGTAGTGAGGGAACACAGTGGGAACTGAAGGCATCAAAGAGCTGCTAAACTAGCCCTGGACCCCAACTTCCAGACTTCCCACTAGACGAACAATAGCATCCTTATGGCTGAAGCTACCATAGCCGGGCTTGCTGTTACTTGAAGTTTAAAGCATTCACCACCAACCCAGTGCCTCAAAGGATCATTGAAAAGGCTGCACAGGTGGTATTAGCAGAGTGCCTGCTACATAGTAAGCAGTCAATATGTCATACTTCTGTCAGAGGTGATCCATCTTGACTTTCTTACAGCTCCAGAGCAACTTTCTTACAGCTCAAGAGCAGCTCCATCTTAAATAGGGGCTGGGGCAGCTGAGACCGGCTGGGCTGCATTCCCAGGAGGTTAGGCATTCTTAGTCACAGGATAAGACAGGAGGTCAGCACAAGATACAGGTCACAAAGACCCTGCTGATAAAACAAGATGTGGTAAAGAAGCCGGCCCAAACCCACCAAAACCAAGATGGCAATGAAAGTGGCCTCTGGTCATCCTCACTGCTCATTATGTGCTAATTATAATGCATTAGTAAGCTAAAAGACACTCCCACCAGCGCCAAGACAGTTTACAAATGCCATGGCAGTAAAGAAGTTACCCTATATAGTCTAAAAAGCGGGGAAACCCTTAGCTCCAGGAAATGCCTACCCCTTTCCCAGAAAACTCATGAATAATCCACCCCTTGTTTGATCAAGAAATAACTCTAAGTATATTCATTCGAGCAGCCCATGCTGCTGCTCTGCCCATGGAGTAGCTATTCTTTATCCCCTTACTTTCCTAATAAACTTGCTTTCACTTTACTTTGTGGACTTGCCCCTGTTTCTTTCTTGCCTGAGGTCCAAGAACCCTTCCCTAGGGTCTGGCTTGGGACCCCTTTCTGGTAACACTTCCTTCCCCAGACCCCCTCTACCTGCCTCCTGGCCCTGAGAACGAATGTCACAAAGCTCCTAGCATTCCTGATGTCAGTGTTCATGGATGGCTCCATGAATCAAAAGGGCAATAGGGCAGGACATGGGGCACCCTGGACAGGGAAAGGCATCCTGATGGGCAGCTCCAGACTTCAGAGCTCAACCTCGATGGGAAGATAAGCCAGGCAGAGCAGATGAGCCAGGTGGAGCAGTGAGGGAACACAGGGAGACAAGTGCCAGTGCCGGGGCCACCTTTGTCCACCTCCAGGACACTCACAGGGGGCTGCCTGGGTTTCCTACAAACAGAACAGTTCACATTCATGCCCACGGTAGGGCCCTCCATCTGCCACTGCTCCTGAAAGCCTTCCCTGATTAGCCACTAACAAAGCTTCCTAGGCCCAGTGTCCTTACTCAACCTCTCTCCTCTCTGGGAACAAGCCTGGTCTGGGGCCTTGCTGAGTCAGCTGTTCCTGCGCGCGCGCGTGTGTGTGCGCGTTTCCTCCATTTTTCATCCCTCACTGCATTGCATTAGGGACCCTCAGAAAGCAGAAAAATCCTCTTCCATCAATTGTACAAACTGCTGGGCTCTTGCCACTGTGAGAGTTCGATTTTCTTTGATGATTTAGGATTCCCCCATGCAAGCCCCCACCAAAAAAACAGCGGGCAATGGTAAGAGCAACGGGCTGAGGGTCAGACACTTGTGTCCTTCCTAGTTCTGACATTGGTTTGCTCTGTGTCCTTAAGCAAGTCACTTCCCCTTTCTGAGCTGGCTTTTTCCAGTCTATAGCAAGGGAGGTAGGCTGAACAATTCCAAGACTCCTTTCTTCTAGAAGATACTCTTGTAGCATCAGTGCCCTGGGGGTCTTTCCCAGTCCCTAAGAGGCTTGCAAGAGGGTGAGTTTCATGGTAAATTAACGCAATCCAGGAAATGGTACCGCCAGTCTGCAGACCCTCTTCCTGTCTATCTTCAGCCAAGGTGAGTTTTGGAAAGACCAACTTATTTCACTAACAGCTGGGACAGAATATGCTTAGGGAGAGAATTATGCAGCCACCACGCTCCCCTCTTCCTCTCCAAATAAATACATTTGGATTTTTATCCAAAGCTAAATGCACCATAAGGGGTTTTGTTTTTACTATTCATTTTTGGCCTGGACAATTCAGAGCTATCTGCTTTTCCACTTCTGTTATTTTAGGATTATTTTCCAGCTGCTTGGGGAAAATTTCCAATCATGCCCATTAGGGCAGAAATAGAAGTGTCTGGCTCTTCTGAGAGGCTATGTCCACAGGGGTTGTGCCTGCAGAGGTTGACAGTCCAGTGGCTGGGGCCCATCCTGGACAAAGGTCCTCATATCCTCAGTCCTGACTCTGACAGAGCTTAGGGGTATGTGTGTGTGTGTTTGTGTGTGTACAGAGATGTAAGAAAGTCAAGCCACAAATCCTCAGAACCACTGAGGACTGGAAATGGAATAAAGGGACATATTGCCCAATATCTTTATTTTACATATGGGGAAACTGAGGCCCACCTTTCCCATTAGCATAGCACAGAGCAGCAATTCTCAACTCTGGCTACATAGCAGAATTACCCAGGAAGCTTTTAAAACATGCTGATGGCTGAGGCCCACTCCAAAAGAAAAAGAGAAGCACTTCTGAGGGTGAGGCCAAGACACTGTTTTTTTTAAAGCTTTTGGAGACAGTCAGTTGTGGGTTTAAATCAAGTTCCACAACTTGGTAGCCATATGACTCAGGCTGGTTTCTTACCGTCTCAGAGCTGAGTTTCCTCCCTTATAGAATAGAGATCACACCCCTGTTTTGCAGGGTTGTTGGAAAAATGAGAGATGGTGCTTAGTCCAAAGTAATCCTGCAATAATTGATGATTGTGCCTTTTTCCCTGGTCTCACAACAGAGGGGCTTCACTGAAGTTTGTTGTTTGTTTGTTTGTTTGTTTTGAGACAGAGTTTTGCTCTTGTTGCCCAGGCTGGAGTGCAGTGGTGCGATCTTTTCTCACTGCAACTTCTGCCTCCCGGGTTCAAGCGATTCTCCTGCCTCAGCCTCCCAAGTAGCTGGGATTACAGGCGCCTGCCACTACTCCTGGCTATTTTTTTCTATTTTTAGCAGATATGAGGTTTTACCATGTTGGCCAGGCTAGTCTTGAACTCCTGACCTCAGGTGATCCACCCACCTCGGCCTCCCAAAGTGCTGGGATTCCAGGCAGGAGTCACTGCACCTGGCCCACTGAAGGTTTTTACCAAACTAATACTCAACAGAATCGGTACTCCTTGGGCTCACACCTAGGGAGGGTGCCTTGAACCATCTAGATGGCTGGTCTATATCACAACTCAGGTTACTACAACTTTTGACCCAACCTTTCACCTCCTTCATCACCAAAAGCAACCTTAAAAGAGGTTTCTTTTATTAAAAACCACCTTGGCCTAGAAGCAACTGACACTCCAGTAGCAACAAACACCTGTGGTCCCCAGATCTTGGTTTCTAATATCATTCCCTATAAAAGGAACGACGGCTTCTTGGAGAAATGGCTGATTCTAGGACTGGGGCAGAAAATATATAAGATGAGCATGGAGTATCTTATATTGCCAGGAAATAACGACATGTTCCAAAAAACAAAACACACACCCACATGCACAGTGAGGGCAGTGTGTCAAAGGCATACAGGAGCCAACTGAAGGACTCGAGGGGCCAAAGTTGGAAAACTTTGAGCAACAAAATAATTAAAGTAGTATTGGATTATAGTCCAAAGTATAAAAGTGCCCCTGATTCCACAATGATATAAGTAAATGGCTTAACAAATAGATGGGAGAGAAGAGGCAAATCTCTTGTACAGACAAATTCCAAATAATTTATTAGATACCAAATCAAGGAGGTGGAGCATAATTCCCCATTCCTTAAAGGTGGGCTGAGCACACCGACTGCCTTCCAAAAAGTACAGTCTAGAGAGGCAGTGGGGGAAAGAGTGACTTTGAAGTACAGAAACCCTAAGAACACAACCCCAGCAATTGATCAAGGTCAACATCACCAGTGGTTAAGTCATTCCGAGAGTCTGTTGCCTTCATATGATGTGATTAGATTATTTTACCAGTGTGGTCTTCCTCCCCAAACCCCTAACCCCAGTCTAACCATCAGACAAGTCCTAGTGGAGGAACATTCTACAAAATACCTGATCACTGTTCCTCAAAACTGCCAAGGTCATCAAAAACAAAGGAAGTCTGAGCAAATGTCACAGCCAAGAAAAGCCTAAGGAGACAAGATGACTAAATGTAACATGGGATGGGATCCCGGAGCAGAGAAAAGACGCTAGGTAAAAGCTGACCAGGCATGGTGGCTCACGCCTGTAATCCCAGTGGTATGGGAGGCCGAGGTGGGAGGATTGCTTGAGCCCAGGAGCTCAAGACCAGCCTGGGCAACATAGGGAGACCTCGTCTCTACAAAAAGTAAAAAATTAATTAGCTGGGCATGGTAGTGTGTGCCTGTAATCCCAGCTACTCAGGAAGCTGAGGCAGGAGAATCACTTGAGCCTAGGAGGTAGGCTGCAGTGAGCCATGATCGCGCCACTGCACTCCAGATTGGGTGACAGAGCAAGACCTGTCTCAAAACCAAACAAAACTCAGGAAATCTGAATAAAGTACGGGCTTTAGTTAATACTAATGTATCAAGATCAGTTTCTTAATTGTGGCGAATGTACCACACTAATGCTAGATGTTAACAATGGGGGAAACTGGTGTGGAGTATATGGGAACTCCCTGTACCGTCTTTGAAACTTTTCTGTAAATCTAAAACTATTCTAAAATAAAAAAAAAAATCAGCCTGAATGCAGAATAAATAAAGGTGGCTATTTGGTTGCCTTGCTTCTGGATACACACAAATGAACAAATGGGCCAATATGTTCCCAAAACCTTATCAGAGAAGCAGGCTGCAGGGAGGGAGGTGGATAGTGGGGAAGGGGTGAGATGTGGTCAAGGTCATACAGATATTTGGAACAAAGGGCCTGAATCCCTAGCCTGAGCACCAGCGCTAGACACAATGAAGCACTGTCTTTCATCGGTGCCAGCAGGGGTAGACCCAGGTGGTCTCTGAAGACCTTTTGAGTTCCCACAGCCTGGGGACCACCCATGGTGTCGGTATATATATATATAAATATATATATAAAAATATATATAAATATAAATATATATAAATATATATAAATATGGCATATATATGGCAGATATATATATATTTATGGCATATATATGGCAGATATATATATATTTTTTTTTTTTTTTTTTTTTTTTTAGACAGAGTTTCGCTCTTGTTGCCCAGGCTGGAGTGCAGTGGTGCGATCTCGGCTCACTGCAACCTCTGCCTTCCCAGGTTCAAGTGATTCTCCTGCCTCAGCCTCCTGAGTAGCTGGGATTACAGGCGCCCACCACCAAGCCTGGCTAATTTTTTGTATTTTTAGTAGAGACGTGGTTTCATCATGTTGACCAGGCTGGTCTTGAACTCCTGACCTCAGGTGATCCACCCGCCTTGGCCTCCCAAAGGGCTGGGATTATAGACATGAGCCACCGCATCCGGCCCGGTGTCTGTATCTTTAGAAACAATGACATCATCGCCTGGATGCCAGCTCTGTGGGACCGCTGTTGTGAAGCAAAGCGCCTTGCCAGCTGAAGATCACACCACACAGACTCTGCTTTCACCAGCTGTGTGACTTCAGGCAAGTGAGTTGACTTCTCTGTGCCTCTGTTTCCTCATCTGAAAATGGGAACACACTAATGCCTACCTGACAGAAATCGCTGAGGATCAAGTAAGATCATGCATATAGCAACTCTGGGTAAAAGCTGCCAATCTTCGTAACAGCACATGCACTCAGGCCCTTCCTTATGCTTGAAAATATAGAGGTGCACGGGGAGGAGTGGGGCGTAAAGGCAGAGAGCAGGGAAGGCAACAGATGACACAGCTCCTCCACTCTGTTGTTCTCAGGGCTGGCCCAGCTGCTACGCCCTCAGAAGGGGGTGGTGAGTGGGTGGCAGTGGGAAGGGAATGGTTGACTCCTTTAATGCAGTCACCTGTGGTCTCAACATCTTCTATACTCAGCACCTGGATTGTAGCAGAGTTCTCTGGGCCTCGGCAGCCTGGGTGCCTCCCCTGCTGGGGCTGAAGGAGTGTCCAGCCTTCTCGCACCACTGAAGCTGGGATTAAGGCCTAAGGCCTTGCTTTAACTTGTGCTCACCTTGAAAATGAACTAAGCCCCGTGGCCTTTGCCTCTTGCCACAGGCCCCGAGCAACCTAGCCTGGCTTTGTCAGTTTGGAAGAAGCAGACCTGCACACCTGCTGTCCTCATTCATTTGTCCCAGTGAACAATCAGAGCCAGGCTCACTCTGTGCTCCCAGACCCGAATCAGTCAATGGTGTCACTGGTAGATGAATGCAACATGGTCCTGCTCTCCAGGGTTCCGGTAGGCTCTATTCCCTCCACTCTCTTTCATCCCCAAGGGCCCCAGCAAGGCTCACATCCACCTCTGGGCCTTGGCCCTTGCTGTTATGTCACCTGCTACTCTCCAGCAGACTCTGTCAGCTCCCCCATCCCAACCTGCCCATCCATTCTTCATGGCCCAGCTTGGTGTCTGCCTCCTCCAGGAAGTCTGCCCAGATCACCCCACCTGGATGTGCTCTCTTCCTGCTCCAGGTAACTCGCTGCCCTGCCTTTCACAGAGCACTTAGCTAACCCCACCTGGTGCCTTTACGGTTCATATTGGTGCATGGAGTCCCCACCAGACCCTCGGAGAGGACAGTGGTAAGATTGTATCTCACCCATCTTTATAAACATGGCTCATATCCAAACCCATCCAGCACTGGTTGATCTCAGAAAATTACTTTTATGTCTCTCCTGCTACTCACTTCTGGAGGGATGGGCTTGAGCCTAGCCAGGCCTGGGTTCAAACCTCAGCCCTGTACCTCACTAGCTGTGTGATCTTTGGGAAAGTTAGCCCACTCTAGTGGTAGGTGTGGCTGGTGTCCCACCCATCCCTGTGGAGACTTATCTTTTTAGTGGACTCCAGCCCTCCTTCCACTAGCCATCTCTGCATCTCTTCACCCAAGGACTGTTTCTGGCAAGAGTCAGATCTTACAGTCAAGGAAGAGAGAAGGGGGCCGGGCACGGTGGCTCACACCTGTAATGCCAGCACTTTGGAAGGCCGAGGTGGGAGGATCACCTGAGGTCAGGAGTCTGAGACCAGCCTGGCCAACATGGTGAAACCCTGTCTCTGCTAAAAATACAAAAATTAGCCAGGCGTGGTGGCACACGCCTGTAGTCCCAGCTACTTGGGAGGCTGAGGCAGGAGAATCGCTTGAACCCAGGAGGTGGAGGTTGCAGTGAGCTGAGATTGCGCCACTGCAAGACTCTGTCTCACCAAAAAAAAAAAAAAAAGAAAAGAAAAGAAAAAACAAAAGGAAGAGAGAAGGTGCTGGAAGATGCATCCTCCTCACACCCCACAGCCTTTGACCCACGACTATCAGGAGTTGGTGAATAATACACAGCTCCCTCACCCTTCCGGTGGGATAACCACGAGATGTGTGTTCCACGCTGGCTCCCAGAGTTCCCCAGGAGGATTCAGCTCCAGCTGCCCCCAAGAGTAACTCTCATGACAATGTACCTTTTATTGGCATCAGTCCCTTCCCCTGGCTTGGTTCCCCTACTGGTGCTTCCTGGGGTTACTACCCAAATAATCCACTTGCACTCAAATCCTTGTCTCAGGGTCTGCTTCTGGGGAAACCCAAACTAAAGCACTCCTCTTAGCCTCGGTTTCATTATCTGTGAAATGGGTATAATGGCAGAGTTGACCTCACAGGATGATTGCAAGATGATATCTGCAAAGCACAGAGCCTGGAATTACTAAGCATTCTCCAAAAGGAACCACTACAGTTATTTTTAGTTGTGCTTATTTTAAACTTTTTAATCATTTTTTTTGGACAGAGTCTCACTCCATCACCTGGGCTGGAGTACAGTGGCGTGATCTAGGCACACTGCAACTTCCACCTCCCCGGTTCAAGTAATTCTCCCACCTCAGCCTCCCGAATAGCTGGGATTACAAGTGCACACTTCCGTGCCTGGCTAATTTTTGTATTTTTTGTAGAGACGGGGTCTCGCCATGTTGCCCAGGCTGGTCTTGAACTCCTGGGCTCAAGGAATCCCCCTGCCGTGGCCTCCCAAAGTGCTGGGATTATAGGCATGAGCCACCGCGCCCAGGCTAATTTTCTGAAGAGAGAACTGAATCTTTTGACAGAGCAGTCATGACTATGTCCCATCCAGCTTGCTCTGGAGAGCCAGCACCTTCTCCTGGGACCATCCCCCACTGTCTGGTAATTCCCATCCACACACCTGCCCTGCACATGTCCTTCTTGATGACCAAGAAAAATCCAGAACATGGCCATCCCCTGGCATCAAAAATTTTCCCCTTGGGCTGGTTTCGAGCTGCATCCTCCCAGCAAGGGTGGGAAGCTCATTCCTGAGAACCTACCAGGGGAACTGGGGACCACAGAGGGTGCTGGCTGAACACCCACTGGCAGGAGACCCTGGTTTTATTTTCTACCCAGGCCTTGCCAGGCCAGCGGTCCCCCTGGTCTTGGCAGGACACTGCTGTGCTTCCAGGCCACCACAGTGCCCACTCCCTGTGACAGGGGCCTCTGTAGCAAGAGGAGGTCAGGACTTTGCAGAAGGCCCCATAAGTTCTAGTAATTCCGATTTTCAGGTACAACTGGCGACTTGATGCATTTTACCTCGTCCGAGGTGAACGAGTCCATTCGCCATCTGAGCCCTGTACTTATACGTCTGGACTCTTCCTGGGAGGCAGACAAGCGCTGCAACCACAGCAGGGGAGAGACCATCAAAAGTGCACGGTGGCTGGGGGACAAAAGTCCAGCTAAGCCAAATAAAACGTGTGTGCTCAACATAGCACAGGGCACCCAGACTGCCTGGGTCCAGATTCCCACTCTGCTATTTACTCACTGTGTCCCCTGGGGGAGGGCACTCAATGCCTTTGCATCGCAGTTGCCTCATCTATACAATGGGCAAGGTGGCAACACCTACCTCCTAGGGCTGCTGTGAGGTTAAATGGGCAGATTCACATGAAGAACTTGCAAGACTGCCTGGAGCAAAGCAAGTACTCAGGGAATGCTTGCCGCTACGTGAATATGCATGAATATGCATGGAAAATGTGCAGACAGACGTACCGCATGCAACGTGACTTCGGAGGCAGATTGGTGGTTACGGGGCTGCAGGAGGGGAGAAGGGGGAGGGAGTGTAGGGCTTTGTTTTGAATGATGAGATGTTTTGGAACTAGATAGATAGAGGTGGTGGTTGTACCACATTGTGTCTGTACTAAATGCCACTGAACTGTATACTTTTAAATGGCTAATTTTATATTATGTGAATTTCATCTCAATTAAAAAAAGAAAACACTTCTGGGGAGTGAGTTTGGTTACAGTAGGTGGAAAAGATCTTTACTTTTTACATGTCTGTCCAGCTTGGGTTTCTGTTAAATAATGAACACATATGTGTATCACTTTGGTAATTAAACAAATTCAAGTTGTTTTTAAAAGGAAGCAGCGTATAGGAGAAAATGTGTGTGGGAGGTGAAAGGAACATATGATGAGCTCTGACTCATATTTCATCATCTATCACCCACTTATCTGTTGTCTGTCTGTATGTCCATACGTCCATCCATCTATCTATCCATCTGTCTGTCTGTCCATCCATCTGTCCATTCATCCATCCATCATCTATCTTCCCATGCAATAGGAATAAGAGCCTCGGGGGTGGTGTGAATGCCCCTATTTCAAAGCAACAAAAGTGAGGCTTAGAAAATTTAAGCCGTGTGCCCAGCTCACAGAGCCTGACCTCCAAAACATCTTTTGACTCCATCACACAGCCCCTTATTTGCATATGTAAAACAGGGAGCATAAAGCCATTTTTTTTTTACCCTGGCTCTGATTGACACTCTCTGGACCCTGGATGCCTGGCTGAGCCCCCAAAGTCAGAGCAGGCCAGCATGGTCCTCCTGACTGCATCAGTCCTGCCTCTCAGGTGCCCAAATGCCCTGAGAGCCTGCAAGCCACCCACTACCTGCTCTCCAGTCACAAACACCTGCTCCCCAAAGAAGAAACCAGGCCTCTCACCAGCCCCCCATGCCTGTGTTCTGGGAGAAAATTGTGGTCAAAAGCTGACAAATGTAGGAAAGGGAAATAAACATGCAGTCATCTGCATGGTAGCTGCTTCCCTGTGGGAGCCAGGGCAGGTGTGGAGCACGCCTGAGTTCCTCACAGGTGTGTGTGCCTACCAAGTGGGAGACGCCCCCACTCACCCCAGCCACCACCCGGTGCAGGATCCTGGCCACCTCTGCCTGGCCCAGACTCAGCTGCAGCCACACCGGGCATGTTTTGATGAGCTTCTCCAGGATGCTGATGCCCCGGCGGTGAGGAAGGCAGTTTTTCGGGTTGGCTGGCAGACAAAGCCGCATGCCATCTTCCTCTTCCTCTTCCTCTCCTTTGCCAACAACTGGAACCGGACTGAAAAACAGAATTCAATGATCAGCTATCCTGCAGCCAGCCCAGAGAAGGTTTATAACACCTGGGGATTCCATTCAGCCACGCTTACTTATTCAGCATGAGGTAGTCAGTGGCCCTTTGGGGAATTAAAAAAAAATCAACAAACCATGGTCTTCATCTTAGGGTGCTTGTAGGAAACACACGTCAGCCCACCCGACCCAGGATGTGAGGCTCCGAGATGTTGTTCCTCCTTTTCTGGAATCAAAACCAGCCTGTGTGTGTTGGGATGGGGTAGGCAAATGTGAGGGTCTTGGGGAGGGTCTGGGATCTCTTAAACCGGACAGAACTGTCAACAGTAGGCAGTGCCCATTTCCCAGTGGAGCCCTCAGTTTGATCTCACTGTTTCTTGGGTCTGTGAGACCCAAGACTTGAGTCTGTGAGGAAATGGCGAGACACAGCTATGGTACAAGTATAAATGTAACAGAAGCACAGTTCAACAGAAGCAGCTCACTGCAACCCGGGATGGGTTCAGGAAAACGAGTGGCATTTGAGCAGAGCCTTGAAGAGGCTTTTTAAAAACTTTTAAAGAGTAACACACACAGTGAAATGCACACATCTTGAGTGTACAGCTAGCCACATTTTTACATATGTCTACACCTGTGTAACTACCACCCAAATCAAGATAGAGAGATCTGTGCTGCCGTAGCCACTAGCCAGAAGTGGCTTGTCTGAACTGACAAGTGCTGTAAGCACAAAATATACACAGGATTTCAAACTTACTGTGATAAAAAGAATATAAAATAGCTTATTAATATTTTTATTGTTTACAAGTTAGTATAATTTTTTTTTGAGACAGATTCTTGCTCTGTCGCCCAGGCTGGAATGCAGTGGCGTGATCTCAGCTTACTGCAGCCTCCGCCTCCTGGGTTCAAGCAATTCTCCTGCTTCAGCCTCCCGAGTAGCTGGGATTACAGGCGTGCACCACCATGCCCGGCTAATTTTTGTATTTTTTTAGTAGAGACAGGGTTTCACCATGTTAGCCAGACTGGTCTCAAACTCCTGACCTCAAGTGACCCACCCACCTCGGCCTCCCGAAGTACTGGGATTACAGGTGTGAACCATCGTGCCCAGCAAGATAATATTTTAAATGTGTCAGGTTAAATAAAATATTATTAAAATTACTTTGCCTGTTTTAATATGGCTGCCAGAATATATAAAATGACATATGTGGCTTGCATTAGATTTCCATTGGATGGTGCTGATATAGGACAGTTCTAGAAAGTTCCTTCTTACCCCTTCCCAGTCAACAGTGCCTGAGCCCCCAGAATGAGGATGAGTCAACACAGCACGGTGGGGGAAGGAGGATCACAGACCCAAGAAACAGCAAAGTCAAACTGAGGGCTTCGCTGGGAAATGAGCACTGCCTACTGTTCACAGTTCTGTCCGGTTTAAGGGATCCCAGACCCTCCCCAAGACCCTCATGTTTGCCTTCCCCATCCCAACACACACAGGCTGGTTTTGATTCCAGAAAAGGAGGAACAACATCTCGGAGCCTCGCATCCTGAGTTGGGTGGGCCAGAAGGTCTGTGTGCATTCTACCTAAGGCACCAAGTCTCTCAAGGTACCTGCAGGGGTGAAAACCTTAATCACACAGACAAGGGTACCCAGAAAGCCATGAAGCTGTGGATGGTGCCTTCCATCTTGCCCTGTGTCTCTGTGATGTTGCCCAGGGGTACCAGGGATCAAGGTTGGCATTGGTTCCAGAAGCATCCAGGGCATGTGCTGTAAGGAGCCCCTTGGGGAAGGCAGGGGACGAGGCCAGGGTAAGCCCTGTAAAAGGGCACAGGAAAGTGGAACCACCCCTGAAGGCAGGGCTGTAGGGGTCCTGGGGGTTCTCAGGGTGGTGGAGGGGTCAGGCAGCGCTGTATTAAACAGGGGCAGCAGTGTTGTGAATTTTGAGCAGTGGTTTTCGAGAGAACTGACTGGGACTGCCTGTCATGAGGAGGGGTGTGTCAAGGTCAGTGTGAAGTCTGTACCCGGGGAGAAAATTCCCTCCCACATCCTCCGGGGGGCCCTGACTCTCACGAATGTTGTGTGTGCTCCCGGCTGCCTGTGGATTTCCCCTTTCGGTCCACAGCCTTCAGCCTACCTAGAAGAAGGAGCCAGGTCACCAGGAAAATATGAGTGTCCCGGGGAATGGCAGGAATCCTGGGGCTGGTGGGGGCGGGGTAGGATGGCTCTGTGGAAGTCCACAGGCTGTGGAATTGAGGCCGAACAATCTCATTTGGAGCTCAAGGCCAGGGCGGCCTGGCTGATACTGATGCAACCACTTCCCAGGCCCTGAGTGTGGTCCCAGCATCTCGTCTGGGAAAAGTTAAAATGATGGAGGTCTGAATTTCCCAGAAAAGAAAAGAAACCCCTGGGCTGCAGGCTCCTCTAACCCCACTTGGAAACACAAAGATATGTTCTGGCACCAAAAGACGCTATAATCATCCTTAAACATCCCTGCTTGGGCCCCAGCCTCCCCCGGGCCAGTTAGGACTTTCAATAGCAGGGATTGAGGGCAATCAGCTTCATTTCTTCTTTGCCACGAACTATGGCTTAGCACTTGGCCAAGTCCTTTCCCCCTCAAGGTCTGTTTCCTCATCTGTGCAATGGGGACTGGGAGAAGGAAGCTTCTCCATTTGCTGGGTGGCCCTAGGTGTGACCTGGGCTCATCCCCATTTTTTTTTTTTTTTTTTTTTTACCTGCAGAACCAAAGCTGCGATCAAACAGAGAGGTTCTGGGAGTAATGAGGGAGTGGGCCTCTCATTCACTCGGGCTGTGCTTAGTTTCTGTGGACCTGCCAATGTCAAATGCTGTTCCAGGCACAGGTTAGAGCAGTGAACAAAACAGTTAAAAAAAACCCAAAACCTTCACGGTATTTACATTCTAGGGGAAGAGGCGGGCAATAAACAAGGCAAATAGGTGACTAGAGGATGTTAGATGGTAATACTGCCAAAGAGGAAGAGGAAAGGGTCCCAGGGATGGGGGACAGTTCCAAACTGGGTGGCCAGGGAAGACACCCGGAAAAGGTGACTGTGGAATAAGTGCCTGGCTGCAGGTATCTGGGGAAGAGATGTCCAGGCAGAAGGAAGAGCAAACTCCCAAGCCTGCAATTCCTGCTCCTGGAGCAAGTGCAAGGAGGGACAATGAGAGAAGGGTGAGAGTGGCAGGAGGTGAGAGCAGAGGGGGTAGGGGGAGGGCCCCATGAGCATCTGGAGCCACAGGGAGCATTGGCCCTAAATCCACATGTACAAGCACTCCCCAGGGCTGGGCTTCCAGCTAGCTACATGCCTAGCCCTGTGCTCAGGCTTCCTTGGCAAGAATAAATGGGCCCATGAAGATCTGGGGGGACCTGGGTGGTCTCAGGGCCCAGGAGGGTCTGCAGGAATCCACAGAGATAAACCTGCTTCCCAGCCCGGCAGCCCCACCTGCATCCTGAAGCACGAGGCTGCTGCTCTCAGGGTGACTGACTGAGTGGAAACTCTGCCCCAGGCTCCAACATCACGAGGACTGTACATCTCACTGTCTTGTGATCACATCCCTTCCTGCTCTAAAACTTGCAATGGATTCCACTGCCTAAAGAATCCGGTCCAGTCCCTTCATGTTTAAGGCATTCCCTTTCTGGGCCTCTGCCCCTCAACCCCAGACACCCCCTACAAAGGGCTCCACTCCATCACCCAACAGAACATGCACTTCTCCACCTGGAGCCCACGCTCATGCTGCTCTGTCCACCTGCACCTCCTTCAGGGTCTATTTCTTCCTCCCAAGATTATTTCCAACTGGCAGGCAAAAGCATTAGACCAGACACAGAAAGCAATGATCATAAAAGAAAAAATAGATAAAGTTAGACTGCATCACAATTTAAAACTTCTGCCCATCAGGCTGGGGGAAAAATATCTGCAAAACATATATCCAACAGAGACCAAGCAAATCAATTTTTAAAATGGGCAAGAGATTTGAACAGATACTTCAAAGAAGAAGACATACAAATGGACAATAAGCAGGTGAAAAAATGCTCAAAGTCATTAGTCATTAGGGAAATGCAAATTAAAACCACAATGCGATACCACGGCACAACCACTAGAATGGCTAAAATTAAAATGACTGACAACATCACATAGTGGTGAGAATGGGAAGTAATCAGAATGCTAGTGTACTCTTGGGGAGAACGAACATTGGAACGAGCACTTTAGACAAAGATATGGCACTTTTTAATAAACCTAAACATATACCTACCCTATGGCCCAGCGATTCCACTCCTAGGTATACACCCGAGGGAAATGACAGTATACGTCCAGAAAGACCTGCATACGAATGTCAAAGCAGCTCTCCTCCTAATAGCTCAATACCACCTGGTTCCAGTGTCCATCAGCGGCAGAATGGATAAACAAACGGTGGCATGTCCACACAACGGGTCAGTAGTCAGCAATAAAAAGGAATTAACCACACGCACAACCACATGAACGAATCTCAGAAGCATTATGCTGAGTCAAGGAAGCCAAATGCAAAAAAGTACATATGGCATGAATCCATCTATATGAAGTTCAAACAGGACACTTAGATGTGTGCATTCACTTTTACCACATGCAAATTTTATACCAAAACTATAAAAGATAATCCTAACTAAACACTGAACTCTAGTTAACTCTAGTCATGATAACATTCAGGGGGTGGTCTGCAAATTCCTATGAAATACATTAAAAAGTAAGGTGCATTCATGGATATGTAAAGATATGTAACAAAACAGATAGAGAAAAACATTGAGGGTTACTTGTGGGTGTATGGGTGTTTACTGCAAAGTTCTTTCAAGTCTTCTGTATCTTTTAAATTTTTAATAGTGAACTACTGGCATAACAGTTCTCCCCATCCCTTAAGGCCCCTTCAGATGAAGCCTGCCTGCTGTATTAGAAGTCTTGGGTTTGGATGCAGGCTGTATGACCTCTGGCCAGTTATTAATACTTTACCTCTCTGGGCTTCAGTTTAATCACCTGTGAAAACATAATAAGCTGGGCGCTGTGGCTCACGCCTGTAATCCAAACATTTTGGGATTAAGGCTAAGGCAGGAAGGTTGTTTGAGCCCAGGAGTTTGAGACCAGCCTGGGAAATATAGTGAGACCACATCTCTACAAAAAACTTTCGAAAAATTAGCCAGGCATGATGGCGTGTGCCCCATGTAGTCCCAGATACTCAGGAGGCTAAGGTAGGAGGATTGCTTGAGCCTGGAGGTGGAGGCTGCAGTGAGCTGAGATCGCCTCATTGCATTCCAGCCTGGGTAACAGAACAAGACCCTGTCTCAAAATGAATGAATAAATAAATAAAACTAAACAAAAATAAAAATAAGTAAAAACAACGTAATTGTCTTTATTTAAGAGGGTTACTGGGAAAATTTCATGAGCTGTCAACTACTTAGCACAGTGCCTGACACACTATTCAGTAAATGTTACAGTTTTTCCAACCCTCCAACCCCCGAGTTATAACGCTTCTCTTCCTCTTCCTGCTACAGTTCTCTCACTTTAAAACCTTGATTTTGGGACTAGGCACATTTGATTGAAGTGACTTGTGGCAAGATGGCAAAGATGGAAGTGCCCAGAGTGGGTGACACGCAGGCTTTGTTTTACAGCTGTGATGACACTTATCAACTGGCCTGGCCACAGCAGCTCCAACTGCCAGGAACCGTCGCTAAGCCCAACCAGCATCAGATCAGCCATCTGTTGGCAGAGCCGGCCACTCTGACACCCACGCCCTCCCTCTCACCAGCTGAACTCCCACTCCGCTAAGGACCCTGCAAAGGCAGAACCGGGGACCTTGGATAATGAAAGGTGTTGTTAGAGCCTTGGAAGCTTTGGAGCAGCTCCACCAGAAAGAGAAATTGCTCCACAACGGGTTGTTCTCCCACTCATGGGGAATAGAGCAATGAGCTCAGAGCAGCAGGCCCACAGGCTTCTGATCCTATGGCTGCCGCCGGACACCCACCCAGAACGCCCTGCCAGACGCAGTGCCAGCAGACACTCAGGAAAACCCAGTCCCTGGGCTGCAGGACTCAACCTCTCAGCTTCTATGGGGATTTTCTCACCAGTTCCCTAAAGGAGGGCGGGAATTGGCCTTGAGTGTGCCCAGCTCCTGGGCATGGTGCCTGTTGTCTACATTCAGGCCTATTCAGCCTGGGGAGTAGAAGAGGGAAGCTCCACTCCAGCGTGGATAGCTAGCCCAAGGAGCTGACCAAATGTGGGGACAGAGTGGTGAGCATGGCAGCTTGGGGTGTGTGGCCCTGGCTAGATGCTGCCTATTAGGGGTAGGGGGAAGGCGCAGAAGTTTCCCAGCTTCACAGGGTTCCGGCTTTGGGCTGCCTATGTCAGCCCCAGGAAGCAGCTCAGAGAGTTCCAATGCAGCCTCACGGTGGGAACCGAGGCCTTCCTGTATAGACTTGGCCAGAACACGCCAGGGGGCGGGAGGTGGGAGTGTGTGACGGAAAGGGAGAACCGGAAAAGGCCGTCACTACCCCACCTACCAACCTGACCCAAGGCAGCGTGGCCTCCCAGCTTCAACAAGACAAAGGGGGTCTACAGGAATGGAGAGGCCTGGTCCCTGGCCTTAGAGGGCTTTTGGGCCAGTAGAAGCCAGTGTGGCTCTGGTGATAAATGTTACAGGATGGCACAGTCCCTCCAGACAAAGCACCATGAGTACACAGAGGGAGTGCAGGGGCCGGCGTGGGAGGGAGGGAGCCCTGGTGATGCCAGCCAGGGCAGCAACTTGCCTGTTTCATGTATTCATAGTCCACACCATACGGTGCCCACTGTGGGCCCCCAAATCCTGTTAATTCAGTCATCCTCATACCTGCCTGATTCAACCTCAGAGGTTGAATTGTGTCCCCCGAGAAGATATGTGCAAATCCTAACCCCAGTACTTGTACATGTGACCTTATTTGGAAAAAGGATCTTTTTCTTTGCAGATATAATTTAGGGCTACTGAGATGAGATCATCCTAAGTTTAGAGTGGGCCCTAACTCCAATGAGAGGTGTCCCTATAAGAAGGAAAGGCACAGAGAGACACAGATGAGGTCCGTGTGAAGGCAGAGGTAGAGAATGGAGTTATGATGCCCCAAGCCAAGGAGTGCCAGAGGTAGACAGCCACTACCAGGAGCTCGGGGAGAGGCATGGGACGGATCCTCCCTTAGAGCCTCCAGATGGAACCTGCCCAGCTGAAACCTTGGTTTTGGATTTCTGGCCTTGAGAACCACAAGAAAATAAATTTCTGCTGCTTTAAGCTGCAAAGTTAGTGGTAACCTGCTACTGCAGCCCTAGGAACCGAATATACCTACCCTACCCCTAGTGGTCTCATGTAAAGGTGAAGACACAGAGGCACAGAGAGGTTAAATAATTCACCAAAGGTCACATGCCAATAAGTGGCAGAACTGGGATTCAAACCCTGGCAATCTGGCTCCAGAGTCTACGCTTCTAACCACTCTACTCTTCCAGCTCTTGAAAGTTTAAAAAAAAAATTTCATGTTTACGTATCCTGGCAAAGAAAGGGTATTCAATAATGTTCATTATTCCACTTGGGAATACACACAAACACACACAGTGACATAGAAATATACATAGAAATAATTTCCAGAAGGCTATGTAAGATGTCATTAGAGTTATTTCAGAGACGTTAAGGGGGTTTGTTTCAAATTTTTATAATAATTATGCATTGCTAACATGATTTAAAATCATCTTAAATAGGCCAGGTGCGGTGACTCATGCCTGTAATCCCAGCACTTTGGTAGGCCAAGGCGGGCAGATCACCTGAGGTCAGGAGTTTGAGACCAGCCTGGCCAACATGGTGAAACCCCATCTCTACTAAAAATAAAAAAATTAGCTGGGTATGGCTGCACATGCCTGTAATCCCAGCTACTTGGAAGGCTGAGGCAGGAGAAACGCTTGAACCAGGGATGCAGAGGTTGCAGTGAGCTGAGATGGTGCCACTGCACTCCAGCCTGGGTGACACAGCGAGACTCTGTCTCAAAAAAGAAAACAATCATCTTAAATAGGCCAGGCACAGTGATTCACACCTGCAATCTCAGCACTTTGAGAGGCTAAGGTGGGAGGACTGCTACAGTTGAGGAGTTTGAGACCAGCTTGGGCAACGTGGTGAGACACTATCTCTACAAAAAATTAAAAGAATCAGCTGGGCACAGTGGTGTGCACCTATGGTCCCAGCTACTCAGAAGGCTGAGGCAGGAGGATCGCTTGAGCCTAGGAGGTTAAGGCTGCAGTGAGCTGTGTTCACACCACTGCACTCCAGCCTGGGTGACAGAGCAAGACCCTGTCTCAATAATAATAAAATAATAAAATAAAATAATAATAAAATAAAGATAATTTATTTTATAATAATAAAGATAATTTATTTTATAATAATAAAATAAAGATAATTTATTTTATAATAATAAAATAAAGATAATTTATTTTATAATAATAAAATAAAGATAATTTATTTTATAATAATAAAATAAAGATAATTTATTTTATAATAATAAAATAAAGATAATTTATTTTATAATAATAAAATAAAGATAATTTATTTTATAATAATAAAATAAAGATAATTTACTTTATAATAATAATAAAATAAAGATAATTTATTTAATTATAATATAATATAATATAATATAAAATAAAATATAATTTATTTTATTATAATAAAATAAAATAAAATAATAATTATATTAATAATAAAATAAAATAATAATAATAAAATAAAAATAATTTTAAATAAACAGTTTCTTATTTGTACAATGGAGCTGGTAATACCTGGCCCATGTTAACACTTTTAGTAGGTCACATTTTTCTGGATGTAGCAACCACACATGTGGTCATGCCCTATCTCTCCCAGGGACACCTGTTGCTTTGGGGACACTGGCCAACCTAGTCCACCAGGGACATCTCATTCCCCCAAACAGGCCCTACTCACCCCAACTGCTTCTCACTTGTTACAGCAGGAGGAATGGTCTGAGGCTGGGGGCGGGGGGCAAAGCTCCCCAGAGAATGAAAACAGTTACGCCCACTATCATAACAATCTATCAAAATTTAAAAGAGAAGAAATGCTGGAGCCCAGATTCCAGCAGCCCCATTCCCTGAACACCCGCGTTTACATGTTTACAGATGGCCACTGCTGCTGCAGCATTTACTACATGGAGAAAATGGGGAAAGCCAATGGCGCCACAGGCGAATGGATAAATAAAGCTGTGACTCAGTCCACCCTGGACAATGACACAGCTGTTAAAAGGCAGGAAATGCAGTAAATCAGTGGAGTGGCTATAGTAAACATTAATCTATTATATACTTCAAAACAGCAAGTAGAGAATAGTTCGAATGTTCCCAGCAAAAAGATAAATATTTAAGGTGATGGATATCCCAATCCCCCGATTTGATTCTGATACATTACATGAATGTGTCAGAAGATCACATGCACCCCCAAAATATGTACACCTATTATTTATCAATAAAAGAAAAGGGCCAGGGGCCAGGCACAGTGGCTCAAGCCTGTAATCCCAGCCCTTTGGGAAGCCGAGGTAGGTGGATCATTTGAGGTCACGAGTTCAAGACCAGCCTGGCCAACACGGTGAAACCCTGTCTCTACTAAAAATACAAAAATTACCAGATGTGGTGGCGGGTGCCTGTAATCCCAGCTACTAGGGAGGCTGAGGCAGGAGAATCGCTTAAACCCGGGAAGCAGAGGTTGCAGTGAGCCGAGATCATGCCACTGCACTCCGGCCTGGGGGACAAAGCAAGACTACGTCTCAAAAAAAAACAAAGAAAAGAAAAGAAAAGGGCCAGAATCAATGCTACACAGATGGTTAAATCTCAAAATTCTGTTTATTGCATGAATGTTAATTTCCTGATTTTGATCCTTGTCCTTGAGAAATACCCACTGAAGTATGTGGGGTAAAGAGATAAAATGTCTGCAACTTACTCTCAAATCATTTAGAAAAAATTAGAAGCTAGGTGTGGTGCTGCATGCCTGTAGTCCCAGCTACTCAGGAGGCTGAGGTGGGAGGATCACCTGAGCCCGGGGAGATTGAGGCTGCAGTGAGCACTGATCGCACCACTGCACTCCAGCCTCAGTGACAGAGTAAGACCCCATCTCAAAAAAAAAAAAAAAAGAAAAAGAAAAAAGAAAAAAAATAGAGAGGGAGAAAGAAAGAGTGCAAACGAGCAAATGTGACAAAATGTTAATAATTGATGAATCTGGCGAAAGGAGTGTACCAACAAGAATTCACTGTACTATTCCTGTAACTCTTCTGCCAGTCTGAAATCACGTCAAAACAGAAAGTTAGGCCGGGCGCGGTGGCTCCTGCCTGTAATCCCAGCACTTTGGGAGGCCGAGGCAGGTGGATCACGAGGTCAGGAGATCAAGACCATCCTGGCTCACACGGTGAAACCCCGTCTCTATTAAAAATACAAAAAAATTAGCCAGGCGTGGTGGCAGGTGCCTGTAGTCCCACCTACTTTGGAGGCTGAGGCAGGAGAATGGCATGAACCCGGGAGGCGGAGCTTGCAGTGAGTGGAGACTGTGCCACTGCACTCCAGCCTGGGGGACAGAGCAAGACTCCGTCTCAAAAAAAAAAAAAAAAAAAAACACCAGAAAGTTAAAAGAAAACGTTTTAAAAAGCAATCAAACAAACAAAAAAATCAACCCTAATGAGTGAAATAAGCAAATTACGGAAGGAATGAAAACATTTATGTAAAGTATAAAAAAACACGCACCACAGTTCTATACCTGTTTGTGGATACATGCACACACCAAACTCAGGAAGATGGCTGCCCTTGAACTGAGGAGAAAAATAGGATCAGGGAGGGGTGCGAAGGAGGTTTCAACCAGTTCTGCAATGATTTATTTATTAAACCAAACAAAAAGATCTGAAGCAAACATGGCAAAGTGATAGGAATTAACAAAGCTGAATTATGGGTGCATAGGGCATTGCAATGTTGTTCTCTAGACTTCTCTAAACTTGATATTTAATTTAAAAAAAAAAGCTCTCATGTATAAACACACATACCCCCGGGTCCCAGAGCATGCCACAAGTCGAGGAAATGTGGAGTGGAGCAGAGCCCAGGCACCCTGGCCTGTTCCTTCTGCCAGTGCCCTGTCCCCATGACCACTCCAGCTGTTTTTTCTTGGCATTTTAAAGTCAGTTCAGAAGTCAGAGAGTCCCATGTTGGAAGGTCATCAAGATGAGTCTAGCCCCGGGAATAGATTCAACTGGCCATCCAAAGAATCAGCCCCAGGGGACTTTTTGGGACCCCCGCCCCCACCCCCCCCCCCCCCCCACAGCTGTCACAAGCCACCAGAGCAGAAGCCAGAGAAGGTCATTGGAGACAAAGAACAGCTGATGCCAGAGGACATCTAACTCTGAATTTCCTGGTTCCAGGTGTAGATGTAGGCGGGAAGAGTGCGGTGTGGCCTGCAGGCATTTGGGGCTGGGAGAACTCCCCACTCCTCATTCCATAGTGTGGTGAACAGGTACAGGCTTCAGGCTAGATAGGGCCTGTGATCCTCCTGAGCTCCTCTACCTCTTTGAGCCTCAGAGTCCTCTTGTGTAAAGCAGGGAGACTCTGCCACTCAGCTCAAGGACTGCATGAGGGTTGAATGGGACAGTGTAACTAAAGAACCCAGCCCACAGCTGACTTTTAGCAAATGGTAACTACTAAATGAGATGGGGGGGTGGGGAGGCTTCACGAACAGTTCATGGAGGAAGCTAGGGCTGAATTAGACATGGGACAGAGTGGAGAAGGAATTCCCACAGGGCAGGGAGGTGGATCTGAGACTGTTAGGAGGCAGGTGAGCATGCAGAGATACCTGTTGGAGTATCTGGTTTGGATCAGAGATGTGCCAATAAAACACCCGTCTAGGACAATGAATAAGTAAATGAAGAGCAAAAGCCTTCCAGCCTGGCCAACATAGTGAAATCCCGTCTCTACTAAAAATTAAAAAATTAGCCGGGTGTGGTGGCGGGCACCTGTAATCCCAGCTACTTGAGAGGCTGAGGGAGAAAAATCTCTTGAACCCCAGAAGCGGAGGTTGCAGTGAGCCAAGATTTAAAAAAAAAAAAAAAAAAAAAAAAAAGCAAAAGCCTTGATGTGTAGCAATTGCCAGTTTCCAGGGTGTGGGGTGTAAATGCTCCCACCATTGCTGAGGTCAAGCTCTCTAAAGGTTTGCACCTGGCTAGCAAAATTTCTGGATAGTTAACAATAGGCTTTTGAGAGCCTAACCCTAACACTTCAGTTCCCTCTCTACCATCCCTAGCAAGCAGCAGTTGTATCTGTTTGAAGACCTTTAATCACATGAGCTAGCTACCTCACCAGGCAACCCATTCCGAGAAGCAATTCTCAATTTCTATTGAGATGAAATCCGTTCCCCTGAAGTGTTTCCTCTTGTTGCTTTTTCTACATTTTATAGGGCCATGAGGACTACTCCCCCCACCCCCCATAAAGCCTCTAAACTATGTGAACATGGCTTGTGCATCTACCGCCCTAGAGTCTTCTGTTTTCCGGCTGGAACAGCCCCAGGCTTCCACACAGCAACCCAGAGGGAAGGTTTGTCAACTGCGGTTGACGCTGAGCTGGGTGTCTCCAAGAATTTCCAGATAGGGTGGTTCGTTTTTTAACAGCATTTAAATAATCCAATTCAGTGGTTTTTAACATGGTCACAGAGCTGTGCAACCACCACCACAATCAATTTTAGTACATATTCATCACCCCACAAAGAAACCCCTTACTCATGAGCAGTCACTCCTCCCCAGCCCTGCCCCCTTCCCTCTAGCCCGAGGCAACCACTCATCTTTCTGTCTTTATAGATTTGCCTATTCTGGACATTTCCTACAAACAGAGGCATACACTATGTGGTCCTTTGTGTCTGGCTTTCACTTGGCATCATGTTTTCAAGGTTCATCCATGTAGTAGCAGCTAGTGGAATTTATCAGTACTTCTATATCAATGTTTCACTTCTTTTTATTGCCAAGCAATATCCCATTGTATGGAGATGCCACATTTGACTTGTCCATTCATCAGCTAACATTTGAGTAGTTTCCAATTTGGGGATATTACAAATAATGCTGCTAATATTCATGTGCAAGTTTTTGTATGGAACCTATGTTTTCAGTTCTCTTGGGTGTATATCTAGGTGTGGAATTGCTGGATTATATGGTAATTCTGTGTTTAGTATTTTGAGGAGCTACCAGACTGTGTTCCAAAGTGGCTACACCATTTTACATTCCCACCAGCAGCATATGAGGGTTCTAATTTCTCCAGCACCTTTCCAACACTTGTTATATTGTCTGTCTTTTTTATTACAGCCACCCTATTGGTTGTGAAGTAGTTTCTCATTGCGGTTTTGATTTGCAGTTCTACGGTGGCTATTGATATTGAGCATCTGTTCATTTTTGGCCTTTTTTTTTTGAGACAGGGTCTCGCTCTGTCAACTAGGCTGGAATGCAGTGGTGTGATCATGGCTCACTACAGCCTCAACCTCCCAGGCTCAAGTGATCCTCCCACCTTAGCCTCCCAAGTAGCTGGGATCACAGGCATGTGCCACCACACCTGGCTAATTTTTTATTTTTTGTACAGACAGGGTCTATGTTGCCCAGGCTGGTCTCAAACTCCTCGACTCAAGCAATCCTCCTGCCTCAGCTTTCCAAAATGTTGGGATTACAGGCATGGGCCACCACGCCTGACCCATTATTGGCCATTTGTATATCTTCCCCAGAGAAATGTTTATTCAGATCCTTTACCTATTTTTGAATTGGGTCTTCTATTACTGAGTTGTAAATTTTTAATATATTCTGGATATAAGCCCCTTATCAGATATATGATTTGCAAATATTTTCTCCCATTCTATGGACTGCACTTCTACTTTCTTGAGGGTGTCCTTTGAAACATAAAAGTTATAATCTAAGAAGTCCAATTTGTCCAGGTTTTCTTTTGTTGCTTGTGGTTTTGGTGTCATACCTAAGAAACCATTACCTAGTCTTAGATCATGAAAATTTGCCCATCATTTCAGTTCTTACATTTAGGTCTTTGTCCTATTTTGAGTTAGTTTTTATGTATGGCATGAGGTAGGGGTCTGACTTTATTCTTTTGCATGTGGATATCCCACATTGTTCCAGCACCATTTGTTGAAAGATGATTCTTTCTCCATTGAATTGTTTTGGCAGCCTTGTCAAAAATCAATTGACCATAAAATATGGAGTGGTTCTGAGCCTCCTCATCATACTGCTTTTATCCGAGTATAATGAGTATCCTTCTTTCTTTGCACTTCTGAAATGTGGAGTCCCAAATGGAAACAATACCCAGGTGTGCCCTGAGCAGCACAGAAAGAAGTGTGACCATCACCTCTCTACAGCTAGATACTCTACTTGTATTAACATGACCTAACCAGTTTTTCTGTAGCTCCACAATGCTTTTGGGAAATTAATTTGGATCTGGAGGGTGGAATCACATTGTGGAGATGAATGGAGATAACAAGGGTTTATGAGATGGGTAGTAACATGGCAAATGCTGTAACCATTACAAGAATGGATATGATATAAAGGAAATGACACTGTCTGGTTCTGTTGTTTACTACGTGACTTTGGGCAACTCACTTTCCTTCTCCAGGTTCAGCAGCCTCTTAATACAAATAGTAGGTTGGATCAGATCTGGGATGGCAAGTAGGTTGAACTTCCCATGTGAACCCCAGTTGACTGACAGCAGCTGCCTAGACTGTTATGTTGAAGGCTCGACTGAAAGAATGCAGGAATCTGCTAGTGATGTCTGCCAGGGGCTCTGCCTGGGAGAGCAGCAGCAGCTGTGCTAGGTATTTCCTGAGCATGGATCGGACCAAGGACTAAGGTTCCTTCCAGCATTATGAATTCTGCAATTCTGTGACTCAACCGACCCTTGGCTAGCTGCCACCTGAAGGCTTCTCTTCCAAGCCAGGCTGGCCCTGCCCCAGTGAACAGCCTGGGAGAAGGCAGGCGGCCAGGCTGGCTTCTCCATGGCTTTGTGTCTGCCAGATCCTTCTTCCTAGACGTGTGTGAAGCTGAGCCACAGCTGCTTCCTAGTTCTACCTCTGGCCCAGGCTTTGGTGCATACAGAAACAAAAACACAGTTCCAGGCTGACCATGGAGGTCCCGTGGGGATGGAAGAGAAGTAGCAGTTTCAGAACTAGGATCTCTCACACATGCACAAAGCACAAACACTCAACAAATGCCTCCAGCCTATTTCCAGGGGCTAAATAACTGTACAAGGCCCTGGCAGTTTCTCACAGATGCTTGTGGCTCCAAGAAGTGTCTGGAAAATCTTGTGAGAAAGTTCCCTGGGTTTCTCCTCCCTTGGGAAACCAAAAGACCTTCCATTAGGAGGTGGGGAATAGAGTGCAGCCTAAGACCCCCGACCCTCGGTGGGTCAGTCCCAGGAACAGGGGACAGGCTCTATGGGCCCCTGCCCACAGCCTCTAGCAGGGGAAGTCAGTTTAGGCAGGTCTTCCGGACCTCGGAAGCGCTGACAGCAGGCCAGACTGCCTCAGCTCACACGTCACAGCCCACATCAAGGGGTCTGGCAGGTCAAAGGCCTTCAAACTTTCCACATCTGTGTGCGCTGCAGGCCTTCTGTCACTTAGTGTGCGTCCAGCACTCTCCAGCTACCAGTCTTGCCTTCCTGACTCCAGCTAGGTGCCCCGCTGTCCCTACTGGGCTCCACCTGCCCACACTGACCCCAACGTGTGGAGGCCTGGTGGTGCCGGCAGAGGCAGCCAGCTTCAGCCGCAGGCCCTTCTGGTGGTGGCTCCCACCACGCCAGACCCACCCCAGGCCCCCGCTCAGCCACTGTGGTTGAAGGCTCATGGCTTTGCTCTGTTGGGCCTCTAGTCCCAGCTGCTCTGCCTTCTCCTTGGGCTCTGCTCTTGCAAACCCTGTACACCCCCAGCATCCTAGGAACCTGGACTGAGTTCCTCCACCCTCCCTCCCTCTGGAATCTTCTCTGGTTCAAAGGTCCTAGCCACTTTGCCTATCTGGGTCATCCAGGACTAAACTGACTCAGCCTGCCTGTCCTGCTGACCCCACCACCTGTCCTGGGCAGGTCTGTCCACTCCCACCAGGCCCAAGCTTACAGGTGACGGTACCAATCCTGTCCCCGGTACTGCATGCAATTTGGCCTTCAGTCATCAACCAGAGCTATGCAGCCTCATGGTTTAAGCATGGGCTTGAGAACCAGGCAGCCTGGGTTAGAATCCCAGGTCCGTGGCTTCACAAGTGACTCAGGCTCTCTTTGCCTCAATTTGCCTATATTTAAAATGGGAAAGATAAGCATGACTACCTGATGAGTTTGCTATGAAGAGTTCAGGATAGTGCCCAGAGTCCAGCAAGCATTCAGTGATGTTAGTATCCACCATTTATTCACCCAGTAAGTATTTATTCGCCCAGTAAGTATTTATTCAGCACTTAGTATGGGCCCAGACCCCACTCTGGGCTTAACGTAATAATAATTACAACAGTCATATGAAAGAGCAGCTGACATCCCCCCCACCCCAAGATCCCCAGAAACTTCACTGAACATGGAGATAGTTACTGGAGAAGACAGGATTTAGGGGCCAAGCTGGAGGGACTGAAGCTGGAGGCAGCAAGGACAAAAGACCCAGGTCACCAAGAGCAACGGGCAGGCCCTGAGCACACCTGTCACATATATTGGGATGAGCTGAGGCCATCTCTGCAAGGACAGACCCCTGGGAGGGGGCCTGGGAGGCTGGGGGACAGGGTGGGAAGGGGGTCCTCCCCTGTACAGGGGAGCATTGTCTGTAATGGAGAAAAGAAGAAACCGAGACATAGTCACTAGGGCTACAGAATTAGCAAGTGGCAGAGCTGGGATATGAACCCTTTTGTACCTTTGGAATTTGAACCGTGTGACTATATCGCCTACTCAGAAAACAATTAAAACAACTTGAAACTTTGAAAAATAAAGTTTCCCTTAAGAGCATTCATATGTGGCATTGAGCTGGGCTGTGTGCAGGTGTATTTAGAGAACTCTGCACTCTTGTTCTGGCTAAGACCGCACAGTGTAGGCCATTTCCCTTCTAGAATAGATCTCAAAGAGATACTTTTAAAATGCAAATGAAGCTTAACAGACAAAGATGTTCACTGCCACGTGACTTGCAGTTGTGGAAAACTAGAAACAATCAAACAATACTGCCTGTAACATGCTGGTCTCCCCCAAACTCAAGCTTTGTGTTCCAGTGTCTGGCCCATCTACCACAGTGTGCCCAAGCCCGGCATAGAATAAGGGTTCAAGAAAAAGTGTTCAACAATGGAGTGGTTAAGGAAATATTAGTACCATATGAAACTGGCAACATCCAACCATTTTTTACCTATAAAGAAAGCAATTTGGGATGTTCAGCCTCATACAAACAATGGAATAATATATAGCCATTAAAAATCGTCCCTAAGGGCCAGGCATGGTGGCTCACGCCTGTAATCCCAGCACTTTGGGAGGTCAAGGCAGGCAGATCACCTAGGTCAGGAGTTTGAGACCAGCCTGGCCAAACTGGCAAAACCCTGTCTCTACTAAAAATACAAAAATTAGCCAGGTGTGGCCGGGTGTGGTGGCTCAAGCCTGTAATCCCAGCACTTTGGGAGGCCGAGGCAGGTGGATCACAAGGTCAAGAGATTGAGACCATCCTGGCCAACATGGTGAAACCCCGTCTCTACTAAAAATACAAAAAAGCCAGGCGGGCGCCTGTAGTCCCAGCTACTTGGGGGGCTGAGGCAGAGGAATCACTTGAACCCAGGAGTCAGAGGCTGCAGTGGTCCAAGGTCGCACCACTGTGCTCCAGCCTGGGTGACAGAGCAAGACTCCGTCTCAAAAAAAAAAAAATAAATAAAATAAAATAAATAAAATTAGCCAGGCGTGGTGGCGTGCACCTGTAATCCCAGCTACCCAGGAGGCTGAGGCAGGAGAATCGCTGGAACCTGGTGGCGGGGGGGCAGAGGCTGCAGTGAGCCAAGATTGTGCCACTGCACTACAGCCTGGGCGACAGAGCAAGACTCTGTCTCCAAAAAAAAAAAAAAAAAAAAAAAAAAAGTCCCTAAGGCACTCACTTATAGCTGGTGGAAGCATAAGTTAGTACAGCCTTCATGGAGGGCAATTCAGTAACTTCTATCACAATTGCAAACACATAAACACATAGGCCCCTTGACCCAGCAATCGTGGGAACTTATACGTACAGTTGCATGTATGCAAAATGACGCACAGACAAAAGTGCTCACTGGATTCAGGGGAGCATTGTCTGTAATGGAGAAAAGACTGGAAACAACCTAAATGTCCATCAATAAGGGACCAGGGAAATGAATGGAATACTATACAACTGTAAGAAGAATCATGAGAATACCTTCTGTGTACTGACATGGAAAGATTCCTAGGGTGGGTGGGTGGCTGAAGGACAAAAGCAATGTAGGAAATATTAGTACCATATGAAACAACCCAGTCACTAAGTGGTTAAGGAGATATTAACCACTTACATACATATAAACCAGTATGTATACTGTACTCCCTTGTTGGAAAGAAAAAGAATAATTATTTGTATTTGCATAAAGAAACTCTGGAAGAAGATGCAGGAAGCTAGTGTCAGGAAGGGGTATAAACAGGGACATGAAGGGACCAGGTGGGAAAACTTCTTCACTGTACATCTTTTTCATTATATATATATATATTTTTAAATCCTATGAGCATATTACCTACTCGGAAATAAATTATGTTTCCAGAGTTTACCATTTACTGTGTGCCATGCATTGCTGTTGCTGGTTAACATACATGAACCAATTTAATCCTTTAAAAGAATGCTATAAGGTTACTCGGTTATCATTCCCATTTTAGAGAGGAAGAAACCAAGACATAGTCAGTAGGGCTACAGAATTAGCAACTGGCAGAGCTGGGATATGAACCCCGGCAGTTTCTTTTTTTTTTTTTTTTTTTTCTGAGACGGAGTCTTGCTCTGTCACCAGGCTGGAGTGCAGTGGCGCGATCTCAGCTCACAGCAACCTCCACCTCCCGGGTTCAAGTGATTCTCCTGCTTCAGCCTCCTGAGTAGCTGGGACTACAGGCGCCCACCACCATGCCTAGCTAATTTTTATAGTTTTAGTAGAGACAGGGTTTCACCATGTTGGCCAGGATGATCTCGATCTCCTGACCTCGTGATCTGCCCAACTCGGCCTCCCAAAGTGCTGGGATTACAGATGTGAGTCACTGCTCCCGGCTGAACCCTGGCAGTTTTTTGAGTCAATAGTCTATGTTTCTAATCACTGCCAAATTCCTACTGATGAGTGCTTATGATATAAACATTACACATCACAGACACACAATAGGCGAATGGAGAGATAGAAGGACAGATCTTGTCCATGGCGTGGAAGACAATACTGTCAAGCTATCAATTCTACACAAACGGTCTACAGCATCAGTGCAATCCCAGTTAGAATCCCAAAGGTGTTGTGTGAAAAGGCAGAGGGAGATGAAAGGGGCTGAGAAGATCCAGGCTGCACTTGAAGAGGGGGTATTAGTTGTTCTGCAGGATATCAAGGCTTATGATAAAGCCGAAGTGATTAAGATGGTGTGACATTACTGCAGGGACAGACACACAGGTCAGTGGAACAGAAAAGTCCAGAAATAGAGCCGCACATTTACAGTCACCTGATTTCTGCACAGCCGCAATAGTAGCACATGAGGAAAGGACAGTCTTGTCAATAAAGGGTGTTGAACAACTGGGTATCCAACTGAGGGAAAAATGAAGCCTGGTCCCTTCTTCACAACTTAAAAAATCAGTTCCAGCCTGACCAACATGGTGAAACCCAGTCTCTACTAAAAAATACAAAAAAAAAAAAGTAGCCAGGCGTGGTGGCACATGCCTATAATCCCAGCTACTCAGGAGGCTGAGGCAGGAGAATCGCTTGAACCCGGGAGACGGAGGTTGCAGTGAGCCAAGGTCACGCCACTGAAATCCAGCCTAGGCGACAGAGCAAGACTCTGTCTAAAAAAAAAAAAAAAAAAAAAAAAGTCTGTTCCAGGTAGACTGTGTCCTAATTTAAAAGGTGGAAGGTAAAACAAAAAAGCTTCTAGAAGAAAGTAAAGAATGTCTTCGTAATCTGATGGTCGAGAGACTTCTTAAACAGTATGCACGTGCGTGCACGCACACACCCACACCCGCCAATCTTAAAAGAAAGGACTGATAAAATTGAATGCAGTAAAACAAAGACTTCCTGTTCATCAAGACATCATTAGGAGAATGAAAGCTCGCCCGGGAGGTGGAGGCTGCAGTGAGCCAAGATCACACCACTGCACTCCAGTCTGGGCGACAGAGCGAGAACCTGCCTCAAAAAAAAAAAAAAAAAGAAAGAAAGAAAAGAAAAAAAAGAATGAAAGCACAAGCCCTGAGTGGGAGAAGATATTTTTACACACACACCCAACAAAGGGCTCATAAGCACAGTGTACACACCGATAAGGAAAAGACCAGACAATGAATAGGGAAATAAGCAAGAAGCTTGACCTGGCGCTTCTTACTGTGGATCTCCACATGGCTGTGAGCATGTGAAAAGATTCTCAACAGCGTGAGGATCGGGGAATCGTAAATTGAACAGTGAGAGCCCATCCCCATGGGTGTCACGATGGAGGCTGACACTACCAAGGCCTGGGGAGGATGAGGAAGAACCGGAGCTCTCCTATTCTGCAGGTGTGAGTGGAAACTGAAACAACTGTGGCAATTCATCCTGAGATGAAGTGATTTCTTTCTCCTTCTTTGCACTTTTCTGTACACTCCAAATTTTACAATAAATGTGTATTATAATGACAATAAAAAAAGTAACAGGTGAACACTTCAGGGGGAACAATAAAAATGGGAGAATAGACACCCAGGCATGAATCTTCCCAGATCAATGTGCTTGTCAGAGCCTCTCACATACAAGATAGTGGAAGGTGTAGGGATTTGAGAAGACCAGCAGAGACCCCCTGCCTGGCTGCCCCTCAGCTGCCCTGGACAAACTCAGGGGAAGGACCTCTGTCCCTAAGGAACAAACTCATTCCAACCTCTCCACACTTGTCCATATACTTTCTTTCTTTCTTTCTTTTTGTTTTTTTTTTTTGAGATGGAGTCTCACTCTGTCACCCAGGCTGGAGTGCAGTGGCACGATCTTGGCTCACTGCAACACTGCAACCTCTGCCTCCCAGGTTCAAGCGATTCTCCTGCCTCAGCCTCCTGAGTAGCCGGGATTACAGGTGCCTGACACCATGCCCAGCTAATTTTTGTATTTTTAGTAGAGACGGGGTTTCACCGTGATGGCCAGGCTGGTTTCGAACTCCTGACCTCAAGTGATCCGCCCACCTCAGCCTCCCAAAGTTTTAGGATTATAGGCGTGAGCCACCACGCCCAGCCCCATTTACTTTCTATGAGCCTAAGTTTCCCCATCTGTAAAAAAAAAAAAAAAAAAAAATGACATGACTCAAAGGATATTTTTTTTTAATGGGGAACATCAGTCTCATACCCATAGGGCTGAGATGCTGGGCAGATCAGATATAATCATTTTGTGGAGGGGTTTTATAAACTCAAGAAGGCTATCTCTATGGATGGCCACACATATATAAATATATATAAAAGAAGTCCAAAGAACCAAACTGATTCCAAACAGTATTTTTGGCTGGTGGGGTTTTCCTAGCTTCTGGTCTAGCCAGTGCTATCCAATAGAATTTTGTCATTGCTGGAAATTCTCTTTACCTGTATCATCCAGTATGGTCACCACAAGCCATATGTGGTTATTAAACACTTGAAATGAGGCTACTGCCACATTTTAAAACAAAATTTTTATTTCCGTAAGTTTTTGGGGAACAAGTGGTATTTGGTTACCTGAGTAAGTTATTTAGTGGTGATTTCTGAGATTTTGGTACACCCATCACCTGAGCAGTATACGCTGTACCCAATTTGTAGCCTTTTATTCCTCACTCCCCTCCCACCCTTTCCCCTAAGTCCCCAGAGTCCATTGTATTATTCTTATGCCTTTGCATCCTCATAGCTTAGTTCCCACTTAGGAGTGAGAACATATGATGTTTGGTTTTCCATCCCTGAGTTACTTCACTTAGAATAATGGTCTCCAGTTCCATCCAGGTTGCTGCGAATGCCATTAATTCACTCCTTTTTATTGCTGAGTAGTATTTCATCATATATATAGAGAGAGACCACAATTTCTTTATCTACTTATTGACTGATGGGCATTTGGGCTGGTTCCATATTTTTGCAATTGTGAATTTTGCTGCCATAAACATGCGTGTGCAAGTATCTTTTTTGTATAATGACTTCTCTTCCTCTGGGTAGATACTCAGTAGTGGAACTGCTGGATCAAATGGTAGTTCTACTTTTAGTTCTTTAAGGAATCTGCACACTGTTTTCCATAATGGTTGTGCTACTGACACATTTTAATTAATTTAACTTGTAAAATAGCTACATGTGACTAGTGGCTATCACACTGGACAATGCTGATCTAGACTTTTCTAAAGTTTACATCTTTTCAGTGTATATGTGAATTCGTGTGTTATTTGTGGGATTTGTTTTCAAATAGAAGGAAAAAAGAAATAAAGAGGAAAACTATATGCATGTTGAGTGTTGTTAGTACCTTTGGCCACCACCCTGTTTGGAAAGTTCTTCTGGAAAGCAAATCCAGTCCTGTGCCATCTGTTGCAGTGTTTGCCGGCCCCTCCTCCTGGGAGCTTCCACGGGAGGCTGGTACATGTCAAGGCCACTTCCTGGACCAGGTCTTTGCCTGAGATGAGCCTCCTGAGTCTCGTCCCCTCCAAGCTCCCCGGCTTTCAAGAGCCTCCCAACTCCCATGCCCACTTCCCTTTGGCTGCCTTCTCCTACCCAGGGATGGACCAGGCTGGGAAAATGAGCAAGAGGGCAGGAATCTCAGACGGCTCTGAGGAGACCACCCTTCCTCTAAGAGTACCTGCAACCTGTGGCAGCCCATACATTCCACCGTGGCCCCGTGACCCCCGCCTCTGTCCTGCCTGCTGCTTACTCAGCAGTTCCTCATCATCTGGGGTTGAGTGGGGGACGTTAGGGAGGAGATGGCAGCCTCCCCCTCCCCTGCTGAGGCTGAGAAGGGAGAGGGAGAGGGGAGGAGTTGCACCATGGTAAATAACTTCCCCCAGAAGGGGAGACAAGGAGCCTGGGTGCCCTGCCTTCCACTCTGAGGCTGGCCTTTCAGTGTCTAAAATGAGATGACCCCATGGGATTAGTTGTGAGGACCAGAAGGACTAAGGCATCTAGAGCTTAACAATGGCTCAATAAAGAGTGGCTGTGGACATTACTCATCCTGGGCAGCTCTGGGTGGTGCAGAAAACCCTGTATCCTGGAAAGTTATCTGGGGTCTATTCTAGCCTGTTGCTGTTAGCTTGCTGTGTGACCTTAAGCAAGTCTCCCTCCCTCTTTAAGCCTAGGTTCTCCTAGCAGTAAGATAAGAGAAGGGAGTCACGCCTGTAATCCCAGCACTTTGGGAGGCCAAAGCAGGTGGACCACTTGAGGTCAAGAGTTCAAGAATAGCCCGGCCAACATGGTGAAACCTCATCTCTACTAAAAATACAAAAATGAGCCTGGCATGCTGGCATGCGCCTGTAGTCCCAGCTACTCAGGAGGCCGAGGCAGGAGAATCGCTTGAACCCAGGAGGCGGAGGTTGCAGCGAGCCGAGATCACACCACTGCACTCCAGCCTGGGCTACAGAGTGAGACTCAGTCTCAAAAAAAAAAAAAAGATAAGAGATGGGAGACTTGCCTCCACTTACTTCATGGGCTTACTGGGGGGAGGGGTTTAAAATAACTAGGGGGGCGAGAGTTGTGCTTTGGCAGAGTGAACCACTGTTTCTACGCTAGGGAGGAGGTCAGAACGCACTGCAGGTTCTCCATAGCTGCCCTTCCACGGGCACTGCCAGTGTCGTGAGGGTGCAGGCCAAGGATAGCAGCCCTGACACGCCCATTGCAGGAAACTACACAGCGTCACATTGCTCCCACCCCCTGGTGACACTGAGTCACCCTGCAACCCACCTAACAGTTGCTGTGACCACATTTCCTCTGCTGGGGAATAAGCGTATCATGTGCCCACCCCAGGCCGACTACAGTCCTGACGCTTCTTGACAGGGGCCGCCTGCCAGGCCCAGGTGCCCTTGCAAAGCCAAGTGGATTCCGCACCCCCAGCTAGAAATTCTACCACCAGGTTTTTGTTCCCTGTTAACATTTATGTCCACCTGCCCCCATCAGATTTTAAAGCATGCAAAGTCCCTTGTGCTAAGGCATGAAGTCGCTGTGGGTGAGTTTTCAAGAGTGAGAGGTTAGAGGAAGCTGAGGACACTGGCTGTCATAGACTGAATGTTTGTGTGCCCTGAGAGGATTGGATTTCAACACATACATTTTGTGGGGACACAGACATTCCATCTATGACAGGGTTTGGTGTCTAGTGACTGGACCCCGCCAGACACAGAATCTGCTGCTGCCTTCATCTTGGACTTCCCAGCCTCCAGAGCCACTGTTTGTAAGCCACCCCATCGGTGCTATTTTGTTACAGTAGCCCAAGCTGACGAAGACACTGGTGAATTTACTTTGGGGACAATAGGGAGAAAATGAGGAGGTAAGATGCTGTAAGGAGGAGTCCTGAGGCATGACAGGCACACCCATCCCACCCAGGTTACAATGACCCCCAAAGACTCCGAAGACAGTGACTGTAGGGTGGGACTTTGCCAGCAGATGACAAGACAGAGATTGGTGGGTGGGGCTGGATGCACCTTTCTGTGCCTCCCAGGTTCTTCACCTGGGTTGTCCACATAGAACCAACTTGGGGAGAAGATAGGGAGGTCATCCCCTCAGTGGGGCTTGGAAGGTTGCAGAGGTTCCAGCAGCATCCCTTCCAGGATCCAGGCACACGTGGATGTAGAAAAGGCAGTAGGGCCCCAGAACCTTGGGATAAAGCACGGAGATGCAGGGAGTTCAGGGGCTAGGGCAGAGGCTCTGGACTCAGAGAAACCTGGGTTCAGGTGGCTGAATCCACCGAGAAGTGGCCACAGCTCTGCTATTGCTAAGAGCTTTGATCAAGTGATTTGCTGTGCCTCAGTTTCCTCGCCTGTAAACTGGGCAATGCAGTCTCAGCCTCAGGGGGCTATGACTATTAACTGATAAACAAAACAAAACAACAAAAACTCGACCCTGAGTAAATGCTCCAGACATAATCGCTGCAATTAGTAGTGTCAAATCTGTGAAAGTGAAAAATCCCTGCTTTTTATTTGCCTTGATTGATACACTACTCCCTACAAGAGTCTTTCTGTTAGAAGCACAGAAAATAAAATATTAGCATTGACCACTACCTTTCTTGGAAACTGTCCTTTCGAACACTTCAATGTCACTGAAGGTGAGAGGGGACCAAGGCCCCAAGACTGGAGGGATAGTGCATATCCCAAGGATTTGTGCATTTTCAGGAAACACCATAGCTAAGACTGGGCACTTCTTAACCCAGAGGCATGAGCTGCTGATGGTAGAAGTGTGCACAGTGCAGGGGAGAGGTTAGGGGAAGATTTATCTACACGAGGAAGATATAGTTGATTCTCATCATTCATTGTGGTTTTGTTTTGTAAAGTCACCATGAACACTGAGCGAATACTGAATCATTGCTCCTAGGGGAAATACAAAGATAGGTTCCTGCAAGCGTCTGGTCACAACATTTTTATCAACCAATCAATACATAACCTTGTTTTATGTGTGTCTCTGTTGAAGGGCACCGAATTAAATATATAATCTTGATTCATTGACACTGAACTCACAGCAACAGAACTAACTCATGCCTGAATAAGGCTTATCTAACACACATATTTTCTCTGTAAGGCACATCACAGCCTTCTTGCACTTAGGAACACGAGGCAGCCCTCGAACACTACGCTTCGGATCCTAAAAAGTGAAACCACCAAAAAAAGCATGAAAATGAGAAAACATGACACAAAATCGACCTCGACAAGGACACTTGTTTGCAGCACAGGAGCTGAAGGGAAACAGAGTGTCGCCCTGTTCAACCTCAGCTGGGAATGTGCCCGCCGGACAACTGGAATATTTCATCACTCTGCCTATGTCCTTGAATGACTTCAAAAGTGTTGATCTGGGCTGGGTGCGGTGGCTCACGCCTGTAATCCCAGCACTTTGGGAGGCCGAGGTGGGCGGATCACGAGGTCAGGAGTTCAAGACCAGTCTGGCCAACATAGTGAAACCCCGTCTCTACTAAAAATACAAAAAATTAGCCGGGCGTGGTGGCACGCGCCTGTAATCCCAGCTACTTGGGAGGCTGAGGCAGGAGAATCGTGTGAAATGGGGAGGTGGAGGTTGCAGTGAGCCGAGATCACACCACTGCACTCCAGCCCAGGTGACAGTGCGAGACTCCATCTCAAAAAAAAAAAAAGAAAAAAAAAGGTTGATCTGGGGCTTACAAATGCATTTTAGCAAGTAAGCTGATTTGCAAACACAGAATCTGTGAACAATGAGAATTGACTGTAAGTATCCCTTTGTTAGGCTGGTATCAATCATAGCCAACCTGGATATGAACCCTATCTCAGAGCAGGGGGGTCTCCACCAGCCGGCCTGGATTCTGGGGGCTGCTGTAGCATTTGAACCAGGACCCACTAAACCTCCCTCCTTGGAGCCCAGGCCAGGCACCAGCTTACCATGGGCCGTGTAGCTCAGAGGCTGCTGGGCCATCACCTCTGTCAGCTTCCATCAGAGGCAGAGGACAAATTTTGGAGGAAAAGGGGCTACTTGTGGCAGCTGCATGGGGAGCCTCTGCCAGCCCCAGAACTGGAGTGTGTCCCGCGAACCGCTCACTGAGGCCTCTCCCCATCATGTCATGCACACATCATGAAGCCGCACATTTTCATGCCTGCTGCGAAGTGCCTACTGTGCGGGGCTGCTGTGCTACACACTGCTCACACTCCACCCGGGACACAGTGCAGCCCTGTATCTCCACACTGCATGAATGGAAGAAGCAATGATCGGAGAGGTCTCACAGTAAGCAAGGGCAGACCTGGCGCTGGGGACCTGCCCCCCATTTCCCAGATGATCATGCCGTCCACACCCCCACGGGGTCACAAGAGGCAGTGCAAACTGTGAGTGGAGTGGACAAGGGGGTGTGGAACCAGGGCCCTTCAGAAGACCATGGAAACAACGCCTACTACGTTCTTGACTCTGTTCTAGGTCCTTACATACGTCCACTCATGTAATACACAGCAACTCTGAATTAGAGGCTGTCATTTTACAGATAAGGAAACTGAGGCAGAGAGTGGAACGTCAACCCCAGCAGTTTACTCCAGGGCTCACAGCCCTGACCACCACACCGTACTGTTCTACCACTCAATGTCCACATGTCCAGACAGCTACACTCAGCCACGATGGCCATCTCCCTAGGAGGGAGGCGGTGGGAGGGAATAAAGGCGGCCTCCCCGCCCCCACGGGGCACACCCATCTCCTGCCAGGCTCCATTCACTCAGCCTCCTCAATACACTCCAGTGAGCCCTCCTGTCCCTGAGCCCACCTTTCCCCTCCTTGATGCCGAGGCCTTAGTCCAGGCACCAGCCCTTGCCAGGACCCCCCAGCAGCCCCCTTCCACGCCCCCCTCCCTGAGCTGCCCCCACATCCTTCTTCACATAGCAGCCCAAATGCAAGCCTGCCCGCGTGGCTCCACTATGAAACAATCTACATGCAAACGTTTGTTAGTGCCTGTATTTGTCATCGCCCCAAACTGGAAACCACCCAAACAGGCCTGAGCGGGGAAGGGATAAACACACTGGTAGATCCACACAACGAAATATTCTCAGCGACAAAGAGGAATGGACTCTCGAGTCACACGACAACCCAGGCAGACCTCAAATGCATGTGGCTGAGAAAAAGCCAGGCACATGGTGACACACTGTGATTCCATTCACAGGACGTTCTCGAAACGGCAGAACGTAGGGACGAAGCAGAAACGCGGGGGTCTGCGGAGGAAGAGGTCCTGACTACAAAAGGGCCCAGGGGGCTTTTGGAGGGTGATGGAATTTTCTGTCTTGACTGCAGTGGCAGTTGCATGGCTGTCTGTTTGTCAAAACGTGCAGAAACGTACACTAAAGAGAGTGACTTTTACTCCGTGTAAATTACAGTTTGTTACAGGTCCCATCACATCCCCCCAAAAGATGTAGTCCTATAGCGCCCCAGAAAGTGACCTTATTTGGAAATAGGTTTGTTGCAGATGTAATGCTAAGATGAGGTCCTACTGGAGTAAGCTGGGCCCTAAATCCAAAGCGACTGATGTCCTTATAAGAAAGGGAGAAATGGCCAGGTGCAGTGGCTCACGCCTGTAATCCCAGCACTTTGGGAGGCTGAGACGGGTGGATCATGAGGTCAGGAGATCGAGACCATTGTGGCTAACACGGTGAAACCCCGTCTCTACTAAAAATACAAAAAAAATTAGCCGGGCGTGGTGGCGGGCGCCTGTAGTCCCAGCTACTCAGAAGGCTAAGGCAGGAGAATGGCGTGAACCCAGGAGGCGGAGCTTGCAGTGAGCTGAGATCGTGCCACTGCACTCCAGCCTGGGGGACAGAGCGAGACTCTGTCTCAAAAAAAAAAAAAAAAAAAAAAGATGGGGAGAAACACAGACAGACACAGAGAGAACACAGCCAAGTGACAATGGAGTCCGAGAATGGAGAGGTACAGCCACGAGCCAAGGGACCCCAGGCATTGCCTGGGCCACCAGAAGCTTGAAGGATCCTCCCAGAAGGCCTTTGGAGGGAGAATGGCTGTAACTTGATTTCAGACTTCTGGCCTCCAAGGCTTTGAGAGAATACATTTATATTGTTTTAAGCCACCCAGTTTGTGGCACTTTGTTATGGTAGTCCCAGGACACTGAGACACAGCTCAGTTTTTATTTATTTATGAGACAGAGTCTTGCTCTGTCACCAGCCTGGAGTGCAGTGGCACGATCTTGGCTCACTGCAACCTCTGCCTCCCAGGTTCAAGCGATTTTCCTGCCTCAGCCTCCTGAGTAGCTGGAACTACAGGCACACGCCACCACGCCCAGCTAATTTTTGTATTTTTAGTAGAGACAGGGTTTCACCATGTTGGCCAGGATGGTCTCCATCTCTTGACCTCAAGATCCATCCGTCTTGGCCTCCCAAAGTGCTAGAATTATAGGCTTGAGCCACTGCGCCCGGCCCATTTATTTTTTTTAAGACAGGGTCTCACTCTGTCACTCAGGCTGGAGTGCAGTGGTGTGATCTCAGCTCACTGCAACCTCTGCCTCCCGAGCTCAACTGATCCTGCCGCATCAGCCTCCCAAGTAGCTGGGACTACAGGCATGCACCACCACGCCCAGCTAATTTTAAAAAATTTTTTAGTAGAGACGGGGTTTCGCCATGTTGCCCAGGCTGGTCTCGAACTCCTGAGCTCAAGTGATCCACCTGCCTCGGCCTCCCAAAGTGCTGGGATTACAGGCGTGAACCACCTCGCCCGGGCAATAGCTCAGTTTTTTAAATGGGGTAAAAATTCCTGCCTATAGTCTCCATTGCCTTCAGGATACAGCCCAAGAGCCTCTGCTATCTGGTCACCTCTCCTGTCCGTCCAGAAGATTGTCAATGACAGGCACACGGAGCCTGCAGCAGCCCCTCCACCCCCACCACGAGTTTACCTGGGAAACTCCCAGGCATGGCTTTGTGTGGCTCTCATGCCGCAGGAAAAGTTTCCCCAGATGCCACCCCAGTCTGAGCAGGATGCCCTTCAGCCAGCCAGGGACCCCCGGCACTCCATAGGACCATCCTGCACCCTGTGGCCACAGCACTGCCTATCACTCCTGCGTCCCCACAAGACTGAGGGTCCCTGGGACAAGGATGGGTGATCACATTCTGGCTGGTGCAGTGCCATGCAGGCCACAGCGGGGCTCCAGGGCCTGACGCTGCCTGAGAGTCTATGGCTGAGGGGAATTGGGGGCTTTGGCACCTCCCCAACACTGTGGCCGACCCTGCACTGTTCCTGTGGCTGGACCCTCTCCCTTGGCGGCCCACCCTGTTTCTCAGATGTTCACAGCTCACAGTCCCCTCCACCCTGGCAGGCCTCCTAGTGGGCCCCATTCCCTCTCCCAGAGGCCCTCTGTCCTGGGCACTTCCCTTTCACCCCCCTCTTTGGCATCAACACACCATATATTAACTCAGCAAACACTTACCGAGCCCTGCACTAGATCCTCCTTCCCTCCCCTCAATCTCTCGCTCAGCACCAGTGTTCTTGGTGGAGCATTCTGTGCCCTTTATGGTGCTGACCTGGCAATACCATCCCCCCACACCCTGCCAGGAAGAGCCACTGTCCCTGCTGGTGGGAGCTTACAGTCTAGTGGGGCTACACACAGAATGAGCTGCCACAGGCATCAGGGGCGAGCGCCCATTGTGCTGCCGGCTCTTCTGTGGCTGGGGTCCTTGGTAGCCTGTAGGGTGCCTCTGCATAAATTAGAAGAGGGTGCTCCTTGCTGCCCATGGGTGCAGGCCAACCCCCACCCCACCCCCATACACACCTACCATGACACAAGGCTTGGCAAGAGAATGAAAGTTCAGCCCCTACCCAGCTTTGCCTCAGCCAGGAACACGTGAGCAGTAAACAACCTGCGCAACGGTGTACAGCGGCCCTGCAGGCCTCACACAGCCTGGGAGGCTTCTTGCAAGAGGTAGAGGTGGGACACTTGCACTTAGGCCCAGAGGCAGGAAAGAGCTCAGCCCCTTCCAGAGGCTAGAGAGGGAGGCAGCTAGTGAAGGCAGATGTGCCCACATTCCATCTCTGGGGCCTCGTGCCATGGAGCGGCCTGGGTGCTGCACAAGCCTTGGAGACAGCCTTGGTTGGAGACAGCCCACAGGTCCGGAGACCCTGGGGAAACCACTTCCCCTCTCTGAGCCACCAATTCATCTGCAAGCAGGGGCTGGATGAAGAGTTTCCAGAGTGGCACGAAGCTCTGACGCCTGAGGACTGCAGAGCTAGGGCTGGGGAAGCCTTGCCCAGTGGAAACAAGACCCTCACTGTCCTTCAGGCCACTTCAACGGGCTCTGGCCCAGCTCCTCCAGACAGCCCACCCAGCTAAATCCCAGGCCATTCTTGGGGCCTCTTATGCCCCAGGAGTGGTCTTAGGCTGTTGTTGAGCAGCTCCAGGCAGGCTCTTACAGGCTCAGAACAGGCCTGTGCTGTCCCTGGAAAGGGGAATTCAAGTCCAGCAGTTTCAGGACAAACCTTTCCCAAGGCTAGGCAAAGAGGTGAAGTGGCCACTGAAGACTCCCAGTGGCCAGTGGTCAGCATAAAACAAGCTTGACACTCAGCAAGTGCCAAGATACGGCCCAAGAGACCCCAAGACTGTTTCAACGAAGAGACAGTGAATGAATGAGTGACGGCAGCATCCGGCAAGAACACAGGCATTGTTGAAACTGGGCCCCGGGTCTTTATTTTCGTTTAGTTTTTTGGATACAGACAGGATCTCACTCTGTCACCCAGGCCGAAGTGCAGTGGTGTGATCACAGCTCACTGTAACCTTGAACTCCAGGGCTCGAGAGATCCCCCTGCCTCAGCCTCCCGAGTAGCTGTGACTACAAGTGCACACCACCATGCCCAGCTCATTTATAAAATTTTTTGTAGAGACGGGGTCTTGCTGTGTTGCCCAGTCTGGTCTTGAATTCCTGGCCTCAAGAGATCCTCCCACCTCAGCCTCCCAAAGCACTGGGATTACAGGCATGAGCCACTGCACCCGGTCTCCAGGCCTTTCTTGTGCTGGTGTGGCGGGGACACCAACTCTCAGGAGGAGCTGGAGAACACTGGCATGGGGAGGGTTAACCTAGGCGAGTTCTCAGCCTAAAGCACAGAACTGAGGCTGGGGGAAGAGGCATGGCTGCCTTGAGCAGCAAACCTAGCCCTGTCAAAGCACAAGGATTTGAGAGTCAGAATAAACAGTTCAAAGCTTCTGGCAAAATCTAAAACTCATAAACACTTAATATGAAAAAAAAATGTTTGCAATCTAGTCCTTGAAACAAGAGCCTTAGTGGATGCAAAGCTGCCTCTTCTCTCTCCCCTCTCTTCCTCCTTCTTGCCTCCACTAGGAAATGGGGACTTGCAGGTCGCCCTGCAAAGCAGCTGAGTACTTCGGGCATATAATCTGGTGCTATGTGACAGAGATAGAAAGCTCTCTGTGTTCATTAGAACTAAGCTTGTAAGTGATAGAAAATCTAAAATAAGAAATTAAAACAAGATAGTATGGCTAGGCACGGTGGCTCACGCCTGTAATCCCAGCACTTTGGGAGGCCAGGATGGGTGGATCACCTGAGGACAGGAGTTCAAGACCAGCCTGGCCAACATGGTGAAACCCCCGTCTCTACTAAAAATACAAAAACTAGCCAAGAGTGGTGGCAGGCACCTGTAATCCCAGCTACTCGGAAGGCTGAGGCAGGAGAATTGCTTGAACCCAGGAGGCAGAGGTTGCAGTGAGCCAAGATCGCCACTGCACTCCAGCCTGGGTGACAAGAGCAAAACTACATCTCAAAAATAAAATAAAATAAAACAAACAAACAAGATAGTATGTATTCCTCTCATAAAAAACTGGTAAGCAGTCTGTAGCTGGGATGATGGTCTGACATGTTTGGGACCCTTACTATAATATATTGTTGTTCTATCCTGCATAGCTTCTATGCTTAAGTTTGTCTCAGAGTCCAAGATGGCCACTTCAACTCCAGCCATCACATCTGTATTTCAGGCAACAGGAGAGAGGAAAGGAGAGAAGGACACCCCCATTAAGGGGTTCTCCAAGCAAATTATACTCCCCACTTATATCTCACTGTCCTGAACTTAGTCATATGGCCACACCTAGCTGCAAGAAAATTGGGAAATGTTCAGCTAAAACTTACACCCAGCAAAAATTCAGGGGCCAATCAGCAGGCTCTGCTTCACTCTTGGACTCAAAGGCTCCAGGATGGTGACAGATCTCAAGGAAATGGTCCCTAAACCCTAGATCCACAGAAGTTTTCAGGAGTTTCATTTAAAACAGAGGGGACTTGGAAAGAAGTCAAGATAGACACATGAAATAACTCTGACCATTAAAATGATCATAATATGATGACACCATCGAAGATGGCAGGTAGGCAACATAGGTCCACAACACAGCACACAGGAATGTGTACCAGAGGTAACACTCAGTGAAAAAAGAATACAAGGTAACACGTACTTGCACCGGGTGATAAAAATGTTTGATGCTTTAAATTTCCCTGTTTTGGGTGTGTCTGTGTATGAACTTTTAAAGTCTATAATACATTTTTTGGAAAATCAATAGCACATGCACACACACACACACACACCACATACATACAGGTGAGAGCCCCCCACCGGTCTCACAACCCAAAGAGACAAGAACATCATCATCTCAGGTAACCCTGGCAACAACAGTGGGCTATAGAGATTGACTTTTACCTAACAGAGGAGGGGGAAGAAGGTGCTCTGGCAGGTTCTGTTTCAGTGTCTTGCCCGGAAGAACAGAACTGTGGTCTTCACCACCATGGTAAAAGTCAAACTTGCCCACCCATAGCCAAGGGGGCCCCAACCACCTTTCCAGGCCCATCACACATGGAATCTTCTCTCTGCCCCCACCCCAGATTCTTAGGGCTCCCACACACAACTTGTCCTTTCCCACTCGGTGCGTTTCTCCTATCTGCAATACGCTTCTCTGCATATGCTTGATTTCAGTGGTTAAAATCCTACGTATCTTTCAAGATCCAATTCACATGCCAGCTCTGTCAAGGAGTCCTCCCTACTCACTCTGCACAGCCAACTGTAACAGAAGTTCGGCAGCTTTTTATACAGTACCCTGTGCTTTAAATACGCACATATTTCTCTTATTTTCTGTGTTGGTCCATTTTGCCTCACTATAAAGGAATACCTGAGGCTGGGTAATTTACAAAGAAAAGAGGTTTATTTTGGCTCATGGTTCTGCAGGCTGTATGAGAAGTATGGTGCCAGCATCTACTCCTGGTGAGGCTCAGGAAGCCTCCAATCATGGTGGAAGGGGAAGGGGGAGCAGGTATGTCACATGGCGAGAAAGGCAGCAAGAGGGAGAGAGCAGGGAGGTGCCAGGCTCTTGTAAACAACCAGATCTCATGTGAACTGAGAACTCACTCATTACTGTGAGGATGGCACCAAGTCATTCATGATGGATCTGCCCCCATGACCCTAACACCTCCCACCAGGCCCTACCTCCAACACTGGGGATCACATTTCAACATGAGATTTGGAGGGGACAAACATCCAAATCAAATCATTTTCCTTAGTAGATAAACTGGAAACTCCTAGGTGTTCAGGTGCTCAGTAAATAGATGGATTGATAGATGGAAGGATGGAAGGGTAGGTGAGTGGATGGATGGATGGATGCATGGATGGATAGATAAATGGATGGATAGAAGCGTGGGAGGGTGGATAGGTCGATGGGTGGATAGGTGGATGGATGGATGAAGGGTGGGTTGATGGGTGGATGTATGGATGGATGGGTGGATAAGTAGATGGCTAGATGGATGGATGGTGAATAGAATGGACAGGTGGATGTCTGGATGATGATTAGGAGGATGGGTGAAGATAAATGAGAAGATATCCATTGCGAGAAGAGTCCTTGAGTATAGTTTAGATGGATGCTCCGTCAAAAATGTCAAGAACAGAAAGAAGCAACGATAATAAATGCTGTCACCAGATGCCATCGGTAGAGAGATAAGTCCTTGCTTTGAACTGCAACATCCCTAGAGAAATTTACATTATCAATCTCTGACATTGACTGAGATTAAGGAAGCTGGGAACATGGAGGTTAGGGGAAAAGGTCCCCGGTGACTCTTTCTTGACAGCTTGTTCCCTGTAGCCAGAGATCATCAGATTGTGAATTTCAGATGCAAAGCCCTTTATTTCTTCAGTCCGTGAAGATGGGTGAAGAAGCACACTTACTGACTCACAGAACAATTTAGCTCTGGGAAACTTTGGAGGAGGGGAAGGCTTCTCTGCTACTGTTGGGGTGCCCTCTGTCCACCCCTCTCTCCAGCTTATCTTTCAGAGAACAGGCTTTCGCATCAGTGCCTGACACCCCGTGTTAAATGTCAGTCGGGAGGTAGGGTGGCGCATCTCTTAACTAGGGAATAAAAAGTTCTCAGCTTTGCTAAACGTCCCAGAGTCAGTAGCAAAATGGAGGCCACCTTCACAGGGGAGTATCCTCTAGGAGAGCCCCCCTAGGGCAGCCCCTCGAGGATGGGCTCAAAGGCCCCACTCCCACCCCCCTCTACTGGAATCCTTGCTTCCCCATGGCTCCAGGCCTGTGTGTAGAGCCAGGCTCTGGGGCTCTCTCAGTTCCAGAAGGTGGGGATGCAAGCACCATTACCCCATAGGATGTGGCCTGAGTGTGTGCCGTCACGTCACTTACAGACAACAGGCCTTGACCACAACCACGGCCTAGGCCATTTCTGCTAAAAAGAGAACCGACATTTCATTGCAGGCTCGTTCATTCCATTAAACATGTACTGGTTGAGGTGGGGGCACCCCTGGGTATTACTGAGGTCAAATTGGGGCAGGGGGTTCTGCAGCCATGTTCAAAGCTTCTGACTATCAGCACTGTTTCTGCTTTGGGGGCAGTCCCTCCAACCCCTACCCCTGTGGAGAGGAAACATGCCAAGGCTGCACAGAGGCCCTACTGGCAGGAGAGTAGAGGAGAGGACACAGTGGTGGCTTCCAGACTCTTGTATAAACGCTGACACCACACAGATAGTAATGCCTTCCCACTGCCCTGTGGACGCCAGGCTGAGGGAAGGCCTCCCATGTACCCGTCACTCCTCTCTTCTCCATCAAGGCCACGCTGGCAGGAGGGACGGACTGGCTTCGCTGTACTACACTGTGCGTGGGGAGGGAGGCACACAGCGTCACTGCCGCCCCCACCTGCACAGGGACGCGTTGGCTATCTCTGGGCAGCCCTGGGCAGGGAGACCGAGGCCTGGCAGAGAGCGCCATCCCTCAGCCTGGACACCTGTCTCATCCTCTGTTGGTAGGGCCGCCCCTCAGACTCCAACCCTGACAGGGGCAGGCTTCACAGACGGTCTCTAAACAGCCAGGCCCCGTATCCCCGGCTGTCTGCGATCTCCTCAGCACCTCCACAGCTCCCACAGCTGATGGCCAGGCAGGCTCCACCTTACCAGCCCAGCCACCCTCGAGAGGCTACTCCAGCCACACCAGGGCTCCCCGCCTGAGAAACCTTCCCAGCTCACTGTCCACTTGGCAAGGAGCCATGGGTCCTGCCCCAAAGTGGGCTCCCAAAACCAAATGTACTTTTTTCAAGACTAGGTTTTTCAAAATAAAACCACAGCAATAACAAAAAGAAAAAGAAAAACCATTTCCTTCCAGGTAGCTTGGTCAGGGTAATGAGCCAAAAGTCTCCTGGATGGGTCTTTGTTTCTTGTGAAAGTGCCTGCATGTTCTAGACTGTTCCATGGGCCACTTCAGCTCCAATGGGCACTTTGATCCCCTGAATGCTATTACTCTAGGACACCAGCTTCCGTTGCCTGCTAGCTGGTAACTCAGGGAGCCGACTGTCAGAGCGAGCAGGGACCTTGAGAACATGGAGCTCTTTTCTCAGATGGGAAAATGAGGTCCAGAGGGAAGGGAGCAGCTTCCTAGAATAAAATCCTAAAATACTAGAGGAGACAGGACCCCAGATTCTCTAGCCCTACTGATGACCTACAACATGCAAACACCCACGCCTCTTCCAAACCAGCAAAGGACAGTTCTGCCTAAGAAAAGACACGTTGGCAGCCATGGCTGACACTGATGCTGACACACACACACACACACACACACACACACACACACAGGCCACCCTTATTTTCCCAGTTTCTCAGTGGTCCAGAGACCCGCATTTGGGACCCACTGATGCCCCAGGGCTCCCCCAAGTCTGTACACCAAGCTATTCTCCATTCTTCCGGCTGAGACACAGTATCCAGGGCTGGCCTCTCCTTCCCCCATCCTTTCTCCCTGACAAGTATCAGGAGCACAGCTGGGGAGGATAAAATTAGGGGAGTTGGGGCCAAGCAGGGTCCCTACTCAATTGCCTGGGTGGCCTCTGCTTTCCAGACTTGGAGAGGAGTGTGGTAGCCTTGTGGTGGGGGTCACCAGCTGCTGCGGAATGGAGTTGGGCTCCTAGCCCCCCAAGCCCTGGGTCTCCCCCTACTTAGCCCCGCCCTGTGATCTAGGCCACCTTGTAAACACCTCCAGAAATTCAGGGGCTCCAGGGACACAAAAGAAAAGGCTGTGCAGCCTTCAATCAGCGTATCATTGGCCTCAAGCATTTATGGAGTGCCAAGTGCATGTAGGACACAAGGATATGGAACTAAAAGACCTGACCCCTTTCTTTGGAAGTTTGTAACTGAAGTAGGAAGTCATGATATTAAAGAGGTTTTGGCTTCTTTCAAATTGCTAGGCAAACAAGCGGTTCATGTGAAAAAGGCTATGAATATTCAAAAAGGAGGAATCTCTGTGAGCTGGCATGGATAGAAGGCTACATGGAAGAGGTGAGCCCTGTAAAAAGGGCAGAAAGAACCTCATGGGCAAAGGTACAAGACCACAGACAAGCTCTGCACGTTGGAGAGGACAGAAGATGTGAAGCTGTACACTGGCTTCCAGCAGGGCTGGGCTGGGGTACAGAGGGCAGGACTTTCTTGAGGGACCTTTTAAATAGGACAGCATGTCACCTGAGGGCAATTAGGGAGCTGTTGGGGGACACACCACTTTCCCTGCCTGGCCTGAGAGTCCCTCTAGCTTGATTGGCAACAACCAAACCACCAGAAGGGCCCACTGTGGGGTAGGACGGAGGGGAGATCCAGTTTGGAAGTCATTAAAGTTGTGATTTTCATCTTTGGCTCCAATCTTGGGGGAAAACATCCATGTTTCAGACACTCCTGGTGGGCAGGAGAAATTCGACTTCCTGGTTCTCAGAATAAATGCTGGTTCGGGGCAATAGTTGTATCAACAGGACATTCTGGAGTTGGCCATCAGAGCAGCACCAATCAATTACCCAATAACAAGATGATAACGCATGGCCCCCCACTCTCTTCTAAAGGTTACTCCCTAATAGGATCAGATAGCTGGGGGCCAACAGGAAGTTAAGGGGCCTTGGGTGTCATTTACCCCATGTTAAGGCTCTTTCTGAACACACAGATGCCCCCAATCCCCTAGGTGACCCAGGCCCCAAGGATGGGGTTCTGTGGGCAGCCCCCTTTATACTTTTGCCCCTCTTCTGTAATTCTCTCCCCAGACAAAATTTGTCTTCCGTTTCCTCAACCCCTGTTATCTGATAACAGTCGCTTTGTAAAGCAATGTGTGTCATGTACCTCTGGGTTTTGAAGGGTGCACTCCCTGCCCCACAAGCCCCTCCACCACACTTTCCCACCTCCCGAACCTTTGCTCAGGCACTCCCCTCCTCCGAGCTGCCCACCCAATGGTGCTCACTCATCACTGCCTAGATGACACAGCTTGCCATGTCTTGCCATGACAGGTGGAATCTTCCAGGGGGTTACAGAGACAGAGTTTGTGGCCATCTGTCACCCATTCTTTCCGTCTCTGCTCTGGCAAGGGACTGGGAGGCACCACAGACCACCTCAGACTCCTGTCTCCAAAATGGAGCTCCAGGGAGGCCTAAGGGGATGGTGAAGGGTCTGGGTGTCCTCCTTCAAATATCATGCCTCTCTCTGCTTCCAGCTGAGATCAATTCCTGGTAGGTTTCCAGTTTTGATTTCTGTATCTCCTGGGTTAAAATGCGGGTGCCCTGTGGCATTTCAAGCTTTTCACACTTGCAGCTTCAGTGAAGATCACAGATCAGGGACCCAGGGCCAGGATAGAGGGGCACCAAGGGGGTAGGGGAGATGAGGAGGGCCTCAGGGATAAATGTGCTGCGACTCCTTCAACCCAAGGGGACCCTGCACCCCCAGCCCCTTGCACTCCCAGCTGCTTCTCAGAGGATGTACTGGGGCTTCTCGGGGTGGGGGGGCAGGAGAGCAGACTTGAGATGGTGAGGTGACCCTTTGCTCCTGTGCATCAGAGCCTCTGTTAGGATCTGGAAAGGGCTAGGTCTCCTAGCTAAGTGCCAGTCAGGACCTCCAGGGAACATTAGCTCCTTGAATCCAGGAAGCCAAGGTCAAGGGACAGAGCTGGAGCTACGAGCTCACACCCTGAATCCATCACTGGCCCTGCTGTAGGTGGGCCCCACCCAGAAGAGCCCCCTGTCTCAGCCTGGAGTGGTTAAGGGGCTCCTCTTCAGGGCTCCAGCAGGACCCCTGTATTAGATCAGGCCAAGGCTCAGGAGACATGAGTTCCACCACCACCTCCCCCAATACCAGGGAACCCATTTCCCCTTTCTGGGTTTCTGGTTCCTCATTGTTAAATTAGGGGATTGATTAGGTCAATGACAGCCACATTTTTTCCAGCAGTGGAATCCTTTTCCAAATGAAATCTTAAGCAGACCTTTAATATAGCAAAAATGTGAAAAGGTGACTGGTCTAGTTGCTATGGTGGGGCTGCATGGGGGTGCCTGCTAGGTCTCTCCCTACCCCCTGAAAGCTACTGGCCTGAGTGGACTCTGAGAACCCACTCTCAGCAGACTCCGCACAGTTCGGCATCTGTCCCTGATGCACTGGACCCTGGGCAGACAGAGCCCAACCAGAGTCATCCTCCACTCCTCTCTCCCTCCAATCCATCAGCAAATCCTCTACCCTTCAAAGTCCTTCCAACCCAAAAGGTCCTCCAAAACAAAGCCATGTTTTAGCAACAAACCAATATTCATACAGTGCTAGAATGTACCAAGCACAGTTCTAAGCAGGCCTGAACGGATGTTTCCCCTAAGCTGCCTGGGGGCAGCTACTTAGCTATGAACTCAGCCAATCCACGAAACAATTCTATGTGGTGTGTGTTGCTAGCACCCCCAGTTTACAGGTGAGGCAGGGGCCGGGTCATTTGTCTAAGGTTACACATTTGGCAAATGGAGGGATCATACCCAACAAATGATAATAATGGTGATAATTATGATTAAGGGTTTACCATATAGTCTAATGTATTCAACTCTGTGTATTTAGTCCTCAAAACAACTCTAAGGGGTAGTTACTATTATTTATCATTTTATTGATAAGTGAACTGAGATACAGAGAGTTTAAATAACCGACCCAGTAATGAACAAAAAAAGACAAGAGGAAGTGGATCACACTAGGTCATCTCTGGGGAAAATGAGAAGCCGGTGAGGCCAGCGCCCTGGCCCCTCACCTCCCCTTCCTCCCTGAGAAACTCCTCTCCGGCTTCACCCTGCCATCTTGGGTGTGGCAGATACTTGCAAGTGGGTGTGAGGGTTGGGGGGCTCTTCCCCAACGGATTCCCAGTTCTTCCCACCGGATGGTATTTGTCTTTGCAGAGGTCGCTTTCGAGAGAAAGAAACCAGCATCCAGAATTTCCGGGCTGGCAGGATGGAGGGAGAAGAAGGGAAGGGAGACGTTCAGATCTAGATGAGCTTAAGGCCCCCTCCCAGTCCCTCCCAGCTGAGTGAGAGCCAGTCACCTCCAGCTGTCCCCCAGTTCAGGACTGCACAAGATGGGCCCAACTCTCCTGTTTCACAGAGCAGAGAACTGAGGGCCTGGGAGATGAGGTCCCACTGCCAAGCCAGGGAGCGGCAGGGTGTCCATCAGAGAAGTAGGCCCGGGACTTTTAAACCAAAAAGCTGGGAATGGCCTCCCCAGACGCGCTCCTGGGTACCCAGAAATAGGCTTTCCCCGGGAATCCGCCTCCGACCGGGCGTCTCTACAACACCTGAAGCTTCTCAGGACGCCCTCTGAGCTGGGCAAGGCGAGAGGACTTTCTCCCAGAGCCCAGCCCCGAGCAATGCCCGAGCTCGCGAGGTGGGGCTGGGGGCGACAAGGAGGCGGAGCGGGGACTTAGCCACCGGGGACTCCTCTCCAAGTCAGTTCCCAAACCATTCGGCGTCATGCATCCACAGCCCGCGCGCAGCCCGTGCGCCCTGGACCCTACCCAAGCACTAGGCTCGACCAGGGCCGGTCCGAAGGTCACCGTCTACGGCCAGGGCAGAGGGGCGGCGGGAAAAGGGCCCAGTGGACCCTCGGTCCAGGAGGGCCGGTCAGCTGTTGGGCCGCGGGCACCCAAAGTTGCGGGGGTCCGGGTCTCCGACCCCACGCCCAGCGGGGCTCTAGTACCCGAGGGCGCGCGCTGCGACTCGCAGAGCAGCGGGTGCAGCAGGCTGGCGGGGCTGGGACCGCGAGTTTTGTTTGCAAAGTTCAGGCGGGGCAGACGCCAGGGAGGGGGCCGCGTCCACGCGGGCAGCCCCGGCGCTGACAGGTAGCGACGCACTCCCTCGTAATCCGTCCACCAGCAGCCTAAAGTGTGCACTGGGTTCCCAGTGAAATGCCTGGCCTTGAAAGTTTAGCCAACATCGGGTCCAGCGGAGTCACCAGGGCCGCCCCCTGCCCCGCAGAACCAGGTTCTGGCCTCGGCCACGGTGGGGGTCCCGTATCAGCCCGACAACCCCGAGGTCACGCGCCCGAAGGACTCTCTGGGACAAGAAGTGGAGTGGGGCGGCCAGGACGCGGGCCGTGGGGATCGCGAGGGAGGAGGGGGCGGCCGCCCGGACTTACCCCGTGGGGTCCCCGCGCGCGGGCGCCCCGGCGTGTCGGATCATGCCGCCGGCAGCTCCGGGACGGGGAACGGAGGCGCTCAGGCGCCGGGCCGCGCGGAACGCGGAGTCCCGGGCGCCCGCATGTCCCTGGCTCTGGCCCTCTGGAAGGGCCAGGCCGCCGCTGCCGCCGCGCTCTGGGGCTCTCGCTCCCTTCTACTTCCTGTATCGGAGCGAGCGGGGCTTTCAGGAAGAGGCTGGCCTTGGTGGTCAAGGGTTTTTTTGTCAAAAGCCATTCGGCAGCGGCTCGCGGCCCGGAGCCCCCTGGGGCACACGGAGGCCCGGGCGGCCGCGCCCCCGGGGCCGGGCCTCGGGGCGGGGGGTGCTGGGGCCAAGGCGCCGCACGGGCGCCCAACCTCGGGGTGCCGCCTCCACAGGCTGTGGCTGGGGCTGGGGCGCGGGAGGCCCGCGGGGCTTCGGAGAGGGAAACTTAGAGAAAAGTCTTCCACTTGGCTTGGGGCCGCAGGGGAAGGAAGACGCCCTCCGCCTGTGCCGGCGCCGACCGCGGGCCGGCAGGTGGGGAGGCCCAGAGCTGGCGGGGAGTTCGTCCCACTCGGAGCCACAGCCTTGCCCGAGGGAGCCTCGAAATCGTTCAAGGGCAACCTCAGACCAGAGCCAGGGCGCCTCCTCCACATTCCTGACAGATGTGCACGCCGCCTCCTCTTGGATGCTTCCCGTGACAAGGAGCTCACTCCTCAACAAGGCGGACTGCTCGTCCATCAAGCCTGGCATCTAATTCACCTGTGCCGGGTACCGCAGATGGAGAACGCCAGACAGCTGACACAAATGCAAGACCCACAGCAACCCCAGGTGGGACCGTGAGGCCTCTTCTAAGTGCCTGGGTGTTCAAAAATGCCTCCCGAGCCCAGTGTTTTCCCAGAGCATTTCCCAGAGTGACTGAGCAGGACTGGACCCTATTAGGTCACCTCAGTCTCATGCAGGATTTCTTTACCTGGCCGCTACTGCCATTTGGGGCCGGCTAATGCTTTGTTATTGGGGCTAATGCTTTGTTATTGGGGCCAGCTAATGCTTTGTTATTAAACCTCCTTCAAAACTGCAGGAGGTTTAACGGTATCCATGGCCTCTCCATGATTCATAAAATACCCATAGCATCAGCCTCTCTCTGTAACGACCAGAAATGTCTCTAGATATCACAAGTGTCCTCCGGGGGCAAAATCGTCGAGGTCTAATACCATCATTTTAGAGATAAGGAAACTGAGGCCTAGAGAGTGGAGGTGACTTGCTCAAGGCCATATGGCAAGTGAGGACCAGACAGGACTGAGCCCAGGGCTCTGGTGAAAGGATCCCCAGGCCTCTCTGCCCTGCTGCTCTCTCCTCACACCCTCCTCCTCCATCTTCCCTGGATTTCCACCAAATCAGCCTGCCTTCTAGAAGTTAGAAAGAAAAGAATTCACATCTGAGCATACACGAAAAGTCCAGCCTTCCCCCTGGGATGTAAAATGGTGCAGCCACTTTGGAAAAGAGTCTAGCAGTTCCTCAAAAAGTTAAACGTCAAGTTAAGCATATGGCCCAGTAATTGCATTCCTAGTTATGTAGCCAAGAAAAATGAAAACATGTTCATGCAAAAACTTATACATGAGTGTTCATGTATAAGTTTATAATAGTATATACTATATATATAGTATATAATACTACTATAAAGAGTAGTATTGTTCATACTAGCCAAAAGGTGGAAACAATCTAATGTCATCAGTTGACAAATGGATAAACACAATGTGATACATCCATACAGTGGAATATTATTAGGCCATGAAAAGGAATGAAGTACTGGCACATGCTACACCATGCATAAACCTCAAAAGCATTATGCTCAGTGAAAGAAGCTAGTCACGAAGGACCACATTCCATTTATATGAAGTGTCCAGTATAGGCAAGTCCAGAGAGACAGAAAATACTCTAGTGATTGTCAGAATCCTGGGGAAGAGAAGAAAATGAGGAATGACTGCTAAGAGTTATGGGGTGATGAAAATGTTCTAAAATTCATTGTAGTGATGGTTGCACAACTCTGGCTACAGTAAAAACCATTGAATTGTATGCTGTAAGTGGGTGAATTGTACAGTATACAAATTATACCTCAATAAAGCTGTTATTTTTTTTTAAGGGGGGGAAAAAGTACAGCCTCCAGGAGGCCACCCTGACTACTCCAGCTCACACCCCTTCCCCCTCTGCCCAGATTCCTACAGGTTCCCTTCGTTAGGTCATAACCACCCCCCACTGACTTTTCCTCTCCTCCAGAGGCTGAATTATTTCCTCCTGGATGGGAATGAGTCATCTCCTCCGCCGTCTCCCTCAACAGGGCTGTAACATGTTTCCAAGGGTTTCAAAGCCCTGTTTGAAAACATGGGCTTTGCGGACAGACCCATGTTCAACTTCAACCCCAGCGGCTTCTGGGTGGGTGGCCTTGAGCAAGTCTCTTCCCAAAGGCTCATCTTGCTCATCTATAAACACAGTGAGTACAAATGAGATGGACAAGAAGACCCCTGCCTCCAGGGCCCCATTATTATTCCTTAGTTGTTTCTAAAACAAGTCTGCAGGCCACTCTCAGGCCTCCCTGGACCCCAGGGAAGCGGTCTATATAACTACTGCACCTAGAACAGTCCTTCAGCCCCCTCCCAGGCTGATCTGAAAGGTTTCCTTCAGCTCCCTGGATCACTGCTGAGAAACACAGGACAAGTCTCTTAAAGCCTGGCTTCCATGGGCCTAGCCCCAATGCTCACCTGCTCTGAGAAGCCAGAATTCCTCAGGTGGACACCAGATGGAGCCCCGCCATGACCCTGTTGCTGATAAATGACCATAGAGGAGACAGTCACAATTCCAAGAATCTGAGCAGCCCCTTTTGGTTGTGGCCCATGGTGCACCTTGGCCAAGCTTGCCCTCTGCTCTCTTCCTGGGTCCTCTTTTCATTCCCAAGTCCTCATGCTCTGAATTCCTGACCAATAAAATGGTTGCTGTTTGGGATATTTTGTTTGGCAAAAGTAGATCATCAGAAAACAGCTCATCTTGCGAGGGTTCCATCTTCTTCTGACCCCCAACAAGGTTTTACATGTCCATTTCCTCCATTTTAAAGATTTGGAGAAATCTTTAAAAGAGAGGCGGACAGAGACAAGCTCTGTTTTTGCAAAATCAATCAGTGTCCTCAGGACAGATGGAAATAAAACTGCACCGACGGGGTAGGGTTGGGGTCAACTGGGAACCAGGCAAAAGGGACAGCCTCTTCTCCGTTCTCACCAACAGCTGTCCAACAGGAATGAGGGCCTGAGCACCCTAGCCCTTACAGTTTAAAAAATGCTGAAAATCTGGCATTTTTAATGGAAAGTTTCCGATTTCTAAACTTTTTTTTTTTTTTTGAGACGGAGTTTCACTCTGTTGCCCAGGCTGGAGTACAGTGGCACCATCTCGGCTCACTGAACCTCTGCCTCCCAGGTTCAAGTGATTCTCCTGCCTCAGCCTCCCCAGTAGCCAGGATTACAGGCACCTGCCACCAGGCCCAGCTAATTTTTGTATTTTTAGTAGAGACGGGGTTTCACTATCTTGGCTAGGATGGTCTCAAACTCCTGACCTCAGGTGATCGACCTGCCTCTGCCTCCCAAAGTGCTGGGATTACAGATGTGAGCCACTGCGCCACTGTGCCTGGCCCTAATTTCTAAACATTGTACTGGCTAAAGAAGCACCTCTGAGAGCCGAGTTGCCCCACAGGGGCTGGCCTGGCATCTGCCTGGATCTCTTACCTCTGCCTGTTCTGAGATTCTGTGTGGCAGGAAGGTGAATCTGACACAGGTATAGGTGTGCCTTGTGGTCCCCATGGGTGGTCAGGGATTCCCCCAGTTCTGGAAGGGAGGGGGCCCAGATAGACATGCTGGGGATCTCTCCCATGGGACAATAGAGACCTTCTTCAGCGTGGCTCTCTGGGATTCTGCCTCATTGTCCCCCCTCTGCAGGTCCTAGACCTCTTTCCCTCCTCTACTGAGAGATCATCCTGCAACTCCCAAGAGTACATGTCTCTATTGCAGCTATACTGAAACTGATCAGCACCTCACAGTCCCAGTTCCCGCTTCTCAGGAGGAGTAATCTCATGGACCCATCTTGGCTGTGAGGGGTGGGCAAACTCAGAGAGAGGGTACTAAGTTGCTGAGAAGACAAACAGCTTTCCAAGCAGCCCCCAAACTGTATTATTGGGGAAGCTTCTTATCTGGTGGAAGCTACTTCAGGGAACACACAAATGATAAGAAAGAAAAACAGTCTTATTGCTAAGTTGGAAAAAGTTTGAGTGGTCTGGATAGAAGAACAAACCAGCCATAACAGTCCCTTCAGCCAAAGCCTAGTCAGAGCAAGGTCTTAACTCTCTTCTATTCTCTGAAGCCTGAGAGAGGTGAGGAAGCTGCAGAAGAGAAGTTTGATGCTAGCAGAGGTTAGTTCATGAGGTTTAAGAAAAGAAGTCATCCTATAACATAAAAGTACAAGGTGTGCAGATCACCAAGGGGTATTTAAAAAAATAAAAATAAAAAATAAAGTACAAGGTGAAGGAGCACGTGCTGATACAGAAGTTGCAGCAAGTTATCCAGAAGATCTAGCTAAGATCACTGAGGAAGGCGGCTACACTAAACAACAGATTTTCAGTGGAGACACAACAGCTTTCTAGTGGAAGAAAATGCTACCTACGGCTTTCACAGCTGGAGAGGAGGAGTCAATACCTGGTTTCTAAGCTTCAGAGGACAGGCTGAACTCTCTTGTTAAGGGCTAATGCAACTGGTGACTTTAAGTTGAAGCCAATGCTCATTTACCATTTTGAAAATCCTCAGGCTCTTAAGAATCATGCTAAATCAACTCTTCCTATAAATGAAATAACATTTCACTATTTCTATAAATGAAATAACATTTCACTATTTCTATAAATGAAATAACATTTCATTATTTCTATAAATGAAATAACAAGGCTTGAATGACAGCACATCTGTTTACTGGTTTACAGTAAAGAGCACATCTGGTTTACTGAAAATTTAAACCCACTGTTGAGACCTACTGCAGAGAAAAAATGATTCTTCTCAAAATATGACTGCTCAATGACAATGCACCTGATCACCTATGAGCTCTGATGAAGATGTACAAGGAGATTAACATTGTTTTCATGCCTGCTAACACCAACATTCATTCTGCAGCCCATGGGCCAAGGAATAATTTAGACTTTCAAGTCTTATAATTTAAGAAATACATTTTCTAAGGCTATTGCTGCCACATATAGTGATTCCTCTGATGGATCTGGGCAAAGTAAATTGAAAACCTTCTGGAAAGGACTCACCATTCTAGATGCCATTAAGAACATTTGTGATTCATGGGAGAAGGTCAAAATATCAGTACTAACAGGAGTATGAAAGAAGTTGATACCAACCCTAGTAGATGACTTTGAGGGGTTCAGGACTTCAGTGGAGGAAGTCATTGCAGATGTGGGAATAGCAAGAGAACTAGAATTCCATGGGCATCCTGAGGATGTGACCGAATTGCTGCAATCTCATAAAATGAATGGATGAGGAGTTGCTTCTTATGGATGAGCAAAGAAAGTGGTTTCTTGAGATAGAATCTACTCCCGGTGAAGACACTGTAAACATTGTTGAAATGACAACAAAAGATTTGTAATATTCCGTAAACTTAGTTGATAAAGCAGCAGCTGGGTTTGAGAGAATGGACTCTAATTTTGACACAAGTTCTACAGTGGGTAAAATGCTATCAAGCAGCATTGCACGCTACAGAGAAATCTTTTACGAAAGGAAGAGTCCTTCGATGCAGCAAACGTTATTCTTGTCTCATTTTAGGAAATTGCCATAGCCGTTCTGACCTTTAGCAACCACCACCCTGATCTATTAGCAGCCATCAACATCAAGGCAAGACCCTCTACCAGCAAAAAGGCTCAGAGGATTTTCAGCATTTTTTGGCAATAAAGCATATTTTAATTTAGGTATGCACATTGGTTTCTCATAATAGATATACTGCTATTGCACACTTAGTAGACTACAGTATAAATATAACTTTTATATGTACTGGGAAACCAAAAAAATACATATGACTTGCACAATAAAGTGATATTCGCTGTATTGAATTGGTCTGGAACTGAACCACCAACGAACCTGCAATGTCTCCGAGGTATGCCTGCACCGCCTAGGAAAACTTAAGTGCCCACTATTGAGAGGTGCTGCAATTGCTAATCATTGCTAATCCTGCTCGCCTGTCTTTTGCTTGGAGGACCAGGACTGCCTCTGACACTTCCTTGTATAGTGTGCTTAGCAAAAAAGATGTTCCATAACTACTTGGGGGTAAGGATGTGATTTGTTTTTGTTTCGCTTCTCCTTTTTGGGGATATTTACTTCCTCTGAAAATCAAATGTGTTCTCAAGTGTGTTTCAGTGTAATAAACCAGGGTGGTTCATTTGAAATTATGGTGTGGCAACAAGCCAGTCAGTTTGAGGGGAAATCTGATCCCACACTGGTCTTCTCAGCCACAGTCCCAGCCTGGGCTTCTGCTGTCATCCCAGGTGGCAGTCTGCAGACAGGTGTGCACTCAGCAGGAGGCTTCTGGGACTTCAGGTAAGAACACTCCCAAATGGGGACTCGCTTCCTTAAAGAGCTGTTGAGGTTGGCTGGGTGCCGGGGTGGGGCAGGGAGGGGCAGAAGCTCTGGCTGCTTTGGAACCACAAGCCCAGGTTCCTGTCTCAGCCCCACTTGCTGGCTGTGTGACCTTAGGCAAGTTTCTTCTTACCCTCTCTGGGCCCAAGTGTTCTCTTCTGGAAGATGGGTAGAGGTATACCTACTCCATGGCTGCTTGTGAGGAGTATATGGAAAGTGGCTAACAGTGTCTGTCACATTGTAAGTTCATGACACATGTCAGTTTCCCTTTACTGATTTATTTTTAATTTTTTTCCTTTATTGATTTTTATAAGAGTAGAACAGATGTCTAGTTGGGTGGGCTCTTCAGTGACTTCTGCCTGGTGCCCTACCCCTGACAGGGGTGCCAAGAGGCATGGTTGGAGAAGTTTGGGTTCAATTCAGCTGCCGCTAATTAGTGAAGCCTTGGACAAGGACCAGATAGGGAGACTCAATGTCCCCACTGCCCAAGGGTCTCGTTGACAGAAGCTGCAGATTCTGACATGCAGGGTGTGGTCCTCATGGGTGACCTTGGCCTATGGGAAGATGTGCTACGAAATGTTTGGGACCCGGTGCAAAATAAAAACACTCACCCCCTCCTGAAAAAAAAGGTACAGATTTCAAGAATTACAGACTGCAACAGCAGAGCATTAAGCCTAGTGCAGGACACTTCTAAGTGTGGGCCCCCTCTAAGCACAAGCTCTGTGCAACTGCATGGGTAACATCCCCAAGAAGACGGCCCTGGCCTGGGATGACTGACTATTTTAGTTTGCTCCAGCCTGAGGGGTTGCACAAGAAGTCCAGTCCCAGCTTGGTCACAGCCCAGTGGCTGCACTGTGTCAGCTCAGCCTCCAGCAACTCACTGGACCCGAAGACCCCTCTGCCACATCCAGCTCTCTGGCCCAGAAGGCCCAAGTCAGCCCCTGCTTGCAGGTCAGCAGCACCACACATGGGAAGCTGGCTCCCTGCATGCCCGGCCATGCTGCCCTCCCTTGGACTCTGTGGGCCAGCCCAGCTGGCTTTGACCACCATGCCCAGTGCTTCTTCCAGAGGCCCAAGGGGGAGCATGGCAAGAGCTCTAGGCCCCCTTTGCTTCCCACAGCTTTTCTCTCACACACTCTTCCTTCCACAGCTGAAATCCCGGAGAAGGCAGTTTGAGAGGCTCCCATCCCATCTCCTCTTCCATCCCCAAGCCCCAGGGCCAAGCCTCAAGGTGGGCAGCTGTCTCCCACATTGTAGGAGAAACCTTCATCCCAGGCGCCCAGGCTTGAGGCACTCACGAGGCTCCAGAATCCCCTTCACGCCCAAGCCCAGTGTTCAAATTTTAAGAGGTCCAGATCATGCCCTCCTTCACCCTGGGGAGACCAGCCTTCTGGAGAGAAGGCAGCAAGGGAACAAGAGTGGAAGCTTTGAGGGGAGCAGTTCCTCTTTGTTGCACGGTGTCTGTGTTCTGCCTGCCATCGTGGCGGCCATGCATAGGTGTTGGCTAAGTTGGAGGCACCAGGCCAGGTGACAGGGACGCATTATCTCATATAATGGGCTCAACAACCCTTTGCAGGAGGTTCACCATCCTAGTTTTGCAGGGGATGAGATGAGGGTCTCTGAGAGGCCAAATCACGCAGCCCAAATCCCAAAGACTTGCCAGATGCCACGTTTCCAAATGGGACTCATCATCTCCCATGCCCCAAACCTGCTCCTCCCCTGGGCTTCCCTGTCAGAGGGCTGGGAGCTTTGCTCTCCTCCTCTCTCCCCCTTCTCTCAATAATCAGTTCCCAAATTCTGTGGGTGACAGCACCTCCACATGCACCTACAAGTCACCCTGCAAACACTGACCATCTGCCCTGAGACGACCTCTCCTCTCCGCAAACGGCCTCACCTCATTTCTGAGCTCCTGGCTGATGGCTGTTGTTCTGGTCTTGTTACCATTCCCTCATCCCAGCCATCCTCCACCCTGAATCGGGTGGCCCTTCAGAAACTGGAATCCAGAGCAGCTGCTGCTCTGGGAAGCCGCCTTCAGTGGCTCCCCACTAGCTGCCCCTCAAGGCCCTCCCACTCTCAGACATACCCTCACCTGCATCTCTCTCTTCCCGCTCTCACTCCTGGGCCCTGTGCTATGTCCTATGGCTGATCTAACAATCACCATAAATTTAGTGGCTTAAAACATCACACATTTATAATCTTACAGCTCGGAAGGTCAAAAATCCAAAATTGGGTTTCCCTGGGCTAAAATCAAGGTGTCAGCAGGGGTGCTTTCCTTCTGGAGACTTGGAGAGAATCCATTTTCTGCCTTTCCCAGCTTCTAGAAGCTTCCTGCATTCCTTGGCTCATGGACCCCACATTATTCTGACCTCTGCTTCCATCAGCTCATCTCCTCTCTCTGACCCTCCTGGCCACCTCTTATAAGCACCGTGTGATGACCTTGAACCTACCCATATAATCCAAAATTATCTCCCCATCTCAACATCCTTCACTTAATCGCACCTGCAAATTCCCTTCTGCCATGTAAGAAAACATAGTCACAGCTTCTGAGGATTAGGATGTGGACATTTCTGGGGCGCGTTATTCAGCCCACCGTAGCCCCCATGAAGTTTCCGGTTTGAGCTACTTGGAATTCTTTCATAATCTCTATATCATACTTTTTCCTAGTTATTCATTGCCTCCTTTTAAATCACAAAATGTTTGCTGTGATTTAAATGTATGTCTGTGTGCGTGACTCCCCTTCATCACCCTTGACACCCTTCATTCTTTAAGGCTTGGCTTGAGTCCATGTCTTCCTTGACTGCTGAGATGGTTGGGTGCCCCTTCTCTGGGCTCCTGCAGCCCCCGAGTTCACCTCCTCCCAGAATTGGGGGACACTTAGCTCCCTCTATCTCTGCAGCCAGCCCTTGGCATGATGCTTGGGACAGAGTAGGCCCTCAGTACATGTTTGTTGAATGAATCAGTGTGTGAAAAAAAACCTTTGTGTTGCTTCTAGGTTTCAAAGGCCAGTATGAGAGATGAGTTTAGACATCCCCAGATTGGTACCCATGTTTGGTGGGGGCCACAGGTGAGAATATTTCAGATTGAGTTTGTTCAAGAACATTCCAAATGAATGATTACCAAATAACAATAGAAGCAAGCTTACAAACAAAAGATCATAAAAACCAGAGGCAGGTGATTCATTCTGGCCTGCGGGTCTGGGAAGGCCTTGAAGGAAGTATGGGCTCTCCTCTGCAAGACAGAGAACTGGGGAAGTTGTTTGAAGCAGAGGGAGTAGCAGGAGGACAGGCACAGAGTCATGCAAGATAAAGAGGGAGAAGGGACATTCCTGTGTGATGATGTTAGAAATATGAGACAGGTCACCTCAGGTCACCCAGTGAGGCCATCGGAAGTCAACAAATGTTTCTGTGTCTGTGTGTTTTCAAGTCCAGAGATGACTCCAGTGGACAGCCAGCATGGAGAACCACTGGGCAAGAGAAAGAGGCTCCAGGTTGGAATGCAGGGAAACACTTTCACGTAAGGAGCAGGTGGAGGAGAAGCCAGGTGAGGAGATGAGAAATGATGAAGCAAAGGAGGCTGGGCACCGTGGCTTACTCCTGTAATCCTAGCACTTTGGGAGGCCAAGGCAGGCAGATCTCTTGAGCCCAGGGGTTTGAGACCAGCCTGGGCAACACGGCAAAACCCCATCTCTACAAAATAATACAAAAATTAGTCAGGCTTGGTGGTATGCGCCTGTAGTCCCAACTACTCAAGAGGCTGAGATAGGAGGATCACTTGAGCCTGGGAGGTCAAGGCTGCAGTGAGCTATGATCGTGCCACTGCATTCCAGCCTGGGTGATACAGCAAGAACCTGTCTCAAAAAAAAAAAAAAAAAAAAAAAAAAAAAAAAAAAGCAGCAGAAGCAGAGGAGAATCAGAAGAGAGAATTTGTTTATTCAGGAGGACACTATCTACAGTATTAAAACCTGCAGAATGGCCAAGGAGAGCAAAAGCCCAGGGTTACCATGATCTGACATTCAAGGCAGAGGACAGGATGTTCAGACCTCACAGGCAGTGAGTGGAGACTGAGTCGTGGAAGAGAGTCCATTGGTGGGGACAGAGAGAGGTCAGAACCCACTCCCATGTCTCCTCCCCACTCTACGACTTTGCTCTTCCTGGTGGACACCAGCCAGCAAATGCAGGTGACAGAAGCCTGGGAGAGGCCTGCTCCTGGAACCAGAGAACCAGCAGACCACCTGCACCAGGAGCTGTGTGAACTTGCAATTGCCTGGAGCAACTTTTAGGAAACATCAAAAACAACCTGAGAAAGCCTGGTGTGGTAGCCCAGGCCTGTCATCCTAGGTCCTTGGGAGGCTGAGACAGGAGGATCCCTTGAGCCCAGGAGTTCAAGTCTAGCCTGGGCAACACAGCAAGACCCTGTCTCTGAAACAAACAAGCAAACAAACAGAAAATCCAAAACAAAAAGCAAAGAAACCAAGCTGATAGAGACAGCTGTGGCTGTGAAGGCAGCTGAGGGGACGAGCTCCCAGGCAGATCAGATTCAGCCGAACCGCTGCTCCCTCGTCTGTTCCGGGCAGCCCTGGGCAATGGAAGAGGCCGTGGCTTCTCAGGCTGGTTCTCACAGTCACTAGCCTAGAGACCCCTTTGTAAAGGGGGGAGGACACCCATTCTGTTTCATTGGCTTTGTAAGCGATTAAGTGCCAGATAGCATGAGGGACACTGGGATGCCCAGAGCCTTGAGTACAAGGCCTGCAGAATCCACAAAGCCCACACACTAAAATGACCAAGACAGGGTCCTTCCTACTTCGTAATTGACTTCCTATCTCGTAGATGAACTGGAATGAGTTAAAATGAAAGGTGTTTCTAGCCCATCTAAAGTAGAACTTCTTGAAATATCTGTGGGCAAGATTCAAACAATATTTTAAAACAATTTTAATCCATTGTGGACTGATATTTTTGTAATGCAATATAAAGAAATTACTGGAAAGATGCAATAAAAAACCAGATTCCAACAGAATTACTCATCACATTTCCATCAATGTTCATATTCTCTCTTGATTTCTGTACTCATCTTGCTGCAGACCGATAAGAAGCCCCGTCTGTGAGCAGGCTTGGGTGTGAGTAGGGTTGATCTATCTTCTCACTGCTCAATGTCAACAGGTGGCATGGACATCACCTGGGAACTTGCTAGAACTCTAGCCTCTTGGGCCTCATCCCATTTCTGCTAAACCAGAATCTGCTTTTTTGACAAGATGCCCAACTGATTCGTGTGCATGTTAAAGTTTGTGGTGACACCCATGGCAGCTAAGACTCAGGAATGTTTTGCAGAATGAAGGAATTAACCAAAACCTCTACTCCCGAACCTCAATTTCCCATGACGTAAGAGCTAGTGACACAGACCTTCTTTCTGATGAGCAGGACCAGCTATGTAATTTGCAGAGCCCACTGCAAAAGGAAAAGGTGGGGGCTCCTTTTAAAAAAATCTTTGAGGGTTTCTAAGGTGGCGACAACCAAGCTGGGTCCTTCCAATGTGGGGCCACCTACAGGTCCCACCCTAGGAAGCTGCTGAGGTAAGACTGGGTCATTCTGGAGCCACTCATGCTAGCCAAGGAAAGTGATGAGAATTCTGCTCTGTTTCCATCTATTACCGACCATTGTCATTAAAAAGCTGCGACCCTTATCCTTTTTGAAGTTTATTTTTTCTTAATATGCAAATAGAAATGGCTTAAAATGGCTGTTATTCCAGTGTATAGAATTCTTTCAAAAATACAAATATGTGTGTGTCTATTAAAACGTGAATAGAAGCTCTATTTAGGGAAAGACAACTTGTGCTCATTTATTTTATTGACAGTGTACAGATTTTGATATATTGCATTACAATACTGACTGCTAGATTTCTTAGAAAGGTTTAGTTTAGATTGCTGTAGATTTTTTTCTTCACAATAAAAATAAACTCATGCCAGTGTTCAGTAACCAATAATATCAATTCATTCAAATTTAATGACAGTTTTATTAAACTAAGAATCTCATGTCACAGAGCATTCACAGTGCAGGAGGTCACAGTTATTGAAAAAATAAATAGCGGGATAAATATCCTCATTATTTACAACTTTTCAACTCGATGATCCTGCTTTGCCCATTAGAGAGAGAATGAACAAAGATGGTGGTGTTCAGCTCAGCGTGCCAGAACGATCTTGGGGTGACTTGAACAATGTGTGAACAGCCCCAGAAGTTCTTCGTTTTAGTTGTTTTTAAGGAGGTTCTTTCAGGACACAAGAGTCCTCTGATTCCATCTACCTGCTATTTGGTAGGTTCCCTCAGAAACCACACCCAGCCTGCATCCCCTTGGGCTTTGTGGATCTGCCTGGCCTCTCCTGGCTCGGCCCCTTCCTTAGCAACTCCTGTATCTACCCCTGGGCCTGGCTGCATCTGGCTGACAGCCTTTTTCCTCTCTAGGTAATCAAAGCTCTCTTTGTGCTCAGACACCAGCAACTATTCCCTGCTGGCGGCTGCTGGGCAGGAGACACAGGCAGAGGCGCCCTGCCAGGGAGTGTGTGCTCTGAAATGGAGACTCAGCCTCACAGACCAGCAACCCCCACTGTGGAGCTCCCCAAGAGTTGGCCACAGTGGCTCAGCCACAGTTCTGTCCGCAGGGTCTCCAGGTCCCCCAGGTCCAAGCCTCGTGCGGGAAGCTCAAGGAAGCAGACAGTGTGGTCATGGGGTCTGCAGCTTAGAGGGCAGGGATGAAAAGTGAGGGCAGAGATGCCCAGTGGCCAGAAAAAACTCACAAGAACAACTTATTTAGAAAAACAGAGCTGCCTTGTTCACACTCCAGTCATTTTTCAGGAGGGGAAAAGTCCTCTCTTCTTCCATTGAAAGAGGACTGCGCGTCTGTCCTGAATGGACTTGGGAAATTCTGTGTAGAGAATTCTGGAGTGACAGCAAAGAAGGCTCTGTTGTTTGGGACATTCCCTTTAGGCACAAAGGTAGATCACACCAAACCATGCATCTAGAAACCAAAAGCTGCACATTCCCTCTCTTGATAGCTTAAAACATTTGTTTTCCAGTGATGGGGTGATGAGGGTACTGACTCTCTGCAGGATTAAGAATTTTATTGGCCTGGCCCGTGGACAAGTCCCAACCAACATGTTGCATAAGAAGCAACTGCTTGGCGGGGCGCGGTGGCTCACGCTTGTAATCCAGCACTTTGGGAGGCCGGGGTGGGCGGATCACGAGATCAGGAGATCAAGACCATCCTGGCTAACACGGTGAAACCCTGTCTGTACCAAAAATACAAAAAATTAGCTGGGTGTGGTGGCAGGCGCCTGTAGTCCCAGCTACTCGGGAGGCTGAGGCAGGAGAATGGCATGAACCCGGGAGGCGGAGCTTGCAGTGAGTGGAGATCGCGCCACTGCACTCCAGCCTGGGCAACAGAGTGAGGCTCCATCTCAAAAAAAAAAAAAAAGAGAAAAAAAGAAGCAACTGCTTGGGCCGGGTGCAGGGGCTCACGCTTGTAATCCAGCACTTTGGGAGGTCAAGGCAGGAGGATCACTTGAGGCCAGGAGTTCAAGACCTACCTGGGGAACACAGCGAGATCCTGTCTCTAAAAAAAAAAAAAATGAAAACAAATTAGCTGTATGTGGTGGCATGTGCCTGTAGTCCTACCTACTTTTCAGGAGGATCACTTGAGCCTAGGAGTTTGAGGCTTTCGTGAGCTGTGATCAAGCCACTGCACTCCAGCCTGGGCAACAGAGTGAGGCCCTTTCTCAAAAAGAAAAAAAAAAAGCAACTGTTTGAATTCTAGCAACAGTGGGAACAGGTGTGGCTTAAGCCAGCATTTGTCACTGGGGTTATAACTAAGAAGCAGCCAATTCCCAGACCTGTAAATCCAAGGGATAGAAAAGCCACACAGCCAAGGGCTTGGCTTTCCCACAGGCACTCTGTGGATTTTCAGCTCTCAGAGATGCCACCCGTGGCCCTCAAATCCTGGTACCAGGGTATCCCAGCAGCAGACATGTTCCTAGACTAGACGAGAGTATACTGTCAGCCCTGTTTAGAAGCAGGAGGAAGATTCATAACTTTGACAACTGGACACTGACACCGTGAGATTGAATAAAGAGCCTTAGAAACATGCAGGTGAAAGACAACCCGTGCCCCTGGCAGTGTGTGCTTGTGAATGTTTGAGGATTTAACAGAGACTATGGCACCTGGGAGCCATTTGTCATTGAAAAGTTAGGAGGTTTAAAACCCCCATAAAATAACCAAAGCCCTAAAACCTCTCAGCTGGCTTCCCTGGAAAGATAGCTCCACCCTGGTTGCAGAACAGGAGGGAAAAGCCTCTTCTCCTGATTCCAGGTGGGCACCCATTTCCTTGCGCTGGGAGCACAGTGACAGGCTGGACATCCTCCCATTAGCTACCCGGCCTAAAGCTGAGCACAAAACTAGTGTCCCGATTGAGTTTTCTTTATCAACAAGCAAACACAGCAACCTAAATCAAAATGCCTTTTTTTGGCCAGGTGCGGTGGCTCACGCCTGTAATCTCAGCACTCTGGGAGGCCCAGGCGGGCGGATCACTTGAGGTCAGGAGTTCGAAACCAGCCTGGTCAGCATGGTGAAACTCCTTCTCTACTAAAAATCCAAAAATTAGCTGGGCATGGTGGCGCGTGCCTGTAGTCCCAGCTACCAGAGAGGCTGAGGTGGGAGAATCACTTGAACCCAGGAGGTGGAGGTTGCAACCAGCCAACATGGCGCCACTGCACTGAGTCTAGGCGACAGAGCGAGACCCTGTCTCAAAAAAAAAAAAAAAAGCCTTTTTAAAACCTGTACCCTGTGGATATGCCCTTTGGGGAACAGCTCTTTGCAGCAAGGCGAAGGGGCCCCCCACACAAGCCGGGCTGGTAAAGGCTGTGGCTCAAAGCGAACAGCAGAATCCCGTGTTCTCTGTCCTGTGGCACAGGCCTAGAGAAAGACCCCATCACTCTTGTTCCCATATAACTGACACAGTGGGGAAGATTTTCCCAAAGGACAGGAAGGGCCCCTCTCCATGCTTTGAGAAGCCCCAAGGGAGGCTTCATGCTTGAGGGGCTCACAGGATCAGCTACAGAGACCAGGAAATCCTTCGGGTGCACACACATAAAGAGAGCAAGCGCAGCGCTTCAGGCCCGGGGTAGATGGGGGTTGATGGACTTACTGCCACCCAAGAGCTGCCCACAGAGCATTTTCAGAAATTTCTAGAAGTTTCTATGGGCACGGTGTGCTGAAAGGAGGACCACCTCACGTGCCCCACGTACTCCTGCTAACTGCCCCCAGGGGAGGATGGTTCCCATGGAAATCACGTCTTGAGGGCATTAGAGAGACCATGAATATTTAGAGCATGGCATTTGGGTACAATCTCCTGAGGATTTTCACTCTAACAGGTAAGTTCTTTGTTTATTTGAGCCACACGCATTTGCTGAGAGTGGATCACAGGGACAGCACAGCCACCTTTTTCCAGCCAGGGAGGAGCATGGCCCAGAAGGAAAGGAAAGATGGGGATGCGAGACAAAAGACCAACCCCTCCCCCAAGGACCCATTCACCCAGGGCAGAAAGGTCTCTGCTTCTCAACTGCTGAATCCCAGGGGGAAAGTTCCAAAGTGTGGTAACAGAACCTTCCCTGTTCCAGTTTCCTAAGCCCCACTCACCCGTCGCCCATGGAGGGAAGGCACGGAAGGCAGCCTCAGCCGCTGGCGCTGGGATTCATTCGCTCTTGCTCTTTCCCAGGGGGGATGAACTCTGATCCTCTCCTGTCCCTCTGTCCACTCCAGCTTTAAGGAGGGAGAGGGGCCCCAGGATTCAGAGAGGAGAAAGGACAGGCAGAAAGACGGGTATCCAGCAATGACACCCCCCACACCCTTCCCAAAATCCCAGTCTGCTTGGGGAGTCCGGGTTCTCTGAGAGATGGGCTCCTGCTGATGCAATTAGGCTTGCAAATCCCCATAAACAGGGAAGAGCAGGTGGAAGAAACCTGGACCTTGGGCCGCCCAGGAACGGCCTTTGGTCAGGGTCTGTAGGACTGCCCTTGGGTGATAGACACACCCCACCTGGTCAGGGAAGCTTGGTGCATTATCAGCTGCTTAGGTCTGTTAAGGCAGGGGACCGACAGGGGCAAAAGCAAGAAACAGTCCTAACAGGTGAGGGGTAAGGAGCAGGTGAAAATTCACAAGGGCAGGCTGGGCGTGGTGGCTCACACCTGTAATCCCAGCACTTTGGGAAACCGAGGTGGGTGGATCACCTGAGGTCAGGAGTTTGAGACCAGCCTGGCCAACATGGTGAAAACCCGTCTCTACTAAAAATACAAAAATTAGCTGGGTGTGGTGGCGCACGCCTGTAATCCTCAGGAGGCTGAGGCACAAGAATTGCTTGAACCTGGGAGGCGGAGGTTGCAGTGAGCCAAGATGGCACCACTGCACTCCAGCCTGGGTGACACAGCAAGACGCTGTCTCAAAAAAAAAAGAAAAGAAAATTCATAAAGGCAGGCAGCTCTGTGCATAAGGAGGAGACACAAGTGACAAGGGGAAGAGGCATGGAGGCCAGCAGACTGTGGGTAACAGGAAGGATGGGGTGGGTAAGGCGAGGACTGTGTCCTGCCCACGGTGCCCTTAATCACCAGTCTCTCATTGCAGCTGACCCAGAACCTTCCTCCAGGGCCAGGTTTTCAAGATACTGGACACCTTCCACCCTAACCACGCTTGACCTGGTGAGGCAAAATTCCAAACCAGAAGTCCACAGGAACCACCTGCTCCTGTGTCTATAGGCATTTTCCATCTGAGTGCAATGGTTTTTTTTTTCTTTTCTGCCCCCAATGAGAAGAGCTAAATTCATTTTTTTAAATTGCCTATTTCTGTAGCAGAGTAATTATCCCATGCTAATGAGCTTTGGGAATAAAATAAAGTAATCCTGCGTAGTGATGAAAGCGTAATTTAAAAATGAAAGCCTAATTAATCATGCAATTCTTTAAATTTGTGATGGAAAAATATTTAGTTAAAAAAGAGAATTTTCCACCTACAGTGTACATATAGTTTTCCAGATTTAATAAATGCATAGATCCTTTAAAGGAAGTTACATTGGCACATTAAAGTCAAAAGAAAATTAGCCAAGAGGAGCATATTACATATTAAAAAACATTATTTTAGTTTCTAACTGCAACTTTAGAGACTAAGAGTATTCATTTAGAATCTCAAATGGGTTCTGCTGAGGAAGAGGAGGGTAATTAGGATACGTGTGCTCTGAAAGCTACACAAGGCTTCAGAGAATTGAAAACCAGCAGGGACGCCATCAGGGGCCATGTGGCCTGTGCCTTGCCATAGCTAAAAATAATTTTTGGTCCTTTTTTCAAGATAAAATAGAGGCATTGGATAGGGACAGATATTAGGAAATGACCTGAGGAACCCAGGAGTCAATGATATATTGATGAGGTTTTGACTCAAACAGTAAGAACCAACCAGGAGGGTAAAGTCATACCCACACTCACTCCCCAAGTGTGGCCAACTTACAGAGGCTGGCCTGGGAGGGGTGATGGACTGGTGCTTGGCCTCCCTTCTGCTATGACTGGCCATTGAACTAGAGACCCTTGACCTCTCCAAGACACTACTTTCTGTTAAGTGGGGAGAATAATCCCTACATACATCACAGAGCAGTTTGGAGAATCAAAACAGAGACAGAAGCACTTTGGAACCTGGATGAGCCTGTAAGATCGGAGGAACCAGGAGAACTTGGCTATTAAGGTGACAGAGTGGTCCCGAGGGCTCTGGAATCCCTGCAGCTGAAGTTTATACTGGTGAATCTACAGGGGCCCTGCCTTCCCTCTTTGCTGATTTCTTAGGAAAATCACCCTCGTCCTCAAGTTGAAGACCACTGAGCCCAATTTCTAGGTAAAAAAACAAAAAGAGAAGCCTGAACTTGGTGTAGCTACGATACTAATACTGATGTGAATCCCAAATAGAAGCCTGGTGGTGGGGGTGAGGTCCTGTCGCAGGCTCATGCAACAGGGAACTTCAGGGACACAAGCACGAACACTTCCTCCTTTTGAAACTCAGGAGGCCCTAAAGGGCACAGTCAGAAATTCCAACCAGCGTCACGATCTTTGAGTCTCAGGAAGGGATTAGCTACTGGATTTAAACTCATCACCAAGTTTAAAGTGATGTCTGGTGAATCACAAAAAAATGTTCTTTCCTCTTACATCATCATGGGTAGTTCCCATACATTCATCCGTGCAAAATATCTCAATATTCAAAGTGCATCAAATCGGATAGACTTTTGCAATAGAAATATTAAAAAAATAAAAAACCTCTCTATAAAATTAATTGTGCTTTCTTTTTAGAAATCATAAACCATAAATGGTTTGTATTCATAAATCTTTTAAATATATATTTGAGAGCTATCAAGTGGTCGAAGATTATTTTATATTTTTCTATCTAGTTTTGAGTCAGCCTCCCATTCTTGGCCTGCCACGTGTAGAAACTACGTGGTTCCAGAAGCTTAGCTCTAAATATTCTAAATTCTGATTTTCACACTTGCCTTCAGCTAACCAGAAAGCAGTTTGTTGTTTTTCAGGCAATCTCTTCTCGTCATTAACCAGCACTTCTGACACACTCAGTTCAGTTCAGCAGGCTATGAAATTTGTTGGGCATATAAATAACTGGAACTTTCAACAGGGTGGTTTTGAAACTAGAGCATTAACCAATAAATGACAAACCCACAAGGACAGTGCATTGTGTCACATAGAAGATCTGGAAAGTACAGCTGTAAACTATAATCTCCAGTCTCTGAGTTAGCACCTTTCCACGTTAGTCTCTTACCTTTTTCCCTATTCCAAACCAAACACCTCAGTGCCAATGCAAGATGGCATACAGAGGATTTGTGTCTTTACGATCATTACTTTTTTGGTGTGTATCATGATCCTTTCATATGGAATGATAATTTTCAAGTATGATGACCTATATGATGTTTCATTTTTTAATATTTCATTGCTTATTCTCTGAATGCATCAATAAAAGTGAGAAGAATATTCACTCATTTTCTCTCTTCCACAGAAAAAAATTATTTTCATTCTTCCAGTTTTTCCAGGAAAAGGGGTAGAATGTCTGCCATCATGGGCCCTAAACCCCAACAGGTTGAGGTCTTGCCCCTTCCAAACTGTGGCTGCTTCCAGCAAAAGTCAGAGGCTCCCAGGAGCACATGCTGCCTAAGGAACCACCTCTGGGCTGGAGGTGACACTTGAGAACAACATTCCTATTTTGCACCTGCCCTATGAGATCTTGTGCTCACAAATGACCTCAATTCTGAAGCTGCCTGCAGAACAGAAAGACAAACTGCATGCAGAAGTCCTTCTGACTAAAGTGTGCAGGAGAGATGAGATGCTTGGCACATCTCCGTGGTTGGCAGCTCAGGGGTCTTTGAAGCTGCTCAGATAATGGCCCCCAAATCCAGCCTTGCAGGGGCGGAACTCCAAGGAGGAGGAGGATGCCCAGCAGCCTGGCCTGTGGCCAGACAAAGACCACGATGGCTCTTCCTTCCAGTGTGTGAAAGAACGGACAGTGGCTGCCTATGCAGGAGAGACCTGTGGTGGGGGAAGGAGGGGAGAGGAGAACGCCAGTGTCACAGGGTGTCCAGATCAGCTCCCAGGGGCCGCGACTCAGCGCTAATCGTCTTCCCGGCACATCGGCAAGTTGACGAAGGTAAAGACGTTAAACTCTATCATTATGGAGAAGCACAAGAAGATGGCGTAGAGAACCAGCACGTAGACACCCAGCTTCCGGTCCAGTCGCCACTTGTTTAGGTGGATGCCGAGGACCTGGGAGGACAGAGTGTGGGAACTGGGCTTGCAGGGCAAAGAAATACAAGAGGCATTTCTACTGGAAAGCGACACCTATGTGGGGAAACCTAGAACATTCTGCAGAATGTGGGCAAGTGTAGCGGGGTGCTGCAGTCTGATCCTCAGTTTGACCAGAATAAGCCCTAGAGGGCTTAGACTTGCCCCATGAAAGGGCGAGTCTCTGTCCTAGCCGCATTGACTCAGGGATACACAGCAGCCGCCCTCATGGGACCGGCCCTCCCCAGGCAGGCACGTCACTTCCTCCCGGCTGGTCGTAGGCATGTGGTCCTCCTTGCCCAGGCCTTCTCTAGAGACAAATGGGGGCTTTAGCTGGATGACCCCTGTGCTTCAGAGCGTGGAACCATGGTCTTTTCCCTTGTCTCCTTAGCACAATTTCCAAGGCTCCTATGGACCCCTGGCTGGGCAAATCTTTCTCTGTGTGTGTGTGTGTGTGTGTGTGTGTGTGTGTGTGTGTGTGTGTGTGTGTGTGTGTGTTTGGGGTAGAGGGTTAAAGCACGGAATTATCTTACATTCCTCCCTGATCCTTCTATCTTTCCTTCCACTGCCTTCCTCCTTGTCCCTCGATCAAGGCTTCCTGGGGCTGGATCCCAGGAACCTCACTGGAGCACTGCGAGTAAAAAGTCAGAGTTCCCTAAGGACAGACCAACCTGGGTTCAAATCCTAGCTTTGCCATTGCCCAATTCTGTGACCTTGGGAAAGTTAACCCCTGAGCCCCGATTTCTTCTGCAATGGGAATGATAGCACCTCCCTCATCAGGTGGTTGTAAGGATAGAATAAAGTGACGCTGAAGTCAAGTGCTCAGCACAGACCTGGACATGTAGGGTAGGGAGGCCTCAATTATTCCGACGTGCCATCCTGAGGGATGTCATGCCTCCCATTTGTCAGCTCAGATGCGCAGGGGAGGATCTCTCTCCTACTGGCACTAGAGAGGAACTGGACCAGGCAGCAAGAAAGGAAATGCAATTCGCTTCCTCTGGGGACTTCTTATGTACTCAGCAAAAGCACAGCGAGAGTGCCAATGCTCTTGGCAAAGACTGGACTTGGGTGTGTCTATGAACGTCTACATTTTCTTGCCTTTATCCTTCACTACCAAGGGAAGTGACAGGGGTGTACAGAGTCACGTAAGTGACGAGGCGGAATCAGATGAAATCAAGTATGCATGAGGCATCTGTTTTGGAATTGTAAAGACTCACGGTGAGAGCGACAGAGCCCAGCAACAGGACCACGGAATAGACCAGCCCCCGGCTGTTGATCTTCACCTGGAAAATCAAACACACGTGCCCTGAGTCTCTTGACTGCTCAGAGCCAATCCATCCAGAAATCCCAGCATGCCTGGGCCCAATGCATTCCCTCATCAGGAAAACACAGGTGTTTACAGGTGACCACATGGTCGTGGAGGGTCAGGAAAATACGGATTCAAGTCACGACCCTGCTCATCTGAGGAGACAGCCTGGGATGGGGAGAGGCACGCCAGCGGGCTGAGGTGAGGAGTGGAAGTGTAGACATCCCTAAGGTGCTCTAGAAGCCGCCATGGAAAATGGGTGTCTGAGTGCCAAGGAGAGGAGGAGGTCGTCTCCTAGAGCCTCTGGCTGGAACTGGGCCAACACCACTAGCCTTCTGGGTAAAACACATCTGTTAAAGGTGAGAGGAACTTACTGTTGATCCATAATTAACAACCATGGTCTGCAGGCCCCACGGTACACCAAGTCCTACCAGGATGTCAAACACGTTGCTTCCTATGGTGTTGGAGACTGCCATGTCCCCAAGGCCTGCAGGGGACAACAACACATTTATTTTATAAGAGCAGGTCACCAGAAGCCTGTATTCTTTCTCCTAACTGTTCTATCAGTGCCATTCCTTGGAAAGCAATTCCTTCTGCAAGGACCTTACATTTCTAAACCTTTTCATAAGGCCTCAGATCCATGCCCTTCCTGAAGCCTAAAGGGGACTATTATGGGTTGACTGTGACCCTCCAAATTCATATGTTGAAGTTCTAACCCTCAGTACCTAAGAATGTGGCTTTATTTGGAGATAGGGTCTTTATAGAAGTAACAGGTTAAAATGAGGTCGTTAGGGTCTTAATCCAATATGACTGGATTTTTTCTTCACAATAAAAATAAACTCATGCCAGTGTTCAGTAACCAATAATATCAATTCATTCAAATTTAATGACAGTTTTATTAAACTAAGAATCTCATGTCACAGAGCATTCACAGTGCAGGAGGTCACAGTTATTGAAAAAATAAATAGCGGGATAAATATACTCATTATTTACAACTTTTCAACTCGATGATCCTGCTTTGCCCATTAGAGAGAGAATGAACAAAGATGGTGGTGTTCAGCTCAGCATGCCAGAACGATCTTGGGGTGACTCGAACAATGTGTGAACAGCCCCAGAAGTTCTTGGTTTTAGTTGTTTTTAAGGAGGTTCTTTCAGGACACAAGAATCCTTATAAAAAGGAGAAAACTGGACATGCAGGGAGAACCTGGGCAAAGATGAAGACAGCCAAGGGCAGAGAGGCAAGAGGGGCCTGGGACAGACTCTCCTTCAGGCTTCTGGCCTCCGGAACCACAAGACAATACACTTCCGTTGTTTACGGCACCCCGTTTGTGGGAACGAAGCCTAGCAGATGCATGCGGGCCCTTCATGATCTCTCCTGCCAGGCTTGTCAGCTGATGTTCTATGAGGACTCCCGGCCACTGCGCCTCACTTCATGTTCCCAGCTACCCTGGGCTGGAGGCCGGAGTGGGGCATAACCTCGCGTGACAGAAGATGAAACTGAGGCTTGGGATGTGCCCAAGGGCACAGTTTGCAGGCGGCCCAAGGTCCCCTGGTACAGCATCCTTTTTACCAAGCCTTGAAGCATATTTGGGACCCAGGCAACAGCACCCACGACCCTGCCTGGGAATCACAGGATATCGGATTGTATGCTCTGGTAGTTTCTGAAGGGTGAGCTCTCTTTCCCCAACCAGGCTAGAAGCACATCAGAGGCTGGGGCCCATGTCCTCGTCCTTCCCCTTCCTGTCCAGCTGTCCAGTATCCAGCTAGCCACACAATCAGGAAGTTAGTAACTGGAGAGGCATATAATTAAGAAAGCAAACTTTTGTAAGTAAGACTCGTACTGGCTGGAATCTGCCCTAACCCGGCCACTGAGCCATACTTCCACACCACTGTCCTAACCTGGCACACATACACATGTTTTTGGAATGAACAAACCTGAAACGCACATGCCTAGAACCACAACATTGCTTTGGTAGCTGGCACATACGGCAGGCAACTCAGATCGGCACCCACACAGGTGGCCCATCTCTGTTCGACTGCCAGCCCGCCCATGTTGCATAGCTAGGTCACCTCCTCCTCCCCTGCTTGTTGCTGTCATCTGTTGGCCCCTTACACTCCTCCTCCCAGCCTGCCCCAGGCACTTTTCTGAGTGACTTCAAAATCTCTTAGCTTAGTCCTGTTAGGAGTGGCGTCTCTGGGAACCTGGACTTCTGGTCTGTCAGTGTCCGGTAAGATGCGGGAACATGCAGCAACTGTTGTGGCCCAGTTAGTTGCACCTGGTGAAGAGGCAGGCACTCCGGCAGGTCAGGAGGGTAGGAAGGTGCCTGAGTTTGCAGAGGAGGGGATGAGCGGGTCTCAGGTTTGGTGGACTTCCCGCTCTGCACAAACGGGGCTGCCGGCAGCTGTGTGAGCCTTTGAGGACTTCTAGGGCAGTGCGACTCAAATTTTAGTGAGAACAGGAATCACCTGGGGGTCTTGTGAAAATGCAGATTCTGATTCAGTGGGTCTGGGGCACAGCTTGGGAGTCTGCATTTCTCATCAGCTCCCAGGTCAAGCCGATGCTCGGGGCTAGGACCATGCTATGTGCTGCGGGCCTGGAGGGAGGCCAGGATATGGTGCCTCGGGTTAGAGCACGTGCTGCACAGCCTCCTGGTTTGTACAGCAGGCTCTGAACAGGGGTTCCTGGATCTTTTGTCATCAGGAAGCTATTTTTTTTTTCTTTTTGAGACGAAGTCTCCCTCTGTCGCCTAGGCTGGAGTGCAGTGGTTCACTGTAACATCTGCCTCCTGGGTTCAAGCAATTCTCCTGCCTCAGCCTCCCGAGTAGCTGCAATTACAGGTGTGCACCACCACGCCTGGCTAATTTTTTTTATTTTTAGTAGAGACGGGGTTTCACCATGTTGGCCAGGCTGGTCTCAAACTCCTGACCTCAGGTGATCCGCCCACCTCGACCTCCCAAAGTGCTGGGATTACAGGTATGACCCACCGCGCCCAGCCAGGAAGCTATTTTTAACCATGTTTGTTGGAGTCCCTGTCAATCATATCAATGTTACCCTGAGGACTATTACGCAACCCCCGCCCCTGGCCTCACCCTTCCTCAGTTTCTGTACTTCCACATTTCGCTGTAGCCACTCTGAGATGATGTGCTGCTTCAGAGCCCCATCTGTCCCTTGGTCCTAACAGAGACCCTTTGTTGATCTTACTGGGACACTCCCCACTCCTGCAAGCCCTTAAACTTCCAGCATCCTAACACCCCTCCCTAGCCTGAACTCCAGGGCCAGTTGTTTAAACTGCACATTTCCTTGTCCCTTGACCTTCCACTGTGTCCACCCAGCTGACTCTGGCTAGGGATGAACTTGTCATCTGTGCACCGCTGGCGCTGGCATGACTGAATCCCACCAAGTTCATGTCGCTGAACATCGGCCAGGGCCCCGGTGCTCACCAGCTTTCCTTGTACTCACTGTACTGGGCTGAGTACCCTGCCCCCATTCATGTCCATCTGGAACCTGTGAATGTGACTTTATTTGGAAATAGGGTCTCTGAGGATGTACTCAAATTAAGGTAAGGTCATACTAAATTAGACCCGGTGCTCACCAGCTTTCCTTGTACTCACTGTACTGGGCTGAGTACCCTGCCCCCATTCATGTCCATCTGGAACCTGTGAATGTGACTTTATTTGGAAATAGGGTCTCTGAGGATGTACTCAAATTAAGGTAAGGTCATACTAAATTAGAGTGAGTTCTAATCTGATGACTGGTCTCCTTATAGGAAGGAGGAAGTCTGCTGGGTGCAGTGGCTCATGCTGGTAATCCCAGCACTTTGGGAGGCTGAGACAGGTGGATCACTTGAGGTCAGGAGTTTGAGACTAGCCTGGCCAACATGGTGAAACCTTGTCTCTACTAAAAATACAAAAATTAGCTGGGTGTGGTGGCATGTGCCCGTAGTCCTGGCTACTCGGAAGGGTGAGGCAGGAGAACCGCTTGAACCCAGGGGGCAGAGGCTGCAGTAAGCCGAGATCACGCCATTGTACTCCAGCCTGGGTGACAGAGTGAGACTCCATCACAAAAAAAAAAAAAAAGAGGAAGAAGGAGGAGGAGGAGGAGAAGGATGGAAGGAAGGAAGGAAGGGGAGGAGGAGGAAAAGGAGGAGGAGCGAGAGGAGGAGGAGGAGGAGGAGCAGGAGGAGGAAGTCGACACAGACATACCAAGGGAAGAATGCGGTGTGAAGGCAGAGGCAGAGATTGGAGTGATGCAGCTACAAGCCAGGGAGACCCAAGGATTGCGTGACCACTGGAAGCTAGGAAGGGGCAAGGAAGGTTCCTCCCCTAGAGCCTTCAAGGGACCATGGCCCTGCTGACACCTGACTTTCAGACTTTTAGCTGCCAGAGCTGTGAGACAATGAACTTCTGTCATTTTAAGGCACCCCATTGTGGCACTTTGTTATGACTCCCCTAGGAAACTAACACGCTCACATCAAAGATCACTCAGTTAAATTCCATTCCTCCCTCAGCTGCTGTCCCTAACTGTCCCCATTCGCTGTCAGGGCCCTGCCGACCAGCAAACGTACTTCCACTCTTCCTTTCCCCTCATCTCGTGGTTTCTCAGGCTCAACTCACTAACCAACCAATCAACCCTTTATCTTGGAGGAATAACACGTCCTGTCTCTCTTCCCAAAGCCAACCTCTCTCTTTGGGCACTGTTCTCTTCTGTCTCCTGTGAGATTTTACGCCATTATTCACCCATCCCCATCCCTATACTTTCAAACTCTGTGCTGTGAGGAAGATCTGTGGATGTCCATGCTGGGATGCTACCTGGCTAGCAGAAAAGAAGTCAGTAAAACCTGCACTTGTTACAGCTCTTTTGTTCCACCATCAAAGCTCATACACTCACTCCTTGTGTTGCTCAGCCCATGCCACGTAGTAAGCCCAAAACGAAAACCACCAAACAAACCAAAACATTATACACGTTCTAGAGGTCAGAAGAAGAATGGGGGAGTTGGATGTATAGGATGCCAGTGCTTTGCCTTTCTGGGACCAGAATGTTTCTTGTTATTAGCTCATTTGCTGTATAAAGTCTGGGCTTGGCCTCTGTTCAATCTCACATTGACTGCTGACCTCAGAACATTTTTGTTTTTATACAACCACACTAGCAAAAGCTTCTAGATAGAGGTCTGGAGGAGTTCATCTTGGTAGCATTCTCTCTGTGGATGGAATCTAATAAATGATGCTTTCTAGATGTCGCAGTTTTTCTCCACAGCAGGACTTGACAACTGCCAGTCATAAGAGCCACAACTTGGTCAACTGTAAGTCAGGCAGGGACGAGGACACAGTGGCCTGCACTGCATGACTATGAGGGCTGGGGCATAATCCATACCTTGTCTCGCCACAATTAGGCTGGCCATGCAGTCTGGAACACTTGTCCCTGCTGCCAGGAAAGTAATGCCCATGATGACATCCGGGATCCCAAGTGTGTATCCGATAATAGTCACCTGCAGAATGTGGGGTGGAGACATGAACTCTCAACCAACAGTGTGTGGACTAAAGAAATATTCCTAGTATTAGAGACACTGTAAGCGTAGGAAACAGTTATTTTAGAATTACTGGGGCTGCCTCTTTTAAAACAAAACAAAACAAAACAAAAAAAACCCCCACTGAACTACGAGGCTAAGAAGCCAAAGGATGGAAGGATGGAAGGAAGGTCTTGAGTGTGCACATACCATCCAGAGTGCTCAGGACCAGGGATGCCACATGAACCCTGCTTTACCCTGGACTCCATGCCCAGGCCCTCTGAGCCCTCCAACACTCAGGCTTCAGACCAGGAAGCAGATTCAAGTCCAGGACCCTGGCGGCTGGTCTTGGCTCTGCCCTGCCTGTCTGTGTGACTTTACAGAAGTCATTTCTTCTCTTTGGTCCTCAGTTTCCCCAACTGCACAAGTGTTCTGGGGAAATGGACAATCCATTTCCAAGGCCTCTCCCTTTTGACACTGATATTCAAGAATCATTCTTCCAAAGCCTTGGGGGTGAGAGATGTATTAATAAAAGGTGGAGGTACAGGGGATGGACAGGTGGGGCTTCACTGCTTGCTGGAGCCTCACCAGGACATAGTGAAAGTAAGCGCAGGGTGCTGAGGTGGGCACATCTTGCATAGGCAGAGATCAAGGCTAACGTGGACACTGCCTTCTTTATAGACTTTTACTGTCAAGGCCATTCTACTCCCCCAGAATGAGGCTATTTGAAGTTCAAACCCATAGGTAAGAGTGCCCCAGTAAAGTGGTTCCTGTGACCCCATGACCCTGGTTTAAGAAACAAGGGTGGGGTTTATACCTCAAGGTGGTGGGGGTTGGAGTATCCTGTCTCACTGAAAATTAGCAGAACTGATTTAATCATATGGTTATTTTCTGTAACTAGAGAAGAATTTCACATATTCATTAATTTGATCTTCCTGATTCTCTCACCCACTCAAATGTCATGAAATACTTTTTTTTTTTACTTGTAATGTTGTTTTGGAAATACACTTCAGTAAGAGAAATCGCTGGATCCTTTCTTTAAAATGTAAGATGAACTGGCCTTTAATTTTATTCAGAAAAATTAAAAATTGCAAATCCAATTCACTTAAGGCACAGTTTTCTTTATCTCTGATTGTCATCTTTTTCTAGGGAGTTTTTTTTTTTCTTTTCTTTTTTCTGAGACAGGATCTTGCTCTGCTCCATAGCCCAGGCTGGAGTGCAGTGGATTGACCATGGCTCACTGTGGCCTCAACCTCTCGGGTTTAAGCAATCCTCCCACTTCAGCCTCCTGAGTAGCTGCAACTACAGGTGCATGCCACCACACCTGGCTAATTTTTTTAATTTTTTGTAGACACAGGGTCTCACTATGTTGCCCAGGCTGGTCTTGAACTCCTGGGCTCAAGTGATCCTCCTGCCTTGGCCTCCCGAAGTGCTGGGATTACAGGTGTGAGCCACCACACCCAGTCTCTAGGGAGTTTAGATAGTAACTAATTCCAAATCTTCTTCCCCATCCCCCATATGGAGTGGGCTGTGGGGACTTTAATCTTCATCATGGAAGCATGGAAACAGCACTGCTGCATCTCATGGTGAAAATGGCTAATATTTACTGTCATGAGCAACCAACCATGCTGCAAACTCAAATCACAATGCTTGAACAAGATGAAGTAAGATTAGGTTGAAATTGGGTATAATGTACACAACACTAACTCGACACAAGAAGGGCACTATAAGAAATCACACTACTCAGTGGCCAAACTGTGTATTATTCAGCAACGCTCATGATCATCTGACTGTTACCAGGTAATCACCCTTAATTGGCTGTTGGTTTCAATAAGCGGCTAACGACTGGATGCTTCTGACACAGTCTAACCAAACTGTTTTGGGCTGGGAGTAGGGTGTGAAAGGGAGTGGTCAGGAGGGACATGAATGAGGTTCTGGGGGACTTGAATGTTCAAGTGTCCCCATGTCCCCCATTTAGCTGAACCAAGGCCAGGGTGTTCCAAGTGTGAGTGCCTGGGGCTGGGGCAGATGCTGGGGTCCTGGAGGCTTGGAGTGGTTCTGCCTCTCCTGAGTTACATGACTTGTTTCATTCACTAAAACACAATCACAGAGTCCATCCTGAGCTTCTTTTTGGGATACAGAGCTCTAAGCCGGTACCAGGAGTCACAGAGTCCGTCCTGAGCTTCCTTTTGGGATACAGAGCTCTAAGCAGGTACCAGAAGAAAGGGAGAAAGGGAACAGGCTGGGGGCAGCACCTTCCACCAGCTGGTGTCTTGGGGAGGCTCTGCCACAGGGACAGGAGGGCTGCTGCATGAGTAAGGACACTCACAGAGGTTGCGGCAGGTCTCTGATCAGCCTGAGGAAGCATCTGAGGTGAGGGAGCCGGCCAAAGGGTGGGATTTCAGGAAAGCATAGGCAAAATGGCTCCCATACACTGTTTAGAATTCCAGTAATGCTCTGGGAGAGATGGGGGAAGGCGTGATTGGGTTGGGGGGAGGGAAGAGACAGGATTGGCCAAGTGCCTAGAATGTGCTGGGCTCTCTTTTCATTCTCCCAATGGCCTTGTAAGAGAGTGATGATCACCCCCACTTCATAGAGGGAGTCACCAGCTTCTGTGGTTTGCAAGAGGTAGGACTAGGATTCAGCGCTGTTCTCATGTGATCCAGGATCCTTTGTTCCCCACCAAACGACACGGTTTCTCTGGAGTTAAGGGAAAGGTGGCCCCTGGGCCAGCATGGAACGTTTACTGGCCCTGCTGTCTCTCATGTCAAGATCGCTTGCCTTCTCTGCTGCTGGTGTCAGGCATTAGGAGGAGAATAAAGGGACTCGATGTTAACCACTAGGGTGTAAGGGGCTGAGAGTGAGTTTCACAATCAACAGAACTGCAGCCATGCTGGAACTGCTTCCCCTCTCTTTGCTCCTGGGAATGAGGAGGAGAAGAAGGGACCCCATTAGGTGGTATACAGAGAGTGGGGAAGGAGGCTCCTGTGTGGCCTGACCCAGCCCAGCCCAGCCGATGAAAGGTTTACATGGGGACTTGTCCTGTATGGCCATAGGAGCTTATGAGGAGCTACACCAATGCCTCTCTGCCTGCAAAACTCCCATCCAACGAAATCTGAAAAGTCCAGTAGCAAACTGAGAGGCAGCTTATGGTAGTAGTTGAGATCATGGGCTTAGGAGATCAATACCTGGGTCCTAATCCTAACTCTGGCACTCACTAACTGTGTAACCTTGGGGAAATTACTCAATTTCTCTATGCCTCGATTTCCCCCATTCGTTAGATGGAGATAATAGCACCCATCCCATGGGGCTGTTATGAGGATAAGAAAGAGTTTATATGAAGGGCTTAAACCAGCACCAGCACATCAGTGGGGGGAGGAGCATTCCTGGGCAGGAGCAAGGAACAAGCTGCCTTGTGTTCAACCTCATCTCCCTTGACTCCAGTCTCCTTCCTTCACATTCCCTTGGGACCCTGGAAACCAAGGGGGCTTGGTGATCATCCACCTGTCATATTGCTCTGCCTGTAACACCAGAACAGTGTGATTTAGGCTGCCTGTGCAAAGGTTGGTCCCCTTCCCTCACACTCGAAGGCAGGCACTGTGCTGTGTCTCTGCATTCCGGGTACCTGACACAGAGTCATGCACCTCATTCAAACCCTTTTCTACTGAGAAATACGCTGTGGTCAGTGAGGCCAGTGACTCGCCCAAAGGTGGCACAGCAGTACCTGTGGTTAGCCTTGAACCCAGCTCTCCACCTCTCCCTGGCTGTGCACACAGTCCACCCCCTGCTCCCCCCACTCACCAGCCACACCATGATGTAGGAGAACACAGCGATCCACAGCGTGGCGGTGATGAAGGTGACCATGAAGAACTTCTCCCAGCGGGGCTTGCTGCAGTTGGGAATGGTGACGCACAGGAGGAAGATGAGGGGCCAGGTGAACACCCACTTGACCTTGTCCCCTCTGGCCTCTGCAGGGTGAAGGGGCAGAGTGAGAAAGGAGGGGGAGAGAAAGACACTGGGTAACACACCTGCCAGTCTACCTGTCGATTTAGTCTTCAAGCTAAATAAGAGAATGCCACCGATGTGACTCTAGGCAACTGACCTTGCAGAATCACAGAACTCCATAATGTCACCCTGGAAGTGGCAAGACAATTCAGTAAGTGTTTGTTGCTTGAATAACTTAAGTCATTCCAAATCCTTCATTTGACAGGATAAGGAAAGTGAGGCTGAGGGGGAACAGACTCACCCAGAGGAGCTGGAATGGGGATGTGAGTTATGGTTGGGCTTTGAAGACAGACAGCCCTGGGCTGGAAGTCAAAGGACCTTGAGAATCCCAACTCTACTTCCTCCTCTGACAATAATAACTTAGATGTAACAACAACAGGGCAGCAATAATCAACACATCCAGCATTTGCCATGTGCTGCAGGCACAGTGCTAAGTGCTTTGCATCTTATTGGTTTCCTCATCTGTTAAATGAGAAAGGTATCTCCTTCTTGGTTGTTGCAAGAATGATATGACAGAGTGTACATAAAACACCCAGCACACGGGGCCTGGCACACAGCAGGTGCTTTGGAAATCTCAGCTCCTTTGTCCCAAGGTCATGTAGTCAAGACTGGTGCAAGACTAAATGTGTGCCCTGGCTGCAGTCCAGATCTCACTGGCCCCTACCAAGGGAATCCAGAAACAATTCAATGGAGGAAAAGAGGCCTCATAAGCCATTGAGTGTAAGCATAGTTTCCTTAATAAGCCACTGAAGATAGGTGTGCACAAGCAGGTTAAAAACTGGCCTGCTCATCAATGAAATGGTGGAGGAAGGACTTCTGCAATTTTTATTTTTTGTAGAAGCATTGAGAACAACAGCAAAAAATTGTCAGAATCAACGTTTTCAGAGCTCCAGAATTAACCTAAGGTTTGCAGCAATCCAGGGAATATCTATTTAAAAAAATCAGTTGGACCTTAGTAAGAACAGTGAACTCTGTGGAGTTTTAACTTTCCCTATTTTTATTCCTTCTTGTCAGGTCTGGAGTAGTTTTGAAATCCAGCAGCATGCAACCACATTGAAAAACAGCAGGCTAGCAGCCACAAGAGGGGGCAGAACAAGGTTGGAGGACCTCCCAAGTTCATTCCCACAGAATTGTTATTATTTGACCTGTCTGGTGGTTTCTTAGAAGACTCCACTTTCAAGGCTGTCTTTATTTTACCAGAATCTGAGCTTACCCAGTGTGAATAGCTTTTTACTTGGAGGTGTTTGTCAAAAACAATTAGAGGCAATTATTAAATCATGTTGCTGGAAGTGGCAGATGACAGCTGGGACAAACAATAGGTTAACCAAAAAGCATAAAAGGAAAAGCTGGGGAATGAGACATCCACAGTGGGCTTTGAAAAGCTCCTAGATATCTCTGGGAATCTAACAGACCATGAGCATGCACAGGGCTGTGCCCAGGGTTCTACACATGCTCAGGAAAGACTCGAGACTGCTGTAAGCTTTCATCTCTGCCTAACTTTGAGGCTCTGTGCAAATAAGAAGGAAAGGCTACTATAGAGTTGTGAACTACCCGCCTGAGTGTTGGAGGCATGCCCCAAAACACATACAGAGTCCCTTGGCAAAGACTGGGAGAACGATTGGATCCAGGAACCTAGGGAATTTTCTGTCTAATCATTAGCTGACCTCTAGGCTAACCTAGCAGAGACTTCAGTGGCCACACACAACAAAGAATATGAATTTTACAGAATTAGTTTAGAAAAGTCACTAAACAAGCAACAATAATAAAGAGTAACAACCACAAACCCTAGAACAGGAGATAATCTCCTGTTCTCCAACCACAATGGAACAGAATTAGAAACCAATAACAGAAGGAAAACTGGAAAATTCACGAATACATGGGAAATGAAATAACATACTCCTAAATAAAGGGTCAAAGAAGAAAGCACAAAAAAATTAGAAAATACTTTGAGATGAATCAAAAAAATGTAACACACTAAAGCTTATGGGATATAGTGAAAACAGTACTTAGGAATGCATAGCCGTAAAATACCTATATTAAAAAAGGGAAAGGCCGGGCGTGGTGGCTCACGCCTGTAATCCCAGCACTTTGGGAGGCCGAGGCGGGTGGATCATGAGGTCAGGAGATCGAGACCATCCTGGCTAACAAGGTGAAACCCCGTCTCTACTAAAAATACAAAAAATTAGCCGGGCGTGGTGGCGGGCGCCTGTAGTCCCAGCTACTCGGGAGGCTGAGGCAGGAGAATGGCGTGAACCCGGGAAGTGGAGCTTGCAGTGAGCTGAGATTGTGCCACTGCAGTCCGCAGTTCGGCCTGGGCGACAGAGCAAGACTCCATCTCAAAAAAAAAAAAAAAAAAGGGAAAGATCTCAAATCAATGTCCAAACCTTTCTCCTTAAGAAAAATAAAAGAAGAAAAGAAAATGAAGTCCAAAGAAAGCAGAAGGAAGGAAAAGAATCAAGGTTAGAGTGAAAATAAATGAAATAGAAAATAAAAAAAAATACAAAGAATCAAAGAAATTGAAAGTTGCCTCTTTGAAAAGATCAATAAAATTGACAAACCTTTAGCTAGACTGACCAAGAAAAAAAGAGAGAAGATTCAAATTACTAAAATCAGGAATAAAACAGGGACATCACTATGAACATTACAAAAATAAAACAAACTATTAGGGAATACTACGAAGAATCCTAACAGACAAAATTCTGCAAAGGTACAAACTACCAAAACTGACTCAGAAAGGAACAGAAAATCTGAATAGATTTAAAACAAGATTGAAACAGCAATTTAAAATTTTCCCTTAAAGTAAAGCCAGGACCAGATGGCTTCATGGTGACTTCTACCAAATGTTTAAAGAAGAATTAACATGACTCCTTCTCAAACTCTTTCAAAAAATAGAACAGTAGGGAGCACTTCCCAATTTATTCTATGAAGCCAGTATTACTTCGATACCAAACGCAGACAAAGACATCAAGAGTAAAGAAAATTACAGACCAATATCCCTTCTGAATATTGATGCAAAAATCATTAACAAAATTCTAGCAAACTGGAATCCAGTAACATATAGATAGGATTATACACCACCACCAAGTGGGATTTATCCCAGGAATGAAAGCTTGATTTAACATATACAATTCAATCAATGTAAAACATTACATTAATAGAATAAAGGATAAAACTACACAATCCTCTAAACTGCCACGGAAAAGACATTTGACAAAATTCAACACTCTTTCTTGATGGAAACACTCAACAAACTAGGAACTGAGGGAACCTTCTCAACTGGATAAAGGGCATCTATGGAAAACCCACAGCTAGCACTTATACTTAACGATTAAGATTGAAAGCTATTGCAACCCTCCCCTCCCCACCTCACTGCAAAATCAGAAACAAGATGAAGATGTCTGCTCTTACTCCTTCAACACTGAACTAGAGATTATAGCCAAGAAAATTAGGCAAGAAAAATAAATAAAAGTGATTCAGATTGGAAAGGAAGAAGTAAAACTATCCCTATTTGTAGATGACATGATCTTGTATATAGAAAACTCTAAGGAACCCATAAAAACCTATTAGAACTAATAAACAAGTTCAGCCAATTTGTAAGATATGTAATAAATTTACAAAATTCAGTTGTGTTTTTCTACATTAACAATTCAAAAATAAAATTAAGAAAACAATTCCATGTACAATGCCATCAAAAAATTTAAAAACCTAACATTTATGCAACAAAAGTAGTAGAGAATTTGTATGCTGAAAACTACCAAACATCATTGGAAGAAATTAAAGAAGACCTAAATAAATGAGAAGAAATCCTGTTTATGAATCGGAAGGCTTAAAATGGTTAAGACGGTAATATTCCCCAAACTTACGTATACATTCAATGCAATCCCTATCAAAATCCCAGGTAGCTGAGCAGAAACTGACAAGCTGAGCCTAAAATTCATATGAAAATATAAGGAACCCCCAAATAGCCAAAACAGTCTTGGAAAAAAAAACAAAACAAAGCTGGGAAATTTACACACTGTGATTTTAAAACTTAGGACAAAGCTACAGTAATCAGGAGAGACTGCTACTGGAAGAATGGAATAAAATTATGAGTCCAGAAATAAACCCAGATATTTAAGGGTTTATTTATGGACTCGACATTTACTGGCATAAGAATGGAATAAAATTTTGAGTCCAGAAATAAACCCAGGCATTTAATATCTTGATATTTGACAAGAGTATCAAGACAATTCAATAGGAAAACAATAATCTTTTCAACAAATGGTGCAGAGACAGCTGGATACCCATAGGCAAAAGAATGAAACTGGTGCTCTGTCTTATACCATACACAAAAATTGAATTAAAAAATGATTAAGACCTAAATATAAGAGCTACAACTATAAAATAACATGAGCACAACTCTTTATGACCTTGGATTGGGCAATGATTTCTTAAATGACACCAAAATCACAAGCAACAAAAGAATAAGTAAATTATGTTTTATCACAATTAAAAACTTTTGTGATTCATAGAATACTATTAAGAAAGTGAGGCTGGGGCTGGGCACAGCAGCTCATGCCTGTAATCTCAGCACTTTGGAAGGCCAAGATGGGCAGATCACCTGAGGTTGGGAGTTCAAGACCAGCCTGGCCAACGTGGTGAAACCCTGTCTCTACTAAAAATACAAAAATTAGCCGGGTGTGGTGGTGCATGCCTGTAATCCCAGCTACTTGGGAGGCTGAGGCTGGGATGGAATGGAATGGAATGGAATGAGGATCACTTGAACCCAGAAGGCAGAGGTTGCAGTGAGCTAAGATCACACCACTGCACTCCAGCCTGGGAGACAAAGCAAGGCTCTGTCTCAAAAAAAAAAAAAAAAGAGAAAAGAAAAAAGAAAAAAAGGAAAGAAAGGCTGGGCACAGTGTCTCATGCCTACGATCCTGCACTTTGGGAGGCCAAGGTGGGAGGACTGGTTGAGGCCAGGAGTTCAAGACCAGCCTGGGCAACATAGTGAGACCTCATCTCTACAAAAAATACAAAAACTAGCTGGGCATGGTGGCCTTTTAGTCTCAACTACTTGGGAGGTTGAGGTGGGAGGATTGCTCTAGCCTAGGAGTTAGAGGCTGCAGTGAGCTATGATTGCCATTGCACTGGGCAACAGAGTGAGGTCTTGTCTGGAAAAACAAAACAACAACAACAAAAACAACAACAAAAAAAGGAAAAGATAGACCATGAAAATACTACCTATTGAATGGAAAAAAATCATTTTGCAAATAATATATCTGATAAGGGTCTATTGTCCAAAATATGTAAAGAACTCTTACTACTCAACAATTTTAAAAACCCAATTTTCTTAAAAAAGGCAAAGTGTTTGAATAGACAGTTCTCCAAAGAAAATGGTCATTAGGAAAATGTAATTCAAGGCGATTTCACAGCCACAAGTATTACTAGAATAAAAAAGATAAATAACAAGTATTGGTGAGGGTGTGGGAAAATAGGAACCGTCATACATTGCTGATAGGAATGTAAAGTGGTACACCTGCTTTGGAAAACAGTCTGACAGTTTCTCAAAGAGTTTGACCCAGAAATTCTACACCTAGTTTTACCCAAAAAGAATAAAAATATATGTCCATACCAAAACTTTTACTCAAATGTTCACAGCAGCATTATTTATAATAGCAAAAAATGAAAACAACCCAAATATTAACCAAGTGATGAATGGATAAACAAAATGTGGCATATAAATACAAAGGAATATTATTCAGCCATAAAAAGGAATGAAGTACTGATACATGGTACCACATGGACAAATCTTGTAAACATTACACAAAGTGAAAGAAGTCAGACACAAAAGGCCATATATTGATAGATTCTATTTATATAAATGTCAAGAATAGGAAATTCATAGAGACGGAAAGTAGATTAGTGGTTGCCAGGGGATGGAAGAGAAGAGGAATGGGCAGTCATGCTCATGGGACTATGAAAAGTGGGATAATAAAAATATTCTAGAATTATATATTGGTGATGGCTGCGCAGCTCTGTGAATATAGCAAAAACCACGAATTAGTTTATGAGGGCGAATTTTATGGCATATAAATTACATCTCAATTTTAAAAATTGCAAAGTAGACTGGCACTAGCTGTGTTTGCTCTGTAATATTTGTGCTAGAATCTTCCTAAATCATTAAAAGTATTTTTACTAAAAAAAAAAAATCAGCTGCTTATAATAATTAGCCAAGAGAATATGGTTAGCTTGAAATAAGCAAATCCATCCATCTCTTTCTAGATCTTTCTCTATATACACCTTTCTGTAGCTTGTAGTCCCTGTACAAATGGCCAAAAGTTTTCCTGCCTTGATTGGTTTGTCCAAAATTCCACGTTCTTCTCTGGTGAGTCCACATCCCAACTCATCTAGGTTGCTGAGGAAGGCCTAGTGTATTTCTAGAATTGACAGAAAACTCCGTATGTAGAGGAAGAATTCGCTTTAGGGAATTGTAACCCTGGATGCTTAAATGCCCAGGAACGTCTTTGCGGGTATATACAAACGCCACAGTAGAAGGATAATTTTCATATGTTCCCAGACACCAAACTGCATGAGGTGTTTGCCTTTTTCTTGCCTGCTATGGGTTTTGCATCCGGTTTCAACATCCACCCCCATCTGGCCCCACCCACGTGGCCAGTGTCACGGCCCACCATTGTTTCCTAAGAAACAGTGCTTCAACCGACCCGTTCCATTGCTATGTTTTTCAACTGTTGGATGAGATCCAGGAGAGGATGGTGAAATCAATTTAGTGAAGGGCAACCAGCATTTTCTTTTTTAAAAAAGTAGAAAATAGAGTTCCTGTACATAGTGAGAGTTCAGTATTACTCCAGGAAACTGGTTTCCTTTTTATATTTCCAGGTATGTGTATAAAATATTCCTGTAGGTCATGGTCACGGTGTGGAAACCTTCCATGGTGCTCGTGCTGGTCTCTGTTCGATTAGGCAATGACTTCTTAAATGACACCATTGCTAGTGCTGTGCAACCCTCTCAACTCCCAGCCTTCCATCTATCTGGCCTCTCTTCAGCCTCCCCAGTGTTCTGACTCTTCTGAAAAGCCGTTAACCCCGCCAGCCCATGGTGATCTCTCCCTTCTGTAACTGCTTTGGTTTTGAAGAATTTATGAATTATTGAAACTCTACCCAAGTTGACCCATAGCCTTACTACTTGAATCCACCATCTCTACCTCTCCTGACTGGGTTGCAAACACAGCTGGTAACAGCTCCTGGTGCCTTCTGCACCAGTGTGGACCATACAATTAGCAGGTGGTGGTACATAGTCTTATTCTAACAGCCTGCTCTGCATAATTGGGCATTTTGTTTACTGCCTTGTTACCTAATTGCTCTGCATTTTGAAGCGCAGTGCCCAAAGGTCAAAGACAAGGTAAGCAACATTAAAGGTCTGGCATCTGACCTGGTTCAAATCCAGTTTACTAGCTCATCAGCTGTGGGTCACTGGGGGAGCAGTCCTCATGAGCCTTATTTCCTTACTGTAAAATGGGGGTGACAACAGTACACTGGGGACTTGGGAACATGATACTATTTGTCAATAGAAGAGTCTCAGTAAATGGCACATCTCACCATTACTACCAGGACCGTATATCAATAAAGACACAGGTTCAAATATAGGCCGGGCACGGTGGCTCACGCCTGTAATCCCAGTGCTTTGGGAGGCCAAGGTGGGTGGATCACTTGAGGTCAGGAGTTCGAGACCAGCCTGGCCAACATGGTGAAACCCTGTGTCTACTAAAAAAAAAAAAAATATATATATATATATATATACACACACACACACATATATATGTATATATATGTATATATGTATATATATACACACACACATATATATACACACATATATACGTATATACACACACGTATATATACGTATATATACGTGTGTGTATATATATATACACACACGTATATATACATATATATGTGTATATATATATATACACACACACACAAAAATTAGCTGGGCGTTGTGGTGGGTGCCTATAAACCCAGCTACTTGGGAGGCTGAGGCAGGAGAATCGCTTGAATCCGGGATGTGGAGGTTGCAGTGAGCAGAGATCACACCATTGCACTCCAGCCTGGGCAATAAAGCAAGACTCCATCTCAAAAGAAAACAACAACAACAACAAAACAAATGTGGCATGGAGCTGTCAGCCCAAAGCTCTCAATGTCTGGCTTGGAAGAAAGTCACTTGTATGAGTTCTGAAGCTAGACTGGAAGCCCCTCGCAGGCAGGGGCCTGCTGGATTCTTGCATGGCTCTGGAAGAGAGCAGAGCTCCCAGCCCCGCCCCTGACTCATGGCAGAACTCAACACATATTAAATGTATGGGAGGCTACAAGTGCCCGCTCAGAATCAGGAAAAGATAATCTGAACATAACATGTTTTTAAAATCCCACATAATGAATGTGATCATCACCATCTAAAAGCTCATTAGCAGCAAAGAAGCCCCACATATTATGCTGATGAAGTTAGATATTTCCTGAACTTATGCCAAGAGACCAGATCACCAGGAAACATTACTGGAATGGAAAAGTTAGAGAACCCAGTTGCACTTGATCAAGCTAAAGAGGCTTGGGCAGCCTTGAAAAGTGTCCCAGGTTTTGATGCTGCCTACAGAGGTGCCTGGGTACAGGAGTTCTGATTCAGTAAGAATCCCGGGACACCTCTGGCAGAACCAGCCCAGCTCCCCTGATGAGATGGGATCATTTCTCCCAGGCACATTTGTGCTCCTGCCTGTGACTAGCCCAAGGATAGTTCTAATCAGACTGAGTCAATCAGAGCCTGTCCCTGAGGATGCTGAAATTGGAACCGATTTCGGCGTGCATGTGGCTAAAATTGTGAAATCAGGAGAGGAGAGGCAGAAGCAGCAGGTCTGAAGGTCAGGAGATGAATCAGGGACAGAGACGAGCATGGGGAGATAGGGGCTGCCCGATCATGTTTCCTGGTTCCAGCTGTCCTGAGACTCATCCGCACCTCTGCCCTGGCTCCAGGAAACACCTCTGTATCTTTCTCATAAAGTCCCCTTTCCTGCTGAAACCAAGATCTAGCTAGTTTTGATACTTGTAACCACAGAATCCTAAGCAATAGAGTTACGAAGACAGAAACAGCAGGGAGGAGCTTTTCAATCCATGCTAGCCAAGAGTATCTCGCTCCTTGGTTTAATTCTGAGCTCATCATGCAATCTCCTGCCCCAGGATTTGGTCTCCCAAGCAGACTTGCCCACCAGGCTGGGCCTTGGCCTCCTCATCCTCCAAATGAGAGACTGAGACTAAACCAGTTGTTCTCAAAACCAACTGAACAGCCACATTACCTGGGGGGCTTGTTCACACACAGATTTCTGAGTCCTAGCAATATCCTGAAGGTTCTGCTTTCAAGTCCTTGAGTCCTAAGTTCATGCTCAAATGCATACTGTTTGCCAAACCCACATCAAATGTGTTTTTAAATGTAGCCAGAATTTGTTTTAATCAGGTGTGGTAAGACACAGAGGTATAGAAATGATGGTCATGAAAAAAAGGTTTTTTGTACTCACAAAAACTAGAAACAGGAGGCAGGGTGTGCCGCATGGGGCCACATGAGGAAGCACCAGTGCTGGTGAGGAGGAACAAGGAGTGAGAGGCAAGTGTGGGCAAAAGCCTTTATTGTGGCTTTCATGGGGCAAGGGAGGGTGAGTATGCAGCCTTAGAACTGAGTAACTTCTACAGGCTGGTGGGAATGTCAACTAGGACAACCACTATGGAAAACAGTGTGGAGATTCCTTAAAGAACTAAAGGTAGATCTACCATTTAATCCAGCAATCCCACTCCTGGGTATCTACCCAGAGGAAAAGAACTCATTATGTGAAAAAGTTACTTGCATACACATGTTTATGGCAGTACAATTCGCAATTGCAAAAATGTGGAACCAGCCCAAATGCTCATCAATCAATGAGTGGATAAAGAAACTGTGGTGTGTACATATATGCACATATATGTTCACAGATATGTGCACATATATATGATGGAATACTACTCAGCTATAAAAAGGAATGAATTAATGGCATTTGCAGCAACCTGGATGGGATTGGGGACTATTATTCTATGTGAAGTAACTCAGGAACGGAAAACCAAACATCGTATGTTCTCACTCATAAGTGGGAGCTAAGCTATGAGGATCCAAAGGCATAAGAATGATACAGTGGACTTTGGGGACTCGGGGGAAAGGGTGGGAAGGGGTGAGGGATAAAAGATGACAAATTGGGTTCAGTATGTACTGCTTGGGTGATGCGTGCACGAAAATCTCACAAATCACCACTAAAGAACTTTCTCATGTAACCAAATACCACCTGTTCCCCCAAAACTTATGGAAATGAAAAATTTAAAAAAAGAGAACTGAATAACTTCAGGGAGCTCTGGGGCTGAATCTGGTTGTCTGTACCTTGCCCTGGGATGACTAAGGCAGAGAGGAATGTTGCCTCCTGGAGTATAAGAGCCAGATGGAGGAAGCAGTTCAGAGTAGGGCTTTGGATTGATTGCTTTGCACATGAAAGTCATGCTCCCAGCAGGCAGCTGTTTGCTATCTATGAGAACTGAAGGGCCCTGGGAAGGGCAGTTTCTCCCCAGGCAGGGAGGCCTCAGATGCCAGAGCATCAAGAATACAGAAAATAAGAACATAGACCTAATACACACTGTTAACTTCAGAAAGTGACTTTCACTTTTTGCTAATGTGAATTGGTCTCTCCAGATTTTGGGCAATTCTAGGTTGTAGAGGGCATTCATTGTTCTCATCTGGCTAGCATCTACTCCCCTTTAATGGTAACAGCATGCCAATTTTCCTTTAGGGAACCAACCCTCTATTCCACATTAAATTCATGTAGTTTAGACAGGGGCTGACTCCTTTCCTTGACGTCTGGGTGGGTATGAGAGTCAAGCTTGGCTAATCATGTATTCCATAATATTTAGTGTGTTCATTCCCCATGCTAGGAACTATTCTAGGTACTGGGAATCCAACACAGGACTCCTAGACCTCCTGGTATTATGGGGTTACATAGGCCCTGGGTTGGGTGTATAATATAACAAGGGTCAACCTTGGGAATTCTGCCAAGAATCACTGCCTCTAATACCCATTGCCCTTTCCTCCTTACTAACAGAACTCTCTTTTCCTTGAGACAGTAGGTTCCCAGCTAAAAATCTTAATTTCCTAGGCTTCCTTGCAGGTAGGGGTGGCTATGGACAGGTCTGGACCACAACATGCAAATTAAAGTCTATTTGGTGGAGCTTCCAGGAAAGTCATTCTCTTCTGGATAAGGAGAAGGAGACTCCGTAGTATGAGCCTTCTGCCCTTTGTCCTCCTTGTCCCTGCTAGGAGTAGGGAGTCACTGGAGTTGCAGAGGCCAGTGGGCAACCTTGAGGACAAAAGCCACCAGCTGAGTATGGACAACAGTAATGGGATACTGATGCTAGAGCTTCAGGATTCCCTACTTTCAGGACTTCTTGTTACATGAGAAAAATAAAATCCTTGACTTTAAGGCTCTGTCACTTGAGTTTTCTGTTACATGCAGCTGAATGCAATCCTTAAGAGACAGAGGCACCATCTGTGCATGGGGCTAACCCAAAGGGATGTAAGCTTAGGTGGAGGAAAGCCAACACAGGGATAAAACCAACCCAGGGGAAAGCAATGCTGAGAGATGGATGGTGTCTTGTTGTTTCCTCTGAACCCTGGGTCTAGCCTTGTCAGAAGGCAGCCTTTCTCAGGGAACCTGCCACCATGTGAACTTTTTGGCTTAAACCGGCCTGAATAGGGGTTCTTTAACATTAGGAGTCTGGACTAATTCATGTGTGAAATAATAGAGTTTTGGGGGCTGCAGAGGTGATGGGACAATGCCTATACTGATGGACATTCTCCCCTACACTATTGGGAACCCCTCCTGGCCCCCCACTTCCATCTCGTTGGGTGCAATATTGGAGTGGAATGTTCATCACGGACTCCGATTGACACGCAAACATCAACAAGAGAACGGAGGGCTGCCGTCATTCCTTTCACTAAGCTCTCAGATTTCTCTTTTGAAGTAGAAAATTACAATTTAATTATGTGAAAAAAAAGTCTTGAAAATGAACTGTAACAAAACAGATGGCTAATCAGACTGGAGAAAAAAATTAAGAACAGATGCAGTTGCTGATGAAAAACCTCAAGCAAATTAATGTGGACAGTGAATGAATTCCACATTCCAATTAAGGGAGTGGTTAACCTGTGGTTTGCAGGGATGCATGCATCACTGGATGATGCAGAGTAGATTTGCATGGACCTGGGAGCTCAGAGCACTTATATGACCTGGAGAGCACAGATTCTGAAGCAGTGGTTCTCAAATTTGAGTGTAAGTCGGAATCCCTGGAAAGCCTGTTAGATCACCACACTCACAATGATTTGGCAGGACTAGAGGAGAAGGGAGTTGCAAGAATTTGTGTTTCTAACAAGTTCCCAGGTGCTGCTGATGCTGACAGTCCTAGGACCACACTTTGAGGACCACCACTCTAGAATAACTCCAGTTAAAAGCAATTGAGATATAATTAACGTATCATAAAATTCACCCATTTAGAATGTGCAAGCAGGCAGGTTTTACCATATTTGAAAGTTGTGTAACTATGACCACTATATAATTCCAGAAGATTTTCATCGCCCCAGTGGAAACCCCTAGCCATTAGCGGTCATTCCCATTCCTCATTTCCTCCAGCCTCTGGTAACCACTAATTAATTTTCTGTCTCTATAGATTTGACTATTCTGGGCGTTCCATATAAATGGAATTGTAACATGGGGGCTTTTGTGTCTGGCTTTCACTGAGCATATATTTCCTAGGCTCATCCATATTGTAGCATCTATCAGTAAGCCATTCCTTTTTAGGGCTGACTAATATTCTATTATATGGATATACCACATTTCGTTTATCCATTCTTCACTTTATGGATATTTGAATTGTTCTACTTTTTGGCAATTATGAATAATGCTGCTATGAACTCTTGTGTATAAGTTTGCATGTGGACATATATTTTCATCCCTCTTAAATACAGAACTAAGAGGGGAATTGTTGGGTCATATGGTGACTCTATGTTTAACCTTTTTTTTTTTGAGATGGAGTCTCACTCCGTGCCCAGGCTGGAGTGCAGTGGCGCGATCTCGGCTCACTGCGAGCTCTGCCTCCCGGGTTCATGCCATTCTCCTGCCTCAGCCTCCTGAGTAGCTGGGACTACAGGTGCCCACCACCACACCTGGCTAATTTTTTCATATTTTTAGTTGAGACAGGGTTTCACCATGTTAGCCAGGATAGTCTCGATCTCCTGACCTCGTGATCTGCCCACCTCGGTCTCCCAAAGTGCTGGGATTACAGGTGTGAGCCACCGCGCCTGGCCTATGTTTACTATTTACATTTCCACCAGCAATGTATGAGGGCTCCAATTTTCCCATCCCCTCACCAGTACTTGTTATTGTCTACCTTTTCTGGATTATACCCATTCTAGTGGGTGTGAAATGGCATCTCATCATGATATCTCATTTAGATTTGCATTTCTCTAATGACTAATGATGTGAGCATCTTTGCATACCCTTATTAGCCATTTGTATAATCTGCTTTGGAGAAATGTCTGTTCAAATCTTTTGTCCATTTTCAAATTGGATTGTCTTTTATTGTTGAGTTTTAAGTGACACACACACACACACACACACACACACACACACACACACACAGATACATGATTTGCAAATGTTTTCTCCCATTCTGTGGTTAGAAACTGTTGGCTAACACAAGGTCACAAATATGTATACCTATGTTTTCCTCTAAGAGTTTTATATTTTTAGCTATTATATTTAGGTTTTTGTTTCATATTGAGTTAACTTTTGTATATGGTGAGCAGTAGGGATCAGACTTCTTTTCAATGTGGTTATCCAGTTGTCCTAGCACCATTTGTTGAAAAGAGTATTATTTCCCCTAGTGAGTTGTCATTACCCTTGTCAAAAGCTAATTGGCCTGAAATGTAAAGGTGCATTTCAGGACTTCCAATTGTATTTCATTAATCTATATGTCTATCCTTATGCCAGTGCCAGACAATCTTGATTACTCTATCTTTGTAGTAAGTTTTGCAGGCAGAAGTTTGAGTTCTCCAACTTTGTTCTTTTTAAAGACTGTTTTGGCTATTCTGGGTCCCCTGCATTTCCATATGAATTTTAGGATCAGCTTGTCGGTTTCTGCAAAAAAGTCAGCTGGGGTTTTGATAAGGATTGCATTAAATCTGATCAATCTGAGGACTATTATCATTTTTAAAACGTTAAGTCTTCTAACCCTTGAACACAGGACATCTTTCCATTTATTTGATTGTCTTTAATTTCTTTCTACAATGTTTTGTAATTCAGCATACAAGTCTTGTACTGCTTTTGCTAAATTTACTCCTAAGTATTTTATTCTTTTAAATCCTATTGTAAATGGGAATGTTTAATATCATTTTCAGATTGTTAATGACTAAGGTGTTAAAATACAACTGAATTGTATATATTGATCTTGTATGCTGCATGTTTATTAAATCTAATAGTGTTATTTTTGTGTGGGTTCCTTAGGATTTTCTACACACAAGATTATGTCATCCATGAATTCAGAAAGTTTTACTGCTTCCTCTCTCATCTGGGTGCCTATTTGCCCTGGCTAGAGCCCTCAGCATAATGTGGAATAGAAGTGGCGAGGCACTACGTCCAGCAGGGCTGGGGGATGCTGAGTTTTGCTGCAGCATCAGCACACCCCTGTAAACTTATTCTTAAAAGCCCCCCTTGTAGCATAAGGCAGCTCGTGTGGGCTTCTGTGCTGGCCTATGAAGATCTGTTGGGTGGGCTTCTGTCACTGGTATTCTGTTCAGGACCCTGATACATGGTCCTAGGCAGGCCTTTACCTCCTACTTTTCCTCCCAGCACATGCTACACTGGCCTGGCTGGAGGGCAACATGGAGTGAATTTCTAGGGCAAGTGGCCTGGATGGTTCTGTTTGGTCGACAGTGTCCCTTGGGCAAGCCACCTCCCCTCTCTGTCCCTCAGCTTCCCACCTTAGAATATAAGAAAACTAGTCTAAAAATTCCCAAGACCCACTTTTAACTCTTGTTTTGCTCTTGATCTTAGGGGAAAGCTTTTAGTCTTTCACCATTAAGTATGATGTTAGCTTTGGGGTTTTTGTTGAGGCCATTAGTCAGGTTGATGAAGTTTCCTTCTATTCCTAAATTTGTGAGTGTGTCTTCATCAAGAAAATGTGTTGGATTTTGTCAAGTGCTTTTTCTGTGTCTATTGGGATGATCATCTGGTTTTATCCTTTACTCTAATAATGTGGTATATATCACATTGATTGGTCTTTGTATGTTGAACCAACCTTGCATTCTTGGAATAAATCCCACTTGGTGAACTCCATTTTATAAAGAGGAAAACCAAGTCCCATGAAGGTTAATGAACTACCCAAAATCTCACATAAGATTAGTGGCAGAGCCACAAACAGACCCTGCTTCCTCAGTCAGTGGCCTCTGTGCTGGCCTTTGTGGGGAGGGAGAGAGATGCAGGTGGATGTTGGAGTACCATCAAGGCTGGATTATGAATGACCACCTCACCATTGACCAATATTTGTGTTGTGCCTCACACCTCAGAGGTTGTTTTCACAAATACTCTCTTTGTTCCTCATATGAGCATTGGGGAGTATTTTTCCTGTTTCACAGGTAAATAAACTGAAGTTTGGTGAAATTCAGTGACTGACTGAAGCATCATAGACAATGGGAGATAGTACCAGGTCTCGAATGCAGGTCTTCAGAGTCTAAATCCTGGTCCTATGTACTGTACAGCTTGCCTGCCCTCTGAATCCTATTATTTCAGGGCCCATGGAAGTCCCTCTGCTACTTACCAGTGGGCAGGTGTCAACTGTCAGATTAGAGCCCCATACTTTTAGCTCATAGATTCGATCTAAACAGAAAAATCCTCCTATGTTTATGTGAAGCACTGAAGTTTTCCCAGTCTCTTCTTCCCTGGGGTGAATAAGCTTTAGAATCTAATTTTTGGTATTTTTATTATTTTTTTGTACCATTAAATTTAGACTTATTAAATTGATTGCCTGAGGGGTACTGCAGCTTTGTGGTAAACAGTAAGCTAGGTATCCAGGTTCAAATCCCAGCTCTGACATATGCCAGCATTAGGATGCTTAGGAAAGCATTTAGCCTCTCTGTATCTCAGTTTTCTCATCTATAAAATGGGGATAACAAGAATCTCCACCCCACTGTGCTACTGTGAGACTGAAAATGAGCCAACAAACATGACGTGTTTAGAACAGTGCTTGGTGCAGAGTCAGCACTCTAATTCCAGCTACTGCTGATATTAACCATGTTAACTTCCGCTTGCTGAGTAGCTACTATTGTCAGCACTGGGTTGGGTTGTTTTACAGAGACTAGAACAAGCTCAGAGAGGTCAGGTAACTTGTCCAAGCTCACACAGCTAGAAGTGGCAGACTCAGGACTCAATTCCATGGGTGTCCAATGCTAAGGCCTCTTAGCGACACTGTCCTACCTCCTGCAGGGCGGGTTTTGATGACCCTCAGGGCATTAGAGGGGCAAAGAGAAGCCCAATAGAAAGCAGAAGAGGTCAAGACCTGCTGTTGAACTGAGCTGTCACACTGAGGTTTGTGGGGAAGAGGAAGAATGAAAGGGATGATGTGAGGAAAAACATCAGGTATCAGCAAAGTCAGAGGCAGGCCCAGCTGAGTGCCACACACAGGTGTAGGTTGTCTGGGCTGGGGGTGGTGCAGAGAGACCAAAGGCCCAGGAAGAGACGCCTCCCTGGCAGCACCACATAAAGGCCTGGAGAGCTCTCGGGGGTCGGGAGGGGGCCTTCCTAGGGGAGGCAGCCTTGGCTTGGTCTCCTTCTCACACAGGCACAGTCGAGTGACACAGGGATCCTGTGTATGCTTCCTCGCTGAAGCAGCTGCCCTCGTGGGGAGGGAAGGAGCGGAGCTGCAGACCAGGCTCTGTCAGTCAAGGGAGAAGCCGGGCCCAGAGCTCCCTCGGCTGGTGCCGATCCCAGGAACCCCATTCCAGGGACCACTGGCCCAGCACTGCAGACACTCCCACAGCCCCCACCCTGAAGCTCTGTGGCTGCTCTGCAACTGGATGTAAATGGGTCCCAGAGCTGGAAGGATGTCAGGGTTGAAGCACCAGCTCCCTCATTCTAAAGATGACCTGAAGTTAAGGCCCGCTTTGCATCTCACCGCAGGGATCTCAAGGCTTCTGACAAAGTTGTCCTGTCCCATTACTCTTGATGGTGTGGCACTAGGGGGGCCATTAATCTCTCTGGGCCTCCATGTCCTCACCCGTGAGACAGTGATAACTGTCCCGGCCCACCCACTTCAAGGACCCCTGGGCAGATGAAAGAAATGCAAAAAGCACCAAGCATATTGCCCTGCCTCTGAAGGCCTCACCTTGAATTTGGAGGCCCTGGGGAGCATTAAATCGAGGCTGCATCAGAGAGACACCAACAGAATCAGGGAACACGTTGTTCTCATCTGGGAAATGGGGATACCATAAATACCAGCTACCCAGCAGGGCTGCCATGGACACTCTAAGTACTGAATAGAAGATGTCAGGCACGGTGCTGGGGCCAGAGCAGGTGCCTGCTGGAGGACACTCTGCTGTGTAGTTGTTGGCTGGGGCCTTGCCCTCCTTCGCCTCCCCCAGGATGCTCTAAAAGCTGCACAGGTTTCTTGGCGGCCCTTGGGTCTGGTCCATGTGAAGACACTGTTAAGATGGCTTCACTGCTTTTCTTCAGCTTCACTACAACGCCCGTGTAAGGGGACGTATGAAGCGTGACATCCTCGGCAGCCCCCATATTCCAGCCTCCTTCCAGTGTATCTGCAGAGGCTGGAAAGCTAACGGTGACATCTCCCAGAAGTTAAAGTTCTGGATTCAAATTAGGTCTCTGATTTGAAAAGCAGAATTGCGGTGAGGCTGGACCGACCACCTTCCTGCTACTGTCCAGCAGGGCTGGGGGATGCTGGGTTTTGCTATAGCATCAGCACACCCCTGTAAACTTATTTTTAAAAATCCCTCTTTTAGCATAAGGAGGCTTGTGTGGGCTTCTTGTTGCTGGCATGCGAAGATCTGTTGGGTGGGCTTTCGTTGCTGGCATTCTTGTTCAGGACCCTGACACGTGGTCCCGGGCAGGTCTTTATCTCCCCACTCCCAGCATGTACTATATTGGCCTGGCTGGAGGGGTGGCACAGAGTGGATTTCCAGGGCAGGTGGCCTGGATGCCTGGTTCTGTCTGGTCAAGACTGTCCCTTGGGCAAGCCGCTGGTCCTCTCCGGTTCTCAGTTTCCCACTTTGGAATATAAGAAGGCCACTCTAAAAATTCCCAAGATCCCTCTAGTATTCAGAGACTGTTTACTGCTAACCACAGAAAACTTAAAAGAATATTGCTTTCATTTCGATAAAAAATACTGAGTTTTCTTTTCTACGATGCTCTATTTGGTCTCTTAAAAAACCCACTCATAGCCTAAAAGTAGAAACCACTCAAATGCCTATCAACTGATGAATGGATAAAATGTGGCATTCATGATCCATCCAATGGAATATTCAGCCATAAAAAGGAATAAAGTACCAACACATAGTACAGCGTGGATGGACCTTGAAAACATCATGTTAGGTAAAGGAAGCCAGTCACAAAAGGCCACAAATTGCGTGATCCTCTTTATATGAAATATTCAGAATCGATAAGTCCAAAGACATAAGAAGTCGGTTAGTGGTTGCTAGGGGGTCGGGGGAGGAGGGAAGGGCAGTTATGGGTGAGGGGTGCCTTTTGGGGTGTTGGAAATGTTCAGAAACTGATGTTGATGACGATTCCACAATTTTGTGACTATATTAAAAGCCACTGAATTGTACACTTAAAGGAATGAATATTATGATAAGTGAAAAAGACCTGTTATATGAAAAAATAAGGACGCTCAGCCAGGTTTTGTTCTAATTTGTCTGAGAACTGATACCTCTGCGCACACAGAGTGACTGAAAAGGAAGCTCCTTTAAAATTCTGACCTTGACTTATGAGACAGTCAACCGAATGTGCAATTTCTCTGGTGGCTTCCGAGACCAAGGTAAGAACAAAATCATTTTCACTACAAAGTGCTGTGTGTCTCTGGGGGCCTGGAACAGACGAGAACTGTGTATGGAACTGCACATGTAAATGAGCCCACAGCATCCCCATTTCCTGCACTGCTGTCACCAACGTGCCGAGACGCTAAGAGGAAAGGACAGGAAGGCGGAGTGTTAAGAGAGTTCCATTTCTGCAGTGCCGCCTTCTGAGCTTAAAAGGACCACAAAGACCTCTCTCCTCCCCACCGGTAGAGCCCTCTCAAGAGCTATTTAAAACTGAAGAAGATGGGGGTGGATGGGGAGAAAAGCTCTAAAAGCTTCCCGAAATCTTCCGATTGCCTGTTCCGGGTTTTGCTATAATAACAGAAGAGAAGGCTGGGTGGTACCATCCAAGCCCTGAAGACAGCATGTGAGATTCCAAAGGCCCTTAATTCAACCCAATTCAACACAGTTTACTCAACACACACACAAATTATTTAGCACCCTGCACACACACTAGAAGACTAGCATCCCAGACGGAGGAAACCAATTCCCTTACGAGCTCCCAAGAAAAGAAGAGCAAAGAGTCCTTTGGTTGGGTGGTAGTGTTGTCCCCTAAGCACATCTGGGGTCTGGGGTCAGAGGCCATTGTGTAAATCCTAGCTCTGTCCCTTCCTCCTGTATGACCCTGGGCAACTCAGCCTCTCTGTGCCTCAGTTTCTTCACCTGTGAAATGGGAACAATAACATTATCCACCTCCCTAGGGTTTTAATGGGTTTAATGACTTAATGTGTATAAAGCACCCTGTCTCGGCTGGGCATGGTGGCTCATGCCTATAATCCCAGCACTTTGGGAGGCCGAGGTGGGTGGATCACTTGAGGTCAGGAGTTCGAGACCAGCCTGGTCAACATGATGAAACCTTGTCCCTACTACAAATACAAAAATTAGCCAGGCGTGATGGTATGTGTCTGTACTCCCAGCTACTCGGGAGGCTGAGGCAGGAGAATCTCTTGAACCCGGGAAGCGGAGGTTGCAGTCAGCGGAGATCATGCCACTACACTCCAGCCTGGAAGACAGGGTGAGAGTCTGTCTCAAAAAATAAATAAATAAACAAAAATAAAATAAAGCACCCTGTCTGGCCCAGAGTAAGTACTTAGTGCGTTTTACCTCCTGTTACTGTTCTAAGAACTTCCAAGGGCCTGGACTTTTGTGAAACACACACTTATCCCATCGTTTCTTCACTGAGAGGAGCCAAATTGCATTGCAGGCTGAGGGTACATACCTAAGGCCATGTGCTGGCTTCATGACAGCTCTGGGCTGGTGCTTTGGGACTCTGCTCCCGGCTGGACCAGATCTTGAGGGTATTCACAGCTTGGGAAGCACAGAGTGGAAAAGTGACTCCCTACCCAATGGCTGTGTGACTCGGGGAGCCCCGCAGCCTCTCTGAGCCTGTTTCCGCCTCTATAAATGAGGATAATATTCCTCCCTCACAAAGCAGCTGTGAAGATTAAATGAAAGTGCCTGGAATGAAGAGGCAGTACTCAGAGGATAGTGTCTGGTGCTCGGGGTGGAAACCCGGCTCATTGCACCTGCAGAGCTGCTGGGTGACCATGGGCAATCACTTACCTCTCTGTGCTTCCCCTTCCTTCTCTGTAAAGTGGAGATAATAAGCATTCCTACCTCGTTCTGTGGCAAGGCATGAATGAGGGGATACATGTAAAGCTCTTAGAAAAGGGCATGGGGCACAGATGCCCCGTGAGATCCTGCCATGAACTGAATTATTCCTCCCCCTACCCGCCTCCAAATTCATATGTTGCAGTCCTAACCCCCAATGTAACTGTATTTGGAGATAGAGCTTTTAGGAGGTAATTAAGGTACTAAGAGTGGGGTCCTAATTCAATAGTGGCCTCAGAAGAAGAGGAAGAGAAAGATCTCTCTCCACATGCATGCACCAAACAAACAAACAAACAAGGCCACGTGAACAAAAAGGCAGCTGTCTACAAGTCAGGAAGAGGGACACAGAACCCAACCATGCTGGCACCCTGATCTCAGACTTGCAGCCTCTAGAAATGTGAGAAAATACATTTCCGTTGTTTAAGCTGCTTCGTCGGTGACATTCTGTTAGGACGGCCTGAGCTGACTAATATAAGAATTACAGAGCAATAGAAGAATTCCCCATTTCCTGCTTAGTGCCTGACATATGGCAAGTCCCCAGTAGCTGTTTGTTGGCTGCTATAATAAAAGTGGCCACGAAGGCCAGCGTCCTGGTAAGAACAATGTGATTTCCTTACCGTTACGGGCGCAGGAGAGAGTCCTGTTGGCGGGCCAGGGAGCAGCCTCAGCAGGCTCACAAGATTCCCCAGACTATGCGCCACAACAAGCAAACAAGCTGCACCAGGAGACTTTCCCAGCTGGGCTGCGGCTCAGGGTCATTGCCGACCGTTTCAGGGCGGTGCCAGCACTGCAGACCATGGTTTCCACGGGCGAAAGCGCCTCTTCCTCTTTTTCCCCCTACCCACACCCACTCCTGGGAGGCCTAATTACCAGCCTCTGCAGTCTAAAGTGGGAAGAGTTTGCCTGTATTGGGTGTCCACCTGTAAATCCACCATCAGGCCAGGTGGGCACCGAAGCTGGGTCCTGCTGATGCTGCCGGGCTCCACCCCGGCAATCCCAGCGACCCGTCATCTGGGGTCAGCGAGGAGGGAGCAGGCTGTGGCCTCCCACCTCCCCACTTATCAGCTGTATGCTAGGGGTGGGAGACAGTGTATAAAGAACATTGTGTGGTCATCTGCTCAGATTTGCTCTGCAAGCCCAGAAGCTCCCAGAGGGCAGGGACCATGGCTGTCCTGTTCCTACCTGATCCACAAAGCCCAGAACAGAGCCTGGGCCCTAACTGTTTACTGACTGAGAGGATCATCTTGTCTGCTAAGTGCCTGAAGCCCAGACCTGGCACATAACAGGTGCCTGGTACACGATAATTCCCTCTCCTTGAGCCCTGGAATGACAGATCGTCCCAGGCCCCCAGGGATTCTGGAACCTACGATCTTTCTAGAACACTGTAGTCCCAAAAGGAGAGGATAACAGAAGCCACATGGTTAAAGCACACTAGGATTCACACTAACATTTGCTGAGCACCTACTGTGTGCCAGACACAGTGCACAGACCTCGACTAAAGTATCTGATTTGCTACTCAGATCAATCCTGGGAGGTAGGTGCCGTCACCCGCCACTTTGTGGATGAGGAATGGAGGTTTAGGAAGGTGAAGGAGCTTGCCCAGACTCACCCTGCTGGTGAGTGGCAGAACTGAGATTTGAACCCAGGATTCCTGCACTCCAGAGCCGGCCTCCCAGCTTGTCCTTCACAACACACGATATCTGCACATTGGCACGGGGCTAGACTCATTCCTTGACACCCGAAGCTATGCTGGTTCCGAGCTCACCAGCAGGGTGGCTTCCCCCTCTTCCCGCGGCCCCTGGCCCTGTGATTCCTCCCCTGGTCCTGTGATTCCTTCCAGCGCCCCAGCTTTGGAAAACGCTAGCTGCATCCACCCCTAAGAAACACCCTCAAAGCCATCCTGCAGCCCCAGGCCACTGTGAAACCTGAACAAGGGGTGGGTGGGGTGAGGTGGGTGGTGGCAGGGCCAGGAGCTGGATACAGGGTATTTCTGTCGGGGGCGGAGTCTCACTGACTTGTTCCAATTTCCTGTTAACCTCTGCCTACCCCGGGCCTCAATTTTCCTAGGCAGCTGTACACACCTAAACGAGAAGCAGCTGTACAACTCCGTTCCCACCGCCTGCTCCTCACAGGGGAAAGGGAGGAAGAAGAAAAGGAAGCCATTCGTGGTTTCCAGGGACAACACCTGGAAACACATCCGCAGACGCACAAAGGAGGTTTCCCCTGGGATGCAGGAAGCTGAGGCCTATTCCTGAGGGCAGGGAGGACACTCGCACAGAGGAAACGTGTGGAACTTGGCTCAGGCATGCACTGAGCCCAGGGGAACAGCCTAGAGCCTCTGGCTTGAGGAAGAAGGTGGGCCCCTATCTAGCAGGAAGTCCTGCCCCCAAGCAAGGGCAGAGCCCCTCAGAGGAGGACTCAGGGGTGCAGAGAACCTGGACCCAGGAGCCATCTGGTTCCAGCCCTTGCAAGACAGCTGCATTCTAAGCCTCTGACCCTGGGAAGTGACCTGTCCAGAGGCCGCACAGCCACTTCTCTATGGAACAGCAGCTCCCAGTACAAGGACAAGGCGAAGGCGTGGCTGGTCCGGGGTCCTCCCTGCACAATCCTGTCAAACTCTGGGCTTAAGGAATGGGAAGATGAGGCATCCTCACCTATGGCTGACTTGCTTAGGTAAGGATGACCAAAACGGGCACATCCCTTCCCCTGGTTTTCCTGCAGCGCCTGGACAGTGGACAGCCTTGATACCAGGATTCAGGTGAAGTGGCCAGTGCGGGGCAGTGGTAGCTCTGGCCCCCTCAGGCCCCACATCTGCAAAATGGGGATTCTGCCACCCACTTCAAGGGGTGGAGAAGGGGCACATAGAACTCTCCAGACAGCAAGTCGCTCCTCCTCGCCCCACCCCTCATAAGCTCGGCTGTTTCCTGGACTGTGGTTGCATCTCCCTCAATGCAGCCTGCTCTGGCACTCTGGCCCTCCCTGGCATCTGGTCTCCAGGACCCAAAGAACCGAAATTCCTTTGGTGACTGCAGCTCTGACCTTTCCCCAGCCCCACGTGGACACAGGAGGGAAAGTGAGCTGGGGGTGCGATAACTTGGGGCTGTAAGGGGTGGCCAGGGCTCGAATCACGGCCTGTGCCTGGACCTTCTGTGAATACAGGGCCCGTCCTGGTTCATCACCGTGAGCTGGTTCTCTGGGTGGACACACTGCCCTCCCAGCGCCCTGCCATGTAGAAATCTTCCCTCACTTGGTGAATCCAAACAGGTAATCTGGGAAGGGGACCTGGAATCTGGAGACCACCCCTCCTGCTCTTCATGTCCCACACACAGCCCTGGTGGCTGAGTTGACCCAAGCATGGCGTGACCTCTCTCCCCACCAGCCAGACTGGCTGAGCAGGGCCCCTGTTCCCCACAGAGCAGGTGGGCAGGTGTGCGGGCATGCCAGGGAAGCGTTTGAGACGGGCCGAGACACCAATCCCCTCGGCCTTCTGGTCAGCAGAGGAGGCCTGGGAGGCCTGAACCCCTGGGCTGGGCTCCTCTGTGACCCCAGTCAGGGAACACATTTCATTTTCTGAGTCTGCTCTTAATGTGAAGAAAGCCTGGGAGGTGTTGGCCAGCAATTCTGAACCCAGCCAGCTCCCAGGAAGCAAAGGGAGAGGGTTTGAAAATGCAGATCCCCAGGCCCTGCTCCAGGCTCTGGAATGTTCAGGTTCAGAACCAGGCCTGGCATTTTGGGAAGAGCCCCTGGATAGCTGCGACGAGCATGCCCTGGAATCTCTAACCCAGAGAATCTCTCTAACCCAGAAACTCCAGGGAAGCTCCGTGATCCTAAATGAAACCTGCATCTTCATGCGGAAGCATGAAAGCAGGGGGCAGGGCACCCCAGCCTGCCAGGCCCACGCCACCTACCGCAGGCAGGTGTTCCCATCAAGATGGGACAAGAGGCAGGACAGCCTCTGGCCCTCCAGAGTCACCTCCCAAGTCAGGTGCTCAGTGAGCCTGATGTTAAACACAGAATTCTTTTCAGAAAACATCAAGTTCTGGACTTGAAAGTTCTGGAATCTTGCCTCCTTTCAGGATGGTGGACATCAGAAAAAACGCCTCCAAGAATGGGGCCAAACAGCTTAGCTCGGGCCTTTGTTTCCCACTGAGGACTCCAGAGGACCTCACGGAAGGCTTAGTTAAAGACGAAGGCAGGCGGGGTGGGTCCTGGGATCCTCTCACACACGAACGCCTGGATTCATTTGACGGATACCTACCAAGCCCCTACTATGTGGCCAGTCCTGGGTACTGGGGATGCAGATAAATGCAGTAGACAAAAGTACCTGCTTTGTGGAGCTGACAGTTTAAGCAGGGCAAGAGACACAAGAAAAAGATAAAATATTTTAAATGCGGTAGTCAGGGAAGGTCACAGTGAAAAGGTGACATTTAAGCAGAGACCTGAAGAAGGTGAGGAAGTGGGCATGTGGATACCTGGGGAAACTGCATTCCAGCAAAAGGCAGGTGCAAAGGTCCTGGGGCAGGTGCGCAGTTCTAGGAATGACAGTGTGTTCTAGGAATGACAGTGAGGAGGCCGCTGTGGCTGCAGCAGGGGCCAGGAGAGGCAGAAGAACAGAAGCTGAGGTCAGCAGGAGTCGGCAGTCAGATGACATGGGGCCTCGCAGGTCAGACTCCAAGTGAGATGGGAGGACCCTGGAGGGCTGGCTGCAGAGCCTCAGTCTGATTGGACTTATTTATAGGTAGGAGATATCTTCAAACACACAAGGTATGACTGTCTAAGGATCATTTGTGGCCTTAGAATCTCCTGTCCCAGCAAATAAAGAGATGCATAGGCAAAATGGCCTGCTGCAAGGGCCAAGAGAGTGCAAGAATGTCCCTAAAAATAACACTGTGGACTGCTTTTCCTTGGCACAAAAGATCGACTGCACTGAACATTTAAGTGTGGTCACTAGGGGTCACTGGTGTTCTCCAGGCCTCCAGCCGCCCTGCTCTCTGGCCCGAGGCTCTTGCTGCACTTGGTGGTGCCCGCACCCCACTGCAGCTCTAACCCACAGTTCAGTACTGAGGACAGATTCGCCTCCTAAGCATTCCAGTGACCTAATATCGACCCTTTGCACCAGCCCTCTGCCGCCCTTACAAGTCCATGCCTCCATCCTGAAGACCTGGGCTTGGTCCTAATGGAGCCCCCAAAAATGTAGCCCGAGAGTCCAGTACCCCCAGAACTCACCCGGCACGGAGAAGGGGGACAGGAAGTCAGCCTCCACCGGCTCTGGCTCTGGCGGTGGTGGCTGTGGCGGCGGCTGCTGCTCCTGATTCTGCTGAGGGTCTTCGGGGTTTTCCACAGGAACATTCCCGTTCTCAATGTTCTCGTGCCTCCCGTTTTGAAGCGGCTTACTGCTCACACCATTGGCCGAGTTGATCAGTCTCTGCCGCTGTGTGGACAGGAGGCAACATGGACACCAAGGCATGTGATAAAGCATCATGCTATTGCTATACGCTGGGTCCCTCACACGCACCCTGCTCTTACAGGTGCCTAGAACAACAACCCTGGGGACAGGTTTGCCTGAGAATCAGCCCCAGGACCTTGGAATCCTTCTATGTTTGGTCACTTACATTTGCATGGTTACCAGGAAAACTTTGAGGATTTATCAGAGGGCCTGGGCCACCCCTTCCTACTGCCAGCTCGACAACCCAGCCCACGGCCCTGGTGACAGCCATCATTCGGGGCTCTCCCTGGTGACGTTCACAGCTGCCTGAAGATGGCCACAGGAAAGGCCCTGCGTGCATTTTGTAATTTTTAATTTTTTAGGTACATTATACAAAATGTACACTCACTGCCGGGCACGGTGGCTCATGCTTGTAATCCCAGCACTTTGGGAGGCCGAGGTGGGTGGATCACTTGAGGTCAGGAGTTCAAGATCAGCCTGGCCAACATGGTGAAACCCTGTCTCTACTAAAAATACAAAAACTAGCCAGCCGTGGTGGTAGGCCCCCGTAATCCCAGCTACTTAGGAGGCTGAGGCAGGAGAATCGCTTGAACCCGGGAGGCAGAGGTTGCAGTGAGCTGAGATAATGCCTGGGCAACAAAAGCAAGACTCTGTCCTAAAAAAAAAAAGTACACTTACACTAAGTGCACAGATTAATGATGTTTTACATCAAGATGTATAACATTTCCAGCCCCTTCAAAGACTCGCCTCAGGCACTTTCCTAGTCTACATACCCCTACTCCAGAGGTAACCAAGGCAACCACTTTGCTGACTTTTGTAAACATTGATTAGTTTTTCCTGAACTTGAACTTCATATAAATGGATTCAAGTATTAATGTATATTTTATGACTGGCTTCTTTCAGGCAACCAATAGCCATGAGATTCACCCAGCTTGTTGCATGAGTCAGCAGTTTGTTATTTTTCATGGCTGTGTAGTATTCTATTATATTGAATAACCCACGATATGGCTTTGCCTATTGATGGGCATTCAGATAGTTTCCCCTTTTTGGTTGTTATGAAGACTGCAGCTATGCACATTTGTGTACATGTCTTTTGTGGACATACAGCCTTTCGGTGTGTGTCACTGAAATTTTTAGAGCTGAAAGCATCCTGTTCAATACCCTCACATTAAGTGGGCTAGCGGCTGATGTGAGATTGAAGCTCAGAATTCCTTCCTTCTGGACCCGGCTTCTCCAGCTCTCCATGCTGCCTTCCAGGTAGTTCAATCACAACATGGTGGAAGATAAAGTCTTCCCAGTAGCTTAGAACATTTAGGGCATAATAACCAGTATCTCAGCAACTTACCAAAACCTATTCCTTTCCCGGCTATATATGCCATGAAAAAGATACTATAAATCCCAATCTCTAAATCCTTAAAAGTTATTCAACCCTCCCCACCCTCTCAGCACCCAGTGGGTACAATTAATGCATGCATGAAAGACGGCCTGGATTCGGTCAAATTTCATTGATTCAAATTTTACCGAATTGGACCGAAATGATTCACAATGATTCAAAACTTTGGAAAGGTGTTTCCTTTTCTTAATATACTTTCTACAGAGAGGGCACAGTACACATTAAATCAAAGAGAAATGTTTACAATATGAACCCGTAGGCACTGTGAAATATCGTTCTTGCATACAATCTATGTGTTAACTACTAATTATCAGCGATCACAGTTTGAAGTCTACCAACCCATCTGCTTCTCAGAGTAAGGACTTAAAATTCCAAAATGCACACATGCAACAAAGACTGGAAAAGTTGGTGAGCAATGAACCTATCTTTGCTATACTGTTTATACATTAAATAATATTAAAATCATTATCTCTGCAAGTGAGAAATAAAAGCACCCCATTTAAACACAGCAAGAGTGAAAATGAAGCCCCAGAGGTCACTGCTGCTCATTAGTGTCTTAGATTTCCTTCTGGAGTTGTTCTGTCCACAGAGAACAGGTGTGAACTCATCTTTTTTGTTTTGCCCTAAACAACATTTTAAAGAAATAATCCATACTTCAGGCTGGCCTTTCTCCAATTAGTTCTACTCTAGTGCCTGACAAAATACTTAGTGAAATATCTCAGGCAAGGTATTCGATTGCTGCAGGCTTTAAAATATCTCTTCAAAGGATAATTTGCTGCCTGTGGCTGATGGGCAGGCTTCTGGAGGCCCCAGGGCATCCTTCCTTAAACAGGTGCAGTGATCAATGGCACCAGGAAGAGCCCTAACAAGCCAAGGCCTCCTGCATCCAAGGCTGCTCACTTTTATGGTCCTTCAAGCAAACTCACCTCATTAATGATGATCCTGCTGGCCATCCGTAGTCGGGTCCTGGGTCCAAACTTATTGGTGATCATGATTCGTAAGCCTGCTTCAGGGAAGGTGAACTTGGGAGGGCTGGAGCTCATAATCTCGTCCACCATCACCACGGGGTTCTTGCCATACTGTGGCTTCTCCTTCACTGTTGAGCGCAACACCGTGATTAGTGCTGATCTCTCTGAGGACAACACCCAAGTGCTGGGGCCACTGACTTCCCCTCACCTTGTGAGCTGCCCTAGGCTGTGGTCCTGGCAGCTGGCAGCCACCGGGAAGTCTGGATGCCTGGCTTCAACTCCTCATGTCAGGCAAAGTGGGTCACTAGCTTTGAAACACCTGCTGACCTAGTGTGTGAAGCCCAGTGTGTCCCCTTGCTCCAGGACCACTCGTGGGCAATTGATGCTCTTTTCGCCTCTCTTCTGGGGCCCAGTCTTGGCTAATTACAAGGGTCTTTCAGTTCGTTATCTAAGCCTTACCAGGGCAGCCAACCTACAATACACACGGGGGCCTACCACTTTTCACCCATGACTATGAGGGGACCTTTCTTTCCCCCACGTACAGAGGCTCAGATGAAATTTTGCAAATTGACAAGGGTCCCCGGGGTGGAAAATGTTGCAGAGCAGTGGGCACTGGCTCTGAACTTCCTACGAGGCCACCTGCTCTGTCTGCAGGACAGAATGCTTGTAACTTTGTTCTTTATAAGGGCAAGTAGTGAGGTCAAAGATTTAGATCATGGGACCTAGACAGGCAACTAAGACCCAGGAGAGGAGCCTGCTTGTTTGAGGGTGCACGGTGAGCCGCTGGCTGAGCCCAGTGACTATAAACCCTGACACCCTCCGGAGGGAGGCTGGTCTCTCTGACCCTTTCCTTCCCCTCACAATGGGGAGGAACAAAACTCCCTGTCCCCAGACCTCTTTCTTGCCATCTTCATAAACCTGCACTGGGCCGGTATCCTTGGGAATTTCACATTTGACTCCAGATCCCTAGGAGGGTCTAGTTACAAAACTGCTCATGAACACAGCATGCAGAAGCAGGCAGAGTGTTCCCCTCCAAAGGGCTATAAAAATGGATAGGACTGTCCCTCTGCACTGGTTACCAGCTCCTGGTGTGTCCTTTACGGGTTTTAGGGTAACCAGCGAATAGGTCCGGAGAGCAAACCCGTGTAAGAGTTAATAGCACAAAAGCACACCAGACACACACACTCCTCACCAAACAGGCAGCAAGGCTCAGCAGACAGGAGGCGTGTGGGTTAGAAAACAAAGCCAGGAGAACATGCATTTGTCAGAGATGGACGCTAACCTCTAACGAGGCGCGCAGTGCGTTGGTGGGCTGGGCTTGTGGTTGGCTGTTTTGCTTGAAATGCACGTGTTATCGCGTGGATGAAAGCTGACTACTTACAATTTAGAAGAGGAGGAGAGTTAAGGAGACAAAGGCCAACAGAAACTGCCAGAGATGATTAGCGTGCGGTGGGTGCCGAGAGTCTGGGGCAGCACTCTTGGTGGTGGCGAAGATGCCAGGGGTTATGTGCTGGAGAGTGTTATTAGCGGGCTCCTTCTATGGGGAGCATCAACACTTGGGGCCTCTGGCCTTTGGGATGACTCCTGTCCTGGCTGATTCGATGGCTCTGCTTCCACTCTGAGGAGCAGGAGCCCCCTCCACAGCTCATGCCCTCAGCCCCTCACTGCTGCATGAAAGCTCAAATCCCTCCCTGCTCAGAAGCCTCCATCCCAGAGGAAGACGGAACCCACAGAAAACGCAGCTTCAGGCTCCATCCTACAGAACCAACCCCATGCCAGGTACTGCTGGAGGAACAACTGGGCTCAGAAGGAGAGAGCCTGGAGTCTGTGAGACAAGAGCCAGGCCTCCCCCTTCTCTAATTCCAGGAGTACAGGCCTGCACCCCCACTTCCTTCCACACTCTCTAGGTAGTATTCTCTCTTGGCCCTTATCTAAATGCATTCACTCTGATAAAAGCTACAGGAAGATGGAATTCTCCTTCCTTCCCCAGGATGCCTGCCTCCCGGGACAGCTTGTCCTGGTGTCCCCTGACCAATGACAGAACAAGGGTGTGTGCCCATGCCCGGAGTGGCTGCCGGGAAAAGAACTCAATGACAGCACATTCTCCCAGCAGTCCAGCCCCAGGCCAGGCATCACCCCCAACTCTCCCCACTCCAAACCAAGGCTGTGCCCAGGGCCAGGGCAGCCTGGAAGGGTCCACAGTGTGCCTCCTGGGCGAGGCCGGCAGGCAAGTGGCCCAGGCTGTGTTCAAGGCCACCTGAGAAGCACCAGGAGGCTGCTTTGGTGAGCCAAGCCACACAGCCTTTAAGAACGTTTCAGTACTCAAACGCCTTTTATCAGTGTGGTGGGGAAAAGGCTTTCTGCCCACTTTTCCTGTCAAGAAGCTGGAAGATAAAACTTTGGGTTTTCTATGGGAAACCCAAAAACTGAGAACAGCTCGATCGGGCCTGAGAGTGTGTGCTCTTGAAGAATCTCCCAGCCAGCAACCCGTGCATTCCTTTGGGTGGGGTGGCCACACAGCGACCTGCTTGGAGCTGGGCACAGGGAAAGAAACCCCAATGTCATCTCCAGCCAAAAGATTCCATGGCACCGCCCTTAGGAAAGGAAAAGCCCCAAAGCCCTGGCCTCCCCAGTCCCACCCAGGGTGTTACCGGGGGCTCCTTCCTCCTGCTTCAGTCGAGTCTACGCAGGGGACAGTGCAGAACAGTGACTCACACATGGCCCTCTGGGAGCCTCTTATGATAGGGGCAGTAAAAGTGGGGTGAAGAAATCCCCACGTCTGCCTCTCCAGGTCTCCCCTTTCTCCAATTCCAGGCGTCCAGGCCTGTACCCCACTTCCCTCCACACTTTCTGAGGACTGTTTTCTCCCTTGGCCCTTATCTAAATGCATTCCCTCTGATAAAAGCTGCAGGAAGATGGGATTCTCCCTCCTTCCCCAGTGCTTGGGGGCAGTCCTGTGTCCAGTCTTCCAGTTTTCCAGAAAATGTCCTGGACTTAAAGAGATTTGGGAGAAAATAAACTTGCAAGGAAGTGCTACTGTCACAGGCACAGAGTGATGGAGACAGTCACAGCAGTGCCAGAAAAGGCACTGTGTAGGCGGGGGCCTCTGGGAGCCTGGGTTGCTCTGGGAAGGTGAGGAGCTGAGGCCCCCATGCTGTGAATGAGGAATGTTTCCTGCAGGGTCCTGGGAGGTCTCCTGGGTTGGCACAGGTGGTGGGTGGCTCTTGGATGGGCATCTGCCACTGGCCTGAGTGACTCAGCACACAATACTTCTCTTCTTCACCATGAAGGCCCAGAGGACCCAGAAGCACCATATATACGACAGGGCAGCAACCAGCCTCTGTCCTGCCAGCCTGTGTGTGGGGACCAGGCTGTGTGTGGGGACCGTCTCGGGGCCACTGCGTCCATAGAGCTAAAATCCGACACAGCCGCCCTCATGGCTCCTTCCCCTTCTGAGGTTGTCCTGGAAACGGGCTTCCCCTGGGGTAGTCTGCTCAGCATTTATGAAACACGACACACGAATCAAACTCCATGCCCATCAGCTCCTCAGCTCTGTCCTTTGTGGGTGGGCCTCAGCAGCCAGGCTGTGGCCTGGACCGCACCCCGCCACCCTGGCAGGTTTCCTCCTTCTATACGGAGAGACTCCTCCCTCTTGGGGGTTACCTGAGACAGGGCAGAACAGACTCCCAAAATGCACATGGGAGGAAGCCCCTGCCTTCATCGGCTCCAGGATGATGACTGGAGAGGGGGCCCAGAAATACAGATTCTGCACCCCAGATGTCCCAGACACATCTGAGACCACTCCATCCCACCAGTGACATCACAAAAGAGTTCACCTAAAAGAGGAGGTGATTAGCCCCAGGCCATGGAGAAAGCGGGGGAAAGAGCCCCCAGACACCAGTGCAAGGCGCTCACCTGGTGAAGGCCTTGCCCAACACTGTGGGTGGAGGTCAGACCTGTTTTTCCATACCAATTGCAAGAACCAGCCCCTGCTCTCCTACTGGTCTGGGCTAGAGTGAACGCTCTCTCCTTCCCGGCAGCTGCCCCAACAAAGGGAGCCGCCTGGTCATTGGTCTTGGATTATTCAGGTTTCCAAGGAAGCCATCGGTCAGGCCCAGATGATTCAGAGAATTCAGTAAGACACGACAGCAGATGGCTCTGGAGGCCCAGACCCCCAGTTCCCGGACAAGGGGGCCAAAGAGCCGCTGGGGAGACGAGGCTGCTGCCCCAGGGGAAGGGGCTCCCCGGCGGGGCTGTCTGAGGCTGGCCTGGGGATGCCTGCTCAGCTTCATGTCTGCCTTTCCTGGCCTTGTTCTTCCTCCGGGCAACAGTTCCCAGCCCGAGAACCCATGCTTTGTCCAGAGCCGTTCTCCATCCAGGACTGGGTCTGGCATTTGAGAAACCGCAGGGAGGCCCAGGCTGGCTCTGCTGCCCCAGCTCCTCAGCTGCCTGTCGTGGGCCCTTACAGGGGTCAGGGATACCACTGCATTCTGAAGAGCCAAGCAGGCCTTACGCCTTTCCCAGAAGGCATGGGAAAGCGCCCAGAAACGTGGCTGTGGTTTTTCTCTTTCCTGGTGTAGTTTCCCTCCACCCCTGCCCCACCTAAGCAAACCCCATCTCCCATACTGACTCTCCCTCCTCTCTTAGGGCACCTGTGGTCAAAGGTAAGAGAGTGACAATTTAGAGGGGGGACATTGTGAGAGGGTGTGTGTGTGTGTGTGTGTGTGTGTGTGTGTGTGTGTGTGTACACAAAAGAGGAGAGAGTGGCTTCCAGGACACATTTCTGCCCACTCCTGTCTGCTCAGCCTTACCTTGCCCCAGCAATGGCACGGAAGGGTCATCATAGCTACCGTCATAGAAATCATTACCAGCCTCCAGCTCACTGTTGACCGGGTTACCGTTTGCAATGCTCTTTTGTTTGACTGTGAAAAAGGCTTGCATCTTCACATTGTACCTGGAAGCGAGGGGAGGCAGGAGGTCAGGGCAATGGAAAGGAGTCCCACCAACTGGGCAGCGGGTGGATCACACCCCATCCCTGCACGCAGTCAGCACAGCCCAGGAGTGGTGGGTGGCAGGGGAGGTGTGGAGCCTCAGCTTTTCAACTGGGCTGACAGTTTCCTGACAGGGACCTGGGAGCATTGTGTTGTCTGGTGGCACCTGCTCCTATTGAGCTGGTGGTGGACTTCCTGGAGGCATGAGAGAACTTTCACCTAAGAAAATGACTGAGGCCTACTTACTGGAGCCTGTCCTAATAAAGGAAGCTCGGCCTCGCCTCTGGGCAGGCTCGCAGGGGGCATTACCAGGCCTGTCCCCTCTCCCCCAGCAGCAGATCTTGCTCCCAGGATGCTCACGGGCACCTCCTGCACACTCACAGCCAGCACTGCCATCACCCCTGAGGGAAGAGTCTCTCCATCTCAAAGAACCTCAGGCGGGCTCTCGCTGAAAGGCACTCAGAGTGGAGATCATTTAAGGACAATGCTCTTGCAGTCTGATAGTTTATCACCCATCTTTATAAAACATTATAAATGTTTTATATAAATGTGGGATTTATATCCTCATAAAACCCAGAGTGTTGTCTTTTTAATTACGTATCGCGGTATGAGGAGGAAGATGAACCTGAACATGGCTCAGCTCATGAGTAGGGATTTGTGTGTGTGTGTGTGTGTGTGTGTGTGTGTGTGTATGTAGTGGGAAAAAAATATATGTCATAACATTAACCATTCTAACTACTTTCCCTTTTTAAGGGCACAAAACAGTGGCATTAATTACATTCACATTGTTCTACAACCATCAGCACGGTTCCCAAACCATTTGTATCATCCCAAACAACACTATTCCCACTAATCATTAATTCCTCCTTCTTTGCTCCCCAGCCGCCTGCACTGACCTCTGGTCCACCTCTATGAATCTGGCTCTTCTAGATCCCTCATGTAAGTGCAATCAGACAATAGTTGTCCTTTTGTGACTGGCTTCTTCCACTTAGCATAATGTTTTCCAGGTTCATCCATGTGGTAGACTGTCAGAACGTTATTCCTTTTTCTGGCTGCATAGTATTCCTCATGGGTAGTTTTGAGATGGTTCTGACCTGGGTAGCTTCTCGAGGGGCTCAAGGTGGCATAGCCTGAGTTTGCATCCTCAGTACTATCAGTGGTGCTGCAGTTGTACCAAGCACTGGCCCTGAGAAGTGGCATTTTATGAAGCCTGGGGCAGACCTGCCTGGCTTTTTGAAAAGAGTGGTATTAAATTATCAGAAGGCTTCTAGAGACAGCACAAGTGAGTGGTTACCCTGGGGCATGGAGAAGCTGCCCAGAGCAGGGCGGGAAAGAGGCCCTTGCATGCTACTTGTCTGGAGAGCAGCCTTGTGGTCCACACATCAGCCACCAGCGTGACTCCCCTGGCCTCAGTGTGGACGGCACCCCCGGAACAGCATCTGACACCCCTCCCCTACTCCAGCTGTCCCCCAGCAGGGTGTCTACCAGAGAGCTGGGGCTGGCCTAAAAGGACAAAGATCTGACAGATGTTTTTCTCCCTGCTGTCACAAAAGGCTGTAGCAGGCAGTGGGGCAAGGCGTCGGCAGCCCCGGGGAGGAGAAAGGGCACTTACTTCATGATCAGAATATAAAACACATACAAGATGATGAGCACCAGGCCTTCCCACCTCAAAGAGAGAAAGGAGATTGCGGTTAGAGCTCGGGGCCCGGGGCAGGTGAAGGCTGGGAATGAGGGGTCCAGAAGTGGGGAAGGGCGGGATGTCTTTACCTCCCCCGCCCCTAGTGCCGGGCCCAGAACCCAGGCATGTGAGAGAGATCCCCCAGCCTGTGGCTGTCTTGCCACCAGCAGCCCTCTTGATGTTCAAGCGAGAAAAGCTGAGGGGTCTCTTCTCAACTATAGAGGTCTGCAGGACAGAGGTGGGGTTCCCTCAGCTTCCTAGAAAAAGGAGGGACTAGGGCCACCATGTCCCAGTATTCACGGAGGCTAGTGGCGTGGCCTGAAGTCACACAAACTCGACCCTGAGAGACCCTGTGATCACCCAAGATTCTGGGCAGGAGCCAGAGAAGCTGTGGGTGTGGGAGGAAAGGGGCCCCAGTCCCGGAAGTAGGGCCTGAGAGCTGACTGAATATGCGGCAGGTGGCACAGGAGCCTCCCAGGCCTTATGCTGCCCATGGAAGGCTGGGGTCTTCCTGGGATGCAACCATTACTACCCTCTGGTGCATCCCACCCAATCCCATTAGCAGTGGGGATTTCTGTAGCTCTGACCACAAGCCCCTGGAGCAGCACACAAGCTTTAGCTTGTTCATTCACTTGACACATATAAACCAAAGCCCACTATGTGTCCAGCATGGGCTACAGTTGTTTTGGGAGCTCTTCCTTTGCTAACCTCCAGATCATGGAACCACTGCCATCTCAACCCTGTCTACAGATGACGAAAATGAAACCCAAGAGTTCAGAGGCTTTCCTGGGGCCACACAGCAGATTGGGGGCCAGGAGAGGACCAGAACCAGGTTTCTGGGGGCCCATAGCACACAGCTGCTCAGGGCAGGTGGCTGATGTCCTCGGCCTGATTGTCTGACTCTCTTTCCATAAATAATCATACAGGACACAGCCTGTAATCCAGACACTTTGGGAGGCCAAGGCAGGTGGATCACTTGAGCCCAGGAGTTCGAGACCAGCCTGGCCAACATGGTGAAACCCCATCTCTACAAAAAATTAAAAAATTAGACAGGTGTGGTGGCATGCACCTGTAGTCCCAGCTACTTGGGAGGCTGAGGCACATGAATCACTTGAGCCGAGATGGCACCACTGCACTCTAGCCTGGGCGACAGAGTAAGACCGGGTCTCAAAAAAAAAAAAACATAGAATGCACGCAGATTCTGAATCGTTGGCAATCAAAAGAAAATTTTTATGAGTTACAAATGTAAGATGCATTCCCATGCTATCAAATAGAGTGGAAACATCAACCTGTTCCTCAGAAGTTTGTGATTTATGTATCTGTTTTGGGGGACGGGGTCTCACTATGTTGCTCAGGCTGGTCTCAAACTCCTGGGCGCAAGCCATTCTCCCACCTCAGCCTCCTTAGTAGCTGAAATTACAGGTGTGAGCCACCATGCCTGGCTATGTATCTTAATTAGGAAATCAATTCCTACCTCAGTGTCTTAAAGATGAGTCTCTATATTTTCTTTGACATTTTCTAAAAAGTCTCAGTTTTACAGTAATATCTTTAAATCACCTGGAGTTTACCCTTGTATAAGGTGTGAGGTAGGGATCTGATGTTGTGTTGTTCTGTGTGGATTCCCAGTTGTCCCTGCAGCATTCAAGACTCTATTCCTAACTCACTGCCTTATTATGACATCTCTGCAATGTCCCCCATTCCAGAAATAGGCCCATTACTGCATTCCATATTGGCCTATGCATATCCCTTTGCAAAATACCATACTGTTTTCAGAATTTTTGCTTTATAATATATCCTGATACCTAGCAGGCTGGGACTATTAAGGGAAACAATTTTTCTCACTTTGACAGGATAAAGAAAGGCATGACTGCTTAGAATATCTTTTTTTCACTTTCACAAGTTAATAAGCTTAAGTTTATAAAAATAATTTTTAAAACGATTCAGGGAACCCAACAAATAAGGATACTGGAAACAACAACAAAAAAGAACAATGAAAACTACACTTGAAAAACTTACCACACAATTTGTTCATCATATATGAACTGTAAGGCAAAAGAAACAGAGTTGAGGTGGGTGGGACATATTTATTTCCAAACAAGAACAAGCACGGACACCCAGGCACCCAGAGCCAATTTATACTGGCCTTGTTATATGTGTTATGGGTCCATTTCTGAGCTGCTCACCTACGGGCCTTTCCTTAGTGTAGCCTAGGCCAGCAGTGTACTGTATCACAAGGCCCCAGCTTAGCATGGCCACCCCCAGAGATACGTCCTGTGCTTTATAACAGTCCAAGTAGCTGCTGGGGGCTAACCTGGCAGAAGCCTCCCCTTATTCATGGAGTAGAGTTGCTACAATCAAGAAATCTCAAAGACTGAAAGATAGCTAAGTGTGTGTGTGTGTGTGTGTGTGTGTGTGTGTGTGTGTGTATGTGTGTGTATATAGGGTGTGTGTGTGTATATATGGTGTGCAAGTGTTGTTGGAGGGTGTATCATTTTTTTGTTTTTGAGACGTAGTCTTGCTCTGTCTCCCAGGCTGAAGTGCAGCAGTGCGATTTTGGCTCACTGCAACCTCCGTCTCCCAGGTTCAAGCAATTCTCCTGCCTCAGGCTCCCAAGTAGTTGGAATTACAGGCATGCACCACCAAACCCGGCTAATTTTTATACTTTTAGTAGAGACAAGGTTTCACCATGTTGGCCAGGCTGGTCTCAAACTCTTGACCTCAAGTGATCAGCCCGCCTCGGCCTTCCAAAGTGCTAGGATTACAGGCGTGAGCCACCGCGCCCAGCCTTCACTTCATTTTATAAATCAAAGAGTTTTTACATCGTTTTAGTGAATCCTTAATTTTCTAGTAAGGTAACTGTCATGCAAATTAAGGAATGATTATACTTTGCTCTGTTTGGAATTTTATCAGCAGTCATTCATTATTGTGGAAAATCACATCATCAACATCGGCACCACCCACGGGGCTTAGGTGCCAGCCCATAACTTGGGCATCAGTTTGCATTTGTACTAGACGGTCTCAGAGATTGTTTTTGTGTGGGAGGGAACCAATCCCTTCATTGGATCTCCTGGCATATCCGTGCCAAAACATTTACATACTGAAATATGTATTCTTTTATTATAGATTATATTTCTCCTTTGTATTATAGTTAGGGCATATGTTGACCTTTTTGAAATCATGTATCCGTAGATTGTTTTATCTGTAGAATCATCGCAGACATCTATTTTTTGGGGGGTGTGGTAGGCAGCCTGTAGGGGGGTCCCCATGCTCCCACTGCGTGACATTCATGCTTCCCTAGCATGTGGGCTGCACCTGGTGACTTGCTTCCAACAAACAGAATACGGCATACACGGCAGGTATCACTCCCAAGAGCAGGTTAGGAAAAGGCTGTGGCTTCCACCTTGGTGCCTCTGGCCCTCGCTCTGAGGGAAGCCCGCCACCCAGCTGAGAGCTGCCCTGTGGAACAGCCAGTAGCCCAAGCCCTGCCCACAGCCACATGAGTGACCCTGCAAGCGCAGCCCTGCCCGCCAAGCTCTGCGATGATTCTACCCTGGCTAAGGCCTTAACTACAGCCCAGCAGAGGACCTGGCCTACAGGACCCAGCTGTACCATTTCTGACTGGTTTCTCAGCAGTTTGAGACAAAGATTTATTCTCTCCTGCTTTCTGTGGGAGAGGTTTTGGGTCTGAGGTTTTGGGGAAAGGGAGGCACAGTGCTGGGGGTCGGGGCGCTGGTCACTGTGACCGCAGTGAGTGGCTGGCACACCCCACTATTGTGTGCTGTGAGTCCTCTCTGGTCACAGTGCCAGGGGCAGAGATGGGCAGGGGTCCTGTGCCTTCGCAGGGTCCCAGCCAACCTGACCTTGGGGGCAGAGGGGCAACTCACCACGATGAGCACGATGACAGAGATGGTGTAGTACACGGAGTCTCGGCACACGGCCCACCACGTCAGACGGACCACCTGCCAGCAGAGCCCCGTCGTTGGCTGCTATGAGCGCAGAAGCGGGGAGGGGGTGCAGCTGCCCAGGCCTCCTCCCCCCGCAGTGCAGGGCATGCCCACAGAGCTCCACCTCCTAACTCCAGGCCACGCTTGTTCTTTGTTATAATTTGGGGAACAGAATGAAACCAAGTAATGTTCTCAAGCCATGGCAAAGCTGCCCTCTATTCCTCTGAGGTCAGAACAGTGTGTGTTTCACAGCAGAGGCCAGAGGCTCTCGCTCTCCACCGGACCCTGGCACTTTCAGGCACAGTCGGCTGCCCACTTCCATCTCCCTCTGCAAGGCAGGGCCTCACTCATGAGCCCGCCTCTCTGAGGTCAAGTCCAACATTCCCCCTGGGGCTCTGAGGATATCTAATGGGGTATCAATGACAATCCAGCTTCATGCTCCCTGTTGGAGAGGCCAAAACCAGGCCCCAAATGTATCCAGAATCCAGCTCAGCTGTCCTGTGGGCGTCCCCACTGCTACCCCAACCTCTTGTCATTAGAGGCTCATCCCCCACGCTTCAGGGCATGCATCTGCCGGGCCCAGGGAGAAACCACTGACCTGGCCAGCAAACAGTCCGCACACTCCAATTATGCACAGGATGTTGAACACAGCAGAGCCCACGATGGTGCCCACCCCGACGTCCCCATGGGTGATGAACACCCCTGGAAAGGAAACACACAGACCCTGGGCCTCAGCCACACGTCCCCAGCCTGCCCCTTCCTCAGTGTCCCCCTTTCACAGGAAAGTGGGTTGCTTTACTAACAAACAGAGCACCCGTGAAGCGGAAGAGAATGGCAGAAGCAGTGGCAGAACCAGGGAGGTGGAAATGCCACCAGGGACCAGCTACTCCAATCTTCCCTTTTTCTCTGAGCAGCTTTACTCAGATATAATGTGCATGCTATAAAATTTACCCATTTAAATATACAATTCGGTGGTTTTAGTATATTCACAGAATTGTGCAACCAAAACCACAATCTAATTTTAGAATATTTTTATCACCTTAAAAAGAACATTTTTATCACCCCTCAGCACCCTACTCTACCACATGCCCCAAGAAACCACCAGTCTACTTACTGCCTCTCCAATTCTCCCATTTTACAGATGAGAAAACTGAGGCTCAGAGCTGACAAATGCCCCCACTGCTCTGGGCACCAAATGGACTCTCTAGATCCTGTGTCTCAGGCTGGAGGGGATTTCTTACCAATAACAGACGCAAACAGCTCTGGCGTTGAGCTTCCTGCAGCCATGAAGGTGGCTCCAGCCACATCTTCGCTCAGATGGAGTCTCTGAAACGGAAGTGACCACAGACCCTCAGGGTGTGACGTGGGGGTACTGGACATCACTGGACGCTCTACAGCCAAGGAGCATGCAGGAGAGCAGTGCTGCAGCCAGAGGCAAACTCGTCTGCCTGCAGCCTCTCACCCCTGGGCACATGCTGTGTGCCCTCTGCCATCTGCCCTCCAGCCTCCACCAGGCATTCCACTCAGAGCCCCTTCCCCACCCCCAACTATCTCCTTTCTGTTTGTCCTCCAAGCCCGTGACCAAATAATGTCTCCCTGATGAAGTCTTCCTAGGCATCCACTCAGAGCTAGCCACTTCCCTCAGATACACGATGTGTTTTATCTGCTGTTACTGAAACGTGAATTTCACATGAGGGTTTGTGGTCCACACGCTTGCCTTCCCTCACCGGATGATGAGGGCAGCAACTGGTCTTTCCCAACTTTGCATCCCTGGTGCCTAGAACAGGGTCTGGCACAGAGTGGTGCTCCACAGGCACACACTAGTCTAGTGACCATCCCCTCCCATGCCGGTTTTGGGTACTGGGGGCCTCAATGAGAATGTCAGCATTGTGGATCTGGAGGCCTCTGGCCTGCAGCTGGGCCTTGCATTCTGGAAGGCCTTCTCCACGGCAGGCCTGACATCCAGTGGCTCACAAAGACCCAGAGGTACTGGTTCCAGGGTTAAGCTGGCACGGGACAGGACGGGAACTCATGGTTGGGGCCTGTTCTGCCTGTCCGGGTCATGTCTGGCCACAGAGCCCATCCTCTGATCCGAAATGCAGCGCTGGAGGCTTTGGATGTTTGGAGAAACCGTGGAGACTGAGGGTCTGCCTGAAAACCAATCTGGAGGCGCCCACTCTGCGGTTCTCAGAAGGCCTCTCAGGACAGGGCTCACCTCCACCAGCCCCAACTCCCAAAGTATCCCTGAGCAGCCCTGGGTTCTGGGGCCACCAAGGAACCCACTGGTCAGCTAAGCCTTAGAGGGGTCCTCAGAAGGGTTAGAGCTCTGGGCTTGACGGAGTCTGGGGTGGGGGCACAGCATCGATCTCCAGGGCAGAAGCCGGCCACCTTAACCCTGCCAAAAAGCACGGTTCCACAGAAGAGGCTCTGCCACCAAAGGATCTCCAAAACTCTCAGCAGAACCCAAACCATGCTGCCTCCTGTCCTCCCTCCTCCCTGCCTTTGCCTGGGCCATTCCTTCCGCCTGGGATGCCCTTCCCTTCCCTTCCCTTCCCTTCCCTCTCTGCTTGCTAAACTCCTTCCCACTTCTGAAACCTGGACCCAATGCCACCTCCTCCATGAAGCCTTCCCAGATTTCTCCCCCAAGAGAGATGCTCCCCCTCTCCCTTTGGCTCCCCTGTCCTTTAATGTCTCTCACTAAGCCCTTGACATTGGTCTTACCTACAGAGCTAAGACCACCACCCTTGCTCACCTCTATCCTTAGGGATACAGGTAACCCTACGGGGTGCATGCACCTCCACTGTATGTGGCCCTACACTGTAGTCACCCACCTTTCACCTTCCATAGGCTCCCATCAACCCCATTGCTATGGCCTCCCCAAGCTCTCAGCCTAGCGGGTGGGTCCTAGGTGTGTATTCAGTAAGGATCAGCTGACTGTATCCTTCCCAAGGGCCCCCTCTGGAAGGCAGAAGCAACAACACTTAATAACCGCCATCGCTGCAGCGCACACTCCACAGGGGCCCTGGGTGGACCCTCCCACACGATCATCCCAGTGGGCATTTCTGGACTCTGTTCCTCACCCTCCTCCCCTGGCTTCATTCCCTCACTGACAAGCGTCTGGATGGAGGCGAGCACATGGCTCCATCTGAGGGGATGTGGGGTAAGGGGAGGCCTTTGCACACGTTTGCCAGGTCACCGCTTGGGGGGCCCAGGTCCAAAGCAGCCAGTCCCAATTCTGCAAGGACACTGAGCTCCCCAAGCTGGGCCCAGCAGGGGGAAAGTCACGGGGAAGCACCTGCCCTGAACAACCCACCCTCCCAGCTGCAAATGTCACCATGAAGACATGGTCTCAAACACGCGGGAGATTTCACAGGGATGAAGGGTGGTAAAGCCCTGGGCACTCCACACACAGGAGGTGCTGCAAACGGAAGTCAATTTCCTTCCTTGACTAGAAGCCAAGAATAAGGTGGAGCAATGAGATACACTGGGATCTTGTGTATGAGGAGAAATAAGGAAAGAAAGTCAAAAACTAACAAAATAGTTGTGGGGAGAAAACACCAGCCTGCAAAGGTCAGGACAGAGGGGAATTCCCTGCTGCTGCAGCTTGGCGTCCCCCTGGCGGGGTGGGGGTGGGCCCACCTGTCACCTGCCACTTGCAGCTGGTGACAGGCAATGCTCCACTGCAGCTGGCAGGCCTGCCTGGGCTTTGTACTTAGCCAGGTTGGACACAAGTGCCAACAGCCTGCTGTGGACCCAGTGGTTCTGGGTAGTGATCTCACACTGGGAGTGTTTTTTTCTGCCAAGTTCTGGGAGAGGCTGCCATCCACCAAGACCAATTTGAGGGTTTCTGGCGAGGCTTCGCCATGGGGCAGACACTAAGTGCTCGGTGTGACAGTCTTTGCCACCAGCATGCTCCCCACGCCAGCCCTGGCCTTCTTGGCTTGGCATTTATGTCCCACATGTCTTCAAGGCTTCACCAAGGTGTCCCAAGTCCCTTCCACATACCTCACAGATCTTCTCTAGAGACGGAACAAAGAAGTCATCGCACACTATGGCCAAGGCATAGAACATATACAGAGCCTGCAAAGGAGAGAGGAGACAGGCAGGGTCGGTGAGGGTCCCTGCTGCAGCTGCAAAGGGCCCACCACACCCCAAACCAGGCTGCCAGGGCAGAGGCCAGGCGGACAGAGCGGGGCACACAGGAAAACTCCAGCACCATAGATTTCGTTCCCTCAATCCCCTTATTGGCAAATGGGGAAACTGAGGCCCAGAGAGGAGATAACATGCTGAGCAGTAGAGGGGATGAAAACTCAGGCCACTGCGGCTCATTCCTCTTGTGATCTAATAAGAAACATATATTTGGTCTCTGCCCTTGGTTTCTGGCACACAATTCTCGAAACCCCCCGGAACCTCGGGCATAATAGGAATATCTTCTACAGGTTAATGAGGTGACTGGTGGCTGGGGGCACCTCGGTAGCTTCAGGATGGGGGCAGGTCACCAGAAAGACCAAGGCAGGATGAGCGGGTTGGGACTTTAAGCCCCAGCCCCCAACCTCCAGGGAGGAGAGAGGGGCTGGAGGTTGAATTGATCACCAGTGGCCAATGATGTAATCAGTCACGCCTATGTAATGAAGCCTCCATAGAAACCCTAAAGGATAGAGCTTAAGGAGTTTCCCTGATAGCTGAACACATGGAGGCTCCTGGAGGGTCGTATGCTTAGGGAAGGCGTGGAAGCGCTGCACCCCTTCCCCCGATACCTCGCCCTACACATCCCTTCATCTGTATCCTTTTTTGTTTGAGACAGGGTCTCACTCTGCCACCCAGGCTGGAGTGCAGTGGTGCCATCTTGGCTCACTGTGGCCTCTACCTCGTGGGCTCATCATCCTCCCACCTCAGCCTCCCAAGTAGCTGGGACTACAGGTGCACACCACCACACCCAGCTAATTCTGTTTATTATTATTATTTTTGTAGAGATGGCGGGGGGAGTCTCACTATGTTTTCCAGGCTGGTTTTGAACTCCTGGACTCAAGTGCTCCTCTGACCTCAGCCTCCCAAAGTGCTGGGATTACAGGAGTGAGCCAAAGCACCTGGCCCTGTATCCTTGGTAATATCCTTTATAATAAATTGGTAAATGGAAGTCAAACTGTTTCCCTGAATTCTGCGAGCCGCTCTAGCAAATTAATTGAGCGCAAAGAGCGGGTCATCGGAATCCTGATTTATAGCAGGTTGTTCAGAAGCACAGGTAAAACAACTTGAGGTTTGCAACTGCCGTCTAAAGAAGCAGTCTTGTGGGACTGAGCCCTTGGTGGGTGGGAGCTGCCGCTGTCTCTAGGTACGGTGTCAGAACTGAATTGAGTTAGAGGACACCCAGCTGGTGTCTGCTGAATTCTTGGCATGTGGGGAAAAAACCCACACGCATTTTGTTGTGTGTTTGTTGAAGCAGAATGTGGTGAGCAAATTTGAGAGCAGGAAAAACACTTTTTTTTCTACTCTCTCAAGCATCTCTTCTTAAAGCAGCAGCTCTCTGTCCTAGCACCAGCGTCTGCCCTCAACAGGCAAGATCTAACCCTAACAGCCAAGAAGGAAAGCACTCAGAACCGTCATTTTAAGAATTTAAAATAATAATAACAATCCTGATTTGCTCCCTTTAATTTTAGGGAAGGCACTAAAGTGACGAACTGCCCATCCACTGCCAAAACAAATGGCAACTTGAGATCCAGCATTTCTTGGGATGCTACTTAATAATGCTGGCACCATTAAAACGCACAGGTCATTGACATTCAGAGGTTCATGGAGTAAAGAACCCAGATTCTAAGGCTGGTTCTGGAACTGACTTGCCATGTGACTTTGGATAAGAAACTTTTCTAGGTTTTGGTTTCAGCATCTGTCTCATGACGAAGTAAGAACAGATCAGCAGTTTTAAAATGGTTTTCTATCTGGAGCCTCTCTCTGGCCCATCCCTCTGTTCAGCAGCCAGCACGGCTTCACTGAGCTCATCCTGTGTGCCAGGAACTACCGAGGGGATCAGAGATACAGTGGTGAGGAAGCCAGGAAAACCCTCGCCTATAACTTACCTTAATGGGGAACAAAGAAGCAAATTGGCCAGTAAAATATCTACCAGGAAACAGCAGTGCAAAGGCCCTGAGGTAGGAGTGTGTTTGATGCCTTTGAGGAACAACAGGTAGAATAGAGAGAGTGGAAAACAGAGAATATGAGGTTGGAGGGAGAGGCAAGGATCAGGACCCACGGAAAAAGAGATGGGTTTTGCTCTAAGCACTGGGGGAAGCCATTTCTTTCTTCAAAGAAAAAGTGCTATGGATGTCCTGTTTGCAACAGAGAAAGGCTGGGCTACTTCAGCTAAAACAGTGATACTCATCAATTTCACCATTCATTCATTGGGATTAATAAAGTAGAAGATACATTAGCTGCATCCAGGGCATCTGAGGCAGGTATCTACTGGATTTGACTCATCGTCAACATTTTGGGGAAGAGAAGTAAAAAGAAACAAATAGCAGGGGTGTGGGTAAAGGGGAGAAGGCAGGTGGGGGAGACCCTGCTACGAAGCTTAGGATTCTGACTTGAATTCACACTCACAGCAATCCCCACCAACATCACCTCCCGAGAGGCCAAAAGGCCTCTCTCTCTTCTGAGCCCTGAGAAACAATGAGGAGAGAAGATGAGCCAAGATGGCGCCCCGATTTCCATCTCCTGGGTCACGGAGCACTGCAGGCAAAACTGGCCCCTAAGCTAGGTTCTTTTTGTGCTCTAAAGAAGAGGTCAGCATTCATCTACCCATTCAAATCAAAAAAAGAAAAAACGAGAGGTCAGCAAATTTTTTCTGTAAAGGGTTAGATAGTAATATTTTAGGCTTTGCTGGCCAAATAGTCACTTCCACAACTATTCTGCTGTTGTGAAACAAAAACGAGCCATAGAATGGGTGTTGCAGTGTTCCAATAAAACTTTATTTATAAAAACAGTTGGTGGTATGGGGGTGATAATATTTTAGGCTTTGCTGGCCAAATAGTCACTTCCACAACTATTCTGCTGTTGTGAAACAAAAACGAGCCATAGAATGGGTGTGGCAGTGCTCCAATAAAACTTTATTTATAAAAACCATTGGCGGTATAGGGGTGATTTTCCCATGCTGTTCTCGTGATAGTGAGTGAATTCTCACGAGATCTGATGGTTTTATAAGGCAGTTTTCCCTGCTCTTGCATGATCTCTCTTCCCTGCCACCGTGTAAAATGTGCCTCCTCCCCTTCTACCATAATTGTAAATTTCCTGAGGCCTCCCCATCCCCATCCATGAGGAACTGTGAGTCAGTTAAACCTCTTTTCTTTATTTAAAAAAACAAACAAACAAACAGTTGGTGAGCTGGATTTGGCTCTCCAGCCATAGCTTGGTAACCCCTCCTCTAAAGGGTTCCTGTGAAATTCCCACGGTGCACTCAGGTTCAGCAGAAACCTGAGGTTTGATTTCAGCTATGCCAAGACTTTCACGAGGCAGGACCACAGAACTGTGGGACCAATTAGCCACATCCACAGTCCCTTAGTGAAAGGGGAGGAGTGTAAAGCCAGAGAAACTAGAAAGATAATAACTCTGTTATAGAAATAATAAACAGGTCTGTCGTTCAAAATGTGCCAACAACCCTCATTCTAGTCTTCATTTTCATTAATGGCTTACCCTGTTAATTAAAACTTCACCCATTCTTTATTTTCTGGTTGTTACTACCTATGTGGGAATACCAGATTTCACTTTCTTAATGATCTCTTGCAAAGAGTTAATACTGGGTTGGGCTTAAATATACAAGCAGATGGTGCTGGATGGTCAGGGAAGCTGATCAGGAGGAAAATTTGCTGTGGTTGATCCAAAGCAGAGAAGCAAACCTTGACCAGCTACATTTCTCCACACCACACAATAGAGTCAGCAAACCTTTTCTGTAAAGGGGCAGATAATAAATATGTTTGGCTTTCTGGGCCAGGCAGTCTCTGATGCATGGACTCAGCTCTGCCTCTGAAGTGAAAAAATAGATATTACAGAAATGAATAGGAGTGTCTGTGTTCCAATAAAACTTTATTTACAAAAATAGGCATTGAGCCAGACTTGGCTAGGGTTGTAGTTTGCCTATTCCAGCACAGAGAGTGACTTGTAACTTAGGTTTGAACCCTTATTTCTTTTCAAATTACTACCTGACCCCCCTTCCACCATTTGTCATCAAGGTCCATCTGAATAGGGAGGGAAGTTTGAGAAGTACAACAAAGTTTTAAACTACAGATGCTCCTAGACTTACAATGAGGTTATAGCTTGATAAGCCCATTTTAAGTTTAAAATACTTTAAGTGGGCCGGGGACGGTGGCTCACACCTGTAGTCCCAGCACTTTGGGAGGCCGAGGCAGGTGGATCACCTGAGGTCAGGAGTTCGAGACCAGCCTGGCCAACATGGTTAAACCCCGTCTCTACTAAAAATACAAAAATTAACTGGGTGTGGCAGCACATGCCTGTAATACCAGCTACTTGGGAGGCTGAGGCAGGAGAATCTTTTGAACCCAGGAGGCAGAGGTTGCAGTGAGCCAAGATCGCGCCACTGTACTCCAGCCTGGGCGACAGAGCGAGACTCCATCTCAAAAATAAATAAATAAATAAAATACTTTAAGTGGAAAATGCATTTAACCCAATTAACTACTGAACATCATCCCTTAGCCTAGCCTACCTTAAACGTGCTTCAGAATACTTAATTAGCCTACAGCTAGGCAAATTCATCTGGCAACACAGTACCCTGTGAAGTATTGGTTGGTTGTTTATGCTCATGCCCACGTGACTGACTGGGAGCTGCAATTGGTGCTACTGCCCAGCATGAGGAGAGAGTATCACTGGCCCAGAAAAAGATAAAACTTCAAAATTCACAGTATAGTTTCTTTATACTTCCAGAACAGTGATACTGAATATGTCTCACTTTTGTAACATCATAACACTGAAAAATAGTAAGTGGAACCATCCTAACTTGGGGACCATCTACATAGTGATGTAAAGGTATTAAAATTTAGGGGTAGTCATGGGAATCAGGACAGCAGGCATTTGTAGGAGTTATCATGTGCCACGCAACACTGATGCCCTTGACCCATATTCACTCATATTCACACTCTGTAATAGGTACCATCATCCCTGTTTTACAAAAGCAGAAAATGGGGTACAGGAAAGACTTGCATTCCTGTGTTGGTCCTGGGGCCACTAGCTGTGTGACACTGGGTAAGTCTCCTAACACGTTTAAGACATCCTTTCTGTGTGGGTAAAACATGCCCAGTCTCCGCTCTCCTCACTGGGCTGTTACAAGAATAAAAGATCTCAGACACGCCACGGCTCTGCCCCGCTGTGCAGAGAGGCTTCATGTGCCAGAAGTTTTGTGACCACTCTGGGAGGACGACTTACACCAAGGATGTGCAGCAGGACGGCTCCGTGCTGTCGCTCCTTATTGGAGAACAGATCTGTGGGGAACTCGTGAATCGCTGGAAGACAGGAAGAGATGGCAGAGTGTTAGTTATCTATGGGCCTCCCGACAAACCTCACTTGACTTCTGAGAGTTCACTAAGGAACTGCAGAGCCCACCTCGCTTTGGACTGATCAGAGAGAAGGCCAGCCATTTCTCAGTCCAGGGGCAGACCAGTGCTCTCAGGAAATAGTTGCTGGATACTGGATTATGCAAAGATATTCCAGCCCCTTAGAGTGATGATGTTTTAGATATGTCTTGCATTTTAAAAAACAGTATGAAACACTTCCCACATAATAGGATGGCTAGAACCCAGAACAGATAGTAGTAAGTGTTGACAAGGATACGGAGGTACTGGAATTTCAAACACTGCTGGTGGAAATGTAAAATGGTACAGCCCTGGGAGGCAGTCTGGCAGTTCCTCAAAAGATTAAGCATAGACCATATGACCCAGCAATTCCACTCGCAAGTATAGACCCAAGAGAAATGCAAGCAAATGTCCACACTAAAACTTACACATCAATGTTCATAGCCATATTGCTCATAACAGCCAAGATGTGGAAATAATCTAAATCAAATGCTTGGGGTTTGAGTATCATTCCTGCAACCCCAGGCAGCTCTGAGCAACTCATCTGCTCAGTAATAGAGGAATAATCCCTTCTCACCTGCCACTGCCACATTCAAAATCATCAGCAGATAAGCACGCTCATGAACGGAGGTATACACGAATGAATTCCATTGTCACAGATCCTGTTTAGGGCACTCTCAGATCTCCACCCACCCTCACCACACCAGCTAAACTGGAAGCTTCTGGAAGGCAAGGATCCACACTTCCCTGGTCACCATTGCATCCTCAGTACCTAGGCCAGGCCTGGTACACAGTAGGTTCTCAATCAACCTTAGTAATTGACTGAATAAACAAAGGTTAAAATATTAACAAAAATAACAATATGTATCGTCTCATCTTATTAGAATACTTTTATTACCCTTGTAAACCCCTTAAACACAGGGAATGACACCTAGTTCATTGTGGGTGCTTGATAAATGCTTGTTAAATAAACTTCCAGGACAGAAATCCCTTCTCTGCAAATATAATTGGGCCCTAAGCTCTGAAAATGATGCTTTCTCCCTTATATGGAAATTTTTCTGATTTTTCAGATCTGATTCTCTCGGCAAGCCACAGAAAACACCAGCTCCCCAGACACCCAGAAAATGTTCCCACTTTGAAACAAGCAGCATTTAACGAAAAATAGATTCTTTCGCTTCCCTCACATCTCTCTCTTTTTTTGTAATCAAACTTCTTTAATAGAGTTGCTGCTGTCGGTTCAAGGGCATGGATTGGCTTCAAGGTTTGTCAGCTCAGAGATGGAGAATTACATAGGGAGAGACTCGGCATTGTTGAGGCCAAGATCTTACTTCCAGGAGAAATGCAGCTGCTGGGATATTTCAGTGCAGATCAATAGACATTTCTGTCATGAAAATTCGAGACATTTCCTGATTCTCCAAACCAGGGTTTTGAGAGCTGACTGATTTATCCAATCCTGGGAATTAGAATAACATCTTTAAAAATTTTTGAAAAATGAGAAGTTTTGAAAATTAGAACAATGTCATGTCATCTTTCTGCTGCTGGGGACATATCACCTGACCTCCAGCAGGGAAGGGGCGTTGGTTCTAAATGGCTTTGCCCTTGGTAGGAACAGACTTCTACTCAGCCTCACACCTTGCTCTGCACACCCATGTGTATCCTGGAGGGCTGTGGAGGAGAATGAATGGCATCTATGGCCTTAATTTTGCCAGCAAAGACAGTGGTCACTGGCAGAGTTCCCGGCTGCCTGTGCCCCACCATCCTCCGTACCCATCCACACCTTCCTGGTACATCTTGAACCCACAAGGCAGGCACTAGAGCCATCAACGTTCCTGTTTTCAGGTGAGGCTCCGAGAGGGAAGTTAGCAGCTCAGAGCACCCAGGCATCTACGCCAGCACTCACAGTGGGACCTGATGTTCCTCGTCCAAGGTTAAGCCCCACCTCTAACACTGAGACGGTCTGGCCAAGTGGAAATCACGCCACACTGTCGACTGGAGTCCTAGCTCGACTACGCATGAGCTTGTGCGAACCTGGTCACATCATGAAACTTCTCTGATCCTCTGTCTCCTCAGTGGCAATTTGCTGCTACTTCTACTTGTTCAGCCTCACGCCTTGCTTTGCACCCCTGTGTGCATGCTGGGGGGCTATGGAGGAGAACGAATGGCTTCTACGGTGACGAATCAGTCATCCTTATTATGTGCGGCATGCCCTGGCATGGACATCAAAGGCTGCGAGCAGGCAGATATCCACCCCACCCTTCCCAGTTGGCTGCTGATAGCCGGGATCAGTCTGCTCCACAGTTCAGGATTAAAATCCTCTAGACACTGGCATGGTGAAGGGGGTGGGTATAGACCAGGACCCTGTGGCCTCCCACCCTTGTCACTGACAGCAACAACTTGGAACTGCAGATGTCCCACACAGCTGTTCCGTGCACTGTCTCTAGCAGCCGATGGACTTAGATTTCAGGAAGTACCTCTGCTCCTAATGACCTGTGGGACCTGGGCAAGCTGCCTGACACCTCGGGGCCTGTTCCCTCACCTACGAATGGAGATCACAGCAGAACCTGGGCCGTAAGAAGTGATACTACTGAGCTCAGCCAGGCTGCCAGTCACTCAGCATCATTAACTTACAGACTCATTCCTTGACATCCATTCTGTCCCCACAACTCCACAGAACACACAGCCTTGGTGTATGAAAGCTAAAGAGAAGACAAAGCCTTCTTGGAGAAAGAGAGAAAGAGCAAGACAATGAGAAAGTAAGAGATGATTTGGGCTACATGAGAATCTGAAGCCTGGAGCAGTGTAATCCCAGGTTCCTGAGAAAGCCTTCCTTCTCCTCCCATGGGCTTCCTGGGATCAGGAGCCACTGGGCCATGTTCAAGGGCGGGATGCTTGCGTGTCTGAGGGGGCTGAGCCTGCTCTGTCTGCTCAAATCCCCACCAGGGAGGAGGGAGGGATCAGCAGGGAACATACACACGGCTTTTGAGGTCATCCTTAAGCCTTTAAGCTGCAGAAATCTGAAGGTGGAGGGAGGAGGGAAGGGAGAGATGTATCTGCAGGTGGAGCTGGGCTCAAGGAACCAGGGATGATCCCAGCCCCCACCCCTGCCCTGGGGACATGGAGTGAAGGGAAAGGAGGGACAGGAGGGAAGCCAGCTGCTCCCCACTCCCCTTTGGACCTTGGTGCCCAGAAGTGGCTTCCATCACTCTTGGTCCTGGACACACCCAGGTGTCCTCACACCCCAGGCATCTGCCTCCCTCCCGTGCACCCATCCTCGACTGTGAGCAGGGCCCAGGGAAGCTGGAGGAGGTCCTTCCTGCCAGTTGCCTTCCTGAACATTGGATGGGAAACTCCAAAATCCTTGGGGACAGAAGCACCTCCAGTGCCCTCAGCACCCTACAATCTGCCATTCGGAGGCCTCCAGGCACACCTGAGCTGTTTTCTTTACACACAAAAAGCTCCACGGTGACGCTCTGAATTAGTGCTGCCCGTTCAGGGATCCAAACTTTCACCAACATTGCTCCTGCTTCTCAAAATGGATGGATTTATTCAACAGCATGTACAGAGCACCCACTTGGTAGCCACTGGACTGTCTAGGAATGGCTGGATGAGACCCTGACGGACCCTGAGCGCCCTCAGATATGGCAGCTCTTCCTCTCAGAGGGTGGCTTGACTTTTGGGGAAAGGCAAAGTTACTCAGAAGGTGGAAGGTTATTGAGGTGGGAAATCCCCTGATCCAGAAAGAATGTGAATCGATGCATGTTTCTTGAGCAGTTACTATGTGCCAGGCACTGGATTAGGCACAGAGCGTCACGGACGTGCCTGGTCTGTAGGACAAGTAAACAGACGACCAAGAGACAGTGAGAAGCTTATTGCGATGGTGTGGAGTAGAATAAGTTAGGGGTCACTGACCTGGGAGAGTTGTTGGGGAACATGCAGCCAGCCCCAGGAGAGGGTGATGCCCACATCAAGCCTTGAAGCCTGCTCCCAGTCAATTCTGAGAACCTCATTATTCTCATCTTATTGAGAGGAAGTGGAGGCTCTGAGAGACTAAAGTCACCTACAGTCACACAAACACAGTCTGGCACAGATAAGAGAAGAACCCAGCTTGGAAGCCCAACTAATACCAGGCTCTCTTTATTGGAGCATGTTACCCCCAGCAGATGCACATCTCAGGACTAAGGTCTCCTCCATCCAGGAGCAGGCCCTCTGTTCTTGTAAGCTCTAAGGGCCATGCCAAGAGGCCACGCTCTGAAACATACATTGGATTTTGTAGGTCAATTCTGCCTGCAACCCAGAATTCACCCATACAGAGGTCTAGGCCATTATTAAATGGATCCAGAGAAAACCTGTCACTTACATTCCTTGATCTTGAAACATTTAATACAAGTGACTGCTTCCTATTTGTATATGAATGAACGTATGTGTATATAAATGAACAGATCAATCTACTTATCTATCTCACATACTTATCTATCTCACATACACTAAAACTCATTCTTCGTGGTTTGAAGTTCAATGGGTTTTGAGAAACACCTACAGTCGTGTATCTACCACCATACCTCAGACAGAATAGTTCCATCACCCCTAAAATTCCCTTGTGCTGCCTTTTTGTAATCACCCCTCCCTGCACCCCTACTCCTGGTTGTTTAAGCTGCCCAGTTTACCATAGTTTGTTATAGGAGCCTGAATGCACCGAGACACGTGGGAAATGGAATAATCAAATCCAATAACATCTTGTGCAGAAATAAGAAAGTGGGCACGATTGCCAGGACAGCCTCTCGACACTTAGGTCTCTATAACCTCGACTGCCAGTGGAAACACATCCCTATCTGGTGTGCCATACCACTGACGTTTCCTTTCCCCATATTTGCCTTTTCCAGAGCACCATATCAATGGAATCATGTAATATGTAGCCTTCTTAGTCTGGCTTCTTTCACTTAACAAAATGGTTTAAGATTCGTCCATATTGTCGGGTGATCCCACTTTTGGAAACATTCTTGCTTAGCTTCTTTGGCCTCCCATCTCCTTACTCAACTCAGTCTCCTCTAGGGGGTCCCCTCCCCCCAAGGGACTCTGAACTGAATGCTGGTGGTCTAGGGGCTTCACCCTGGGCCCTCTTCTGCCCATGTGACCATTCCCTGGCTTTGACTTTTTAATCTCCACATCCAGCTCCCAAATTTCAATCTTCTCTGAGCTCAAGACCTAACATGTCCGGCAGACAACTGAACATCATTCCTCAGCCGTCCTATAAACACCTTCAACTTGCCCTCATTGCATGGCCTCCCATCCATCCAGGTCTGCATAAAACAAATCCTGACATTGTCCTTGATACGGCCTCCTTCCTCATATGTTGTGACAGGTAGACAGGCCAATAGGCACTCAATGTCCTTCTCTATTTCCTCCCATGAACCTCCCCCTCAGGGACCCTAGATATGGGTGCGCAGGCTGTGCACTGCAGGGTCATACAGCCCAGTCCTACTTCTCATTTGGAGGAGCTTGGCCCCCTTGCAGCTAGGGTTCTGCATGTGAAGTAGGTTCTGCCAACCTAGGGGACTCAGAGGGCAGAAAAGAGGCAGTGTGTTCTTCCTGCTGCCATTTCCACTGGCAACCAAGGTTACACAGACCTAAGCGTCAAGAGGCTCTCCTGGCAATCATGTCCCCTTCCTTATTCCTGCACAGGATGTTACTGAACACTTGATCATTCCGTTTCCCACTTGTCTCAGTTCATTCAGGCTGCTATAACAAAATATCATAAACTGGGGTAGCTTAAAAACAACAGAAATTTATTTCTCACAGTTCTGGAGGCCGGAGGGTCCAAGACGAAGGCACTGGCAGATTCGGTGTCTGGTGAGGGCCAGTGTCCTGGTTCATACATGGTGCCTTATCTCTGCATCCTCACACAGTGGAAGGGACCAGGTAGCTCTCTGGGGTCTCTTTTATAAGGGCGCTAAGCCCAACCATGAAGACTCCACCTCTATGACCCAGTCACCTCCAAAGGCCCCGCCTCCTAATACATCACCTTGGAAATTAGGTTTCTATGTAATGCTGGGGACATACAAACATGCAGACCGTAGCGCTGCTCCTTCGGCCTTCCCTGTAATTTTGTAAGCATCTCATTCCCTGAATTAAATTCCTTTCTGTTGAAAATATTAAACATGGATTCTATTTCCTGCAGGGAACACTCACTGATACACCCACCTCCTTTTCAGCCAATCCTGCACAAGCCCTGGCAATCCTACTGCTGATCTGCTCTTGAGTCCCTCTGCCGCCATCCTCTCTTGCTGGACCACTGCACTGACCCGTAACTGGTGTCCCCAGGTCCTCTCTCAATCTGCTCCTTCCTGTTTTCCACAGGGCAGCCAGACAAGCTTTTCAACAAACACTTAGGATAAATGCCAAAGACTGCATTTTGGCCTTCAAGGCCCTGCACGGTCTGGCCCTGCCAACCCTTCCAGCCTCACTCATGCCACCTTCCCCATGGTGCCCACTCTACTCTGGCCACACTGGTCATGCCTGTGCTGCCAGGTCCTGGCACAAACCTGGCACGAAGTAGGTGTTCATGAAATGCCTATGGAGTGAATGTACTTCGGGCTCCTCCCTTCTGACACAAACTCAGGAGCCCCCAGTGTGACCTCTGCCTGGATGGCTCCCCAGGAGATGGTGCACTGGCCCTGCCTCCTCAGCCCCTGTCTTCCCAAACTGCTTCTTGGATGCTGCACACCAAGTCTTACCAGGCAGAACATTTTTGACAGAGATGTGCTTTCTGTGAGCTGCTCGTTGTTCTTAAACCTTTCAATTAGTCAATTCTCTTTGGGGAATGTAAACTGTGAATTGAATTTTTTTAAAGGAAAGAAAAACTGCCTCAAAACATGCCACTCTCTCTTTGCTTTCTACCCTTGTTAAAAATAACCCCACCTTCTAAGCCTTGACGTTTATTCTGAAACGATGAAAACCAGACTGGAAGGCTGGGAAGTAATTTAAATAGCCTCAAATTTTTATTGTTTCAACTTATATAAGGTATATGTTTTAGAAACCATCCCAGTGCCAGAAACCGAAAGAAGAAAATTGTCATTCCCCCCCGCCCCACCAATTGTACAGTTTAAAATAACTTTGCTAAGAATTTTATGCCTTTCATGGGCAACAGTTGGAACATCTAGGATTTTCTACCATCACCCTTGTGTCCCAAACAGGAGTAAAAATAATTAGATTAAGTCACTGACTTAACTAGCATGAGAAGGAGTTTAAAATCCTATCTTTCTTTCAGTACATTCCAAAAGAGATTCAGTGCCATGAAAAAGAAAATATGCCTGGAAGACTCAGCAACAGGAATGTTCTTTCCAGGAGCAACCACTATAGAATTTCTACAGCTGGACAAGGGCCCAGGTACTATGTGGTTCAGCTGTTCTCCACCCAGGAAGGGAAGTGGACTTGTTAATGTCACAGGGCAATGTTTCCTCAGGTGGTTTTCAAAAGCGCCTGGTACTTCTCCCCGTCTCTCTTGCTTCCTCTCTCACCATGTGATCTCCACACACGCTGGCTCTTCACCTTCCACCGTGAGTGAAAGCAGCCTGAGGTCTCATCAGATGCAAATACCTACTCCTGAACTTTTCCAGACATCAGAATCATGAGCCATATAAACCTTCTTTATTTATTACCCAGCCTCAGGTATTCCTTTTTAGTAACACTAAACAGACTGAGACACAAATCCTGTTTGATTTAGGGCCCCATATTTATGACCTCATCCTTGCCAACCCCACCTCTCTCCCTGCCCTGATGCTGAAGATCCTGTCCCACCTCACTGAGAGTCACTTAACCCTCCATTTATATTGATTGATTGATTGACTGATTGATTGATTGATTGAAACAGGGTCTCACTCTGTCACCCAGGCTGGAGTGCAGTGGTGCAATCACAGCTCACTGCGGCCTCAACCTCCCAGGCTCAGGTGATCCCCCACATCACATCCTCCCAAGCAGCTGGGACTACAGGTGTGCACTATCATACCCAGCTAATTATTGTATTTTTTTGGTAGAGACTGGGTATCACTATGTTTCCCAAGCTGGTCTTGAACTCCTGGGCTCAAGTGATCTGCCTGACTCAGCCTCCCAAAGGTGCTGGGATTACAGGTGTGAGCCACTGCATATAGGTGTAACCCCTCCATTTTAAAGAGGAGAACCCTGAAGTCCAGAGAGGTCAAGTGCTTTGTTCAGCATCACAGCTAGTTAACAACAGAATTGCCAGAGCCCGAATTAATACGAACAGACAATGGCTGGTCCATACAGGACAACAGGACTGTGACCCACAGCTCCAAAGCAACTAGCCTGGGATGTCAGACCACAGCCTCTGCAGCAATTGGCCCAAAATGGTCATGTTTTGCCAATGACAGCCACCTTCTCTACTGTTTTCTCCTGCTTCCAACTCAAGAACAACAAGAGAAAAACAAATAGGCTCCCTGTAGTGAGGTGAATAGTGTCCCTCCAATAACTCATGTCCACTGGAATCCTTAGCATTGACCTTATTTGGAAATAAGATGTATTAGTCAGCAGGGGCTGTCATAACAAAATACCATGGCCTAGATGTCATCAACAATGGAAATTTACTTTCTCCCAGTTCTGGAGGCTGGAAGATCAAAGTGCCTGCAGGGTTGGTTTCTGGTGAAGATTCTCTTCCTAGCTTGTAGATAGCCACCTTCTGCCTGTGTCTTCACACAGCCTCTTCTCTGCACATACACTGCTGGTGTCTCTTCCTCCTCTTATAAGACATCAATTGCTATAGTTTGATGTTTGTTCCCTCCGGATCTCATGTTGACTGTGATCCCCAATCTTGGAGCTAGTGCCTAATGGGAGGTGTTTGGGTCATGGGGGCAGGTCCCTCAGGAATAGATTAATGCCCTGGGCGCAAGTGGTGAGTGACTTCTCATTCTATTAGTTCCCGCAAGAGCTGGGTTTTGTTTTTGTTTTTTTGAGACGGAGTCTTGCTCTGTCGCCCAGGCTGGAGTGCAGTGACATAATCATAGTTCTCTGCAGCCTTGACCTCCTAGGCTCAAACGATCCTCCTGCCTAATCTTCCTGAGTAACTGGAACTACAAGCATGTGCCACCATACCCACATCCAGCTTATATATATTTTTGGTATTTTTTTTTTTTGGTAGAGATAGGGTCTCACTATTATGCCCAGGCTGGTCTCAAACTCCTGGCCTCAAGCAACCCTCCCACCTTGGCCTTCCAAAGTGCTAGGATTATAAACATCAGCCACCATGCCCATCCAGAGCTGATTGTTAAACAGAGCATCTCTCTTCTCCCGCTCTTTTGCTTCCTCTCTCACCATGTGATCTCTGCACAGGTTGGCTCCCTTTCACCTTCTGCCATCAGTGAGAACAGCCTGAAGCCCTCACCAGAGGCAGATACCCACTCTTGAACTTTCCCAGACATCAGAATCATTAGCTAAAGAAACCTTTTTTCTTCATACATTATGCAGCCTCAGGTGTTACTTTATAGCAACACTAAAAGGACTAAGACTCCAGTCCTATTTGATTAGGGCCCTACTTTTATGACCTTATTTAACCCTTATTACCTCTCTAAAGGCACTATCTCCAAATACCATCACTTCACACGAACTTAGAGAGACACAATTCAGTCTTTAACATAAGGTCTTTGCAGAGGTAGGTAGTTAAGTTGAAATGTGGTCACACTGCATTACAGGGGACCCCGAATCCAATGATTGGTGGTCTTAGAAGAAGAGGAGGAGACACACAGAGATACCGAGAACAAGGCATGGGATGACGAAGGCAGAGGTTGGAGTGGTATGTCTGCAAGCCAAGGAGTGCTGGCAGCCAGGAGAGAGGCCTGGAACAGATTTTCTCAGAGACTCCAGGAGGAATCAATCCTGCTGATACCTTGATATCAGACTTTTGGCCTCCTGAACTGTGGGAGAATAAATTTCTGTTGTTTTAGGTCACCCAGTGTGTTCTACTTTGTTATGGCAGCCCTGGGAAGGCAAAACATTCCCTAAACCAATGCACACAATGCCCTGCTTCCAGTTGGCTGCCTCATGCCAACAGCCTCCACCCAGGGCACACCTGAAGCCTGCCCTTTCTTCCCTGCTGTGAAGCCTCCCGGCTCCCTTGCCTGACTTTGAGTCTTTACCAAACGCAAGTGATGACAGCTGACTCCCTTGCTATAGTAAACTCTGAGTAAATATTTTGGGTTGTTTTCATTTGTGTGGTCTTTGTTTATTTCCACAGCTAGCAGCAATCTTTAGTTGTGTCTCTACTCTCTTTCTCCTGCACTAGGTTAAGTGTTCTCAGAGTGCTGTGGTGAAAATTTGTTCCTGTACTGTCTTTACCTCTACTAGACAAGGCATATACTTAATATCTAAAGTAAATTAGGCTGGGCGTGGTAGCTCACACCTGTAATCCCAGCACTTTAGGAGGCCGCACTTTGAAAGGCCGAGGCAGGCAGATTGCTTGAGTCCAGGAGTTTGAGACCAGCCTGGCCAACATGGCAAAACCCCGTCTCTACTAAAAATACAAAAATTAGCCAGGCATGGTCGCGCGTGCCTGTAATCCCAGCTACTCAGGAGGCTGAGACAGGAGAATTGCTTGAACCCGGGAGGCGGAGATTGCAGTGAGCCGAGATCGTGCCACTGCACTCCAGCCTGGGCAACAGAGCAAGTGAGACTCTGTCTCAAAAAAAAATGAAATGAAATAAAATTAAATTAAATAAAGTAAATTAGGGGCTGGGTGCGGCAGCTCACACCTGTAAGCCTAGTACTTTGGGAGGCTGAGGTGGGAGGATTGCTTGAGTCCAGGAGTTCAAGACCAGACTGGACAACATGGCAAAAGCCTGTCTCTTAAAAAAATACAAAAATTATCTGGGCATGGTGGTGCATGCCTGTGAGCTAAACTCAGGACACTGAGGTGGGAGGATCACTTGAGCCCAGGAAGTCAAGGCTGCAGTGAGCAGTGATGGCACCAATGCACTCCAGCCTGGATGACAGTGAGACCCTGTCGCAATAAATGAATACATAAAATAAAAGTAAATTCGGAACCTAGGTTTCTACGTACTGCACAACCAAACTCTGAGCTAGTCACCAGTTGGCAACACAAGTACCACTGAGTTTATCAAAAGGACAGGCATCATTAAGGGAACCCATTTCTTTTTGGAAAAATAGCTTCCATTTTTTAGCATGATATAATGTTCTACATATGAAACATACATAGCAATACACATACAATGCTTACTACATGTCAAGTACTTTCTACATTTCAAGGTCACAATGAGCCCAGGAAACACTGTCATTAGCCCCATTTCAAACATGGGCAAACTGGAGCACAGAAAGGTTAAGTAATTTGCCCAAGGTGCAGCCAGTAAGTGGCAGAGCCAAAACTCAAATCTGGATAATCCAGCTCTCAACAGCACTTGACTGTCTAACAAAAGCCAAAAATATGTTTCTTCCCTTTGACATAACAGTTTCTCATGTGAAATTTCTTCTAAGGGTGACATTCAAAATATCAGGGTGAAAGTCATATGTGTGAAGATGCTTGTTACCTCCACTAGCGAGGCACTGGAAGCCACTGACGGCCCAGGAATAGGATAATGGTTATGGAGTTGGACACTTTCCTGTAGTCTTCCCACAAATATTTACTGTTACCCATCAGGTCCCAGCACTGTTCTAGATTCTGAAAATACATCTGTGAACAAGACAGGCAAAAGTGCCTGCCCTTACAGGGCATTTTAGATAGAGTACTACCCAGAAGGATAGTTAAAGACACTGGATGTGGAAAAAATTTTATCATAAATGAAAAAAGCAACACACGAAATCACTCGTGGTTTGTTTGCAGCTACACGCAAATCAGCAAATGAAAAGAACTGGATGGAAGTATGCCAAAACCATTATAGTGGTTATGGCGGGTGGAGGAATTCTAAACGGCTGCCCTTTCCAGGGCCCCTTTCCAAATGCTTTATCGTAAAAATGTTTTAGTCAATTTGCTATGCTTTATTTTTTTTAAAAAAATGAAGTTTTAAAACATGGTGTATGGGCCTGGCACAGTGGCTCATGTCTGTAATTCTACCACTTTGGGAGGCAGAGGCAGGCAGGTCACCTAGGTCAGGAGTTCGAGACCACCCTGGGCAACATGGTGAAACCTTGTCTCTACTAAAAATATAAAAATTAGCCGGGCATGATGGTGGGTGCCTGCAGTCCTAGCTACTTGGGAGGCTAAAGCATGAGAATCACTTGAACCTGGGAGGCGGGGGTTTCAGTGAGCCAATATCACGCCACTGCACTCCAGCCTGGGCGACAGAGTAAAACTGTGTCTCAAAAAAACAAAAACAAAAAAATCGTGGTGTATGAAAGAATCCAGCACAGAAGAGTACCAATGGTATGATCTCATTTATATGGTGCCCAAGCACAGTCAAAACCAAGGTCAGTGACAGAAATCAGAACCACTGGGGGTAGGGAAGGGACTAATTGGCAAAGGGCACAAGGAACTTTCTAGGGTGATGAAAATGCCCTAGATCTTGATTGGAGTGGTAGTTACACTTAAAAAGCTGTGTATTTTATTGTACTCAAGTTATACTTCATTGAAGAGAGACCTACTGAATGTCTGACACACTCTAGGAAAAGGAAAGCATATTATCACTGAAAAACTTTAAGAGCTCCCCACTGTTTTTCTCGTTGTTGTACTGTTCATGGCAAGGATGAACAAGTAACAAGCCCCTTGGTTCATGCACCTGAACACAGCACACATCAGCCATCACCGTGCCTCCCCTGGAGGAAATTTTGGGATGAGGCCAGATCTGGTTCCTGCCACTGCTTGAAGGTGAGCTCATCTCCAGAGGCTGGAGTTCAACCACAGAAGCCCGAGGAGCAGTGAGGGCTCTGATGCCAGGACCCATTCTCAGGTAGGTTCATGACAACAGGCACTCGGCATCCCAGGAAACAAGACCACAGTATCACCTGACCCAGCTCACTGTTGCCAATGACAAGAACAGAAACCAATTTACTCAGGGACAGGCCCCCCCCGTGAAAAAATGCCCATGCCCACCGTGGGTATTCTCAGCTGGTAGAGGTGGACTCTAGACTTAATTTGAGCTGCAAGTACATTTGACTTGTTTGATACAACTGCAGAAACAATTCTTCATTGTCTAACTAGACCGTATGGCCAGTAGCCTGTGAAAGGTCCCTGGGACGCACCTTGACATTGTGAGAATGAGCTGCTACTGCTGTTGATCATGATGTACCTCCAACACCCAGATCAAAGCCTGGCACATAGTAGGTACTTATATTGAAGCTTTTACAATAGAGTTTCTTAGGACTGTCTTAACAAAGTAGTATATACTTAAAACAACAGATTTTTTTTTTTTTGAGACAGAGTCTCGCTCTGTCGCCAGGCTGGAGTGCAGTGGCACGATCTTGGCTCACTGCAACCTCTGCCCCCAGGTTCAAGCAATTCTTCTGCCTCAACCTGCCGAGTAGCTGGGACTATAGGCACATGCCACTGTGCCCGGCTAATTTTTGTATTTTTAGTAGAGACAGGGTTTCACCATATTGGCCAGGCTAGTGTCTAGCTCCTGACCTCATGATCCACCTGCCTTGGCCTCCCAAAGCGCTAGGATTACAGGTGTGAACCACCGTGCCCAGCCCAGAAATGTATTTTATCACAGTTCTGTAGGCTGGAAATTCAATATCAAAGTGTCGACAGGGTTGGTTCCTTCTGGAGACTTAGGGGCAATCAGCTCCACATCTTCCTCCCGGCGTCTGTGACAGCTGGCAGTCCCTGGCATTCCTTGGTTTGTGGGCCCAGATCACCCCAATGTCTGCCCCTGTCTTTATCTGGCCTTCCCCTCTTTGTCCCTGTGTCTTCACGTGGACTTTTTATAAGGACACCAGTGACTGAATTTAGAGCTCACCTTCATCCAGCATAACCTCTTCTCGACCAAGTACATCTGCAGAGACCCTATTTCCAATGAAGGTCACATTTACAAATACCAGGTTAGGACTTCACCATATCTTTTGGGGAAAAACAACTCAGCCCTCATTATGTGTTGACTTGATTGACCCTTTATTCATGAAACACAAGCATGAAAACAACTCCTGTATGAATGAACTCTTAGGAATAACAGAGCAGTTGTCATTATTGGATCTTTTATATCCTCTGGTTTCTCTAGGACAGTCCTGATTCACATCTGCTGTCCAGTCTAATGAATAGTAACCCCTTCTATCAAAAGTGTCACAGTTTGGATGATAAATTTCATGTTCACTCTCCTCATTAGGAGTACAAGGACCTGGAATAAAAATGAACACCAATTAGCCAGGAGATGTCAAAGTAGCCCACGGCAACATTCCAGGAGAGACTTCCATCATTGCCAACATGGACACCAGGTACTTCCTCATTCTAGACAGCCTCAAGTTCAATGAGAGAACATCTGCGGGAAGGTAGCTGCTACAGCATGGTGCCTGGATTCAGAAGCACCTCCACCCAAACCCAAAGGAGGGTGGATGATTTGCCAGAGTGAGTGGTTGCTGCTTGCCACTAACTGGGAAGGGACCTGGAGGAAGGCTGGAATGACACCTCCCTTCACCTCTGGCACGCTCTAGCTCTGAGGTCAGGTCGGGTTGCCAGCCACGTGTGATGGTGAGTTCTATGCCCAACTTGGCTGGGCAGTAGTAGTCATACTCAGTTATTTAATCAAACATAAATCCAGGGGTTGCTGTGAAGGTATTTTATAGATGTGGTTAACATCTACAATCAATGGACTTTAAGTGAAGATTACCCTCAATAATGTGGGTGTGAATTCAACTCCACCCCAATCAGTTGAAGGCCTAAAGAACACAAAAATTGGCCGGGTGCGGTGGCTCATGCCTGTAATCCCAGCACTTTGGGAGGCCAAGGTGGGTGGATCACCTGAGGTCAGGAGTGTGAGACCAGTCTGGCCAACATGGCAAAACCCTGCCTCTACTAAAAATACAAAAATTAGCCAGGCGTGGTGGCAGGTGCCTATAATCCCAGCTACTCAGGAGGCTGATGCATGAGAATCACTTGAACCCAGGAGGCAGAGGTTGCAGTGAGCCGAGATCACGCCACTGCACTCCAGCCTGGGGGATAGAGTGAGACTCTGTCTCAAAACAAAACAAAAAACAAAACAAATCAAAAACAAAAACAAACAACAAAACAACAACAACTGAGGTTTCTTGGGGAAGAAGAAATTTGTCCTCAAGAGCATTAGCTCTTGCCTGGGAGTTTCGAATCTGCTGGCCTGGCATACAGATTTTGGACTTGCCAGCCCCTATAATCATATGAATTAATTCTTTAAAATAAATCTCTTTATGAACACACACAACACACACACATATAGGATAGATACAGGACATGTTTGTGTATGTGTGCACCTCCATGGGCTCTGCTTCTCTGGAGAACCCTGACCAGTGCACTGGACTATGGTGAATTGGGGTTGGGATGGGAAGAGTGAGGAGCCACAGCTGCCCCAAGATGGGCAGAACCAGGAGGCCAGCCTGGCAGCAGGACGAGCACGTAGAGTTCAAGGAGGAGCCTCACAGCCGTGAGCCAGGGACCCCCTCAGCACTCTTGGCTCCTGCCCTGTCTCCCACCCCTGCTCCCAGGCTTCCCTGTCTGTTGAGCAGTCTTTCTCCTTGGCATAATCCTTCCTCTCTTCCTAGACCAAATCCCTGCTATTCCCTGAGTAGCCTCAAGGCAAGAAGTCTCAGGCCAGGATTTAGTGCTAGGGCCTGAGTCCATTCATTATATTTGGGAGGACACAGGGTGATCTCCCTGGAAAGGAAGGAACAGCTTCTCCTTCTGTAAAGTAGCTTGCACACAGCAGACAGTTCCTCAGTGGGTGCTGGTTGAGCAACTGTAGTCGTGTGTTACTTAATGATGGGTATACATTCTGAGAAATGTGGTGTTAGGCAGTTTCACTGCTGCACGAGCATCCTAGAGTACACTTACACAATCCTAGATGGTCTAGCCTACAACACACCTAAGCTATCCCATAAAGCCTGCTGCTCCAAAGCCACACACCTGTGCAGCATTTAACTGTACTGAATACCGCAGGTAGTTGAAACACAGTGGTAAGCATTTGTGTATCTAAACACAGAAAAGCTACAGAAAAAATATGGTTTAAAAGATAAAAAATGGTACACTTGTTTAGGGCACTTACCACAAATGGAGCTTGCAGGACTGGATGTTGCTCTGGGTGAGCAAGTGAGTGCGTGGTTAGTGAATGGGAAGGCCCAGGATGTTACTGTTCACTACTGTAGACAAAAGTCTATCAATACTGGACACTTAGGCTACACTAATTTTAAAAATATGCTTCATCAATAATAACCTTCGCTTACTGTAACTTTTTTCTTTATAAACTTTTAAATTTTTTAAGCTTTTTGACTCTTTTAATAGCACTTAGTTTAAAACACAAGACCATTCTACAGCCCTGCAAAAATATTTTATGTTCTTATTCTATAAGCTATTTTTCTTTTTTAAATGTTTTTAACTTTTTAAATTTTTAAATCAAAAATAAAGACATGAGCACACACATTAGCCTAGACCTACAGAGGGTCAGGACTAGCAAGACGTCACTAGGTGATAGGGACTCTTCAGCTCCCTATCTGTATAATCTTATGGGGCCATGTAGAATATGCAGTTTGTTGTTGAAATGAATGTTGTTATATGGTGCATGACTGTACATGGTCCTTGTAAATATTTACAATTCTAACAAGCCCATCCAAGCACTATAGTTCAAGCAATAGGATGAAGAAAGACTATAGGTAGAAAAGAAGAAACTGACAGGCTTAATGTATTTCCAGGTCTTACATATAAGTGCTTAATATGTGTAGAATGACTGACAGTTGTAACTTGGACATATGACCTCTTTTTCCAAGTCTTACATATAAGTGCTTAATATGTGTAGAATGACTGACAGTTGTAACTTGGACATATGACCTCTTTTTCCTCAAATCTCAGAACAAGAAAAGTCTGCCTCATTCCTTCTAGGCTTGGTGCTTATTCTTATCCTTGGCTCTGTCAGAAACATTTCCACTAAAGAGTCACCAGGGTCTGGATTTTATTCTTGGCTTTCCTTTGTGAGCTTGTGGAAAATTACATCGTTCCTTAGTTTCCACAAAAGCACCGTGAGGTTTGAGGAGGTTCTTAGCCTGTTACAAACCAGAGCTTCATCAGGATCACAGAACAAAATAGCAGCTGAGCCAGATGAGTTCACTGAACCTCCAGCCTGTGGCCTTTTCCTTCCTTAGGCATCTCTTTGGACCCATCACCTCTCTTCAAAAACACCAACAAAATGAATGAGACAGTAAAGAATCTGACAATGTGCACTGGATTAAAAGTCTGGAAAGTTCAGTTCTGCCATTGTTATTTTGGCAGTGCTGGCCTCAGTTTCCTCCTCAGGAAGAGGACAGCATAAAGTGACCCAAAGCCACCTGATCACCATTTCCTTTGGTGCCACCAGCTCAATTTCCTTTGCACCGAGTCCCCTTGGGGTAGAGCACACAGAGCGTGGCAGGAAAGACCCTGATCGCCAACACAGAGAAACGCATCTCTGCTTCCCACCAGCCTCTCCCTCACTCTGCTTACCTATAGTGGATTCTTCACCCGGCACGTTAGGCCTCACATCTAAGCTGAAGGCTAGAAACGCTGACACCACAAAAGTCACTGGCCGACACACACACACACACACACACACACACACCACACACACAAATACACACACTTTCCTTTCCTGGAATGGGTGGTGGGGATGTCTCTACATCTCCACAGAGTTTACAGCTTAGAATTTAAAACCCATGCATTGGAAAACCAAACATCGTATGTTTTCACTTACAAGTGGGAGTTAAACTATGAGGTTGCAAAGGCATAAGGATGACTTTGGGGACTCGGGGAAAAAGTGGGAAAGGAGTGAGGGATAAAAGGTTACAAATCGGGTTCAGTGTGTACTGCTTGGGTGATGGGTGCACCCAAACCTCACAAATCACCACTAAAGAACTTACTTGCATAACCAAATACCACCTGTTCCCCAAAACCCTATGGAAATTAAAAAAAAAATAAAAACATAGAGGCCGGGCGCAGTGGTTCATGCCTGTAATCCCAGCACTTTGGGAGGCCAAGGTGGGTGGATCACCTGAGGTTAGGAGTTAGAGACCAGCCTGGCCAATATGGTGAAACCCCATCTCTACTAAAAATACAAAAATTAGCTGGATGTGGTTGTGGGCGCTTACAATCCCAGCTACTCTGGAGACTGAGGCAGGAGAATCACTTGAACACAGGAGGCAGAGGTTGCAGTGAGCTGAGATCATGCCATTGCACTCCAGCCTGGGTGACAAGAGTGAAACTCCGTCTCGAAAATAAATAAATAATAAATAAATAAAAATAAAAACATAAAAAATAAAATCCATGCATTCTTCCTGGTGCATTTCCCACCATTTGTGAGTCTATTCCGGCTCATGACCAAAGGCAAGGCCCCAGGACCAAAGGCAAGAGGTCAAACTTCCCACGCTGACCACCCACCGTGGAGAAGCCTCGGAACATCATCCATCCTGTTTCCTAGGAGAGCCTGGCCGAGGAATGCACTGGCAGGAGGCCTGACCTCCAGCTTTGGAAAATGATCAGGGAGTGACACAACTCATGAGAAGATCAATGGAAAAGAACAAGTCCAGCCCTTCCACAGGAGAATTCTCAACAAGGCCAGGCCTCCATGGAGGTGCATCAAAGAGTGGCCATCAAACACCTGCCAGCACGAGGTGAACCGTCGCCTTTCAACCATGAGTCCAACACCATCCCCCCATCTGCAGGTGCACACCCAAGGGAAAGGCCACTGGACCAAGACAATGCACCACGCATCGTGGCAAGGGCCTCACAGCGACACAATTCCAGAGCACATGGTGACCTCCACCCACACAGAGAATGTTCTCTAACATGATTCTGGGTCTAGGGCTGTGATAAAGTGTGGCCTGTGAACTCTCTATCACCCACTCATGACAGAACAGGAACAGAGAGTGAGAATGGGCATCCAAACACTTGTGAAGCAATTTGAGATTGTGGCAACCACGTGATTGTTTTCCTTTTTTCTGTTTTTGAGACAGATTCTTGCTCTGTCACCCAAGCTGAAGTGTGGTGGTGCGATCACAGCTCACTGCAGCCTCAACCTCCCGGGATCAAGCAATCCTCCCACCTCAGCCTCCCAAGAAGCTGGGACTACAGGCATGCATCTTCATGCCCAGCTAATTTTGTTTGTTTGTTTTTGTAGAGCTGGGGTCTCACTGTGTCACCCAGGCTGGTCTCGTACTCCGGGACTTAACGGATCCTCCCACTTTGGCCTCCCAATATACTGGGATTACAGGAGTGAGCCACCATGCCAGTTTTTTCTAGGGATTTCTTTTTCTAGTATTTGACAATCATATTGGTCAAATAAAGTTAACAAGTCTTTCACCACAGGTAGTGTGAGAAGCCCTCATGTGGGGAAGCAGTGCTCAGCCAGGGGTGATTGTCCCCCTCACCCCCTACCCCTACCTATGACACTGGTGACATTTTTGGTTGTCACAACCGGGGGAGGGGTGCTACTGGCATTTAGTGGGTAGAGCCAGAGATGTAGCTAAACATCCTTCAAAGCACAGGACAGCCCCCTACAACAAAGAATTATCCAGCCCCCGATGCCAATAGTGTCCAGGTAATAAACTGTAGTCTATGGTTAAAATGATGGCTGCTGTCTTTGCCCACTGAACACTGATGCCTGCCTGCTTGTAATGAAGCCATTCACACTCTCCCTTCACACACCATTTATCTACTGGTCCATATGCTGTCAAAGCACATGTTCTCCTCTCTCAAAGAACTCTCTATCAAAACTGGGTGGCTGGGAACATGCAAGAAAATTATCTGATTCTCACCCCTTCTCCTCTGTCCCTACCTCTCCTTAAAGTCTCATTCAGTCGATTCAAATACACCACTTCCAACAATGACACATCTTTTGCCTATCTCTACCCACAAACTACAGGATGACAGCAAATCCCTGTTCGTTCTGCCTTAGTTTAATATTTGTCTTCCACCAGCTGTGGTTCTGCAGTGCTGTGTTCCTATACAACCAGCAGGTCTGTCCCCGGAACGGAAGGAAGCTGCTCCCAGCCCAGATTTTGACTTTCAATCTTTCCAACAAGCACTGAGCGTGTGGCATCTACTGGGAGGATTTGTGCTGAGGGCTGCAAGGGAATATGGATAAATCAGGCAACGTTTGCAACCTACGGAGGAGGGGGAAACAGATGTGCAGCTAATGGTGACTGTAACAAGACACATGCCGTGGGGAGAGGTTTAAATGGAGCTTTAGTGGAACGCAGAAGAGGGAACAATTAATTTCTAACTCAGCAAAGATGATTCAGGGAAGAGCTGGGAGATGGGAGAGTTGGGCTCAGGATTTCCTGGGAGACATCCAGGTGGAAAGAGAGACACTTTCTAGGCAAAGGAATGAACTGGATGCTAAGGCAGGGGGGCGGGAGGGAGCCCAGGAGACTGGGAATTCTGGGCAGGTGTTCTGGGAGGTGGGAAGGCCGCAATGGGAAGACTGGAACATGGGATTGGAAGGATCAGAGGACACCAAGTTTCAGGATAAGGACTCTCCTTATTGGAGAGCAGCAGCAGATCGCTGAGCAAAGCAACGACAGGATGAGAGTATCTTAAACCAACAGTTGGCAAACGTCTTCCTGGAAAGAACCAGACAGACAGTAAATATTTCAGGCTTTGCGGGCCATATGGTCTCTGCCGCAACTATTCAACGCTGCCGCTGTGGCATGAAAGCAGCCGCAGATGAGACATAAACAAATCGGCATGGCTGTGTTCCAATAAAACTTTATTTATGTTCACTAAAATCTGAATTCTCTGTCATTCTCATGTGTCATAAAATAGTATTCCTTTTTAACTTTGTCCAATCATTGAAAAACGTAGAAACCATTTTTGGCTTGCAGGACGTATTCCAAACAGGTGGAGAGCTGAATTTGACCCGCAGGCTGTAGTTGATTGGCCCTTACTTTAGAAACATCAGGCAGGGTGGTGAGGCGGTGGGAAGGAGCAGGACAGAAGCCTCAGGTAGAAGCTGTTGAAGTAACATGGAAACAGAGAGGAGGGGATGATGTAGAGATGCTGCGGCCCCCTGACCCGCAGGATGGAGGATGGGCGTGGTGTGGAGGGAGAAACCTGTGGTCTCCAGCGAGGGGGATGAGGGCATGGTGACACCATGAACTGAGATGGGGACAGGACATTAGAGGGGACAGGAGGGCTGTGGGCTGTGGCCACACACCCTGTGCCCAGGAGGACAGAAGCGTCCCACCAAATGCAGATCAGAGCCAGATCACACCAGTAGGCTACTCAGAGTGCGGGGCGTTGACAGGGTTAACATCAATACCTACTGTTTTTGCCTGTCTGGCACCCTAAAACCCTGGTTCTCCTGGGGGGAACTGCCCTTCCCCTGTTCTCATCCATATGATTTGGGTGGGGCTGGTCCCACACAAACAACCAAGACAGTTCCAGCTGAGAGACAGCAGGCTCTTGGGGCCACCAACTATAGATGCGTTTCGGGTAAGAGCCTGGGTGCCTGGCCCCAGGTTCAGCCACAGACAAATGGTCCAATGTGAGTCAATCCCAGGAATTTTGCTAGACCTTTTTGAACACGTGAGGCTTTCTTCCTGCCAAACCCCAAAGTGGTAAAGTGCAGGCTTGTACATCTCAAGGCCCCTCTGTAGAGGGAGACTGGCTGGGGAGGAAGCCAGCATGGAAGAGAGATGAGCCGATCCTGATCCCGCCATGCCCACAGCGGGCCCCGGACTTCTCAGTTCAGGAGCTGATCACCTCTCATCTTTTGCTCAGTCCAGGGTTTTTTTGTTTTGTTTTGTTTTTTGGTCACTTGCAACCAGAAGTCCAAACACACTCAGCAACTGTTAGAACATGCCCCAGAGGGCAGAGGTCTTAACCTTGGAATCATGTGTGACCCAGTTCCTACCTTAGAAGATTATTTGACAGTCTTGTCCAAAGCATTTGCATCTGCCTTATTTATCTCTAGACAGTGCCCCTTATATAGAGTATGTGCTCAATCATTGCTGGTGTGGGAAGGAAGGCACATAATCCTAGGGAGCCTCACACACTGAGCTACAGGAAATTCTAAAAAGAAACTTCAGGAGACAATATGGATTTCTCCTCCTCCTCCACCGGCCAAGGGGTCAGGGAAACCATGAACTACAGGGACTTGGTTCTGTCTCATACAAACAACCAAGACAGCTCTGGCCGAGAGACAGCGGGCTCTTGGGGCCACCAACTATAGACGTGTTTCAGTAAGAACCTAAATGAAAGAAGGGAATTACCTGGTCTCAGAGATGGTTAGGAAAGGGGCAGGTCTCACACTGGGCATGGAAAAATGTTTGCTATTAGCAGTAACTCACTGGGAGAGAGAGAAAATGAGCACTGGAGCTCTGGCTGGGCTTCTCAACCCTGATCATGGGGTGGGTGGGAGGATCTGGGGAAGTAGATAGACAGCTTGGGATTCCAGGCCAGTGTCCTCAACAGAGGCTCCAGGATATTCAACTCAACGGTGAGTTTCCATGCACTATGAGCACAGAGATGCTGATTAATGGGCGGCTTGCTGGCAGAGTGAAGGGAGCACTGCATGGGAAGTCAACACGGGGGATCTGAGTCCCAGCCCCCATCCTCACCAAATGCCTGTACTCCCTCTCTGGGACCTGATTTCCTCATTTGTAACTGAGAGGGCTGGGCCAGAGGCGTGATTGTCAGTCTGAGGGGAGAGCTCAGAGTGTGTCCAAGAGGTGCTCAAATCCATGCTAATGGAAAGAACATGACATGAACACACTTCCCACGGGTATATGCATCAGGCAGGTGTAGAAACTTGTCTTTGGATGAATTTCTATGTTATCAATCCAATACCAAACTTGCAATAACGCTTGGTTATTCTGCTTTATCTATGTGCAATTCACCACATCCAGATGAGAGGCACTCCACACCTTCATCCAGAGACCGCAGAGGCAAGGCAGACCTTCCCTGCCTGGGTTCAAATTCTTGCTCTACACTTACTGGTGGTCTGGCCTTGGGCAAGGTTTTTCACTGTGCCATGTCTGTTTTCTCTTTGTAAAACAGGCATTGTATTAGCATCTACCTCTTAGAATTGTTCAGAAGATGAGGTGAGCGGATTATGTAAAGGGTGTGGGAGAGGGCCTGGCACACAGTGAGGGCTCAGTACAGGTTTGCTATTCCATGTGATCAATGATACCAAAACTATGACACTCTCTCATGGGCATCCATGGTAATTTTTGCTTTTAAAAGGTACCTTACAAAACTAGGCTCTGGCAAAGTATGGTGGTTCATGCCTGTAAACCCAGTGCTTTGGGAGGCCAAGGTGAGAGGATCGCCTGAAGCCAGAAAATTGAGACCAACCTGGGCAACATAAGAAGACTCCGTCTCTACAAAAAATTTAAAAATTAGTCAGGCATGGTGGCACACCTGTAGTCCCAGTTACTCAGGAGGCTGAGGCAGGAGGATCACTTGAGCCCAGGAGTTTGAAGCTGCAGTGAGCTATGATTGTACCACCGCACTCCAGCCTGGGTGACAGAGTGAGACCTCATCTCTCTTTTTTTAAACATTTATTTTAGGTTTGGGGGTATGTGTGAAGCTTTGTTACACAGGTAAACTTGCGTCACAGGGATTTGTTGTACAGACTATTTCATCACCCAGGTATTAAGCCTAGTACCCAATAGTTACCTTTTCTGCTCCTCCCACCTTCCCCCCTCAAATAGACACCAGTGTCTGTTCCTTTCTTTGTGTTCATGAGTTCTCATCATTTAGCTCTCACTTATAAGTGAAAACGTGGTATTTGGTTTTCTGTTCCTGCGTTAGTTTATTAAGGATAATGGCCTCCAGCTCCATCCATGTTCCCACAAAAGACATGATCTCTTTATTTTTTCATAGACATGGCTGCATAGTATTCCATGGTGTATGTGTTCCACATTTTCTTTATCCAGACTGTCACTGATGGACATTTAGGTTGATTGCATGTCTTTGCTATTGTGAATAGCGCTGCAATAAAGACTTGTGTGCATATGAGACCTCATCTCTTAAAAAAAAACCAAACAATCCCAAAACTAGTCTGTGTTGTCACCAGTCAGGAGAGTGGTTGCCCTATCCTGGGGAGCATGTTAGGGAAGACTGGGGATACTCCCAGTCTGGTAATATTTTGTTTCTTGACCTGGATGCTGGTGACATGGGCACGTCCACTTTGTGAAAATGTACTGTGTTCTTTCCCATAGGTATGTTATCCTTCAATAAAAAGCTCTAAGAACAAAGGAACTCTTGAACACAAAAGACAGAACATCATCAGCAGCTGCACAGCTCCAAATGGAAATAACACTGAATGCGCTGCCTTTTCCATCCCTCGCTCCCAGGCAGCTCCACCGTCACTACGCTTCAGAAACTCAAACAGCCTCCAGCTTTGCTCAGCTTTGCAGGAAGCATGGTCATTGGGACTTGGCTCTGACACTCCCCTCCACACCTCCTTCCCTAGGTCCATTCTCCATCCAGTTGCTCAATATCTCTTCCTCTCTGGAGTTGTGACATCAACTTCCTGGACCCCTTCCTGGCCTCGGAGACCCAGAGCAACTGGAATGACTGAGCTTGGAAAGGTCTGAGGAGACTGAACTTGACTCCATGTTGGCTGAGGAGCTATTTTCCACAGGCCGTCCTGACCCAGTCCCACCTCTTTCTATAGAAACCCCAGCCAAAGCCCAGCTCAACATATATGGCTCCCTCCCTTCATCCTGCAGACTCAGCCAGGCAGTCCTCAGGCCAGATTTCCTTTCCCACACCTTTTCTCTTTCAGAAAACTCCAGCTTCTAGGATGTTCTATGTAGTCTGGACAATCATAACTTGTAATTCACAGATACTGAAATGAAAGTTCCCCACAACCACTGAGGAAAGGATATTCATAAATAAATCTGCCCTACTTCAACTTTCCACCAGGGAAACTTCCTGTTGGGGGAACAAGTATAGATTAATTTGCTTCAGAACAATGGAGAAAGTAAAACAAATACTGGTGAACTCCAGTAGAGAAATAAAAAAAATCCACATTTGTAAGTCATTATCTTATTTAATCCTAATTACTACCTAGAGGGTAGATCTCATTATGTCTATTTTGCAAATGAGAAAACTGAGGCTGAAAAAAGCTAAGTGACTTGCCTGAGGCTATTCAGCCTGTAAACAGGACAGCCAGAACCCATCCCCAAGCCACACAGACCTGGCTCCAATCCACGGGAGGTTTTCTACCTTGGCTCACTCCTCACAGCCATCATTAAAACAATCAGCCCACCTATGAAGGCTTCCAAGGTAAAATAAACTCACATGTTTGCAGAGATAGGAGAGCTTTAGCTGCAGTTGCCAACACACAGGCACTTATTGCTTGCTATTCTGGGATGGTCAAGTAAATAATGAAGTAAGCCATTTCCTTAAACAGATAGGCCCAGAAGACTCAATTTAGCCACAACAAACACAATAACAGATTCAAATTCCAGGTCAATTTAGTCATCCCCTTTTTTCCCTTCTATCCTGACTTATTCCCCCTTGTGGATGTGAAACACACACACACACACACACACACACACACACACACTGCTGTAGCAACAAGCATACATATAACCATATGAACATCCCATGACAATTCAGCACTTTCAGTTATTGGAAATAATTTCTATCTGAATCCACACTGGAAACACACCTGGCCAAAAAATAAATACACACACACTCACACACACACTGCTGTAGCAACAAGCATACATATAACCATATGAACATCCCATGACAATTCAACACTTTCGGTTATTGGAAATAATTTCTATCTGAATCCACACTGGAAACACACCTGGCCAAAAAATAAATACACACACACACACACACACACACACACACACACACACACACAATATCACTCTGTAGGCAGTGTATCTGATCACCCTGTGATATGGTTTGGATTTGTATCCCTGCCCAAATCTCATGCCGAATTGGAGGAAGGGGCTTGGTGGGAGGTGACTGGATCACAGGGGCAGATTTCCCCCTTGCTGTTCTCATGATAGTGAGTGAGTTCTCATGAAATCTGATCATTTGAAAGTCTGTGGAACCTCCCCCTTCTCTCTCTCTCTCTCTCCTGCTCCACCATGGTAAGAGGTACTTGCTTCCCCTTTGCCTTCTGCCATGATTGTAAGTTTCTTCAGGCCCCCTAGTCATGCTTCCTGTTAAGCCACAGAACTGTGAGTCAATTAAATCTCTTTTCTTCATAAATTACCCAGTCTCAGGTGGTTCTTTATAGCTGTATAAGGATGGATTAATACAGAAAATTGGCATCAAGAGTGGGGTACTGCTATAAAGATGCCTGAAAATGTGGAAGCAAGTTTGGAATTGGGTAATGGGCAGACGTTGGAACAGTTTGGAGGGCTTAGAAAAAGACAAGAAGATGTGGAAAAGTTTGGAACTTCCAAGAGACTTGTTGAATGGTTTTGACCAAAATGCTGACAGTGACATGCACAATGAAGTTCAGGCTGAGGTAGTCTCAGATGGAGATGAGGAACTTACTGGGAACTGGAGTAAAATTCACTCTTGCTATGCTTTAGTAAAGAGACTGGCAGCATTTTGCCCTTACTCTAGGGATCTGTGGAATTTTGAACTTGAGATAGATGATTTAGGGTATCTAGCAAAAGAAAGTCCTAAGAGCAAAGTGTTCAAGATGTGGCCTGGCTGTCCCTAAGAGCATACAGTCATATGTGTTCACAAAGAGATTATCTGAAATTGGAACTTATGTTTAAAAGGGAAGCAGAGCATAAAAGTTTGGAAAATTTGCAGCCTGACCATGTGGTAGAAAAGAAAAACCCATTTTCTCAGGAGAAGTTTAAGCCAGCTGCGGAAATCTGCATAGTAAAGAGGAGCTGAATGTTAATAGCCAAGACAATGGGGAAAATGTCTCCAGGGCATTTCAGAGACCCCCCCATCACAAGCCTGGAGGCCTAGGAGGGAAAAGTGGTTTCATAGGCAGGGCCCAGAGCTCCCACTGCTCTGTGCAGCCTCAGGACATGGCACCCAGAGTCCCAGCAGCTCCAGCTCCAGCTGTGGCTAAAAGGGGCCAAGGCACAGCTCAAGCCCCTGTTTCAGAGGATGTAATCCCCCAGTCTTGGCAGCTTCCACATGGTGTTGGGCCTGTAGGTGTGCAGAAGACAAGAGTTGAGATTTTGGAGCCTCCGCTAGATTTTAGAGGATGTATGGAAATGCCTGGATGTCCAGGCAGAAGTCGGCTGCAGGGGTAGAGCCCTCATGGAGAACCTCTACTAGGGCCATGCAGAGGAGAAACATTGGGTTGGAGCCCCCATACAGAGTCCAAACTGGAGCACTACCTAGTGGAGCTGTGAGAAGAGGGTCACCATCCTCCAGACCCCAGAATGGCAGATTCACAGAGAGTGTGCACCGTGCACCTGGAAAAGCCACAGGCATTCAACACCAGCCGTGAAAACTGCCACAGGGGCTGTACCCTGCAAAGCCAGAGGGACAGAGCTGCCCAAGGCCATGGGAGCCCACCCCTTGCATTAGTATGCCCTAGATGTGAGACATAGAGTCAAAGGAGATTATTTTGGAGCTTTAAGATTTAATGACTGCCCTACTGAGTTTTGGACATGCATGGAGTCTGTAGCCCCTTTGTTTTGGCCAATTCCTCCCTTTTGGAATGGGAACATTTACCCAATGGCTGTACCCCCACTGTATCTTGGAAATAACTAACTTGTTTTTTATTTTACAGGCTCATAGGCAGAAGGGACTTACCTTGTTTCAGATGAGACTTTGGACTTGGACTTTTCCATTAATACTGAAATGAGTTAAGACTTTGGGGGACTGTTGGGAAGGCATGATTGGTTTTGAAATGTGAGAAAGACATGAGATTTGGGAGGGGTCAAGGGTGGGATGATATGGTTTGGATTTGTGTCCATGCCCAAATCTCATGTCAAATTGGAGGAGGGGCCTGGTAGGAGGTGATTACATCATGGAGGCAGATTTCCCCCTTACTGTTCTCATGATGGTTCTCATGAGATCTGATCGTTTAAAACTGTGTGGAAGCTCCCCCTTCTCTCTCTCTCTCCTGCTCTACCATGGTGAGATGTGCTTCCTTCTCCTTCACCTTCTGCCATGATTGTAAGTTTCCTTAGGCCTCCCAGTCATGCTTCCTGTTAAGCCTGTGGAACTGTGTGTCAACTAAACCTCTTTTCTTCAAAAATTACCCAGTCTCAGGTGGTTCATTATAGCAGTGTGAGAATAGACTAATACACCCTGCAAACTAGTTCTAATGCTATAATCAACCTTTGCTACTGTATGCCACTACTGGAGTGAGGCTCATACCAGGTAACCCCTGCCTTGCTATCCTAATGACCCAGAGTCAGGAGCTAATGGAAGAGTTTCTACTTGATTGTTCAGTTTTACCTCTTTTTTACAAACACAAACAGCTCCTATGGCCTGTTCTTAAATTTACCCATCATTTCTCTGGTGGAGATAGACTCCCAGTTGGAGGGCTAACCGATCAACCTGGTCTGCCTGGCTGGGCAGACACCACTCCTGGGACAGTGAAGAAAGGTCTGCAATAGATGAGTCAAGGGCACAGAGAGGTTAGGTAACTTACCCAAAGTTGCACAGCAAGTAGCAAAGTTGGGGTTTGTACCCAGGCAGTCAGCAAGTACTTCATCACTACACTGTGTGGCCTCTCTTTTCAGGGAGGCAGATATGTACCCGCCTATAACACCAGGAATAGTATTTTTTTAAAATCTATTTCTTTTTTATTTTCATTTAAATGTATAAGACTTATTCTTTTCTTTTCTTTTTATTTTCACCTAGTAGGTATTTACTGAGGACCTATTATGTGCCAGGACTAGATGATAGGAATAAAGGAGAGGACAAGAGAGATGTGATCCCTGCTGTTACAAAAATTACATAATGAAGTAAGGGGTGGGAGTGGAGAGAACGTACAAATATTTAAGATCCATTCTGATAGTTTCCAGAGCTTATGAAAAAAGTAAAGTTGGCATTGAGATACATATGTGTGGCAGAAGAGTGAAGGGGAGTGAAGGGATGCATGCTTTAGATGGGGGTGGTTAGGAAGTGCCTCACTAGGAGGTGTTATTTGCACAGGGACCTGAATGACCAGAAAAAGAAATCCATGCAGAAGTCTGTAGGTGGAGGATATCAGGGACAAGGAACAGCCAGGGCTGACATGCTGCTGTGTTGGAGAAAAGGAAGAGGCCCAGCAGTCTACATCTCCTGCCAGTGTGCTGGAGCACTGTGATGGATGGGGACTGGGGGCTCAGGGAGGCAGGAGAGGTAGACTGCTGGGCCTTCATACATGGGGGATGGTTAGTCACAAAGAGGAGTTTGAAATTTTGTTCTATTTGCACTATAAAAGGTCTGGACAGTTTAAGCAAAAAAAGTTGTGTGATTTGATTCCTCTTTTAGAAAGATCACTCTGGCTGTCATAAGAAGAGGCTATAGTGAGGGAAGAGCAAAAGAAAGCAAGACCAGCTGGGCTATGCAATAGTCCAGCCAGAGACGATGGTAGCATTAGATCATAGCGACAGATGCCAGTGAGACTTAGGGTAGATGCGGAGTCAGAGCCGTAGCTTCTTAGCAGCAGGGAGGTGAGGTTATGTATGCCACTGTTAATTCAGTAAGACTTACTCTTTTCTAACACAGTCTGTAAATTGAGGCTCTGGCAAGCCCAGAGTGAAGCCTGTTCAAAAATCTTCTCTAAAAATGCAATTCTTCTCAGAGAAAAAGAGCTGTCAATCAATTACAGATGAGTATAAACTAGCCCCATCCGCTTTACCTCTTAACACTGGGCATCAGCAGCACTGAAGTGAGTGACTGGGCTGAAGAGATGTAAAACATGTAATGTAGGAAAACAGCATATGTGCCAGGGTGGGGGGGAGGGGCAGTGCCCAAGGAGAGGGTTTAAGCAGAATCTGTAGGGAAGCGCATTAGAAAGATGTACAAGAAAGAATAAACAGATGAGAGATGCCTACTTTGAAATATGGTTAAAGGCTGGCCCTAACTGTATCTAGAAGGGGGGAAGGCAATTCTCCCTGATTTCTGAGGTCCGGGTTACAGACCTCAAGCCTCAGCCAGTCCTCTCAGAGCTTTTTTTTTTTTTTTTAGATGGAGTCTCGCTCTGTCACCCAGGCTGGAGTGCAGTGGTGCAATCTCGGCTCACTGCAACCTCCACCTCCTGGGTTCACACAATTCTCCTGCCTCAGCCTCCTGAGTAGCTGGGATTACAGGTGCCTGCCACCATGCCCAACTAATTTTTTTGTATTTTTAGTAGAGACGGGGTTTCACCATGTTAGCCAGGATGGTCTCAATCTTCTGACCTCGTGATCCACCCACCTCAGCCTCCCAAAGTGCTGGGATTACAGGCATGAACCACCACGCCTGGCCAGTCCTCTCAGAGCTTTAAGTCTGTCATCTTGAACTAATTCTGTGTGCGGGGATGCATGACTGTATCATGGCCAAGAAGGTAGGCTGTTCCCCAAAGATTCACGCTGCCCTTCCTCACTTACTGCTGAGAAGAGGCTGCTCACCCAGAGGACTTCGTCAACCAGATCACAAGTGCCATGCATCACCTCTGCCTCAGTGCTTCAGAAGCAGGTGTGTCTTCTCAACTCCCTGTCCCCTTCTGCAGGACCTGAAAGCCACCTGTTGAAGATGGCAGAGCCCCAAGACAGAAGAAGCATGGGTCCTTGGGTCCCTGGTCCCCACCTGGGAGGATCTCTGCTAAACATGCAAGCTGGATGGCTGTGGGAGTGAAAAATAAACTCCTACTGGGTGAAGCTACTGAGATTTCAGGGTTTCTCTGCTTCTGTTGGGATGTGATATGGTTTGGCTGTGTCTCCACCCAAATCTCATCTCGAATTCCCAGGTGTTGTAGGAGGGACCCAGTGGGAGGTGATTGAATTACAGGGGTGGGTCTTTCCTGCACTGTCCTCATGATTGTGAATAATTCTCACAAGATCTGATGGCTTTATAAGGTGGAGTTTCCCTCCCCAAGCTCTGTCTTTGCCTGCTGCCATCCATGTAAGAAGTGCCTTGCTCCTCCTTGTCTTCTGCCATGATTATGAGGCTTCCCCAGCCATGTGGAACTGTAAGTCCAATTAAACCTCTTTTCTTTGTAAATTGCCCAGTCTTGGGTATGTCTTTATCAGCACCATGAAAATTGACTAATATAGAATGGTTACTCTAACTCATCTCCAAAGGAATAACATTTTCTGATTTTTCAAGCTCTCAGAATGGTCTTGAAGCAGCTGCCTATATTACCTGGCTGGAAGTTTTGATCATAGTATGTGGACCACTCTAGGTCACTTGAAAGAGCTGGGACAATCTCCATGGCTGTCACCAAAAATATATACCCGAGAAGAGGAAAAACTTTAGGCTATTGATATATAAATCAATGTATTTCAGGACAATCACAATTAGAAAGTGGATGGCTTTCCTAAATTAAGTTGTAATCCCACTTAGCACTCAATAATCCTGCCTGCCTCACGGAGGTATTTTTAGAAGCCACGGGAACCAAGTTTATGTCTTGCTTTTGACATGAGGCTTACTTCTTCCAGCAAATATTAATATTGTTCAGCTTTGCCCTGGTACTTGAAACAAGAGTAGAAGTTGATAAATGTTATCTGAGGACTGCAATCAGCAAGCTCGAAAGTGCAAACTAATATATTCCATCACTTTTATGAGCCCATCATCGAGGAAATCAGGTAAAGGGCTTAGATACATTTGAATATGTTTGTCTCGTATTTCTTTTACTCTTACTGACATTGGTGTTCAGAGGAAAACAAAGAATGAATTTTGCTATTGGTGGGTTTATTTGGTCTTTGTCTGGTCTGGACACCAAGAAAAGGCTGGAGCATTTGGTAGGGGAGGGCAGTGAGTGTATTAGGACTGAGATGCCTCCCTGCCCCCAACACTACATTCCTAAACTACAGCCTGGCTGGGCAGACACACCTCAGGGCACTGCGGAAACAGCAGCAACTCATGTAGGGGACAGAGAGGTTAGATAACTCGCCCAAGGTCACATGTGAAGGAGCACATTAGCGATTTGAACCCAGGCAGTCTGGGTGTAAAACACAATCTCATTGCCACTCCACAACACTGCCTCTCTCTGCTCAGGGGAATAGTCTTCCAAAGAGGGGCCCTTTGTGAACCACTGCATGACTCTTAGGCACATGGAGGGTTCCTTCTAAGTCCTTCTGTGCTTTGCACACACATGCACTCTGGCCATTATCATGATGTACTATGGTTGTTTCTCTGTTCATCTCCACATTTAGGCCATACTAGCCCACAGGATGCCAAGAAATAGAAAAAGTCTTCCTCAAGACATTTTGCTTCCATTTGCTGGAATATTATCATACTAAAGAGACAAATAAACAATGTCTATGGTTTGAACAGCACCTTCTAGGATTGTGCAGTGCACAACCTGCACGGTTTTTCCATTTGGTGCCCTCCCCTATCTACCAGCACAGCAGCAGGCACACAATGGGGCGCAAAAAATTCTTATCGACTTGATTTGCAAGTGTTGCTGGCTAAGTCAACTCTAAGAGGCAGGGGTTTTCAGACTCTTCCTTATGAGACAGGGGGATGAGCTGTAGTCTTTTCTCTTTATTGTGTCCTCCTGCCTTGCTGGTGGAGAAGCAAGGACTGCCAGATACTGGGTGCCTTGTGTGTATTCCCCCCTCTCCATGAAATGAAGACACTTTCAGAAGAATCTCTTTCACTTCAGCTTTCACTCTCATTTCCTGATTTTTCCTCTCAAGCAAAAGCACATGTTGAAATTTATCTTCTGCCTTTCGTCAGTAACTCTTCAAACATGCTTGTTTACACCAGGCATCAACAGTGTTGACAAAAGCTCTTTCTATCTTGCATATGCAAAGTATGCATCTCCCACAAAACACCAATGCTTACAGAAATAAACAAGAAAAGGCAAAGATAACAGGGGACCCACGTGCTTAGGCTAGTTTCAGACCTGTCAGAGGGAACCAAATGAATTAACTTCCTATCATTGCAGCTAATTACGACATGGTCTCATCTGAAAGAGGATTACATTCTCAGTTATAATTACTCAATACTTTCCCAGAGAGGGATGGGCATGCCTAACTGGGGTTCAAAGTCAAGGGTAAAAAGAACCGTAGTCCTGCATGCCCCAAAGAAGGCGACTGTGTCCAGAGCTTCTTAGTCAATCCCTTATAGATCTTCTCTCCCTCATTTCACTGCACTCCGGCTGTGTGTATGTATTTTTCCCCCAACTCTTTTTTTTTTTTTTTTTTTTTGAGATGGAGTCTCGCTCTGTCGCCAGGCTGGAGTGCAGTGGCACGATCTCGGCTCACTGCAACCTCTGCCTCCCATGTTGAAGCAATTCTCCTGCCTCAGCCTCCCGAGTAGCTGGGACTACAGGCGCATGCCACCATGCCCAGCTAGTTTTTGTATTTTTAGTAGAGACGGGGTTTCACCATGTTGGCCTGGATGTTCTCGATCTCCTGACCTCGTGATCTGCCCGCCTTGGCCTCCCAAAGTGCTGGGATTACAGGCGTGAGCCACCACGCTCGGCCTCCAACTCTGATTTTTTCCAGTTTATCAAGGTGCTGTAATTACAGATGATTAACAGAACACCACCAATTCTAACATACTGGTACTTTATTTAAAACTGTGCCCTGGCTAGGCACAGTTGCTCACGCCTGTAATCTCAGCACTTTGGGAGGCTGAGGTGGGAGGATTGCCTGAGTCCAGAAAGTCGAGGCTGCTGTGAGCTATGAGCATTCCAGCCTGGATGACAGAGTAAAACTCTGTCTCAAAAAACCCCCCAAGAAACAAAAACTGTATCCCACCTGCCATCGACTCCTCCCTAACCCCACCCTCCAATGCTCAAACAAGGTAAGTTCTCCTTCTATGCAAAGGTCATATTCAACTCTCTTCTCTAACTACCTTTGCAATTAATACATTTCACTGCAATTGTCTTAATTATCCAATCTGACAAAAACTCTCATTGGGACAATGCGCTGGTTACCAGAGAAGTAAATGATCAGCCCCTTCATAGCGCAAAACCAGCTGAAGTTCAGCCCCAGTAAATCACCAGTGTGAAGGCAGATAGAAGACACTTCAAGATTTCACAGCCATAACCAGAAAGCAATAAAGTAGCTTTTTATCAAACCTTGGGACAACATTTAATTTAGAAGTCAACACCAGGAAATACGGATTTCTCCCTTAGGTAACATCTTGCATATGGAAAGTAACAGTGATATGATGTTATTTCCTATCCAAGTTTGGTGAAAATCCAACAGCTTTTCCTCATTTCTTCTAGATATATTTGACTCACCCCTTACTGGAAAAAAAGAAAAATCTGATCTTGGAGCTGCTAATCTGAACTGTTTCCATGCATCATGCCAAATGGAAAATCTTTATCCCTACGTAGTAGGTGCCAAAATCAAGGTGAGACTCGGCCGCATAAGCAAGTTTATAGCAATTCAGACCCCACAGAGTGACATTTTTAACTCGGTGTGCATGAAATTAACAACATGTTCTTTTCTGAGAACCCAGGGTCCAGAGAACTCTATATCCTACTGAAAATGCATTTTAAGATCAATTGAGGCCTGAATAAATTAGCAGGGCTCTCCCCAGGTACTGCTTGAGAGTGCTGGCATTTAAATGTTGTCTAACAAGACTTAATAGGATTAAGCTGTTAAGATTGTTAATTAAGTTCCTAAATCTCGCTAGAATCCCCCTGAAGTAGGATACTTGATCATCCTCAAATACTGGAGAGTTACAGAGTGTGTCATCAGATTTAAACCAACACGGTCCTTGTCCTTGAAGATCCAATCCTGGGAAAGAAGCAGGCATTGAGTTGACGATTTAAGGAAGGGTGCCACCCCAAAGGGAAGACGAATGTCCCTTCTGTAGAGACTCCATCTAGTGCAGCCATCTCTCCGGGGTTTCCACTGAGGGCAGGAGGTGTTTGAGAGGACATGCTGGTAATTTCCTGGCCTGTGCAGCCCAGTGTGTCCAAGCAACTACAGTAACCCCCCTTCTCGCTTTGGCTAACACGAGGAAGGGGTATGTTCTGAGCCATGCCAGGTGGGACAGATGTGAAGGAGCCTGTCCCAGCAGCCCTGGCCAGGTGTGGTCCTGGGAGCAAGGGGCTGAGGCTAACAGGCTTTTTCTTAGGGCACAGAAAACTTCAGGAAAGAGAAGGAGATGTCAATAACATCAGACGTTGGAGGCTGCCCTGTTCTGTACTCTTTCCCTTCTCTCTTTCCCACCTCCAATAGTCTTACCCATTCTTCCTCTCAAACGGTTCTCCCATGCCCACTTCTCCAACACTCTGTGTGGATGCTTGCTCCGCCCACCAGCCTGCTGCCAGCCTCCTCCCTTTCTAACCCTGCTGCAGTTCTGCCAGGCCATCCCTCAGAAGCCCTCGGTGACCTCTACTGCTCCGAAGATAAGGGCATCCTTAGTCTAGCACTCAACTGTCCTGTTGCTAAATGGCTTCTGACTACCAATTTACCAACCATGAGGGCATGTTTCAACCAACTTAGGCATGCACACACCAGGCATATCTTAAAAATGAAAACAAAGCCTCTTTTGGTGTGTGGACCTAAAGGGATGGCAGCCACGGCCCCAGATCCTCACTGCCCAATGGCCAGGCAGAGGATAAAGGGCTATGACAGAGAAGGTCACATGTGCGCAGGGCCTGGCATAGGGGAGAGTCTCGTTATTGGTTGCGTGGCTTGTGCTCAGTGAGGACACTGGGAGGGGTCAGGCTAGGCTCCTGCGGACCCATGTAATTCAGGACTGATTTGAAGCCAAATCCTGCTTATTCTATGAATGCTAAATATCAGTATGTCATTTGCTTCTATTTTTAGAGTGAGAAAAATAATATTGGTAGGAAAAGCCCCTCTGCCAGGTGGGCTCTTACTTTACTTTTATTAATTCTCAACTTGCAGCACTAGATAATGACAAACAGAACTTGCAGAAATCTTATTCGTTCCTTCCAAAACTTGGCTATGGCCAGCAATTCCAACCTTGTCTGTCACTCTCTTCCAGAGCTGCTCTCACACTGGCCACATCACCAGCCCACACACCATCTCTGTCCACTCTGACCTCTACACAGTTGCACCCACTGCCCCTCCCGCTGTGTGCCAATTTAAATCTCCCTGGAACCCAGACAGGATGCCCCCTCCTCCAGGATGCTTTGGCAACTATTTTCATGCAAAAAGCTCCTTCCTCCTTCTGTAACAGGGGAAAGAGCACTGGGCTAGGAGTTAAGAAAGCTGCACTTGGCTCATCACAGATTCATTTTCAAGCCAAAGACATAAACCCAAATAACTCAAGGCTGTGATCATTCAATTAGTCACAGATGGTCGCTCCACATGGTGACTCAGGGACTCCTCCCAGTGCTGCCCAGCCAGATGCCAAGCCGGAGCAGAAGGAGCTGGGGACAGAAGGAGGCTAATTTTCCGTGGGATCCTGAGAACAGATACTTCTGCATTCCAAATGCAAATTTCGGATTATCCACCGTGATAGATTTCACACCACCCTCCAACGTCAGAGCAACTGAGAACCAATTACATGAATTACCACAGCCAAAGGGGTGAAGCTTTTTCTCTTCTACACAATGCTTCTTTATACTAAGACTTTATAAGCAGTCAAAACCCAGAAATAAATAGAAGAAAATGTACACTTTCTATCTTACAAAGTTACTTGCCAGATTAAGAGAAAATGCTGTCAGTGCTTTGAAGGCAGGAACCAAAGTGTTGTCCATATCAGAATCTCCAGGGTAGCACTGTGTCCAGTATAGAAGTGGTGCCCTATAATCCCATATGTATAGCAAGTCTTGTGGGAGGGAGTGCAGCGTGCAGAGCAGGTGACAAGGAGCTTCAATTAGCTCTGTCAACATGACATCGCCACTCAACAGACGGCCACACAAACACAAAAAGGATGCGGACTACCAAAGAGATACAGAAAAGAAGAGAGTAGATAAATGGAAAAGTAGAGTATAAAATTGGGCACGCTGGGCATCAAACCTACCCAATCCCAGATAATAGGGCTACAGATGCTCTAGAAGTAAACTGTTGCGGCAAAGCAGCAGCAGGTGTGTTTTGAAATATGGTATGAAGTTGTGGGTGATGCAGAAAGTCACATTCGTAGGTTCCATCCCCATTCCCTTTCATGCTGATTCCCACGCTCTGGTCTTTGATCAGAAACAAGGGTTCCCAAACCTTTTATATATTTTTAAAATTTATCTTTTTACACTGTGGTCCACAAAGGAGGAACAACAGCACCTTGGGCTCACCCAACCTCATCTGTTTCTACTTCCCAGGTATCAAAGGAGTCCATGATGAAAAGAAGCATCACTCCACAGCAAATTGAAGGGAGTAGGGGCAGGACAGGACTGTGATTTACTGAAATTAAAATATACACAAGCCTCAGTCTATTTTCTAGCAAAATGATAAGCCTAAATATGCAAATATGGCTCGCTTTACCCTGTGATGCAAACAACCCACACCAAACTAGACTGGCAATGCAGCTAAACTATTCGTGATTTGCTTATAAGTGAAAGGCAAGAAGAGCAGCAATTAAAAACCATGACTGGTGAGGCGCGATGGCTCACGCCTATAATCCCAGCATTCTGGGAGGCCTAGGCAGGTGGATCACAAGGTCAGGAGTTCAAGACCAGCCTGGCCAACAGGGTGAAACCCTGTTTCTACTAAAAATACAAAAATTAGCTGAGTGTGGTGGCACCCGTCTATAATCCCAGCTACTCGGGAGGCTGAGGCAGGAGAATCACTTGAACCCAGCAGGCGGAAGTTGCCATCAGCTGAGATTGTGCCACTGCACTCCAGCCTGGGCGACAAAGCAAGACTCTGTCTCAAAAATAAATAAATAAATAAATAATAAATATGAAAACCATAACCATCTCATGACAAAAACCAGAAGGTATACACCCCTAAAGCATGCTTCCTCCAAGTCAAGCAAATTCCAGCTCTCTGCATGGGCACATGTGCGGTTGGAACTGGGCAGTGTTGTCCTTGACTGAGTGCAGGCCAGGCTTCTTATGGAATCCTGAATTAGGGCCCTCACACTCTAGAAACTCCCTGATTTTAGTTTACAAGTAAAAAGTATTAGCAAAGCAGCTCTTATTGCTTAGTCTTTAGGAACTCTTGATTGTTTTTGCAAATGAAGTTTTTGGAGCTAGCCTTAGGTACATAATTTGCCCATAAAACTAGAGGAGCTTGGGGGATAGTTTCGTGTGTGTGTGTGTGTGTGTGTGTGTGTGTGTGTTTTGTTTTGTTTTGTTTTGAATCATCCCTGGCCTGTAAGGAGGCTCCTTAAGGCTTCTGATTAAGCCCCAGACACTGCTCTGAGAATGGCTGCTAGAGAGGCTTTCTGTAACACTGCAGTGCTCCAGGCAACGGGGCTAGGGAGCTTGGCTTCCACACACCAAGTGTGGGTGCATCCCAGATTAACTCTTAACCTGAGGCACCTGAGCCCCTACTGTGGGTCAGGCAGAAAGGCTGGATGTAAAAGTCAGGCAAAAGGATGGTCCCAGGCTGACTTACCACTTCTAAAGAAAATAAGATGACAATTTACAAACCTCTCTGGGGTCACATTCCGAGCCAAGTCCCTTATCCGTCCAGAGGCCACTCCGACCCTTTCCTATCTCCCTGAATCCCCTTGTTTTCCTGCTCCCATGCCACTCACACCATCCAGTCACATTCCACTCTGGCTGGTGAGTTATCCAACAGCCGGGGTCTCACTGCATCCTTAACTGGTGTCCTTTGGTTGGAGGAAGGTGGGAAACGTGCTGGGAAGCAGAAGAGCCAGGGCTGATTAAATATCATTTACTTCCTCTCCTGCTCTACACACCATTAAGAATTAAACATTGACAGAGAACGCACAAATGATACTGCTGATATCCCATAGGATGTGTAGTTTTAAAAGTCATTTCAGAGTAGTTTCCAAAGTTATTTGGAGAATAACCTGAGTTTCTGCTGAAATAATAGAACCCAGTCCTAGGCTCCTTTTTGGTTGTTTTGGACAAAATTTTATGTAAGATTAAGTATTATAGTACAAACAGTAATATGACAATTTCAGAAATTTCCCATCTGGATTGCCATTTAACAGCTGGCAGAAGTCTACATATATATTTTTGAGTTGGGGGTCTCACTCTGTTGTCCAGGCTATAACCATAGCTCATTGCAGTCTCAAACTCTCCTGCGTGGCTGGGACTATGGGTGGATACCACCACACCCAGCTAATTTTTTTAACTTTTAATTTTTTTTTAGAGATGGGGTCTTGCTATGTTGCCCAGGCTGGTCTTCAACTCTTGGCCTCAAGTAATCCTCCTGCCTCAGCCTCCCAAAGCACTAGGATTATAGGCATAAGCCATCATGCCTGGCCTGTATTTCTTCTGCATTTTAAAAACATTACAAATGAATGTGATTTCCCCAAACCAAGAAAAGCATTCTAATTTATAAGGAGAGAGAAAAAAATGATAAAAACAAAACTGTGAGAATAAAAGATGAGGGAAAAATCAGAGGTCACAACACTGTTCCTATTAACAGTATGTCATCTGGAATGGTGGGTCACACCTGTAATCCCAGCATTTTGGGAGGCAGAGGTGGGAGGATCACTTGAGCCCAGGAGTTCAAGACCAGCCTGGGCAACATAGCAAAACCTCATTCTATAATTTTTTTTTCTTCTGGGACCAAATCTCGCTCTTTCACACAGGATGGAGTGCAGTGGTGCAATCTTAGCTCACTGCAACCTCCACCTCCTGGGTTCAAGTGATTCTCCTGCCTCAGCCTCCCAAGTAGCTGGGATTACAGGTGCCTGCCACCATACCTGGCTAATTTTTGTATTTTTAGTAGAGACAGGGTTTCACCAGGCTGGCCAGGCTGGTCTCAAAGCCCTGACCTCAGGTGATCTGCCCACCTTGGCATCCTAAAGTGCTGGGATTACAGGTGTGAGCCACCATGCCCAGCCTTAAAAAATTCTTTTTAATTAGCTGTACATGATGGCATGTGCCTATAGTCCCAGCTACTCAGAAGGCAGAGGTGGGAGGATCACTTGAGTCTGGGAGATTGAGGCTGCAGTGAGCTGTGATCACCACCATACTCCATCCTGGGCGACAGAGCGAGACTCCGTAAAAAAAAAAAAAAAAAAAAAGAGTGTGTCTTCTTGGATGGAACTGGAAACCATGGCCATTTCCTTGGATGTGCGACCAGACCTGTTCAGGCGGCCGCCATCCACTCACAGCCAGCTCCCCTGCACCGTTCATGCTGCGGGAGACAGCTGGTAACCACGCTAAGGACAATGAAGGGAACTCCCAGGACCTCCACGCAGCAACTGTGCCTTAGAAACCTCCAGAAGAGGAGCTGCTCACTGATAGCTTGGATTCTACAAATGAAGGAAAGTCAATCCAACCTGACCGTTTTGTGATTCCATCACTGAGGTATGTCTGGTCTGTTCCCACTGCTTTAACCAAATACCTTAGGCTGGGTGATTTACAAACAGAAATTTGTTGTTCACGGTTCTGAAGGTGGGGAAGTCTAAGATCGAAGCCCCAGCAGATTCGATGGCTGGTGAGAGTGTATTCCTCATAGATGACGCCTCCTATGTGATCTCACACAGTGGAAGAGGTGTCCCTCATAGATGGCGCCTCCCACGTGACCTCACACAGTGGAAGAGGTGTCCCTCATAGATGGCGCCTCCCACGTGACCTCACACAGTGGAACAGGTGTCCCTCATAGATGGTGCCTCCCATGTGACCTCACACAGAGGAAGAGATGTTCCTCATAGATGATGCCTCCTATGTGACCTCACACAGTGGAACAGGTGTTCCTCATAGATGGCGCCTCCCATGTGACCTCACACAGAGGAAGAGGTATTCCTCACAGATGGCGCCTCCCATGTGACCTCACACAGTGGAAGAGGCAAACGGGCTTCCTCGGGGCTTCTTTTATAAGAGCACTAATCCCTCACTTCCTCAAAGGCCCCACTCTCAACACTGTCACACTGGAGATAAAGATTCAACATTTGGATTTGGGGGACACCAACATTCAGACCATAGCAAGGCATCTGGATGCCCGCCCCACACTCCAAGACCCCCTTGGCAGAGCATTTCTTAAAATAAACATGCATAGCAATCGACTGGCCGCTACCGCCCTCATCAGAAACAAGGCTGATTCTAGCCGCCACGATGCAGAGATGAGAAGCTGTCACCCCGATACATACCTCGAGGAGAACAGCCCCAGAATACAACAGAGCAATCAGGGCCTGGACCTCCACGAGGCAAGTGACAGGTAGAGAGGACACCAGATAAAAACCCCGAGGCTCCCACCAGGCTGAAACCAAGTAAGACTGACAAAATCCGGGGACCCAGGAGAAAAGAAAACACATTTTTTGCTATCGTCTTTTCTTTCAATGATTCTAAAATGATAAATGAGAAGATAACCACCCAATATGCTTTTCAGCTCAGGACATACTAGATTTCTCCACACTAACCTTTAAATCCAGAAGTCCTGCCTTACCCCAGACACCTATAGTCTACAAAGAGTTTCCGATAATGTGGAAAGACATGGGTCAGTAACATCAATAGGGCCCCGGGAAGGAGGAAGGAGTTGTTTGAGAAAGATGTCTCCTGGAGTGTCCTTAAGCAACCAGGGCTGGTGGTGATGTTGCTGCCTGGGCTGGTGGCTCCAAGGGAAGTGGTGGGGGGAGGAGGGAGAACGTAGAGCTGGGGTCAGGAAGCGTGGTTCTCACTTGGAGTCTCTCACGCAGCTGCAGTCAGGTGCTGGCTGAGGTCGCCATCATCTGAACGCCCACCATGGCACACTCACATGGCCGGCAGCTGGTGCTGGCGGTGGGCTGGGAACCCAGCTGGGGCTGCAGAGCAGGACACCGCCACATGACCTGGGCTGCTCAGAGCATGGCCGCTGGGTTCCCAGGGGGAGAGTCCCCAAGACACAGATGACAGCTGCAAAGCTTCTCATGATCTATTCGCAAAAGTCCAGAATGTCTCTTCTGCCACATTCTACTAACCAAGAAAGTCACTAAGAGCAGCCCAGGCAGGGACTCAATGGGGGAGTGGCAAGGTCACACTGCAGAAGAGCATGTGGGATGGGACATACTATGTTTTCCAAGCATGACCACTGCAATCAACTGCACCTACCCTGTAGCAAACACTACTTTAGGCACATGGGGTAAGGGAGTGTGGACGGTGGCAAGTAAGACAGGTTGTTTTCCTGGAGCTTACCTCCCAATAGCAATGCATGATGGGTGCTGGAGCAGACTTTAGGGAAACCCAGTGTTTAGCGTGGTAACAACCCACCCTGGAGACCCTGGGGTTGGCACAAGGGTTGGGCTGGGACACACAAAACCTGGAGATCCAATCCAAGGAAAGATGCTGAGCGGAAGGTCAGAGCTCAATGAAATGGCCAGTATCTCTTCCACTCGCACCTTCCCTGCACTCCACGCCCACAGATGGCAGGTGTAGCTAGCTGCCCTCCAGGATCTGTGGCTCTCTCTTCCCATGGAGAGTGGTGGCTGAGGAATTACTGACTAGCCAGGGGCATTTCCCAGGCCCCCTTGCATGTAGGTGGGGCCCGTGACCAGCTCTCACCGGTGGAAGCGACATGTTCCCTTGCAGACCCTGGGAGCCCAGCAGCAGGTGCCTTTATTCCACCTCTTTCTCTCCATCCATTGGATGCATGTCCAAGACCCTGGGCCTGAGAGGAGACAAGCTGCAAGATGGAAAGAGCCTGGATCCCTGAATGACCACATGGAAGACCAGGAACACATGCTGCAGTGTTGCATAAATGAGGCGTAAACCTTTATTGTGCTAAGACCCTGAACCAAGAGGGCCTACTGCACCAGCTGGCATTATCCGGTTCAATACTACACCATCGTCCTGGTCACATTCAACTCAAGATTCCTAAAATAGGAATCGGAATGTTCCCTGGTAGGCCTGGTGCCCGTGCCACTTTGGTAAAATGCTGCCAGCCGGCCTGTTTGGTGACAAGTAAGTTCAATAGCATAGAAAGGCACCAGAAGGCTTACAGGGTTGGTGGAGGAGCCCCCGCCCATTCTGGGGCAGGGGACAGAGTACAGTCACAGAGGATGTTTCCCCATTCTTGTGACTACTCTCATTTCAAATTCAGGGCTTTGAAGGAATAAAATTTCAGAAAGCATTTTAATAAAATATATTGTCAGATCTTAACTCGGGGAATAATTAACTGGAAGGAGAGCCATGCTTTAACTAGGGGAGGGGTTAAAATTGTGGCAAAAGTGTTCAGAGTGTTTAAAAATATCTTAAATATAACAAGGGCTGACAGGCTGATGAAACCAAGTGGGAGGCAGGGAATTCGGGTCCTGTTGGGGAGTAGCTGTGCCCTCTGCTTGGGGGAAGGCTCGATGCAGGCGAGATGGCGTGGGTATGCCTCATTGTGATGGACAGAAATGTTCTCCCTTTGCGAGGGAGAAAGAAAACCATCAGCCCTGGCGGGGAGACACCAGGAGACAGCAGCAGCAGGGACGACTGGGCTCTGGAGGGGACACAGGCCTGGGGACTGCAGGGATGACCCGGACTGGGAAGCCGGGCCCAGGGGTAGCCGGGAAGACCTGAGATAAGGAAGGAGAGAAGGGGCAGGAGTGATGTGAGGCAGGGTTTCTACAAAGCAGATGGGGGAAGAGAAAACACTGCTGTCCTGCAGAGGGACCGGCTGGCATCAGAACTGAGCAGAAGAGGCGCAAGTCAAGAAACCAAACAAGACGGAAGAGAACAAGCTGCAGAGGATGCTTGGGAATAAGACTTGGCAGGGAACGCAGGCGCCCAGGGGTGGGAGAAGGTCTGAGCTGCAAAGTGTAGGAGCCCAGAGAAGACACAGGAAATGAGACCTGCTAATGAGGCCAGGCGGGCCCCTGGGGCTTGGGGGCAGGGACAAGGCCAGGCTTCTGGGGAGACAGAAAGGGTGGAGAATGGGGGAAAGTGCACTGGCTTAGCACAGGGGATGTGGCTTTGCCACCGAGGAGCCAGGTGACTTGGGCCAAGTATCAGACCCTTCAACCTAGGCCTGTGTCCCCTTCCATATAACGATTGCTAGGTCCTTGCGGGCAGGACTTCATGGGGGACAGGAAAGGGAGAACAGCAAAGCCCCAGGGAGAGGTTCAGGACCTCCCTCCATTCCTCAGAAAGGGCTGGGTTTCCAGGGGCTGCACCCTGGCCCAGGCTGCACAGACCCCTGGCTGACAAGGCAGGGCTTGGAGAATCTGTTCATGGGGAAGAACGGTGGTTTGGGAATCAGATCTGGTTCATTTTCCAGCTAAGCTAATTTCTAGCAGAAATGTCAATGAGCCTCAGTTTACTCACCTGTGAAATGGGGATAACAACACCCACTGCATGTGTGTTGTGAGCACTTAGTAAGAAAACAGAGGGGAGGCACCCACACACAAGAGGTAGATTCAGGAAAGATTCACTTCCTTCCAAGAGTGGGGTGGAGAGGAAGGCTTTTAAAAGGGAGAATGTCAAACATACATAGGAATAGACACAGCACACATTGAACTTCCATGCATCCATCATCCAAGTTCAACAATCATCAGCCCTAGGCTGATGGGGTTCATCCTCACTCACTTACCTGCCAGCCCTGCTGCCTCCCCACCCAGTTTACTCTGAAGAAAATCCCAGTTGTCATATTAGTTCTGCCTTAAGTGGTCTAGTGCACATACCCAAAGTGAGTTTGTTTGTTTGTTTGTTTGTTTTTAGAGCAAACTCAACGCAAAGTCTGGACTGGGGTTCTAGGGCCCCAGAGGCCCTCTCTGCTCCGCATGCAGGCTGCCCAGAGGCAGGAGCAAGATGTCTCCTGGGCCCCAGTTTTGGTCTGGGGGCCACTCTGGGGTCTGAAGCCCTTGCCTCAAATACCTGCATACCTGCTAGTCTCAACATCCCTCAGGGTTGATAAAGCAAGTCCTGCGGTCATGACCTAGAACTGGTACCACCTGCCCTGAACAAACAGATGGGTGAGGACATCTCTGACGTCCCCTTCCCTCCTACTCATTTGGTACTCAGAGGGGAACAGGAGGCACGGCCTCCTGCCCCACAACTATACAAATGCACAGCTGCAGAGTCCACCCCAACAGAGACAGCGAGAGCCAGGAGGGAGAGGCGAACCAGGCCGTGGGCAGCTAAGTCCAGACCCAAGGAGGCTGTCAACGCCTGTGGGTCTTCATTAACCAAAAAGAAGATCGAGAGTCGGCCACTGGGAGCTTTGGAGAACCACAGAGGACGTGGCAAGGAACCCAGACTGAGCACCGGCAGCCACAGAACCACAGACCTCACTCCCAGGTCCTGGGGAAGACCCACCCTGAGTCCCACCACTGGGAATCCGTCTCGAGGTGCGAAGGGACACCCCTTGGGCATCTCCTTTATGCGTCACACCTTAAATCTCACACACAGGTCCTTGTGTGGTCTCTCAGGCTTTAACGGGCCTTAAGAGAGGAAAACAGTACAAGGCAGATGCCAAGGGGAGGCTGGGAGTGTCCACCCCAGGTTCAGACAATAAAGGGGTACGCTGTGTTTCAAGAGTTTAAAAACAGTATGGAGGTTCCACAAAAAATTAAATACAGAATTACCATGTGATCTAGCAATTTTATTTCTCAGCATATGCCCCAAAGAACCACAAGCAGCGACCTGAGCAGACATCTGCACACTCACATTCATAGCAATTATTCACAATTGCCAAAAGGTGGAAACAGTGTGAATGTCCATGGATGGATGAATGGATCCACAGAATGTGGTACACATATACAGTGGAATTATTCAGCCTTTAAAAGGTAGGACATTCTAACACAGGCTACAACATGGGTGACTCATGCTAAGTGAAATACGCTGGTCACAAAAGAACAAATATTGTCTGAGTCCACTTCTTTGAGGTACCTGGAGCAGCCAAGTTCTTAGAGACAGAAAGCAGACTGGGGATTGCCAGGGGCTGGATTGAGGAAGGAATGTGGAGTTAGTGCTCATGGGTACAGAGGTTCAGCTTGGGATGGTGAGAAAGTTCTGGAGACCAATGGTGGTGATGGTTGCACAACCATGTGAATGTACTTAATGCTGCTGAACTGCACATTTACAGTGATTAAAATGATGCATTTTATGTTATATATATCTTACCACAATAAAAGTAGATGACGTATGGTCACCATTGGCCAGCAATTTTAAACATCAGTGATAAAAATACTCCTGGCCGGGCATGGTGGCTCATGCCTGTAATCCCAGCATTTGGGGAGGCCGAGGTGGGCAAATCACAGGAAGCCAAGAGTTCGAGGTCAGCCTAGTCAACATGGCAAAACCCCGTCTCTACTAAAAATACTAAAATTAGCCGGGCGTGGTGGTGGGTGCCTGTAATCCCAGCTACTTGGGAGGCTGAGGCAGGAGAATCGCTTGAACCTGGGAGGTGGAGGCTGCAGTGAGCCGAGATCTCGCCACTGCTCTCCAGCCTGGGTGACACAGCGAGACTCCATCTCAAAAAAAAAAAAATACTTCTCTCCAGGGTCAGGCCACCCCCTCTGTACCCCCTGCCCAGTTGCCCCCTTGGAACCCCCACCCCACCCCTACTGTACTGTTTCCTTTCTTTAGGGGAGTGGAGGGCTGGTGGAGGTGGGTCTACAGGACTGAAGACAGATTCTCACGGAAGCCAGGGTGCAGAGCTACAAGGGGTGAGGGTGAGAGCAGGGCACCCTGCTGGGGCCTCTGGAAGGTCAAGGTTGAAGTGCATTTGTGCATGAACCAGCCTCGAGAACACATTTCCACAGCTATAGGAGCCTCCTCCCTTGACCGGAAATTTCACCACCTGCAATTTCAACACAAAGAATGAACCCCGCCTCAAGGTTAGCGTCACAGGCCAGCAGCCCAGGCCACAGCCGGGCAAATCATCCTGCACAAAATCCTAGTTCTGCTCAGATAATCTGCTTACACATTAAACACGGATTAGCAGAAACGTCAAACAAACCCCTTTAGCAGGATGGGCTCAAGTCGTGAACTACATGCTTCTCTGATTTTTGCTGGTTTAACTGCCTTTTAGGGTGAGAGGAGAGAATGAGGTTGGCTTTAAATAATAATTCTGGTTAATAGCAGGTACAGTTTATCATTTGAGAACTTATCATGTGTCAGGCACTGTGATAATGCCCCATCACCCAGAAGAAAGGAGACTCCACAGGGCAGGGTCTTTCTTGCTCCTGGCTGGATCCCCCGGCACCCCGCAGATTGTAGGCACTCCAGGGAAAATGGAGAATGCAGGAATGTCAAGTACTTTATGTGCATTCTAATAAGTTGATCTGCACTGTGACCTCAGAAGGTAGGTCTGTTATGGTCCCATTTTACAGCTGAGAAAACTGAGGCACAGAGAATGTGGGTGACTTGCTCAGGGTTGCAGGAGTCAAAAGCCCAGGCCCCCCTCTTACCAACATCACTCCCACGCTTGTCACAATATTCTATGCCACAAACTACCCTCCCAAAGCATCCCCTCCCACCGAGCTAGAACCACCTATCGAAAGGGGAAAAAAACGAAACCATGAAGGGAAACACACCCAATAAACTCCTAAGAATGGGGTCTTGGAGTCTGAAAATCGTGCCTCTGAGGGATCTCACAGTTGCTTTGGATGGCCCTCCAAACAGGGACAGGACCCAGCTCCCTGCCAGGGGCAAGCTGCCTTGAAGCCCCCAGAACCTGCGATCGAGCCATCCATCCGGAAACTCTTCCTCCTCCATAACTGCTGGCCTGGCCTGCCGCAGAGGCAGACATGGTGCCGCCCACTCACCTTACCTCTCCCCTCGCATCCCAGGAGGTGCGACATCAAATTCAAGAAGAGCATTAAGGTCTGGGATGGGGGAGCTGGGAGGAAGGATCGTGGAAGGAGCAGATGCTGTCCTTGCGACACCCAGCTCAGCCTCATGGGACAAGGGCTCATCACTCTTCCCAGGCAGCTGGGGGAGATAGCCGGTGCGCAGAAGCCCCAGAGTGCATCCAAATGGGGCCCCGCAGCTGTGCGATCTTGACCATGCCACCTCCTGCTGAGCCTGCCTCTCCTCTTCAGCAATAGGAACTACCTGACAGCCCCTCTCCCGGGTATGTTATGAATAATAATGGGTGAAATGGTCTCTGGGTGACATGTTAGATCTTTGTACGTAATTAAAAATAACATTGCATGATTTTTTTTTTTTTTAAAGACGGAGTCTCGCTCTGTCGCCAGGCTGGAGTGCAGTGGTACAGTCTAGGCTCATTGCAACCTCCAACTCCCTGGTTCAAGCGATTCTCCTGCCTCAGCCTCCCGAGCAGCTGAGATTACACGCACACGCCCAGTTAATTTTTGTATTTTTAGTAGGGACAGGGTTTCACCATGTTGGCCAGGATGGTATCGATCTCCTGGCCTCGTGATCCGCCCACCTCAGCCTCCCGAAGTGCTGGGATTACAGGCATGAGCCACCGCGCCTGGCCGGCATGATTTTTGCAAAAAGATAATCTACAGAAGGCATGGGTAGGCACTGTGTCTTAGCAGAGGTGCTAAGAGTTAAGGCGAGATCCAAACTGGGCAAGATCAATCAGCTGGTAACTGCGGCAACTGTAGCAGCAACAGATGCTTGTTAAGCGCTTGCTGTTTGTCAGGCATAGTTCTAGTTCTTATATGTTGCCCAATTTATTCCTCAGAACTCCCTTCTCTCTTAGGTAACCTTATCCCCCTTCATTACAGATACAGGAATGGGGGCTCAGAGAGGTTAAGTCACTCATCTGAAATCACACAGCTAGTGTGAGCAAGGGCCAGAATTCAGATTCAGGTAGTATGCCTCACAGAGCTCCATTTCTTAAATCTTATGCTCTGCTTAGCAGTGGCCAGCCTGAGCAAGGCTTTAAGTCAGGGGAAGAGGAGGAGGGCAGTAGAGAGAAGCCAGATCCCTCCTTTCTTTGCATCCTGCCAGTAGGTCACTTAGTAACCCTTACAAACAGCCTCCTGACAGCTCCACTGTAATGCTCATTTAAAGCCTCAGTATCTTCCAAGTCCTGCTTAAAATGCCACCTCCATGAAGCCAGCCAGGATTGACCTGTTGGGGCTCTGAACTTGCCGCCTTTTCCTAGAGCCGTGAGACATTTCTACCTGTCCCTACACCGAATGTATATCTACCTGCTTGAGGGCAGCCTTCTTAGCCAATTCAACTTCAAATCCCCCACCCCACCCCCCATCTCAAGCACAGGCCCAGAGCAGGCCCCCATGCACACACTGATAATGTTTCTAGAAATCAGAATTGATCTTAAACCCCTGCTCCATTAAACATCCCTGAAAAAAACATCAGGGCATTACATAAATCATAAAATATGATTTATGCTGTAATGCGCAACACTCCCTCCCCTTCAGTCTTGATCAACACAGCCTGAAATTTAAAGTAAGTTTTAATTACAGAAGAGAGGCTAAAACCTCTGCCTGAGGAGGCCTGTCATTTTCCTTTCTTATGCTGATAATTTCCAACATTACTTTACCCCAAAGACCCTGTTTGCCACGCTCTTCTGAGGAGCTGTGGAGTGTATTTCATGCTTGAGCTGGGGGGAAAACAACCACCAGGCAAGGCAGACAGAAATATTCACAATGCCCAAGCGGTAATCAAAAATTCATTTCGCTCAGTGTTTACTCGGTTCATATCTCATTTGAGTCAAGCTGGAGTCATTAAGTGGTTTGCTCCAGACTAATTCTGTCTTACATTTCAGACCCGCTCTGCTCCGCTGAAAGCATGCTGTCCCGCCACGGCGAGTGTGGTCCAGCCAGGCATGGCTTGGGACCCGCTGAAGATCTTCCCGCGGAAATGCTGGGTCCTGGGGGTGGATAAGAAGGTGCAACTGTAGCTAGAGGCCCCAGGGGGTGTACAGGGGCTCAGAGGAGGAGGCTGACGAGGGCGTGTAGATGTCTGGGAAGCATCTCTCATCTTCTGCATGAACATTCATACGCTCACGGTCAAGCCCATTCGGTGCCGGTCACCTTGCTGGGGTAGGGAGGGCCACTCGGAGGGTTGATACAGTCTCTCTCTGCCCTCAGCAAGTTACCGGTCTAGCAAGAGAGGCCGCATGGGAAGCAAGCACGTTGGCACTAGCTTGAGCTGCAGCCAGGGGGGATTTAAGTGCAGTGGTCACAATGCTGCCTGGTGTGCAGACAGGCAATATTCCAAAGGAGGGGAGGTCCCGCTGCACCTCACAGGCTAGGCAGCTAGGCATCTTGAGGCAGAGAGAGGAAGGGCACTCCAGGCAGGGGCGCAGCACATGCAAAGCCTCTGTGACATTCAGGTGTTTTGTCTTCCATCTGTGAGCGCTTGTGTGGCCTGTCAATTCCACATTTGAACCTCCTGCCTCCCGGCCCCCTCCAGGGTCCACACAGAGGGGTGTGCAGGAGGGGAGGGCACAGAATGAGGATAGACTGCAGAGTGGGGGGTGCCCCATATCTTACTTCCAGCTGTGGCTAGACTTGAATAAACATCAGGTCTCCTTCTCTGCCATGAGGACCCCGGGGTCTTTAGACGTGACTGTGAGAAGAACGCATCTGCTCTTATGAAGACGAATGTGAAGCCATAGAAATGATGGGCTGGGGAGTCAAGCGAGCAGGCAGCCGGCCAACTACTCAGGGGTCCACACGTGGCCAGTGGGGGCCTGGCCCAAGGCAGGGGCATCAGGAACTGAAGCTGAGAGATACTAGCTAGCCAACAGCCTCACTGCTGGAGAGGGAAGAGGCAGGTCCCGTGGTGCAGGTTTTCTGACTGTAAATCCAGGTCTCTTTATACCACAATAAGAACTCCATGGCCTAGAAGAGCTGCATTCCTGTGCCTGCCACTGGAGGGCAGGGTGCCCAGGGCAGCACCTGGCAGAACCCCAGCAGCAAAAAACAGTCCTGGTCCACTTTTCCTGGCAATTTTCTCCAAGAATTTCTCTAGGATGGATTTCTAGGACTGATCAATTCCTTTGTTTCCAGGTAGGGTTAGGTGGCCAAGGCATGACCTACGGAGGGGGCAGCTTGGACATAGGTTCCAGTTCCTGCTCTGATGACCACCAATGGCAAGTGACCTTTCTTCCTTTCGCTTCTGCTTCTACCGACCTCATAGGGTGTGGGCATTAAATGATTAAGGAAGATACAGTAACCAAAAGAGCCTAACCTGGTACCTTTGTTAGTACTAAAAAGATCTGCTGACAGGAACTGAGCACTTACTATGTGTAAGGCACTGTTCTAACAGCCTTACGCGTACTAAACACATTTAATCCTCACAGTAACTATGAGACAGAGACTACCATTATCCCCATGGAACAGATGGGAAAACTGAGGCTCACAGAGGTGAACTGATTTGCCTAAGGCAGAGATGGAAGTTGTGGAGCAAGGCTGTTCTGACTTCAGAGCCAGAGAAACATATATATATGTTTGATAATTGATAATTATCAAATGATAATGATAATTTCCAACATTATTTTTCCCCAAAGGCCAACATTAACCCAGGCGCATGTATACATATGTATATATGTATTGATATATATGTGTATATATGTATATACACACACTTATGTATAGATTTATGTGTGTGTGTGTGTATGTTTATATATATATACAGGAATGCAGATTGTCACTAGGGAGTTGACCAACATTTTAAATAGCAGGAAAGATGGTGGGTTTGAATCGCTACAATAAGACAAAATTTATTTTAAGAACTTACATCCATTTTTAAAATAACCTATCTTAGGTTTCCTACAGATTTCTGAAAGGTGGTGAATTAAAGAACATACATGACCGCCTAAAACAGGGCTCTCCGCCTTACAATCACATGGGGAGCTTTAAACAATCCTGGTGTCTAGGCCACACCCCAAGTGTGGGTGTCAAGTGACTATCAATAATGGGAGAGGAGGGGGACCTGACAGCTTTTACCGTATTTTTTTTTAAAGCTCTGCAGGTGATTCCAATGTGCAGGCATGGCTGAGAATAACCAGCCTAAAAGGATACAAACAAAGCAAAATATCACTCAATAATTGAAGAACTTAAAACTACTGTGCAAAGGCAATGGAAAATTCTTTTTTTCTCCTTAATTTTTTTTTAAATTGTACTTTAAGTTCTAGGATACATAGAACTGAATGTGCTGAATATGCAGGTTTGTTACGTAGGTATACATGTGCCATGGTGGTTTGCTGCACCTATCAACCCATCATCTAGGCTTTAAGCCCCGCATGCATTAGGTATTTGTCCTAATGCTCTCCCTCCCCTTTCCCCACCGTCCTGACAGGCCCCAGGGTATGATGTTCCCCTCCCCGTGTCCATGTGTTCTCATTGTTCAGCTCCCACTTATGAGTGAGAACATGCAGTGTTTGGTTTTCTGTTTCCGTGTTAGTTTGCTGAGGATGATGGCTTCCAGCTTCATCCATGTCCCTGCAAAGGACATGAACTCACCCCTTTTTATGGCTGCATAGTATTCCATGGTGTATATGTGCCACGTTTTCTTTATCCAGCCTATCATTGATGGACATTTGGGTTGGTTCCAAGTCTTTGCTATTGTAAATAGTGCTGCAATAAACATATGTGTGCATGTGTCTTTATAGCAGAATGATTTATAATCCTTTTGGCATATACCTAGTAATGGGATTGCTGGGTCAGATGGTATTTCTGGTTCTAGATCAGTGTTGTGTGGCCCAGTGGGCATCTCTGCTATCCCACCTCTCACTATGTGCACACCCTCCCAGGGCTGTTCACTCCTGAACCCTCACAGCAGGCCCAAAAGGAAGAGTACATTCCCTTCTACACAAGATGCCACTGGGACTCACGGCAGTCACCTCCCTGGTCCACGGTCACTCAGCTCATGAGCGGCAGCACCTTGAGTCCAGCCTGAGCCGCTTGCACCTCCAGAGCCTCTGCCCTGCCCCCTGAGCCTCCCCACGCAGCCTGGCACCCTCCATGCCATGGGGCACAGAGGAACAGCCCTTGCTTGCACACTGAGAGTCCTGGTGCTGGCTGGCCCAGTGTTGTGTGACCCTGGGCGGGAGCCGCAAGTTCCTTCCTGGAGTCGATAAATTACACCTGCCTCAAAAGCAGGGTCCCATGAAGGCAGTGATGCCACAGTTGTTGCCGGGAAGGTCTAGGTTTTCAGGAATGCATCACCTCTTTCTCTGGCCATTGAGAGATGTCCCATTTAGTGCGGGCTGAGGCACCGAAACCAAATCACAGATTCTCACTAGATGAGCAGCCATCTTGTACTACTGAGCCCAGTATGGATCTAAGGGGGCAAAAACTGGCCTTTTTCAAGCAGGATCCTGCCTGAAGCCAGGAATGCGGCCACGTGCCAGCCCCTCCTTCCTAACTGACCAAACCCCAGGGATTATGAGGGATCAGGAAGGAAGGCTGGCCACCTCCTAGGAGACTCAACCTGCTCCTTAGAGCTTAACATTCCCCTCGTGGTTCTCTGTTTAATGAGGACAGAGGGCTCCAAGGGAACGTGGGTGCTCTACCTCTGGCCCTTGGATCTGCTCTCGGTCACTGCCAGCCTGTTCTGCCTTCGGATGCAGAGCACCCCGTTTTTGCTTCGAGCGCCATGTCCTCCTGCCTTCAGTGTCTGTGGCCCTCCCCTATGCCAGGTGCAGCAGGCACAGGCACGCAGGCAGTGAATGAGTGAAACCCTGCCCTGGAGGATTGGCTGTGCTGGTGGGAGGGAGGGGGACACTACCCCAGTACCCCAATGATACCATGTGACACAACGTCAGGGAGTACTGAGTGCCACGAAGACAACACGGCAGGTGAGGGTGGAGAGGGGAGAGGGAGGCCTGGATGACGGAGAGTCTGGGGAAGACTCTTCAGCCCCAGGCGTGGTAGGAAGTATGGGTGTGCTGGCGGGGCAGAAAGGTCAGTGTGCGATGGGGAGGCAGTGGGAGAGCAGGGTGAGCAGGAGGCACGTGAGTTTCAAGCATGACTGTTGGCCCTCGTGGGAACAAGCTCCGAGCTCCATCAGACTGGGCACCACTCAAGATGGCACAAATGGAATCCAGGCCAGTCAGTGTCCCGGAAGTCACCTCTCTCCAGCACTCCCATGCCCTTCAGGCAAGGGCTCACCAGTCCTTGAATGGGGAGGGATAGGAAAGGGGAGACGCCAGAGAGGAGGAGGGGGCAGGGGCGCTTCCTGCCATGCCCCTGGTGCCATGGTTCCCCCCAACAAACTCGGGCTGAAGCCGGGTCCTTCCCCTCCTAGATTATTCCAGCAGCCCCTGCCAGGCCTGTCTCAGACCCACCCCTGCAACCAGGGAGGAGCAGGGATTGGGGCCTTTGAGTTCTGAGCAGAACCACTGAGAATGCCAACATCCCTCTTCAGAGCTTTCTCACCTTGGTGAACTCAGGGGATCCTGTGGATGCCCTGAGAATTTGGGCAGAAAGCACCTTCCTTTCACAGACAGAGAACTGGGGACCTGCCCAATAAACAGAAGATCCAAGACTCAAGATCGATTTCCAGGTCATCCCCCACCTCTCACTAAACCAGAGAGATTTCCTTCATTCCCTTAAAAAGCACACTAGCCAAAGAACTGGGCTTCCAAGACACCTCTCTCGCATTCCAAGGTATCATTTTGCTATCTATCTAGCTAGCTAGCTAGCTATTTATTGATTTTAGAGGCAGGGTCTCCCACTGTTGTCCAGACTGGAGTGCAGTGGTCCTACCACAGCTCATTGCAGCCTTGAACTCCTGGGCTCAAGCGATTCTCCCATCTCAGCCTCCCAAGTAGCTGAGACTACAGGTATGCACCACCACACTCAGCTCATTTTTTACTTTTACTTTTGTTTTTATTTAGAGTCAGGGTCTCACTACGTTGCCCAGGCTGGCCTCAAACTCCTGGCCTCAAGTGATCCTCCTACCTCAGTCTCCTGAGTAGCTAGGACTACAGGTGCGTGCCACCGTGCCTGGCTCATTTTGTTTCACTTTTAATAAAAACATCTGCTTCATTGCTGTTATCATTAACTTTAATACATTGATTGAAAACTTTCATTCAAAAGATATCAGTAAGAGAGTGAAAATGAAATGCACAGTGGATAAGGAGACACTGTCAGTCCACATATCTGACAAAGGACTTAGATACAAATCAATCAGAAAAAGACAATCTAACAGAAAGCTGGACAAAGACTTGGACACATTACGGAGGTGGAGAAGATGTTAAGCAGCCCCAAAACACACAAAGATGCTCAGAGCCATTATTATCCAAGGAAATGCCTATTAAAACCACAAGAGACAACAACAGAAATGTTGGTCAGGATGCAAAGTGATGAGAACCCCATACATTCTGGTGGGAGTGTAAAGTGGTCCACTTTGGAAAACCATTTGGCCCTGTCTATGAAATATGGCAGGCATGTGTCCGCAACCCAGCAATTCTATTCTCATGAACCCAACAAAAATAATGCACATGGCCCTCAGAAGGCACGGACAAGGATGCTCACAGCAGCATTATTCATAATAGCTGCAAACAACCTCAACGTTCAATAGTTGAGCTGACAAGCCAATCACATGTGTATTTGTGCCATGGAATTCTACAGAGCAAAAGAAAAGAGTGAACTATTGCCACCCGCAACAAAATGGATGACTCCCATGATAAGAGAAGGCAGCCGACTGCAAGCAGACCCATTTCCTGAGGTCAGAACCAATCCCGTGCTAGACAAACCCTCCTGCTTGTCCCACAGGCAGCTCAGACTCCAAGCCTCATCTCTCCTCCCACCCCCAGACCTTCATCGTCCCCCCTTTCTGTTAGGTATCAACACCCTGCTTCCCCAAGCTGGTGGCCAGAGTCAGCCCCAGCCCTTCTTCCTCACCTTCATTCAGCAAACCAGTCACCGAGTCCTGCCTGTTTCATCTGCTGCCTCTTCCACAGATCTATCCCTTTCTCCATCCCTGTTGCTTCAGCCATTGGACCCTCATCATCTCACTTTTGCCCAAGGCCTCCTGACAGCCTAGCCCACTGGCACATTCAGATCCGTCTTCCACACAGCAGCCAGCATATCTGATCTAGAATGTACCCTGACCCTGTCGCTCTCCATCTCACCCTCAAGATAAGGCCCAAGACCTTCTGCAAGGCATATGAGGTCCCTCTGAGTGGACCCTCCCTGGCATTGCAGCCACGGCTGTCTCCTCCTGCCTCCTGTTCCTGCTGTTCCATGTTCTTAGAAAACCCTTCCCACCTCTCTCCTACATGGGTACTGCACCTCATCTTCAACACTCAGCTCAGGTGTCATCTCCTTAGTTTGGGCAAACAGCTCTCCCTCCAGCTTTTAGTCTTTGGCATAGTATATTTCATCTACCTGCTCAAGGTCTGCTTCCCTCATGCTCTAGGCACTTTATGAACAAGGACCATGCCACACGGCTCTCAGGCAACAGGAACTGGGTAAATGTGGGTTCATCTAAATAAAACACATCTTCTACCATTTGGTCTTCATAAGGTGGCCTTGACATGTATAATTCTCCCTGTTTAACTGACTGGTAATTAGGGAAACAGGCTCTCCAGTGAGGCAGATCCAAGTTCGAAACCCAGCTCTGCCATGAGGCAGCTGGGGGTCCCTGGAGAGGTTACTCATCCCTCCTGGGTCTCACCTTTCTCATCCATGAGGTGGGGAGACACCCACCAGGCTACTGGGATAACTGGTGAGATGCATATGGTACCGGCAGTGATGAGCCCCTCACGAGGAGCTTCCAGGGCAACAGGTTCACTCAGACGAGTGTTCCCAGCCTCAGCACTGCTGACATTTTGGGCCAGATAGTTCTTGGTCCTGGGGTGTGGCCTGTGCATTGTGGGATGTTTAAAAGACTCCTTGGCCTCTACCCACTAGATACTCTACCCACTAGCAACCCCCCTGCCTTGCCCCAGGTTGTGACAACCAAAAATGTCTCCAGACATTGCCAATTGTTCTCAGTGAGGTGACTGAGAACCAATCACTGCCTTGGAGTTTGATTCCAGGAACCTAAAAACCCCAGGCACCTGAGCTAAACGAGGTTTAAGCAGCTGACCTTGGAGCTGGGAGGATAATCCCTGCATGGAAAAACCTGTCTGCCCCAGCTGGGCTCAGAGCACACTTGCCGCCTCTCAGCAGGGGCTGGACAGGTATGGGCCAGCCAGTCAGCTGGTGAAGACCCTCAGGGGCCCTGGCCAGCCCCAGCCCAGACTTCTGTATGCAAAATACCATGGACGGATCACAGAGGAAAGAAAAGCCAGTCGTCTCCCACGCTGCCCCCAGCTGCCCCGACGTGGCCTGGGAACATGCGTGGGCTTGGAGTACATTCCTGTCCATTAGCTCCTGCACCCATGTGACCAAGGGGGCACCAGGCAGGGGCTCCACTCTTCCTTTTGCAGAAGAGGCTACTAGAGTTGACCCAGGCTGACAGCCTGAATCCATTCATGGCTGACCTTAAGAGCTTTGTCTCCTCACCAACCCTGTGAGGTAGGTTCTATCGGCAGCTCCATTTGAGAGGCCAAGTAACTTGCCCAGCATCACAAAGCTTGCCAGGATTTGAACCCTCGTCTGCCTTGCTCCAGAGCTCATTCTGCCACTGCACCATATGGCCGTTGGAACACGCACTTGCAGATCCTCCCCAACTCATTTATTTGGCCTCACAGCAAACAGAAGAAATAGTAAGTGTGTTATGAGATTCCAAATGGTCTCTCTTTTTGATTGAGGTGAAATTTACATAACATGAAATTAGTCATTTTATAGTGTCCAATTCAGTAGCATTTTGTACAGTCACAATGTCATGCAACCAGCAGCACCATTTTTTTTTAAGCACACACCACCTTTGGGAAGAACCATCTTGTTGCAAATATTTTCCTCATCACAAAATAAAACTCTGTATCCATTAACCAGTTACTCCCCAACTATAGCCCTGCACCCCTCCCCCACAGCCCTTGACAACCACCAATCTGCTTTCTGTCAGCGTGGATTTGCCTATTCTGGGCATTTCATAGAAATTAAATCATACGGTATGCGGCCTTTGTCCTCTGGCTTCTTTCACTTAGCGTAATGTGTTCCAAGTTCATCCATGTTGTGGCATGTAGCAGTACTTCCTTCCTTTTAAGGCTGAATAATATTCCATTATATGGACATAGCACATTTTATTTATCCATTCATCAGCTGATAGACATTTGGACATTGTTTCTACCTTTTGGTTTTAGGAATAATCCTGCAATGAATATTTGTTTACAAGTTTTTGTTTAAGCACCTGTTTTCAATTCTTTGTGGTAGATACTTATGAGTGGAATTGCTGGGTCATATGGTAATTCCATGTTTAGCTTATTAAGGAACCTCCAAACTGTTCTCCACAGGAGCGCCATTTTACATTCTCAACAGCACTGTCCGAGGGTCTTAATTTCTCCACATCCTTCCCAACACTTGTTATTTTCCTTTGTTGTTGTTGCTGTTTTTTAAGTCAAGGCCATTCTAGTGGATATGAATGGTATCTTCCAAACTGTCTCTTAATAAAACACTCAATGAACTTCATTCTAAGAGGTCCTTAGCTTACTCATGGGAGTAAAGGGTTGAACTATACTTCATCCTAGCAGGCTCAATCCCCAGAGAACTGGGTAAAAAGTTGGAACTGTTTGAGGGGAATCTAGTCTTTGGTTTAATTTATCATGTTTCTCTGGTCTTGCTATCAGAAGTTCCGGAGTGAAGACAGAGGGCATAGCCTCGTTTCTAACCAGATCTAGGTTATTGTTATAATTTTGCAGGCCGCCAGGCAATGAAAAAATGGCCTCTTTAATCTGTTGACATTTTGTTACCCAGAGGACTCAAAAACACATATGCATTTCAAAATTTAATAAAACCAAAAGATAGGAGTAAATGTTTAAAGAGAATTAAAGATCTATTAACAAAAATAGGTCAAGTGAGCAAATTGCAAAATATTGCACCCAACATTTAAAGGTCCCCTAACTTTATAGTTCTGTAATAGGATGCTGAAACATTCTATTTTTTAAGCCTTAGTATACTAAGGGCACAAATATAAAATTCAGACTCCGATCTCCAATGCGGAGCATCATGAGAAAATGCAGCAAGAACTGGTGGTGCTGAGAGTTAAGGAAGGGAACGTGGAGTGGGAGTGGTTGCAAGAGACTTTTCTGGAATCCCTGAGACCTCTGCAAATCGTGGAGGAGGTGCTCAGCCCCCGTCTGACAGGCACCCAGCTCTGGGAGTAACATGGACATGGAAGAGCAACCTCAGAGAAGCTTCCATTTACAATCAGCTTTGTGACTTTACTCCGCCTTCCAAGAGACTGACTGTTCGCATACCATTGACCAGAGAGCTGGGTCCTTCAAGATGACGTTGGATTGGCTCTGGTCTTGTCCCTCACTGCCTGGAGGACCTAGGGACAAGTCGCTTCTTGGTCTGAGCCTTGGTCTTCTCGAATGAGTGGGAACCACACCACCTCTTCTGGCTGATGGAGAAAGCCACCATGGGGGCCTACCTCAGGAACGGTGAGGTAACAGTCACAAAAATCATGCAGTGCCAAAATCATTCCTAATGGTCCCCAGAACCATGCTTCGATCTCTAGGACCTGGACACAAAGAAGCACAAAAGCAAAGAACTTTCTGGGGTTCTCTGCATTTTGGCTGGGGCCTCCCTTGCCAAGGTAAACGGGTGCAATAATAGTATGCAATATGGTGGTTATATCATTTGAAAAAGAGTCTCTTAGAGATATGCACTGACTGATATATTTATGAATAAAATATGATATATGATATTTGCTTCAAAATAATAATATGAGAAGGGGGTGAGTAGATGGGGCATTGATAAAAGAGGACTGGCCACAAGTTGACAATTGTCAAAACTGGGTGATTGCTAGACTGTGGGGAGGGGCATTACATTATTACCTCTAATTTTATACTTGTTTGGAATTATCCATAATAAAATGTGGTTTTTCAACAAACAGTAAGAAAAGGCTAAAATGATTAAGCACACACACAACTAAGTGAAGAGTGTTCTTTCTCATTAGAAAAGTCTGATGTGCGGTCGTCGAAACCCACAGGGTTCACCGTCCCCTGTCCTCAGAGTCCACTGGGTATGGAGACAGATCATTTCCAAAACTTTCCCCTCAGTCCTGAGTTGTTCGGATGTGTAAAAGAAAGGAATGTCATTATCTCAGAGTCTAAAAATGCTCACACTCAGAGGACATTTCATAAAATTCTTCTGGGTGAATGAGGCACAGTAGGGGCCGTAGCCCATCACAAGGAGGGGGTCAGACACTGGCTGGACCCTGATGCCTTAGGTGCCTGTCTCAGCTCACTCTAACTTGGGCTGGACCTGGCCAAAGCTATTCTCCTTCCGGGGCCTCCATTTTTCTTAGAAATGACAGCAGCTGGCCAGGCGTGGTGGCTCACGCCTGTAATCCCAGCAGTTTGGGAGGCTGAGGCGGGTGGATCACTTGAGGCCAGGAGTTCGAGACCAGCCTGGCCAACATGGTGAAACCCCGTTTCTACTAAATATATATATGTGTGTGTGTGTGTGTGCGTGTGTGTGTGTGTGTGTGTGTATAAATTAGCTGGGCATGGTGGTGGGCACCTGTAATCCCAGCTACTCTGGAGGCTGAGGCAGGAATTGCTTGACCCAGGAGGTGGAGGTTGCAGTGAGCCAAGATCGCATCACTGCACTCTAGCCTGGGCAACAGAGCAAGACTCCATCTCGAAAGAAAGAAAGAAAGAAAGAAGAGAGAGAGAGGGAGAGGGAGGGGGGGAGAGAGAGAGAGGGAGAGAGAGAGAGAGAGAAAAAGAAAGAAAGAGAAAGAAAGGAAGGAAGGAAGGAAGGAAGGAAGGAAGGAAGGAAGGAAGGAAGGAAGGGACAGTGACCCTTTCTGTTCTAGAGGCCTAGCAAGGTGCAAATGTAATGTGATGTACAATGTCCTACCCACGTCTTCAAAACCTGGAGGTCAACATCATCTCCACTTGACACATGAGGGACAAGTTCAGCAAGGCTGAGGGGCTTGATGAAGGCCCAGGGGAGAGAGCTGAGGGGCCAAACTCGAGCTAGATCCTCCGATTCTGGAAACGCAGGCACATTTTGCTAGAAAACATGGACCTGGATTATGTGATGCTGTTCCATCCCAGCTCTGCAACCCATACTCCCTGAGAGAGTCAGGTATGTGCTCAGGCCCTAACACACCAGTACATACAGGATAATTGATGGGAGAAGTCCCTACCCATTCTCTGCCTGCCTCTCAGACACCCCAGGGGCTGAGCACACACCCACCACACCCAGCCCAGGGACCACTCATGCATGCTCCTCTCTCCTGGGTCAGGCTCAGGCCACCAGCTGCAAATGTCTGTGGGCAGCAGCTGGTCAACATCAGAGCTGGCCACGCCATGGACTCCCACACCCTCCTGTTCCCATTTATTCAGTATGGGACAGGGAGGTGGCGTGGAAGATGAGTCTGTCTGGTGAGACTCAAGTGCTCTGAGACCCAGGTCCCAGGGGCTGGGAGAAAACCTAAACACATTGGAACCCCCAACTCTGACCTCAGTCTGGTTCATGCCTCCCTGCATTTGAGCAGGCTGGCTCCTCTCCCAACAACCCCTTCAAAATGCAGGCCAGAGATCCAAGAGTTTTTCGTTGCTGCAGCTGGCTGGAATCACATCATCACCTGTGTTTCCCTCTATCCCACATCCATACTAGGTCAGGAGTCCCCCAAGGGGAGGAACCAGAGCCCAGCACAGGGTGGTGGTCAGTAAGTGTCTGATGAATGGCACAGACAAGAGAGAGGCCATTGGGAGAGAAGATGGGAGGCTGCACCCAGGCTCCCAGCCATGGCCCCTGCCTTGGTGCTTGAGAAAGGGCCAGCACTGTCATAGAAGCTTAGCCCCAAGGCCACCCATGGAACAGACCTAATGAGTGTTTGCTATGCTCAAAATGTCTTTATTCTGCCATCATACTGAAGTGGTTTCATTGTCTGGGGTGACATTTAAGGTTCTTTGTCTCATGGCCATGGAGATCAAGGATGTGGACACACAACGGGTGAGGTTAGAGTAGAAGTTTAATAGGTGAAAGAAAAGAAACAGTTCTGTGTTGTAGAGAGGGGTCCCGAATGGGGTGGCAAAATGTAGCAAAATGTAAGGGTTTTTATAAATGAGTTAGTGGAGAGGGGATATCTTATTTATATACAGTGTGAAAAACTGATTAGGACCAGGTGTGCCATCTGTATAGAGTGGAATCTCTGGCCATCTATACTCCACTTTTTTATTATGTAGGTGGGTTTTAGCCTGAGTTATTTTATGTTGTTTATCTCTCTCCTGCCATGTATGTGTTGAAAAGGGGAGGGGGAGTTTCCACAATGGACGTGTCTGGTCCCAGGTATCTTTTTGTAGTTGTAGGTATCCCCACTGCTCTGTGTATTTAGTTTCTTTATTTTACTGTGTGTATAAAAGGAAAGGGATGTGTTTATTAAGGCCCACTGTTTTTATTGGGACCCACCGTATGTATGTGAAATTTGGTTATCCAGGAAGCTCTCTTTCTGTGTCGGAGCCGTTTATGTTTACAGTCCAATTTTTTTAGGCTGTTCTTTTTCAGAAGAGAAGTGATTTCTTTGAGTTGCTTGTGATCAGAAAGGAAGTAATTTCTCGAGCTGCTTTTTATTAGAAGGAAAGTTTTGCCGGGAACTTTTTGTCCTTACTATCTGTCTAAATAATTTCTTTCTATCTCTTGTATCAATACTTGATTGGAGGTTCAGCTGGACAGGGAATTCCAGGCTGGAACACCTAATTTTGAGGAATTCCAGGGAGTCACCACAGCCTCTTAGCATCCAGCACTGCTGCTGAGAAGTCTGGTGCCGCTCCGGTTCTAGATCCTTTGTATGTGACCTCTTTCTACCCACTCAGAAAACTTCTAGACACTTTTTTAAACATTGGGGAAACTCTCACAAGAGGCCTTAATGAGGCCTATTTTCATCCAATTTGCTGAGGACTTAATGGGCTTGTCACTTGGAAAGCCAGTTCTAAGAAGTGTTCTTGAATTTTTTTTATGACTGCCCCCTCTAGTTTTTCCTGTCTTCTCTTTCTAGAATATTCTTATTATGCTTATTTTGAACCTTCCTATCTCACCCTCGAATTTTCTCATCCTTTCTCTCCTTCTTTTGTTTTAATAAAAGCATGTTTAATTTATATACATATTTTTAAATAATGTTTCTCAAATGAGTAAATGAATGAGTGAGTGAATAAATGCAGTTAGTTGACAAGTACATGAACACCATTCACAGAAAGCAGGTATCTCCCAAGAGTCAGCGAAATGCAATAATAATAATAATAGCAATGCCTTTTACATCTGTTTGGGAATCAGAACAGAAATTATGATCTCCATCTTCCCAACAAAGAAAGTGAAATCCACAGAGGCCAGACTCGAAAGTCACACAGTTCATGTGTGGCAGGTTCAGGCATCTCCTGTTCCTAAATCTTTGTCTTTTTGCTCTACGTTCTGGAAGACTTTCTCTATTTTATCTCAATCCTTTTTTGGGTTCTTCAACTGTGTTTAAATTCTATGGGCTCTCTTTTGCAATTTTTTAAAAGCTATCTCTTACCAGAAGGATACAATTTTTTAGTATCAACTTATTTTGAGACTTCTCAATCCTAAAGAAGACTTTAAAGAATACAATGAATACCCTTTGCCTAGGCTCATCAATTAATACTTACCATAGTTACTTTCTCTATATTACACATTTCTTTTGTGAAACCATTTTGAAAGTAAATTGCTGACATTATGTAATTCAACCCTAAATCCATCAGTATCTTTTCCTCCTTAGGACAAGAATATTCTCCTCTGTACCAATGAGTCAACCAAGGACAAATGTGCAACCCCTTCTCCCAAAGGAGACATTTGACAATGTGTGGAGATATTTTTACTCGAGACTTCGGGGTGAGTGGGTGAGTATGCTATTGGCATCTAGCAGGTAGGAGCCAGGGATACTGCTAAAAATCCTATAATGTACAGGACAGCCCCCACCATGAAGAATGACCCAGCCTAAACTGTCAGTGGCGCCCAAGTCAAGAAACTGTGCTTGTACCTTATAGTCACACTATTATGACTGTCGACGAATTTATTCTTGATTCAACATTATCTAACGTACAGCACATATTAAGATTTCTCCAATTATTCCAAAAATACGTTTTACAAACACATTATTTTTTCCGGTTCTGGATCTAACCATTACATTTGGTGGTCCTGTCTCCACAGTCTCCTTTCTTCTAGAGTCGATCCAACCTTTTTCTTCTTCTCATTGATATCTTTGAAGTCTCCAGGCCAGTTTCTTGTAGATCGCCCCACATATGGATTCATCTGCTGATGTCCTCATGGTTACATCCATACTGAACACCTTGGCATGAATACTACATAAATAATGCAAATTCTACTTTCATGCTGGGAATCATGACTGCCCCCTACATTTCACCTCCCTCCCTGTACAGTCAGTTGCCTCCCAGTTGCTTTCCTTCAGATTGTCTTGTACTCACCAAGTCAGACCTTTCCTGGGACGTCTGCCTGTCTGCCTGGGGAGTTTTGACCACTTGGTTTCAAATAAGAGGCAGGAAGAGCTGCCTGGGCACTGTGGGCATGTGGGTGGGCCTAGGGCTGACGGCCTCATTGTGGGGTGATCAGGCTGTTTCAGGGGGCACCTCTGGAGGCAGGGTCTTTAGAGTCCTCCCTCAGGATGATGGGGCTCCCTAGAGAAGAACATTCTGGTCTCCTTGTATATGGGTCCAGTACTGGCTGCCAGCTCTTCTGCCTTAGGAGTGGGTAGGGAGCTGAGCAGGGGGAGGGAGCTGGAATGGGTGCACTTGCCGTTAATCCCCTCTTCCACAGACCCTCAGTTTCCTTCTCTCCAGGGTAAACCCTCTTTTTCTGCCAAAGTTGGGTGAGGCAGGGTATTCTGGTTGTGCTGCCTAGACGAGGGGAAGGAGACCTCAACCTCGACGTTCTACCAGCCCTCCTGTTTTTGGCTCCCCCTGCCCCACCCTCAGAGCCCCTGCAGCAGCTGTCTCCGGGTGACTTACTGCCCATACTTCTGCTTTCCAGCTTCCAAAATTCTTGATATTTTATCTTCCTTGTCTTTCTGGATTTTAGCTTTCCAAAAAAATCCTTTCACTGTTCCTGTAATGGGCTTCTGAGAAGGAATGAAGATGAGGGTGAATTTCAATCCATTACCTTCAGCAGTGAGCCTGTGTTCTTCGATGTTTAAATAACAGCTAGGGCCCCAATCCCATTTACTATAGGAAATTCAGAGGGAACCCTCCTTCCAGATGTCTCCAAAGACTGATAGGAAAAAAAAAATTATCCAAATCTCCTAAATGAGGCAGATGGATGTCTCCTATCCTTTCAACGTCATACTGGAGCCCCCGTCTTATAAACCCAGTGAAGGGTCATGAAGCTTTCCTGGGAACGTAGCTGTGATGATTTTTTCCTGATAGTGACTCAGACTGTGTAAATTCAGGCATTAACTTGTTGGAAATTAATGAATTGCCCATTGTTTCTGTCTGGAGGGATAAAAGATAATCCCAAAGGTTATGGTTTCATTGCCCTAGGATGTGAGGATCTTAGCGATTTTGTATCAAACGTAGGAATCTCACTCCAACATTTTTTCACTAATAAGATATGTCTGCTTCCCGTATCTTTCCTAGAACCAGCTTTGTCATCCTGCTGCTTCCCTCATTAATGAGTTAAATAAGCCTTTGACACATGCTCACTATTTGTATAAGAATTGTGTTTAACTTTTTAAAAAATATGCTTTGACAATTCTCCAAGTGCTTCTGTTTCTCCACGTTGCCTCTCTTGAATGCTCATTCTCCACTCTGCAACTCACAGGCAGCAAATACTGGCTTCTCCCTTTCTCTGCTATGCCCTCCATGCTGTGATGTCGCCTCCTCTGTTTTTCATCCCTCCAAAGCACTCCAACCCACAAAGCCCCTCACGGGCAGACAGTGACTGAGGGTTTGGAGTCGTTACGGCATATGGGCACCACCTGAATCCAGACATCAACCAGCCATGCTGAGCCACCCCGATCCTTTCCTGTAGGAAGGGTAGCCTCTCTCCTTGAGAGGCTTGCTACTCTCTTTTTCCAGCTCTGTTTCTTGTATGGAGGGCCAACTCCTCCCTCTTGATACCCCTTCACTTCTCAGGCAGAGCATGTCAGCTCACGACCTCAAATCTCATCTTCCCAGGTAGGCCGGAGACCAACCTTGGGATAAACAAAACTTGACTCCATGGCTCTGCCAACTGTGTGGGATAACATATGTGAGCTGGAACAAGCTCTGCAGCTTACTAACCAGGCAACCCTGGCCTCCCTCTGCCTTGGTTTGCTTGTCATGTCATTTCATATCGGTCAACTTAGCATGAGTTAAGTGAGTTAATACACAGTTATACACACAGTTAGGATAGAAGCTGGCACCCAGTGCTCAAGAACTACTGGATGCATAAGCCCCGGTCTCTAGCCTCGAACAGCGCAGAGCTCAGGCCGGCATGTTGGACACACTCTGGTTTTAGGTGATCAATATTAAAGGACATTTCCCAGCCTCTGAACGGGCAAGGCACTTTTTCCTGTCTGCCTGCTGCACCAGAAGGTGGTAAAGTGATGAATGAGGACTCCAAGAATTGCTGGATGGTACCCGGGGTGTCCACCTGCTCCCTCACTCCGCTTCTGGAACGTCCCACCCCAAAGCTGTGCAGAAAGCACGCTCCTCAACCTGAGCCAGGAGGGCCAGGAAGGCACTGACCCCAGAACAAGACACCCCGTTCTAGTCCTGGCACGCCCTTACTAGTTGTATGACCTTGGGCAAGTCACTCTAGCTCTCTGAGCCATGAGCTGAAAAGAAATGGACGTAATCACCCCTTCCCCGCCTATTCCAGGGTTGTTTTAAAAATCTAAAAAGAAAACACTTGCGAAAACCCACAGAAAAACATGAAGTGAGAATTATCCCCATGCTCCTCATTATCCAGCCGACAGAAGGTTAGGCCATATCGGTGTGGATTTTGTCATCCAAGCAATTCCTGAAGACATTCCAAAGTGGTTCTGGCCCCATTGTTTTATTTCTGGGCTCCAAACCTCAGCGGAGGATATTCAAAGCGAAGGGTATTATTTCAGGGCAGGGAGATTCCACCCTCAGCAATGAACTGGCAGGGTAGCCCTGTGCATGACACTCCAGTAAAACCTGACACCAATCAATATCTTCTCTTCTGCTGCAGGACGCAAGGTCATCCCTGTTTCCAACAACCAGTCAGCCACCTGCAAACCCGCCTGGCTGAACGAGGCTACCGTGACCTTGTCCCTCTGGCCGGGGACCAGAGCTGTTTATCCCAAGCATCTGGCTGTCACATTCCTCTGCCCGAGGGGATGGACTCCAACCCCGTCACCTCAGGACCATCTGCCCACCAGAGGGGTCTTGGTACACCAGCAGGACCACGCCCCCTGAAAACGCTGCCTCACCATTTTCCCAGAGGCTTGGCCTTTGGTTCGGGTGCTCCCAGGGGAAGGGCCAGGGTGTCCAGCACCCAGGCAGCACATCCAGCAGGAAAAGCAGCATCCCTTCCCACTCCAGCCAGGCTTTGTCACAATGACTTGGCTTCCCGGCACCACAATTTTCTCATCTGAAAAATGGAAATATAATGGTGCCTATGCCACAAAAGGCTGTGCAGATTAACCCAGTTTACACGCATGAAGGATTTGTAACCGTGCCTGCCACATGGTAAGCTCTCAACTCTAAGATATTGCTCTCATCACCTGGAATATGGCAGATGCTTAGTACACGCAGCATGGAGTGGTGTTTGAAGGCGGGCTCTGGGGCCAGACAGCCTAGTTCGAATCTTGCCTCTGCTACTTACACCATGCGACCTTGGGCAACTACATTACTCTCTCACTCTCTGCCTCAGTCTTCTCAAGTCTTGTAAGAATTCATAGTTAGCATACAGGAAATTCCAAGAACAGCAGCCGACACACACAGTAGGTCAAAAATGAACATAAGTGGCCAATATAGTCACCTGCTTGGGGGCCTCAGTGTCCCAGCACACACACCCCAAGTGACTCGCAGGCCCTGGGGAAAAGCCTGGCTGGTTGTCACCAACATGTCACACTGTAAGATAAGCCACCATGGGTCCCCACAGAGGGGAAGGGTCTGAGGGAAGGCGGCACAGACCAGCACCCGGGGCTCCTCCTGGTCTTCCTTGTAAATACAAGGGCTCAGGCAGCAGAGACCTTGAGGTCGGTCCCCGGGGATTGGGGTGTCCACCTAAGCCCTCCTGGGCTGGCCCCACCAGATATAAAGGCCTGTATGTGACCCAAAGGGCCCATCCAGAAGGCTCTGCTCTAAAACAAGGACCAGGACCATGGCAAGGCTTGGAATGGCCGTGTTTTAAGAGCACCAGCTGCTCTGCAGACCCAGTCTCACCAATGCTCCAATCGCCTGGTGAGGTGAATTCAGGTTTAACTCAAACCCTTCCCCAGTGAATGCCAGTGTGTGCCAGGCAATATAAGCCAACGACGGCACACAGTCCTTGCCCTCCGGGCGCTCTGGAGACAGGCCTGAGGAAGCCGGGCAGTGGGAGCTGGGCAGACTTTAAGGATGGCGGTGCCAGTGGCCTGAATGTGCCAAGGGAGGAGAGCCCGCTTCAGGCCAGGGGTAGCCAGGAGGGCTTCAAGGGTGGAGGGCACCACATAAGTTCATCTGGAAGGATAGGGAGGGAGAAGTCCTGGGCAGTGGAAAGGGCAGGGGCAAGGCAGGAGGAAGGGGCTCTCACGGCACCTTTGGGACCACAAGCAGGTTGCTGGGGTGCAGGGAGGAGGGCAAGTGACGAGCTTCCTTTAGCAAACACTAATGAGGCACCCAGTCTGTGCCAGACATGCTTGAGATTCCGTTGGCTATGATGGAGCAGGAGCCACCTGCCTTGGTCACCCAATCAGTTTGTCATCCAGAAGTGACTGATAGAGAGGCTCTGAGATCCTCTGGGTGATCAGAGAGGTGAGGCCTGAAGGAAGAAGAGGGGCCAGCCATGCACAGATGAGGGATGAGTGCAGCAGGCAGAGGGACAGAGGCTGTGCCTCCCTCCCACCCACCACGGGGCTCTCAGGTTGAAGGAAAGGCCATTTTCCACTGGGCTGTGTGTTCCAAAGTCACCCCTGGTCCCCACAGTCACCATCCTCCTGTCTCCTCCCTCTGCCCTGCATAGCTGCTGCTGACTGTGAATACACCTGTTTCATCTGGTGTGTTTATGAGTAACTATCTGTACCTTCTCTGCCTCTTCCTTTTCATGGCCCTCAAGGACAGTCATCCCACCTCCCTTCCCTCTGTGGCTTTCAGCTGCCCTGCTTCCTCCTGTCTTTCCCACCCTGCTCTGCCCCCAGGAGTCTAGCAGAGAGGATGGGGGTCACCCAAAGAGGTAGCCATGATCCCATTCGAACCATTCTATAAAGGTTTGCAACCATCCCATGCCAGCTACTGGCTGGGTGGTGAGCTGAGGCACTCACAGTGTGTCTGGAAAGACAGCTAATTATGATAAGTTAATTATACAACACACTAATAATGATAATCTAATTATGTCACGAAAGCAGTAGTAGAAAAACAGAATAACTAACTGCCTGAGAGTGGGGGGAATGCTTCTGGTGGGGAGCTGCCATGTACCCTGCGAGCAGAAGAAGGAGCAAGAGTCACCTACAGAGGATACCAGGACAGACGAGATGGCCAATCCTGCAAGCATCTGGAGGTGCCACAGTCAGGAGGCATTGTGTGGGTCGGCGTGGCCGGGACGTCCGAGGGCAGAGTGATGGGGGCCAGGCAGCAGGGACCAGGCGAGGGGCAGTACAGATGCCAGGCTGAGATTGTTTTCTTTTTCTTTTCTTTTCTTTTTTTTTTTAGACGGAGTCTCACTCTGTCACCAGGCTGGAGTACAGTGGCGCGATCTCAGCTCACTGCAACCTGCACCTCCCGGGTTCAAGTGATTCTCCTGCCTCAGCCTCCCAAGTAGCTGAGACCACAGATGCGTGCCACCATGCCCCACTAATTTTTGTATTTTTAGTAGAGACAAGGTTTCACCATGTTGGCCAGGATGGTCTTGATCTCTTGACCTTGGGATCTGCCTGCCTCAGCCTCCCAAAATGCTGGGATTACAGGCGTGAGCCTGTAAAAGGAGGGACGTGGAAAGCAAGACCTTTCAGAAGGTCAATCTGGAGGCTACATGCAACGCTTGGCAAATCCCTGGCTGCTGTTCACCTGGACTGTTAACATGGTGTGAAATCGTCAAGTGCCTTAAAGGTCTGAGGCTTGCCAGGCAAGGAGCAGCCATTGGCCATCTGCTGGTAGCCAGTGGACCATGGCACACAGGCTGGCCTGGGACGGCATGGGGGTGAATTCACTTCTGGCTGCAGGTGGGTACCCCGCACAGTATTAGCCCCAACTGTACCCCGATTCCTTGTCCAGCCCCAAGCTGACCTGGTTGGTCTTCATGTCCTAAAAGTGTAACCTCTGTGACTTGGTGCAAAAGGCTGGTCCTCGAGGCACGGGCTGGAAGCAAGCAGTCGGTCTGAGTCATGCTCTCCATGTCACAGTGTGGCACCCACCCAAGAGGGAAGCAGTCAAATGACTGGAAAGTGTAAGGAATTTTCCCTTCCTCTTGGTCATTAGTTTTTAAAACCCACTGGCGTGCTCCAAGCTTCATTAACTAGAGCTTGGCACAAGCAGGGAGGAGGCAAGCTGAGAGAAGTCGGGCAGGCTGAGCGCCTCGTCTTCTCGGGTGCTCCCTGCAGCATGCCACCTGCCGGCATGGCGTCTGCATCCAGCAGGCATCCAGCACTGGCTGACTGAGTTTGAAGAGCATGCCTGATCCCGCCCGGAGCTGCCGCCTCTCTCTGCGCATTCATTCTGCAAAACTTTTTGAGCAAAATGTGTTGACCCAGCACAAGCCCAGGCACCAGAAAAGCACTGTAGACATTCAGAGAGGAGGAGCGCATGGTGACACAGGAGACTTGGGACGCAGCACACTGGTGCCGCCTCGGGGGGATCACTGTGACGGGGTGAGTGGACTTCAGAAAACACATCCCTTGTTTTTAGCCAAAATGTCCATCCCCCGGCAGCTCCTAAGCTAGAAGCCATCTCTTCCATGACCCTCCAAATCCCTTCTATGGATGCCCATCTGTGTCAGCTGCCAAGCAGACATATTAGCTCAATGGCTTGATATGAATCTCAGGGTTCAGTTCAACCCACACCTGCCCAACCGGTCCATCTACCCAGCTCCCAGCCCACTGGAGAGTGGCAAGAGGTGAACATTGGGGGGACTGACAGGAGAGGAACTGGAGAGATGGGAAGGGCGGGGTGAGAGAGGGAGCAGCACAGAGGTTAGAGCAACAAGAAGGGGCCAGAAGGCTGCAGGTGCCAAGGTTCCTCCATTCAGGCATCTTGGAAATGGAGCTCCGAGGCTCTCCAGAGACCCCAAAGAGCCGGGGAGGAAAAGGCTGGACAGGGACAGGGACCTGAGAGGCCCCTGAGGTCAGCAAGGATTCAGGCCGGGGTTAGACAGAGAAGCTGGGGTCCGGGGTTTGCATTTTAGTGCAGCCAAGCACGAAAGGAAAATTCCAGTACTCATCCCCAAGACGCTCAGTCATGGGACCGCACCTATTCTGACCTCCCTGTGCTCCAGACCACCATCAGCGTTCATTATTTCAACAAATACTTCTCAAGCACCACCTGGGAGCCAGGAATCACTCAAGGGTCCTCCTCTGGGCACCAGAATAGGGTGTTTCCCAAGGTGCTGTCTTTGCCTCCCCTTTGAGATGCCATATCCAGGTTCCGTTCCTCTGATGTCCTCAGCTCCATTTCCAACCACCAGCTGGACACATGTTCCTCTCTGGAGGATTCATGGAGACCTCAAAATCAACACCATTCAAGCCAAGTGCATCATCGGACCCCACACCAGCGCCCACCATCCTGCCCCACCCAAACACCCCACTCAAAGTCGAGACATCGCACCTCTCTGTTCCCGACACTCTGTAATTATCACCCTGCTTTGTTTGTCCCACCAAACAGTACGCTTGTGCACTATTTCTCTCCTGTAACACCACGAGGGCAAGGACTCTGTTTTACGTTATTGCTGTCTCCAGCATCTAGCAAAAGTCAAATTTTAATGTGTTGGTGGAACAAATCTAGTCAGGCTGTCCTTGCCCTAAATCTCTTCATTTTTTTTTTTCCTTTCCATTTCAAACTTCAGTTGCTTTATTTTCACAAGGTGACTTAGGTGGCAACCAGAAATTCATGTCACTGAGACCTTATGGTTCAAAGTAGTTCATCAAGCTGCCCCCTCCTTTGCACTTTCCCAAGCCCCTCCCTTCCCAACCTTGCTTCTCTACCCCCAGAACACTTTCCAAGGAGAATACCTGAGTCCAAGATTATTCAAAAAAAAAAAAAATAGTTGTTAGCTAGGACAGGGAACATTTTTGCATTTTCAAATGCTATCTTCAGCAAAAAAAAAAAAGTTCTGTTACATAATCGGTCAACATCCTCGAGATGAGAAACATGTGGGGAATGATGCCAACTGCAGGAAAGCCTTCTGCAATGCTCCACAACCATGGGCACAGTTGGCAGAGTTTAGCCCTGAAGATCCTCCTGTTGTCTACCTGAAAGCAGAGGCTCCGGGTGCTCGCTGAGAGGATGGCAACACCCTCTCCTTTTTAAAGATTAAACTGTTCCCTTTCATTTCAAACGTGCATTTAAAAGGCTTGACTGCTTATTCTAATTACTTCTGCACATGGAGTGTCTTGTCCTCTGAAATGCAAGGATAAACGCTGTGCAGCCAAATTAGGCATTCAAGATTTCGGTTTCGTAGAAACCCTGAGAGGAGCCTCCGTGGTAACGTGGCTGTGTGGTGGGTAGAAAGGGAGACAGCAGATCCAGGGACCGAGTTTGTCGCTTACTAGCTGGGCCAACCTGGCAAATGACTCCAACCAGATGGAGGATGTGCAATGCGTCATTAAGCCTCTCTTCTTTGTGCAATTAAGAGGGAATGTAAATTGATACAAATGTTTGGAAAACTGATTGGCAGTATGATCGGGCAATTCTATTTCTAGGTATCACCCAACACAAATGGACGCATGTATACAGGCAACATGTACACAGGATGTTTGTAAGAGCATTATTGGTATCAGCCCCAGAGAGGACATAAACCAAATATCTAACTGCAAATGGATAAATAGTACAGTATCCCACTGTATGAAATAATCACAGTGAATATGAACTATAGCTACAATGAAAACTGGACAAAACTAATAGTGCTGAGTAGAGAAAACACACAGGGCTAGGCACAGTGGCACATGCCTGTAATCCCAGCACTTTGGGAGGCTGAGGAGGGAGGATTGCTTGAGCCTAGGAGTTGGAGGCCACAATGAGCTACGATGGTGCACTGTACTTCAGCCTGGGTGACAGAATGAGACCCTGTCCCTAAAATAATAATGATTTTAAAAACTAAAACACAGGCTAGGCGCAGTGGCTCATGCCTGTAATCTCAGCACTTTGGGAGGCCAAGGTGGGCAGATTATGAGGTCAAGAGATCAAGACCATCATGGCCAATATGGTGAACTGATAAATAGCCTCTGCTAAAAATACAAAACATAGCCAGGCATGGTGGTGCACACCTATAATCTTAGCTACTTGGGAGGCTGAGGCAGGAGAATTGCTTGAACCTGGGAGGCGGAGGTTGCAGTGAGCCAAGATCGCACCACTGCACTCCAGCCTGGTGACACAGTGAGACTCCGTCTCAAAAAATAAATAAAACACAAAAACGTAAGTGTGTGTGTGTTACTATAACTCCATTTACATAAAGAGTTTTTCTTAAGGCAAAATTAAAATGGTTATACCTAGTTTAGGAAATGCAAGGCAGAGATGACATCTAGGTCAGGACGGTATTACTGGGGGAAGCGGAGGGGTGTGATTTGCAGGATGCCTGCAGGAAAGCTCCTGGGGGCCTGGCAATGCTCTGCTTCTTGACTTGAGTGATCATGACATGAGTTTTTACTTTATAATTACTTGTTATACTTAACGTTTATGTTTTATGTATGTTTCTGCATGTGTGGTAATGCTTGATCTTTTTTTTTTCTTTTGAAATGAAGTCTCACAGTCCCCCGGGTGGGAGTGTAATGGTGCGATCTTGGCTCACTGTAACCTCCGCCTCCCAGGTTCACGCGATTCTCCTGCCTCAGCCTCCCGAGTAGCTGGGATTACAGGTGCACACCACCACACCCGGCTAATTCTTTTTTCATTATTTTTATTTCTATTTTTTATTTTTAGTAGAGATAGGGTTTCACCATGTTGGCCAGACTGGTCTTGAACTCCTGACCTCATGATCCGCCTGCCTTGGCCTCCCAAAGTGCTGGGATTATAGGCGTGAGCCACTGTGCCCGGACTTGATCATTTTTAAAAAGGTCTTAACAAGTCATCCTGGCTGTGTTAAGAGTGGATTGGGGTTGGGGGAGAGGAAAACAGGGAGCTCACAAAGATGCTCTTCAACTAGACTAGGTAAGCCTGCTAGGCTAGGCTGGAGAAGACCAGACAAGCCCCCTGGGCTAGGCTAGGATAGAGGACTTCCTTAGACTAGACTGGCCTCCTAGACTAGATTTTAGCCACGCTGACTAGATGATCACCCTAGAATCCGTTAGAAATGATGGTGGCTGGGCCTGGAGACCTGATAATGGAGATAGAAAAGAGTAGATTTGGCCGGGCGTGGTGGCTCACACCTGTAATCCCAGTACTTTGGGAGGCCGAGGTGAGTGGATCACTTGAGGTCAGGAGTTCAAGACCAGCCTGGCCAACATGGTGAAATCCTATCTCTACTAAAAAAACACAAAAATTAAATGACGTGGTGGTGAGCACCTGTAATCCCAGCCACTTGGGATGCTGAGGCAGGGGAATCACTTGAACCTGGGAGGCAGACGTTGCAGTGAGCACTGCATTCCAGCCTAGGTGACAGAGCGAGACTCCATCTCAAAAAAAAAAAAAAAAAAAGAGTAGATGTGGGATCTGTCCCAGCAGTAGATGAGTCAGATAGGTGGTGAAGAAAAGAAGATGGCAGGTATGGAGAGGGGTGCAGGAAGACATCGAGGGTTCCTCAATGATCATGTTAAGTTGGGGGTGCCTCCTGGATTCCCAGGAGGAGGTGTCTGGGAGGCCAGCGGATATTTGAGCCTGGAGTTCACCACATTATGATGAGTACGGACAAGCGGAGTGAGCGGTCATCACCCAGTAGCCCTGCCAGCACCCCAGCACCTACAGATGGCGTGTAGTTCAGCAAATAATAGATTATTCGATGTAATGGGATTTCCACTTGTGCTCTCTAACAGCCAAACCTACACGCATGACATCTATCACTGCCCAGGGTCAACGTAATTAAAATAAACATTTTTCAAAATGGGTCACCATTTGCTCTTTAGATGGATGGAGAAGAAGGACCTATCCCAGTTGCATGCATTTAACTGGCCTATCTGAACAGCCCAGCTTTTTCTTTTCCAATTCCCTACACGGTATTTCCACTTTGTGTCCCCTCTAGGTAGAACTGAAGCAAGCAATTTTAGGAAGAAAAGAATTTTGGAGTAGAAAAGAACCAACTTTAATTTCCCTGTCTGCTCCATAATTTATGACAAAGCAGACAGTGAGCCTGCCAGCAGCACTTTCTCAGAAGTTAACTTATTGAAAACAAACATTCACTCAGACCAAGTTTTGTGCTTCAAGGAGTTCTGTCTGCAAGACTTCCATCTTTTTCATCCCACCAAAGGCAGTCTAAGACAAACTTCCTTCACTTGTCACAATTTTGAAATGCAATATATTTTAAGTTGCAGACATTGTGGTGAAATACACATAAGATTTACCATTGTAACCATTTTTAAGTATACAGTTCAGAGGCCGTAAGTGCATTCACATTGTTGTGCAACCATCACCCCCGTCCAGCGCCAGAACTCTTTCCATCTTCCCAAACCGAAACTCTGTGCCCATTAAACGATAACTCCCCCATCGCCCCAGTCCCTGGCAACCACCATTCTACTTTCTGACTCTCAGAATTTGACTGCTCTAGGTACCTCATATCAGTGGAGTCATACACTATTTGTCCTTTTGTGACTGGCTTAGTTCACTTAACATAATGTCTTCAAGGTTCATCCACATTGTAGCATGTGTCAGAATTTCCTTCCTTTTTCAGGCTGAATAACATTCCATTGCATGTATATTCCACATTTTATGTAGCCATTCATCCACTGACAGACACATAAGCTGTTTCTACCTCTTGGCTGTTGTGAATAATGCTGCCATGTGCCTGGGTGTACAAATATCTCAAGTCCCAAAATGCAACATATATTCTTCCTAGTTACGTTTCCTGAGTTAAATTTAATCAAGCTGATCAATTTCTGTTTTTACACCAGGAGATCTGATTCTTTCTGGCAATCAGCCTTTCTGTCTGGGTCTGTACTGACTTTGGAAGTTGTTCTCCCTGAATCTGAATTGTGCCAGTCGGCCACAGATGACCCTAATCCTAATCCTCCAAGGAAGAATGAAACATCAAGTTGCCCCTCGTTGGTGACACAGCTCGAGTAAGTCTCAAGAAACGGGGAAATAAGGTTCCAATCCTGGGGGGAATAATGTAATAATCCAACTGATACTCATTAAAGCTAGAAATGTGATTGAGTCAAACACAGAGGAAGCTACTCCACTCAGTCCCAACATAAGCCAGTGCCCCACCTGTAACTATCTGAGAAATCTGCTATACTGAGATCATTTGCATAAGATTCATTCAGCGTTTAAAGCACATCCTCTGTCCTGCACGTGCCATGAGGGGGTCTGGCTTAGTGTTAGATCCTCAGGGACAGGAAGCTGTCACATGTGTGTGAGGGTGACCAGCACGTGGATAACAGGGGCCAGACCCCAGAGAGAACTGAATGGTGTCCTACTGCAGAATCTGGACATCACTGTGTGTCCATAGGGGCCCACTGAAGCTTTGTCCAGGAGAAAGACAAGGTCTATACCATGCCAATGTATCGAGCACGTGCTCTGTTCCAGCCACTGCGCCATGTGACTTACATGTATTAATTCCTCTAATCCTTACAACAACCTAGGCATTGTCATCACCATCTCCATTTTACAGTTGGAGAAACTAAGGCACAGAAAGGTCAAATGACTTGCCCAAGGTCACACAGCTAATGACTGATAGATCCAGGGTTCAAATTCAGGAGTTCTGGCTTCAGAGCTTAAGGTCGTACCACAAAGTGGTACCACCTTGCCACAGTCCTCATGGTGGCACGCTCATTCTAGTTTTCAAGAAAGAAAAACATTTCACAAGGAAAATGTCACATTAATTTAATCAGAATGTCATGTTTCCTGGCTGGACTAGAGATGTGGAAGCCAAGTATAGATGCTCTTCAACTTACGATGGGGTCACATCTCGATAAATACACTGTAAATGGAAACTACTGTAAATCAACAATGCATTGAATCTACCCAATCTACGGAACATCCTAGCTTAGCCTTGCCCATCTTAAGCATGCTCAGAACACCTACACTACCCTATGATTGGACAAAATCCTCTTACACAAAGTCTATTCTATCATAAAATGTTGACTCTCTCATGTGATTCATTGAATAATACTATACTGAAAGTGAAAAACAGAATAGTTGATGGGTTCTCAAAGTATGGTTTCTACTGAATGCAAATTGCTTTCATGCCATCGTAAAGTCAAAAAAATCCTAAGTCAAACCATTGTAAGTCAGGAACTGTCTGTTCAGCTCAGCCCTCAGACCTTCCAGTGGTATAAACACACCCACAAACAAATCAACACACGATGTCAGAAAGCAACAAGGGAGAGCACGAGCTCTAACAGGAACCCACTTGCCGAGCTACCACGCTCAGGGTACCTCACCTGGCCGACTCTCAGGGCCAGTGTCACTGATGACAGCTTTATGTCACCTCCAGCTACAGAATGCAGGCAGATCCTCCAAGGTATGATAACAGGGTCTCAGCCAGATTCTCCTGAAACTGGAGCAGGCAGCACCCCAGGCCCGGCAAACCCAAGCTTTGCCTTTCTGTCCTTTGCTCGTCCCCAGACAAATATTGGCTTCTAGTATTTAGGCAAAGAGGTATTTCAAAGCACCAGATCCATGTCTGCACGAACTGAAAAAGTTCCTACACTCAGAATCTTCAAGTGAAAACCTAGGGTCCAAGGACTTGGGTTTGAGAGCTAGCTTTTGAACTTTTGGGTAAGTCAGCTCGTCCTTCTAGCCTTGGCGTCTACCTGAGAGTGAGACCTCACTGGGCTGTTGTCAGTATCCATACAGTGTCCACGTGTGTCTCCATGACCTGCAGACCCTGTGCCACCATCTGCCCTCTTCCCAATCTCTATAGGCTACTCTCCTACTGCCCCCACCCCGCTCCAGCCACACTCACCTCCTTGTCCCCACGTCTACAGGCCCACCTTGTCACCTCCTTCACATCTTGGCTCACATACCACCTCTCAGCGAATTGAGGCCTCTGCAGGACAGCCTAGATGATATTTCAACCACCCCACCCCAACAAGTACTCTAGGGCCCCTGGCCCCATTGCATCTAACATTTGTGTTGTTGTTGTTGTTGTTTGTTTTGTTTTGTTGAGATAGAGTCTTTCTCTGTCACACAGGTTGGAGTGCAATGGCCCCATCTCAGCTCACTCCAACCTCTGCCTCCTGGGTTCAAGCGATTCTCCTGCCTCAGCCTCTCAAGTAGCTGAGATCACAGATGTGCACCACCATCCGTGGCCAATTTTTGTATTTTTAGTAGAGATGGGGTTTCGCCATGTTGGCCGGGCTGGTCTCGAACTCTTGGCCTCATTCAATCCGCCCACCTCGGCCTCCCAAAGTGCTGGGATTACAGGCATGAGCCACCATGCCTAGCCAGCATCTAACATTTTTTAGGGCCCTGGTACTCCAAGTGTGCTCTGGGAGCCAAAATAATCAGTCTCACCTGGGAGCTTGTTAGAAGTGCAGAATCTCAGGCCCCACCCCAGATCTACTGAATCAGAATCTGCATTTTCACAAGATTCCCCAAGTGATTTGTGTGCACATTAATTCTATTCTATTAAAAATGTAAATAATGAGCCAGAAATTCTATTCTAGCACATCAGATACTTTGCCTACTTGCTGTTTCCTCTCCATGAGACTGTAAACTACATAACGGCAAGCGTTTGTCCATTCTAATCTTCACTGTGGTCCCAAAACTATAAAAGTAGCTGCTACAGGCCAGGCATGGTGGCTCACACCTGTAATCCCAGCACTTTGGGAAGTCGAGGCGGGCAGATCACGAGGTCAGGAGATCAAGACCATCCTGACTAATACAGTGAAACCCCGTCTCTACTGAAAATACAAAAAAAATAGCCGGGCATGGTGGCAGGTGCCTGTAGTCCCAGCTACTTGGGTGGGTAAGGCAGGAGAATGGCGTGAACCCGGGAGGCGGAGATCGCGCCACTGCACTCCAGCCTGGGCGACAGAGTGAGACTCCATCTCAAAAAAAAAAAAAAAAGTAGTCAGTAAAATAATATGGTGTACGATCACCTGGCAAGGCTTGCCAGGAGGCTAAACACGCCTTCCTCAGGAGCAGGTGAGCTCACCAAGGGCCCAGACCTGGCTCCAGGTTTCCACCGGCAGTTCTCTTTGGCCACCCTCATGGGAGGGACACAAAACCGGAGGCAATTTAGCTTAATTTCTCTTAGCAAGTGACTGCGAGGTGACTCCAGCACGGGGTCAGCCCATCAACTCTCCTGCTCTCTGGGCCGGCCGTGTGGGAAGCTCACTTGGGATGGCGGCACAGGCAGCTGGGACAGGGGAGCTGAAGTTATGCTCTGCTACAGGTTTACAGCTGCTTCAGGGAACTGAACACTCAAGATGCCTCCCCTGGCCATGCTAGATTTATCTCTGGGGAACCTGACCACGACAATCCCTTTTCTGACAACACAGCCCAAGTAGGGTACAGCTGATTAAATGCCTACACAGAAAAGGACACGAAGAGCAAGCAGAAAGGGAACACAAATGACTCTAATAGGAAAAATGCTCAACCTCACTCATGACTGAAACAAACTGAGATACCATGATTCACCCTCCAGATTGGCAAACTCAACAGGTCTGATAACACCATGGGGTGGGGAGAACCGGCCCTCTCATCCATGTCTGGTGGGACAAAGGCTGCCAATGGGTACAGACTTGATGGAGGACCCTCTGGCACCATCTGTCAAAATGACAAATTCACCCACCCTCTGACCCAGCAATTTACTTCTAAGCCACTCATGGCAACAATGCTTTTTGCCCTCTTGCGCTACAACAATAAACTAAATGCATATACATCATTAGGGAATGAGTTAAATAGATCATAGCACATCCGCACAATAGAATACTATGTAGATGATTAAAGGATGGGAAAAGAAACATTTAATTATTAATGACTTGGGTTAGCCTTCAATATTGAGCAAAGATAGGTACGGATCAAAGAGTATGTCATGCTCCTGATGACAGCTTGAAATATTTGAGCCATCACATAGGCCCATATTCTATGCATGCACAAACTGCTAAAGGGTTGCCTTTGAGGAGGGGGTTTGGGCAGCTGTGGGACAGAGATAGGAGACAGAGGTTTTATTTTATCATCTCCAGTGCTTTTTGAATTTTGAATCATATGAAAACATTATCTATTCAAAGACTTTAAGTTTTTAAATGCCCCGTACTGAACTGCACAGTTACTCTCCAGGGGCATCTTCTGAAAAGCAGAATGTTGGGGGTTCCCAACTAGAATGACATTCTCAGACAACTGGACTTATTCCATAGATGGATGATGGCATTTCCTGTTTGATTAACTCAGAAACAACCTCAATTCCTTTCCTGAATGTCCTCAAGGGGGCGCCCTGCTCTCACCCCGATATAAGTACCCCTGCAACTCTAACTTGCTCTAATTTAAGCTGGACCAAACCTCCGACATCAGCCACCACCCTCACTTTTGGCAGATGGAGAAACAAGGGCCAGAGAATAAATGAGTCTGGGGGCCACCTCTGGCTTCCGATGTATTTCGGGGCCCTGGGCTTTGACTCCTCAGCAGCAAAATGAGGAGGATGTCACACATCTAACAGTCATAGTCTGAAAACAGAACCTAATCTAATGGCAATGCAAAACCACAGAAGGGGAGTGCTCACTATCGAAGCTCATATCCAACCCTTTGCCTGTAAGGTCCTTCTCAGCACAGCTCCTACAACCTTATGGCCTCATCTCCCAGCTCATTCCTCCTGTCATTTTAGTCCAAACATTCTAAATTCACCTGTACGGCTATACCATATTCATAACCTTCCCTGCCTCAGGGCCTTTGCACCTGCCAGTCCCCTCATCCATCTCTCTCTCTGCTTAGGTAGCTCCTACTTGTCTAATGTATCTCAAGTTAAACATCCTTCCTTTGGGGTGGCTCTCTCTCACTAGGTCAAACCTCCATTCTATGCTGATTGCCTCCCACACCTGTTCACGGTGCCTCTCATTCATAGCTCCTTGTTCAAGGTCTCTCTTCCCTGGCAAACCCCCTACTTTTCCCTAGTGGTCAGGACCCTTTTTCATTGCCACCTACAACAGTATTGATGGAACAGCAGGGGCTCAAATGGGAGTTCCCTTCCTCATTTCTGTTTACTACCAACAGCTCCCATTATTACTCCCATCTCCCTCACTAAAACTAAGCCTTCACCTACCTTTCTTTCTCTCTTACTCTTTCTCCTTCCTTTCTTTTCCTTTCCTTTCCTTTCCTTTCCTTCCTTTCCTTCCTTCCTTTCCTTCCTTCCTTCTTTCCTTTTTTCTTTCTTTTTTAGACAAGATCTCACCCTGTCACCCAGGCTGGAGTACAGTGGTGCAGTCTCGGCTCACTGCAACCTCTGCTTCCTGGGTTAAAGCAATTCTCATGCCTCAGCCTCCTGAGTAGCTGGAATTACAGGTGGGCGCCATCACACCTGGGTAATTTTTTTTTTCAGTATTTTTAGTAGAGATGGGGTTTCACCATGTCGGCCAGGCTGGTCTCAAACTCCTGGCTTCAAGTGATCCACCCGCCTCGGCCTCCCGAAGTTCTGGGATTACATGCATGAGCCACAGCCCCCGGCCTGCCTGCACCTTTCAAGTAAGAGAAGAAACACTTAAGAATAGCTCTAATAGGCATGTGTCTTGCTCATTTAGTGGAGGCAGAAGAAAGTTTAGAAATATTTTTTTTCATGTAACAATAGCTGCTAATTTTTGTTGAGTTCTATTCACAAGCCTTGAGGGTTTTTTATGGATGTGAAAATAGCAGTTTTAAAAAAACAATCCCAGGGTCCCATAGCTTGTGTTAGAGATGGCATTCTGAAGCCCAGCCTGTCCTGCTAACCACCTTTAGGACGCCTATAATTTATTGAGTTTTCGGCATAGGCAGTATTGGGTGTTTTGTGTGTGTGTGTGTGTGTGTGCGTGTATGTGTGTGTGTGAAAGAGAGAGAGAGGGAGATTTCAGCTAAGCCCAAGTGACCACTGGGTGCCCTAATTAGGAATCTGTACCCAAGGGTTATGTCTTAGTTTGGGCTGCTGTAACAAAGTACCATAGATTGAGTGGCTTATGAACAACAGAAATTTATTTTCCACAATTCTGGAGGCTTAGAAGTCCAAGGTCAACTTGCCAATATAGTTGGGTTCTGGTAAGGACCCTCTCTTCCAGGTTGCAGATTGCTAACTTCTTACTGTATCCTCACAAGGCAGAAAGAGAGGAAGCTAGCTCCTGGGTCTCTTTTAATAAGGGCACTAATCCCATTCATGAGGTCTCCCACTTTCATGACCCAATCACCTCCTGCCTCCTAACACCATCAAATAGGGGCTTAGGATTTCAACATATGAATTTTGGGGGAACACAAGCATTCAGTCCATTGCAGGTGGCAAGTGAGCATATCTGGCCAAGCTCCAAAGTCCTGCAGCTATATCTATTTCCCATTAACATCAGGTACTCTGCTAATCTCCATAATGAATTGAGTTTACTGGTAACTTAGTGACTTGGTCATTAACATGCTGGATGTTAGAAATGGACTCTCATGGATTAAATCAATGGCGTTTGAGATGTGTGGATAGACTGAGAGAGTTTGGAGATCATCCCCACCCTCAGATGATTAGGGAGGGGATCCTGTATCCTGGGGTCCTTAGGGATGGTACCCAAGGCCTGATCCCAAATGGTCCTCAGTCCGGCCAACAATTTGGGAGGGTCCTGTTTGCTTGATCTTGACTATAAGTTTAACTGAATCCTGACACTTGAATATTATTGCTTCTACCTGGAGTCACTCTTTCCTGCAAATGTAGTCAGAAATACCTGAAAGGACAGAGTGTTAGGTTATCATCTATCTTACTGAGGGTTGTACATCTGTATAGGATTTGACTGGCTACTTACTTTCTTTATAACCTGGTGGCAAGGTTGCTGAGGGGCAGCTGGCTCTAACCCACCGTGCTTAGCAGCTCCCAAAAAAAGAACTTAACCGCACATGACCCAATTGGCATAGGTCAGTTTGCAACAAGAAGTACTCTGCATTGTCTTTCTAGACAGAGAGACTTCAACAGGGCTCAACACATTCATAACCCTGTAGTTATTGAGCACAAGTGCCTTCTTCTGGGCTCTGGCAAGTTTGCCCAAAGTAACAAGACTTCCATGGTCAGCCCCAAATGATTCCTTCTGGTGAAATATCTGCCAGGTAGGCGGTGAGTGTCTGCCCCACAATGCCAGTGAGGCGGCACATCCCCAAACCCATAGGAATGGCCTCTTAGGAAAACAAACAACCACAAAGCTCCTTTATCCATACTTCAAAAAGGAGACATCTGCTATTGGAAACAACACTCTCAGCCACAGACAGGATTTGAAAAAGCAAGTCATTAAAACAACTGAACCACACTGCTGGCATGCCCTCCTATTGGAATCCCCTAAAATTCAGAGCTTATATTATAAAGAGCTTATATTTTAAAATGCCTACAGCAACGTGAGGGGTCCTTGAGGTGTTGGGAAACTTGTATATCTTGACTGTATCAATGTCAGTATCCTTGTTGTGATATTGCACTATAGTTTCTCAAATATTATGACTGGGGAAAGAAAACAAGGTGAAGGGCATATAAAATCTGTCTGTGTTATTTCTGACAACTTCATGCCAATCTACAATCATCTCAAAAACTGTAGTCTAAAAACGGAAATGTCCTAACACTTAAGAAACATCTTCTAGGCTGGGCACGGTGGCTCACGCCTGTAATCCCAGCACTTTGGGAGGCCAAGGCGGGCGGATCACTTGAGCTCAGGAATTTGAGACCAGCCTGGTGAACATGGCGAAACCCTGTCTCTATTGAAAATACAAAAATTACCCGGGTGTGGTGGTGTGCACCTGTAATCCCAGCTACTCAGGAGGCTGAGGCAGGGTAATTGCTTGAACTCAAGAGGTGGAGTTTGCAGTGAGCCGAGATCGCGCCACTGCACTCCAGCCTTGGCGACAGAGCAAGACTGTATCAAAAAAAAAAAAAAATCTTCCAGTCACTTTTATTATTGAAGACATTGGAAATCTGGGGAGAAATTCAACAGCAATCCTTACACAGGCCTTTTTTTTTTTACCTGGAAGAGGGGGGTTATCCCATTTTCCCCTTTTTGTTTGTGAAGGTTTATCTTATGAGATTCCCAGAGCCTGCAGCGTGACTTGGTGCCTCCCTGCGAGCTGGTAACTCCAGATTACAAGCCATGGTCAGTGGTTAAACCTTAGGCAAATTGGAGTTTCCCTCCTGAGTTTAGGCTTTCTCTCCTGTTAACATTCTGAGTAATCAATGCTCCAACATGTATGAGAGCCTGGCTCTACCCCTTGGTGGCCATAGGCTCCAAAAAACCTTCACCGAAGGGGACTCCTTAGAACGCTTTGCTTCAAAGGGATTTTCCCCATGCACATCAGAAGATTAGGCACAGAGAAAAACCATGAGCATACTGATTCTGTTTCAGATTTCTCAAGTGGCAATCTTGTCTTAGTATGAATCTTAGAAAAAAAAAATTATCCCAGAAAATGAATCAATGGACAGAGTAAGAGTAATTACTGTGTGTCCCCATTTCTGATGGTGGGCAGTGTGGATTCAGTGGAAGGGGCCCCAGGGACTGGGAATCAGGAAACCACCAACCAACTTTGTGACCTAGAACAGGATCAGCAGACTATGGCCCAGGGTTGACAAAGTTTTATCGCAACACATTCATTGTCGGAGTCACCCTGCATCGGCAGAGTGGAGCAGTTGCTATAGAAACTGTATGATCCGCAAAGCCTAAAATGTTTACTATCTGGCTCTTTACACAAAGAGTTTGTTGACCTCTGACTTAGAACAACTGTCATGATAAAAATACTACTGTGTCAATGTTTAAGTCCCAGGCACCATGCCAAGTGCTTTAGATGCCTTCGCTCATCCAATCCACACAATGAACCTGCAAAGCTCAGATCATCACCATCTCATAAACAGGGAAATGAGATTTAAGGAAGTTAAAACCTGCTGAGTTCACACACTCAGTAAATGGAGCACCTTAGTAACTCTCTCACCTCCTGAGAACGTCCTTCTTCTCCCTGGGCCTGGGTCATCATCTGTGGGGATGTCAGGGTTGCCAAAGAAGCTCTAACATCTCAACTGTTCTTTTGAATATGATGAGAACAACCTTTTTCCAATCAAATATCTAGGCACAAGGCACAAGTATTTTCTTTAAAAGTTTTTTGTTTGTTTGTTTTTGTTTTTTGTTTTTTTAGATGGAGTCTCGCTCTGTCACCCAGGCTGGAGTGCAGTGGCATGATCTTGGCTCACTGCAACCTCTCCTTCCAGGGTTCAAGCAATTCTCTGCCTCAGCCTCCTGAGTAGCTGGGATTACAGATGCCCACCACCAAGCCTGGCTAATTTTTGTATTTTTAGGAGAGACGGAGTTTCACCATCTTGGCCAGGCTGGGCTTGAACTCCTGACCTCGTGATTCACCCACCTCGCCCTCCCAAAGTGCTGGGATTACAGGCGTGAGCCACCTCACCCGGCCTTGAAAGTATTTTTATAACCCAAATACTTCCAAAAAGCCTTGAGATCAGAGTAAAAGGTTGAAAGCCAAGTAACAATGTTAGGAAGTAACAGTAAGATGGGAATGGATTTTGCAAACATTTTAAGGGAATCTAAAGCAATTGAGCATAAAACACGTTTAAGCTTCCTGGCAGCCAAAGCAATAAGAGAAACAATGTGAAAATGAGAATCTCACTACCTAATAAAATGCATCATCCCTTCCTCACTGTTATTTTGCCTTGAATCTTCAGTGTCTTCGACTCTGCCCTTGGTCATTAGTAAGGTCTTATATCACGAATGGACACACCAGTCTCCTAATGCCTTTGGCTCCTTGAAAAGTTCAGCACATCCTAGTACAAAGTGAAATAAGCCAATGTGGGACACTGAATGGGATCAAGATTGTATTACACCAATTCCTTTGACCACACTGGCTAAGGCGTATCACTAACTCCCCAGGAGGAAGAAATAGGAGATTGACATCAGAACCCGCTGAAGGGCCTCTACTTTTAAAATAAGAATATAGAGTCGATTGTAAAGCATTCCTATGTTTTATGACACTTTTTTAGAAGGTTAAAGATAAAGTTATGTTTGGTGGCATAAATGAGCCATACTAGAAGTGGGGGCTATAAAGGAGGTAGCTCAGCCGAACCCTGACTCTTGGGGTCATTCTTACCCCAGCCCCATAGCACAGGGGTAGTGATCATGGACCCTGGCATACACAGAATCTTTGAGAGCAAGAGAGGCCACATCCCCACCCAACCCAGCTCAGTGCTTTTTAAGCATGGCCACACATTTGATCACCGGGGGAAATGTAAAAACCACTGCAGACCAGGTCCACCCACAGATTACAATTTAATCTGTCTGGGTCACAGCCTCAGTATCAGCATTTTTAAAAGTTGCCCAGGTCACCCTAATGAGCAGCCAAAGTTGAGAACCGCAGCCCTAGTTCAAAACACTGATTTGCAGACATCATCATCATTTTCCCTTTTCACAAGTACAACTACCACTGCAAGCAGCTATTACTGCAATATAAATAACAGCTTGAACATAAGGCCTTTTTAATTTGTTTAAGTAGATGGTTACAACAATGATCTATCCCTCGCTTATGACCTCAGATCTCATCCCAACGTGTTATATTGGAGAGATGCTTCCATCCTTGACCTCAGGTCACTCTCTCCCAAGACTTATGGTAATTAGTGGTTACTGAATGCCTCCTGCGTAAGAGACTGAGGACAGGTGACCTCATGCCTTCTCCATGGCCATCCTGAGAGGTAGGGAAGAGCACTTCCAGTTTACAGACGGAAAAACTGAGGCTCCAAAACAATGCAGAGTCTGAGAGTGACAGGCTTTCATATTCCTGCACTGCTTCCTATAGCACTGCATCTGCTATCAAATCTGAACTTGTCATGAAAGCAGAGTGGGTCAATTTCCTTAAAAAGAAAAGGAAATGTTTCAATGAGTTCAGTCTGTATCAGTCACACCAGCCTCCTTGCTGTTCACAGGACAGACAAACACGTGCCCTCCTCAGGGCCCCGGCGCTTCCTGCCCCCTTAGCTGGAAATGCTCCTTCCACATCCCCTTTCCCTTACCTTTCCCCTGAGTGGTCCTGTCCACTCAGAGACCTCCCCAAACACCTGATTTTAGGTCCCCAAGCCCATCCCAGTCACTATCTCCTGATCACTATTTATTTTCCTCACAATACTTATCACCTGACATTATACATGTGCTCATTTACAAATTTACTTTCTGTCTGCTCCACTAAACCGTAAGCTCCACCAGGGCAGGGCCCTTCTGTTCACTGCTGTCTCCCAGTGCCTGGCATACAGGGGGTGGGTGCCCTATGAACATCCCCCTTTCACCCTCTCAGAACACCAGCCCTCATTCTCAGCAAATCCTGCTGTAAATGCTATGCAACTTTTTTTTTTTTCTAGATGGAGGCTTGCTCTGTCACCCAGGCCGCAGTGCAGTGGCACCATCTCGGCTCACTGCAACCTCTGCCTCCCAGGTTCAAGTGATTCTCCTGCCTCAGCCTCTTGAGTAGCTGGGATAAAAGGTACATGCCACCATGCCTGGCTAATTTTTTGTATTTTTAGTAGACATATAGTTTCACCATATTGACCAGGCTGGTCTCGAACTCCTGACCTCAAGTGATCCGCCCGCCTTGGCCTCCCAAAGTGCTGGGATTACAGGCATGAGCCACTACACCTGGCCTGTAAGTGCTATGCTTTTGTTAATGCATTTAACCCTAAGACAACCCACCTCAGTGCTGTCATCACCATGCTACAGACAGTGAAACAGAGGCGCAGAAGGGTTCATAAGTAACTTGCTCCAGGTTGCTGCCAGTAAGCAGCAAAGCCAGGATTCAGGCTCCACAGTCCAACTTCAGAGCTTACACTCTTAACCACTTTGTTGAATGAATGATGAATGAATGGTGGATGCCACTCCACTGGTTGATGTGCAAGGCAGGCCAAATGTAGCCCTCACCCAACTAAAGATCCTGCAACTCGGGGGTTGTCCTGAATTTTGCATTAGGGCACAAAGCACCCTAATTGGGCCCACCCTGCACTCTATCTGCCCCTCAGCCAGGCCCCTGATACCTTCACACTTCAACAATTTGTACAGTGGCAGAATTTCAGGAGGCTTCAAAGCAGAGAGAGAATCTGAAGTCTACCCAAACCTGGCGTGTCTCTCCAGACATCTTACATTTACACAGTAAAATGCAGCATTTTGGAAACAGGTAGTGCTTAGACACTTGGCAAGCTGGCTAGATGGAGCACACTGGCTCCATCCCGCCCTCCCTGTTTGTGGAGGGCCCAACAGAACAAAGCTCCCTCCCTGGAAAGAAAGTGGCCCCTCTCCCTCACTCATCTTCAGGCAGTTGTCATGTCTTCACAAATCTGATCAAAACCCAGTCTCTGAAATGAAATCCTCTCTCCACTTTCACTGTCTCAGCCCTCCTCCCTCATCCCTGGACATCCTAAACAGCCTCAAACACCTCCCCAGGACTAGTTCCATTCTCGGTCCTAAGATTGGAGTCATATTCCCAAAGCACACTCCTCAGCATATCGATCCTTGGCTCAGAAACTCTCCCCAACTCCAACTGCCTCGATAAAAAATGCAAACTCCCTAGCTATCATCTGATTCAAGATGAACTCCCTTTTAAATGTCCCCCTCACTTAACACTACACATTAATCCACTACTGAGAAACTGTATCAGTCAGCTTTCACTAGGTTATGTTGCATAACAAACAATCCCCCAAATATCAGTGGCGTATAACACACATTGTTTCTCATTTGCATCACTAGTTGGCAATGAAGGGACGGCTTCTCTTGTCTTCCATTCTAGAATCCAGGCAGAAGGAGAAGTGCCGTCTAGAACACACCATCCTCATGGGAAAAGGAAAACGGCAAGAGCTGGCAGAAACACACAGCTTTTAAAGCTTCTGCTCAGACATCACGTAAGTGGTGTCTGCTCACATCCATTGGCCAAAGCAAGTCACATGTCCATGTCTGAAGTCAATGGATTGAATATCCTATAATGCAAGTCACATCCCCATCTATACAGGAAGATCTGGAAGTAAGTAAATGCAAACAATAACATAAGCCATCACAAAAAAGTCCTGCCTTGGTTGGGCGTGGTGGCTCACACCTGTAATACCAGCACTTTGGGAGGCCAAAGCAGGTGGATCATTTGAAGTCAGGAGTTCAAGACCAGCCTGGCCAACATGGTGAAACCTCACCTGCACTAAAAATACAAAAATTAGCTGGGTGTAGTGGTGCACACCTGTAGTCCCAGCTACTCAGGAGACTGAGACAGGAGAATCCCTTGAACCTGGGAGGCGGAGGATGCAGTGAGCCAAGATCGTGCCACTGCACTCCAGTCTGGGTGACAGAGTGAGACTCTGTCTCAAAAAAAGAAAGAAAGAAAGGAAGGAAGGAAGGAAGGAAGGAAGGAAGGAAGGAAGGAAGGAAGGAAAGAAGGAAAGAGAGAAAGAAAGAAAGAAAGAAAGAAAGAAAGAAAGAAAGAAAGAAAGAAAGAAAGAAAGAAAACAGTAATTAATGAGTGAGCAGCTTGTCTGAGCAGACTTCAACCCCAGAGGCAGCAGAAGAGGAACAAATGGAGAACCCAATCGGTCTGGGAGGCAGAGAGAAGCTGGCTGGAAAAATCTGGCTTTAAGGATTGGCTAAACTCAAAAGTAACCATGACTGAGTCATGTGGAGGGTGATGGGGAATCTCTGGTACGTCTGCAAACTGCTTCTTCCTTTGTCTGCCAGCTACTCCTGAAAGGGACATCGGGGTACTATAATTTTACAACACAGGTTACATCCAAAAGGCAACTCTTAGGATATGATTACAGAAGAGGAAAAGGAGGCGAATGAACAGAGGATCTGCAGCAAAACCCTATCAAGCAAACAATGGGGAATTGGGTCTGCTATGTCATTTCAGGGTTGCATCTGTCACTTGTTGCTAATATTGACATTGTCATATATAAAAACAGGGAAGAAGTGGAAGGGGCAGCTGCAGAGTTCCCAGGCAGCTGTCTCGGACAGGCGGCTGCACAGCCAAAGGTGCAAGCTGCGCAGGGATGTGTGTGATGGGGCAACAGCTTGCAGAGATCCATCTCCAATGCCTACAGCTCTACACAGGCCAGAGGCCCATTCGCCCTTGTGGGACCCTGAACTGACTCACCCAGATCCAGACTGGAAAACACCCTTGTTCATGGCCCACTCTTTATGACAGATTTTTACACCCAGTTCAAGGGAATGTTTCCAAGAAGATGGGCACAGAGGAGCCAGATCCAAAAAGTGGGAGGAGCAGCCTTTATCCTCTGCCTGCATAGCAGGTGGAGTCCAAGGGCACTAAAAAGCCATGGAAATTCTTCAAATGGGGGATGTGATCAAGAATCAAAATTGTTATCCTTGCTGTTGTTTAATCATTACCTCCGGGCAGGGCATGCGGTGGTGCACGCCTGTAATCTCAGCACTTGGGAGGCCGAGGCGGGTGGATCACCTGAGGTCGGGAGTTCGAGACCAGCCTGGCCAACATGGCAAAACTCCATCTCTACTAAAAATACAAAATTAGCCGGGCGTGGTGGCGCATGCCTGTAATCCCAGCTACTCGGGAGGCTGAGGCAGGAGAATCACTTGAACCCGGGAGGCAGAGGTTGCAGTGAGCTGGGATCGCGCCATTGCACTCCAGCCTGGGCGACAAGAGCAAAAGTCCATCTCAAAATAAATAAATAAATAAATAAATAAATAAATAAATGGGGAAAAAAAGAAGAATCTGGGAGCATGTCAGAAATGGAGACCCCCCCCCCACAGCCCCACCCCAGACCTCCTGTATCTGCATTTTAACTAGGTCCCCAGGTGACCATGTGCACATAAAAGATGGGGAGGCACGGCTCTGAGCTACAATACACACTGGTTTCCTTCAGGATCTCCTCCGTGATCTCTTGGATCCCTTCTGAGACCCCTCTGACTTCATTGTGTGATTCTCGGTATTGGTGATGAGCTTGGGGCTCGGGGACTGTGGAAGAGGCAGCAACATCCTCCCAGTGTGTGTGGTCTGCAAATTAGGTACCAACTTCCCCACCTTTCCTTTCTTCCTCCTACACATATGGGTCACCCAAAGCCCACAAGTCACTGAGTCACTTTTCACACACGGCTATATCGGAATCTTAGCTGGCTAAGGAAAAAACAAGCAAGGTTTAAATGATCAAAGGGATTTCAAAGCAATTCTTTCAAGGGCTTGCCACCTCTGAGGCCCAGAGAAGAATCACTCAGAAATTAGAGAACGAAAAGATGCAACCACACAGCTATTCTGTTCTGCTGCCAGCACGGAATCATCTCTAATAAACCCTCCAGCACGTGGCCCCATCTAACTGAAACATCCCAGAGGATGGAATTTCCCCCCATTTTCCTGGGGAGACTGTTTGAGGCAAAGGTTTCCTTTAAGAAGCACTTTAGGGGAGGCAAGCTGCCCGTCGACGGTTCTTCTCCCAGGTCTGACAATGCCCCAGGTGGAGGCCCTGCAGCCAGGTGAGTCGCTGCAACACCATCTCAAGTGCTCTTGTTCACACAGCTCTCTTTGCCGATGCTTAGCTAATAAGCCAGAACCACTTAGCTGCTCCGATCTTTGTTTATAAGTCATTCTATCTACTCCATTAATCGCCTTTATCGACACTCCTGCAGGTCTCTGGGGAGTTTCCACCTCTTTCTGGGCACCGGGCTTCTCCAGGCTGAAGGCCTTTCGGGGCAGTGACCCTCATGTCCTGTTCTCAATCACCACTGGCCAATAAGCATGTCCTGCCTTCCCTGAGCATCCTCTCAGAGTATTGTTCACGTCCCCAGGGTCAGGCAAGGTCAGCAACCTTCATGAGGACAGCTTATTCAGCAACCAGAGGGCATTTCACAGAAGGCGCCAGTGGCCCCTCCCTCCCAGGTGTTCATCTACACATGAAGCAAGACACAAAGGCCACCAGGCCACCAAAGAAGGCAGGGCCGCTGCCACTTTGCCTGCTGCTTGTGTGGTGTGATGCATCCTCTTTCGGGATGAGCACTAGCCGGCCTCCCTGCATACTCATCTGAGGAGGCGCAGAGAGACAGAAAAGGAAACCAGGATGACTCTAAGAACTGGTTGTCCACCTGAGAAAGGCCCCGACTCTTCCCTTTTGCATGTTACATGCAGTGCCCTACATTTTATCAGCTCTCCCCTATTATTTTGTTTACATGCCTCCAATGTTGCTTAGAACAAATGCATCTGCTCTGGGGCCTCGGTAAAATCCTGCTGGGATTAAGCCCTACTGATCTAAAAAATGTAATAAACTGGGTGTCCTGACATGTGAGGCCATGTGTGGAGGGAGCGCAGAATTAGGGGGATCCGTGCCCCCTCTCGGTTGTGCTTCTGATGGTGAATATCACACTCTTGCCATCCCTTGGCTCCAGATGCCCAGAGGTGAAAAGGTAAGCAGTTCCTAGGGTGGGGAAAGGAATCTTTCCCACTCTTAAATCCTCACGTGAGACACAGGAAAGCCCAGCCCCCTGCAGGTTTGGCATGATGCAGCCTCGGAAGCCACCACACCCAAGGACCTGAACCCTGCAAGGCCAGCTGAACACATCTCCCTTGCCCCTGATTTGGTCAAGTTCTCTCTCACCACCCTATTACTGCAATCACCAAGTCCACTGCCAGCAACGTCCCACCCTCCCCATCTGTCCAGCAAATACCCTCTTGCGTCAAAGCACAGCTCAAATGCTGCATGCTCTGTGAAGGCTTCCAGCCATGCCGGGCATGTGAGTGTGTCACCCCAGGTCACATGCAGTGATTACGAGTTTACCTCATTCTCTAACCTGTGGGCTCACTGAGGACTGGGATTTCTCTCCTTTGTCCCAGCCTCATTAGTACCCCACCCACGGGTACCCAGTAAGTGCCTGCTGGGTGCATACTTTGGAACACAGAATATACAATATAAGCCAGCCACTGTATTTACACTACATGGCTCTTCTTGAACTAGTATCCTGTAGAGGGGTCTAAATGAAAGGAAGGAAAAGTGCTTTTCATGCTCCCATCTTGGAAAATGGGGATGCCATTTATCTGCATCTGCAAACAGGGTTGATGACCCCCACCTGCCATCTTGCACCTCTAGCATCTGCTAAGACCTACAGATCCTGCCTCTCTCAACCTATTCCTTGACACCCCAAGTAAGACAATCACTTCTGCCTAAGACTCTTTGCAATAACTTCTCATTATTCTCCCTATCTTCATTCTCTTTTGCCCTAAAAAGCTAATTAAGCATAATGCTAAGGACTTTCACATATTATTTCAATTTCAGTTACTCTCCACGTTGCCAGCAGATCTAACCTCCTAAAACCCAGAATTGCTCAGAAACCGTCCCTGGCTCCCAAAGCCTGCAAAAGAGCTCAAAGGTCTTTGGGTGTTTAAGACTGTTTGGTTCCAACGTACATTACAGGATGACTCGCCACCCATACCCACCCGCGCCCACCGTTCCCTCAGCCAGGGGGACCCTCCGCCTACCCCGGCAAAGCCTCCGGAGCCAGGCTGCCCAAGTTCAGATCCCCACACTGCCAATTCCGAGCTGGGAGACCTTGAGCAAGTTATTGAACCTCTCTGTGCCTTACTCACATCTTTCGTATAATGGGGATGATAATAACAGACCACCACCATCTACCCTCAGGACTGTCACAAAGATCAAGGAAGTGATGTGTGCAAAGCACTTAGGACACTGCTACCCAAGTGTCTACTCCATTGTTAGCTTACAGCAGCCACACTTTCCCATCTTCAATGCCATCTTTGCTGGGACGCCCTCTTTGATTTTGACATCGGGGACTTAACTCAACCCTCCTCTACTTACCACCAGGATCGCAGCCCTGTGTACTCCCCCTCGTCTTACAGGTTAGTGTTGTGGATTCCTATCCTGTCAACTCAAATGGAAGCTCCCCGGAGGCCGGGTCCGCATCTAGGACGGGACCACCAGATAGGGTTGCTCCATCAACATGCATCCAGCACCTCGATCTTTGAGCTCTAACACTTAACTCCTTCCGGGTGTCCTGATCTTCCCCAAGGCACCGACAGGCTAGAGGGGCCAGCCAGGGAGAGAGTAGCCACTTTTGTGGGGGCACAGCTCCCTGAGGGGTGCAATGAGGGACTCTGTCCATCCAGTCATCATTCGCTATAAGCAGAGTCTATGTCCGACTCCTGTCTCACTTCCAAGCCAACGACAAAGAGGACATAGTCCCTGCCCTCAAGGAGCTCAAAAGCAAGAAGGGAAAGAATGGCAAATACCTGCATTCTTACCACTGCAATCTGCCATGAGCTAAACCCAAGGATGGCTTTCCACCTGAGGTCAGGGAGACTGCCCCCAATAGGCCTCCTAAGTAGGGTGATTTTTTTCATAAATGCATTTATTTTAGTAAACAGATATCTTAGGTACAGAGCTGAACAAGCTGCCGTGCGATCTGCCCAGCCATCCCTGAACTTGGCATGTACAATGGAATCCAAAGTCAGACATTTGTAGTGTGAAATGAGATAAACCAACAGCGGGGTCATACAAGTTGGTATGTTGGCGGGGTGGTGTGAATGGTCTTTCTCTTTCTATTCTAGGCAGGCACTGCATCAACCACATTAGCCAAGCACCATGCTTTCACCAAATCCTGTTCATGATTTTATAGATCAATTCTGAAAAGCCCCAAATAACTGATGTCTTCTATTTCACAAAGGTGAGATGTCTTCAAAGGGTTAAGCATCTATTACAGTCAGGCAAACAGTAGTAATCATATTTGCACAGCACTTTGCACTTAATCCTTAAAAGCCTGTAGGGCAAACCACATCATCACTACACCCATTTCACAGACAGGAATTAAGGCTCAGATAGGCAGAATAACTTGGACAAAATCAGGTTGTGTCAGGGCCAGAATGCAAGCTCTCCAAATTCCAGCTCTCATTCATCAGGTCCCACATCACTAACAGAAAGGACTTTATCTGGAACAATCACAGTGAGTACCTCTGTGCCCCATGTGATCTGGGTCATCTCTTGGTGTCAGCCATGTGAAGGGTCAACAGATTCTTGTCCTCAAAGAATTAATAACAAGCAAATGGAAGCTCTGATATTCATTTTGAACTTTAACTCAAAATGAAGCAGGTGCTGCACTTATAAAATTCAGCCTCCAGCCTTTATCAGAGGGCAGCTCCGAAAATTTGTACTGTGAAGTTATACTTCAGTTTAAGTTCTCTTTAAGAGGTAATTGCAGCTGCAAAAAAAAACTTGTATAGTGCTTACTCTCATGCCAGGCACTCCTGTAAGCACCTTACGGAGATTAACACAAGTCAGCGCTCAGAACCCTGAGATAATGGTGCTGTCTGACTTCCAGGAGCACATATGTGTGTACAAGCACTCCCATGCACACACACTCTTATTGAGTGGCAGGCAGATACATCAGTGAATGAAACACACCCTGCCCCTTTCCTTGGGTTAAAAGGCAAGATCACTAGTTCAAGGCCACAGAAATACAGCAAGGGCAGGAGCAGGATTGGAAACCAGATAGTTTGGCTCCAGGATCCATGTTCTTTGAGCTCTAACACTTAACTCCTTCTGGGTGTCCTGATCTTCCCCAAGGCACCGACAGGCTAGAGGGGTCAGCCAGGGAGAGAGGTGTCACTTTTGTGGAAGCACAGCTTCTCAATGGGTACGATGAGGGACTCTGTCCATCCAGTCACCATTCGCTGTAAGCTGAGTCTATGCCTGACTCTGGTCTCACCTCTAGAGCCAAGGACAAAGAGGACATAGTCCTTGCCCTCAAGGAGCTCAAAGGCAAGAAGGGAAAGAATGGCAAATACCTACATTCTTATCATCGCAATCTGCCATGAGCTAATACTGAGCCAAGCACAGCCTGCTAATTGGGGAGACCGCCCCAACTGTGGATTACTGAGAACCAGTTTGCCAACTTCCCCCTGGGCCAGCACAGGTAGCTGGCATCTCCCAGGCATCACTGCCACCCCCTCCCCATGTTTTTAAAAAAAAAAATCCAAGTAATCTGATCCAGCCCTAGCCCTAGTTGAGCACTGGCTCCTAGATAAATCCCCAAAGCCTAATTACTTACTATTGTACCTGGTAATCTTAGGAGGTGTTTATTTTCTCTTTCCCCTTGGACAGCCAATGAGCAAGACACAGTGGTTGCTAGCAAGCGTTCCTCCAGGTACGGGAGGTGATGCTGCGATTTCTCAGGGGGCAGTTTCAGGTGCACACTGCTGTCTGCGTAAATGCCCTTCCACAGCCTCCACCTACCCTTTGAGGCCAGGCTCAGACGTGGTCTGCTCCAGGGAGGGCACTCTTGCCCTGAACCACCACACTCTTTCCTCTGTGGCACCCTCCCTAGGAAGATCCCCCACCGTGGTATTTGCGGCAGGTGGCTTGGTCTGGTTTTTGAGCCCTGGCCTGTCTTCCCCATGCTCACTGACAGCAGGGACTGGGTGCCTTCCAGCTTCAGAGCCTAGTACAGTACAGGGTGTGTGGACATTTAAGAAGTATACATTGAATTTAATTTCTTGCGCAATTACTAGGAGACTCAGGGCTGGAGCCACACACTGTGCTGAATTAGCAAAGGAAGCTGTAGGTCCAGAAACCAGGCGGCCATGCGTTCCCACCTCCAACCGGAAGACCCCTGGGCAGGGAGTGCTTTTGTTTCTCAGCCACACAGTGACCTCTGTTCCTTTCCCAAGGAGGACATCCACTGCTTTTTCAGAAGGAGCAGTAAATTATTCCGGCACTTTTATTTTTATTCCTTTTTAGTAAAATGCCATGTTCTAAAGGCCTCTTCAATAATGGACAATGTTAAATTTTAAAAATCCATTTTCAAGTATTCAACTTTTCTGTTACGTCCAACGGCTGGATCTCTTTCACCCAAGGCAACAAATGGCAATGCTTTATAATTTCCATTTTTAACTCAGGAAGGAACGTTCCTCAGGGTTCAAGAGGAAGCCGAGTGGGCGCTCTCTGGATTGTGGTAGGCCACGCTGCATCAAGAGCGGAGAATCTACAAGTTGGGGGTAGCAGATGGCCCAGCAAAGAGAAGAGATGGCAAGCAGATAGCCCCGATCATTTGGATGAGGCCAAAAAAACTTCCGATTGCAAACAAATTGGTATTAGAAACCTACCAAGAAGCACGGCCCACATAGGTGTTTGCTGCTCCCGTGGACAGGGCATTCTCTGTTTCTCAGATGGGCACTCAGACAGTGACAGGCTGGAATCTGCTACAGAAGTTCCCATCTCTAGTTTGTCTTTTTCTACCCCACTTATTAATAGTTATGAGTAAGGAATATAGGAATCACAATTCAGACCACCTGAATTAAAAGTCTTGCTCCACAGAAGATTTTGGGGGTGGTGAAACTATTCTGTACGATACCATAATGGTAGATAGGGGACATCACACATCTATCAAAACCCATGGCATGAGGGCTGGGCGCAGTGGCTCACGCCTGTAATCCCAGCACTTTGGGAGGCCAAGGCAGGTGGATCACCTGAGGTCAGGAGTTCGAGACCAGCCTGACTAACATGGTGAAACCCCATCTCTACTTAAAAAAAAAAAATACAAAAATTAGCTGGGCGTGGTGGCACATGCCTGTAATCCCAGCTATTTGGGAGGCTGAGGGAGGAGAATTGCTTGAACCCGGGAGGCAGAGGTTGCAGTGAGCTGAGATCCTGCCATTGCACTCCAACCTGGGCAACAAGAGTGAAACTTTGTCTCAAAAACAAAAACAAAAACAAAAACAAAAACAAAAAAACATGGCATGTGTCACACAAAGAGGAAGCCCTAATGTAAAAGGTGGACATTAGTTAATAACAATGTATCAATATTGACTCATCATTGTAACAAATACACCCACTAATACAAAGTATCAATAATAGGGGAAACTGTGAGGATGGAGGGGTAACAGAGGAACTCTGTATTTTCTGCTCAGTTTTTCTGTAAACCCACAACTGCTCTAAAAATAAAGCGATTAATTAAAAACACATAAACCACTGACTCTGCTTTTTGTTGGCCGCGTGACTTGGACTAGTTTGGGTTTCTTTCACTTCATCGGCAAACTGAGGACAGCACCTGCCTTCAGAGTTGTTACGAGAAGCAAGTAACCCCTGAAAAGTGCTTAGAATAGCGCCCAACATAGGGTACCCTGGACTTCACCTCGATGACGATGATGATGATGACGATGATGATGATGATGATGACGATGATGATGATGATGATGATGGCAGCTACCACGGGCTCCGTATGGTTCAAATACTTCCATACAGCATGTGGTGTCACACAGCAGCACTGTGAGACAGGTAAGAAGAGCTGCTATCCTCATTTTACAAAAGAGAAATCCTGATGCTTAGCAAGATTATGTAACTTGTCCAGGGTCACACGGCCAGTAAGGGGTGAGCTGGGACTCAAACCCTCACGTCTGCCTTCACCATGTCCAACTACCATCTTCAAGACAGACAGACAGACGGGAAGGAGCCTTTTCTGGCTGCTGAAAATCTTTGTACTTATCCAGTGCAACTTCCTTTTGTTAAGAAAGAGAGAGAGGGAGGGAGAATAGCCACTAAATGCCAGCAGGCAGGATCCGGGCACAACTGATACTAGAACGCAGACCTTCAGCTCCCAATCCACTGATCCACTATAACCATCCCACTCCACCCCTGAAACAGGCATGAGTGGGCACAGTGATGCCGGGTGCCATCTTCCTCAGCCTTTGTTTGTAATCACATTGGTGGCTGTGCCAGCCTATGGCTGTCCAGTATGGTTGGTGACAGTTTCCCCAAGAAGCTGCCTGGCCCTCCGGAGGCTGCCCTTCTCAGGAAAGGCCCTCTCCAGGCTGGACATCCTGCCCCTGCTGTCTGGGAAAGGAATAGAACTGTGATTTCCCTGCCCATAGTAGTAAATCCAATTCTTGCTTTTCTAACTCAAAATTTGCTTTTACATAACGACTTTAAAATTTGGATGTGTGACTTGTCTCCCAAGTCCACTGAGGCATCATTCCAACAGACGTTTGTTCAGAATCCAGACACTTCTTGCCACCAGTGCCATTGCACCTCCTCACCCACTTGTCCTGATGTCCTTTTTGCAGCTCTAGGCCCCTTGTCCTTCTCTTGATTTCTCGTGCTTTCTCCACCTCTGCTCCCCGCACAGGGGAGTCTACAGAGGCCCACCCCTGAGGGCACCTGCTTGGTGATCTCATCTCCTCCTAGCCCAGCCACAGTGTCAGCTCCCGTGCCCAGGGTCCCACCCCCACCAGACTCTACCACCCTCTCCCCCCGCACCCCACAACCGCCCTTACACTGGCATGGTACAGAATAAAAAGTAAGGGTGGATCAGAAGCAAGCTGATCACAGAAGATTCTCCATCTAGCGCTTGCATCCATCTCCTCTGCTCCCCTGAAATGCTACGAAGCACCTTTCTCTGCAGACCCTCCTTAGCAGCCTGCATCAGCCCGCTTCTCCCAGCCTTTCTTCTGTGGACACACAGCTCAGGCATCTCAGAAGATGTATTTGGAAGAAGGAAAACCACACACAATAAAGCAAATTCTAAAGGAGGACTTAAATCCCTCCCACAACAACAAGGGGAAATCAAGCCCCGCTCCGTCCTTCTTTTTTAACATGGGGCACAGGACATTGGAAACCCAAACCAAAAGGGGTCACATAGTGGAGAATGAAAAAAAACATTCAATCTCAGAAGTGGGGCCGGGCACAGTGGCTCATGCCTGTAATCCCAGCACTTTGGGAGGCAGAGGCAGGTGGATCGCTTGAGGCCAGGAGTTCGAGACCAGGCTGGCCAACATGGCAAAACCCCCCTCTCTACTAAAAATACAAAAATTAGCCAGGTATGGTGGTGGGCGCCTGTAATCCCAGCTACTTGGGAGGCTGAGGCAGGAAAATCGCTTGAACCTGGGAGGCAGAGGTTGCAGTGAGCCGAGATCGCACCAGCGCACTCTAACCTGGGTGAGGGGGTGAGACTCTGTCCAAAAAAAATTTTTTAAACCCAGAAGTTGGGGATAAAGGCAGTGTTAGAGAGGGGGAAATCATGCCTATCCCAGTTATGCAGGCAAACGTAAAATAATGCCGGTCAAGACACAAGAAAGTTCTTCTATTTAGAAGCACGTTCTACAAGGTAGGCCATCCTCCAGCATCCTAAATTCTTCAAAGATGAATTAAATTAAACAAATTTGTTTCCAGAAGAGAAAAGAATAAATGTGTGGCAAGATGTTTACTTGTTAACTTGCCCTCAGAAAATTCAACTGACAAATTGTTTTTCTGTACTTACCACACACAGGCATTATATCATCTTTGGGTTGAGCATATTAAAAAGTGATAATAAAGAGAGAAGCTAGTGTCTGAGCATGTATTCTAGGCCAAACACTGTTTTAAGTGCTGATGGGTATTTAGATTCATTTCATTCCAACAATCCTCTGAGGTGGAGGTACCTTTGACCCTTGAATAAATCAGGCATTAGTGGTACCAATCCCCCACTCAGCTGAAAATCTATTAATATGTATAACTTTTAGACAGGATCTCACTCTGTTGCTCAGGATCTCAAGTGCTCCCCACAATGCCCAGCTAATTTTTTAATTATTTGAGAGACAGGGTCTCCCTCTGTTGCTCTGGGCTGAAGCAATCCTCCTGCCTTAGCCTCCCAAAGTGCTGGGATCACAGGCATGAGTCACTGTGCCTGGCCTGCATATAACTTTTGACTCCCCAATAACTTCACTACCAATACCCTACTGTTGACCAGAAGCCTTACTGATTACATAAACTGTCGATTAACACATATTGGTTTTTTGTTTTTTGTTTTTTTGAGATGGAGTCTCACTCTGTCACCCAGGCTGGAGTGCAGTGGTGCGATCTCGGCTCACTGCAACCTCCACTTCCTGGGTTCAAGTAATTCACCTGCCTCAGCCTCCTGAGTAGCTGGGATTACAGGTGTGCCCCATGATGCCTGGCTAATTTTTTTGTATTTTTAGTAGAGAGGGGGGTTTCAGCATGTTGGCCAGGCTGTTCTCGAACTCCTGACCTCAAGTGATCTGCCTGCCTCAGCCTCTCAAAGTGCTAGGATTACAAGCGTGAGCCACCACACCTGGCCTGTTTAACACATATTATATATGTCACATGTATTATACACTGTATCACTGTATTCTTACATAGAGTAAGCTAGAGGAAAAATTTTATTAAGAAAATCATAAGGAAGAGAAAATATATTTATTCAGTAAGTGGAAGCAGATCATCTAATGGTCTTCATCCTCATGATCTTCACATTGAGAGGAGAAAGAGAAGGGGTTGGTCTTTCTGTTTCAGGAGTGGCAGAGGCAGAAAAAAATCCACATAGAAGTGACCCATGCAGGTTTGTTCAAGAGTTAACTGTAATTATCACCTTCATTTTACAGATGGAAAAAGTGAAGCACGTATTATGGTTTTAAAATGCAAACAAGGCTTTCACCTTTTATAGTCTAGTTAGGGGAGGCAGATAATACAGTAATGGATAGAATTAGTGCCTGCAGGCCAGGTGTGGTGGCTCATGCCTGTAATCCCAGCACTTTGGGAGGCCAAGGCAGACAGAGCGCTGGAGCTTAGGAGTTTGAAAACAGCCTGGGTAACATGGTGAAACCCTGTCTCTACTAAAAATACAAAAATTAGCCAGGCATGGTGGCATGTGCCTATAGTCCCAGTTATTCAGGAGGCTGAGGTGGGCGATGGCTTGAGCCTGGAAGGTCGAGACTGCAGTAAGCTGAGATCATACCACTGCATTCCAGCCTGGGTGACACAGTGAGACCCTGTCTCATTTTTTAAAAATAAATAAATAAAATTAAGAATTAGCACCTGCAAGGAGCTAAAAACAAGATGCCATGACAGCCAGGGACTCAGAGGGCTACTTTGAACTGGGTTACCAGGGAAAGCCTGTGAAGGTGGCGATGACAAGCAGGAGCCCATCCTGGAAGATCTGGACAGAAACAGTATGGTTCCCAGATACTCCAAAAGTCAGTCACAGAATGCAACTGTTACTGCTTCTGGTTTCACAGGTCAGGGCTGGGCCCAGGAATCTGTCTTTTTCAAGTCCCCCTGGTGTCTCTCATTTACAGGCCAAGGTTGAGAAGCACCAGGTTCCATTCTCAGCTGTCTTCAAATACCCCAGGAGATGTGTGGAAACTCGCTGGTTCCTTATACAGACTGAATGTTTGAGTCCCCTGCAAATTCACAGTTTGAAGCCTGAACTCACAATGTGATGGTATTTGGAGGCAGGGCTTTTGGGAGGTAATTAAGGTTAGACAAGTGCATGAGGGTATGGCCCCCATGATGGAATGAGCCCCCTTATAAGAGGAGAAAGAGAGACTGTGTGCTGTCTCTCTCTGCCACTCTGAGCACACAGCAAGAAGGTGGCCATCTGCAAGCCAAGTAGAGAGCCCTCACCAGTCACCTTGATCTTGGATTTGCCAGCCTCCACAACCATGAGAAAGAAATGTCTGCTGTTTGAGCTATCCTGTCTATGATATTTTGCTAAAGCAGCCTGAGCTCAGATAGTTCTCTAGGGACTCAGAGTCACTGCCACTCATTCCTACATCATACATGTGGCATGGAGAGACCTGCTTCCCATTTTCAGTGCTTGCTCTGTACAGGCCATGAAAATAAACATCTAAGGCCTAGAGGCCCATGTTTTGCCTTCAGATCTCTAGGGAAAAATTAATTATAAATTTTCCATAGACATCATTGAGCAAAAATAAAGCAGATTTTTTTAAAGCTTTCCTACATTTAAAAACATGTTTTTTAGGAAAATGGCTCTATTAAATAAGTGTTAACATTCAAATTTTTGTTTGCATTGCTTTTGTTCAACATTCAAATATTTATTGAACACCTACCAAGTGTCCAGCAGTGCTCTAGCCCAGAGAGCCACCTAGGCATCTCTTCAGGATGCCAATTCTGATTGGGGGGCCTGAGACTCTGCATTCCTGACATGCTCCCAGGTGATGCTCCCAGGCTGAGCACTAGGTCTCCAGCCCAGCGAGCACCACCTCTGACTTCATTCTGAAATTGCCTGGGAGCTCTTAAAAAGTATTGACTCCTGGGCCCTACCCCAAACCAGTGAAATCAGACACTCTGGGAGTGGGGCCTGGGCATTTCAAAAGATTCCTATAAAGCTCTTGAGGTGATCTTAATATGCAGCCAGGATTAAGAACAGCTCTTCTGGCCACAAAAGAGGTAGCCCTCAAGGGTAGACACCCAACAATGAAGTGAGTAATGTTAGTGACATATGTCATAAAAACATAAAAACAACATAGGGAGGAGGGCACGGTGGCCCACGCCTGTAATCCTGGCACTTTGGGAGGCCGAGGCAGAAGGATTGCTTGAGCCTAGGAGTTTGAGGCCACCCTGGGCCACATGGCAAAACCCTGCCTCTACAGAACAAATAGAAAAAAATAGCCTGTGGTCCCAGCTACTCGGGAGGCTGAAGCAGGATAATCACTTGAGCCAGGGTGGTAGAGGCTGCCATGAGACATAATCACACCACTGCATTCCAGTCTGGGTGACAGAGTGACAAAACAAAACAAAAACAAACAAACAAAAAACACAGAGTAATAAAGGGGGAAGGGAAGGGAGGGGTGGTGGCTGGTACTTAGGCTGAAACTCAGATAATGAGATCAAAACGCTAACACCAAGATCTGGGGTTACAACCCAGGCAGAGCCCGTTTTCCATGCAGAATCTTCAGGAAAGACTAGAGCAGGGTCCCATTCATGTTTTTGGAAAATAAAGTTCTTCCTCTCACAGGTAAAGATGAGCATGAGAAGGCACAGGCAATAAAGACACACACCGGAGGTTCTTAAGGAGATGTGGGCTCACGTTTGTGGGACACCCACTCCAAGTGGTGCCTTAGCACAGGAGGGAGCTCTTAAAGCTCCATCTTCTGACGTCCCTGAAAGGCCTCATCCAGCAGAGCTGGACAAGGCACCCTCTAATTCATGGGGGCAAGCTTAAAGCAGAAGCCTGAAGAGGAGGCAAGATAGCCTGCAATTCTTTATGAGGAAACCCCACCAACTGTGCAGAAGGGAGGCAGCCATCAGATGGCAGCGTCTGTCACACCCCTGAAACTCTCACTTGAAACTCTAATCCAGCCTTCCTTATCACAGAAAGCCCCAGGATGGGAGCCCAGGGTGAAGAGGTGTAAGAATTGAGTGTTTGCTCTCCAGGTGCCCAACCTCGCCGATTCCCAGGTAGAGTTCTGGTGGTAGGCGTGGCAGCTTCAGTCCCCTCCCTCCGGAGGTGGAACCTATGACCAAGGTCTAAGCCAGTCCTGGGCCCAGCACTCCCTTGGCCAGATCAATCTGCAAGGGTGGTCATGCGGCCCAAGCCAACCCAGCCCAACAGAACTTCCTGGCTTCTGCAGAAGCTGCTCAGCCTCAGCATATTTGAGTCTGGGAGGACATAAGGTTGGGCCGGTGGTAACCACCTTCCCGTGCTAGAAGATAAGTGAGCCCAGAGATGGAGAAACAGAGCCATGGACACCTCGTAACCTTTGATCTCACACTGCCAGTTACTGAGCCACTAAATTTCTATTTCTGCTAAACCCAGTTCTGTCATGGCAACTCTAAATGGCCCTGCCTCATCTAGTCCCCCAGGCTACACAGAAGGACACCGGGCCAGCGCATCCTCCTCTGTGCACCTGCAGTGCCTCCTGCGGGGCTGCTCACTGGGGAGCCGCTGGAGTCCCTCAATGTCACCTAGCTTTCCCTGTGTTGAGATCTTGTCCTCTCTACTCTAGTATAAGCTACTCAATGACAGCGGCTTGCATCTTATACTCCCCACTACCTGTCCACAATAGAGCTGGACACACACGAGCAGGTGCTTGCTACACAGACTTGTGAAATGAAAAGGGGGCAGAGATTCTCATAGGCCAGGGAGGAAGATGCTGGAAGGGAAGGCTGGCCACAGACCCCACCTGGCCTGAGAGCCGGGGGCTGTGCAGTACAAGGGAGAGGCCTGGCACCTGGATCCAGGTGACCCCAGTATGTTTCCAGCTGCCCAAGAGATCTTAGGAAGCCACTAAACTTCTGAACTTCGTGTATCTTGTCTTGGCAAAAACGTGATAAGGATTAAAATGTGAGATACATCAAAATGCACTTTCATTCCATCATTCGACCCATATCTATGCAGTCCTTTCTATGGGCCAGGCTGTATTCTGGAAACAGTCAATACAAAGCATAATGCAAAAGTTAACTATTTTTAAAGATATTATCAAGTTCCCTCCACTTCCCTTTCCACAAAAGGGACAAGGTGAGGCCTTCCTGTCGAATAGAACAGACGCTTTATATGTTAATTGAATGATTTTTAATCAGACAGCTGAAGACAGACACAGAGCCCACAGCGGGGCAAAGGAGAACTCTATCATAAGAAAGGGATCCCCGTCTAAGCCAACATACTCAGGCTATGTACGACAGAAGTCACAGAGGAGGGCATGGCCAGCCCAAGATGAGGGCACCAGCAAGCTTGAAACCACCCAAACATTCCTGAACCCTGATTCTTTATCCAGAGTAGCAAAGTGTTCCCATGGGGATGGTGCCAATTCCAGCATTTCTGGTCCCTGGAATGGGTGGGAACGGCCCCCAGCATTAACCATCCTTGGCCTCACGCATGTTTTTCCGTGTGGAGCCAATGACCCTTGCCATATATCAGTCGGCCCACATGTCCACCAGCCTGGCTGATGAGAGGAGACACCCTGGGGGAGGGAATGACAGGATGAGCACCCCGCCTGCTGGGCCACCAGGACAGGAGGAACCACCCAGGTGACAAGTGAATCCCAGCACTTCTCTGCAAGCCTGAGCTTGTCCACCACCACGTCCCTCCCGGTGGACTTCTCAGAAGGCATCTGAGGGCAGGGAAGCTGATAGCATAAAAACAGTATGAAAACTTTGACAGAAGGTCACCCCCACCTAAGCACAGGGAACCAACCAAAGGTTTTAGTTTCACAGGCCTAGGTTCTCAAACCAGCGTCACCACTTACGAGTTCTGTGACTTTGAGCAACTTGTGCCTTCTCCCCAGATCTTTCCTGACCTGTAAAATGGGGAAGAGACTTGCCTCACAGAGTATGACAATTTAACACGTGGGGACTGCCATCCAACCCTGCTCCTTTGTCCTGGAGCTCCGTCTCCTTTTATACCCAGTCCCCAACACAGCCTTCCCAGTTTCTCCCAACAACCCTACAACAGGCAACTATTCTGCCCATTTACAGGTGAGAAAACAGAGATCCAAAAAGATGATGTGATCTGCCCAGGAACTTAGTGGCAAAGCCATCTATATTAAAACCCCACAGTTCCCTAAGGGCTTGTGAATGTATCATCCCCCCAGATCCTCCTCACAAAGACCTTAAGGGTTACAGCCAGAGCTCAAGCATAGAAGTGCTCAGCCTGCGATCTGGGCAGTGGCTGTGAGTTCTGCTCTCTGCCAATACGCTGTCTTCTCCTGATAATCTTCTTCACTCATTTAAGCAAAGCCTGTCTGTGGCAGGAGAACAGACAAGATGTCACCTCTGGGTCTCTACTGCCTCAAACCCCCAAGAAAAATCTGAAGAAGAACATCAAAACGGGGCAAGCAGAATCAGTCTCCAGGGCTGAATGACACCGTGCCGACTCCCATTTGAGAGAAACAGCCGCAGCACCCCAGAGTGTCCCACCCCTGCAGCTGCCCGGTCATGCTGAGACCCTGGTGGGCCACCTCAAAGCACCATTGCCACAGCAGCTGGATCTGCCACCGTGAGAGCTCCAGTAATGGATACAGTGAGCAAAAGGGAAGAAAACAAAGACACCCCGAGCCGCAAACATCAAGAGAGCAGGGAAAATACTTAGCCTTCAGGAACATTGTGAGAACAAAAAGTAACATTTTTAAACTCTTGACTGTGACCTTTTCAGTTGCTGGATAAAGAAAGCACTTGAGTTGCTTAGCAGCACCATTGACGAATGTCTTTATGTTACCTTTCAATACCTCATGGCCACCCTTTCCCACTCAAGTCCATAAACCACCTTTCTCAGCTCTGGCTGTAACCACCCACATAAGCGCCATCTCCAGGCCAGGCCAAACATCTTAGTAGACTGAGTGGAGAAGAATTGATTTCTTACCAGGATCTGTGCAGTTCTTGGCTGTCTGTGTCCCATTCACTGGGGCCATCAACTTTCTATTTCTCCACGTGTCTGGCAGGACACGTTTGCTAGCAGAAGCTGTTTTGTGCCCTGGATTGGAAAATAAGTCACAGATACCATTAGGTCAGTGTGATGGCTGCGTTTCCAAAATGACCTTACATTTGTGTGTCTATGTCAGCAACAGCCCTGTTTGCCTATTCAGAGCCATCTTTAGGGACTGATAGGATGATTGGAAGTATAATATCACCTGCTTACATACAATGGCCTGTTTCCTGGATCTAGTTCACTGTTTCCAGTCCCAGATGGGTCAGCATGTGACCTGACCTTGGCCAAGACTGAGGTGGTCTCAGCACCTCATAGGTGCAACAAACGGTTTAGATAGGTGACCTTTTAAGTGTTCTTCCAGTAAAGGACACTCTCAGAGGGCCCCTGCCCTGGAGGAACTTCACGAATGAATAGCAAGTCAGCAAGCAGGTGGGCAAGGCTGATGCGGTCTGGCCCAGTGCTCCTCACACTTGAATGTGCACACAGATCACCTGGGGATCTTGTTAGAATTCAGATTCTGACTCAGCAGGTCTGGGGTGGGACCTGGGATTCTGCACTAACAAGCTCCCAGGTGGTGCTGATTCTGCTGGTCCAGGGGCCATACTGGGCAAGAGAGAATTTGCGGAGGCCCGCAACCAAGCACACTTAAACTCCTAAAGGTAATTCCTGATCCAGCAAATAAAAATGATTCTCACTTTAAGACCTTCAGAGTATTCATTTACCTCTCCTGATGCGCACTGCTTCAGCTGGGTAATAATACCTCTTCTATAATGCTGATGTCTAAGAGCCTCTAGGTATGTTGTTATTTCTGGTGTGTAATTGAGGGGGGAAAAAAATCCAAACACTGACTTGCCCAATTGCAAAGCACCAGGTACTAAGATATTCAAAATAATCTTCCTGGGTCTCACTGCAAAGAGCCACTTTTTAACCCTGCATCCTCAAATCACAAAGTTTAGGTTTCGAAAGGCAGTTATTTTGAAAACTTTAATCAAGTTCCACTGGATTTTTACCTATCAGTGTACACCTCTCTAAATGGTCTCTGGATGTTGACGGCCTTTCTAACTGCTCAAGAAGGTACTACCCGCTTTACCTTCCATGTCTTGGTGTTTAAATCACCAGCATTTCTTTTGTCTTTTTACATTTAAAAAAATAATGAAATTAAAAGGTTCACAGCATCCAACTCAAAATGAGACGATTAGGGAAGTGAATGTCTCCTGAGTTAGGGAAGTGAATGCCTCCTGAAGGTTACACATGGGGTCACATCCCCCTAAACACACTTCTTTGGTTAGTTCCTTCTCTCTTCCCGCTCCACCTGAAATTTGCATAGCCTAAGCTACTCCCAAATCCCTCTTCTTGGAGGAGGGGGCATGGGTCGAGGCTCCACACACCCGCCTTCTCCCTCCGTGGGAGTTAAGGGGAGTTGAGAGACGCGATGCTGAAACATGGCAGCTACCCCCCGCGGCAGACTGCCCCAACGCCTTTAGGGTTTGGGAAGAACAAACACCTCAGGGCACCCAGGGGACCCCTTTGAACCAGGGCAGGGGCGAGACGCAGTGGCGGTTCCTGCGGCTCTGCAGAATAGGAAAGCGGGCCACTCAGTTTCGCCCACCCCAGACCAAGAGAATCCTGCCTGCACCCCGCAGTTGCGCTGCCCATTCCGGGCGCACTCCCGGGACGGAAGCGGTTCTTGCTTTCGTCTTAGTAACACACACCTGCAGCCGCGTCCTGAGCCCCCCCAGGGGCCGCTCGTAGCTCAGGGGAACCGGCGCCACAGCCCAGAGCGTCCATCAGCTCTTCTGGGCGCGCTCTACCTGCCCGGCGGGGAGGGGACTGGATGAACCCTTGGGACCAACCTGATGAGGAAGGAGGGGAAAACATCTCGCAGCCGCCCCGAGACTCCCCAGCCAAAGCCCCCAACTCCCCAGGAAGAGGGGACCCGTACCAGCACCCACCCAAGCTGCCGAAGAGGCCGGACGCACAGCACACCAGGGCCAGCACCGCGCACACGAAGCCGACTTGCTGCGGCAGCATCTCTCGCCTCCTGCGAACTTTGAGCGGCCGGAGGGTCCCGCGGAGCGCCATCCCGGAGCGCCTGGGTGCCGTCTCTGGGAGAGGATGGGGAGCTTCAGCGGCCAGAGTGCAATCAGTGGCCGAGCGGCGCTGGGGCTGGAGCAGGCGGTGCGCGACTCAGAGGCGAGGAGCTCCGGGCCAAAGCCTCATGGCCCGAGGGCGAGGTCGGCGGGGGAGCCCCTTGGGAAGGTGGGGACGCGCGACGCGGCCGGAGCTCAGAGTCCCGCGCGCCGCGTGCGCGCTGCGCGCACCATGGCTCCGTGGCGAGGAGGCGACGCCGGCACGGTGGCGCTGGCGGCCCGGGCTCGCAGGGCTGGCGCAGTCCCGGCGCTAGAGCCGCTACCTGCCCGCTCCGCTTCGGCCGGCTCGCCCGGCCACAGCCCTGGCAGCAGCGCCGTAGGGAGCACTCAGTGCGCCCCCGCGCCCCGCGCCGCCGCGCCCACTCGCAGCATCCTCCTCCTCCAAGTTTGGCGGCGGCCGCCCCGGCTGCCAGCCGGCGATGTTCCCCTGCTTCCCGACGAGCCGAGCCCGGGCGGCCGAGTGCGCGCCGCGGGAAGGCTGGCTGGACGCGCGGTACCTGAGACCCTCGCGGCGAGCAGGCTCGACGTCGGCCCTCCCAGGGGCGAGCTCTCCCCGGGAACTTTCTCTCTGGCTTCTCGGCTGCGGGCGCCAGCGTCTGAGAGGCCGTGGCGCCTCCCGCCCGCTGCTCTCGCCTCCCTACTCCTCCCCTCCTGCCCGCCTCTCACCCCCCGCCCTTCCCAGCACGTGTACTCGTCCCGTAGGGCGCACTCCCCCGTGCACTCTTCTCTTCAGTAGTTGGACCTCTACTGACCAATATAATCCCCTTCCTTCTCCCTTTTTCTCTCCTTTCTTCCATATGGAGCTGCAACGAGCCCTTCCTTTACCCTCTGAGGCTGCTGCAGAGAGAAACAGGTTATGGCACCGCTGGGGACTCTTAGAAAAAGGGTTTCTGCAGTGTAGTCGCTCCTGTCCGGGCTCTCCGACCCCCGAGCCGACCCGAGGCCCCGCCACACACCCCCTCCCCACCCCGCCACCCACCACGGGGGGAAGATGCAGGAGAAAATTAATTGGTCGTGCAGAGCTAACAAACAGGCTTGCACCAAGCCAACACGAGCTTGGACCCGCTGGGACCAGCTCCTTCAGGGCTCTCGGGGCTGTTGGGGATCTGCGAGGCCGCGACACCGACCTGCAAAAAAGCTGGAGACGGGGCAGAGAGGGGAACCAGAGAGATCTGCGGGCCCCACAACCGACGGTTGAGCTTTCCATGTTCCTAAGCCTACCGCTTCCCAGGGCTTGCTGGTTTGGTTTTGTATCTCTCCTTTCTGGTCGGCTCTCTGGTGTAAACCGCTTTAAAAATGGGGCAGGAGGGAAAATTTCAGAACAGCAGCTGAGGGGTGATACAGGTGCAGGCAGGTGGAGGGGACCCCAGCCCAGGGGGTCTGTGACTACCCCTAGGACCGACTTCCTTCCCGGCCAATTCATCGCCACCTGTTCAGTGCCGCTAGGGGTTAAAATCCTTCTTGGAACAGGCCAACTCTTTAATTAAATAAATACATACCCACCGTGTGCAGGCCCTGTGCCAACCGGAGAACAAAACAATAACAAATGTATGAGACCCAGTCTCTGCTTTCAAGGAACTCTAAATCAAAAGGGAGCAAGGCCCTTAGATAAATGCCCCATTAAGGAGGGTCCTGAAAGTCACTGTTGTGCAGAATGTGCGTTGTTCCCTCACAGCTCACTACACTACCGTGTGGTCCTCAGCAGCATGAGAATTGCCTAAGAGCTTATGCGACACACAGACTCTTAAGATTCCACCCCAGACCTACTGAGTCAGAATGTACATTTTTAACGAGATCCCTTGGAAATTTGTGTGCACCTTCACGTGTGAGAAGTGCTCCCTTTTCAAGCCCGCTCCAATGCCTCTAGCCAGTCACCACCCACACGGTTCCCTCTGGACTGAGTAAGCAGGGGTCATTTTGCTTGTGTTAGCCTGGAATAGTGACACAGGTTAGAGGTGCCAGAGGGCCAGGAAGGGAGAAACCTCACTGATTATTTTCAGCAGCTCTGTTTCAATACCAACAAAGAGAGTGAAGGCATGAACACAAAACTAATTGCAGTGGAAACCCCTAGAGGAAATGAAATGGAAAAGGCCAGGGTTCTGTTTTTGTCTGCAGAGATGCCTTAACACTGAGGCTCACTCTCCGTACTGGTGACCTCAACCAAGCATGCCTGCCTGTGACAGAAAAGACACTTTTCATACGTTTGCAGAATTTTCTTCTGCAAACATTGACTAGACTGTACAAGGATGCATTCAAATAGAAGACTATAAAACATTGTTAAATATGACACTTAGAGAGCTAGCCAAGGGCCCTTGGCATCAAATTTAAGCCAAAGGAAAAAGTTAAAGTGATAATATGCTGTTGTCCTGTCCCTAAAACAGTGTCAGGGTCACATTGGTTAAGGCGATGCCGATGGACAAAATGGCATCTTGCTACTAGCATTTAATATTTTCTTAAAACTTTTGTCCACGGAGCTCACCTGGGGCTGGTGAAAATACATGTTTTTGAATCCAAAACAGGTCAAAGGAGTCATTAGGTGTCTGTCTTTAGACATTTAGTCAGCTCTTTAGTAGGACGTTTTCTTTGACATTTTTCACCTGCTTTCAGTTAATAGTTAGAACCCTTGGAATAATTTCTCATGCACAAATGGATTCCTTTTATTTGACAGTTTAAAAAGCAATTCATTTGAAATTGTACTTTTCACTTTATTTAAATAGTGCCCATTACCAAATAGCCTCAGCTCCAGCTCTAATGACTCATTCTGCAGAAGAGAGAATTGGGTTTTCTGTACCTTTGGGATTCAAGGCATTCAGGAGCATTTTGTAAACCAGCAAAGGCCGTGGGACAAAGCGAAAATGCGTTGCCGGGTTTATCCTGGTCCTGGCTTCAGTGCCTTTGGATTCGGAATATCTCCTCTGCAATTGTGTCTTCTGATATGACACTGCAGGGAACTGTCTACATGGCCAGAGTTTAGGCCATTTTGTTCAGCAGTCTCAGCCCAGGGGAGGTGGGTACCATGGTATTTTTCCTTAACAATCCCTTCCTGTGACATGATGGGCCTCACCATTTAATTTGTATCTTACTTCATTTTAAAAAGTTTTCTTTGCTAGAATGACCTTCTCCATGACTTGTAACTTCCACTTTGCCTTGAAGATGACTATCCATCAGCCCTGGATAGGCAGCGGTTCTCAAACTTCAACATGCTTCGGAATCCCCTGGAGTTTGTTAAAACTCAGGTTGCTGGACCGCCCCCTCCCCAACCCCACAGAGTTTCTGCTTCAGTAAATTCAGATTCAGAGTAGGGCCTGAGAATGTACATTTCCAACAAGTTCCCAAGTGAAGCTGATGGCTGCTGGTCCAGGGGCCACACTTTGAGGAGCACTGGGCCAAGGGATGCTATGATGACAGTCACAGCACTAAAGCAGCAGAAATTTGTTTCCGGCTCGGGCTTCTGGTCTACCAAGAGGTGCGTGTCTTGAGGAGGGGTCAGTCAGGTACCTGAAAGCAGCCACAGTCTCAACATTGGCTGTTTGCAGTGCCTGAAGGACCTCTGGCGCCTCCTGTGCTGACCGTTAGATGCTCTGGCAGGAACATGACTGCTCTCACCTCTACTCACCACTCTTGGCCCCAGGCTGGTCACATGGCCCCACCAATCCATGAGGAGGTCCAGAAGTACCATTCTTCCACTGCAGGCTAAGATCTGAACTCTACAATGGGCGGCCTTCATGATGACCACATCAGTGCAAACCTTGTCCCTCTTCCTTGCTTTCTAAGACCTTCCTTGCCTGCCCCTTCCTCTTCTCTGGTAGAGTTGATTCTGCTACGTCCTAAAGCCCGTGAACTACATCTCCATTCTAGCTTTTTTTTTTTTCTTTTGGAGACAGAGTCTTGCTCTGTCGCCCAGGCTGGAGTGCAGTGATGCAATCTCAGCTCACTGCAATCTCCACCTCCCGAGCTCAAGCAATTCTCATGCCTCAGCCTCCTGAGTAGCTGGGACTACAGGCATGTGCCACCATGCCTGCTAATTGTTTGCATTTTAGTAGAGACAGGGTTTCACCATCTTGCCCAGACTGATCTCGAACTCCTGAGCTCAGGCAATCCACCTGCCTCGGCCTCCCAAAGTGCTGGGATTACAGGCATGAGCCACCGCACCCAGCCTCATTCTAGCATTTATATCTCATCGTTTTGTGATGTGGGCGAGATTATCTGTCTCCTTTTAGTGGGTGAAGGCCTCCGGAGTTGGCATCTTATCCACAGCTCTGAACACAGCACCCTGTTTCATGTATAAAGTATTTACTGAATGAGCAAACAAATAGATAAAGAATAGTTGCCCCTGTTAGATGGTATCTGCTCTTACCACCACTTCAGCCCCGCCCCAGGCACTGACCCCATCTTCCCTGCCAAGGTTACCAGTGGCCTGTGAATACATCTCCCAGAATTTGACCCTCTTACACATGTTGACTCTTACTAGCCACCATTCTTTATGTTCTTGACAATGTGCGCTTCTGGTCTTTCTCTTCCTTCTCTGACCAGCTCTTCTTGGTCCCTTTGGGGCGCAGCTCTCCCTGGTCCTCTGGGGTTCCGTTCCAGTCCCTCTTTTCTTCTCACCATTTACCCCTCTTCCTGGGAGAGTGCATTGGTTCTCTCTGCTGCTGACTCACAAGTCTGTTTCTCTAGCTGGAAACTTCTTGGTCATTTCAACCTGCATGTTCAAGGAATGACCTTTGTCTCCCCACATCTCCCACATCTTTCCTCGCAGCCCATCATCAACCAGGCCTCAGATCTGTCCACTTCTTGCCATCCCTGTTGACAGCTCTGGGTCCATTTCCCACCTGGATCACTGCAGCAGCCTCCTTAACCAGCTTCTCTAAGCCTAGTCTTTCTGTCTCATTCCCTTCTTCACCCAGCATCTGGAGAAAGAAAAATCTGATTACAACCCTTCCTTCCATAAAACCATCAGAGGCTTTCTGGATAAACTTCCATCTCTTTCACTTGGCTTTTAAGATCCCGCATGGTCTAAGCAGTACTTCCAACACTGGCTGCACATTTGAATCACCTGGGGAACTTCTCAACCACCAGAGGTGGAGGTGACTTGAGCATCAGTATTTTCTCCAAGCTGCAGCCGGGGTGGAGAACCCCCGCTCCAGACCCTTCTGGCCCCTCCAGCCCAATCTGTCATCATTCCCCTCCTTCAACTCCAAGTTCTAGCCATTCTAAGCCTCTTTGTGGCTCTTTCTTGTTCTTCAAGGGTGACCCTTATCTCATTTGCCTAGAACATGCTTCCCACCTCCAAAGCCCCCTTAACCTGGATAACTCTTCCTTTGCTTCCTATCTTGGAGGAGAGATCATTTCCTCTGAAAAGCATTCCAGGAGCCCTGAAGCCTGAGTTAGGAGCCCTCTTCTGTATATTTATGGTGCCTTGCATTTCTATTGATAATTCATCATGCTGTATGGTAATTGCCTACTTCCTTGTATAATATATAGTTTCCACCAGACTCTAAGCTCTGTGAGGACAGGAACTACCATGCTCACTATGTGACTTAGTAGGTGCTCAATAAATATTCATGGAAGAAAGAGACAAGCACACCCAGCCCACACTCAGCAAATGTGACTTGACTTGTCATGTTTCTCCCATTGGCATCTGTCATATGCAGTGTTTTCACCATTGTTGGATCTCTTGAGCGTGTCTCATAGCCCTAGGGAATAGGCAGAGCCAGAATTAGCATCCCCATTTTACAGACACTCAGGAAGCCAAGGTCCTTCACAATTAAGTGGCCTGCTCCAATTTGCATGAGGAGTCAGAGACACAGCTGGATTTGAACCCAGTCTTCTGCCCTTTAAACACCCTCCACCTACTACCCCATGCCACAGATGCTCACCCTGACAGGCAAGCTGATTAGCTTGTGGGATAAGTTAGTTCCTGTAGAGACAGAAGGCTGTGTGCCACGGCTGTCTCCTGCGTGGGTCATCTCATGGTCACTGACTCATGGTAGGAACGTCCAGCCAAGGGGGAAAGTGCTTAAACAGACAAGGCCTGGGGTTCCCTGCAGTCACCATGTGTAGCTGCTACATATGTTGTAAGGCTGCTTCTCAGATTCTTGGGATTTACTATTTTTGCTCAGGCTGGTCTCAAACTCTTGGGCTTAAGCAATCATCTCGCCTCCATCTCTTGAGTAGCTGGGATTACAGGCATGAGCAACCATGCCCAGCAGATTCTCGGAATTTAAACATGGAAATAACCAGTCCCTTCACTCACCACTCATTCAGAAAGCATTTATGGAGCACCTAACTGTATAGCTCTTTACAATTCTCTATCTTACCACACCATAACCCTGTAGGAACATACGAGTTAGAAAAGGCTAACATACCCTGTCAAAGAAACCCAGCACTGGAGTGACTTGAAGAACAAAGCAATTTCTTTTTTGTATGCAATAGTCTTATAGAGCAGTCCAGGTGTGGAAGGCAGCTCTGCTTCTCATCATCACTTAGGGACCCAGGTTTCTTCCACCTTGTGGCTCTGCCATCCCCTGGAGCATTATCGTCATTCCTGTGGTCAAAGCTGATTCACCACCACACCTGGGCTGCAGCTAACAGGAAGTGGGAGGAGAGCATGGAGGAGGCGTGCTCAATGTCACAAGTCGTAGACCTGGAGATGGCCAGCGTCACTTCTCCTTGTATTCCATTGATGGAAACTTAGTCACATGACCACACCTAAACAAGGAAGTCTGGGAAATGTTTGGGCAGTATGTGCCCAGTGAGAATGCCGTTACTGTGGGAGCCAGAAGGGACGTAAGTGGACAATGATCAGCCTCCACCAGAGTAGTAGAAGTGTCATTAAATGACTAGTCCAAGCTCTCCCAGGTAATAAGTCACAGATCCAAGCCTTCACCTCGAGCTGCAAACCAGAGAGCACCCCCTACCCACTGCCCTCTGCTCACTTGGCTCTTGTCAGTCTGAGAGTGGAAATAAGGCAGGTTGGGATAACCACAGGGGACAACAGGAAGAGCTATTTGGCAAGGGCTCAAAAGGGGCCTCCAATTCAGACCCTTCCTAATTTTCTGCTGTTGGATTGGCCTCTCCTTGCTCCGTATAAGCTGTGGCATTACACAAAAGCCAGATTTCCCTTTATGACCAGTGCACTGCATAGCCCAAGGCTAGAGCAGCTTGGGTTTTTGTTTTTCTGTGACCATGCTCTCTCTTGCTTTTGCATTTCTTCATTTCTTGCTAATGGTTCAGGCCTCAAAAGCTGTGGCCTCTGCATCTCTGGAAGGGCCTTACATACATGGGGAGAAATGACAATAGTGCCAGGAGAAAAATGACAAGTGCTAGGAGAGTGAAACAGACAACATTGGAGGAGATTTTCATCAAAGGGAGATTCTGCCACAAGGGGAGTTGCTAAATGCAGCTAGGACTGCTGGGACAGACACGTCTCCAACTCAGGTGCACGTTTGCCAAATCAGTCCCCAAGGGAAACCAGTACACGTGATGAGCATCTTTCAGTCCTGTGTTTTGTCAGGAAGTGTATTTTGCTTTGAGTTTTTGTTTTGCTTTGTTTTTGTTTCGCTTTGTTTTTGTTTTGTTTTGTTTTGTTTTGTTTGAGACGGAGTCTTGCTCTGTCACCCAGGCTGGAGTGCAATGGCACAGTCTCGGCTCACTGCAACCTCCACCTCCCGGGTTCAAGCGATTCTCCTCCCTCAGCCTCCTGAGTAGCTGGGATTACAGGCGCGCACTACCATGCCCGGCTGATTTTTTTTGTGTTGTTGGTAGAGACGGGGTTTCACCATGTCAGTCAAGCTGGTCTCAAACTCCTGACCTCGTGATCTGCCTGCCTTGGCCTCCCAAAGTGCTGGGATTACAGGCATGAGCCACCGTGCCCGGCCTGCTTTGAGTTTTAATGAGGAAAATTTTTACTCTGCCCACTTTGGAGGCTCCTATACGAACATTCCTGCTAATTCCCACTCAAAAGATGGCCAAGGCTGGGAAGACAGAAATGGACAAAGCTCTGAGGACTGAGATCATGTATTTTGAACATGGGCTACTGCCTGGGTAACCTGAGTAGCTCCCTGTGGCATCTGGGTGGAAATGATGCCCCATTGTCCAGAATGCAGGGGCAGTAAGCCCAGGCGGCCAGCTCGGGCAGCTGTCTGCAGGAAGCTTGCCAGAGACCAGGCCAGCGCTTGCTAGATGTACGAGCTCTTGTCCCCAACTGGAGAACTCGGTGTCCTTTGGTCATTACCCAGATAACATCAGAAACTGCGAGTCAAGCAATCGGGCCATTGCAAATAGGTTCAGTCCCTCAGACTCGGTACCCAGCCTAGCACTTCGCTGTAGTAACTCTAGCTGTCCCCAAATCTCATGAGCTTAGCACTTTTGAGTTTATTTCTCACTCACATGAAGTCCAAAAATGGATGTATTGGCAGGTGGCTCTTCTCCAAGTGCTTATTCAGAGCTCCTGGTCCCTTGCATCTTGTGGCTGTGCCATCTTCCACACATGGCCTCTGGGGGTGCCAAGCTCATCTGCACTGAAACAACAGAGGGGTGAGGACATGGAGAATCCCACGTGGAAGGTTTTTATGGGTCAAACCTGGACGTGGTGACTTTGTATCCACCCACATTTCACAGGTTAGAACTCAGCCACATGACCATGGACTCCAGGAAGGCTGGGACATGGGGTGAAGGAGGAGAGGAAATGGCTTAGTGAGCAGTCATCTTGCTAGGGCCTCAGCAAGAACAATCATAATAGATTCTATTTCTCTATCCCTGCTCTGGGCCGGGCAGCGTTCAAAGATCTTTCTTTCGCTGACCCATTTAATCCTTCCGACACCTCTGCAAGGTAACTACCATTGTGATCGACAAATGTAAGAGCCCAAGCCTCTGAATCTTTAAGTAACTTGCCCAAACTCAACACACAGCGAGTAACTGACCAAGCTGGGATTCAAAGCCAGGTGGTCTGGGTCCCAAATGTCTGCTCTTAACCATCCTGCCTCAAGAATGAGCCTTCCTGCCCAAGTCCTCCTTTTATAGATGGGGAAATTGACACCCAGAAAGACAAAACCAGATGGAAACTCAGATCTCTTCTAGGTTCAGCCTCACTCTCCTGCACATATAAGCTGTCAGTAAACACTTGTTAAGTGAGTGAACTGGTGGTTCTGCCTTTGCATATGATTGGAAGTGAAATATAAAGCACCTCTTTAATGCTAGGTGCCAACTTGTGCATGGCTCACCATCCTTGCACGGAGGCAAAAAGCTGAATAGGAGGCTGGGATGAACACAGACTCAGCTCATTCAAAAATAAATTAGTAAACTGCAACTCTTGTTGGGAATTTTGAAAAAAGGCCCAGAGGAGATTTACTACTGGGTTGCATAATCAAGTGCCCCCAAAGTAATACTAATACTTTAATGGCTGTTATGCAATGTTGATGGGCCTGTATGACTCAGTGTTCTAAATTAATTTAAGGGATTTCTGATGAACATTTTTAGTTAGCTTTGGGGGACTCTCCTCCCCACCCCCAACCCTTTTTTAACCAGGTTCTGAAAGCAGATTCTCTAGCAAATTCTTACTATAGGATGAAGATATTTCAGGTAGGAAAATGCAGATATTTTAGAAGACTATGAAAGGAAAGAAAGGAGCTCTTTTGTCATCAAAACACACAATTACGTTTTCCCCTCTGCCAAAGGCTAAAACCGTCCTCCTCTGGGTCATGCATGTGAGCAGTCATAGGGTCATTCAAGCCGAGAGAATTCTAATCCCTCAGGCTGCTGGTAAATAATAATGTATAAACTTATTATTAGTATTCTGTTTCAAAGGCCAGTGATCAAAAGACGGTTAGCAGATGGCCAGAACGGTGAGCTTTAGAACTCAAATTGAACTGCTTTTGAATTCACACTTCACAATGGCCCTCTGTGGATCTGGACTTCCCATCTTGCATTCTTGGCTCTGCAAAAACCTTCTAGAACCTTCTCTCAGTCCTCTTACAAATGCCCCCACTGCCTCGGGACACATCTGTACGTGCAGGCTGCGCTTTATAATGGGAGGCAGGAGGAGTTTCCTGCAACCATTTCTCAGAGTCTCAGCCTTGCTCTGCCGGAAGAGAGCCTGAAGTGGAAACCCTGGTGTCTTTGAACAGAAAGTGTCTGGCCTTGAGACACATACATTTGGGACATTTGTGCCCTTGAGCAAAACTTAATATGTGGAGCCCCAGTGACCTGTAAGAGAAGAAGCCTTTCTGATACAGCAATAATTTTCTCCTTGCCACAAAGCATTAATATTCAGTAGCTGAGTTTTATAACGAAGAACCATATGATGATTTTTAGAAGCATTCACCTGGAACCAAGGAAGAAACTGGGGGTGACATGGCCTGCCCAAGATGGAGCTGCTACTGGTCCCTCTCATTTTCCCATTGTCTGCCCTCTTTGCCATAGTTTCTGTCCCACATTCCCCTACCTCCTATCAAGATACCAAAATCTCATCTCATATAGTTTCACATCCAAATTTCTATAAAATCAAACTTCATTTCATAAGTATTAGCTGGTAAGAATTTAAATCAGTGGCCCACCATTTTGAAGATCATGGAGGCCTTTGAAAATCCAATTAATCCTATAGACCTTTGTCTATATTATCATATATGGTTTGTATACTTTCCTAAAGTGTACAAACCATATACACAAGACCTTGAATATAATTTCTGGAGTGGAACCCTTTCCCCAAAGCCATCTTCTAAGGACTTTCAAGAACCTCTGGTTTAAGGTGGATCTTTACTATACCTCTGAGACGTCACTCAGGACTATATTTTAGAAATAAACTAAAAGACCAAATAGCCTCAGAGACTTAAATAAGCAAAGGCCAATTTCTTGTTGCTTCTCCAAGGAAAGCAAGAGAATTCCAATGCTGATACTGGAAGAGTTTAGAGGCCCTGTGGTTAAATACATTTTGGAAATATTGTATGCTATAATCCCCTTTCGGAGGCCTGCAAGGCATATTATTGGCTCTGGGAAGATACACAATGCAACATCTATTATTTTGTGGAATTCAGCATTTCTGGAACTTATTTCACCCTGGAATACTTTTTGCTCCCATCACCAGTTAATATCCCCATAGAACTGGTGTTTTGAGAAATATTGATATAGCCTAATCCCTGCATTTTGCATATGGGGAAACTGAGGCCAAGAAAAGGGGCTTGACTTTCCCACGGTCCCAGTGAGTTAGTGATAGAGCCAGACCTGAAAGCCTGGTCTTCTGGCTCATAGCTCTATCTGGCAAAATTGCCTCAGTAAAAGCATCTTCTTTGGGGATGGGGGGCAATCTGGAGAACAGAAGACAGAAATAGCTATGTCTGATTCACTTAGGGTGGGGGCATTGTCAGTGGTCCCGGTTTAATACTCAACACCCTCATCAGCTCATCAGAGCCCTGATGTGCCTGTGGATTTTGTCCCACGGGTAATACTCTGAGGGCCTGGGGTGCTCATGATGAAGGCCCAGCAGGACCAGCCCAGCATGGGTTATAGAATGGGAGCTGGAGTCTAGACCTGGCTCTCAGGGACACTCTTACGTTTCTGGTGATCTTACCTGGCATCAGTGGGGAGACCCAATGGGCCATGCCTAGGAGGACACACAGTAGGCACACACCTTTGTGACCAACCCAAACCAAATGAATAGGAGCAGAAAGGGCTCTGATGGGTGTGAGTGCAATACACACTGAGTCCCCAGGATATCGGCAGAGAGATAGAAGCTCTGCCCCCATTGTATTAGGGATACACTGTGCTCAAAAGCTGTCTGTTTAAAATCTTCAAAGGATGGACTCCATCCTCCCTCACTCCAAAGCCCAGTCAGCAGCTAAACGGATATCCCCTCCCCAGCACCTCCCAACAGCCCATCCCCATAGGGCACCTGCTGGTCGCATTTTCTCAAACACTCTCTGAGTCTCTTTTTAACTTCCCTAGGTCATGAGTGTCCTTTGGCTCATTGCTAAAGACACAGCAACCATATGATTGTTTGCTCAGAAGTCAAAGGATGCTAAGGATTGCTAAGAAGTTAAAAGGAAATCGTCTGAGGTTTTCCTATTAAAAAAAAAACAACAAAAACAAAGCAACAATCTCCTTGCTTTGCTTATAACCATGTGGAAATTGCATGCATTACTCTGTGTGGGGAGACACTGGAAATAAAAATAGTTCCTTTGATAAAAAGAAAATAATGATGCCTTTAGTGGGGGTCTGGAGCTGCTCCCAGGACAGTAAGCTGAGTCCCTGCTTTCCTTAGTAGAGATACCAGGGCCCATGGAGCTGCCTGCATGCAGGCCCAGTTGAGGCCCTTGCAGCCAGTCAGTGGTGTCCATATGGGCTGACAGATGTTGTGTTGAAATTGAGAAGTATGATTCAGTCTCTAGACTCAATGGGAAGGAATACCCATGACCATGGGGTGGGAGGTGGGGGTGCTGGGTGGGGATGCTCAGGAGCACACACTGGGTGAGCATTTGTAGTGCCTGGACAAGCCCTCGTTCTGGTCTTGGCTCCATCACAAACCTGTGTGACAATGGGAAAGTCACTTCACTTCTTGGAGCTTGAAGCTCCTCATCTCTAAGTGATCGGGGAGCCCCTCCCAGTTCTATAAGTCACTCCAAGCCCCTCCTGTACTAAATGCCCCCTAAAGAAAAAGCAGAATACTCAGGGAGTGACCTTTTGCCCTCCAGCCCAGGCTGGCTCTGGCAGTCCTTGCTGTGAGTTCCGCCAGCCTCCCGCTTCTCAGCAGCTTCCGAACGGCAGGCCTGCTGACTTGGGCTCCAAACCCCTAAATTGGGAAATGTTCAACTGCAGATTGTTTACATTGTGTATTCAGAGTATGAAGTGGTGTTTGAGAAGTGTTGCCATGGAAACAGTGAAGTGAGGAGGCAGCTAACTATGAGGGGAAATAATCCAATATTAACATTCACAAGCTATGCTCCTTTACTGCTGTAAATGAAATATCACATTATTGGACAGCCCCTCAAGGCAGCCACTGCCCATGTACTGGGCCATAGTCTTAAAAATTGGAGGAAACTACCTCCAGCTGATTAAAGAAACTGTAGCACATTCAGAGGCTCCTTGACGTTGGGTCTGGGGCTTCTCCCAGCTCTGAGAGTTGCTGCCTCTAAGCCAATGGCTCTCAAACTTTGTTGATGGGTAACCCACTGGAGCAGGACAAAAGACCTCATGGTCTACTGCCTCATCCAGTCCCAATTTTCCATGGAAAAGGTACTGTGTGATAATAGGAAATGCTGCCATAAAGCAAATTTGGGGAAGCCAGAGGTGCATGCATGCATCCGCCTTTGCAGCCAGCACGTGGAGGTTCCCATGGGAATCATAGTATCTATGACACTAGAGTCTAGTCATTGGAAAATTATAGACTCCCCAGATGGTTGATGCAAAATGGGCATCACTACACACTGCAGAGTTAACCAAACAACCCCCGACAAACACCATGGAGATGGGTGAAGCTGAATTCACTGTAACATACAGCCAAGGAGCAAGAAGAGCAATGACTGAAAAGCATAGCCGACTTGAGACAGCACTAACGGGATGCCAGCAATGCGTAGCCTTCCCCCAAATTGCAGGATTCCCAGCCACCTCTGTTGCCAAGAGCCAGATGGCAGCCAGGCTTCTAAGTAGAACACTGTGTTCAAGTCCTCAGTAAATTCCAATGTTGGCTCCTTTTACCTTATGAACACCAAATATTAGAAACCCTCAATACTCATTTATTAAGTGACCTTGATCATATGTGACGATGACAGCCTTTGAGGTGCTGCACTCTTTGCCTGGGGGAAGGGTTTGTGTGTTCCTGTCCAGAGGGTCTCCAAGGCCCTCTTCTGGGCTGCAGGTTACTGAGGATCATGAGTAGCAGAATCAGGTAGGTAGTCTTGCCCAAAGCTCCATCCTCACCTCTCCCGGCCACTCGTAGCACTTCACTAACATTCATCGCCCACTGCTGCCTGTGGGCAGCTGCACAGAGTCACTGGGGGAGTTTTGAACATGATACCTCCCTGGGCCATAGCTCTGGAAATTCTGATCTACAAGATCAGGGATGGAGCTCAAGGATCTACATTCTCAAAAATGTCCACAGAGTGTGTGAGGGACAGCCAGATGTGGAAGCCCTAGGCTTTGGGGGGTGTCAAACAGACCGGGCTGAACTCCCGTCTACCACATCCTCCCGCCTGGAACCTTGGCCTGAGTGGGAGAGCCTCGGTGCCTCAGTTTCCCCATCTGTATATTGAGGATGAAATGCCTGCCTCCCAGGGAGATGGGAGGGTCCCAGGACAAAATGGCTGGAGAACACTTGGCTCTGCTTGGTTCCTGGCAAGTTCCCAGCAATGCTCCTTTGGAGGTCGTATGGCCCATAGAAAACCCGAGGGGGCGGGCTTCCAGGGGAGGCATGTTACTGTTGTGCTTTATAACCTACATATACATTACATGTGTCCTTTTGCATATATCAAATGCTTCATATTTTTTTAAGTCTATTCAGGAAAAAAAGAGAATATGATTTGGAGTCAAAGCAACCAATGTTCAAATTCCAGTTCTGCCAGTAGCTGTGCCCACTAACTGTGTGACTGCCCCTCTCTAAGCAGCAGTTCATGGTCTTTAAAATGGAAATAATAATCCTTACCTCTCAGGGTTTTTGTGAAGGTTGAAAAACAAATTTACCTTAAAATTTTTTTGAGACGAATCCAGATATAACTGTATGAATAAAGCAAATGAATGGATAAAAACACGAGCGAGTACATGACGTGCTTGGCACAATGCCTTGGGCAGAGGAGACATTCAGTGAGTGTGGGCCCTGCCTTCTGGATCCTCCCCGCGAGGCCAGCATGGGGGCTCGTGGCCAGACGAGCACTGGACAGACATCCCAGCTGGACAGAAGAGAGGCTGACAGCTGAGCTTCTGCTGGGTGGACAGAGGAATCACAGCTCCTTCTCAGGTCAGGGGTGGCCAGCACCCCAAGTCCAAGGGGAGAGTCCCATCAGGTGATCTGAGCAGAGTCCAGCTTCAGAGAATTGAAAGGAACAAAATCTGGAGTCACTGGCATTGTCTTGATCCCGGAGCTCAGGAATGCAAATATAATAACTCCACAGCAGGGGCCAGGGATCAGCTCGTGCTTTTCCTCACCAATTTTACCAGATGATCAGGCTTTCTCTGGACCCGCCACCTTGACTGGCTCAAGAATCTCTCAAGAGGTGCCTCTATGTACCCAGGCATTCAGTGAGATTTGTATGTTCTGTCCAGAGGGGCCAGTCCTGTCTGTCCTCACGTCGTACCCCATAAACACTTGGGCAGCCCCTCATGACAGGCAGAGCCCGTGATACTGCTGGGGACACGTAATGCTCTGGATCATGCTGCCTGGCAGGGGTGGGTCCTGCCCAGCCCATGGTAGCTCCTCAGGGAGTAAGGCAGGCCACCCCTGACTGTAGAGTCCCATGCAGAGCTGGCCTGGGCTCCCAGCATTTGGATCCTTCAAAGCCATTTCTCCAACCACTTTCCTGGGGCACAAACCCTGTACACAAACCCTGTAGAGCCTGCCTGGGAAAGTTGTCTGGTAGAGTTTCACCTTCTATTACTCTTACCTCTGGCCTTTGCTGCGGGTCAACCCTTTGATACTGTCTCTACCATTTCCTGCCTCCTGCAGAATTCTATCTCAGGGGCTACATTGCCATTTCCTGCCACCTGATCAAAGTCACCTCAAAGGGGTGGGGCTGGGGTCTTGGCCCTTTTCCTCAAAGGAGACTCCTCTGCTCCTTGCCCAGTTCTTCTCCAGCAACCTCCAAGCTCAGCACACCAATGACTGCATAAGGGCACGGTAATGCAATTCCACACACCCATGGAGCCTGAACACAAGCCCCTGTTAAGTCAACCGTACTGGTAAGCTTGGAGCTCCCGGCATGCCACCAGGAGACCAGCTGGGCACAAGGCAGCATTTTTTTACTTAACAATCAGGTATTGGTGACTTCCTCTGTTCTAGGCATTATGCCTAGAACTCAGCAAGGGAGGATTGCTTGAGCCCAGGAGCTCAAGGCTGCAGAGACGGAGACTTAAAAGACACAGGCTCTGCCCTCTGGATGTTCACAGTCTAAGAAGAGAGACTCTGGTATAAATAATAACATGGAAAGAGAGTTGGGAGTTGGGCCAGGATCCCAACACCCAGGAATGGTGCTGAGTAACAATCATGGCTCTGATTCTCTCGGAGACTGAGCTTCCAGGCAGTTACTGGAGCAAGACAATGGTACAGAGAGAAAAGCACAAATCCAGTTAAGAGAACTAGAGTCCAGAGAAGACAAGAGGAAAGAGCAGGTAGGATCCTCATGATCACTATGGGGACACCAAAGCAGGCAAGATGCTCAGGACCCTGTGTGAGACCCAGTACTTAGCCCTGGGTCTTGATGTTGTATTGATGAGGAAGGTTAATCTGCTGTGACAAAGAGACCCCAAAATATACTGACCTAAAGAACAAAGAATTGGATCGCCAGATAAAATATAGGATACTCAATTACATTTGAATTTCAGATAAATAACAACTTTTAGCTTAAATATGCCCTATGCAATATTTGAATTCATTCATTTTTTATCTGAAATTCTAATTTAATTGGGAATGCTACATTTCAATTTCCTAGATCTGGCAACCCTAAAACAAAGGAGTATTTCTCTCTTACTTAAGAGTTTGGTCTAGACTGGTAGACCAGCCCAGCTCCACAAAGTCATTCAGGGACCCAGGTTCATTGTACTGCTTCCCCATCCCTTGAGGCAGAAGTTCTCAAGGTGTGGCTTGCCAACCAGCAGCAGCAGCATCACCTAGGAACTTCTCAGAAATGCAATTCTTGGGCCACACTCCAGAAACATTGGGGTGGGCCCAGGAATCTGGGCCTTCTAGGTGACTCGGATGAGCTCAAGCTTGAGAAACACTGCCCTACTGTGCTATCCTCTTTGGTATGGTTGCAGCTGGGTCCTTGCCACATCCTGTCTTCCACCTAGAGGGGATAGGGAGAGGGAGAAGAGAACATGGAGGAGGCTGACCAGTCTTTTAACAGCCAATCTAGGAATTGGCTCACATTCCACTGAAGGCTAGTCACATGGCCATATCCACCCACAAGGAAGACTGGAAAATGTCATCTCTAGTTAGATAGAGTCTAACTACAACTCTATAAATAATGGAAGGAGAGAATAGATTTTGTTGGACCACTAGCTATTTCTGCTGAACATGTCCTCTGGTCACCCTGGCCATCACAATAAGGGGGATTGAAGCAGCCTAGTCAGCAAATGAGGTTCCCTGCAGTAGGGGCATTAGGCCAGGCATAGTGGCTCATACCTGTAATACCCATGCTTTGGGAAGTTGAGGTGGGAGGATCACTTGGGCCCAGGAGTTTGAGACCAGCCTGGGCAACATGGTAAGATCTAGTAGCTACAATATATATATATAAGCCAGGCATGGTGGCATGTGCCTATAGTCCCAGCTACTCAAGAGGCTAAGGTGGGAGGATTGCTTGAGCCCAGAAACTCAAGGCTGCAGTGAACAATGATTGCACCATTGCTCTCTAGCCTGAGTGACAGAGGGAGAATGTGTCTCTATTTAGAAGGATAAGAAGAGGAGGAGGAAGTCGGGGCATTGGTGGACCCATATGCACAGAACAGGAGAGCAAGGGGAAAGGGGCATAGGGCCTGTGAGAATGGGCCTTCTTTATTTAGTGTCCAACTCTTCTTTTCAGCAGCCTGCAGCACTCCCGACACCCCCACTGTAATGTCCCCAGGGCCTCTCTACTGCAACACTTCAGGCTTTCTTGATTTCTTCCTATCAAATCTTACCTTCTCTCTATCCCATGATTCCAGATGAAACCTAGATAAAAAATAATGTATGCAGGCTCTATGGCATTCATAGAAGCGCAATGTCCTATCCAAAGAGATGATGGTGCCAGGCATGGTGGCTCAGGCCTGTAATCCCAGCACTTTGGGAGGCCGAGGCAGGCAGATTACTTGAGCCCAGTAGTTCAAGACCAGCCTAGGCAATATGGTGAAACCACGTCTCTACAAAAAATACACACACACATATACACACAAATTAGCCAGGCACAGTGGCATGTCCCTATGGTCCCAGCTACTTGGGAGGCTGAGGTGGGAGGATAACCTGAGCCCAGGAAGTTGAGGCTGCAGAGAGTCGTGATTGCACCACTGTACTCCAGCCTGGGCAACAGAGTGAGATCCTGTCTCAAAAAAACAGAAAATGAACAAACAAAAAACCCAAAGAAGTGATGGTTAACAGTTCTACTTTGTTTTTCAGGTCCCAGGTAGACTCTCATGTTAAGTTCTGATGTCCCGTGTTTAAAGGAATATTAACAATTTAGAACACATTTAAAGGAGAGTGAAAATAATGATAGCGAGGGTATCTCAAAACTTTAGGGAATCATTTGGCTTGAAGAGGAAGACCTGGGAAGGCCAGGGAATTATCATCAAATATACAAAGGCTGCCATAGAGGAGAGTTCCACTTATTCCATGCAGCCAAAGAGGACAGAACTAAGGGTGTTGGGTATAAGATACACGAAGGCAGACCTGCGTTCCCCAATCTAAAGGTGAACTAACAATAAGGTTTAACCAGCAGTGGAAGGGAGCAGTTTTCTTAAGAGGAAGTAAGTTCCTCATTGCTGGAAGCATCCAAGTAGAAGTTAGGTCTGGAATAGTGTAGAAGAGATGACTCGGACTAGATGAGAGTTGAGTCAGTCCCAACCAGAGGAGTCTTTGGTTCTAACATATATTTGCTACTGACCCTAAGCAAGTCATTTGACCCATCTGAGTCTCAATTTCCTCATCTATACACGTCGGAGTCCCTGCCTTGTATCGTTCAATAAGAATATTGCAAGAGTCCAATAACAAAATGGCAAAAGCCCGTTTAAGTGTAAATAGCACATCTGATGATGACAATAATGGTGACAGTGACAACAACAAGCACGTCTATGCTTCTATTATTTAAAGGGAACTTTTAGAGACCCAGAAAAGAAAGGACTGATGTTGGACACTTTGGGCATGAAGGAAGATTGTCAGGGGCAAGGAGGATGATATTTTTCTTTAAACAGGACATTGGGAAGCATCTCAGGTTGCACCACCTCCTCCACCTACAGGTATGACAAGTCTAGCTGAAGCCATGTTAGCTGGAAGTCTGCAAACTAGGCAGGACATGGCGTCCGCATGCTGCCCCTGCCTATAAAACTCACCTGGCATTTGAATATTGATTGAGATTCTGCTGGCCTCTGGTTCGTGCTCAGGAAAACCCCCCTCTCGTTATAGCCCAGCTTCGTTTTGCTGAGATGTCTTTCAATGTTTCCAGCAGCGGTGGGGGTGGGAGGCACATCTGTATGTGTTTCAAGGCAAATTTGTTTCAGAGTGGGCTTTGCATAATGCCACAGTGCAGAACTGAGCCATTGTCAAGGGGATCAATGCAGGGCTGATGTCTGTGGGCCTATTATCTGAACTGCTACAATGACCCAGGAAGAGCAGGCTCACTGACCGCCATTGTGAGGGCTCACTTGACCAAAAGGCAGAGTGGCGTGGCAGTGGCAGGCCAAGCTGAGTGCTCCACTTCTCAGATTGTATAACTAGGGGACTGGAGAAAGTTCCATCAACTGGCTTCATTCAGCTATGGCAGAGTGAGAATTGGTGGGGCTTCTATCCCTCCTCTGCCTCCTGATAGCTATGCCAACAAAGGAAAAGGGAAAAGCATTACTCATCCTATATTCTACTGCCTCTATTCAGTTGGATTCTTACTTTGCCCTGTTTATGGTTTTAATTAGTATTATCTGGGGCCCATAGAGTAGACGGTGATATTTTAGAAACCATGATGTTTAAAATATTTTGTTAGATTGGTTTCTCCCATTCAGAAAAATAAAGATATAAGTAGGGGATCTGATAGGGAGCTGTATGCAGTCAATATTATTAGGAGCAAACCTTTAACTTTTAAAGGTTGATTAAGCAAGTCAGTTTCTAGATAAAGAAACTGGCTTGCTCATAATCAGATTCTAGGATTCAAGCGTGGATTTCCAGTATTCTTTCCAATACAACATAACAGCTTTCTTTCATTTAGTAAGTACTGATTGAGACCCTACTGTGCGCTGGATACTCCTACAGGGACTGGCAATAAGGCAGTAAATCAGACGAAGCCCCTGCTCTATGGAGCTTATATTCTAGGGAGGGAAGACTTGTATTTTCTGATGCACACGAGTGTGCCTCCTAGTACATCTTGTATGGTGCGGGGCACATAATCAGTTGTTAATAAATATTTAATAAGTGAATGAGCGAATGCCCTAACAGTGACCTTGATCTACGACTCCCCAAGGCCGTGTTGATGGGGCGTTCCAGCTAATAAAGTACCCAGATGAAGGTGAGGTCGCTTGTGGATGGGTACATTAGCTCCATTCCAGGGAGTAATTTGTAACTTTTCTCACAAAGCATGAATAATTTCCAAATGGCAGGTGCACAGATTATTTCTCCAAGGAGAAGACAATTTTGTCCTCTCACTTTTCATCATGCAAATCTTCCAACCACAGTTGGCAATAAGTAGAAATAGATAAATGAGATCCAAAATTCATATTTAACTGTTTGGAAGGACAGTTGTGGTTGAAAAAAGAAACAGTTGAACAGAACAGGGGGCCAGTGAGGACAGGATCTGAGACATAGATGAAGCTGAGGTAAAAGTCATAGCAAAGAGGGAAGAGGACAGAATTTGAGAGAGAATGCTTTTTAAAATGTTAATATGAGAGTTTAGTATTCAAGGTATGGGCTCAATTGTTATTTGTCTCTGTTCAGTCCCCAGTGCCCTACAGAATCAGACCGAATTATCTGGGCAGGCTATTCACAGCCCTTTGTGACCTAGCCCCTGCCTGCCTTTCTAATCTCATCTCAGCCACTCTCCACCTTCCACCGCACCCATGTAGCCTGCTCCAGCTCTGTCTCTCCCCAGCCCCTGGTCCTCCAAGAATACATCCCTCTCAGCCCTGTGCCTCTGATCAAGCTGTTTCCTCTGCCTGCAAAAACCGTAGTCCACCCGTCAAGGTCAAGTTCAGATGTCACCCTCTCTGCAAAGCCTTCCCTCAGACCAGTCCAAATTTAGCCCTCTGCATGTGTGGCTCCTGGCTCATGCCGCTCCCATAACATGTTTGAGTCCCTGCTCTGTCTGGTTCGTCAGCAGGCCTGTCTCTTCTGCTAGATTTCAAGTTCTTTGGATTTCTTTTCTTTTTTTCTTTGAGACAAAGTGTGACTCTGTCCTCCAGGCTGAAGCACAGTGGCGCCATCTCAGCTCACTGCAACCTCCACCTCCCAGGTTCGAGCCATCCTCCACCTCAGCCTCCAGAGTAACTGGAACTACAGACACATGCTGCCACACCTGGCTTTTTTGTTGTTGTTTTGTACAGACAGGTTTCACTATGTTGCCCGGGCTGGTCTCGAACTCCTGGGCTCGAGAGATCTGTCCACCTCAGCCTCCCAAAGTGCTGGGGTTACAGGCATGAGCCACTGCACCTGGCCTGACTTCCTGGAATCTTAATTACCTACAAATGATCTGCAGTACCTAAAACTGTGCCTGGCACCCATGAACATTACAGTAAGAGGATATAAATACAAATTAAATGTGAAGTTTATAGCCAAGCAGGGTGGCGTGTTCCTGTAGTCCCAGCTACTCGAGAGGCTGAGGTGGGAGGATTGCTTGAGCCTGGGAGGTAGAGGCTGCAGTGAGCCCAGATCACACCACTGCACTCCAGCCTGGGCGACAGAGCAAGACTCTACCTCAAATAAACAACAAAAAAGTGAAGTTTAGATTGGGGGGAAATGCAGGCTGGGTAGAAAGGACAGGACACTCAGACATTGTGCTCAGTTACTAAAGCAGGATTATGGAAAGCCCTCTTGCATTCGTGTGGCTCCTGGCTCATGCCTCTCCTATAACGTGTTTGAATCCCTGCTCTGGTTCGTCAGCAGGCCTATCTCTTCTACTAGATTTTAAGTTCTCTGGATTTTTTTTTCTTTTCTTTCTTAACAACATTCATTAGTTTGAGATACGTAACAGCTTAGAGGCAGGATGATAAACCACAAGTAAAATGGGGCTGAGGTTGGGCAATGAGGCAAATAGCAACTCTGGAAAAAACAAACAGCAGAGAGGGAGGTCGGGCCATTTGTTCCTCCCCTCCCTCTCTTCCTGGCTTGGGCACAGTCCTTACGGTGACTGCGTCCCACCACAGCTTCGGCTCCTGCCAGGTGGCTCCTCTCCCAAGACATAGCTCTCACCTGGGTTCTACGAGCACCACTCCCTCTCCCTGCCCCTCTGGCCTCAGGATGGTGATGGCTTCCTGCTGCTGTGGGTCCCCGGGGGCCTCAGCACCCCTTGTTGCTTCCCTTATTGCACTCATACCTTCATTAATAGGCCCTTTACCTTGATGCTTTCCATTGAGGTCCCTGACTAATAACCCCTCTGTATCTGCACCACTCCTAGACTCTGGTTAATACAGAATTCTGGTCAAGAAAATCCTGAGTGTCACCTTGCACTGGGGGTCAGCAAACCACTTATTTTTATAAATAGGTTTTACTGGAACACAGCCATACCTATTCTTTTGCAAATTGTCTACAGCTGCTTTGAGCTACTCCGCTGGCAGAGGTGTGCAGCTGTGACAGAGATGGTATGGCACGCAAAGCCTAAGATACGTACTATCCAGGCATTTACAGAAAAAGAGTGCCCATCCCTTCCGTGCACTCACTGAGCACAAACAAGTCATTGCTTTAACGTCCATCTACAATGTGCCTTCTAGGGATTTCTGCTCCTAAGATCTGGTTCTCACCCATCTTCTTTCCACTCTCATTATTTTCCAATCCATTCTTCACAGGACTTCCAGAACAGATCTTGCCCAAAACACAAATGTGACCCTTCTCATTCTCCTTCAGGGGCTCCACTAGTTGAAGTCCAAATCTCAGAGGACAGCATCTCTCTCTACTTCCTGCCTCGTTGCCAAAGTGATTGTCACTCCGGCCACACCAATGATTATAGTGATTTCTTAACAACTTCTCAGGGTAGAGAGGAACCGAAAAACTGAGGATATCTGTCCATTTTCAGACGCATGTGTCTGTGCCAGATGCATTCTGAAATTTCAGAAATGTTACAATGTAGAAAAAAGAAGACACGCTTTTGAGCCGAGGCAGTACAGTAACATGGCAGGAGAGAATGTGAGGGCTAAGGGCCAGGGCTGCTCCAGGAGAACCCCTGCCATCAAGGCCAGGCCCTACAGGGCTGTGGGGATTGGGCAGTGGAGTCTGGGGACAAGAGGGGCTCCCCAGGTGTTCTGAGTAGGTGAGTGACATGGTCAGATGCAGCCAGTGTGGGAGGATGGACTGAAGACAGAGGGCAAATGACAGAGAAGCAAATCAGAGGAGTGACACCAGTTGCAGACTCAGACCTGATGCTGGGGCCAGACATCAGGACATGGACCTGGAGGAAATGTAGGAGATGGAATTGACTGGAGTCACTGGCTGATTGGAAGAGGGCTTAGGGCAGCAGAAGATGGAGGAACTGGGGTGGCTTCCAGGCTTCTGTCTTGAGAATCCGAAGAACCGGATATGTGTTGTGACGGAGCGGCTCACAGGAAACTTTATATTTCCCAGATTCTTAAGCCCAGGTTCAATTCTTGCCCCCTGAACAGGCTCCAGTGTGACGGACGTGCCTGTTCTTCTTTTTTTTTTTTTTTTTTTTTTTTTTGAGTTGGTCTCACTCTTGCCCAGGCTGGAGTGCATGCAGTGGTACAATCACAGCTCACTGTAACCTTGAACTCCTGGGCTCAAGTGATCCTCCCACTTCAGCCTCCCAAGTAGCTGGGACTAAAGGCATGTGCCACTCCCCCAGCTAATTATCTGTAGAGATAGAGTCTCGCTGTGTTGCCCAGGCTGGTCTCCAACTCCTGTCCTTAAGCGATCCTCCCATCATCACCTCCACCTCCTGCAGCGCTGGGATTACAAGTGTAAGCTGTCACACCCAGCAATGTGCCCATTCTTGATTTAACACATTTCCCCACAGTCTAGAGCTGCACTGGGGAATGGGTGGCCATGGATGATTTTCATTGCCCTAGGAGGCTGACCCAGAGCTGCTCTTAGAGCGAAGAGGTTTTCCTTTCTGCTGGAAGTTGACACTGGGGGGTAGAAGTGGACGCAGGAGTTGGCAGGAGTGAAGACACCCAGCTCTCCTCATGAAGGACTGCCAGCAGAATAGTCCCCAGATCTTCCTGGGTTGCTATGTCCTTGCCGCTTTTCCCCTTACCAGCTCCACAGAACAGGTGAAAGCACAGGGAAGTGGGGGCTCTGGCCACAGCCAAGGGCACCTTTGAGGAATGCTCCTCCCTCCCACCCCCACAGGGGAAGGTCATGTCAGAGAACCACAGCAGGGACCTCACAGCTGCGGGAACAGATGCTCTGGAACCTAAGGGCCACCTTCCTCTCACCCCCTACGTTTCCTCAGCTCCTGGGAAGGAAGAGTGATTTGACAGGAGTAAGGTGTGTGGCCTGGTTCTGGTCAAAGGCAGAAACGCAAGCGTGGTCCCCACCATCCCTGAGAAATCACAGCACAGGGGTGGCAGTGGCTTGGACAGCAGGTGAGAGTTTAAATTGGTGATAGCAGAGTCCTGAGGTGCTCCAAGTGTTGCAGTCAGGACCCCATATCCCTCACCTGGTCCCCTAAGGCTTCACCTTCAGGGAGGAAGACCTGGGTAGCCACATGGGCAGGCGAACCAAAGGGGGCCAGAGAGACAAGCATGGACAAACTAGGTTTGCTAAGGGAGACCTTGGGGTATAGCACTTTCTCTGGTGCAAAATCAATGAGGGAGGGCATGTCAGGAGGACCAAAGCGTCCTATTTGGATGGGAATGTCAAGGCCAGCTCCTGAGAAGGGACTAAGTTGGAGGACGCATTTGGAGTTCAAGTCAAAGAAAGCAGTAGTACAGGGAACCTCTCCCAACCCCATTCGAATCCCTCCAAGATGATTTACTGCACTGACAGGAGCCCTTCCTATTTCCATAGGGTTTTGCAATTTAATTTCAAGGCTGTTCATACTCCTTTCCTCATGTGAGAGGTAAAGGTGGGAATTATTATCCTTCCTTCCCCTGCTGAGAACCCAGGGACCCCCACCCTTTCCTGAAGTCCCATGGTTATTAAGGGGCGGAGGAGTTCCCAGCCTAGAATGGTGGTTATTATCTCCCTGATGAAACGATATGACATGGTCTAACCCAACTGTCTCTCCCCCATACCCATAATCAGGTCTTGAAACAGGTTCCCTGGAAACAATCAAGCTTTTCATTGCATCACAAGAGACCTCAGACGAAAGAGATGCTCTCCTGGGCTATGATCATGTGCTATGACTAAATCTGCCATGAAGCTGCTGGCCCAGGGTTATGTTGGTTCCAACCCTACTGAGACATGCATTACATAGAACAATGTCTTCACTCAGCCAAGATGTATCTTTTTAATCACAACAATATTAGAGATGATAATTGCCCCCCCCAAAAAAAAAAGTTGAGTCAATTATTCTGGAATATTTGATTAGCCCTAATAACCAAATGCTATTAAACCCACCCAATTAAGCCTCCAATTACGAGGAAGTTGCAGGATTTTCTGAATGCTACTTAATAAGCCTTTTAGCTTGAAGAGTATTATGTCATTTTGTTCTAACACCACAAAAACCTGTCTTAGAGGAGATTAAAGTGGGCATTCTTCAAAGGAGATAATTCTGTCGAAGTGCATAGTGAGCTCTTTATGCTGGAACTCGGCTGAGAACACTGAATTCATTCTACTTGAAACTTTTCAAAGGAAAAATGAGGTTTGAGAGGAAGAGAAAGAGGATGAGGGAAAAGGAAGGACAGAGAGAGGGACAGGAATTGAGAGGGGAGAAGGAGGAATAAAAGCTTCCTCAATTAGAAAAAACAATTTAGAAAATAAAATATGGGCCAGGCGCAGTGACTTATGCCTGTAACCCCAGCACATTGGGAGGCCGAGGCGGGTGGATCATTTGAGGCCAGGAGTTTGAGACCAGCCTGGCCAACATGGTGAAACCCCAACTCTACTAAAAAAAAAAAAAAAATTAGCCGGGCGTGGTGGCACACGCCTGTAACCCCAGCTACTTGGGAGGCTGAGGCAGGAGACTCGCTTGAACCTGGGAGGCAGCAGTTGCAGTGAGCCGAGATTGTGCCACTTCATTCCAGCCTGGGCGACAGAGCAAGACTCTGTCTCAAAAAGAAAATACATAGAGCAGGTTGGAGGGAAGGGGTCAGTGAGAAGGTAGAACAGGAGCAAGTATACAATTTTATACCCCAAATTCTAGTTGTAGGTCTTTTCCAGTTTTTGCTGGTTGACCTTGAGCAAATAAATTTCTTCATCCTGAGCTCTGCCTGAGAAACTCACTAGTATTAAATTCCAGTAGCATCTCCCTCTCATACTTTCTCCCTCTCTCACTAAAAACTGGGTTTTGTAGCCTCCCTAATAAAAATCAATGCCTCAGACTCATATGCAATTTCCATTTCAACCTGGTTCACTCACGGTCTCTCTCAATTGTTCCCCAAACAACCCTAAGCAATTGGCCAGGCAGGAATGATAGACCCATTTTAAAGATGACCAGCTTGATATTCACAGCACTCAAGTGTCTTATCCAAAGCCCCAGCAAGTAAACGGCAGAAGCAGGCTTTGTCATCAATGCCCTTCTACTGGAACATGAAATTTTTCTTGGGTTCAGGAGCTATTTCATGCTCAGAAAACCCATGTCCTGTATTGTTTTTCTATCTTAAATCTCCCCTTTTCTAATTAAATTATGGTGTCTGGTTGATGAGAGTTGACTCCAAAGGTTGGGGTTCTTTGAGGTTGGGAATCTGAGTGACACAGTGACCCTGGCAGGTGGCCTTAGCAGGAGAGGGAGGCACTTGTGAGGTCACCTTGAGTCCATCTGGTTGGCTGAGGACATGTGTTTATCTGCAGAGTCAAGGCGGGAGAGGATATAGGTCTTGCTCTGCCTGGAAGAAGATCTTAGAGCTTGTCCAGGCTGTACTAGTTCCGTAGGGCCGCCATGACAAATGACCACAAACTGGGCAGCTTAAAACAACAGAAATTCATTCTCTCACAGTTCTGGAGGCTGGAAGTCCAAGAACAAGGTGTCAGCAGGACTGTGCACCACCTGAAGACTCTGGGGAAGAATCCTCCCTTGCCTCTTCCAAGCTTCTGGTAGTTGTGGGCAGTCCGTGGTGTTCCTTGGTTGCAGGCGCACCACTGCAATCTCTGCTCCCATCATCACAGGTTGCTCTCCTCTCTATGTCCACGACTCTGTGTCCAAATGACCTCTTATAAAGACAACAGTCACTAGATTAGGGCCCACCCCAATTTGGTATGACTTCATCTTAACTTGATTACATCTGCAAAGACCTTATTTCCAAATAAGGTCCCGTGCACAGGTAGCAGGGATCAGACTTCGACACACCTTTGTTTTTTTTTTGTTTGTTTGTTTTTGTTTGAGACAGAGTCTCTGTCACCCAGGCTGGAGTGCAGTGGCGTGATCTCGGCTCACTGTAACCCCTACCCCCTAGGCTCAAGTGGTTCTCCCACCTCAGCCTCCGGAGTAGCTGGGACTACAGGCACATGCCACCACAACCAGCTAATTTTTTGTACTTTTAATAGAGATGAGGTTTCACCAAATTGGCCAGGCTTGTCTGGAACTCCTGACCTTGAGTGATCTGCCCACCTCAGCCACCCAAAGTGCTGGGATTATAAGCGTCAGCTACCGTGCCCAGCCTTCAACATATCTTTTTAAGGAACACAATTTTACCTCTAAAATTTCTGTCCCCTCTTCCACCGCTTCTCAGAGTCTCATAAATAATTGTCAGAAAGGCTTCCCCTGATGGACATATTTCAAATGCTTTGGCTTTGAAAAACATAATCTCAAGGAACTTCAAAGAAAAATACTTTTCTGCATTTGTGCAAGAAGGGAATTTCAATATCCTTTGGCTAATTCTTCTCAGCACATTTCTTATAAGAAAATTGAAGCTCCTCCAATAGAGACCCTCCAGGTGTGACAATCTACTTAAAGCTAAAGGAGGTTTATAAGGTTCTCTAAATAAAGTGACTATTTGTTCATGGAGTTTGCGAGGCCACTCATCCTACACTGAAGATGTTCATTATATGTAGCTATGAAAGATAGTAGCCTTGGTCTAATGCATTTGAATACTTGTCTTAATTCACACTTTCTGAAAAGACACGGCTTTACCAACCTCTGCCCGGTGAACTGAAGTGTATATTTACCAGAACTTTCAGGAAGATGGTGCTTTTGTTATAGGTGATATGAATTACTGGCAAACAAATAAAGCGATGTAAAAATTAATAGGAAAGCTGCCCATTCTAATTTTGTCACACAATTTCCTGTACCATTCTAGAAGCAGTTTTGCTTTTTGCCAGTCTAAACTGGAGATGTATGGTACTGTATTCTTTTGGGCTATTTCTCTGCTTTCATTCCCTCTGTTGATTTTTTGTATTTATTTCCCCATTTTGAGAAAAAAAAAAATATCACAGTAAATGTTTGATACATATGCTCTCCACTCACTCTATTTGAGCTCTGAAAGAAATACCGCACATTCTGGTCCTCTAGTCCCCCCTGGAAAACATTTCTGCAGCTGGGAAGCAAAAGCTTTCCTTACGAAACACACGAGACAGAAGGAACCCGGTCCCAGACCAAAAGACGCCTGGCTCTGTGGTGGCTGCTGCTTGGTCTTCTTCCAGTCAATTCAAAGTACCAAAGTCCCAGTTGTAAAATGTGAAAAAAAAGGACATTCAACATTAACACACTTCCATCTCCTTTTAAAATCATACCTTCCCCCTCTCTCTTAGATATCTGTGGGTGCCTCTTCAGCATCCAGGTCATTCCTCATTCTCCCAACAGCTCCTAATTTCTGAGGATCCTTGTGAGTCAGGGAAAGTTTATTCCAAATGACTCCAGCTCCAGGGATGGAACACGAGGCTTTCAATGGCCCTGGTCATGGCTATCGTGATTGGCTCAGACATAGTCATGTGGCTTGGGCTGGTCCAATCAGAGAGGATCTAAGACTTTAATTGCAGATGCTGAGAGGAAGACCCTCTATCCTCATCTGGACAAGAGTAAGAAATGTTACTACTTTGGGAGCTGCTGGCAGCCACTTTGTATCCACAAGTGGTGCTAGCCTTTGGATGAAGTCAATACTATCCATGGAGCATAGCACAGAGAGATGGTCTTTGATAACATTGCTGAGTAGCTGGATCATGTCTCCTGCAAAACCCACACTTCCTTTGGACCATTTAGTTATGTGGCTCAATAAACCCCTATTATTATTATTATTATTATTATTATTATTATTATTATTATTTGAGATGGAGTCTTGCTCTGTTGCCCAGGCCGGAGTGCAGTGGCACGATCTCAGCTCACTGAAATCTCCACCTCCCAGGTTCAAGAGATTCTTCTGCCTCAGCCTCCCAAGTAGCTGGTGCCTACCACCACACCCAGCTAATTTGTTCTGTATTTCTTAGTAGAGACGGGGTTTCGTCATGTTGGCCAGGCTGGTCTCGAACTCCTAACCTCGAGTGATCCGCCGACCTCAGCCTCCCAAAGTGCTGGAATTACAGGTGTGAACCACCATGACCAGCCAAACCCCCTTTATTATTGAAGTCTGTTTGAGACAAATGTTATAGAACTTAATAACTGAAAGGATCCTTTTCCTCCTTCCCTTATTTCTCTTTGCCACACTTTTCCACATACACCAACATTCTGCTGATGATATGTTTGCAGCACAATGAGTTTGAGGTGCTTGTGGACTATTCAGGTGGTAAGAAGTAGAACGGTGCTGCCCATTCTGCGATGGTAAAAACGTTCTATGGCTGCCCTGACTAACCCAGTAGCCACATGCAGCTATCAAGTCCTTAACACGTGGCTTATGTGAATGAAGAACTCAACCTTTATTTCATTTTATTTTATTTTAAGAATTTGAATTTAAGTAGCCACATGAGGCCGGTGGCTACCATAATGAGAAACACAGATCCAGAAGGAATTTGAAAACATTGAGCTGAGACATAGATTGGGTAAAGACAGAAATGGGGGCATCTCAAAGGTACTCGGAGTGTGTGGAGTGAGAGAAGAGTGGAGGACAGCCTTTCACATTCAAATGTGAGTGGAAGAAAAGGAACCAGCAAAGGAGACTGAGAAGGTGAGGACAAGAAGTAGGAAGAAAAACATGAGCTATGAGTATCTTAGAAGCTAAGAGAGGCACATTTCAAGGAAGGAGGGGTGAACTACATGCAGCGGGGGAGAAAATAAGACCTCCTCACCAAAAAGCAGGCCATTGGTGGTCTTGGGAAGAGTCCGTGCATCGTGGTAGGAGAAGTCGGGTGGTGGTATACAGACATCAGAACTGAGATGCCTTCAGTCATGGTCATTAATGATCGCAAAGGAGAACTCAGACCATGGGATGTCCAGGAGACAACAGTCAAGTGGGGACTAGATTCACACGCCCCGGGTTTTACCTTGTTCATTTTGATTTGTTTCTAGGGGACATGGTAACATTTTCTCTCCGGCTACCCTTTAGAAGTTTTAGCAAATTAAATATGGCTCCCTAGAAAACATGGTGGTGCCACTCTGATTCCAATTTCTGTAACTTGGCTTAGGCCATAAAGCAGCAATTCACTCAAAATCACCAGTTTCTCTTTTCTACCTCTGATGTATATTTATTTGGGGCTTCTATTTTTAGCCTGTCTGAAGAAAAAAAAAAAAGTAGTAGTAGTAATGGGAATTCACAGGACTTATTGCACAAATTACTTCTCTGGCTCCCCCCAACCTCCATCAAGGCTTCTGACAGTGGCATTGTATTTCTTATTTATTAGATTTTTAAGTGCTCTCTTAGGTAGTTTACAAGCTTTCCTTAATGTCTCTGCAACCCAAGTGCACAACAGCCGCTGAAAATTGATCACAGGTCATATCTGGCCCATCTTTAAATTTAAATCACATGAAGCTTTCTTCAACTTCATGCTGGCTTCCACATAGAGGTTGTTACGAACCTTACATAAAAACCCAGGGAGACTAACTTCAACGTTATTTATAATATACACACATGGAGAATTGTTTCACCTTGATACTAATGATCAAAGGGAAAGCCAAAAAATCTAAATAATTTCTGCAAAGCATTGCACTTTGCACAACTAGTTATGACTTGTAGCTTACTCTTTAACTCCTAAGTTATACTGAAGTCTTTGAAAGAATCCTACTTCAAATGGACTCATTTTCTGAGGCTCTTGCTGTCCAAAATTTCATCAGGACACAAGAATAAATCATTGCGGAATGTCTAAGGCCATCCTACACTGCCCTTTGGTGGGCCTCGGGAGACCCTTTTAGAGTATGGGCCTGGTCTGCTTGTGAACTTACATTCCACGCTCCTTCCCTCCCCTGGGCTGTAGCAGGTGCTAGGTCTTTTCAAGCCTCTTGCCACAGCAAATGCCTTTTCTCTGCTTAAATGCCTTCCCCTACTTATCCATCAGCAAACTCCTATTGATCCTTCAAGACCCCTTTAGTTGTTATCAAGCCTGGAAGGTCCTCTCTGTGTCCCCAAGCAGAGATAGCTGTTCCTTTTTCTGGGCACCTACACCTCTTCTGTAGCCTGAGTACATTGCCTTTTGCTTATTTATGGGTCTTTCTCTCTGCTAGATTATTTCACGGAAGGGGCCATGTCTCATTCTTCTATTCCCAAAGCCTAGCACAGGGCTTCATACATAACAGATATTCCCCAAGTGTGGCTGGATGGAGAATGAGTAAGTGAATGTATAAATGTTGTCTATGGAATCCAAAGCCAGGTCTACACAGTCAATGCAAAGCCGATTTTGGAGCAAATACACAGAAATTTGGATGAAAACAAAATAATCTCCAAACAAAGAAAGCATACTGGAAAGAGGTGTAGGAGCCAAGAGACAGGGATTCCAGAATTGGTCCTGATTTTGGGTAAGTCATTTCCCTCTCCAGCTCTCTACTGCAAAATAGGAGATGTGACCCATTCGTCAATAACATCCCTTCTAGCTCTAACTTCAATCCCAAATTACTATGTTGCTAGTGAGTTATTTTTTGTTTGTTTGGTTTTGGTTTCTGGCTTTTGGGTTTTGTTTTGGTTTTTGTTTTGAGACAGGGTCTCACTCTGTTGCCCCAGCTGGATGCAGTGGTGTGATCACAGCTCACTGCAGCCTCTACCTCTCAGGCTCAAGTGATCCTCCCACCTCGGCCTCCTGAGTAGCTGGGATTACAGGCAGGAACCACCATGCCTGGCCTGGTGAGTTGTTATGCAACATGTCCATAAACATCAGAACTGGAGAGGGAGAAGTTTTCACAGGTTTGGGTCTAGCTTGTTTCCAACATTAGGAGAAAGATTATGTCTGTACTTCTTTGTAAACACCTCGTTTGTCTCCCAGCACTCCCTTCCCTTACACAGCACAATATTGGTATAGAGGAGCTTCCATAGATATTGATTGATCTAAATATTTCCAAGTTTGCTTTCTCCATGTACTGAGTCATTCTTTTATTCATTCATCCATTTATCTATTTATTTATTCAATCACCCATCCATCCATCCAACCATCCATCCATCCATCCTCATATATATCCAATAACTATTTGGGTATCCCTATGTGCCTAGCACTATGCCAGGTACTGAAATAGTGGCAGCCACCATTCTGGTGTGGATGGCTGTGCATGGAAGTCACATGCCCATCTTGGGGAGAAGTGAACTATGCACTGATAGTTCACCCCAAATGGCTCTTTGTCAGATACCTCCATAATGTGGAAGAAGGATAAAAATAACGTAGATTCCCATCATCCACAGAGGTAGTGTGTGGGAACCAGACGTGATGACCCTAGACAGGAGAGAACCACAAATCTTTGAAGACTTTCTCTATGTACATAAGCAGGCACAAGCAAGTCCAACCCTTGGAAGTCACAGAGAGGCAAGAAGCCGATGTCAGCCTAGCATATGAAAAAGCTGGCTAGTAGAGCAATATGAAAATGGAATGGGCTGCCTCCAAGGGTAATGAGTTCTCTGGCATTGAAAGAGATTGAACAAGGGCTAGATAATCCTCATTTGCTGGGGATGTCACAAACGGAATTCAAGCATGGAGTGGGGAGGTGGTTGGACAAGGTGACCTTCAAAGTTCCTTTCACACTCTGAAGTTTCAAAATTCTAGGAGCAAGACTATATTGTTTGTGTCCAACTCAGTGCACAGCCAGTCCAATTAGTGTTTGCCATACTTCCCTTCCCTGAAGCCCCTTAATTCTGCTGGAAATCAGTTGGCAGAGAATACAATAGCCTCTCTACCAGATCAGTTGGTTTGCATCTATGAAAACAGTTTAGCAGCAGGAAACCTTAGAGCTATAAAATTCTTGACTAGGAAAAACAAAAGGGACGAGATCTGTCCTGAAAAAAATCAGATGACTTTCAGCCCCACTCACCTCTCCAGACTGAATTTGTACCTGAATTCACAATGTGAGGCAGAAATTTTCCAGCAGTCTTGGGTCACCAGGAGCTGGGAAATATCCCCAGCTTGGTCTCTTATGGAGTTATGGGTTTGCTAACAACCATCCTTGTCATCACTAAAATCCCTGATGGGTTAGCCACCTGCTTAGAACACAAACCTGAGATTGCCTGTTTTCATATTAAAGATTAAAGAAAGTGCAGGAATAGTGGTTCACGCCTGTAATCCCAGCACTTTTGGGAGGCTAAGGTGGGAGGATCGCTTGAGGTCAGGAATTCAAGACCAGCCTGGGCAACATAGCAAGACTCCAACCCTACAAAAATTAAAAATAGCTGGGCATGTGGCATGTGCCTGTAGTCACAGCTACTCAGGAGGCTGAAGCTGGAGGATCCCTTGAATCCAGGAGGTCAAGGCTGCCGTGAGCCAAGATCAAGTCACTACACTGCAGCCTGGGCAACAGAGCGAAATCCTGTTAAAAAATTAAATTAAATTAAAAACAGTTGATAGAACAAAAAAGGAGTTTTGAATTTTTCCCCCACCTCCCAAAGAGTCTCACTTAACCCTGCAAACACAGGAGACGAATGCCAGGGAAGCCACTTGATCACCAGCTGGCAGTAAGATTTAAATGAATTTTCCTGGTCCTCTTTTCTGCATTCACTGACACAGGAGTTCTAGGTGCAGCCGGTGACTCCCTTTCATTTCTCAGTAGGAGGAACAGATGAATGTGGCTGTTTGGAGAGTGGGGTTTATTGGAGAAATAAATCTCTTTGGCTAAATATGAACCATGCTGAGGAAACAAAGGAACTGCTTTTTAATGACTGAGGTTTAAATGAAGCCCAGCAGCCTAAGGCAGAATCCCATTTAAGAAAAGATGGAAAATCAGGGTCCCAGAGACCACTTAAACTTACATAAATATTTACAACTATCCACTCTATACCAGGAATGGTGGTAGTTGCTGGCATTTTAAAGATAAATAAGATACCCGCCCTGCTTTCCAGGGGCTGACATTGGATGGGGGCGATTGCTGTGTGGGGGTAAAGGGACGAAGACAGAGCATGGTGGGAAGTGCTGTAATCACGGCATAACATCACGCTGCAGAAGCAAACGCTCATCAGGAGGGAGGCAGGAAGGCTTCCGGAGGAGGTGCTGTTTGATCTTGTCCTAAAAGATAGGTAGGCATTTGCAAAGTGGGAACAGGAAAGACAGTCCTCCAGGCAAAAGGAAGAGCATGTGTAGAGGAATTGGAAAAGGGTAGAGCCCAGGATGTTGGGGAACAATGACAAGTTCAATGTGAGCCGGGTTCCAACAAAGGAGGCTGGATAGATAGACGAGAACCCAACTGAGTAGGTCACAGGTGCCATCCAGACTTTTGAGCTTTATACTGTAGCCAGGGGCTCCCAAAGCTATAGAATCATCTTCAGAGCTTATATCAAAATTCTGATTCCAGGGCTGCACCCCCAGAATTTATGAGTAGGACCTGGAAATCTGCATTTTGACAAGCACTGCCGCAGATCATGGAGGACGCTCTCCATAGGAGCTGCAGGGCTGCTGTGGGGGTGAGGCAGTGTGTAGGCAAGGAAGGAGCATGGCTTTGTGTCTGGGACTTCTCAGATGGAGGCCTGGAGGAGGAGGGAGTGGAGGAAGGATCCTCCTGGTGTTTCCCAGTAGGGGTGCAGAAACAACAGAACGTGGCCCTTGGTCCCCCAAGGGATCCGCGAGGACAGGATCTGACAGACACCAAGGAGGCCTCTCTCTGGTGGGTGTTCCATGTCTTCCTGGAGCAATAAGCCCAGGTAAGGTAATCTGGGCCAGGGAGAGAGGTTGGGGCAGGATCTGCCTGCTCAGAGGCAGCGCCCAGGAGAGGGTGACTGTCTCTGGGGAGCCAGACCTCATTTAAATGTGCCACTAGTTAACCCCGAAGCCCCAAAGTGGGGCAGGGGCTGGACCCAGGCTTGGAGCAAAGCTGGAACACAAACAAGTGGCCAGGGAGGCAAGCTGGCCTGCCCTGGTGTGGATTCCCGCCAACGCCCTGCCCCACCCAGTGACGTCGTGATGACCATGCCAGTCCCCACAGCTCCGCCCCAGCCCGGCTTCCAGGGGACCTGGCTTCTCCAGGCTGTAGCCAGCTACTTGGCCCAGGTAACTGGGCTCAGGGGAAATGTTCTTTCTACCATGGGCCCTCACCCACAAGCTCTCCTGTGCCAGCGAGCAGGAGGACAGAGGTCCAGAGGCCTCCACGGTGACCAACCTTGTCATCTAAACTCATGATAAGTGACCAGTGCAGATGCCAGCACCTCACTGGTGTTAGAGACAGGAGAAATGACAAAAGCAAAGAAGATGCCTTCCTTTGGAGAGGGCTTTGCTGCCATGCACTCATGCTGGGCTGTGTGGGGTGCAGCTATGCCAGGAAGCTGAAGAAAAGCCAATCCCCAAGACAGCCACTGTTGAACTACCCAGCAAAAGAGGGCGCTCAGTGGTGCCTTAGAGCACGGCGTCTCAACCCCTATGTAATCGCCCCTATTTAAATGTATATTCAACACTCACTTTAACTATCTTTGAATGAAATTCACGGATAATGTAACAACCCAATTCATAATTTCAAAAAAAATATGTACTGCCTTGACTATCAGAGAAAGCACAGAAGAAAAGCAAATCATGATTCTATATTTCACAGCTATAGTAGAAAACATAATGAGGTAGACACCTGCATGTAGGACTATGGTGGATGAGATAGCTACACGCAAAGAGCAGCGGGGCAATGTTGCGTTGTGACTCAAGCACCAAACAGCGCTGCCATTGGAGACACATTTTCTAAATGTGCGTTGTAGAAGACAGGTGTATTAGTCCGTTTTCATGCTGCTGATAAAGACATACCTGAGACCGGGAAGCAAAAGAGGTTTCATGGACTCAGTTCCACGTGGCTGGGGAGGCCTCACAATCATGGCGGAAGGTGAAAGGCACTTCCGACAGGGCAGCAGCAAGAGAGAATCGGAGAGCCAAGCGAAAGGGGTTTCCCCTTATAAAACCGTCAGATCTCGTGAGACTTATTCACTACCACGAGAACAGTATGGGGGAAACCGCCCTCATAATTAAATTATCTCCCACCGGGTCCCTCCCACAACACGTGGGAATTCAAGATGAGATTTGGGTGGGACACAGCCAAACCATATCAACATGCATTTTCTGAACTGGTGCATACTCTATTAAAGTTTCAAACAAAACAAGGTACAATCTTCCCTCTATTTGGTTGACTGTGCTTTTCTGTAAAAAGGATACATTTAAATTTTGCAAAAATAAATTCTTTGTGTTTATATGTAAAACAGAATTAGGTACTAGGTTCCAATGATTGTGGGGTTTTCTTTCAGCTATATAAATGCACAAAAGATATTAGAAAGTGGTGAATAACACAGGACAGTTCATCCTGTGTGACCATCTCTCACACCGCTGGACATCTCCCTGGCTCCTGCTCACTCAATGTCATGAAGCCCCCTAAATATTGTGACAACCCAACGCATGCACCCACAGATTTCCAAAACGCTCCTTAGGGATGGTGCTGCACCTCTGGGGTCCACTGCTATGAGGTTTACAAAGCCCTTGCTTGTACATTAAGTAATTTGAGCCTCTCAATTGAAGGAGGCAGAGCAGATGGAAAAATTGGGGTCCAGAAAGGATATGTCATGCATGGGTTTGTGGGGAGTTGGCAGCAGAGAGGGAACCCAGACTCTCTACATCTTGGGACTGCATGATGTTATGGGCTGGATCGTGTCCCCCAAAACTTACATGTTGAAGTCCTAAATGCCCATACCTCACAATGTGACTGTATTTGGATATAGAGTCTTTAAAGAGGTAATTAAGGTCAAGTGAGGTCATACTGGTGGGACCTAATCCAACAGGACTGATGTCCTGATAAGAAGAGAAGATTGGCCGGGCATGGTGGCTCATTCATGCCTGGGATTGCAGCACTTTGGGAGGCTGAGATGGGAGAGTCGCTTAAGCCTGGGAGGTCGAGGTTGCATTGAGCCATGAACGCGCCATGGCACTGCAGCCTGTGTGACAGAGCAAGACCCTGTCTCAAAAACTAAAATAAAATAAAATAAAATGAAAAACAAAAAACAGAGAGAAGATTAGGACAGAGACAGGCACAGAAGGAAGACCACACAAAGACAGAGGGAGAAGACAGCCATCTCCAAGCCAAAGAGAAAGGCCTCAAAAGAAACTAACCCTGCCAACACCTTGATCTCAGCCTTTCAGCCTCCAGACTGAGAAAATACATTTCTGTTGTTTAAGCCCCCAGCCTGTGGCATTTTGTTATGGCCACCCCAGCAAACTAATACAGATGGGATTTTGAAGATGGTCTAGACTGACTGTCTGCCCCTCTATAAATTGCCTTAGGATTACCAGAAGCCAATCTCGCAGCCTCCTGTCTCCTTCTCCGCATACCACTGAGCTGAAAATACAGACACAGCATTTCACTCTGTAAGCCCGATGAAGTAATTCTCACCCCACCAGGTAAACTCAAAAAGAGTCTCCCACAAGCAAAGTCAATAGGGAAACATGTAATAACCTCTAATGATATCTCAAATGTTAGCCAGACCTGTATGGTCCAGATGAGACCAGATCAGGCCAATTAATTACGCAAATTATGTTAATTACCCACATCTCTGGGTTAGGGCCTCATCTGCTTGGCCAAAGGCAAACTTATGGCCTGGAGTTCATAGACTCACCCAGTGTGCTGACTCATGTCTGGAAACTAGTATTTTTCTGCTCACATCTTGCTTGTCGGGAGGGTGGGGCAGAAAACCAGGTGCCCCGTGAGGGCCAGACTCCCCACATGTAATCCACTGCCACTTCTGGTGTTCCATGCACAGCTGCAGAGGGCTCTGGCCCCACTCTCTAGAGCCTGACATCCTGAGATAGCTGAGTTTCCTTTCACGTAAAACACCTTCTATTTTATGCTTAGGCAAGGGGGTCCCGCAGCAAAGCAACTTGAGCCTCCAAATGTTCCGGCTCCCTTCCTGCCCACATCCCCATGGACATGTCTTCCCAGAGCACACGGGCCGTTCAGGAGTGGCCTCAAGATGGGCTCTTTGGTCAGCTGCTTTGCTGACCCCAGAGCCAACTCCCCCCTCCAACCCTGTCAAGAGCACTGGCAAGTTCAGGGTACTCATTCCCCTATGGTTTGTTCCCACTGGATATTTTCTTTTTTTTTTTTTTTTTGAGACGGAGTCTCGCTCTGTGGCCCAGGCTGGAGTACAGTGGCACCAACTCGGCTCACTGCAAGCTCCACCTCCTGGGTTCACGCCATTCTCCTGTCTCAGCCTCCCAAGTAGCTGGGATTACAGGCGCCCGCCACCACGCCCTGCTAATTTTTTGTATTTTTAGTAGAGACGGGGTTTGACCGTGTTAGCCAGGATGGTCTTGAACTCCTGACCTCGTGATCTGCCCGCCTTGGCCTCCCGAAGTGCTGGGATTACAGGCATGAGCCACTGCGCCCAGCCAATATTTTCATGAGGTCTACCTGCCTACCCTACTTAAAACTGTGACCCCTTTATTACCGCTACCTGACCTCAACTTTCCTTCCCCTCTCCTTCCAGGCTCAATTTTTTCCATGGCACCATCTGACACAACATGTGTTTTACTTATTTATTATTGTTTTATTTTACTTAAGACGTAAAGTCTACAAGGGCAAGGGATTGCGTTGCTTTGTCAGGCTCTGTCCCCAGCCAGTACTAACTAGCACGGTGTCTTGCACACAGTAAGCACCTAACGAATATTTGTGGGAGGGGAAATGAGGAGCTACTGAACTGCAGGCCACGCTCAGTCAGCCACGGTGTCCTTTCCCACCAGCACAGGGACAGATCTGAGATGATAGACACCCTTGCCATCCAGCACAGTGACTGGATTGTGCTTATGCAGGGGGCCCATATGAGTTTACTCTCTTGAGAGAACAGGACAAAATCCTGGCCCCACGTAACTTCGCTCATTCATTCCACTAGCATTTCCTGGGTCCTGCCTGTATGCCCAGCATATGTAGACAAGAAGATGCCATCTCTAGCCCCAGGAGCTCACAGTCTAGTCAGAGAGACAGGCTCATTGCAGGGCAATTAATGCTCCAGCAAAAGATGCACACAGAGTGACTAACCCCACTTGTGGAGCTGGGCTTGCTTCGTGGCATTCAAACGGTGTCCTGGAAAATGAATTCATGTTAACCGGCCGAGTCGAGTGAAGGGCACATTCTCATTGTGCTGGGAGGCGGGGTAAGGGAAAGCGATACAGATACAGGCTGTGTGGGGCTAAAAACAGGCCACAAAAAAGAGGGGCTGTGCTTTATTTTGGGAACCAGCCATTTTGCAACTTTGCTCTGCAGGCCTCTGTGGGTTCCTGACCCCCTCCTGAGGGGCCGCCAGGGGAGGTAGGAGACAGGCTGGACTCTGAGCTCCCAACTTGGTTTCAATCAGAACCTCTCCTCTGAGCTATGTTATAAAAATGACCTTCTCACAAGACTTCCTTTTAACAAAGCCTTTGAAAATGAGTGCTATCCACTGCTGACTGCTGGAACTTTCTGTGCTTAGAGAAATGTTCTATATCTGCACAAATACAGTAGCCATTAGTCATGTGTGGGTAAGGAGCACTTGAAATGTGGCCAGTGTGACCGAGAAACTCAGTTTTTAATGTTACTTCATTTTAATTTATATAAATTATTAATAAAATTCAAAAACCACATGTGGTTAGTGGCTATTGTATTGGGCAGCACAGCAAGGCATTGGGGAGCCAAGGAAGATTTGAACGTGGAAGACCATGAGCAGAACTATGCCTTAGAAGCAGTGTGGCCCCATAACTGCCTCAAGAAGTAAGTGAATGTATATCCATTTTCTTAATGAGGAAATCGAGTCTTGGAAAAATAAAGTGACTTGCTGAGAGTTTCATAGCTGGTAAGCAGCTGAAGTGGGTCTTGAAGCAAAGTCTTCTAGCTCTAAACCTGGGAACCAGCCAGGGACATGATCAGGGGATTTATAAAAATGCTATCATTGATAATTATGACTGCACAGACACCTCTTACCAAGTGAAATACAGTTGGTTCTACCTATGCTGGCCATGCCCCAAACTCTACTTTAGGTAGAATGAGCCAACACAATGTTACATGAAAGATTTATATTTGTAAAGTTTTCTTAAAAGAAAAATGTCTGCTAAAATTTCTTCCTAAGTCCATACAATTGCTTTTCTGAAATCATCCACTATAGGGTCTTGGTTAAGCATCAAAATTCTTGTGTAAGTAATCAGCATTTCCTGGCAATAAAAATCTCAGAGAAACAGAGGATTGGACTGCAATAATAATCCCTCTTGATATGATACATAATAAATGACATCATCTACCAATGTTACCAGCAGTGGGAAAGGTTCTCGTCCCTCACATGGGGCTTATTTTAATTCTCTTGTGTTGCTCTACCAGAATACCACACAGGCTTGGTAATTTGTAACTTATAATGGGCAGATATTTATTGGCTCATAGTTCTCAAAGTTGACAAGTCCAACATCAAGGTGCTGGCATCTGGCGAGGGCCTTCTTGCTGCATCATGACATAGCTGAAGGCATCACATGGCAGAAGGTGGAAGGGCCAAGAGAGAGAGACCATTCTTAAAAGCCCTTTTATTAAAGAATTAAACCCACTCTGGTGAGGCCTTCATGGCCTAATCACTTCTTAAAGGCCCCACCTCCCAATACCATTACACTTAACATTCAAACAATAGCAGAACTCTTAAAGATAATTTTCTAATGAATATTTTCTTTTTTTTCTGACAGGCGAAATAATAAGTGGAGGGAAAGCCTTGAAATTCAACCCTGAAAGTTCAAGCAGTCTTATTTTTCTTTTTTTGGCTGCTTTTTCATCCATCTGTCTCAGAAAAATCTTACTAGGGGAAGGAAGCTCCTTGTGCTAGGTGTGGAGTAGGCTGGAGGGAGGTGAGATGGAGTACACACAGGGCCTACATCTTAAAGAGTCTGAACTGTGCAGTAGGAATTTGCAAAGATCTGCACATTCAGAGTGTACTTCCCAGGCCTCTTTATCCTTGGCACTGCATGCTTGAAGATGGGAAGGAAACACCCATTTAGGCTTTCTAGTAGCCATCTTTTGTTTACTGCTCTTGCCAATGAAGGATTAATGAAAGTTGCTCAGGGAAAAGTAACCTTGTTCTCCACTGACCTAGTCAGAATCTAGGTTTGTGTAACAGTCAGGACATGCTAGGGTATGTTGCAATAACAAAGAGCCCCTAAACTTAGTGACCCCAAATAAACAAAGGGCATTTCTCTCATGTTCTATGTCTGTCTAGGGTCAGTTTGATGCTCTGCTTAGTGTGGTTACTCACAGACCCAGACTGACGAGCAGAGTCCTTCTCAAACATTGTCAAGAGCTCTGAAGAATTTCCACTGTCAATTAACACAGCCCAATCCAAACACATAGGGATCAAAAAATGCAACACTACTACTTACACAGAAGGCAGAGAGTTGGATGTATCTGGCATCCACACCAGTGACCACCACAGTAGGGACCTGCAGGTTTGTTCTGCCTTTCTTCTTCTTATCTGGGAATTCCACCGTCCTCTTGATGACCAATAGCAGAAAATGGATGAAGAGGGCAGGTGTTGCAAGATACAACAGATCATCTAAAAGTCTTGATTGAATGGATAACCTCCACTTCCAATACTTTTCAAGTCACAAAACTATTGTTCAGCCCAGGCTGCCCCTGAGGAGATGCTGAAGAACAATGACTCCCCAAACTTCAGGGACATTTAGATGCCTGGTGGAATCTTGGAGCTGGAAGGGGCCTCAGAGGTCATCTCACATAACCCTAACATCTCAGGAATGAGGAAACTGGAGCCCACAAAGAGATTTTCCTGAGTCTGCCTGGACAGGGATAGGACTAGAACCCAGCTCTCCTGGATCCTAGGACTTAAAAAAAAATATTCCCCTAGGGCTCACCACAGACCCTGATCTGAAAGAAGTAGAAAAGACAGAGGCTGGAGAGCAGGGCAGGCAGCCCTTGAGAGGGGCCCCAGGAGCCCAGTTGCCTTTCTCTATCAGGCCCTGGTCAAGCATTGCCTGCCTGAGAACACTGGATCAAGGCCTTTACTAACCACAAAACCAGCACCTCTTTCATGCCCTTGGGAGCTCTCCTCAAGTTGGTGTAAACTACTGACTCAGATGCTGCTTCTAGCTTCCTGTGACCTTCTGAGAAAACTACAGCCGTGTACATCAAAGGGAGAGAAAGAGGTTCAGAGAAAGAAACAGAGGCAGCAGAGGTGGATGGGATGAGAATTTACAGGCTAGAAGAAATACTTGCTGTGGGCCCTCTCTTGGCCAATCCAAGACCATAGGCTCCAAGGGCTACCATCTGAAATGTTCTGCTTTATTTTGACTTGGGCAGTGCCTCTCTCCCCCACTAGAATGTAAGCTCCGTGTCAGGATCAGTCCCAGACACTGGGAGACACACTACAGCCTTTGCACAGGAAGGAGTTCTGTAAGTAGTTGTTGAATGGGCTGGTAACCATGGAAGGGCATTTAAAGGTTTTAAAACAGAGTGACAGGGTCATGCTTGGCTCTCGGAAAGTTCAAAAACGAGACACAAACAGCAACATTTGAGTTGAATCTCAAAAGATGGTGAAGTAGGGACCAGAAAACAGGGTAGGTGGAGGCCATTCCAAGCCAGAGAGATGAATGAAGATCAAACAGGGAAAATAAGCAATAAGTAGTTAGACTACGTTCATTCACTCATTCATTTACTCACTCACTCAACCAACACTCATTGAACACCTGCTGTATACCAGGCCTGGGACTGTATGATGGTTAATTTCATGTGTCAACCTGACTGGTCTAAGGGAAGCCCAGATAGCTGGTAAAACGTTCTTTCTGGGCGTACCTGTGAGGGTGTTTCCAGAAGAGATTATTATTTGAATCAGTAGACTGAGTAAAGAAGATTCTCCCTCACCAACGTGGGAGGCATCATCCAATCCATTGAGGGCCTAAGTAGAACAAAAAGGTGCAGGAAGGATCAATTCACTCTCTCTCCTTGGGCTGGGACATCTATTTTCTCTGGTCCTAAACATTGGAGCATCTCATTCTTGGGACTTTGGGCTTTGGGACTGATAAAGTCCCAAAGTGGTCCTCCCCGCACTCCATTTCTTATGTCTACAGCGTCAAGCTGGAAGTTACACCATCAAGTTATAGCCCCAAGTTCTCAGGCCTTTGGACTTGAGCTGAATGATACCGTTTACTTTCCTGGTTTCTCAGCTTGCCACCTGCAGATCGTGAGACTTCTTGGCCTCCATAATCACGTAAACCAATTCCCCATAAATCTCCTCTTCTGTATATACATATACCCAATTTGTTCTGTTTCTCTGGAGAACCCTGACTAATACAGACAGAGAGCAAAGGAGACCACAGCAGGTGGCCCACAAATGTGTAGGCAAGTTAATAGAGCCATGAATGACCTCAGGACCAGTAGAGAATTTGGGATGGGAGGGAGTCCACCCTATAGGAGCATTGATCTGGCATCAGACAGCAGGAAGGAGAAGAAGGAGACTCTGGGGAGAGCCTAGAGTAAGCCTATGACCCCAGACCCCTCACCTGGGTGATCCCAGTGTGCCCCTGCAAACCCTTAGCAGCCTACAGTTCCACACAGCCCTGACTGTTGGAGCTGAAGGGACTTCTGGTCTACTCTCCTTATTTCCAGATGAGGTAACTGGAGTTAGAGAAGGCAAAGCGCATGCCAAAAAGCACACAGCAAGTTAGCTACGTCGTCTTCTTACGCTTTTGGTTAAAAAGGCACCAGCCAACCCTAGGCTTTACTCAGGGTGCTTTGCTCAGGAAGAAGGGGAGGAGCCAGGCCTGAACCCTGGTTTTAGCCATCATGGAAGAGGCAGGTGGTGTCAGTGGGGGGCCATGGGAAAAAGAAGAGCTTATCACCCACCACACCAGGAGCTTGCTCTGCAGAGGGTCCAGGCTCTCCTCAAGCCCTCTCTGTCCCCTGGGGTGTCCCACCATGCACCTCAGATTATCAGGAGCACAACCTCAGGTTCAGACGCCACCCCGTGCATCTTCCAGTCCAACACCTCACCAAATGCCAAAGTCCCCTCTCAAATGTCCCTATCATGTGATCATCATGCCCTGAACTGCAGGCTCTGCCCAAGCACCTTAATGATGCTCCTTACATCCCAGTGACTGCGTGGAATTTATGTGAATGAATGAATAAACCACACGTGAGGGAACAAGTGAGGGGACGAATGAATATGTTCATCAAAGGCCTTCAGGATACATGCGTTTCCTCCATGCTGTGGGGATAACAAGAGTTCCTACATCACAGGGTTTTTATGAGGGTTAAATGAATAAATATTTGTAAAGTGCTTGGAATAGTGCCAACCACAGAGTAAGTGTTATATGTTTGTTGGATAAAATGCAAAAACATACAACTGTTCCACATTTCTGGTCCCATCTTTACGTAACTCTTATTTAAAAATTATTTCTTGGCTGAATGCAGTGGCTCACACCTGTAATCCCAACACTTTGGGAAGCTGAGGCAGGTGGATCACCTGAGGCCAGAAGTTTGAGACCAGCCTGGCCAACATGGTGCAACCCCATCTCTACTAAAAATATAAAAATTAGCCAGGCATGGTGGTGGGTGCCTGTAATCCCATCTACTCCGGAGGCTAAGGCAAGAGAATCACTTGAACCCAGGAGGCGGAGGTTGCAGTGAGCCGAGATCGTGCCACTGCACTCCAGCCTGGGCAACAGAGCAAGACTCCATCTAAAAAATAAAATAAAATAATTTTTAAAATTAATTCTTAGACAGAATGGAAGGCTATCTCCCTTGTAACCTGGAATAACAATCTAGAATGTGCTGCTTTGTGGATGAAAGGTGGAAGTTCTCTCCTGTGACAGCTCTCAGGAATCTGAACTCTCCTGTCCTGTCCCCTCCCTTTCCCAGACTGGAGACCAGCCTTCTTGACCTGACTGGGCTTGGGGTGGGGGGTCCCTGACCACCTCCTCTGGTCAGGCCACCACCCTTTTCTAGCCAGGCACTAATGTTCTCTGGCCCTGGAGTGGAGGAGCCCAGACGCTTGGGAGAGGGAAGTGCTGTTGCACACTGGGGCTGCCAGCCAAGAAATAGCCCCTGGCCCTGCCCCTCCCCACCCCCAGGCTCTGTGGAGCCCTTCCCCAGACACTTTGGGGGCGGTGCTTGGCTTTGACCTCAAATCCAAGCACTTTCAGATCCGACCCCGCCCTCCCCAGCCTCCTCACCTCTCATCTGCCTCTGGTTTCCCGAGTCCATCCTGGTCTCCCTGCCCCCAGGCTGTCTTCCAGAATCTATCACAGCTCCTGGCACACAGTGGGCACTGGAGAGACAGTTGTTAGATTGATTTGTTCCAGAGGTGGGGGAAATTGGGGCAAGAGATGGTTATGCCAACAATTGATTGTAGCCTTAAGCCTGGTGCTGCAATCCGCACACTTGAGTAAGCCTAAGAAAGATAAGAATCGCCTGTCTTGGGTGATCCCTGAGCCCCACCCCTGAGATTTAGATAGGTATGAGCTGAGTCCTGGGAATCTGCATTTCCAGCAACCAACTCAGGTGGTTCTGTTGCTGTCCATGGACCTTGTTTTGAGAAATTCTGCTCACTGTGATTTGGGCTAAAGAGAGGCCCAGACAAAATGGGGGAGGAGGCCAGAGGACACAGTCGGGGGAGCAGGAAGGCTTCATGGAGGCGGTGCTGCTGCGGGTATAAACGAAGGGCTTCAGGAACCAAGGGGCTAGAGAAGGTGGTTCCAGAAGGCTTCCCTGGAAGTGGCAATGAGGATGGGAGATGGCGCAAATGAGGGAGACCCAGAAGATGCTGTCATCCCAACCACACCGTCAACACCATGGCTCCCATCCTCTCTGGATCTTGTAGCTGAGACCACAAGACGTCAGCTGGAATCCTGGTCGTCATTCTCCTTGCCCAACTGCCCTCCCCACAGCACAGATGCACTTCACCCAATGGTTCCCAGGGGAATGAGCAAAAGGAGAAACATAACAGCGATGCAGGAATCCTGGAACTGGCCAGACAGGCCTGCAATGGTGGAGGGCTGACAGGGACAGCTGTCTTGGAAGAGTTCTTGAACCAAAGGTCAAAGTCAAGGCTGACTTGACAAAATTATGGTGCTGGAGACTGAAACCAGACTCTGCCACACTGAGGGTCCCTGTCCCACACCCCAGCCCAGGGTTCCATGTGCTCTCCTGTTCCGTGCTGCCCACCCCAACCCACTCCTAAATCCGCCCACCCCTCAGCCATCGACTCATTCATTCCTGCCCTGTCTGTTGGAACGCTCATTCAGGGATTGGGCTGGGACACATACGCTTGCTCTTTTGATTCATAGATTTTCCTGATCAAAGAGAATAACCCCTGGGAGGTAAACGTCCTAAATGCTGGGTGATATTTTTACATCCTTTTTATTATTTAAAAAGGCCCAGTTCACAGATCGCAAAGATTACCAGTACTACACCCACATAGTTCCTCGGAAGACCCCGCAACTTGTCAGATCCCCAAGGAAGCCCAAGCCCACAGCTACCCCTGGCCTGGGGAACAAGATCATTATTCCACATCGGGAGAGGTGTTCTGCAGCCTCTGCAAAAATTTTAGAACCCCTGTAATTAAGCCCAACCCCTAATTAGTCTGGGTAGTCATCTTGGCCTAGTTCCACCTCCCAAATCTGAGGCCGACTGCCCCTCCTGTCTTGGACCAGAAAGACAAGTGCTTTCAAGGCGAGGGTCTCCCAGATATGAAGCAATAGAGGGGAAAAAAATCCCAGCTTGAATAACATGTCAAAAATAATAATCTTGTTATTTAAAGCCGAGTTGCAGGGAGAATCCTACAGAAGTGCTGATGACATTCCCATTAACGCCAAGAGTGTTCATCGTGATTGATGGCTCCAATAAACAGCCAAGGAATCAGAAGTGATTGATTGGGCCATCTCTTTAGAGTGTTGCAAAAAACTGCCGCGGTGAGCATACTTGCCTCTCCGCAAGTGAAAAATGCATGTTCAAATAATGCCAGCCATATTAAATGATCACCCTCTGTCCAGGTATGTATAAAAAATGATCTACTGATACTCCACTGAGGTGTGAGGCTGAGAATGTTAGGAATGTGTTGTATCCACGCGTCTGTGTATAGATTTCTCTATGTCGTCACCGTCTGTGCTGACAGGTAGCTCAGGCGGTTAAAGCTGGGGGCATGTGAGGTGGAGGTGACTGTTAGAGTCTCCCTAGGTCCAGGTAGTTCTGCTTCAGTTGATGCACCTGCCTGGAGCCAGCTGTGGCCAGATGTCCTGCCTGACAACAACATGTTCCTAGTCCCAGTGAAGACCTTGAGCGGTGGGGTGGGGGACCTGAGGAGTGCCTGGCTGTCTTCTATAGCCCAGCTTCATGGAATCGCTTCTATGTTCCCTTCTACAGCACCACCACCTTCATTCACTCCTCAGCCAGTTTAGTGTCCCCATATTTCACTCCCCATGCCACTGAAAAGTGACTCCAGTCACTGATAACACACCCAGTGGGATTTCCTCTGCCTTTCCTCATCCTGGCCGGTCCAGGCTGCTCCCTCCTGGCCCACCCTGTGGGGTTCTCACAGCCCAGCTGAAACCAGGCTGTCTCTTGCTTCACAATCTCTCTGAAGACTTGGGAGTTAGATTGTAGGAAAGAGAACAAGGTCATGTCTGAGAGTGGATATCCAGGCTGCTGGGTGCCCAGGACCCTCATCCACAGGCTGGCTCTCTCTCCTCAGCCCCCACCTGCTACAGTTGGGTATGGGGATCAATACAAGCCCACAGTCAGAAAAGGCAGAGGAAATCAAATGTGTACAGGCATGGGGGTGTGTGCCAGCAAGGTCGGGTTGGACACTGGTGGTCTTGTACATCTGGGATGTGGGGTTCCTGGGGAAAGTGTGGGGAGCTGGGACTGGAAAATCTGGTGGGGTCAGAGCCCAAAAACTTTACAAGCCATAAAAGGGGTCTTGTATGCCATGGGCAGGGTTGAGTGGGTTGCCTCGTAGAGATGAAGGTAGGATGGAGAATGATTTGATTTTCATTTTGGACAAATTACTCTGGACAGTGGGGAGTGGAGAGAGAGGAGGCAGGGAGACCATTTAGGAGGAAATCGCAGCAGTCCCGTTCAAGCTTTCCTTCCTTGGAGAAGCCTCTGACTTTGGTGACTAGAAGCAGAGCCAGAAACAGGGTTTCTTGTTCAAGCAATTTATGGGGGCGGTCTCAGGAGAAGGAAGGTGAGGCGGGCTGGAGAGGGGAGGGACATCCTAAGTGAGAGCATGGACTCAGCTGGGGATGAGTGTCAGGCTAAGCCCCCAGGAGCTCGGGCTCCTGCACTGTGCCCCAGAGCCAGCCCCGTGCCCAGGGGCAAAGTGGGGGACTCTTGGCATCAATGCCAGCCATTGGCCAAGAGCTGTGGAGGTGCTGGTAGGACGTACTCTCCCAGGTGAGCCAGGTTCCTGGGACAGGGAGATTCTCCAGAGAAGCGGGTAGCTGTGAGGGATTAACAGCTGGCACTTGCAGCGGCTGGGGGTGCTTGCAGTGATCTGTAAAGGGCACTGGGGAGGGACACAGACAGCCCCTCTGAAACCCCTATGGGGGGCTTGTTAGTGCACAGATTGCCAGCTCCACCCCAGAGGTTGACCCACACCCAAAAGTAGCAGGTGGGAGCTGAGGAGAGAGAGCCAGCCTGTGGATGAGGGTCCCAGGCAGCCAGGAGCCTGGACATCCACTCTCAGACATGACCTTGTTCTCTTTCTCACAATCTAATTCCGGTCTTCAGAGAGATTGCGAAGCAAGAGGCAGCCTGGTTTCAGCCGGGCTGTGAGAACCCCTGCAGTGTGGGCCAGGAGGGAGCAGCCCGGACAGGCCAGGATGAGATGGTGAGAGGTACCCCTGAGTAGAGCAGCTGTCAGCAAGAGGCTAAGCGGGAGGGGCCAGCCACCCATATGCCCAGAACTGAGGGGTTTCCCAGGACATGGGACTTTCAGGGCCAACACTGGGGAGAGTCCCGGGCAAACCAGGGTGAGTTGGTTGCTGCACTGGATGGGCTGATGAAGGAAACCAGGACCCACTTTTGGGCCCTGTAAGCCTTCCTCCGAGATATCCACTAGTAGGTCAGGAGTGGAGGTAAAAGCTGGACTTCCTTCCATCTCTCAGGAGGACTGGGCTAGATGGCTGTTAAATGGAAGGCTAACCCAGAAGGGTGGACTTTTGGGGAACATAAAGCCTATCTAGGAATCTGAAGGTATTTAGAAAATTCATATCATGGCTAATAGTTTTATATATCAGTCTTCGTTGTAGAAGAACAACTAGCAAATGTGATACAGTGGGCCAAGCTGTGAACAAGGAATCCTAAGACCTAAACTGTAGTCCCAAACCTTTCATAACTAGCTGTGTGACCACAGACAATTAAGTTGCCCTCTCTGGACCCCATTCTCCTCCATTGTTAAAAAAAAAAAAGAGTTGAAACTAGGTCTAGCATTCTTTTGTGTGCTGTTGGATCCCTTTGACAGTTTGATGAGGCTTACGAATTTCTTCTCCGAACAGTGTTTTGAAATGCATGAGATGAAATAGGATTTACAAGGGAAACCAATTATAATACAATTATAAACATAGTGTAAAAACAAATTTGTTATGTGGCAATATATGTACTCTTTAATAAATGCAATTAAAAACAAGCCTGAGCGATAGGTGTAATAACTGTAATTTTAAAGTAGTTGTGAGAGTAAACAATATTTCAAGATGTCTGTGACAACCATAATTGATATGTAATGTTTGTGGTTTCTCTTAACAGTAATGTCACAGGAGCTCCTGACGCTGCTGTGGCTTGCTGGCTACATTTGTAATGTAGGAAGGAAATGCTACACTTCAGCTGAAAGTTAGTGAAAATAAAAATATAATTGTTCCCTTTCCATTTTCCCCCAATTTCTTTTCTTTTGTTTTTTTTTTGTTTGTTTGTTTGTTTGTTTTTTTGAGACAGAGTTTCCCTCTTGTCACCCAGGCTGGAATGCAATAGCACAATCTCAGCTCACTGCAACCTCTTCCTCCTGGGCTCAAGCAATTCTCCTGCCTCAGCCTCCCAAGTAGCTGGGATTACAGGTGTGCACCACCATGCCCGGCTAATTTTGCATTTTTAGTACAGACGGGGTTTCACCACGTTGGTCAGGCTGGTCTCGAACTCCTGATTTCAGGTGATCTGCCCTCCCTGGCCTCCCAAAGCACTGGGATTACAGGTGTGAGCCACTGTGCCTGGCCTATTACCCCCCAATTTTATCCATGAACTATGTCCTCCCCAAAATTCACGTTTTGAAGCTCTAACCCTCAGTACCTCTGAATGTGACTGTATTTGGAGTTAGGGCCTTCAAAGAGATGACTCAGGTAAAATGAGGCATATAGTGGGCCCTAATCCAATATGACTGGTGTCCTTATAAGAAAAGGACATTAGGACACAGGCACGGAGAGAAGACCATGTGAAGACACAGAGAAAAGGCAGCCACCTGCAAGCCGAAGAGAGAGGCCTCAGAAGGAACCAATCCTGCTGACACCTTGATCTTGGACTTCCAGTCTTCAAAACCGTGAGAAAATACATTTCTGTTGTTTAAGCCCCCCAGCTTGTGGGGTTTTGTGATGGCAGCCCCCATAGACTAATACAACTCCCCAGTCCATAGAACCCACGTTAAAAATTCCAGGACTAGGCAACCTTTCAGGTCCCTTTGACTCTGTCCATGCAGATAGCACCTTTCTGTGCTAGATGAGAAGGGCTTTGCGGATGAAGATAAAAGGGCATATTCTTTGGGCCATTGCAGAACTAGCAAAGATGAGAAGGAGATCCAGGTGCTCCTCGGCTCCCTTCATTGACTGTATCTGCTGCTGCCCCTCTGTACTGAGAAGAGTCCTCCCCATCTGAGTGTGTAATCTGCAAGAAGATCCCAAGGGCAGCCCATGTACTTCACAGTGTATCCACAGAGGTCTTCGTCCAGGAGGGCTCTATGACTTCCACCCTGAGGCTCAGTGGATGATGCCCAAACGTGAAAGAGCAAAGCTCCAGGACTGAGCTCTCCTGCAAGCTTCTAGTGAGAAGATGGAGTGGATTTTCCCTCTTCCTCTGGAGGAGGAAGGGAGGCAGAAGGAGGACACAGGGAAAGACAGAAGAAGAGAGGTGAGAACTGAGGTGGAAGAGGAAAGAGATAAGTGAGAGAAGAAGGGGAGAGGAAGGAAGAATGGGAAATGGGACGGCGAGAAGCAAAAGAGAAGAGACGGAGGGAGAGAGAAGAAAGAAAGAGGAGGAGGCCACCAGGTCACTTTCTCTTCTTCAGCCAAGGCTGTCTGAAGCTCCCTTTCCCTCTAGGAGTTGCTGGTGACCAAGGGACAGTGAGAACTGGAAGAAGGATACAGAGAACGCTTCACCCCACCACCACCTCCAGCAAGCAAGCGATTCCTAATGGTTAGAGCCCCAGCTCCTAGGCCAGCTGTTGTTTCAGCAATCTGAGCCTGGGCAATAGGCATCCGCTACACAGCCTCAACTCCTAATTTAGGAGGGTGGAGCAAGGGGGCCTGCCTGTCCATCTGACTCTTGGCTGTCTTTGAGAGAAGCTGCCTCCATCCATGTAGAGAGGCCGCCTAACCCTAGTACTGGCCAATTGTTTCTCCTTCCTGGAGTCCCAGCTCTCTATCTTCTCATGGAAAATCATTGACACAGTTTTTCTTGAGGCCAGTTTGTTTTTCAGTTCTATCAGCCCTGATATGATGCTTAATACTTCCCTGGGGAGCAAGATGAAGCCATTGCCATCTCTGAAGTAAATACCTAATTAGGATGCTTCTGAACAGTGTATTATTTACTTGGGAGAATGTATCTTGGGTCAGTGTGCAATTAGAGAGGTCGTTATTTTCTCAAGAGAGGGAGATGGTTCCGGCAGGTCCTACACTTAAATATGTAATTAGGTGCTGCTTAAAGTATCTGGGGTACCTGGAAGGCACCGTTCATTTATTATTAACAACTTGCCTATTGCAACATCCATACTGCTGAGCCACTGGGATGACGAGAAATGAGTTCTGATTCTAACTACGTGGTTGAGGGGGGATAAGCAATACTTGTGTCACTAGCCAACGAAACAAGTAGCAATTAGTGACTTTGAGCCAAACAGGCCCATTGATTCAATCAAGAATCTAGTCTATATCAGGCACAGTGCTCAGTGTTTTAATTTAGTATTCCAATTCATCCTCAGCACAGTTCTATAAGAGAATATTGTTCTTATTTTACCTGCGAGGAAAGAGACTTAGTGAAGAAATATGCTCAAAGTCACAAAGCTAACGAATAGCAAAGCCACCACATGAAGAGTCCAATATAACAACAGAAAGAGCTGCAAGGCACAGACTTTTTCTGAGGAGGAGTACTTAGGGACACCCAATGTCAAGAGGAGATGAAAACAAGGACACTAGAGGAATTTAAAGACTCTGGATCACACATCAAGATTAAAGATTAAACACAACACAACTCCTAGACGAATTAACACAAATCTCCACACTAAAAACCTCTTTACCTCAGTTCCTATTACCCAATACAACACATCCAGCTTTCAACAGAAAATTACAAGGCATACCAAAAGGTAAGAAAAAAAATACAATCTGAAGAGGCACATCAATCATCAGAACCAGACTCAGATATGACACAAGTGTTGGATATCAGACAGATAATTTAAAATAATTGTGATTAATATGCAATATCCCTAGTGAATAAAGTAGGCAATATACAAGAACACATGGATAATGTAAGCAGAGTTGAAATTCTAAGTATCAAAAAGAAATCCTAGAAGTTAAGAACACTGTAACAGAAATGAAGAATGCCTCTGATGGGGTCATCGACAGAGTAAACATGGTCAAAGAAAGAAACAAGGACCTTGAACATCAGTCAGTAGAGGCTTCCTAAACTGAAATGCAAAGAGAAAGAAAAAGAATGACAAAAACAGAAGAGAGAATCTGAGAATTGTGAGACAATATCAAAAAATGTAGTATATGCATAACTGAAATGCAGAAGGACAAGAAAGAGAAAATGGAGCAGAAGTATTTGAGCTAATAATGGCTACTACTGTTTTCCAAATTGCAGATCCAGGAAGCTTAGAAAACACCGAGCAGAATAAGTACACAAACAAACAAACACAAAACAAAAAACACCTAGGTACATCATATTTAAACTACAGAAAAAATTGAAAGTAGAACTACTATTTGATTCAGAAATCCCATTACTGGGTAGGATATACATTCCATATATTCCATGGGAGATACGTGTGTGTGTGTGTGTGTGTGTGTGTGTGTGTGTGTGTGTGTGTGTGTGTAATGGAATACTAGTCAGCCATAAAAAAGGACAAAATAATGGCATTCACAGTAACCTGGATGGAATTGGAGACCATTATTCTAAGTGAAGTAACTCAGGAATGGGAAACCAAACATCATATGTTCTCGCTCATAAATTAAGCCAAGCTATGAAGATGCAAAGGCATAAGAAGGATATCATGAACTTTGGGGACTCGGGGGAAGGCTGGGAGGGGGTAAGGAATAAAAGACTATACGCTGGGTAGAGATTTGAATTGAGATTTTGGTTACTTGTCCATGTAACCAAAAACCACCTGTTCCCCAAAAACTACTGAAATAAAATAAAAATCTGTAAAAAAGAACTGCTATCTGTCTCTCTCCAAGCCATGCCCCTCAAAAAATAAATAAACTACAGAAAACCAAAGACAAAGAAAAAATCTTAAAAGAAGCTGGAGAAGGATGGATGTAGGAAATACGAAACTCACAGAAGAACAAAGTTAAGAGTTACAGCTGACTTTTTGATATAAAACTATGCAAAGAGGAGGAGAAACACTTAAAGTGAATGAATGCCAGCAGTGTCACAGAAGTTAAAAGTGCGAGATTGAAAACAAAACCCACCCACCTAGAATTCTATATATATCCAGCAGATTTATCCTTAAAAATTAAGGAGAAATAAAGATTTTTCTCAAACAAAAATTGACAGACTCTGTTGCCCACAATCTGTCCTGCAAGAAATGTTAAAAGACGTTATTAGCCAGCCATGGTGGCTCACACCTGTAATCCCAGCACTTTGGGAGGCTGAGGCAGGCAGATCACTTGAGGCCAGGAGTTCCAGACCAGCCTGGCCAACATGGGGAAACCCCGTCTCTACTAAAAATACAAAAATTAGCCAGGCATGGTGGCATGCACCTGTAGTCCCAGCTACTCGGGAGGCTGAGGCAGGAAAATCACTTGAACCTGGGAAGTGAAGGTTGCAGTGAGTCAAGATTGTGCCACTGTACTCCAGCCTGGGTGATAGAGTGAGACTTCATCTCAAAAAAAAAAAAAAAAGGAAGAAGAAATTATTCAGGCAGAAGGAAGATGATATCAATCAGAAACTTAGATTTATGTAAAGAAAGTAAAAGCGGCCGGGCGCGGTGGCTGAGGCAGGAGAATCGTTTGAACCCGGGAGGCAGAGGTTGCAGTGAGATAACGCCACTGCATTCCAGCCTGGGCGACAGAGTGGGACTCTGTCTCAAAAAATAGAAATAAAAAATAAATGAAGATTGGATTGGAATGTTCATAGATTTGGTGACTCAATATTGGTAAAATGTCAATTCTTCCCAACTTGATACAGATTCCCAGTCAAAAGCTCAGCAAGCTATTTTGTAGGTATCAACAAACTGACTCAAATCTATATAGAAAGGCAAAGAACCTAGAATAGCCAACACAATACTGAAGAACAACAAAGGACTCACATTACCCAATTTAAGACTTACTATAAGACTACAACAATCGAGATTGCTGAAATTGGTGAAAGAATAGAAACATAGATCCATGGAACAGAAGAGAACACAAATAATAGACAACTGTATTCAACTGATTTTTTACAAAGGCACAAAGGCAATTCAATGAAGAGAGAATTGTCTTTCCAACAAAAAGGGCTGGATCAAAGAGATATTCATATGAAAAAAAAATGAACCTAGCCACAGACCTTACACCTTACACAAAATATACTCAAAATGAATCACAAATCTAAATGTAAAATGCAAAACTATGAAACTTTTAGGAGAAAATATGCATGACCTTAGGTTTAGCAATGAGTTTTAAGATACACCAAAAGCACAATTCATGAAAGATAAAATTGACATGTGGGAATAGTGGGTTGAATGGTAGCCCTCAAAAAGGTAAGTCCAGGCCAGGCACGGTGGCTCATGCCTGTAATCTCAGCACTTTGGGAGGCCAAGGTGGGCAGATCGCTGGAGGCCAAGGGTTTGGGACCATCCAGGCCAACATGGCAAAACCCCGTCTCTACTAAAAATACAAAAATTAGCCAGGCGTAGTGGCACACACCTGTAATCCCAGCTATTCCGGAGGCTGAGGCATGAGAATCATTTGAACCCAGAGGCAGAGGCTACAGTAAGCCGAGATGGCACCACTTCACTCCAGCATGGGCAACAGAGTGAGACATTATCTCAAAAAAGAAGGAAGTCCACATCCAAATTCCTGGAATCTGTCAATGTGATCTTATTTGGAAAAAAGGGTCTTTGTAGAAGGTTGAGTTAAAGACCTTGAGATGAGATCATCCTGAATTACGTGGGTAGGCCCTAAATCCAATGCAAGTATCCTCAGAAGAGAGATATAGGGTGATTTGACAGAGAGAAGAGGAGGAGGGGTGTGACCACAGAGGCAGAGACAGGAGTGATGTAACTGCCAGCCAAGGGGGACCTCAATATGATGTAATGAAAATAGTGCTGCACCTCTGTGGTGTCCCTTTCACAAACCCATAATCCCAGTCTAACCATGAGAGAATCACCAGACCAATCCCAGCTGAGAAACATTCTACAAAACACCTGACCAGTACTCCTCAAAACTGTCAAGATCATCAAAAAACAAGGAAAGCCTGAGGAACTGTCCCAGCAGAGGAGCCTCAGGAGTAAATGTAATGTCTCCTAGATGAGATCCTAGAACAGAACAAGGACGCCAGGTAAAAACGAAGGAAATAAGGCCAGGTGTGCTGGCTCAACACCTGTAATCCCAGCACTGTGGGAGGTCGAGGCAGGCGGGGGATCTCCTGAGCCCAGGAGTTCCAGGCTAGCCTGGCCAACATGGCAAAACCCCATCTCTACCAAAAAAAAAAAAAAAAAAAAAAAAAAAAGCCATTCGTGGTGGCTCAAACCTGCAGTCCCATCTACTCGGGAGGCTGAGGTGGTGGGGATCGCCTGAGTCCGGGGAGGTGGAGGCTGTAGTGAGCCATGACTGTGCCACTGCACTCCAGCCTGGGTGACAGAGTGAGACCCTGTCTCAGAAAACAACGACAACAACAACAAAAAACTAAGGAAATCTGAAAAAGTATAGATGAGTTACTAATAATATATCAATATTGGTTCATCAATTTTGACAAATGTACCCTATGTTAGTAGGCAGAAGTGAGAACAAGGCATCTAGGAACTCCCTGCAGTATCTTTACAACATCTCTGTAATTCCAATTCTATGCTAAAATATAAAGTTTATTTAAAAGTTAAAAGAAAAGAAAGTGTTATTTATGACCTTAAAAAATTAAAAATAACATCCCCCCTGAAAAATAAACCCCTAACACATACACTTTCCAAACATGACATATACGAATGAACAACACACAAAGGAAATTGGAAGAAACCTGTGTTGTTTACCCCGGAGCGGATGCCTATGGGGGAAGGGACTAGGATTAGACCTGGAGAAAGGAGAAAGACACAACCACGATAATCTCAAAAGAGGATTCGAGTCCAGATGGGTGGTGACAGCGAGCCATCAAATGGAGGACATCAGCCCCCCAAGTCCGTGCGCCTGAAATCCTTTAACAAAAGGAGGGAAAGGGAGAGAGAGGTCCTGCCAAAGGTGGCTAGTGATCTCTGCAGCCACAGGAAAGGAAAATGTCTGTCTGGAGAGCGTTTCTGGAGGTCGCAGGGGAGAAAACGGCCTGATCGCCGGCTTCTGCTCTCCGCGGAAGCTGCCAAGCACAGGTCTAGGGCACATGGCTCAGAGACAAGAATTTTGTTTTTTTTTTCGAGATGGAAGTCTTGCTCTGTCACCCAAGCTGGAGGGCAGTGGTGTGATTTTGGCTCACTGCAACCTCGGCCTCCCAGATTTAAGCAATTCTCCTGCCTCAGCCTTCCGGAGTAGCTGGGATTACAGGCGCACCCATGCCCGGCTAAATTTTGTATTCTTTGTAGAGATGGGGTTTCATCGTGTTGGCCAGGCTGGTCTTGAACTCCTGACCTCGTGATCCACCTGCCTCGGCCTCCCAAAGTGCTGGGCTTACAGGCATAAACCACCATGCCCAGCCAAGAAATTTTTTGAAGAAAATTTTTAAAATATATGGAATGCTTCACAAATTTGTGTGTCATCTTTGCGCAGGGCCATGCTAAGCTTCTCTGTATTGTTCCAAGTTTGGAACAAAATTGCCAAAGTGACAGTTTTGTGCCTGCTGCTGCTACCTCCACCATCTGACTCCAGGCAACCTTATCTAACCTCCTACATCTCAGCTTCCTCATCTGTAAAATCGGCAAATGGGGATGATGATGATAATAATAATAATAATAATAATAATAATAATAATGACTTCTGAGGGTTAAAAGAGGTAAATGTATAAAAAGCACTTTCCAGTGTCTGACACATAAAGTCTTGATAAACGGTCACTATTATTATTTTAAATGCTTTTTTGAATCCATTTTCCCCTTAGGCCAGATTTACAATTATTTCCAGCAGGAAACGTGTTTCATTGCCTGCCCTGCCCATAACTCTCTTCTCAGATCCTACTTCTCCAAAGGGCAAGCTGTAAGACCCTTCCCCTGTCCCCACTACCTGGCCTGTCCCGGCCACCCTGATGGGACAGGAAGTCTGACTCAAGTGAGCTGATCGGGTTAAGTTCTCTCAATAATTTAACCTAAGGGGCCACCAATTTTAGTGAATTGGTAAGAATGCACTGGACTTACATGGTCTCAAGGAGTCGTGGTCTGACCCAGTTGACACCCTTTGGAGTCAAAAGTCACCCAGAATTAGGGGAGCAGAAACAACATGTGATTTGGTTTGCAGAGGCGGGTGGAGCTCAGAGAGGCAGAGAAGATGAGGACAGTTCACGGGAGGCCCACCTGCACTTCCTCAATTAACTCCATCAGATTCCCTAATCCCTTTCAAGAAAACTCCTTCTCACTTGCATTTTTTGAATGGGCTTCTATTTATTACAACCAAAATAGCCCTGACTGAAATTTACAAGCATGTCTTACCCACCAGACTGGGACACCATCTGCAGTCCTAGCATCTAGTGTGGTTCTAGATCAATAGCTGATTGTTAAGAGTTGAATGAATGAATGAATGAATGAACCAATGAAGGGACAAACAACACAGTCAGGCCTGTCCAGGCCCTCACCCTTTGCCAGCGTCCCTGCATTCAGCCTCAGTCACTTCCCCTGGCCCCTGGTGGTCTTTTGGTTGGAAGAATCCTCCCCTACACATCCCAGGATCCCAAAAGGCCAGAGGAAAAGAAGTCAGTTGAGTTACAGAGCCTGGAGTTCCCAACACACAGGGATGTTGAGAAAGAAACTGCAGATGGCCAAAGCATCATCACAGAAGACACGGTTAACCCAGGGAGGCTGGCTGTTTCCAGGGCACAGGAAAGGGCACCTGCTTTGTCGATGAGCCAAACAACGTGCTGCCGATGCCTTACACAAGGCATCCTGTGCAGGTCCTGAGCCTACTGGCCCTCAGCCACTTCCCCTGCCAGCCGCATTTCCCAGCCTCCTGCTGGGTGGGTCCAGCCAATGGAGGCAGTGGTGGGAGATTGGAGGGTGAGAGACAGGGAGAAGCTGAGCTATTTCTCCTCCTCCCTCTCTGCCTCAGATAGCACCCCGGCAAGAGCTGTGTGTGGCCACTGGACCAGCCCCCTGTGGGTCGAGCCCCCACCTGATGACCTGACCCCTGGGCTTCAGTAACACCACCTCCTCCCTGCAGCCCCCCAGCTCACAGTTGTGTTCCTGCTGGTCTCTGGATTGCCTCGCCCTCCCCCACTTGGCCTCCAAGCTCTGCCCTCACTTGTGTAACCAATTCCCTGTATTAAAGTAGCTCTGTTTGAAGTTCTCCAGGGGTTTCCATTCCCTAGCCAAACCCGTGTGGTTGGTATTATTTCCGGGCTGCAATGAGAAAACAAAACTGCAAGGAGAAGTAACTTGCCTCTGGTTATACCGCTAGTAAGTGGCAAAGCTGCATTTGAAGCCAGCTCTGTCTGACTCAAAGGCCACGTTTCATCTGCACACCCCCTTCCACTGCCCTTGGGCAGCCATCCACCCTCTAGGGGAGCTGGCCTCAGTTCCACCTGTACTGGTGCTGCCTTAGGAAGGGCTCCTAGCCCCCTCTGGATGGGAGACGCCAGGCAATTTAGCAGCTGTTTCCAGGCACCGTGTTAAGCCCAGACACGTGGCCCCAGTCCGAAGCTCTGTTCCTAATGTTGGAAAATGTTTGCCCTGTTTCTTTCCTGCAGACCGTGAGAACAGGCTGTTCCAACGAGACTTGAAAAGCTGCCTTTGGTGGACTGACTTCCCGGTCCCCTCAAAGAATGTCAGTCCTGAGGGTCTGTAATCCTCTCACTCCCAAAGTAAGAGGTGAGTTATTTTTCCCAGTGTGCTTCCCACCCCTGCCTCTGTCCCACAGGGGACTGGAGGTTTTTCTATTTGAGAAAATGTTAAATGATCTACATCTTTGATAGTGTCTTCTGACCACAGCATCACCTGAGAGCTTGTTGAAAATACAGGACTCCACTCGGGGCCTGCAGTGTCATGGCGTGTTGTTTTGGGGGGCCTGGGGTTTTTTTGGAAACAGGGTCTTGCTCTGTCACCCAGGCTGGAGTGCAGTGGTGCAATCACAGCTCACTGCAGCCTCTACCTCCTAGGCTCAGGCAATCCTCCCACCTAAGCCTCCAGAGTAGCTGGGACTACAGGTGCATGCCACCACATCTAGCTAATAGATCAGCCTGGGTAACATAGTGAGATCCTGTCTTCACAAAAAATTTAAAATTAGCCATCCTTTCTGTACAGACAGGGTCTATGTTACCCAGGCTGGTTTCCGTCTCCTGGGCTCAGGCAATCCTCCTGCCTCAGCCTCCCAAAGTGCTGGGATATAGGCTCCCAGCCAGGATATGTATTTTAACAAGATCAAGATTCCCAGATAGTTCCTATGCATGTTAAATTTGGAGAAGTGCTGCCCTCCACTATTTAATAGATGTCTACTGGGCACCTATTATATGTAATTTCATAATAGTACTATCTTTTGGGGGTGGTGTAAGAATTAAATGAATCAATACATTAGAACAGTGCTGGACATACAGTAAGTGCAGGATGTTTTAGTATGATAATCATTATTTTTATAAATATTTGCTTGGGCCTGAAATCAAGCACTAGGGGGCTCAAAGATAAATAGAGCCAGCTGGGCGCCATGGCTCACGCCTGTAATCCCAGCACTTTGGGAGGCCAAGGCTGGTGGATCACGTGGTCAGGAGATCAAAACCATCCTGGCTAACATGGTGAAACCCCGTCTCTACTAAAAACACAAAAAAATTAGCCGGGCGTGGTGGCGGGCACCTGTAGTCCCAGCTACTCGGGAGGCTGAGGCAGGAGAATGGTGTGAACCCGGGAGGTGGAGCTTGTAGTGAGCCGAGATCATGCCACTGCACTCCAGCCTGGGCGACAGAGTGAGACTCTGTCTCAAAAAAAAAAAGAAAAAAAAAAGGTTAATAGAGCCCTGCCTCAAGGAGCTCCCAGGCTGTCAAGAGATGTGCATAGAAACAAATAATTCTGATCAAATATAACCTGTGTTCACTTTGGGAGGTCAAGGTGGAAGGATTGCTTGAGCCCAGGAGTTCAAGACCAGCCTGGGCAACATAGTGAGACCCCATCTCTACAAAAATAAAAACATCAAAAACAATTAGCTGGGTATGGTGGCATGTGCCTGTAGTCCCAGCTAGTCAGGAGGGTAAGGGGTAAGGTAGGAGGATCACTTGAGCTTGGGAGGTTGAGGCTGCTGTGAGCTATGATTGAATCACTGCATTCCAGCTTGGGCAAAGGAGCAAGACTTTGTCTCAAAAATATATGTCTGTGTGTGTGTGTGTGTGTGTGTGTGTGTGTGTGTGTGTTTAGCCTGTGCTATAAAAGTTACATTCCAACCTATGGGACCTGAGGTTTAGAAAGTACTCTGTGATTTACAAACAAGAATTCACATATGATACCATGTGAGCATAACATAATGTGGTTTTATAAAGTAAATAAGATTATTGCCTCTATAGAAATGAAATTCAGAGGGGCATTGCCCAAGCTCACACAGCGACTTTAATTCAAATCTTATAACTCCAAATCCAGTGCTCTGCCTCCTGTCCCCAACACAGTCTCTCCAAGAAAGAAGGTGCTGAGTATCAGCAGGTCTGAGAAAGTTCAAGGTGGAAGGAAAACTGGAACCAAGAACTAATGTCTGAGATGACACTGGGGTGTGGTCCTTGCTTGGTATTTGTCACTGGAGAAGGACAGTGATCAGGGTTGACACTGAAGTCGTTTTCTCTCAGAAATTACAGACGAGTGGAAATGAAGACCAGACAATCCCTGGGGGTCCAGGATTATTCTTTTGGGTTTGTTTGGGTTTTGAGGTTTTTCCGGCACGTCCAAGTACCCCACTGTCCAGCCAATGCTCGCTTTTTGGAAAGCTGGTCTCAGTCTCCTTTTCTAACCTCAGCTGAAAAAGTTGTGTCCCCAGTGACTCTTCACCACCCTCAGATCTAGATCACCACACGGAGTCTTTTCAGCAGACTCTCCCAGTGCTGGGTGAATAGCAGCTGTTCTCAAAGCAGGGTCCCCAGCCCGGCCGCTGCAGCCTCACCTAGGAAATTGTTAGAAATAATCCTCCAACTCTGCCAAGACCTACTGAGGCACAAACTCTAAGGTGAGGCCCACAGCATGTGGTGTTTTAACAAGTCTTCTCTGCCATTCCTGGAGGTTTTGTATGTGGATACAAACGAAAGTTAGTATGTATGGGAGGCAATTTAGAGTTTGAAAGCACTAACTATAGAGCTAGAATCAGGGCTCAGCCACCCACCGGTAGGTGACCTTGGGCAAACTCAATGATTTTGAGTTTGAGAAGCACTGGTAGGGCTGTCCTCTAGAGCTTTCTGCGACAATGGAAATGTTGTGTATCTGCCGGGTCCAATACCATAGCCCCCTAGTCTCAGAGGCCTGCCAAGCACTTGAGTGTGGCTAGTATGGCTACAGAACTGAATTTCAAATTTTATTTACTTTTGATTAATTTAAATTTAAATAGCCACACATGACTAGTGGCTACCTCATTGGACAGAGCAGGTCTAGAGGACACTCTCGCCCACCCCCAGATCACATATCAGAAAGAGCACACGAATCTCCAGCAAGGTGGGAAGGTGGCGGTCCGGAGAAGTATGGACAAAAGACATCAGGAAGGAGGCACTTCACTGCCAGGCCTGAGAAAAAAACCAGATCCCACTGAGGCTCAGCAGAGACTGCGGGAGGAGTGACACTCCCTAGAGACCCTTGGTCCACTTGTCCCTGAAGGTGGCTCATGAAGCCTTAGCCTCATCTCAAGGAGAGGTGCTGAAGTGGACATGTGGGGACAGACAGGTCAGAGCTGGGCAGTAGGCAGGTAGGTCACAAGCTAAAGATTCAAATAGACCAGAGAAAGGCCTCTTTCAAGAATGCAGCAAAAGAAAATAAGCATAAACTAAAGCAGGACAGATCTTGGTTTGACACAAGGAGGAACTGCCTGATAGGGTGGCTGAGAACAATCTTGCTGCAGGATGCTACAGAGCTTCTGTCCCTGTAGAGGAAGTGTGGGGTCATGGACGGACTCGTGCATCCTAATTCCTGTTTCATTTACTAGCTGGGTGACTGTGAACAATGGGTTGACCTCCCTGGGCCTAGGTTTCTTTGTTTGCCATAGAGGAACCAAGAAGCAGAACGCCATGTGGTGGGGACAGAATGGCAAGGCAGCTAAGGGCTTGGGCTTCTGGAGGCAGCCAGATGTGGGTTTGAAACTCAGTGTGGCCTCAGCCAAGGGACTCATGTAAGTCACTTGACATTTCTGTGGTTTCATTTTCTCGTCTGTAAAACAAGTCTGCTAATAACAGAGGAGGCATAGAGATTAGATGGATTGCAGCGCATATAACGTGATGCTGGGTGCCCAGTAGGAGAGCAGTAATTACAGAGCTCACTAAGTGTGCCAAGCCCTTTACATGGACTCACTTATTCTTTACAACATGCCAAGGAAGCAGTCCTACTGTTATGCCCATTTTTCAGATGACAAAACTGAGGAACAGAAAAGTTATGTAACTTGCTCAAGGTCACCTACCTGGTGGGTGGCTGAGCCCTGAGTCCAGCTCTATACTTGATGCTTTCAAATGCTGAAGTGCCTCCCATTCCTGCTAACTTTTGTTTGTGTCCACCCACAAAACAACCAGGAATAGTAGAGAGGGCAATTTATTGTCACCTCACTTTGTGACCTTGAGCCCTTGCTCCTGCCCCACCCCAGTATTCCCATCTGTGCAATAAAAGGAATGGACTAGTTGGACCTCAGGGCATTGGGAGCTGTGATAGTCTTCGGGAAGAAGCGAGGCAATCCTTTGTAGGGAGCAATTTCAACCCACTTCACCTCCCAGTCAGAGGGAGGCTGGCTCAGAAGTCCCTGGAGGCTCCTTCCAAGTTGACGGCCATATAAAGGCATGACCCCATTCTAAGGACTCAGTGGGGGTCTTTGGAAAACATCAAGAGGGAGGCAGAACCTAATATTCCAGTCCAGGCTTGGCAGGGTGAGCTTAGGCAAACCCTGTCCCTCTCTGGGCCTCCCTATGCAGACACTTGGGCCACCTCCTCATAGTCAGTGCTGCTGTGCCTGTCCTCCTTGCTGATGTGGCTGGAGGTTCACCTTCCCAGCCCCCGGGGTTGGAGAAGGACTAGTCCAAGTCAGCCATGGTAACTCCGCCCCTCTGTCAGCGATTGGCTGAGACCTGAGTACAGGACTCAAGCCTGGCCAATGAAGGGAAGACACCACTGGGATGCTGAGAAAGGCTTTCTTCCCTTGATACCACAGCCCCACAGGAGAACCTGCCTTCCAGGAAGACACTTGGATGCCCAGAACTGCTGCAGCCACCTTATGACTATGAGGAGCTGGGGCTGGGTGTGGTGGAGCTCCTGAGTTAACCAGCCCTGCAGCTAGCCGGACTACTTTTCAAGGAGATCAATTCCTTGCTGTTTAAGTCACTCTGGGTTCATTATTCTCTTTCTTGCAGCCAAATGCATTCTAAATTATATTTAGCTTTCTCATTTGTTCAGTGAGAATAATACCACCAGGATCTTGTGTGGATAAAATGGGATGAAAGACTTGCAGATGCTAAAGCATCCATGACAGTGCCTTATTACTGCAGCAGCCTGAAAACTGACAGCTTTAAGGATGAGGAAGTGTTGTGGGGAGGCCATCAGTCCCATTGTAACCCGCTGATAGATGATGACTCAACTCAACACTCAAGGGGCTTTCTTACTGGGGAAAGAAGCTCCCACAATTGTGTGAACTTTCCTTTTTTTTTTTTCTTTTCTTTTTTTTTTTGTTTTTGTTTTGAGACAGAGTCTCACTCTGTCACCCAGGCTGGAGTGCAGTGGGGCGATCTTGGCTCACTGCAACCTCTGCCTTCTGGGTTCAAGCGATTCTCATGCCTCAACCTCCCAAGTAGCTGGGATTACAAGCATGTGCCACCACACCTGGCTAATTTTTTTTGTATTTTTAGTAGAGACGACAGGGTTTCACCATGTTAGCCATGCTAGTCTCAAACTCCTGATCTCAGGTGATCCACCCTCCTCAGCCTCCCAAAGTGCTGGATTACAGGCGTGAGCCACTGCACCTGGCCTGAACTTTCCTTGTTGCTTAATTTGTTATACTTGTATCTAACAACTCAGAAAACCAATTTTTGTCAATTATAAATTTGATGAATTAAATGTTCTTTTGTGTGTGTGTGTGAGACACAGTCTCACTCCTGTCACCCAGCCTGGAGTGCAGTGGCATGATCACAGCTCACTGCAGCCTCAACTTCCCAGGCTCAGGTGATTCTCCCACCTTTGCCTCCTGAGTGTGGGACTGCAGGCATGTGCCACCACGCCTGGCTAATTTTTTGTATTTTTAGTAGAGACAGGGTCTCCCTAGTTGTCCAGGCTGGTCTCAAACTTCTGGGCTCAAAGGATCTGCCCCCTTCGGCCTCCTAAAGTGCTGGGATTACAGGCATGAGCCACAATGCCTGGCCTAAATATTCTAAACAAGTTAAAATGCAATTACAGACAGTGCATTTGATTTTTTTGAATACTTCCATGCCTCAAACAGCAGACAAAACACTCAGAAACATCATAGCTACACATAAACTCATGCTTATGCTCACTCTAAAGCATCCACACCATAGCCATAATATCAAGTGCATTATTCTGCACTTGATATATTGCCTTCCCAGGATTCTTGCTACACTTATTATTTATTATAATTATTTATTACATTCTCAGTCTTTCCTTGCTTTGCATGACCTTGACAGCTTGGAGGAGGACTGCTGGGCTCCCCCAGAGGCAGATACTGAGACAATGTAATAAATAATATACATTGTTTATTACATTATTATTTACTACATTATTTTTATATCATCCTAGGGTTTCAGTAACACTTTTAGTCCTTCCAGGGTGCAAGGGGACTGGAGAGGGTCGTTAGTCTTACCAGACCCAAAGACAGAGGACACTTTCTCAGACAAGCTGAGGACCTAGAATTGGGTTATTGGCCAATTTATTCTTGACTAGGGCATGGGGCCTGAATACAAAACGTAAGGTGATTCATAACCCAGGTGCCGATCAACAGTGGATTGGATTTTTTAAAATATGGTACATATACACCATGGAATACTATGCACCCATTAAAAAAAATGAAATCACGTCCTCTGAAGCCATGTGGATACAGCTGGAGGCCATTATCCTAAGCAAATTAACACAGAAACAGAAAACCAAATGCCACATGTTCTCACTTATAAGCAGAAGCTAAACATTGGGTATAAACGGACACAAAGATGGAAACAATAAACACTGGGGGCTCCAAAAAGGGGGAGGAAGGGCGGCAGTGGGGGGACCAAGAGCTGAAAAACTACCTATGGAGTACGATGTTCACTACCCGGGCAATGAGATCATCAGCAGCCCAAACCTCATCATCACATGATATACCCATGTAACAAACCTTTACATGTACCCCCTAAATCTAAATTTAAAAAAAATGTTAGGTGATTCAAACACGAGTCCTGGGTCTCCAGGCTGGATCACTTCTTATAAAAGTTTTTCTTGTGATGGCTTGGGAATTTTAAGCATCCATCTTTTTCTGTGAATTTTTTTTTTTTAAGTTTTAGAATTCTGTGTCGTTCCTGATATGATGTAAAAAGAAGGGCACTTTGCCGCAAGGTCTTCTTCCCCCAAATTCATCCCTCTAGTCTAAGGAAAACATCAGACAGATCCACACTGAGGGACATTCTACAGAATATCTGAGCAGTCCTCCTCCAAGCCGTCAAAGTCATGCAAAGCAAGGAAAGACTGAGAAACCATCACAGACCGGAAGAGACTAAGGAGGCATACTGATTAAATACAATGTGGTATGCGGGATAGGATTCTGGAAGCAGAAAAAGACGTCCATAGACAAAGCTGATAAAACCTGAATAACATCTGGAGTTTAATTCATAGTTAACATAAGAGAAGGTTAATCTCTCAGTTTTGACAGATATACCAAGGTAATGTAAGAAGTCAACATTAGAAGAAACTGGGAGAGGGGTGTACTAGAACTCTGTTATCTTTGCAACTTTTCTATAAATCTGAAATTATTCCAAATTGAGTTTATTTTTTTCAATGGTTTGTTAGGCTGGACTCCCCCAGAGGCTGACACTGAGACGAGGATATGAGTGGAAGTCGTTCCTTTGAGAGGTGACTCTAGGATTCACCTGGCAGGGAGTGGGGATGTGAGACAGGAAAGGGAGGAATCGCCAGAGGGTGGACTGGCAAGCAGATGACCGCTGTGGGTAACCGGGGCTCAGGCCTGCATGGAAATATAGGAAATAACATCTCCGAGTTATCCCAAGGAGAGACAAAGGTGTTGGAATATTATCTGCCATTCCCATGAGATATTGGTTGAAGGCTGCTCCGGGACTAGTACACGTCCCACCTACCTCACATGGGCCAAGCAAGCTCCAGTGGCCAGCGACAGCCGCAGGTGGAGCTGCAGGTCTTGCAGCTGGAAGCTGTCCAGCACAACAGACTAGGGTGATGATGTGGGCCAAGGAGAGATGAACGGGACATGACAGTGCCACCGCTCTCCACATCATTCCCAGAACTGAGCCCGCCTGCCAATGCCTCTTGGCTGATAGCATTGAGCCCATTATCCTATCGTTATGATAGATTGGCCTCGTCCAACAATATTATTTAATACTTCCATATTCTTTATTAGAATTTCATGATAATTAATATAAGATCATGTAAAAATGCCATCTCCTCCTGGAGGAAGGATCAAATCTGCAAAGTGAGCTCTCCTCCTCAGGACGTTTGGCTGATTTGTCGCTGGGAGGGTCCTGTGGAAGCCTCTTTCTGCTTGTTTTTTGCGTGCCTGCCTGTGCGGTTCAGCTTGAGGTCCCTCTCCGCCTGGATTTTATGTTGGACCCCACCCCCCACCCCGTGCTCACTGACCCTTCCTGCCCTTGCTATTGTGTTTATTTATTCTGGGGTTATTTGGTTTACTCACAGTCCCTGGCGTTTATTCTTTCCCGCTTATGCAGGAAGAAACGATGACATATTCTATCAGATGCTAAACAGGAAGATAGAGGTCATTTCAATAATTTACACGGAGGGGATGTATCGAAGGGAGTTGGTTACATAGCGGAAAAACCAATCAGGGGACGGTGAAGCGGCCCAGATTTTAGCAACAGCAGGAAGCCGCTAACACCCTTGGAAGGAGTGCTGCTGCAGCCCCTGTGCCGGGGTCCCCCAGAATAAGCTGGTGCGGTGGTGGCTCCCACAGGACAGCAGCCGTAGCTATGGAGCGGATGCCAGGAGAGAATGCAGCCAGTTCCCCGGGACTCCGCTGGGGATGGAGCCAGCAGATGGAGAGACTCAGCCTGGCTTTTCCTTTCCTTCCCCTCCAGCCTCCCTCCCACTTGGCCACGCCCAGCCAGAGGCCTGAGGACCGCAGCGTGTAGGAGCCAGAACCGCGGAGGAAAAAGGCCAGGGGTGAAGCTGAGGCTCACGCACATCCCCAGTCATTACGAACCGTCATGCGCTTTACAGAAGGGACCACATTCTCATACCTGTGAACGCTCCCTTACTTGTTAAACTAAAAAAATATATCCTCCTCGTCATTCCCCTCAAATAATCCTTTTGTACAACGGTACAGTCATTTTTCTCGTTTGCAGATTGTCAGGAGCTCAGGGTCTTTCATGTATTTGCTCTAATGAGTCACATTATTAGATGGTCAAATTGTCAGACTTGTCGTGTGAACACCTTTAGGATGCCCCTGGCATCCTTGAAAGCATTCTTCCTTTCTGGCGACTGTAAAGATGATCCAGAACTTTCTGTCCTGATTTCCTCTTGCCTCAACACAAGAAATCTGTGGAGTCCTGATTCCATTAATAGAGAACAAGTGTTAAAGATCAAAATCCGGGCTGGGTGCGGTAGCTCACGCCTGTAATCCCAGGACTTTGGGAGGCCGAGATGGGCAGGTCACCTGAGGTCAGGAGTTCGAGACAAGCCTGGCCAACATGATGAAACCCTGTCTCTACTAAAAATACAAAAATTACATGGGCATGGTGGCGGGAGCCTGTAATCCCAGCTACTCGGGAGGCTGAGCCAGGAGAATCGCTTGAACCCGGGAGGTGGAGGTTGCAATGGGCCAAGATCGCGTCAGTGCACTCCAGCCTGGGCATCAAGAGCAAGACTCCATCTCAAAAAAAAAAAAAATCAAAATCTGGCTGCACTGGGACTTACTCCTGGTAGTGACAAAGCTGGAACATTTCTTTTTGAGATTATGAATTTATATAGATAGTTTCAATTCAGCATAATGCCTCTCTGAACTTCACTTTAAAAAAACATATAGGTTATCATTTCCATGATCAAGACTTTTGGTTCCCCAACAGGACCAAGGCGGCTTGAGGAAGAATCAAGGGTAGTATCGGCTTCAGGAAGTAACAAAGCACAGGCAGGGTCCTCTGCGAAGTGATGCAGATGAAACCCCAGGAATGAATGACACGCTCAGTACCTGCCAGGCACCGCTCTGAGAACTTCATCCGCATTATGTTACTTAATCATCACGGCCCCCTGCCAGGAGGATCATTATGCCTGCTTTACAGAAAAGACTTACAGGTTAAAGTGCCTAAGGTCCTGCAGTCTCCAAACCTGGCCAATCCACCCGCAGAGCCCATGCTCTGAACCACCGCACCACATGGCCAGGTGAGGGCCGTCTCGGTCCCCAAATGAGCCGCCTACGCATACACTGCCAAGCCTTTGCCCACGCTGTTGGCTCTCCCCTGCTGTGCTTGGAACGCCTACTTGACCTTCAAATTCCAGCCTGAGTCCTCCACCTCCTCTGTGCTCCTGACTCCTTGTGCATCTCCACACACATTAGAGCTGTGTGTGTGTGTGTGTGTCCCTCAGGGCACACACGCAAGGGCAGGTTCTGCGCTTCATTCATTTGCATCCACACTGCACAGTGCCTGACACACAGATGGTGCTCAAGACATACTTGATGAAGGAAGAAAGAGGGAAACCTGGATCTCAGGTAGCTCAGGGAAATGCTTCTATCACCTGGCACGAGCTGAGGGATCCCCGCTCCCGCCTGTCATTTTATATTTATTAAAAGGGACCTACCCCGTCTCCTGCTCCATGCAGCACCTTAAATATTAGGTGGCTGCTTTTCTCAAAATGAGAGTCTTTCCTGCTAAGGAAAACAATAGCCTGATTTGCTCCTGTCCTCAAGATTTCTGGTAACAATCTCAGAGGTCAGCGAGGAAAACTGGAGTGGGGTAGAGGGCCAAGGACTTATAGTCTCCTTCAGGGGCTTGGGGGCTTGGGAGAAACCCCACAAACCCAGCAGGCTCTTGCTGGCTGGCTGGCTGATGATCATGCCCTCTCTCTCTCTCTTTCTCTCTGTCTGTCTCTCTCTCTCTCTTTCTCCCTCTCTGTCTCTCTCTCTCTCTCCTACTCCCTCTTCCCCTCCACTTCTCTCTTTGTACCTCTTGCCCTCCTTCTTCTGTTTTCTCTCTCTCTCTCTCTCTCTCACACACACACACACACACACACAGACACACACACACAAACACACACACACACACATAGAGCCTTGGTAACTAGTGGTTACAAAAAAAGCCCAAATTCAGCCACAGCCACACTCCGTCAAATGAGAAATCCTCTGCTAATACACGGGCATGACAAGTTTCTTCCAAAGCATCTCATATGCGTTGCTGTGCAGTCGCCAGTGAACGTGAGTCCAGCCGCCTGCACCACCGCCTTCCCGTGCGTATGCCTCGGAGCATTGTTCGTCAGGATTCCTCAGATGGAAAAGTTGTGAACATTTGGGCAGTGCCAGGGCTGGCGTTGCAGAGCCTGCTTTAATGAGTGCATAATTAACACCGTGGGCTTCTGCCAATGGCCAGCACTTAAGTCCTTGAAAACAGTCTGTTCCCTGAAATAGGTTAAACGCCCCTCCACCGCCACTGCTACCTCGTTTACACCACTGACTCAGCCACAATGCCTATATATGTGAAGAAAAAAATCCCCAAAGAAATTATTAGTGTTGGCATAGCAACAATATGTTAATTGTGTCTTTCCTAAAGCAGGCCCAGCAGGACCACCACCCGGGGTTGGTCCAGTTTCTGTGCACTTTAAAATAGAAGAAAACTGCACTCTTCTGACTAGGTGCTGTATTGCAGAATCTCCCCACCATGTAACCCAAGTTAATAAGGTTTAGGTGATTTTTTAATGCCTCCATGCTAAAATAGAAAAAAAAAAAAAAAAAAAAGCTAAGACTTGATCCATAAAACTATCTTGATGTCAAGACATTGAACAGAAAAAAGATCATTGTTGTCTGCCTTGGTCCTCCACCCCCGTAACTTCTCTGATGCATCTCTGAAGCCTAACTACTCAATGAAGGAGGGCTCCTGAATTTGCGGAGGTGAACAGCTTATGACCATTATTACACTTTGGGGTGCAAACGATAAAGATCCCAACTCAAATGAGCTAACCAGGAAAGAAGAGTGTTGGCTGCTTAGAAGGACATCCAGATGGGGGCTTCGGGCTAGTGGACTGCACAGTTTGAGGCTGTAACTAAGGGCTTGGCTGTTTTCCAGGTCTCTGTTCTTCCATTCTCAGTACTGATGGCAGAAGACTGGGCCCCTATGAGCACCACTACTAGCATCCCAGCAAAGGAGGAGAGAGAAACAGAGACAGAGGGAGAGGGACAGAAACAGAGAGATAAGGAGAGCCAGAGAGAGAAGGGATCTGGCTTCTCATCCCTCCACAAATGGAAGAACATTTTCCCAGAGACTTTCAGCAAACCACTTCCTGCATCTCATTTTATGGCAGAATCAGGTCACACATGCCCATTCCAGAACTAGTCAGTAGCAAGGAAGATGGGATTATTCTCCCCGGCACCGGAGCACTCCTTGAACTGAAGGTGATTGTTCAAACTAAAGTCCTACTGTCCCCTGTGCCAGGGGCGGACTGGGCATTGGAGAGGCCACTGCTGTGTTCACCACATGAGCACATATATTCTACCACTCTTGCCTCCAGCTAGTCAGGCTCAAGCTTGGGCTCACTCACAAGGGAGCCCACAAAGCAGTGGGAGCTTCAGAGGACGGAGTCCAGTGATCCTCCTTTCGCGTGGGGAAGTGGCAAATCCACTCTTTAACACGGCTCTTTAATTCTCAGGGATGACGGGTGAGCCTCTCTGGGCAGGAGCACTGGGCTCGCCCCTGGGCAGTGGCAGGAGCTTCTCTCTTTCTTTCTTTCTTTCTTTATTTCTTTCTTTCTTTCTTTCTTTCTTTCTCTTTCTTTCTTTCTTCCTTCCTTCCTTTCTTTCTTTTTCTTTCTTTCTTTCTTTCTTTCTTTCCTTCCTTCCTTCCTTCTTTCTTTCCTTTCTTTCCTTCCTTCCTTCCTTCCTTCCTTCCTTCCTTTCTTTCTTTCTATTCTGAGATGGAGTTTCACTCTTGTTGCCCAGGCTGGAGTGCAGTGCCGTGATCTTGGCTCACTGCAACCTCCACCTCCCGGTTCAAGCAATTCTGCTGCCTCAGCCTCCTGAGTAGCTGGGATTACAGGCGTCTGCCACCATGCCCAACTAATTTTTGTATTTTTAGTAGAGATGGGGTATCACCATGTTGGCCAGGCTGGTCTCAAACTCCTGACCTCAGGTGATCCACCCACCTCGGCCTCCCAAAGTGCCGGGATTACAGGCATGAGCCACCGCGCCCAGCCAGGAGCTGCTTTCTAAAGTCTGGGCTGAGCGCGTGAAGAGGAGCACTTCATGCCAACTGTTCAACCCTCCGACCTCTACCACCTTCCTGGCCAAGTCTTCAAGGGCTCTTTATGAGGAAATTGTGCTCCAGAGCACAACTGTCAGCCAAGGCCATTTCTCTGTACAATTCCCCTTTATCATGAACCTTTTAAATGTGTCAAGTACCTGCTTGGATGGGGCATAATATTATGCAAATTTAAAAAACACCATTAGCCACAGACCATTCATCATAAGAACCTATATGAAAAACATAGCTAAGAACAAATAAGCAAGTGAAATGTAATCCCACTCCCGAGTAATCCAAACAGCAATGATAATCGCTTGCCAATTTCTAATTTCACATTCCTTTTACCATTTGATCCTTACGGCAACATAGCGAGACGGGTAAGGAAAATAGCACTGTCCCCCATTTAATAAGGTGGGAGGCATAAGTGCTTAAATAATTTGCCTGAGCATTGCTGAATTTCATATCCAACAAAGGACTTGTATCCAAAATACATAGAGCTCTGAAAACTCAACAATAAGAAAATCAACAATTCAATTTTTTAAAATACAAGGGACTTAGATACTTCATCAAAGAGAATATAAGAATGGCAAAATAAGGTATCTAACATCATTAGCTATTTGGGAAATGCAAATCAAAACCACAATGGAATAACAATTCAAACCCACTGTGATGGTTATAATTAAAAAGACAGACAAAACCAAGTGCTGACCAAGGATGCAGGGCAACTAGAACCCTCATTCCTGGTGGGAATGGAAAATAGTTTGGTGGTTTCTTATGAAGTTAAACATACGTTTTCTTTTCTTTTTCTTTTTTTTTTTTAGGTATTAATGCCCATTCCTTTTAACTACTGAGTTGTATCCCTCCGTATTGTTTAACCATTCACCAGGTGAAGAATATTTGGATTTTTTGAGCTATCATTTGATCACAAATAAAGCTGCTATCAACATTTGGGTGCAAGTTTTTGTATGAACGTAAGTGTTCATTTTTCTAGGGTAAATATCCAGGAGTGGGATTGTTTGAGCCTATAGAAAATATAGAAAATATTTCTATATATAGAAAATATAGAAAATATGTTTGCGCTGGGCGAAGTGGCTCATGTCTATAATCCCAGCACAGGGTACAGGTCTTGCTCTGTCACCCAAACTGGAGTGCAGTGGCATGATCTCAGTTCACTGCAACCTTTGCCTCCTGGGCTCAAGCAATTCTCGTGCCTCAGCCTCCAGAGTAGCTGGGACTACAGGTGCATACCACCACGCCTGGCTAATTTTGAAATCCTAAGCTCAAGCGATCCGCCAGCCTCAGCCTCCCAAAGTGCTGGGATAACAGGCATGAACCACTTTGCCCAGCCTAAACATGAATTTTCTATGGGATCAAACAATCCCACTCCTGGATATTTACCCTAGAAAAATGAACACTTATATTCACACAAAAACTCGCACACAAATGTTGATAGCAGCTTTATTTGTGATCAAATAATAGCTCAAAAAAAAAAGCAAATATTCTTCACCTGGTGAATGGTTAAACAATAGAAAGGGATACAACTCAGTAGTAAAAAGGAATGAGCTATTAATACCTAACAGTTTGGATGAATCTCAAAGGCTTTAAGCCGAGGAAGAGAAGCTGATCTCAAAAACTTACATAACATATGATTTCATTTATGTAACATCCTCAAAAAGACAAAACTGTAGTAGTGAGAGCAGCTCAGTGGCTGCCAGGACTTACGGGTGGAGGGAGAGTGTGTCTGTAAGGGGAACCTTCTGGGGTGATGGAACTGTTCTGTATCCTAATTGTGGTGGTAGTTCCACAAATTTATACGTGTGTTAAAATTTATAGAACTGTACACCAAAGGAAGAAAAAAAGCCAATTTTTACTATACAATATATTTTTTTAAAAAATTTCTTTGAGACGGAGTCTCGCTGTATCGCCCAGGCTGGAGTGCAGTGGTGTGATCTTGGCTCACTGCACCCTCTGCCTCCTGGGTTCAAGCTATTCTCATGCCTCAGCCTCCCGAGTAGTTGTGACTACAGGCACGTGCCACCACACCCGGCTAATTTTTGGTATTTTTAGAAGAGATGGGGTTTTGCCAAGTTGGCCAGATTGGTCTCAAACCCCTGGCCTCAAGTGATCCACTCACCTCTGCCTCCCAAAGTGCTGGGATTACAGGTGTGAGCCACTGCATCCAGTCAATATTTAAAATATTTTTAAATAATGATTTGAGACCAGGTCAACTCCTTGCCCACAGCAGTCTCCACCCCAGTACACAGCCTAAAACAGCTCAAGGCTTTGCTCATGGCATAGCCCTCAGGCCCTCCCTCTAAGGCTTGTCTTTTACAGAAAACTCTAAGCAGCTCCGCTCTCCAGTCTCCAGCCCATGGAAGCCAGCGGCCGGAAGCAGGCACACTGACGGTAACAAGCAACATCTGGCAGGGACAGAGAAGGCAGAAAGCTGTGAAAGCCAGCACAGGAACTCATCACATGCGAGTGCCCCACCCATTCTGAACGCGTGCCTTGGAGACCTACGAGGGCTCCCCTGTATCCCAGTCCTGGGCAGTGGCACCTGGGCGATTTCTGAGGAGGACCCTGAGTCATTACAGAAAGGTCCCCTGGGGCTCCTGGCGCTCTCCCTCTGCAGCAGGAAGTACCCAGTAGAGTCTATCCTTGCTGTCTTCTCTACTCACGAGCAACCCTGAAGATTGAGCATGCAGTGATTTGCCCATTAGTTGGGGCAAGAATTTGGATGCCAGGATGCCCTTGAGTATACCTGTCAATGACCAGACCTGCCCTTTAGTGTGGCATTGTTGATTTCTGTTATTCCCATGACCGTTGATCATGGCATCTAACATTTTTGAGCATCTGCTGTGTTCCAGGTATGCAGATCCTTCCATTTATTCCTCACGACAGCCCTATGAGTAGAAACCACAACAAGCCCCATTCTACAGATAAGGAAACTGGACCCAGAGAAGTTAAGAGACTTGCCTGCAATGACACAGCAAGTGACAGAGCCAAAACTGTGTATCTCCAGAACCTCCCCTCGTAACCATGGTACTGCCTCATAGAGGATGTTGTGAAATGGAAAAGTGAACAAAGAAAGCTGACTTTTTTTTTTTTTTTTTGAGACAGAGTTTCACTTTTGCCACCCAGGCTGGAGTGCAATGGCATGATCTCAGGTCACTGCAACCTCCACCTCCCAGGTTTGAGCGATTCTTCTACCTCAGCCTCCCGAATAGCTGGGATTACAGGTATGCGCCACCAGGCCGGGCTAATTTTTGTATTTTTAGTAGAGGTGGGGTTTCATCATGTTGGCCAGGCTGGTCTCGAACTCCTGACCTCACGTGATCCTCCCGCCTCAGCCTCCCAAAGTGCTGAGATTACATGCATGAGCTACCACACCCGGCCAAGAAAGCTGACTTCTAAAGCTATCATAGAAGTGAAGAGAAAGTGAGGATGACTAAGAAATTGATGGTTCTTTCACAGGAAATAAATGCTTGGAGGAATTTAAAGAAAAAAATGCTTAATTCAATGTTGGCTCATAGCTAGAACATAACCAAGTCCTTTAGAAACAAGAAAAATGGATTCTTGAAGCTCTTTCAGCAATTGTTCCAACCAGCACAAATATTATTAATCAAGTAAGAGAGAATATGTTAGCAAAACTTACATTTAGCTTAATGTGTGAGGATGTTGACAGGAAATGGGCACTGTGGGATTACAATTGCTGAGTCACAGGTACATACCTTTCCTTCCATAATCAGAGCTCTGGCACAAGGTCTCTCATGAGCTGCAGTCAAGCTGTTGGTTGGGGTTGCTGTCTCAGATGAAAGCTCAACTGAGGTCAAGATCTCCATGGTTTGGGGAATTATATTCCAGAATAACCTGGGTCTCCTGTACAGTATGGGAAGAATTTGGATGCATAAAAGGAAAAACCTTCAGTTGTCTGGAAAATTCAACCTGTGGAACATTTATCCCAAAAGCAGGGGAATTTTAAAGACCCTATTAACTGCAGGATAGAGTTCTCTCTCTAACCTCAAGACTTAGGTTCCTGAGAACCTCAGAAAAACAGTAGGCACACCAAGGTGATGATTAAGCCAAAGAAATCCTGTATTTGAAATGTTTACAAAAAAAGAAGGAAAGAAAAGATAGAAATGGTGGAAGGGTGGAAGGCAGCTTCTGAGGTGTCCCCCAGTGATTCCTGCCTCCTGGTTTTCATGCCTGCTGTAGTTTGGATATTTGTCTCCCAAAGTCTCATGTTGAAATTTGATCTCCAATGTTGGTGGGGTGGCCTCTAGAGGGGTGTTTGGGTCGTGAGGGTGGATCCCTCATGAATAGATCAATCCCTTCCCTGGGTGGGGGTGAGTTCTTGCTCTATTAGTTCACATGGGAGTTGGTTGTTAAAGAGAATCTGGTACCTCCTTCCTCTCTCTGTCTTGCTTCCTGTTTCACCATGTGGTCTCTGCACACACTGGCTCCCATCACCATCTGCCATGAGTGGAAGCAGCCTGAGGCCTTATTAGAAGCAGATGTTGGTGCCATGCTCCTTGCAGAGCCTGCAAACATGTAACCCAAATAAACCTCTTTTCCTTATAAATTACCCAGCTTCAGGTATTCCTTTATAGCAATACTAAATGGAATAAGAAAATTGGTACTGAGAAGTGGGACATTGCTATAAAGATACATGAAGGCCAGGCACGGTGGCTCACACCTGTAATCCTAGCACTTTGGGAGGCCAAGGTGGGCAGAACACCTGAGGCCAGGAGTTCAAGACCAGCCTGGCTAACATGGTGAAATCTTGTCTCTACTAAAATACAAAAATTAGCCAGGTGTGGTGGCACATGCCTGTAATCCAACTACTTGGGAGGCTGAGGCATGAGAATTATTTGAACTTGGGAGGCAGAGGTTGCAATGAGCCAAGATTGCACCACTGCACTCCACCTGGGTGACAGTGTGAACTCTGTCTCAAAAAAAAAAAAAAAATGTAGAAGATAAGGGAAAGTTTAGAACTTCTTAGAGATTAGTTATGTGGTTGTGACCAAAATGCTAATAGAAATATAGACAGTAAAGGCCGTGGGGATGAGGGCTCAGATGGAAATGAGGAATTTATTGGGAACTGGAGCAAAGGTCACCCTTGTTACACTGTAGCAAATAACTTGACTACACTGTGTCCATGCCCTAGGGCTTTGTGGAAGACTGAGCTTAAAATTGATGACCTAGGGTCTGGCAGAAGAAATTTCTAAGCAGCAAAGCATTCAAGAAATGGTGTGGCTACTTTTAACACCTTACAATCAGATACAGCAGCAAAGGAATGACCTAAAGGTGGAATTTATAATTAAGAATTAATAAAATTGTGGAAAATTTGCAGCCTGACCCTGTGTTATAGAAAGAAAGAGCATTTTCAGGAGAGGAATCCAAGAGTACTATGGAACAACCATGGAGAGATTAGCATGAATAAAAGAGAGCCAGATGCTAATAGCCAAGACAATGGAGGGAAGACCTCAAAGGCATTTCAGAGGTCTTTGAGGCTACCCCTCCCATCACAGGCCCAGAGGCCTAGGAGGACAGAATGGTTCTGTGGGACATCCCAGCACACACTGTTGCCCTGCACCACTTCAAGAGGCTGCTCCACAATACTGGCCACTCCAGCTTTAGCCAAGGTCCAAACCACCCCAAGTACTGCTTGGGCTGCCACTCCAAAGGGCACAAGTGGTAAGCCTTGGCAGCTTTAACATGATAAGTCTGCAGGCACCTTGAATGCAAGAACCATGGAGGTGTGACAGCTTCCACCTTGATTTCAGAGGATGTATCAAAAAGCCTGAGACCCTAGGGAATGGGGCTGCCTTGGGGACCCCAGAATTACAGAACCACTAGCAGCATGCACCCTCAGCCTGGAAAAGCTACAGGCACCAGACTCCAACTCATGAGAGCAGCCATGGGGGTAGGCCTTCCCAAGGCTTTAGGAACCCATCCCTCACACCAGTGTGTCAGGAAACATGGCATGGAGTCCCAGGAGATTTTGGAGCTCTACGATATTTTGTCTGCCCTATTGAGTTTTGGACTTGTGTGGGGCCTCTTACCCCTTTCTTTTGGCAGAGTGAGTTCTCCCTTTTGGAATGGAAATATTTACCCAATGCTGGTACAATCATTGTATCCTGGAAATAAATAACTTTTTTATTTTATGCGCTCATAGCTAGAAGGAAATTGCCTTGAGTCTCAGGAGAGACTTTGAACTTTTTAGTTAATGCTGAAATAAGTTAAGATTTTGGGGGACTATTGAGAAGGAATAATTGTATTTTGTAATGTGAGATGGACATAAGTTTTGGGGGCCAGGGGTGGGATGCTATAGTTTGGATGTTTGTCCCCAAAACCTCATGTTGAAATTTGATCCTCAGTGTTGGAGTGGGGACTAATGGGAGGCGTTTGGGTCATGGGGGCAGATCCCTCAGGAATAGATTAATCCCCTTCCAGGGGTTGGGTGGGCTGGGTTGAGTTCTCGCTCTATTCTTTCCCATGAGAGCTGGTTGTTAAAAACAGCCTGGTGTCTCCCTCCACTCTCACTTGCTTCCTCTCTCACCATGTGATCTCTGCACATGCTGTCTCCCCTCACCTTCCACCATGAGTGGAAGCAGCCTGAAGCCTCACCAGAAGTAGATGCTCTCACAGTGTTTCTTGTACAGCCTGCCAAATCCTGAGCCAAATAAATCTCTTTTCTTTATAAATTACCTAGTCTCCAGTATTCCTTTATAGCATTACAAAACACACAAAGACAATGTCCTTATTTAATCTTCTTCCCTTGAGTGTGGCCTGGATCAAATGATCATTTTTAACATAGAATATGGTGAAACTAATAGGGATGTTTCTTTCAACATTAGGTTATTAAAAGACTGTGGCTTCTGTTTGGGGCCTCTGTCTCTCTTGGATTACTTAGTCTGGGGGAGGTCAAATGTCATGTTGTGAGGCAGCTGTGGAGAGGTTCACATGGTGAGTGAGGGAACAAGGACTTCCAGTAAGCATGGAAGTAAGTTTGAAAGCAGATCCCAACCTCGGTTGAGCTTTCATCTGAGATGGCAACCCCAACCGACGGCTTGACTGCAACTCATGAGAGACCTTGTGCCAGAAGCTCTGAGCCAGACACTCCTAAATTCTGGCCCACAAAATCTATGAGCTAATCAATGCTGTTTTAAGCCACTGTGTTTGGAGATAATTTGTTATGCAGCAATAAATAACTAATACACAAATTAAATAGACTGACAGTGATAGTTTGCATATTATAAATTGGTAATAAAGAATACCTTTAGATTCCATTTACCATCCCTTACCTATTAGAAATTCTCAAGATCCTCTCACCATCACAGTTTTAAAGAGATATTTTAATTTGTCACTGGATTTGCATTAACCTTTCAAATGGAGAGTTAGATGCCATAAAAACAAATCTTGCCTGATGAGTCCTATGTATAATGAAGAAAACCTGTGAGCTCTCTTGGGCTGTGGTGCAAGACACCCCAAGGCGCTGTCTCCCCAGGTACCAGCTAATTTTTACTTTTATAGAGTGTGTGTGCATAGCGCAGAATATGATAGCATGCTAGAATTTTCCAAGACTTTCTAACACTTAGTCCATAAAGTCTTCCAGGGCCAGCTTTAGGAAATACAGCTGGGTGGCTACCAGGAAATCTTGTTCCCTTGGAGGAATGAGTAAGGGGAACTATGTCTATTTCAGTGGAACTGGTGAAGGGACTCCACAGTTAAGCCAGCACCTTGTGAAGGGAACAACAAAGAATGCTTCTAGGAGCATTTTCCTTAGGAACACTGGTTTGGGACCCCTTGCCTGAGCCTCCTCTGGATCTCCACACCTCAGCCTCCCCTTCTGTTGTCTGAGAGTCTCTGCAAAGCAAAGACCTTCCTAGGCCTTAACTCTTAAGACTCCAGGAAGGAAGGAGGGCTGCAGGGCCTCAGGATAGCCACTCACTGGGGTCCCCTGATTGAGCCTGGTCCCCAGATTCCTCAGGTGACTTTGGTGGAAGATAAAGCCCAGACTCCTCAGCCAGGCCTGGGGTGAGGAGTGAGAGGGAGATGGGGACTAGGGTAGGGGGGAATAACGACTCCCCAGCCTCAGGATCCAGGGCCGGGAGAAGCATACTTCCTGCATTTAGCTGAGACATGGAAGGAAGCCATCTCTTGACTTGGCCCCATTCATTCCATTTGTTTGGGATGGTTTTTTATTCCCCTTTTCCTTAGTTCAAGTTCATTTAACAAGCTGAATTTCTACAATTGGCTGAGATCTGATTTCCTGCTTTAAAAAAATAATACATTGAAACAACAAAAGTCACTCTAACCACCCATGAGCCTAATAGCAATGAGGCACCTCTGCTTCAGCAGTTGCCTAGATTCAGGTCAGCAGGGGGTGGGGGATGGAAGTGGAGAGTTTCTCTGAGTCCTGAGGTCCAAGGTAGGTAACCCAGGAAACCTATGGGCTATTTGGGACAAGTCAGACCTCAGAGGGTCATAGTGAATTGTTGGAGCGATGGTTTGAGCTGACATGGTGCTCCTGGGACTCTCCCAGTCCCAACACAAATCATTTGGTGTTATTAGTCCCCGTTTGGCAAAGTACCACTGAGGATAGAGGCTTTATCATCTTCCTTTGGGACTCCCACTCCCACAGCTACACAGGAAGTGTTGATGAGCTTGGGATCTGGCCCAGCAGCATCCTAAAGGGGAAGCAAAAGTAGAAACTGACTTTTAGGGAACAAATCAGTTCATAGCTGCTTATCTAGAATTTTCTCTACCTCCTAGCTCAGCTCCCCTAGGTTACAGCCCAGACCTAACAGGTAGAAGGAGGTGACTCCCTACACATATAAAGGAAGCAGAAAGAGCTGACTAATTTTTTTGAGCCTTTTGTGCTAGGAATGGTGCCTGACCATGTATTATAATACTAGCTAAAATGTGATGGGTACATTCGATATGCCACTCTGATGTGAGGGTCCCAGTTTGATTCAGGTGGACCTGGACGTGTCTGGAATACCATGGGGTAGGAACCCATTAGAAATCTATTTGCACATGGACTAAGAGGTCTCCTGGGAGAGAATCCATCCGAAGTGAAAAAAGGAATTACATGGCATAAGTAGGGTACTATCCATTAGGATTCACTTCAGCTGAATATAGCAGGGGGCAAAAATCCCTAAAATTAACTATAGCTTAAACAAAACAAAATTGAAACTTATTTTCTGACCAGATGTGGTGGCTCACATCTATAATTCCAGCACTTTGGGAGGCCAAGATGGGAGGATCACTTGAACTTAGGCATTCAAGACAAGCCTAGGCAACATGGCAAAAAGTCATCTCTACAAATAACACAAAAATTAGCTGGGTGTGGTGGCAAACACCTGTAGTCCCAGCTACTCAGGAGGCTGAGTTGGAAGGATTGCTTGAGCCTGGGAGGTCGGGTCGAGGTTGCAATGAGCTGAGATTGCCCCTCTGCACTCCAGCCTTGGCAACAGAATGAGACCCTGTCTCCAAAAAAAAAAAAAAAAAAAGAAAGAAAGAAAGAAAAAGAAATTTATTTTTCTTTCAGGCAAATAAGGTCCAGAACCAATGGCCCAGTACTGGTCTGATCCCACCGTGTCATTAAGAACATAGGTTTCAATATTTCTGCTTCACTGTTTGAGAACATAGCTTCCATCCACAAGCTTTCCTCATGGTCCAAGATGGCTGTTGGAGCTCCAGCCATTGCATCTCAGGCTGCTGGCTGAAAGAAAGAGGGAAGAGCGCAAAAAGGGACATGCTTCGAGGTGAGTCGGTTCTTTAAACAGACTTCCTTACACACAGCAGTTTTGCTTACATCCTGTTGGCCAGAACTTGATCACATGGACATACCAAGCTCCATGGGAGGCTGAGAAATCTTCTCTTTTGCCCCAGGCGGCAAGAGGCCCAACTGGGAATCAAAATTCATTTCTTAAGGAGAACTGAGAGGGCAGATTTTTGGTTAGGCAACGAACAACTTTAGCCATCGTGACCCAGCCAAGAAACCTAAGCTCAGCTCTGCCCCACGCCCTGCCCCATGGATACATGTCTGAGTCTTGGGGAGATAAGAGGCTATAAGAAAACTCTAAAAGTTGTGGGCCTGAGTGCTAAGTTGGGGTTCCTCCTACTGAGAGTAACATAAAAAGAGGGTAGAAGAGCTTTTTACCTACAGTGTCCTCAGACCATAGCTCCGTTTTGATATTCTGAGGACTCCCGGGCCCAGTGAAGGACCATGGTCCAGGTGCCTGGCAAGGCAGCACCGATGCCGGGAGTAAGCACATGTGCAAGGCATCCCCAGATGCCCTCATTAGTCCTTGAAGCAGGGGAAGGAGGCATCACACGTCATGGACAATCTGCAAGACTTAGGTTGCCACTGTCAAAGTGACCCGTTCATACTCAAAACTAAAGAGACTGGGAAAACGCCATGACTCCTACATTAATCCTCACAACCCACAGCCTGGTGGCTAGGATTATTCTCATTCTAATAGCTGAGGAAACTGAGGCCCAGCAAAGTGATGGGAACATCACAGAGCTGGCCAGTGGCCGAACCGTGATTAACCCGATATGTAGACCTCAAGAGCCCTGTTCTTTTTGTGCCACACCCCTACAAGCCTTCTCTCTGCTCAGAAGAGTCTAGAGCTGGAACAGGGAGGATGAAATGGAACAACAGATGAAGCTAGAAAGACACTTGTGACTTTTTCCTTCCCAAATCCCTTTCTTTCGGGAAGGATCCTGCCCCAGTCCATAGAATTGGAGGCGTGTCAACTGTGAAGCCTCATTTCCCTGACCATCCAATGGGCAGCTAGGCTAAACTTAAATTTAGGCTCTCCTTCTCCTGGGAATTTGAGTCTTGAGTAGATATTCTCCAGGAGTGAAGGCAGAGTTATCCCACAGCAGCCCCCTATAGAGACATTCCGTGGGTTCCTGAGATGTTCAGATTCACCCTGGTCCTATCCTTCAGTTCCAGGAGACACCAGAATTCCAACAAGGCAGAGATGCCAGTACCTAGTCTCCCTTTTTCCTTAGAGAAACAAGATGGAGTTTACTGTGTGTGTAAATGTACCCCCAGCTTTAAAGGCACTAACTCCTCTGGGAGATGCACTTTGTCTATTCTCTTTCCTTTTTTTACCTGGAATACCGATGTGACGGTTGGATCTACAGTGATTGTATTGCAGCTGTAAAGTGAACTTGAGGATGGAAACCAGCCCTGAAGATGGTGGAGAGAAAGGTAGATGGAGCCTGGTTCCTAAGGAGTTTATGAAACTGCCATACCAGCCCTGCACCGCCTGCCTTCTGGCTTTAGGAGAGAGGGAAAAAAAAGTCTTCCATCCTACATAGGCTAATATGATTACGGGTCTCAGTCATTAGCAGCCAGAATGAATCCTAAGCAATACACCCATTCTTTTGCTTAAATTAGAATCAGTAACTTTGCTTCTAATTACAGATGAGTCCGTTTCCTTGGAATTAAAGGAAGTGTAACTAGGAGCCCAAGGGGCAACAGGCATCCCTCAAAAACTATAATACTACGGTTGCCTCTCTCTCTCCTAATACTTCTGCCCTTGGCCCTGTGCTGCTGAATCTCCCACTGACCCAGGTGGGAGTCTGTGCAGGTGATAGGGGAATCCCCAGATCCTGCACATGCAGGCACAAGTGTGCCCGTGGGGATCCAGGGTGGAACACTTAGAATGATGCTGATTGGGACTGGTTCTAGAAGACAGTAAAGATGTACATCTTGAAATCGGCAGGTGAGGCACAAGGTCTTGGCCTCTCTACGCCTCAGTTTTCTCATCTTTGAAATGGAAAGAAAGTAAGATCCTATCATAGAATATAGCTGAGGGTTTCAAGTTACTGGACATAGAAATGCTTTGTAGCCAGGCATGGTGGCCCATGCCTGTAATCCCAGCTACAGTGGAAGCTGAGGTGGGAGGAGGATCGCTTGAGGCCAGGAGTTTGAGACCAGCCTTGGCAACATAGCGAGATCTCATCTCTAAAAAAAATTTAATGCTTTGTAAACCATAATGCTCTTTACACATTGTTACTATTAATATTACTTTTTAATTGCTGAATTTAGCTATGGTAATAGGCAAATTGGCTTGTGAGCTATCTTAGGAATTCAAACAACATTTACAACATGAATTGTGTTGTGAAATTAGTTCTGAAACTTCAAACAACTCACTTGCTTTTGGGCTGGACACAGTGGCTCACACCTGTAATCCCAGCACTTTGGGAGGCCGAGGCAGGTGAATCACTTTAGGTCAGGGGTTTGAGACTTGCTTTTGAAACCTTACTAACTCTTAAGCTGGAGAAGGCCTCTGCTGTTACCAGTTACTCTCTAGCTGTTGCACGTGTTAACGTAATGTACCTCTAACGATTTAAACAACCTTTAAGTGAGATATATTCACACCCAACTGTCTGTTTTTAAAGGTGGTCAAAATTCAAAAGTCTTGTAACTTTATGGCTGGATTAAGTTAGGACCAACACCCAAATGTTTTACTGTTTTCCTTGTTCTCTGCATTCATTCACTGTAGGCAAAGGGCCCGCATAAAATGAGTTTTTCATAAGCTGAGACAGGAAGTTTTGCCTAAGTTTTTCCATTTTTTAAGATAATCCTTCGCATTTGCAAATTAACAATTTCCAAAGAACTTTTGGACAGTGGGTCATCCAGACTCACAATGACCCACTATAAGCACAGGTATTTTTCCCACTCTGCAGAGGAGCAGATTATTTCAGAAGAATTAAATGAAAGTGAAATGATTTGCCAGCATCATCACACAGCTGGTACGTGACAGAAGTGAGACTCAGAGCCACCTGTGCTTCCTGAAATGGTGTAGAATTGCTGTGTGATGTTGAAGTCTCCCATTGTTTGGGCTGTAGCTTAAATTTAAAAAGCAAAAGAGTAAGGTGACCACTGAGAGAATGGCTTTCCTACTTTAGTTCACCAAAGGATTACCTGAGGAAATTACAGGATAGGTCCAGGCAGGGCCAGTAAATTTTTATGTTAATATTGGGCCAAGCGTGGTGGCTCACGCCTATAATCCCAGCACTTTGGGAGGCTGAGGCAGGCAGACCACTTGAAATCAGGAGTTCGAGACCAGCCTGGCCAACATGGCGAAACTCCATCTCTACTAAAAATACAAAAATTAGTTGGGCATGGTGGTATGCACTTGTAATTCCAGCTACTTGGGAGGCTGAGGCAGGAGAAACACTTGAACCTGGGAGGCAGAGATTACAGTGAGTTGAGATCATGCCACTGCACTCCAGCCTGGGCAACAGAGACTGTGTCTCAAAAAGAAAGAAAGGAAATTTTTGTGTTGATATTGTTCTAGAATTCTTACTACTCTAAGTGTGGTCCTGGGACCAGCAGCATCAGCACCGCCTAGGAGTGTGTTAGAAATGTACATTCTTGGCCAGACACAGTGGCTCATGTCTGTAATCCCAGCTACTCAGGAGGCTGAGGTGGGAGGATCGCTTGAGCCCCACAGGTCAAGGTTGCAGTGAGCTATCGTGCCACTGCACCTCAGACTGGGAAAAAGAACAAGACCCTGTTTCAATCAATCAATAGAAGTGCAAATTCTCAAGCCCCATCCCAGATATACTGTGTAGAAATCTACATTGAAACAAGATCCCCAGGCAATGTGTGCACACTGAAGTTTGAGAAGCCCCAGGTGATTAGGATGTGAGTCTTCTAGACCCCACATTCCCAAACAGTGTCTTGAAAAAAGAAATTTCAATTCATTTGGTGAATCCACTTGATTCCATGAACAGGGTAAGTCAAGCAAGTAAAACAACTGATGGACTGAAAGCAGCTTTTTAATTGGTGTGACAGCGGCAGCTGGACCCTTGAGTACAGACTGGGAAATCAGCCTTAAGGACAAACATTTGGGAAAGCCCTCACAAACATTAACTCTCATCTGCTCAGCAACCCTGCCGAGTGAGGTGCATTATCACCCTTGTGTAGATGGAAAAAGTGTTCTCAGAGAACAGGAGTGACTTGGTCGAGATCATGCTGTTCGTAAAGGGCAGAGTCAGATTCAAGTTCAGCACTGTCGGGTCCTCTATTGTAGGGCCCACGTGGTGCCCTGGTTCAGTTATTCTACAGCAGTGGTTAGAAAGTTATTAGAAATGCAAAATCTTGGGCCCCACCCCAGAACTACTGAATTCGAAAGTCTGGGAGGGGGATCCAGCCAGCTGTGTTTTACAAGCTCTCCAGGCGATTCTAATGCAGCTGGAGCTTGCAAACCTCTCTCTACAGATCCAAGCCTGATGAGATGCAGGGAAGGAGTACCAGATATCTACCACGTCTGACTAGAGGCCCACGGTACTCAAAAATATTCCAGGCTTTCATGGTACCTGAAATTCCAGCATGGGTACCCATCCCTTAACATGATGCAGTGGGGCCCGAAAGTGCATGAACTACCTTTGAGCTGTTCTTAGCAGCTGGGAATTTTTCGGCAAGACCTGGGGATTTGTTAGAAATGCAGAGTTCAGGACCCCTCCCCAGACCTACTACATCAGAATCTGTGTGTTAAGAAGATTCCGGCGCACCTTAAAGAGTTGAGAAGTGCTATAGTAGAGTGAGCTCTAAATTTGGAGTCCTCATTGCTGAGTACAAATTCCAAGTTTACTACCTCCTTAGGTCTTCCCATCCCACCCAGTTACTAACTCAGCAGGTAAAACCTTCAGAGACCCTTGGGTGTGGAACATCACCACGAGCTCATGTGGCATGTGCCAGAGCTTACTCTAAGAAGCTTAGACAGGTGAGTCTCTGCCATCCCCTGCCTCCTATTGGGATCCTACTCTTGACCCTGAGAGAAGTCTTGGGATGGTGAAATTGCCTTGAGAGTCTCCAGTGAGAAGAGAAAGCCAAGAAAGAGATGAAAGACTACCTAGCATGAAACTCAAAGAAACCGGACGGGTGAGTGAGGTGAGCAGGAAGGCTGGCAGCAAGGCCAGGGGCTAGAACCTGGGAAAATAGAGCAAAGGGTGAGGGATGAAGTCAGTGGCTTAGAAAATGGAGTCTGCAGACATGGGCTACTGCACCATGCTGGGCAACCTCCATGGTATTGAACCCATTCCTACTCCTTGATTAGGGTTCTGCCTCAGTGTCCCACTGGGAATGCCAGATCCCACCCTAGGCCCATCCTTAAGAGCCAGCCAATGCCCAGTTTGCCCCACCCATGTGCACTTGGCAATTGCTCTTAACTTCCTCCATCCATTGACCCTTGCTTGCTAGATTCTATTTGCCTGCAGCCCGGACCATCTGAAGACTAACTAGATCTTACAGAAATAAGCAATCTTAGGAGGAAAGCGAGAAAGAAAAGCAGCTAATCTGGAGGACAAGGAGGGAAAGATTGACATACAGACATCAGAAATGGCCAAGATAAACCACCCAAATTGAGTATGAGGAGAATGAGGAGAAGAGAACAGAAGAGGAAGAGTTCAATACCAGTGGCAAAACCATCTGCACTTTGAGGGAAATATCTAATATGCACATGTCTGGGACGTTTAAATCATCAAAGTGCTTTTCAGTGAGGGCTATTTGATATCCAGGAAGCCTTTGGAATTATTTTACTAGGCTTTGTTAAGCTCTTTATTTTCAACATCAGGAAGTTGTGTTCTGCCAGAAGAGGATTATTTGCACATCAGATCGAAGCCTATAAGCTTCCAGAAAAATTTAACGTGGCCCTGGCCTATATGGGATCCTCTTGGCCAAAACGACCATCCATGCACCCTGGCGTTTATCTCTGAGTTCTCCTCCATCTGTAGCTTTTCTAATCCAGGCATCTTAGTTTGCTAGGGCTGCCATAACAGAATATCACAGTTTGACTTGAACAACAATTTCTTTTCTCACAATTGTGGAAGCTGGAAGTCCATGATCAAGGTGCCAGCAGGTTGGTTTTCAGGGAGGCCTGTCTTCCTGGCTTGCAGATGGCTGCCTTCTTGCTGTGTCCTCACATGACCTTTCCTCTGTGCGTGCGCACTCCTGGTGTTTCTTCCTCTTCTTATGAGGATACCAGTCTGATTTGATTAGGGCCCCATCCTTTTGACCTCATTTAACCTTAATTACCTCCTTAAAGGCCCCATCTCCAAATACAGTAACATTGAGGGTTAGGGCTTCAACAGATGAATTTTGAGGGGAAACAATTCAGTCCATAACACTAGGGATGAGAAACCAGGCTGCAATCACTTGGCAAAATACAGAAACTGGAGTTTGTTATGCAGTGGATTGTGCCCTAAAGGCTACAGCCCTAAGAAAGTCTCCTCACCCTCTGGACTTGTTTCCTCCCCTGTAATGAACAAAGGGTGACAAAGAGCCCTGTTGGGATGCTGGGGCCCCTAGATTCTGGCCCTGGCTCTGACAACATCCAGCGAAGTGTTGTTGATTGAGTGTACCCTTTCTATGACCCATCTTTCTCCTACATAAAACAAGGTACCAACTCAACAACAACAACAAAAACAAAGAACCCAACTAAACAATGGGCAAATGACTTGAATATAGACATTTCTCCAAAGATATACAAATGGCCAATAGGCACATGAAAAGATGCTCAACATTACCAATTGTTAGGGAAATGCAAATCAAAACAATATTAAGATACCACTTCACACTCATTAGGATGGCTATTACCAAAAAACAGAAAACAACAAGTGTTGGGGAGGATGTGGAGAAATTGGAAGCTTTGTGCATGGCTAGTGGGAATGGAAAATGGTGCAGCCAGTGTGAAAAATGGTATGCCAGTTCCTGAAAAAGTTAAATATAGAATTACCATATGATCCAGCGATTTTGCTTCTGGGAATATATCCAAAGAATTGAAATCAGGAACTCCAACAGATATGATACACCCATGTTCACAGCAGCATCATACACAATAAACAAAAGATGGAAGCAGCCTAAGTGTCCATTAATGAATAAATGGATAAACAAAATGTAGTATATACGTAGAGTGAATATTATTCAGCCTTAAAAAGGAAGGAAATTGGGGGGAGGTTCCAAGATGGCCAAATTCGAACAGCTCCAGTCTACAACTCCCAGCATGAGCAACGCAGAAGATGGGTGATTTCTGCATTTCCAATTGAGGTACCGGGTTCATCTCACTGGGGCTTGTCGGACAGTGGGTGCAGCCCACAGAGTGTGAGCTGAAGTACGGCGGGACATCACCTCATCCAGGAAACACAAGGGGTTGGGGAATTCCCTTTCCGAACCAAGGGAAGCCATGACAGATGGTACCTGGAAAATCGGGACACTCCCACCCTAATACTGTGCTTTTCCAACGGTCTTAGCAAAATGGCATACCAGGAGATTATATCCCGCGCCCAGCTCGGAGGGTCCCACACCCACAGAGCCTCGCTCACTGCTAACACAGCAGTCTGAGATCAAACTGCAAGGCAGCAGTGAGGCTGGAGGAGGGGTGCCCACCATTGCTGAGGCTTGAGTAGGTAAACAAAGCAGCCAGGAAGCTCGAACTGGGTGCAGCCCACCACAGCTCAAGGAGGCCTGCCTGCCTCTGTAGACTCCACCTCTGGGGGCAGGGCATAGCTGAACAAAAGGCAGCAGAAACTTCTGCAGACTTAAACGTCCCTATATGACAGCTTTGAAGAGAGTAGTGTTTCTCCCAGTGCAGAGTTTGAGATCTGAGAATGGACAGACTGCTTCCTCAAGTGGGTCCCTGACCCCCAAGTAGCCTAACTGGGAGACACCTCCCAGTAGGGGCCGACTGACACCTCATACAGCCAGGTGCCCCTCTGAGACGAAGCTTCCAGAGGAAGGATCAGGAAACAACATTTGCCGTTCTGCAATATTTGCTGTTCTGCAACCTCCACTGGTGATACTCAGGCAAACAGGGACTGGAGTGGACCTCCAGCAAACTCCAACAGACCTGCAGCTGAAGGTCCTGACTGTTACAAGGAAAACTAACAAACACAAAGGACATCCACACCAAAACCCCATCTGTACATCACCATCAACAAAGACCAAAGGTAGATAAAACCACAAAGGTGGGGAGAAACCAGACCAGAAAAGCTGAAAATTCTAAAAATCAGAGTCCCTCTTCTCCTCCAAAGGAATGCAGCTCCTTGCCAGCAATGGAATAAAGCTGGACAGAGAATGACTTCGACGAGCTGAGAGAAGAAGGCTTCAGACGATCAGTAATAACAAACTTCTCCAAGCTAAAGGAGGATGTTCGAACCCATCGCAAAGAAGCTAAAAACCTTGAAAAAAGATTAGACGAATGGCTAACTAGAATAAACAGTGTAGAGAAGACCTTAAATGACCTGATGGAGCTGAAAACCATGGCACAAGAACTACGTGACACATACACAAGCTTCAGTAGCCGATTTGATCAAGTGGAAGAAAGGGTATCAGTGATTGAAGATCAAATGAATGACATGAAGCGAGAAGAGAAGTTTAGAGAAAAAAGAGTAAAAAGAAACGAACAAAGCCTCCAAGAAATATGGGACTATGTGAAAAGACCAAATCTACGTCTGATTGGTGTACCTGAAAGTGACAGGGAGAATGGAACAAGTTGGAAAACACTCTGCAGGATATTATCCAGGAGAACTTCCCCAACCTAGCGAGGCAGGCCAACATTCAAATTCAGGAAATACAGAGAACACCACAAAGATACTCCTCGAGAAGAGCCACTCCAAGACACATAATTGTCAGATTCACCAAAGTTTAAATGAAGGAAAAAATGTTAAGGGCAGCCAGAGAGAAAGGCTGGGTTACCCACAAAGGGGAGCCCATCAGACTAACAGTGGATCTCTTGGCAGAAATTCTACAAGCCAGAAGACAGTGGGGGCCAATATTCAACACTCTTAAAGAAAAGAATTTTCAACCCAGAATTTCATATCCAGCCAAACTAAGCTTCGTAAGTGAAGGAGAAATAAAATACTTTACAGATAAGCAAATGCTGAGAGATTTTGTCACCACCAGGCCTGCCTTACAAGAGCTCCTGAAGGAAGCACTAAACATGGAAAGGAACAATCAGTACCAGCCACTGCAAAAACATGCCAAATTGTAAAGACCATCAATGCTAGGAAGAAACTGCATCAACTAATGAGCAAAATAACCAGCTAACATCATAATGACAGGATCAAATTCACACATAACAATATTAACCTTAAATGTAAATGGGCTAAATGTTCCAATTAAAAGACGCAGACTGGCTAATTGGATAAAGGGTCAAGACCCATCAGTGTGCTGTATTCAGGATACCCATCTCATGTGCAGAGACACAGATAGGCTCAAAATAAAGGGATGGAGGAAGATCTACCAAGCAAATGGAAAACAAAAAAAAGTAGGGGTTGCAATCCCTCTGATAAAACAGACTTTAAACCAACAAAGATCAAAAGAGACAAAGAAGGCCATTACATAATGGTAAAGGGATCAATTCAACAAGAAGAGCTAACTATCCTAAATATATATGCACCCAATACAGGAGCACCCAGATTCATAAAGCGAGTCCTTAGAGACCTACAAAGAGACTTAGACTCCCACACAATAATAATGGGAGACTTTAACACCCCAGTATCAACATTAGACAGATCAACGAGACAGAAAGTTAACAAGGATATCCAGGAATTAAACTCAGTTCTGCACCAAGCAGACGTTAACAGACATCTACAGAACTCTCCACTCCAAATCAACAGAATATACATTCTTCTCAGCACCACATCACACTTATTCCAAAATTGACCATATAGTTGGAAGTAAAGCACTCCTCAGCAAATGTAAAAGAACAGAAATTATAACAAACTGTCTCTCAGACCACAGTGCAATCAAACTAGAACTCAGGATTAAGAAACTCACTCAAAACCGCTCGACTACATGGAAACTGAACAACCTGCTCCTGAATGACTACTGGGTACATAACGAAATGAAGGTAGAAATAAAGATGTTCTTTGAAACCAATGAGAACAAAGACACAACATACCAGAATCTCTGGGACACATTTAAAGCAGTGTGTAGAGGGAAATTTATAGCACTAAATGCCCACAAGAGAAAGCAGGAAAGACCTAAAATTGACACCCTAACATCACAATTAAAAGAACTAGAGAAGCAAGACCAAACACATTCAAAAACTAGCAGAAGGCAAGAAATAACTAAGATCAGAGCAGAACTGAAGGAAATAGAGACACAAAAAAAACCCTTCAAAAAATCAATGAATACAGGAGCTGGATTTTTGAAAAGATAAAATTGATAGACCACTAGCAAGACTAATAAAGAAGAAAAGGGAGAAGAATCAAATAGGTGCAATAAAAAATGATAAAGGGGATATCACCACTGATCCCACAGAGATACAAACGACCATCAGAGAATACTATAAACACCTCTATGCAAATAAACTAGAAAATCTAGAAGAAATGGATAAATTCCTGGACACATACACCTGCCCAAGACTAAACCAGGAAGAAGTTGAATCCCTGAATAGACCAGTAACAGGCTCTGAAATTGAGGCAATAATTAATAGCCTACCAACAAAAAAAGTCCAGGACCAGGCAGATTCACAGCCAAATTCTACCAGAGGTACAAACAGGAACTAGTACCATTGCTTCTGAAACTATTCCAATCAATAGAAAAAGAGGGAATCCTCCCTAACTCTTTTTATGAGGCCAGCATCATCCTGATACCAAAGCCTGGCAGACACACAACAAAAAAAGAGAATTTTAGACCAATATCCCTGATGAACATCGATGCAAAAATCCTCAGTAAAATACTGGCAAACTGAATCCAGCAGCATATCAAAAATCTTATCCACCACGATCAAGTTGGCTTCATCCCTGGGATGCAAGGCTGGTTCAACATATGCAAATCAATAAACGTAATCCAACATATAAACAGAACCAAAGACAAAAACCACATGATTATCTCAACAGATGCAGAAAAGGCCTTCAACAAAATTCAACAGCCCTTTGTGCTAAAAACTGTCAATAAACTATGTATTGATGGGACATATCTCAAAATAATAAGAGCTATTTATGACAAACCCACAGCCAATATCATACCAAATGGGCAAAAACTGGAAGCATTCCCTTTGAAAACTAGCACAAGACAGGGATGTGCTCGCTCACCACTCCTATTCAACGTAACGTTGGAAGTTCTCGCCAGGGCAATCGGGCAGGAGAAAGAAATAAAGGGTATTCAATTAGGAAAAGAGGAAGCCAAGTTGTCCCTGTTTGCAGATGACATGATTGTATATCTAGAAAACCCCATCATCTCAGCCCAAAATCTCCTTAAGCTGATAAGCAACTTCAGCAAAGTCTCAGGATACAAAATCAATGGGCAAAAATCACAAGCATTCCTATACGCCAATAACAGACAAACAGAGAGCCAAATCTTGAGTGAACTCCCATTCACAATTGCTTCAAAGAGAATAAAATACCTAGGAATCCAACTTACAAGGGATGTGAAGGACCTCTTCAAGGAGAACTATAAACCACTGCTCAACGAAATAGAAGAGGACACAAACAAATGGAAGAACATTCCATGCTCATGGATAGGAAGAATCAATATTATGAAAATGGCCATACTGCCCAAGGTAATTTATAGATTCAATGCCATCCCCATCAAGCTACCAATGACTTTCTTCACAGAATTGGAAAAAACTACTTTAAAGTTCATATGGAACCAAAAAAGAGCCCGCATTGCCAAGACAATCCTAAGCAAAAACAACAAAGCTGGAGGCATCACGCTACCTGACTTCAAACTATACTACAAGGCTACAGTAACCAAAACAGCATGGTACTGGTACCAAAACAGAGATATAGACCAATGGAACAGAACAGAGCCCCCAGAAATAATGCTGTATATCTACAACCATCTGATCTTTGACAAACCTGACAAAAACAAAAAAATGGGGAAAGGATTCCCTATTTAATAAATGGTGCTGGGAAAACTGGCTAGCCATATGTAGAAAGCTGAAACTGGATCCCTTCCTTACACCTTATACAAAAATTAATTCAAGATGGATTAAAGACTTAAATGTTAGACGTAAATCCATAAAAACCCTAGAAGAAAACCTAGGCAACACCATTCAGGACATAGGCATGGGCAAGGACTTCATAACTAAAACACCAAAAGCAATGGCAACAAAAGTCAAAATTGACAGATGGGATCTAATTAAACTAAAGAGCTTCTGCACAGCAAAAGAAGCTACCATTAGAGTGAACAGGCAACCTACAGAATGGGAGAAAATTTTTACGATCTACCCATCTGACAAAGGGCTAATATCCAGAATCTACAAAGAACTTAAACAAATGTACAAGAAAAAATCAAACAACCCCATCAAAAAGTGGGCAAAGGATATGAACAGACACTTCTCAAAAGAAGACTTTTATGCAGCCAGCAGACACATGAAAAAATGCTCACCATCACTGGCCATCAGAGAAATGCAAATCAAAACCACAATGAAATACCATCTCACACCAGTTAGAATGGCGATCATTAAAAAGTCAGGAAACAACAGGTGCTGGAGAGGATGTGGAGAAATAGGAACACTTTTACACTGTTGGTGGGACTGTAAACTAGTTCAACCATTCTGGAAGACAGTGTGGCGATTCCTCAAGGATCTAGAACTAGAAATACAATTTGACCCAGCCATCCCATTGCTGGGTATATACCCAAAGGATTATAAATCATGCTGCTATAAAGACACATGCACACGTATGTTTGTTACGGCACTATTCACAATAGCAAAGACTTGGAACCAACCCAAATGTCCATCAATGATAGACTGGATTAAGAAAATATGGCACATATATACCATGGAATACTATGCAGCCATAAAAAAGGATGAGTTCATGTCCTTTGTAGGGATATGGATGAAGCTGGAAACCATTATTCTGAGCAAACTATCGCAAGGACAGAAAACCAAACACCACATGTTCTCACTCATAGGTGGGAGTTGAACAATGAGAACACTTGGACACAGGGTGGGGAACATCACACACCGGGGCCTGTTGTGGGGTGGGGGGAGGGGGGAGGGATAGCATTAGGAGATATACCTAATGTAAATGATGAGTTAATGGGTGCAGCACACTCAACATGGCACATGTATACATATGTAACAAACCTGCATATTGTGCACATATACCCTAGAACTTGAAGTATAATCAAAAAAGAAAAGGAAGGAAATTTGGTTGGGCGCAGTGGCTCACACCTGTAATCTCAACACTTTGGGGTGCCAAACTGGGTGGATCACCTGAGGTCAGGAGTCGAGACCAGCCTGACCAATATGGTGAAACCCCATCTCTACTAAAAATACAAAAATTAGCCAGGCATGGTGGTTTGTGCCTGTAATCTACCTGGGAGGCTGAGACAGGAGAATTGCTTGAAACCAGGAGGTAGAGGTTGCAGTGAGCCAAGATCGTGCCATTGCACTCCAGCCTGGGTGACAGAGTGAGACTCTGTCAAAAAAAAAAAAAAAAAAAAAAAAGAAGGAAATTCTAACACAAGCTACAACATGGATGAACCTTGAGGACATTATGCTGACTGAAATAAGCCAGTCGCAAAAGGAGAAATACTGTATGATTTCACTTATGTAAGGTACCTATATAAGTGAGTAGTAGTCTAATTCATAGAGACAGAAAGTAGATTGGGCCAGGCATGGTGGCTTATGCCTATAATACCAGCACTTTGAGAGGCTGAGGCAAGAGGATCACTTGAGCCCAGGAGTTTGAGACCAGCCTGGGCAACATAGCAAGACTTCGTTTCTACAAAAACTGTAAAAATTAGCTGGGCATGGTAGTGCACACCTGTAGTCCCAGCTACTCAGGAGGCTGAGGTGTGAGAGTCGCTTTAGCCCAGGAGGTCAAGGCTACAGTGAGCCATGATTGCATCAGTGCACTCCAGACTGGGCAACAGAATGAGACCCTGTCTGAAGAAAGAAAGAAGGAAAGAGAGAGAGAGAGAGAAAAGAAATAAAGAAAAAGAAAGAAAGAAAGAAAGAAGGGAGGGAGGGAAAGAAAGAAAGGAAAAGAGGAAAGAAAGAGAGAGAAAGAAAGAAAGAGGAGAAAGAAAGAAAGAGAAGAAAGAAAAAGAAAGAGAAAAAAGAGAGAGACAGAAAGAGAAAAGAAAGAAAGAAGGTAGGGAGGGAGGGAAAGAAAGAAAGGAAAAGAGGAAAGAAAGAAAGAAAGAAAGAAAGAGAGAGAAAGAAAGAAAGAGGAGAAAGAGAAAGAGAAGAAAGAAAAAGAAAGAGAAAGAGAAGAAAGAAAAAGAAAGAGAAAGAGAAGAAAGAAAAAGAAAGAGAAAGAAAGAGAAAAGAAAGAAAGAAGGTAGGGAGGGAGGGAAAGAAAGAAAGGAAAAGAAGAAAGAAAGAAAGAGAGAAAGAAAGAAAGAGAAAGAGAAGAAAGAAAAAGAAAGAGAAAAGAAAGAAAGAAGGTAGGGAGGGAGGGAAAGAAAGAAAGGAAAAGAGGAAAGAAAGAAAGAGAGAGAAAGAAAGAGGAGAAAGAAAGAGAAAGAGAAGAAAGAAAAAGAAAGAGAAAAGAAAGAAAGAGGGAAAGAAAGAAGGAAAGAAGGAAGGTTACTAGGTGCTGGCAGAGGGAGTTGGGAGTGAGTGTTTAATGAGTACAGAGTTTTAGTTTGGGAAGATGAAGAGAGTTCTGGAGATGGAGGGTGGTGATGATTGCACAACAATGTGAATGTACTTAATGCCACTGAACTGTGCAGTTAAAATGGCTAAAATGCTAAGTTGTATGTTATGTATATTTTACCACAATAAAAAATAAAGAGGGGTCATTGGACTGCGTCTAAGGTGTCATCCAGCTCTAAAATTTGATTCCTCTCAGTACTTGACACAACATAAGAGGATGTTCCCTCGTTTCCTTCACCAAATAGCAAAATTGAATCCTCAGCCTTTTTCAGCCTGTGCTGACCAGAACTGTTTGGGAAACAAACACCTGAGAATCTCTGGGTTTGGCTGGTCTCTTATTTAGCCAAGAGGAAACTGGAAGCCCCTGAAGAACACCGCAATTTGCAGGCAAATCAGGGCAGGTATTTTGTGGTCCTTGGGGGAAATTTTTTTTAATCAATGTTCTTAGACTTTTGGGTGAGTCTTGCTTATTGTATTTCTGAGCTGGACAAGGCATAGCTTCAGGAAAACTCAACTCAGAGCCCATCTGTTTAGTATTTGGAGCAAACTCATGGGGAGTACTCAGGCTGAAAATTGGTTTGGAGTTTGGGTGGTTGTTTAAAAAACAAACAAAACTCCTTTAACTATCATGCAGATGAGTGTAGCGACTTAAAACACACTGCCTGGACTCCTGAAAGCATGCAAAATGTCATCTTCTGCTTTCCTGATCTTTCTGCATTCTAATTTCAGATGTCTGCCCTTCAATGAGATGAGTGACTGTCAGTTTAAATACCAGACTCTCAATTCGGGATATCCTTAAGGGACACAAGGAGTTTTGTAGCTACTCAAAGAAACAGTTTCCAGCTTGGGTGTCTACCTCTGTTAGTGCTAACTCCATGAAAATCCTTGGCCGGAATACATGGTGGAGCATGGTAAGTATGTCTGTTGCAGGTCTGGATTATCCACCTTCTTCAAACTCCAGGGCTAAGTCTGGGATTATCTCCAAGAGCCGGCATGCAACCTGAAGTTTAGGTAAACTGTCTCATTCACCTCGCTGTTCCCAGTGCGAGATCCCCAGGGCTGGGGATAATGAGTAGAAACTCATTATCTACTGATAGCTGAATTAAATTTAAAGGAGTGTAATTGAGCAATGACTCATTCATGAATCGGGCAGCCCCCAGAATCACAGCAGATTCACAGAGACTCCAGGGTTGCCTTGGGGTCAGAACAAATTTATAGACAAAAAAGGTAAAGTGACATACGAGAATCGGAAGTGAGGTACAGAAACAGCGAGACTGGTTACAGCTCAGCATTTGCCTTATATGAAGGCAGTTTGAACACTCAGCAGTCTATGAGTGTTTGAAGTATGGCCGCTGGGATTGGCTAACACTTGGCTATCGTTACAGATGCATACTATTAAGTTAGGTTTTCAATTATGTATGACTATTAAGCTAGGTTACAGTTCATTCACAAATATAGAAGTACTGAGTCATTCTCAGGCCGTATTTAGTTTGCTTTAACACTACTGAGTTGAATTGAATGTCATCCTGAGTGGTACAGAATGGAACATAAAGGTCAAACTCTCAATTCGAAATCAGCAAACTGCCATAGAAATCCTTCACCTTCCTAGCTTGGTAAAGAAAGAAGAAATACCCCCAAACTTGTTCTTTGCACTAATTAATACCCAACTTAAAAATTGCATATGTTGTATTATTTGTAATCCTAGTGTCTATTAATGCTGAAAAGCAAAAGCAACCATAATGAGGGGCTGATGATTAATTTTTCTCATTTAGGCTTACCATTCTAGCTAATTTGGTCTTGACAAATTCAGAACATGGGATCTGTATGCATCCCAGACAGATGTGCAAGTCCTGTGTAAATTAATCAAGCCTGACTATAGATCCATCTGCTGGCCCCCTTATCCCAAAACACTGACAGCCCTGTCTTGCCACCAGGTAGGCTTTTTGTTGTTGGTGTTGTTGTTGTTTTGTGGGGTTTTTTTGACATGGAGTCTCGCTCTGTCACCCAGGCTGGAGTGCAGTGTGCAGTCTTGGCTCACTGCAACCTCCGACTCCCAGGTTCAAGTGAGTCTCCTGCCTCAGCCAACTGAGTAGCCGGGATTACAGGCATGCGCCACCATCCCAGCTAATTTTTGTATTTTTAGTAGAGATGGGATTTTCACCATGTTGGCCAGGCTGGTCTTGAACTCCTGACTTCAGGTGATCCACCTGCTTCAGCCTCCCAGAGTGCTGGAATTACAGGCATGAGCCACCGTGCCTGACCAAGGTAGGTGTATTTCTGAATAAGCTCCTGCATAAATCTACCTGGGTAAAACTCTTGCATTTTATATTTACACTTTGTACTTTTCAATGCCATTCCATATGTATGTGTGTCATTTTATAAATGATACATGATAGATCATTTTTCACATTTTATACATGTTACATCACTAACCATGTGGTGAAATCAAAAGGATTCCCACTTTACAGAAGGGAAAACTGAGGCATGAAGAGGTGATTTCTTCATCTAAGTTAGTAGTAGAGTTTGGATCCTAATTATTTCCCTGCTTCTCTGGTTTAATCCTTTCCTATTTTGATGCACATTTGTAAGCTTAAAACTTAGCATCTGCCTGCCAGTTTTTAAAACAGTCTGCATATCTTCTCTTGGGCATACAACAGCCAGTGCAGATACCCAGGATGTCTGCCAGCTGCCAGTCACTTCTCTTCTGGAGCAAGGGCTTTCTTCCAAGTCAGCAGGCTTCTTAGACTATGCCGTCCAGCGACTTTGGTTGCTAGGCACAGAACCCCTGTAGGAATTTGGGGATTTATGGCCAGGATTCACAGGAAGGAGAACTCAGTACAAAGCAAAGAGCTGGGTCTCAGGAGGAACTTCAGGGAGGTCTGGCTGGTTCTGGGTCCAAAGTGGCCCAGGGTCCGCAGCAACAGTTTTGCAGAACTTTACCCCAGTCTAGAACTCTCCTACTAATGAGACCTAGCTCACAGGGAGACACACTCTCGGAGTTTCTGTCTTGCCACCGCCTGCCTAATGCCTCACTGCTGCTCAGAGGATATAAAGTTATTTTTCTGAAGTCAGCATATTAGGTGAAATTCCAGTAGAGTCCAGATTTGCCCTTGGAAATTCTTTAAATCTCCAGAGAGTACTGTTGATGTGGTTTTATGCATGTAGCTCTATGTAGTAATGTATGCTAGATGCAGAGTGTATGGGGTACTCTCCTTACAACTTTTTGTCTGGCACTGTCCTTTAATCTTGCCTATAGGGAGCATCTTCTCCTATACTTGGATGAACATTTGGGGCAGCCTTTGGTTTTGTTTTTTTAATTCAGAAAAAATTTACATGACATAAAATTAAACATTGACGATTGCAAGGGTACAATGCAGGGACAGTTAGGACATTCCCAGTGATATACAACCACCAGCTCTGTCTAGTTCCAAGACATTTACATCATCCTGGAAGGAAACCATGTACCCACTAGTGGTCCCCTTACCCCGTCCCCCAGGCCCTGGCAACCATGAGTCTGCTTTCTGTCCCTATGAATTAACTTCTTCCGATGTTTCATATCAATGAACCCATACACTATGTGGCCTTGTGTCTGGCCTCTTTCACTTAGGACAATATTATTATTAAGGTCCATTCACATTGTAGCATGGATCAGTACTTCATTCCTGTTAATTAGCCCTTTGATTTTGGTTTACTCTTTGGTTTTAAAAAGTCCTAGAGTAACTTTCCTTTTTTTTTTTTTTTTTGAGACAGAGTCTCCCTCTGTCGCCCAGGCTGAAGTGCAGTGGCACAATCTAGGCTCACTGCAACCTCCACCTCCTGGGTTCAAGCGATTCTCCTGTCTCAGCCTCCCGAGTACCTGCGATTACAGGCACCGGCCACCATGCTGGGGTAATTTTTGTATTTTCAGTAGACAGGGTTTCACCATGTTGACCAGGCTGGTCTTGAAATCCTGACCTCAGGCTGATCCACCTCAGCCTCCCAAAGTGCCAGGAATACAGGCGTGAGCCGCTGCGCCTCACCTGAAGCTAGCTTTGTTTGCAAACATGGTCTCCACTCAGAAAATCAAATCTCCAGTCCAATCCACGCTTAAGTCTTGACTCACAGATGAGCCTTCTGCCCCTGCTCTTGCCACAGCCACCTGCAGGAAGATCACCCCCCTTGGGGACAGCAGACAGTGTCCTTCTCTCCCTCCTTTTTCCTCCCTGGTTTGCTCACTTCTGTTTCTGGTTTCTGGCCCATCTGGGATGGAGCATGAGGAGGGAAAGCAGGGAGAAAGAGGAAGAAAATTTGCACTTGATTGGTACTGTAGTAAAGTGGCTCTAAGCTCTCTGAGTCTGATGGAATTTGACAACCTTTCCCCAACGTCGGCCTCGTGTTCTTTGGCAACGCCCACTGCGGCCCTGCAGTTGCAAACATCTTGAGGTGGGCAATGCATTTTCCCCTTTTTCCTGCTGCCCACGGACTTCACACAGTCTCCGGAACATCCCATGGCCCCTCCAAATAGCCTTCTTGAGCAGGATTTTAAACTCTACAGACTTATCGCTCTGCCATGGGAGTAGGAGACCCTAAACATAATTGAAATTACATAGAAGTATTTAGAGACAAACAAATTGGTTTTATCACATTAATGGACCTATGAAATCATTCTATTCAAAAACTGTGTTTGAAAATAAAATGTGGCTGGGCGTGGTGGCTCACATCTGTTATCTCAGCACTTTGGGAGGCCAAGGCAGCCAGATCACTTGAGGTCAGGAGTTCGAGACCAACCTGGCCAACATGGTGAAACCTCATCTCTACTAAAATTAGCCAGGCATGGTGGTGCATGCCTGTAACCCCAGCTACTCGGGAGGCTGAGGCAGGAGAATCGCTGGAACCCAGGAGGCGGAGGTTGCAGTGAGCTGAAATTGTGCCACTGCACGCCAGCCTGGGTGACAGAACGAGATTCCATCTCAAAAAAAAGTAAAATAAAATTCGGTCCGGGTGCAGTGGCTCATGCCTGTAACCTCAGCACTTTGGGAGGCTGAGGCAGGTGGATCATTTGAGGTCAGGAGTTCAAGACCAGCCTGGCCAACAGAGTCTCGCTTTGTTCACCTAGGGTGGAGTGCAGTGGTGTGATCTTGGCTCACCACAACCTCCATCTCCTGGGTTCAAGTGATTCTCCTGCCTCAGCCTCCTGAGAAGCTGGGATTACAGGTGTGCGCCACCACGCCAAGCTAATTTTTTTATTTTTAGTAGAGATGGGGTTTCACTATGTTGGCCAGGCTGGTCTTGGACTCCTGACCTCAGATGATCCACCCACCTCAGCCTCCCAAAGTGCTAGGATTACAGGTGAAACCCACCACAGCTGGCCTATGATATTTTTAATTGAGAAAAAATATTATTTACTGGTGCTGAGGTGCCTGGTGAGCTTAAAGGAAATTCTGCTAAATGAAAGATATTCTCATTTCTTATTTATCTCATATTGAAATGTATATGTATTTCAGCCCAAATATTTTCCCAGGGTCTTTTTGTATTCTTTCAGAATACCTTTCTTTGATAAACGTTGTTACAAGATGAAAAAGCATCAAATAAGAGATTTCTGTTCATGAGTATTTTAATGTTTTGCCGAATTTAAATTGTAGGCCTTTCTTAATTTTATTCCATTCTGGTACATAATATAAATTTATACAATTAAAAATAGAAGCTCTGGCCAGGTGCAGAGGCTCATGCCTATAATCCCAGCACTTTGGGAGGCCAAGGTGGGTGGATCACTAGAGGGCAGGAGTTTGAGACCAGCCTGGCCAACATGGCGAAACCCTGTCTCTACTAAAAATATAAAAAAATTGTCTGGGTGTGGTGGTACAGACTTGTAATCCCAGCTACTCAGGAGGCTGAGGCATGAGAATTGTTTGAACCCAGTAGGTGGAAGCTGCAGTGAGCTGAGATGGTGCCACTGCACTCTCCAGCCTGGGTGAGACAGTGAGATCCTGTCTCAAAAAAAAAAAAGAAGAAGCAGCAGCTCTATTAAAAGATTCTCCCCTCTCCCCTCAAGTTAAGATTTTCTTTTTTAAAAAACTTCTTACTCTGCCTTTATTAATTTGACATCTAAAATTTTGTGTTTTTTTCATTTTTAATTTCTGCGGGTACATAGGAGGTATATATATTTATGGGGTACATGAGATGTTTTGATACAGGCATGCAATGTGTAATAATCACATAATGGAGAATGTCTGTGTTAAAGACAATCCTATTACGCTCTTTATTTATTTATTTATTTATTGAGACAGTCTCCCTCTGTCACCCAGGCTTGAGTGCAGTGGTGCAGTCTCAGCTCATTGCAGCCTCTGCCTCCTGGGTTCCAGCAATTCTCTGCCTCAGCCTCCCAGGTAGCTGGGATTACAGGCACACATGGCTAATTTTTGTATTTGTAGTAGAGACAGGGTTTCACCATGTTGGCCAGGCTGGTCTTGAACTCCTAACCTCAGGTGAACTCCAAATCTCAAGTTAATGGGTACAAAACTGGGCTTCCCAAAGTGCTGGGATTCCCAAAGCGCTGGGATTACAGGCATGAGCCACCATGCCTGGCCAGCTCTTTTGTTATTTTAACACGTATAATTAAATTTTTATTGACTATAGTCACCCTATTGTGCTATCAAATACTAGGTCTTATTCATTCTATTTTTTTGTACCCATTAACCATCCCCACCTTCTTCCTACCCCCTTCCCCCACTACCCTTCTCAGCCTCAGTTACATCCTTCTACTCCCTATCTCCATGAGTTTAATTGTTTTGCTTTTTAGATCCCACATATAAGTGGGAACATGATGTGATGTTTGTCTTTCTGTGCCTGGCTTATTTCACTTAACATAATGATCTCCAGTTCCATTCATGTTGTTGCAAATGACAAGATCTCATTCTTTTTTATGGCTGAATAATACTCCCTTGAATATATGTTCCACATTTTCTTTTTCCATTTATCTGTTGATGGACACCTAGGTTGCTTCCAAATCTTGGCTATTGTAAATAGTGCTGGAAAAAACATGGAAATGCAAATATCTCTTCAATATTCTGATTTCCTTTCTTTTGGGTACCTACACAGCAGTGGGGTTGCTGGATTATATGGTAGCTCTATTTTTAGTTTTTTGAAGAAACTCCAAACCGTTCTCCACAGTGGTTGCACTAATTTACATTCCCACCAACAGTGTACGAGGGTTCCCTTTTCTCTGCATCCTCGCCAGCATTTGTTATTGCCTGTCTTTTGGATAGAAGCCATTTTAACTGGGGTGAGATGATACTTCATTGTAGTTTTGATTGGCATTTCTCTAATGATCAATGATGTTGAGCACCTTTTCAAGTTACAATTTGCTAAAGCACAATAGTGGATTATACTACGGATGTTCTCACCCTTCAATTTGTCCAGTTCCTTTCTTGCTTTTTGGGGGATAAGTCTCCATTTCTTCTTGCAAGCTTTGTTTTCAATCCTTGCAATGTGCTAAAAGTTTTAAAATATGATGTTTTATTTTAGTGCGCCATCCACTGAGTACTTTGATTAAATATTTCCAAATGATTTTTAACCAAAATATATGTATTTTTAACCAAAATGTAAAAAAAAAAAAAAGTTTGGTATCATCAGAAAGCTGTTGGGCTGATTAACAAAGTACTTCTGCAAAAGCTGAAACATTTCTAAAATCTGTTTAATGACTTGCAGCAAAGAAAAAAACATATACTATGTTGCCAAAGTTGTTTTTTTTTAAAATACTACTTCAGCTTAATCATAGTTACTCTGAGTAGGTATAAAAATATTTGTAACATTTAACAACTGCAGCTTGTATTTCACTTGGTAGATTATCACAGCTGGTTTGAATAAAATAGAAATTACATGTTCATTACAACCAATTCCAAGGTCATTGCTACTTGGTAGTTAAATTTAGCAAAACGCTGTTTTTATCATGAAGCTGTGATTTGGCAAAATATGTATTTGTATTAAGACCACAAAAACAATCTTATCTTCAAGGCTGAACATTTTAACTAAATTTAAAATAGTGTTTACATTTATTTTGAACGTTTCATCTTTGACAAAGTGAACTTCCCAAAGCTTTATTTTGGTTCTGTGAGTTGGCTGAAAAATATCAAACCCTTATGAGAGTTAGCTTATACTTGGAACATCGGATAACATTAATGACAAATTAGCGTCATTTATCTGTGTGCAAAGTTGTTCGGCCAATGAAACCAACACATTAAGTTGACCACTTCTCTTTGTACATCTACAAGAAAACTTGGAATATAAAATGAACAAGATTGATTTTTTTTTATTGTGATAAAATACACATACCATAAAATTTACCATTGTAGCCTTTTTTTTTTTTTTTTTTAGACGGAGTTTCACTCTTGTTGCCCAGGCCAGAGTGCAATGCATGATCTCAGCTCATCACAACCTCTGCCTCCAGGGTTCAAGCGATTCTCCTGCCTCAGCCTCCCAAGTAGCTGGGATTACAAACATGCCCCACCACACCTGACTAATTTTGTATTTTTAGTAGAGACGGGGTTTCTGCATGTTGGTCAAGCTAGTCTCAAACTCCCGACCTCAGGTGATCCACCCGCCTCGGTCTCCCAAAGTGCTGGGATTACAAGCGTGAGCCACCACGCCTGGCCTCACTGTAGCCATTTTCAAGTGTACTATGGTTCGTTGCGTTAAGTACATTCACATTGTTATGAAACCATCACCTTTATTCACCTCCAGAACTTATTTATCATCCCAGACTAAAACTCCGTACCCATTAAACACTAACTCCCAATTTCCCTTACCCCAGCCCTTGGTAACCACCATTCTACTTTCTGTTTCTATGAATTTGACGGCTCTAGGTACCTTATATAAGTGGAATCATACAATATGTGTCCTCTTGTTATTGGCTTTTTTCACTCAGCATAATGCCCTCAAGGTTCGTACATGTTGTAGCATGTGTTAGAATTCCCTTCCTTTTTTAGGCTGAATAACAATCACTCTCTGTATATCCCATATGTTGTTGATCCATTCATCCATCGATGGACAGTTGGGTTGCTTCCGCTTTGTCTGTTGTGAATGATGCTGCTGTGAACATGGGTGTACAGTATCCATTTGAGTTCCTGATTTCAATTCTTTTGGGCTTATACCTAGAAGAGAAATTGTTGGATCACATGATAATTTTAGGTTTATCTTTTTGAGGAACTTCCACACTGGCTGTAACATTTTACATTCCCACTCATCATGCACAAAGCTTTCAATTTCTCCCTATCCTCTTCAACACTTGTTATTTTTGCTATTTTCTGTTTTTTGATAAAAGCCATCCTGATAGGTGTGAGGTGTATCTCACTGTGGTTTTGATTTGCATTTCTCTAAAAATTAGAGACGTTGAGCATCTTTTTTGTGCGTTTATTGGCCATTTGTATATCTTCTTTGGAGTAATGTCTATTCAAATATTTTCCCCCCAAAATGAACAAGATTAATTTTAAAGAACAACCATTTGATATAAACAAAAAATCCCGGTGTGCAAAGTGGTGTGTGAGTGTATTTTTCTGTAACTGCACGTGTTAAATCATCTCCTCTGGGCACTGTCTCCTACAAACAGCCACTGTCTTTCACCTTAGATGTTGATGCTTCTGCGGTAGATTTGTGACTAACTGGTTTTCAGATGGTCGGTGACTTTAGCCACTGTGGTGCGCTGGCAAACATCAACACTTTGTGCTAGGTCACGTTCATTATCAACTTGCTTGAGAAACAGAAATGTGATACTCGAGTTTCTACTAAATACGCATGGAAATGTTTTTGAGCTCGTTGTGGCCTGAAGGGTTTATTGAAAAATGTAAAAATCATCAACAAACAATACAATGAATAAGGGGAGTGGCACCATGTGATAAATGACAATGCAACTGTAGCAAAAGCACTCAGTCTTCTCTCTATATAGCACCCCCCGCCCCAGGTAGGACTGTTTAGCCTGAATTTCCCACACATATTTTATACATATCTAATCTACGATTTCCCATCTTCCCACTGACACCATCAACTGGCAGCCTGGTGGCTTTGAGCATTTTGCAGGCCATAGTCCAAGCTATTGGTACAGGCCATTGGCACAACCGGCTGGCATGCCAACTGCCCATGAGGTCAGCAGCATCACGTCAGATCCTTTCTCCTCCCACCAGGCACGCCTGGCAGCAGTTAGATTTACCGAGTCACTCATGTCATTTGGGAACGCCCTGTGTGCTGTCCTTACAAGAGAGGTGTTGGTTATGTTGTGCAACAAAGAGAGATGTTGCTAGGAAGCTTCTGAATTTAACCACAGAGCAAAGGGTTCACATGTGGTCCACACAACTAGATGAGGCCATGGTGTGGAGCTAGAAGTATCAAGTGGTCTACCAAACCTATCCAGTCTGCTTGAATGCAACTATTATTATAATACACCTGGCTTGGAAGTAAAATGGCGAACCGGATGGAACTACAAGATGACACGCCTAAGCGGGAGCCATCCTGGGCAAACTAGGGACAGTGGCTGCATACCAATGGCTTACAACCGATTCATAGGAAAACGCACACATCCTTTGCTCGGACAAGCTCTGGTCCCTGCAGAGCAGCAATTCCCATTTGCTCCTCTGCCAAGGCAACACTAAGATTCATCTCTCTTGCCTTAAAGATTTCCCAGGTAGAAATCAAACACCAACCCATGATGCTCCTCAACTGCTTGGCCACAAAAAACAAGTGATGAGAAACTCACTCCTTTGAGAGACAGCTCACCTCACTGTTGGTTGATATGGGACCAGTAAAGGTACTGAAGAGGCAGCTCAGAGGCCAAGTTCTGGAGTCAGACTGCCTGGGGCCCAGCCCAGCCCTACTGTTTAGCAGCTGTGTGAACCTGGATAAGTTACTCAATTGCTGTTTCCTCTGCTGTAAAACAATAAGAGAATATGCCTTATATGATACTATGTAGAGTTGCCAGATTAAATTTAAATTCATTACATTTGAATTTTAGATTACAAATATTTTGTTTAGTATAACTATGTCCTAAGTTTAACTGGGCATTCTGGATTTTTGTTTGCTAAATCTGGCTACCCTGCTGGCATGGAGGTTAAGACAGTGCCTGGCATATAGTAAGTTTTATAGAGTTAACTGTTGTTAAGATGCTTTGACTGCAAGGAACAGAAGCCATGTAGCAGAAGACAAGGAGATTGTGGGTGTGTGGGCTCAGAGTTCTTCCCTCTGTTTCGCAGGTGACTTCTGGCCTCTATCTCCTTGTCTCTCAGAGGCCATGGGGACCTTCACAGTCAGGTTCCTTCCACCCCATCTTTCTCCAGGCTTGCCTTCCCACTAATATCTGACCCAACATGGTCACCAGCCTCAAGTCTACATGACCTAGTAGATCCAATCCCATCTTTGTTTGAGTTGTTCCAGGGGTAGACCCTGAAAAAAAAAAAAAACCTTTTAGGCAAGTAGTTTATTTGAAAGGAATCCCTTTGTAAGGGAGTGAGGAAGTGAGACAGGGAAGATGGACATCAATAAAAAGACATTATCAAACGAATTACCACCACGGACAACTGAAACTCAATCCTGCCGGGAAACTCTGGAAAAGAGAGTTATCCCAACCAAGGGATGAGGAAGCCGGCATTTACCCACTAAATCAGCTCATCATGGCAAGGGCTACTTCTAGGGTCATTAACTTGATAGAGCACACACTGGCATGGCCACGAAGCCACCTTTAGCGTGCAGAGGTGAGACTGGAGGGGACATGCATGGGGCACTGATGGCATCACCTCCTGCAAGAGCGCCTCCCCGGCCCCTCCATGGACAAATCTATGTCTCTTAGTTCAAATTCTTAAGGGAAAGCACCTGGTTGGTCACTTGTCAGCCAAAGGACGGGCTGGCCCCAGGTCAGCTGGTGGCTCTCATCCCATCCATCCACCACTCGGTGGTCAGGGTCTATGGAAGTGTCAGGACCTGCCCCTTCCACGGAGGCTTTGGGCTTCGATAGTCACCACAGAGACCGGCAGAGCATGGGGAAAGCTCTCCATGCACAACCACTGCATTCTGAGAGTTTGTCAAGTTTGTGTTTACATATGAAGCTAAAATGTATCTCTTGAGTCTGACCCACTCTGGGTCAGGAACCTTCCAGAACAGCCCTAGTTAATCTTCGGCTATGGGAAGAGAGTAACTTTCTCATACCTGAGGCTGCATTCGTGGGTCCCTCTGTCTTCTCCTTTCTAGACTAAATCAACATCCTCAGGTCCTTCATCTCTTCTTCATACCATGCTTGTGTTTTCGTTTGGTCAGAAGAACCCTCAGTCCAAAAAAGCAGATGTGGGTGGGGAGGGTGGAGGCGGGGAACTCATGTTCTGCACTGGGCTCCAAGTCTGGCAAGATCGGCAAGGCCAGCTGGATGGGAACATGGGAAAGAGGCCCCAGCCTTGGTTCAAGCTGCCTCGTTATGAATGCCTGAGATGGCAGTGTATTTGTCCATTTTCACACTGCTGATAAAGACATACCTGAGACTGGGTAATTTATAAAAGAAAAGAAGTTTCATGGACTCACAGTTCCACATGGCTGGGGAGGCCTCACCATCATGGCAGAAGGTGAAAGGCACATCTTACATGGCAGCAGGCAAGAGAGAATAGAGCTAAGCAAAAGGGGTTTCCCCTTATAAAACCACCAGCTCTCATAAGACTCATTCACTACCACCAGAACAGTATGGGGGAAAGCACCCCATGATTCAGTTATCTCCCACCGGATCTCTCCCACAACACATGGGAATTACGGGAGCTACAATTCAAGATGAGATTTGGGTGGGGACACAGCCAAACCTTATCAGGACTGCAGCCTGCTGTCCCTGGGAAGAGCCGCTCAGCAGAGAGGTGAGGAACCTGCTCTGGTCCATCCAGGCCAAGCCAGCTGTCCAGGAAACAGAAGTAAACAGTCCTCCTGGTGGCCCAGGGAGCCTGTGCCACCGCCAATGGGATCCCAGGAAGATGAGAAACTGTCTTTGTGAAGAGAATGTCCCCCTGAGATGGACCCATAACTAGGCCATTTCTCTCCATGTGAAACTCTTCATTAAAGAACATTTTCATCAGGGGCATGAACCAGGATCAAGACAAATAACAAATAAGAGAAGCAAACCAGAGCCAGGCAGACAGGAGCACAAATGCCCACGCATGCTTAATAATGCGCTATGCTCGCCCCTGGCTTCATCCAACTCTCTCTGACCTTCCTTAGAATGGATCCCTCCAGAGTCCACCAACTCAGTCCCACCCCTGGGCTTTCTTCAGACATTCTGTTAGCTTCCACAGAGGTGGTAACCTTAGCTAAAGGAAAGACCAGCTCTGATGACGATGGAGAAGCCACTCGTGTCTGAAGGAATTTATTCTCTCCTGGTTCTGCAGGCCAGCAGTCTGAAGTCAAGGTGTCAGCAGAGCCAGGCTCCCTCCAAAGGCTCCAGGGGAGAAGACTTCCTTGCTTCTGCGAGCGCCAGGTGGCTGCCAGCCATCCTTGGCCTCATTCACTTGTGGCCAGATCACACCAATCTCTGCCTCCATCTTTGCATGATGTCTGTGACTTCTCTCCTGTCTCTTTATAAGGACACTTATCATTGGGTTTAGGGCCACCCAGTTAATCCAGGACGATCTCATCTCAAGATCCTTAACCGAATTACATCTGCAAATACCTATTTTGTAATAAAGGTCACTTTCACAGATTCCCAGGATATGAACACAGACGTATCTTTTTGGAGGCCACTGTTCAACCACAACACCAGCTCAAAAGTCCAGAAAAGGTCGTTCATGAAGGATTTATTGAATGCCAACTCTATGCCAGATTCATGCTGGACTCAGTGTCTTCTGTAGCCCCCCACCGGAGGCCTCACAGCATCTTGCACAATTACTGCACCTTCATCCTGCAGTCAGTGCCTGGCCAGGCAGCTATTTGCAGTTGTCGCCCCCCAGGCAACCCAGGGCCCTGACCAATAGGGGAGGGCCAGGGCTTGCCAAGCAAAGGGCCACCTCTTCCTGGTCAGTCTGGCTGTGAAATTATCACAGGCGCCCAGGAAAAGAACCCAAGTTGGGAAGTCAGCACAATTTAGCCAGACATCAGCCAAGCAGCCTGAAAGCCCTTCACTGGGCATCTGAACTGAGAGAGTGGGCATATCAGTTTCCTAGGTGATATGGTTTGGCTGTGTCCCCACCCAAATCTCATCTTGAACTGTAGCTCCCATAATTCCCACGTGTTGTGCCAGGGACCTGGTGGGAAGTAATTGAATCATGAGGGCGGTTTCCCTCATGCTGTTCTCGTGGTAGTGAATAAGTCTCACGAGATCTAATGGTTTTATAAGGGGTTTCCCCTTTCATTTGATTCATTCATTCTCTCTTGTCTGCCACCATGTAAGACATGCCTTTCACCTTCCACCATAATGGTGAGGCCCCCCCCCAGCCACATGGAACTATGAGTTCATTAAACCTCTTCTTCTTTATAAGTTACCCAGTCTCAGGTATGTCTTTATCAGCAACTGAAAATGGACTAGCACACTAGGACTGCCAGAACAAAGCCCCACAAATTGGATGGATTCAACAATGGAAACTGATTCTCTCACAGTTTTGGAGGCCAGAAGTCCAAAATCAAGGTGTCAGCAGGGCTGTGTTCTCTCTGAAATTCTGGGCAGAATCCTTCATCACCTCTTCTGGTTTCTTTTGATGGCAGCCACCAACCTCCAGCATCACTCAGGTCTCTGCCTCTGACTAAACGCGGCCTTCTCCCTTCATGTCTCATGTCTATCTCCACACTCTCTTCCTTCTTCTCATTAGGACACCAGTCATATTGGATTAAGAGCCTACCCTTCTCCAGGGTGACCTCATCTTAATTGCATCTGCAATGGCCCTATTTCCAAATGAGGTCACATTCCGAGGTATTGGGGGATAGAACTTCAACATATTTTGGGAGGGCACAATTGAGCCCACAACAGTAAGCAAAGGGCAACACATAGTCCAACTCATGCTGGCACTGGGGGCTTCATAAGGTCCCCTTGGGATGGCTCAGGGCCACAGCCACATACCTGGTGTCTGTGGCAGTCCTTTGTGGGGCCCAGGCCTACCTCACTGGGTGGAGAGTAAACTCTTAGATCCAGAGCACTCCTCTCAGTGGGGAGGAGGAGAACAGCCCTGGTAGATCCAAGCTGCTTCGGGCTGGAGGTGCTGGGCACTGTGCACCTCTCCCTCCCCACCTAGCCTGCGCAAACCACCCGCTCTGATTCCCTGCGCCTCCTTCTCCACCCACCTCCCTTCTTCAGCTCCTGGTCACTAATGATTGGCAGCTGGTGCTTATTTATGATGTCAGATCCTGTCACTCTGTCCAGCACCCCCAGGGGCTTGTGTCTCACTCAGAGGGGAAGCCAAAGTCCTTCGCTGGCCCCAGCGCCCTACACCGTCTGGGTGCCTCTGGTTAGCCTCTCCATGTCCACCCCCCACCCTTCTCCACTCTGCTCTCTGCAGGTCTCTGGCTTAGGAGGCCAACCTGCAATGGGTTCTCTAGCTTTGCACTGGGCTCCAACAATAACAGAACCTGGGCAACAGATTGGGTGAGAGGACAGTGGAGTTGGGGTACTTATTCCCCCCAGCTTTCTCCCTGCAGGGGTCCCCAAGGGCCAGCAGTTGTCAATCAACCAGGAAGCAGCCCTCTCCTCTCTCCCTAGGTTCCTGTAGCTTCTCTTTTCTTGCCCCTTTAATTCCAGGGGTGGCCATGGCATCTGGGGTGGGGGGTGCTGTGCTATTCCTTGGGGTGTCTCTATATCTGCCTACTCTTTGCAATGGTCCTTTAAGTAAAGTCCCCCCAGTCCTCCAATGTGAGCAGGCCATCTGCTTCCTGCCAGGATTTTGACTGATTTCCTTCTTGTCTCTCAGACTGTGTCTTCTATCATTCTCCCTCTCGATCACTCCTGCTTTTGCACAGGCTTTCTCCTCTTACCTCCTCTTGCCTGATACTCTTATCCACACAACTGACTCTCTCACCCGTTTGCAAGGCCTCACTCAGCTCTGGCATGTGAGGCACTGCCTGCCCTGACCACCCCACTAAGACTTGCAACACCCACCAGCCCCCAGCATGTCCAAGCCCCCTTAGCCTTCTTGATTGTTTTCAGAACACTTGTCTCCTTCTAGGACACTACATCGCATGTGCGTCTGTTATATTTGCCATCCGTCTCCCCTGCCTCTAGAATAGAAGTTCCACAGGGGCAGAAATGTTGGACTATTTGGTTTGTTCTGGATGTATCCCAAGTACATAGAATGGTGGCATGTACTTGGATGGTGGAGGAGGTGTTCATCCATTTGTGCCTCCATTCCACAGACATTACTGCACGTCTGCAATGTGTCAGGCACTGTCTAGGCAAACACAGCCTTCATCCTCATTCCTTGCCCCTTTGTTTTCGTTCCCTTACTTGGCCTCTGCTGCCAGACCCTCTGGCCCTGTGCTGGCATCCAGAGTGCCAGCCTTCCAGGCTACAGCCAGAGCTGGGCCTGTAATCTGCTGTATTCCATGGCTGGGATCTCAGAGAGTGACCGAGCCCCTTCTGGGTGTTATGATCACAGGCGGGCCTCTCCCAGCTGCCTCCCACTGCTGTTTGAGGCCGAGCTCTATGAAGCCGGAGTTTCTGAGTTTGCTCATTTTTAAACAATGATAAGATTTCCGTATTCAGCACTTCTTCACAGGCCCTCGGCAACTGCCTCGGCAGGCTTCCTTCCAGTCCTGTCGTAAATCGCTTCTGAGTCAACCTCTTTCTGTTCTGTACGAGCTTAGCAGCATCTCACCTCGAAAACGCGCATCATCAGAACATGACAAGACCGTACCTACAGAGATGAGGGAGTTTCTCTATAGCATCTCTCAGGCAAAATGAGTATGGCGGTCACCAGAGAGTTTCTTGCCACTTTCTCTCAGGGTTCTGGAAATGTAGCTAAAAATGTAAGCCAAAAAGAAACAACAAGAACAAAAATAACTGTGCATGCAAAATAACCTTGTTTCAGCAGGCGTGTTGCACCTTTTATTTTATAAAAGCAAGGGGGCTGCTGACTGGAGTTTTACCTGCTGAAGCCCTAAAGACGGCAAATACACTCAAAGAGATGCAAATAAAATGAATTCTAAGGCCAGGCGCGGTGGCGCATGCCTGTAATCCCAGCACTTTGGGAGGCCAAGGCAGGCAAATCACTGGAGGTCAGAAGTTCGAGACCAGCCTGGCCAACATGGTGAAAACCCGTCTCTACTAAAAATACAAAAATTAGGTGAGTGTGATGGTGCACACCTGTAGTCCCAGCTACTCAGGAGGCTGAGGCAGGAGAATCGCTTGAAACTGGGAGGTGGAGGTTACAGTGAGCTGAGATTACACCACTGCACTTCAGCCAGGGTGACAGAGCAAGACTCCGAAAAAAAAAAAAAAGTTAGGGGGAATTCTAGGACCTGTCTCAAGCTTCACTGAAGACAGTAGGAACTAGGTGGGTCAGTGAAGCTCAAGGTGTTGCATACGGTGGGCGGCAGGCATCCCTGGGGCCTTCCACGGGTGGGCAGAACATGGGAGACAGGACTTCTTCACTCTGCTCTGGTTCCAAGAGATGGGGGAAAAGGGATAATGCTGAGAATTCTGCGAGGTTCCACTGGGCACACTGCTAAAAGACATCGCCTTCGGACAGCACACAGAGCTTCTGTGATCTTCCCATCTTCATGGTAAGAAGACAAAAGGAAAAATGTGGCTGAAGGGAACCGAGAGAAGGAAAATTGACTGCACACGGGGATAGAACAGAAGAGCCCTCACCCACCCCTCCTCTAAACCCAAGTGCATGTGGTGCACGGCCCACTGCCTGGTGGATGGGACCATGCAGGGAGCTTGGGAGCACAAGCCAGAGCCCTGGGGCGTTCCCGGCATGCAGAGAACCAGGTGTGCTGCCCTGATGTTGGATGCAGTACAACCTTTTAGACAGAAGTCTCCCCCCACCCTCCAACCCTAAGACCACAAAGGATGCACAAAGACCCTTGAGAGGCCGAGGTTTGCCTGTGAAGGCTCCACACCTCCTTAGGGAAACTGCAGGCTCCAGGTGAGGCATTCACGTTACCTGAGGTTTCCTCAGCCAGTAGGACATAGCCCCACTGCAAAGAGCTGCTCCCCCACTCACCACAGCATCATAGCAGCACCCCTGTGCAATACCTCCAACAGCCTGGGGAGCTCCGGAGGCGACCCCTCCATACTCCATACCATGCCCCAGTAAGTGTAGGAATATTATCTGTTCCTACTTGAGGTGCTGACCTGAGCACCACCCACAGCGGGTGAAGGGTGGAAGTGAGGGGCATTTCCAGAATAAGAGGGTGTTGGGACCCAGATGAGGTCTGCGGAGGCCTGCTCCCTGGGAAGCCATTCTCACAGGCACCCATGGGGAAATGTCACTCAGGGAGCTGTCCCACAGCGCTCCCCAGCTGCCGGTCGGTCCAAAGGGCCACAGAGCGTGCTGCTCTGGGGCATCCTCATGGAGCCCCCCTGGGATCTGCCAGCGGGGAGCAGAGTTCTCCCCCTCTTCCTCCTTCTCTTCCTCCTCCCCTCCCCCTCACCTAGGCTCACATCAGGCATCAAACCAGCCCTGCCAGTGCCCTTGTGTCCCTAAAGAGTACCTTGTGCTTTGCCTGGGCAGGGCCAGGCCAAGGGGGACCTGAGACTCCACATGTGTTCTCTTCCTCTGCAGAGCCCGGAGCCCATTCCAAACCCCTCCCCTCCAGCCAAACTCCCTCAGGGGCGTGGTTCTTGGTCCCGCCCTTTGGTTCACTGCACTTGCTCAGACGTCGCCGACCCACCACAGCAACAGGCCCACAGATTTTCAGCTATTGTTTGCCTCTGTTTCTTCAGTCAGCTTTTCTCGACACTGGATTAGAAGTGCTTGCAAGGTGTGGAGGGCCAGGGAGGCAAGTGAGGTGGCCCAGGGTGCTTGGGCTGTTCACAGCCTGGGTCTGAACCTTGCCCTGTCCACCCACACCCTCCCTCTCATTCTACTCTTGAGCCTCCTGGCATAGGCCCTCCCGGGTTGCGCCCTGGGTTCCCATCCTCTCCTTGCCCCTTGCACTTAGCACTGTCTTCCTGGCCTTGACTTTGGCTCCCCTTGACAGTTTTCAGGTTCACATCCCAGCACGCCCTGCTGTGTTGTCATTAGCAAATGGTTCACCAGCTCATCTGGGTCCCAACACCCTCTTATTCTGGAAATGCCCCTCACTTCCACCCTTCACCCGCTGTGGGTGGTGCTCAGGTCAGCACCTCAAGTAGGAACAGATAATATCTCTACACTTACTGGGGCAGAACGGAGGCAGGTGTTTTATGGGTTTTGTTTGTTTCTTTGTTTGTTTTTTGACACAGAGTCTCGCTCTGTCACCAGGCTGGAGTGCAGTGGCACAATCTTGACTCACTGCAACCTCCGCCTCCCAGGTTCAAGCGATTCTCCTGCCTCAGCCTCCCGAGTAGCTGGGACTACAGGCGCACGCCATCATGCCCAGCTAATTTTTGTGTTTTTAGTAGAGACAGGGTTTCGCCATGTTGGCCAGGATGGTCTCGATCTCTTGACCTCATGATCCGCCCGCCTCACCTCCCAAAGTGCTGAGATTACAGGCATGAGCCACCGCACCTGGCCTGGATGCAGGTGTTATGTCAACCTTAGATATACCTCCTGGGGGGCTAAGCGTATGGAAACAGTGGATGGCTGTATCGTTTATGTGGCTATAGCTTTAGTGTAGTCTGGAATGCGAACATCTCAGGAGGGATGTTCATGGTCCTGTCTAATTGGACAGATGGACTGGGAGGGGAGAGGGGCTGGTTCTAGACCTGCCCATGGTGGAGTTGTGAGGAATGGAGGCTGGGGTTAGGCCAGGGGAAGGAAGCAGTGGAAGGTGCCCTCCAAAAGCCCTCCTATACTGAGAGACCATGGTGACTGAAGAGGACACTGATTGGCAACAGACAGTAGTCCAGATAAAAAGGGAATAAGGGTCTGGATGCGGTGGCTCAAGCCTCTAATCCCAGCACTTTGGGAGGCTAAGGCAGGTGGATCATGAGGTCGAGAGATCGAGACCGTCCTGGCCAACATGGTGAAACCCTGTCTGTACTAAAAATACAAAAATTAGCTGGGCGTGGTGGCATGCACCTGTAGTCCCAGCTACTCGGGAGGCTGGGGCAGGAGAATCACTTGAACCTGAGAGGCAGAGGTTCCAGTGAGCCAAGATCGAGCCACTGCACTCTAGCCTGGCGACAGAGCAAGACTCCATAAAAAAACAAAAAAAAAAAAAAAGAGGGAATAAGGAAGTTCAGGTGATGCTGATGCTGATGCTGATGCTGATGGAAGGACCCAGGTGCAGGTGCAGTAAATAGCTAACAACCCAACATGAACAGTTGGTAGAGTGGGCAAGTTAAAAGGAACAACAGGCTAGTGATTATGCCTGAGGAGTGAGATTGAGTTATTAAATGGTGAGTGCCAGAGAGCTGGGCATGGAATGCTTCAAGTTCTCCTGCTCAGGGCTTAGCAAACTAGAGTGCCTTTTGGAACTGACAGGTAACATAAAATGCAAGACAATAGGGAGGGGTGGGATCATGCCAGCTGCAGAGGGCACAGCTGTGATTGTCATCAGTGCTGTGCCCCATTAGAGCTGATCAGCTCTCCAGGCATCTGCTAGGGTTTACCTTCCCCTCTTCCTTCGAAGTCAGGAGAGTCATGCAACTTGCCCCGACAATGAAGTCTAAACAGAAGGGGCACGTGGCCTTCCAGGACAAAGATTCAAGAACCAGTGAGCCATTCACTCTGCCTCCTTCCCTTCACTGTGTCAGTGGCCCTGCAAGCCCATGTCAAGAGAAAGCTGCCAAGAGCCTGAGTCCGTGAGTGGATGCTGTGAGAAGAATACATCCTCGGACATGTGACATGAACAAGAAATAAATTCTAGTTGTGTTGCTCCTAAGGCATTGGAGTTACTTGTTACTGCAGTGTAACCTAACCTAGCCTAGCCATTGGAAATGCAAATATTTTTTAAATGCCTTGCTGGCCAAACAAAAGTCTGTAGTGGTGGAATTTGGCCCATGGCAGAGTCAGATTATCACCCCTGGCTAGAAATTGTGAAAATACTGAATCTCAGTCAGCTGTCTCAACTTTAGGAAAATAACAGTCCTAGATACTGAACCATAAAGGTCCCAACAGATGACTTACCAGTGAACAGTGTTTCCATCTTTCTGCTTCTCTTCTTTCTGCCCTTATCCCCTCCTTCTTTCTCCCATCACCACTTCTGTGACTTTTCTCTCGTTCATCTGTCCATGAGTTACTGTGACAATTATTAAAGTTTTGCTTCTTTGGGAACTCTCAGGAGTTTCTGAGTCCTTTGCCAGCCTTGTGTGGTTGAAAAGAATAACCACCAAAAGGCAATGCCTCAGTACCTGGGATTTCCCATTTCATGGTGGAATCATAGAATCAGCATCAGTCTCATCAAGAGAGTGTTCAATGGTGTCCACCTAGGAACAGGATGAAACCTGGTCAGGCAGAAGCAGAGATGGTAAAGATCTTTGGCTGTTGAGTTGTCCCTAGAAATAGACACTGCCTAAGACACAACTCTTAGAGTGGGAGAGGGAATGACACTTAACTTGAATCCGATTTGTGTCACTCTCCTAGGAGAGAGTTCATACCAAATGGATCTGTCACAGCAGGAAGCAGCACTGAGGTTTGGAGGCACCAAGCCCCAGAGATGAGAGGCCGCCTGTCTTAGTCCATTTTGTGTTGCTATACATAAACTGAGCTGGGGTACGTATAAAGAAAAGAGGATTACATGGTTCATGGTTCTGCATCTGGTGAAAGCCTCAGGCTGCTTCTACTCATGGTGGAAGGGGACCTGTGTGTGCAGAGATCACATGGCAAGAGAGGGAGCAAGAGAGGTGCGGGGAGGTGCCAGGCTCTTCTTAACAACCAGCTCTCAAGGGAACTAACGGACTGAGAACTACTTCCCCCACCTCCCCCAACAGGGAGGGCATCAATCTATTCATGAGGGATCCACCCCACAACCCAAACAACACCCCACCTTAGGACCCACCTCCAACATGGGGGATCAAATTTCAACATGAGACTTGGAGGGGACAAACATCCTGACTATAGAACTGCCTCCGTGTTCCGTTTCCTCATCTGTACAATGGGACAATACAGACCCACCAAGTGCCTCCTCCGTATTAGACACTGTGCCAGGCCCTGAGGAAGCAGAGATGAATGTGCATGGGACCTGTCCTCAGGGATCTCACAGTTGAGCACAGTGCTGCAGAATGTGCCAGTCTGTGAGGTGTTTGTTCCCAGTATGCAATATGATAAGGAGCTTTCACTAGAATGTAAATTCATTTTCATCACTAGGCACACCGTCTAGACCAGCTAATTTTTTATAGCAAGCAAGGGAGTGATTTACAAATTCTTTATTTCAAATGGTAACAAACAGTTGTTGACACAGATCTATTGACTACAATTTGAACAGTACCATCTAATAGCTTTGAGACTTGCTGTAAAGAATTAGCAGAAGTAAAAGCATGATACTGGTATAGCAATAACAGAAACCATCAAGGCCCCCTCCACGTCCCCTTGGCACTCACCGGCAGGTTTCTCCCGAAAAACCTGCGATGCTCCACCTGCTGCCTTTCTCCGAGGCCCAGCACGAGGGGTCAACAGATGCTGGAGAGTTGATGCCCCCAGGTCCACACTTCAGTCAATGACGAGCAGGACCTGGAAGATAAATAGCCCAGTGTTTGTCCCAGGGGAGACAATTCAGTGCACAATCTATGCTTTCTCCCAGATGTCCCAGCAGGACCACACCCAGCTGTCCACAGTATAACCTGCTTGTTAGCAAATCCTGACTAGGTTCATCCCTTCCCTCCCTCATGCACCCATTCTCCTGCCAGTGCCTTCTGAGGTCACCTCCCAATCACACTCCTTGCGCGCACACCCTCGTCTCAGGATCTGCTCCTGGGAAAGCCCTATCCAAGACACTGTGCTAATGTACCAACCCCAGTGGTCAAATGGTAGCACCTCTCTTTTCTAAACACTATTGAGGTGATGAGAAAATGCTCCCTTGGAGCTTGTGCTGTCCATGAGACTCTCGCATGTTTCTTAGTACCACGTTGTATCGCCCACCACTTAGATTTGCCTACAGAGCCGTAATAACTCCAGGTTTAACGTTCTGATTTTATTAACTTTAGGAAGAGGATGGAGTGGAGTGGAAAGAGGAAAAGAGTGCACTGTTTCGAGACTCCAGAACAGAACTCTTGATTTTGCTCTGAACCTCTTCCTCTCCATGAGGCCTCACCATACCCCTATCCCCTGTCCCGTTGCCCAAGCCCCACCCCCAGGAGACAGCCTTGATTCTTCCCTTTTCTGCAGCCTGCACATCCAACCCATTGGCAGGCCCTGTTGTTTGTGTCTTGAGAACCTGGGTGGAATCTGTTCACCTCTCTCTAAACCACCCCCAATTCCCAGCCACCATCAGCTCTCTCTGGGGCCACACCAATGGCCTCCCAACAGGTCTTGCTGCCTCCATTTTGCTCCTTATAATCCAATTTCTGCAGTGTCCAGAGAGACCTGCCAAAAATGTAAATCAGATCATGCCTTTCAGTGACTTCTCATCTCAATTAGAATAATATCCAGACCCTTCACTATGGCCCACCAGGCCCCACAGGATCTGGCTTCTGACTTTCTCCAACCCAAGCCTCTGAGCTCCAATCACAATGGCCTCAAGTGTCCCCAGTTCTTTCCTGCCACAGGGACTTTGCCGTTCTTACTCTCTCTGCCTGGAAAGCCTTTCCCTGTGCCTTCACATAATCATGGTGGTTGCTTCTCATCTGTCAAGGCTTCGTTCAAATGTGACTCCTCAATGAAGTTAATTACCCTATCTAAAATGTTGCCTAACACACACCAGAAACCCCAATTATTTTCCATCATAGCACCTATTTATTACCATTCTAGCAATGATCACTAACCTGCAATGGTCCTGTTAGTTTACTTGTTTATTGCCAGCCTCTCCTACTGGAATGGAAGCTCCACAAAACCCCAGATTCATCGGTCTCCTTTGCATTACCTCCCCAGCCCTTGGAGGGTGCTCAACATCATACAGGAAATGCTTAATACATTTTGCTTTTCCTTAGAGCAGAAGTTTCATTTCATCTCTTTTTTTAGTTCTTTGGAGATAAAATATACATAACATACAATTTACCATTGTAACCATTTTTAAGCAGACAGTTCAGTGGCATTAAGTGCATTCACAGTGTTGCCCATCCATCACCACCATCCAGCTCCAGAACTTTTTTATTTTCCCAGACTGAAACTCTGTACCTGTAAAAAGTAACTCTCTGTATTAGTCTGTTTTCATGCTGCTGATAAAGACATACCTGAGACTGGGTAATTTATAAAGAAAAGAGGTTTAATGGACGCACAGTTCCACATGGCTGGGGAGGCCTCACAATCATGGCAGAAGGTAAAAGGCACGTCTTACATGGCAGCAGGCAAGAGAGAGAATGAGAGCCAAGCAAAAGGGAAAACCTCTTATAAAATCATCAGATCTCATGAGACTTATTCACTATCATGAGAACAGTATGGGGGAACCTGCCCCCATGATTCAATTATCTCCCACTGGGTCCCTCCCTCAACACATGGGGATTATGGAAGCTACAGTTCAAGATGAGATTTGGGTGGGGACACAGCCAAACCATATCACATCCCGTTCCCACTCCCCTAGTCCCTGGTACCCACTATTCTACTTGCCATGTCTATGAATTCAACTACTCTACATAGTTCATATAAATGGAATCATACAATGTTTTTCCTTTGGTATCTGGCTTATTTCACTCAGCTTTCAAGCTTCATCCATGTTGTAAGATGTACCAGAATTTTCTTCCTCTTTAAGGCTGAATAGTATTCCATGTATGGATAAACTGTACTTTGTTTATCCATTCATTTGTTGATGGACAATACATTTTGTTTTGTTCTGTTTTTTAAGTCACAATAGCTTAGAGTCCTGCCTCTGGCACCTAATTTGTAACCTTGTGCAGGCTATTTAACCTAAGACTCTATTTCCTCCCATGTAAAACAGGGGTAATGTGCCAATTACCTTATATAAAGCCCTGGGGCAGTCTTACAAACAAGGAAATTTAGCAAATACTGTTTTTCTCTGTGTCTGTCAGAATATTTTCAACTGGCCGAGCATGGTGTCTCACACATCTTTGTAGTTTTTTAGGCAAAAAACTAAAAAAAAGAGAGATATAATGAAACGTCTGCTCTAAAAAACGTGTATTAAGCATTTCCTGTATGATGTTGGGCACCCTGCAAGTTCTGGGGATGTAATCCCAACATCTTGGGAGGCTGAGGCAAGCGGATCACTTGAGCCCAGGAGCTCGAGACCAACCTTGACAACATAAAAAGACCTTGCTTCTACCAAAAATAAAATGAGCCAGGTGTGGTGGCACATGCCTGTGGTCCCAGCTGCTCAGGAGCCTGAGGTAGGGGGATCACTTGAGCCCTGGAGATTGAGGCTACAGTGAGCTATGATGGTGCCATTGCACTCCAGCCTGGGACAAAATACCCAACTGCTAGGAGATTAGACAATAAGGGGCTTTGCTGTCTCACATAATCAGAAAACCTACCTTAGGGAAGCTCCAGGGTTGGTTCTCAAGGATGTCATCGGAGACCCAGACTCTTTTTCCTTGTGTCTGCTCAGCCTTCCTCAGCATAATGGCTTGGTCCTAAGCTTGTCCTTGTGGTCCCAAGACGATGGTTCCAACATCATGTATGGATATGACAGTATTTGGCTGGAGAGGAAGAGCATTTCCACCCAGGCATCTCCTTGAATTAGGGAAGAAAAGCTTACCCAGAGGACACCAAGAAACCCCTCCTCCTATGGGTCCCATTGGCCAAGATTAGAGCATATGCGCCTATTTTTGTTGCAAAGGAGGATGGTAATGTCATGTATTTGGCCATGTCAGCCCTCTGCTGGGGGAGAGGAAGAAGGGCTGAGGTGATGGTACATCCAAGCGCTTCCCTGCATCTTTCTTCCCTCTCCTCTCTGCTCTTCTTGGGTTCCCTTTTCCCGAGGCACGCTCAGGCTCTGTTGATTTTGAATTAGGGAGTCCGCACCTTTCTCACAGCTGTGTTATTCTGTTTGAAAAGGGAGGCTGCAGGTGTTGTTTTGTAGGTGTGTGGGCGTTTGGAGAATGAGGCCCAGGACTGTTTGAGTATTGAGAGGATGCGCTGAGGGATAGAAAGAATTAGGCAGAAAGAAATCCAGGTATCGCTGGAGGGAGGAAGCAGACAGATCGCTAAGCAGCGTCGGGGGTCAACAGAGGCTGAGACCTGAGGAAGGGGGAGAAGCCTGGCCAGCGTTAAGCCAGAGCTTCTCTGGGAACAGGCTAAGGAGGACAGAGGGGAGGAAAGCCCTTTTATTTCAAAACCTCAATTTGGCCTCTTCTCTTCCTCCTCATACCACCCTGCCCTTCGTCTCCTCCTTCCTGTTCCTTCTGGATACTGATTAGACTCAAAGCTCCAGCCTCAGGCATGTGGGTGCAGGGAGGAGGTGCCTCTCCTGCTCCTCCTTCTGTTATTAGGGGACTTGTCTGCTCCTAAGCCAAAAAAGGACATACCTCTTTTTTTTTTTTTTTTTTTTTTTTTTTTTTTTTTTTTTGAGATAGGGTCTGACTCTGTCACCCAGGCTAGAGTGCAGTGGCACAATCTTGGCTCACTGCAACCTCTGCTTCCCGAGCTCAAGTGATTCTCCTGCCTCAGCCTCCCAAGTAGCTGGGATTACAGGCATACGCACCACGCCTGGCTAATTTTTGTAGTTTTTGTTGAGACAGGGTTTCGCCATTTGGCCAGGCTGATCTTACACTCCTGACCTCAAGTGATCTGCCCACTTCTGCCTCCCAAAGTGCTGGGGTTACAGGTGTGAGCCACTGAGCCTGGCCTAGGAAAGGACATTCCTTACATGGTAATGAAGGGCCCTGATGAGACCTCAGTGTGGGCAGGGCTGACAGGACCAGCTGAAGCCATCGGGAAGCCCCGAGCTCTCCACTCTCATGGTGGACAGAGTGCATGTGTATATTTCATAAAGACTTATGAAAATAAAAAGACAAGCCACAGACTGGGAGGAAGTATTTCTTTTCTGGGAGGAAATTCTGTCTTTTTATTTTCATAAGTCTTTCAAAGAGCAGAAGTTTTAAATATTGATGAAGTGCAACTTATTATTTTTTTCTTTTATGATTCATGCTTTTTTACCTAATCCAAAGTATCAAAGATTTTCTCCTGTTATTTAGAAGTTTTATAATTTTAGCTTTTACATTTACATCTATGACCTATTTCAAATTAATTTTTTTTTTAGATGAAGTCTCGCTCAGTCGCCCAGGCTGGAGTGCAGTGGTGTGATCTTGGCTCACTGTTAACGCCCATCTCCCGGGTTCAAGCATTTCTCCTGCCTCAGCCTCCCATGTAGCTAGGATTTCAGGTGTACACCACCACACCTGGCTTATTTTTATATTATTAGCAGAGATAGGGTTTCATCATGTTGGCCAGGCTGGTCTCGAACTCCTCACCTCAAGTGATCTGCTTGCTTTGGCCTCCCAGAGAGCTGGGATTGCAGGTGTGAGCCACTGCACCCGGCCTCAAATTAGTTTTTGTTTGTGGCATGTGGTTGTCTGTCCACAGTTTTTAACCTGGAACTAAGTGGCTCTGGATACTGGGAGCATCATTTAGGCATTGCCTTAAGATCTGCTACGTAGCATGCAGTTAACTGCTTGGTCCTTGTTGGAAAGATACAGTTGGAAACCCAACTTTCATACTTACTGGCCATGGTGGACATTTATTATTCTGTTTCCCAGCATCCAAACCCCTTTATTTTATGGTGAATCTCCCATCTGAAAAGGTGGAGCCTGCCTCCCACTCTAGCAGTTGAAAATGCCAGATTCTGGCAGGGTGTGGTGGCTCATGCCTGTAATCCCAGCACTTTGGGAGGGCAAGGCAAGCAGATCACGAGGTCAAGAGATTGAGACCATCCTGGCCAACATGGTGAAACCCCGTCTCTACTAAAAATACAAAAAATTAGCTGGGTGTGGTGGTGTGCACCTGTAGTACCAGCTACCTGGGAGGCTGAAGCAGGAGAATTACTTGAACCCGGGAGGCAGAGTTTGCATTGAGCTGAGATCACACCACTGCACTCCATCCTGGCAACAGAGCAAGACTCCATCTAAAAAAAAAAAAAAAGGAAGAAAATGCCAGATTCTTCCAGTCCCTGCCTCCCTCACTTCTAAGGCACGGGAACATGACCCAGGCCCCATGTATTCCTTGAATTCAGCCTGTGTGTTGACTGTCTCTGCTTGAAAACCTGGGGTGTTTTCTGCTTTCCTGGCTGAACACTCAATGATGCTGGCTGAGCCTGTGTGCACTGTGATTCAGGCATTTTCATGGCCTTTGTGGCTTCTCTGGCCCACCCAACAACCTTTCTTTTTTTTCAGGTTCATTACAGTATATTTCATATGAAGTGATATTCACTCTTTTTAAGTGTACAGTCCTATACATTTTGGCAAAATTATACAGTTGCATAACCACCCCCACAATTGAGGTATAGACTATTTCCTTCACACCAAAAACTTCCCCTTTGCCCCTCTGCAGTCACTCCCCTCTCCCAGCCTCCAGACCCTTGCAACAATTGACCTGATTTCCTTCCTGCAGTTTTTCCTTTTCCAGAATGTTATGTAAATGGAATCATGCCGTGTGCTGCCTTTTGAGTCTGGCTTCTTTTACTTGGCATCATGTTTTTAAACCATTCACATTGTTGCATATGTAAGTAGCTTGTACCTTTTAACTGCTGAGCAGTAATTCCATTTATTTTATGAATTTATCAGAATTTGTTCATCTTTTCACCAGTCGATGGACGTTATGAACATTTAGGTTGTTTCCAGCTTGGGGTGATTATGAATGAAGCTGCTGTAAACTTTCACATATAGGTTTTGGTGTGCACACTTCTTTATTTCCTTTGGATACATACCAAGGAGTTGAATTACTGCATCGAATAGTAAATATATACATATACATAACTTTATAAGGAACTGACAGTTTGTTTGCCAAGATGGCTGTACCATTTTTCATTTCCACCAGCAATATATGAGAGTTCTAGTTGTTCCATATCCTCACCAGTATTTGATATCATCAGGTTTAAAAAATTTGAGCCATTTTATGGCCAAGAAACATATGAAAAAATGCTCAACATCACTAATGTTCAGGGAAATACAAATCAAAACCACAATGCGATATCACTTTACTCCTGCAAGAATGGCCATAATCAAAAAATAAAAAAAAATAGGCAGGGTGCGGTGGCTTACGCTTGTAATCCCAGCACTTTGGGAGGCCGAGGTGGGCGGATCACTTGAGGCCAGGAGTTTGAGACCAGCCTTGCCAACATGGTGAAACCCCGTCTCTACTAAAAATACAAAAAATTAGCCGGATGTGCTGGTGGGCGCCTGTAATCCCAGCTACTCGGGAAGCTGAGGTAGGAGAATCGCTTGAACCCAGAAGGGGGAGGTTGCAGTAAGCTGAGATCACGCCATTGCACTCTAGCCTAGGCAACAAGAGCAAAACTGCGCCTCAAAAATAATAAATAAATAAATAAATAGTAGATGTTGGCAGGGATGCAGTGAAAAGGGAACACTTCCACACTGCTGGTGGGAATGTAAACTAGTACAACCACTGTGGAAAACAGTGTGGAGATTCCTTAAAGAACTAAAAGTAGAGCTACCATTTGATCCAGCAATCCCACTACTGGGTATCTACCCAGAGGAAAAGAAGTCATTATACAAAAAAGATACTTGCACACCCATGTTTATAGCAGCACAATTTGCAATTGCAAAAATATGGAACCAGCCTGAATGCCCATCAGTCAATGAGTGGATAAATAAATTGTGGTGTATATATATATACCATGGAATACTATTCAGCCATAAAAGGGAACAAAATAATGGTATTCGCAGCAACCTGGATGGAATTGGGGGCCATCATTCTAAGTGAAGTAACCCATGAATGGAAACCAAACATCATATGTTCTCACTCATAAGTGGGAGCTAACCTATGTGGATGCAAAGGCATAAAAACGATACAGTGGACTTTGGGGACTTGGAGGAAAGGGTGGGAGGTGGCTGAGGGATAAAAGACTACAAATTGGGTACAGTGTATACTGCTTGGGTGATGGGTGCACTACAATTTCACAAATTAACACTAAAGAACTTATGTAACCAAATACCACCTGTTCCCCAAAAATCTATGGAAATTTTAAAAAATTAAAAATTAAAAACATTTTTGAGCCATTTTATAGGTGTGTGGTGATATTTCATAATGATTTCAATTTGCATTTGTCTAATTACAAATGCTGTTGAGCATCTTTTCGTGTAATTATTTGCTGTTCTCATATCTTCTTTGGTGAAATATCTGTTCAAATCTTTTGGTAATTTTTTATTGGGTTGTTTTTTTTTTTATTTTTGAGTTTTAAGAGTTCTTTATACATTATTGTTACCAGCCCTTTATCAGATTTTTTTTTACAAATACTTCCTCCCAGTCTGTGGCTTGCCTTTTTATTTTCAGAAGTCTTTCAAAAAGCAGAAGTTTTAAATTTTGATGAAGTTCATCTTATTATTTTTTTATGATTCATGCTTTTTGTTTCCTAAGAAATATTTACCTGACCCAAAGTATCAAAGATTTTCTCCTGTTTTCTAGAAGTTTTGTAGTTTACATTGACATCTATGACCTATTTCAAATTAATTTTTGTGTATGGTATGGATGGAGGTTTTTTTTTTTTTGCTTATAGATGTCCAACAGTCCCAGCACCATTGTTGAAAAGACTATGCTTTCTTTGTTGAATTGCTGTGGCACTTATGACAAAAATCAATTGATATATGTATGGGTCCATTTCTGGGTTCTATTTTTGGTTGTATTGATCTATGCATCTACCCTTTCACCAATATCAAACTGTACTGATTATTTTTATTTTTTTATTTTTTTAATTTTTTTTTGAGATGGAGTCTCGCTCTGTCGCCCAGGCTGGAGTGCAGTGGTGATCTCGGCTCTCCGCAAGCTCCGCCTCCCGGGTTCAGGCCATTCTCCTACCTCAGCCTCCCGAGTAGCTGGGACTACAGGCACCCGCCACCACGCCCGGCTAAGTTTTTGTATTTTTTTAGTAGAGACGGGGTTTCACCGTGTTAGCCAGGATGGTCTCGATCTCCTGACCTGGTGATCCGCCCTCCTCGGCCTCCCAAAGTGCTGGGATTACAGGCGTGAGCCACCGTGCCCGGCCTGTACTGATTATTATAGTTATATGATAAGTCTTGAAATCAGGTAGTATGAATCCTACAATTTTGTTCTTTATCAACATTGTTTGGGCCAATTTAGGTCCTTTGCTTTTCTATATAAATATTAGAATCAGCTTGTCAGTTTCTCCAAGAAGCCTGCTGAGATTTTGATTGAGATTGCATTGAACCTGGAGATCAATTTGGGGAGAACTAGCATCTTGACAGTGTTGAGTTTTCAGATCCATTAACATGGTATATATCACTTACGTCTTTTTTTTTTTTTTTTTTTTTTTTTTTTTGAGACAGAGCCTCACTCTTGTTGCCCAGGCTGGAGTGCAATGGCACAATCTCAGCTTACTGCAACCTTCGCCTCCTGGGTTCAAATGATTCTCCTGCCTCAGCCTCCCAAGTAGCTAGGATTACAGGCATGAGCCACCATGCCCGGTTAATTTTGTATTTTTAGTAGAGAGGGGGTTTCTCCATGTTGGTCAGGCTGATATTGAACTCCTGACCTCAGGTGATCCTCCCACCTCGGCCTCCCAAAGTGCTGGGATTATAGGCGTGAGCCACCTCGCCCAGCCCACTTAAGTCTTTTTAAAATTTCTCTCATCAGTGTTTTGTGGTTTTCAGTTTACAAATATTGCACATTATTTATCTTTAAGTACTTCATGCTTTTTGGTACTTGTAAATGGTACCTTTTTTTAAACTTTCATTTCTAATTGTTCATTGCTAGCATAAAAAAATCCAACTAAATAAATACATAGATTTTAGTATATTTATCTTGTATCCTGCATTCTTGCTACACTGACTTGTTACATCTAATAGTGTCTGGAAATTCTCTGGACTTTTCTATGTAGAAAACCATATTGTTTATAGTTTTATTTCTTCCTTATTCTTATGCCTTTTATTTCTTTTTCTGATCTCATTGTACTGACTAAGATATTAACTAGGAGTGGTAAAAGCAGACATCTTTGCGTGTTCCCCAGTCTTTGAAGGAAAGTGTCCAGTGTCTCACCACTAAATGTGATGTTAGCTATAGGTTTTTTTAGATGCTCTTTATTAGAGTGAGGAAATTTCACTTTAGTAAACTCTAGTTTTTATCATGAATAGATGTCCAACCTTTTAGTACATTTCTTTTATGCTTAAAGCAGCCAGAGATGGTGTCTGTTTCAAGTAGAAACCCTGACTGATATACCAGCCTTGCAATGTTGGGTAAGTTCCTTAACCTCACCTGATCTGAACAGAAGCCTAATGATGAAAATTTTAAGTCCTCTTAATTTTACCGCCCAAACATAGTCACCATAACAATCTTCAAACGTATCCATTGTGTTGTATAAATAGCTTGACTTCAATTTATTATTTTTCTCCCACTCCACCCTCAGTCACTTTACTGATTATATGTAATTATGTAAATAATATATACCCATTGTAAAGAAACTGAACAGTTCATTAAGATATAAAGAGAGCGAAGGTCACCTGGATGTCACCATCCTGAGATAACCGCCATTAACAATTTGGTGACCATCTATCTTCCAAGCCCCTCTTCATACATGCTCACACATACATATATGATCTTACTTAAATGAGCCCAGGATATACATGCTGTTTTATCCTCGGTGTGTTGCCGCCTCCCCTCCCATCCCACATCAGAACCCCACTTGCCTGTTTCATGGTCCTTTGGATTGACTGGGCTCAGCTGGGTGGTTCCCATATGGAGTTTCTCATGTAGTTGTAATCAAATGTTGGCTGGAGCTGTGGTCATCTGAATTCTCTTCTGGGCTGGATGTCCAAATTGGCTCACTATTGTGACTAGCAGTTGATGCTGTCACCTGGGACCTCTGCTGTAGCTGTTGACTGACGTGCCTACATGTGGCCTCTTCATGTGCCTCAGACTGTTCAAAGCAAGAAGGCCAGGTTCTAAGAGGGAGCATTCCTGGAATAAGAATTTTAAGAAACCCCAATGGAACCTGCAATGCTTCTTGCTACTTGGCTTCAGAAGTCCCAGAACATCACTTCTGCCATGTTCTATTGGTGATGCAAGTCATTAAGGCAAGCCTGAATTCAAAGGGAGGAGAATTAGACCCATGTTTCAAATGAGAGAATTAGCAAAGAATTTATGGCTATCTTTAACTTGCCACATTTATCAAACAATATGTATGTATTGAGCACCTACTACCTGCCAGGCACTATTGCAAGTGCTGAGGATACAGAGGTGACAAGACAAAGTTCCCGCTCTTATGGAGCTTACATTTGAGTGTGGGGCCACAGACAATAGAGAAGTGAACAAATAAAGCTAAACAAGCAATATATGGCCAGGCACAGTGGCTCACACCTGTAATCCCAGCACTTTGGGAGGCCGAGGCAGGCAGATCACTTGAGGTCAGGAGTTTAAGACTAGCCTGGCAAACATGGTGAAACCCCATATCTACTAAAAATACAAAAAATTAGCCATATATGGTGGCGGGCACCTGTAATCCCAGCTACGCGGGAGGCTGAGGCAGGAGAGGAGGCAGAGGTTGAAGTGAGCTAAGATTGTGCCATTGCACTCCAGCCTGGGTGACAGAGTAAGACTCTGTCTCAAAAAAACAACAACTACTAAAAAAACAAGCAATATATATATACTTACACACATATATATTGAATTAGCTAATTAAATGTGTCTCCCTTGCTCCGAAGTCCCAGAAGCTTTAGCTGTGCTTTGCTTTGGGCACTGTTGCCTTTCTCCCTTGTACTTCGGGTATTGATTTTCTGGTCAGTATATATTTTGGGGGATTGGCCATTTCTATCCCAGCCATCTCTAAGGGCTGCGTGGGAGCAGACTTTCAACAGTGACTGCACAGTGTGGCGGTTCCAAGCATGAGGGCTCTGGAGTCAGATACTGTGGGTGAAATCCCAGCTCTGCCAATCTGCCAACCGTGTGGCCTTGGGAAGTAACTTCATTTCTCTGTGCCTCAGTTTCCCCACCCATAAACAGAGGAAGTGGGGATAATCACAGAACCAATTTCCTAGAGTTTTTATGAGAACTAACATTCCTGACCCTCTCACAACAGTGCCTGGCACATAGTGGGTGCTAGATCAGTGTTTGTTGAATGAGTGAACAGCTCTTGAAGCCTCTGACAAACCTGAGTCAGCTCTTCTGCTGCAGGTGGTCCAGCCAGCATGTAGAAGCCACCCACCCACAGGCTGGCCAGCGCAAGCGTGCACAGGAGCCAGGCTAAAGTGGGCTCCATGGCGCATGTTCCCAAGTGAGCCTTTACAATGGTGATGAGCAGGCATGCTGCACCTGTCATTTCAGGAAAAATAAGCAGACATTCCCCTCAGGGGCTGCAGGGAGGCCAGCTCCACAGCCAGCACATCCCCAGGAAGGCAGTCAGGCTTCAGGAGCAGAAGCAGGCCTCACTGATAATTAACACCTCACAGCGAGAGATTTTTTGCCACAGTCAGAGCTTCGTAGTGCAGTGTCAGAATCCAAATCTCAGAACTGCATGGCCCAGGGCAGCGACTTAGCCGAGCACAGCCTCAGTTCCTGGTCTGTGAAACGGGAGTGCCAGCACTCGCCCTTCTGGGTGGTTTGTGCCAGCAACATGTTGTGAGTTCTGAGTGTCTCCACACCAGCGTTAAGCTGAATGGCTTACCTCATATGCCTTACAGGCCCGGGGAAGTAGGCTAAGGCCAGCCAGGGAAGTAGGCTAAGGCCAGCCTGGGAAGATTTGCAGGGAATTAGAGTGGGAGAGAGCAGGATTAGGGCAACCTTCCAACCAGAGGCCCAGCAGCTCCCATCTGCAAAGGACTGGTGCTCCCTTTAGCTGAGAATGGCACTTGCTGCTCTAAATGTTTACAAATGGTTGACAGGAGGAAGAGTCAGTCATGAGGTAGAGAAGCCAGCTGAGGGGATACCCTCACCTAAGGACGCAATACCTTTAAGGCCAGCACTGCCCTGTTCCCCACCTGGCCCTCCTCCAGGACCTCTCACCAGCAGGGTTACAGCCAGCATGCACCAGTTCTGCAGACGATGGCTGGTGTCATCCGGAAATGAGGAGACCTGGCTGGGTCCCTGCCCTGCCACTCACCAGGAGACCTGGGCAATCCACCTTCCCTTTCTGGGTCTCATTCCTCACTTGTATAATGAGAGTGCTGGGCCAGTGACCTGTTCAGCTGCCTAGATTGCATGCTCTGAGACAGCATGATTCAAATGGGAAGGGAAAAGATTGAGAAGAAAGGATCCATTTGGAATTCCTACCAGGTTTCAAGGCAGTAACAACAAAAAAAGAGACCAAATTGTCACCTGCGAAGAGACAGAATTCACAGTTGAACAATGATATGGTTTGGATCTGTGTCACCACCCAAATCTCATGTTGAAATGTAATCCCCGATGCTGGAGGCGGGGCCTAGTGGGAGGTGATTGGCTCATGAGGGCAGTTTCTCATAGTTTAACACATCTCCCTTCGGGTGCTGTTGTCGCGATAGTGAGTTCTCATGAGATCTGGTTGTTTTAAAGTGTGTGGCACCTCCCTCCTCTCTCTCTCTCACTCCTGCTCCAGCCATGTAAGACGTGCCTTGTTCCCCTTAGCCTTCTGCCATGATTGTAAGTTTCCTGAGGCCTCCCCAGAAGCAGAAGCCACTTTGCTTCCTGTACAGCTTGCAGAACCGTGAGCCAATTAAACCTCTTTTCTTTATAAATTACCCAGTCTCAGGTAGTTCTTTATAGCAATGTGAGAGTGGACTAATATAAATGAATAAATGATGAATGAATTAACAAATGCATAAAAGAGGAGATGAGGATGATGTACAGGACTGACCGCTAACAAGCAACAGACTTTCCTCCCAAGGACATGCAAAGGATGTAACTCAACTTACCTCCAAAGGTAAATTACAGAATCCACATGAAATCAACACAATCAGAATTATTCAAACTTTTAATAATATAAATAATTTGCATTTATTGAGCACTTATTTTTCCAGAAGACATTGTTCTTTGTGTTTTACAACTATAAGCTCATTTAATCCTTGCAATAATATAAAGTAGGTAATATTATAACCCCAATTTACAGATGATGAACTGAGGCACAGAAACATCTAAGGCTAGTCTTGTAGTCTTGCTTCGGAGCTCATGGGCTAACACTCCCAGTACTGCTTCATGGTAGTCAGAATGGCACTGAGCCCAGAGTATCCCCTGGCTATGATATTACTGAGGAGGGCACTGTTTACCTGTGCCCCCACCTCCATCATTCTCTCAAGAGTCAGAGTCCTCCACACCAAATGGGGCCAGAGAAGTTCTGAGCTTCGGGCCCCCTGGCTTCTCCAGTTAGAAACCCTGGGGTTCCCCACTGTCCTGCACCAACTCTGCCTGGTGCCACCCTCATAAGTCTGCTGGCCACAGGGGCAGTCTGGGACCCAGAGCTTCCTCCCCAGGCACCAGCAGAGGCAAGGCAGAAGACTTCGCTTCCCTGCAGCACACACAGGCCCAGTCCCCAGCCAGGATCCATACCCCACCACCAGAAGTGCATCCCCTCAAGATCAGGGGTGCCAGGCTTCCTGCAGGATGATCCCACCAGCTCAGAGACCCCCAAGTCTTGCATAACAGCTTAGGGGCCTAGAAGGGTAGATAAGAGTTCCTGTTGAGTTAGGGTCTTCATGTTAGTTCCACTACTTAAAACTGACTTCAGGCTGTAATCTCAGCACTTAGGGAGGCCAAGGTGAAAGAATTGCTTGAGGCCAGGAGTTCAAAACCAGCCTGGGCAACACAGCGAGACCCCATCTCTATTAAAAACAAAACAAAACAAAAATCTCTGAATTCAAGTAAGTCACAGGCCTTTCTCTGACTACCAGGACACACTCTCCTGGTGAGACTGGAGAGGACTGAAATATCAGATGAATTCTTCTTTTGTCACACTCTTGTGATTTCAAGCCCACATAATAACCCTAAGGGGTAAATACATTACCATTTCTCATCAACTCTACGACGCACCATTATTTTATATACCACTAAGAAAAGGGAGTGAGAACCTCTAATGAAACTTTGATGTGCAAACAATTGTAACACTTTCCCAGTTTCAGAGGTGCTGTAATATGGGCATATGCGCTTCCTGGAATGGATGAAATGTGGTGTAATCCCTATTTTATGGATTAGGAAACTACAACTTTGGTATAGGTTATTGAGTCAAGTTCATGGGGAAAATAAGGGCAAGCAGTTTTTGAGGTTTTTGCTCTGCCACCAAATCCCATGTCTTCCACCACCTGACCCGCCTTCCTTAGGGGTGTGTAAGACAGAAGAAATGGGCAGGCCAGCTTTGCAGAGACACACACATCAGTGATGGGCTATTTATGGGGAATCAGACTTTGCCTCAGGCTACCTTGGGACACTGTAATTGCAGCGAACTCAGACAGCAGATAGAATGGGGTTGGCATGCAGCAGGCAAGGCCAGGAAGGGATGATTGAAGAGCAGGGAGGAAAGGCAGGAAGAGCCCTGGGAGGAAAGAGAAGAGAGATGGTGGAGCCCTGGACCCCGCCCTCAGCTCTCCCATTCATCAACTGGGTGATCCCTGCCCTGAGCCCCATTAACAGAAGAGGAGCCAGGCATAGTGGCTCATGCCTGTAATCCCAACAACTTGGGAGGCTGAGTCAGGAGGATCAGTTGAGGCCATGAGTTTGAGACCTGCCTAGGCAACATAGTGAAATCCCCATCTCGGAGCGCCTCTGCCCAGCCGCCCCATCTGGGAGGTGAGGAGCACCTCTGCCCGGCCGCCCATCGTCTGGGATGTGAGGAGCGCCTCTGCCTGGCCGCCACCCCATCTGGGAGGTGAGGAGCGCCTCTGTCCGGCCGCCACCCCATCTGGGAAGTGAGGTGCGCCTCTGCCCGGCCGCCCCATCTGGGAAGTGAGGAGCGCCTCTGCCAGGCCACCCCGTCTGGGATGTGAGGAGCGCCTCTGCCCGGCCACCACCCCATCTGGGAGGTGAGGAGCGCCTCTGTCCAGCCGCCACCCCATCTGGGAAGTGAGGTGCGCCTCTGCCCGGCCGCCCCATCTGGGAAGTGAGGAGCGCCTCTGCCAGGCCGCCCCGTCTGGGAAGTGTACCCAACAGCTCCGAAGAGACAGCGACCATCGAGAACGGGCCATGATGACGATGGCGGTTTTGTCAAAAAGAAAAGGGGGAAATGTGGGGAAAAGAAAGAGAGATCAGATTGTTACTGTGTCTGTGTAGAAAGAAGTAGACATAGGAGACTCCATTTTGTTCTGTACTAAGAAAAATTCTTCTGCCTTGGGATGCTGTTAATCTATAACCTTACCCCCAACCCGGTGCTCTCTGAAACATGTGCTGTGTCCACTCAGGGTTAAATGGATTAAGGGCGGTGCAAGATGTGCTTTGTTAAACAGATGCTTGAAGGCAGCATGCTCGTTAAGAGTCATCAACACTCCCTAATCTCAAGTACCCAGGGACACAAACAGGGCCGAAGGCCGCAGGGACCTCTGCCTAGGAAAACCAGAGACCTTTGTTCACTTGTTTATCTGCTGACCTTCTCTCCACCATTATCCTATGACCCTGCCACATCCCCCTCTCTGAGAAACACCCAAGAATGATCAATAAATACTAAAAAAAAAAAAAAAGAAATCCCCATCTCTAAAGATACACTTAAAAATGAGCCACGTGTGGCGGCACACATCTGTTGTCCCAGCTACTCCACAGACTGAGGTGGGAAGCTCACTTGAGCCCAGGAGTTCGAGGCTGCAGTGGGCTATGACAGCACCACTGCACTGCAGCCTGGGTGACAGGGCAAGACCCTATCTCAATATAAAACAAAACAAACAAACAAAAACCAGAAACAGCCACGGGAAATCCATTTGAGGAGAATCTTCAATGAGATGCTGAATAACAATGCACTGTAAAAATGATAAAGCATTCTGGCCGGGCGCGGTGGCTCACTCCTGTAATCCCAGCACTTTGGGAGGCCGAGGCGGGCAGATCACCTGAGGTCAGGAGTTTGAGACCAGCCTGGCCAACATGGCAAAATCCCGTCTGTACTAAAAATACAAACATTAGCTGGGTGCAGTGGCTGGCACCTGTAATCCCAGCTACTCGGGAGGCTGAGGCAGGAGAATTGCTTGAACCCAGGCGGAGGCTGCAGTGAGGCGAGATCACACCACTGCACTCCAGCCTGGGGGACAGAGTGAAACTCCATCTCAAAATAAACAAATAAATAAATAAAAATAAAAAATAAAGTAAAAATTATAAAGCAGTCAGCAAATTTAAGTTTCCTAAAATAATAAGTAAAAATACACAAACCCAAGCAGCATATGGGACCCATCTCACAAAAGAAACCCCAAAATGAACTGGAGGATAGAACACTATCACACTTAAAAGAAACCCCAAAACGAACTGGAGGATAGCACGCTATCACATTTAAAAGAAACCCCAAAATGAACTGGAGGATAGCACGCTATCACTCTTAAAAGAAACCCCAAAATGAACCGGAATGCAAGTTAAGTTTTTTTGTTTTTGTTTTTGTTTTGAGACGGAGTCTCACTCTGTCGCCCAGGCTGGAGTGCAGTGGCACGATCTCAGCTCACTGCAACCTCCACCTCCCGGGTTCAAGCGATTCTTCTGCCTCAGCCTCCTGAGTAGCTGGTGGCACAGGCATGTGCCACCACACCTGGCTAATTTTTTGTATTTTTAGTAGGGATGGGGTTTCACCATGTTGGCCAGGATGGTCTAGATCTCCTGACCTCATCATCTGCCTGCCTCGGCCTCTGAAAATGCTCAAAGTACAGGGATTACAGGCGTGGGCCACCGCGTCCGGCCAAGTTAAGTCTTTATTTACTCTCATCTTTTGAAAATTGCCAAAAAGAAATTACATTCTCTTGCTTGTCTTGTGTGACACAAGTTGTATCTCTTGCAACATCAACCGGAAGCTGTGCTGAAACTCCATTCAGGCTCAATCTGTGTCTCCCTCCCTCCCTTCTTTTTCTCACCTTGAATTCCCAAAACTTAAAAGAAAACCTAACCTAACCTAACCTTATGAAGGCCTTTCTCACAATTCCTCACATTTCAGAATCTACCCTTTTTCTCTTGCAGGCAGATTTTTGCCCTTTAGAAAAAAAACCAACATTTTTTTTTTTTTTTTGAGACAGAGTTTCGCTCTGTCGCCTAGGCTGGAGTGCAGTGGCGCGATCTCGGCTCACTGCAACCTCTGCCTCCCGGGTTCAAGTGACAGTCCTGCCTCAGCCTCCTGTGTAGGTGGGACTACAGGCGCCCGCCACCACGCCCAGCTAATTTTTGTATTTTTAGCAGAGATGGGGTTTCACCATGTTGGCCAGGCTGGTCTCGAACTCCTAACCTCATATGATCCACTCACCTCGGCTTCCCAAAGTGCTGGGATTACAGACATAAGCCACTGCACCCAGTCTCAATCTACATTTTTTTGACCCTTAAAACTTATTTGATTTCATCCACCATCATAGTTAGCACACCAACCACCTAGGCCCAGAAGCTGCCCACTAGGCGAGGGTGTGGGGAGCATGTTAATACTTCTTGTTCCTGGCATATAAACATAAGCATCAAGGATCTCTTGACCTGTCACAGGGCAGCTGTCAGATTCCTGATTGGGAGGTAGGAATAATGCAAGGTCTAAGTTCTCCCAGTGACTGTTTTTAAGCTATTTCTATGGACACACAAACTTAAGATTTCTCCCCAAACTATCCCTCAGAAAAAGGGAGCTGCCTTATATTCAAGTCCTTACAAAATCTAGCATGTTACAGAAAAAGCTCTCTTGTTATCTTGAACATTAAAATACTAAGAAGATACATTAGTCTGAAGAAAATCAGTCAATGACAATTTGAAATGCTTGTAAAGATTCTGATAATCGCACGATAGAAACAATGAAAAAGGAGACAGAAATACTTAATGCTGATTTAGTCCTTACAGGGAAGGGCCTTACAATTTTGTGAGAAGTTGTTAAAAAAAAAAAAGCACACACACACACAGCCGGGCGCAGTAGCTCATGCCTGTAATCCCAGCACTTTGGGAGGCCGAGGCAAGTGGATCATTTGATATCGGGAGTTCGAGGCCAGCCTGACCAACATGGAGAAACCCCATTTATACTAAAAATACAAAATTAGCCAGGCATGGTGGCTCATACCTGTAATCCCAGCTGCTCGGGAGGCTGAGGCAGGAGAATCACTTGAACCTGGGAGGCGGAGGTTGCGGTGAGCTGAGATTGCGCCATTGCACTCCAGCCTGGGGGACAAGAGCGAAACTCCATCTCAAAACAACGACAACAACAACAACAAAATAACACACACACTTTTAAAAGACTATAGTGCTTATGATATAGAAGTCATAAATATGTTTCCACAGGAAGAATCATTCCCTGTATATCTGATGACAGCATCATGTATAGTTTCAAAAGATGTGGCCTCTCAACCAATGTGTACTGAGGTATGAAACTGTTAGAGGACTCCAGGGAATGAGGATGAAGATGCTGATGTCAGCCAGGCACCGTGGCCTGTGCCTGGAATCCCAGCACTTTGGGAGGCCGAGGCAGGCGGATCACCTGAGGTCAGGAGTTCGAGATCAGCCTGGCCAACATGGTGAAACCCCGTCTCTACTAAAAAATTAAAAAAAAATTAGCCAGGCGTGGTGGCATGTGCCGGTAATCCCAGTTACTTGGGAGGCTGAGTCCGGAGAATAGCTTGAACCCAGGAGGCGGAGGTTGCAGTGAGCCAAGATCACGCCACTGTACTCCAGCCTGGGCAACAGAGTGAGACTCCGTCTCAAAAAAAAGAAAAGAAAAAAATTATTTTTAAGACATTTGGTTTTGCTGGTTGCGGTGGCTCACGCCTATAATCCCAACACTTTGGGAGGCCGAGGTGGGCGGATCACCTGAGGTCAGGAGTTCGAGACCAGCCTGGCCAACATGGTGAAACCTGTCTCTACTAAAAATACAAAAATTAGCCAGGCGTGGTGGCAGGCGCCTGTAATCCCAGCTACTGGTGAGGCTGAGGCAGGAGAATTGCTTGAACCCGGGAGGCGGAGGTTGCAGTGAGCCGAGATTGTGCCATTGCACTCCAGCCTGGGGGACAACAGCGAGACTTTGTCTTGAAAAAAAAAGACATTTGGTTTCATCTTTTGAACTATAAATATATATATATATATATATATATGGAAAATATCTGATTTGGCAATATTTCTGCTCTACTTAGAATTCTCTGAAGACTTTTTGGTTAGAGAGAACAGTTGACTGCAAATTATCTACCACTATTGTTGTGTGATGTTTTGATTTTTCAAAGTGCTTGTTGGTCTGTCATATTTGATTCCCATCCCCAACAACCCTGCATGGTAAACAGGACACTTATCTCCAGTTTACAGGTCAGAGGAAGCTTAGGTTTAGAAAAAAATAAAAACTAACAAACATTTGTGTGGCTCTCACAGTTGTTTGGTTCTATGGGGTGGGCACTTTTTAGTGAGAACTCTTCTATTGCAAATTTTGGAAAAACCAGCTCAAACTAGCTCATACGAACAAACAAACAAACAAAGGCCGGGGGAATTCACTGGTTCATATAATAAGTTCAAGAGGTGGATTGAGGGAACCTCAAACAATATCATACTCTCTCCCTGTCTCCTGTGTGGGTGACATTCTCAGGTAGGCTGCCCCCAAGATGTGACAAAGAGGCAAAGATGATCACCACCCCCAGGATTGGATCCTGCCAGCTTTGCAGCCTGGTGGAAGACAAGGTCCTCTTCCACCACTGTTTTGGTTTGTTTGTTTGTTTGTTTTTGAGATGGAGTCTGGTTCTGTCACACAGGCTGGAGTACAGTGGCGTAATCTTGGCTCACTGCAACCTCCACCTCCCAGGTTCAAGCGAATCTCCTGCCTCGGCCTCCCAAGTAGCTGAGACCACAGGCGTGCACCACCATGCCCAGCTAATTTTTGTATTTTTGGTAGAGAAGGGGTTTCACCATGTTGGCCAGGTTGGTCTCGAACTCCTGACCTCAGGTGATCTGCCTGCCTCGGCCTCCTAAAGTGCTGGGATTACAGGCATGAGCCACCGTGCCCAGCCCACCCACCACTGTTTTTAAAGGTCTGGTGCTGGGACTCCTTGGCCTGGACCAAGTCACATTCTCAGCCCTGAACCAACCAGGCAGCTCTGCCTTGTGTCTGTCGCAGGCTCACCGCTGGCACTGGGGGTGTGGTCCTTCCCCTCAGTGCAGGGAAAGGATTGGTTTCTCAGAGGAAAACCAGGTGTTGTTACTAGCAGGAGGAGGAATGGATGCTGGATAGGCAGAAGCTGCAGATGTCCATTACAGTCACCATGCTCACCATTCAGCTGAAGCAAAGCAGCATTGCCCTGGGTCCCATAACCAGATCGCAGACTCCAGATCTCGTGGCCCATTTCTGTATGGGTGGAGACAAATTCATTCACATGCCTTAAAATGGCTGAACTGATAGCAAAACTCAGTCCATCAGCTCTCTGGCTTTAAATTCACACTCATTGTCAGAAATCCCAGCTTGCCCCCATCCTACCATGCCTTGCATTTCTGGCAAATCACCCACGACCGCCCCTGTAAAGCAACACCTTTCATTTAGAAAGAACATATTCCCAGGTACACAGTAAGTCAATGGTCGAGCCTCCCTAAGTTCTTCCTTTAGATTTGCTGGGAGGCAAAGGGAAAGCCATCCAGGGCCCAGCCTTGATTTCTACTTCTAAGGTTACCCCAACCGAGGTACTTTAATAGTTCTCCCTGCTTCCCTGTTTGTTTCCATTGCCCCGCTCTTGAGCATCTATCTATCTGTCCAGTTCTGATTGATTGAAGAGACTGCTCTGTCCATGTTCTTACACATACAACTATTCAGTGCCAAGACTGTGCCTGATTTGTTTTTCCTCCCCCAGATTCCAGCACTCTGCATGTAGGCCACTTTCAATAAATGGTTCTAACTTGCACCAGCCCCATTTTTGGGGTAACTTGAGGGTTAAGAGGCACAATGTAAGATAGACATTAGTCATTTCTATTTCTAGATTTTCTGATAACAGGTTGTTCCAGAGTGGATGGGAGCAGTTCCATAGGCATTGCATAGGAAGCAAATCTGTCTTCGGGCTGTTTTGTTAATCAAAGCATCCTTTGGTTGCTTCATGGTATTTTTTAAACAGCAATTTCTCTGGATGGTGTCCTTCTTTAGCCTAGCTCTTCCCAATAAAAAGCTCTTCTTTTGTATATCTACATCCTTTCCAGAAGGGGATATTGATGAACTGATATATTTCATTTCTCTCAAATATTTAAAGGGCCAGGCACAGTTGCTCATGCCTGTAATCCCAGCACTTTGGGAGGCTGAGGCAGATGGATCATGAGGTCAGGAGTTCGAGACCAGCCTGGCCAATATGGTGAAACCCTGTCTCTACTAAAAAATACAAAAATTAGCCGGGCATGGCGGCACATGCCTGTAGTCCCAGCTACTCAGGAGGCTGAGGCAGGAGAATTGTTTGAACCTGAGAGGCAGAGGTTGCACTGAGCCAAGATCACACCACTGCACTCCAGCCTGGGTGACAGAATGAGACTCTGTCTCAAAAAAAAAAGAAAGAAAGAGTTTAAAGGGGGAATTAATGTTTTTGAAGCCCTGCATGAGTTTTCAAAAATCTGTAGGATGGTGCATTTTTAGTAACTCCAACTAATTACCCTTCTTAAGATCAGGCTGAAACCTTTAGGTTTACCACCATTGAAAACTACCAATAAAACCAATGTATTATGAAGAGAATATGGTTTCAATATGAAAATACCTCCAGGGGACAGCCATTTGTACAAGATTTTCCCCTGTTCAGGTTTGAGGAGATCTATAGTAAATCCATCCAACAAAGGAATGTTCTTTGTAAGTGTTAAAATTATGTACACAGCTTTCTTCTTTGCTGAGAACAGTGGGCTGAATTAATGTAGTATTTGTTTTCTACTCAGTAAATTATGATGGTAATGAGGAAGGGGAGGGCCGTGTGGAGGATGACAGCTGTGGAGACCCAGAAAGGCACTCTTTTACCAGGTTTCACTTTTATTACCTATTCCCCAGTGTCTTGGATCTAAAAAATACGTGCCCTATCTATTTTTGGCATGCCCTAAGCAGCACAATATATTTGTCTTAGATGACAGAATCATAAGGTAGAAAAAGATCTCATAAATTATCCAGTTTAACCCCACCTGTATTAGTCCATTTTCACCTGCCATGAAGCAATACCTGAGACTGGGTAATTTATAAAGAAAAGAGGTTTAATTGACTCACAGTTCCACAGGGCTGGGGAGGCCTCAGGAAACTTACAATCATGGCAGATGGGGAAGCAAGCACATCCTTCTTCACAAGGTGGCAGGAGAGAGAAGTGCCAGCAGGTGAAATGCCAGATGCTTATAAAACCATCAGATCCCATGAGAACTCACTTCCTATCACGAGAACAGCATGGAGGTAACCAGCCCCATGATTCAATTACCTCCCACAACACATGGGGGTTATGGGAACTACAATTCAATATGAGATTTGGTTGGGGACACAGCCAAACCATATCATCACCCAAGGTCCATTTTACAGATAAATAAACCATGAGTCAGAGACGGCAGAGATTTGATCCCATAGAAAGTGGGAGCATCAAGCCTTCCAAATCTCTAGTCAGTGTTCTTTCTACACCAAGTACTCATCTGTTCTCACTCACCATGACTGCCATTCATTTTGGATAGCCAAGGCCTACAAGACCCTACATACTGGTGCCAAAGAAAGTGTACATGTTCTTAAATCATCTCACATAAAACCGTATTTAATATCAGAACTTGTCCAGACTTTTAAAAATGCAATGAATCATGTATTGGAAATGAGAGGGGCATAGATTGGACTACATTGCGATGTCCTCAGAGACAGGGGTCCACTTCATGCAAGGCTAGGCAGTGGGGGACCCTGGGGAAATGCCTCCAGGCAGTCTCCTCTGCCTCCTGCTCATTCTTCTTCCTCCCCTCTTTCTCCATCACCTCCTCTACTGCCTCTCTTCAGCTCCATTGTATACTGGCACTGAGGACAGAGGAGGTAAGGATTTTCGTGTGACATCCATATCATTTTCTTTCAGCTTTAGGTACTCATTGAGGAAAAAGAATTAGTAAAATTCATTGAACATGTGGAAAATTTTCATCTTTAATGCAGACCTGGGTTAGAATCTTTCCTCAGCCATTTAAATATATAGGTTCTTTCCCTTTCTTTCTTCCTTCCTTGCTTCCCTTTCCTTCCTTCCTTCATTCCTTCCTTCCTTGCTTCCCCTTCCTTCCTTCCCTCCTCCCCTTCCTTCCTTCCCTCCTCCCTTTCCTTCCTTCCCTCCTCCCCTTCCTTCCTTCCTTCCCTCCTCCCCTTCCTTCTTTCCTTCCCTCCTCCCCTTCCTTCCTTCCTTCCCTCCTCCCCTTCCTTCTTTCCTTCCCTCCTCCCCTTCCTTCCTTCCCTCCTCCCCTTCCTTCCTTCCCTCCTCCCCTTCCTTCCTTTCCTTCCTTCCTTCTTTCCTTCCTTTCTCCCTTTCTCTCTTTCTTTCTGAGATGGGCATCTCACTTTGTTGCTCAGGCTGGTATTGAATTCCTGTCCTCAAGTGACCCTCCCACCTGGGCCTCCCAAAGTTTTGGGATTACAAATATGAGCCACTGCACCCAGCCTCACACACATCTTTAGAAAATATATTACTCTGTCAAGACCAGCCTGGCCAACATGGTGAAACCCTGTCTCTACTAAAAATATAAAAATTAGCCAGGCAGTAGTGGCATGTACCTGTAATCCCAGCTACTCGGGAGGCTGAGGCCAGAGAATCGCTTGAGCCTGGGAGGTGGAGGTTGCAGTGAGCCGAGATCACACCACTGCACTCCAGTTTGGGTGACAGAGTGAGACCCTGTCTCAAAAAAAAAAGAAAAAGAAAAAGAAAAAAGAAAATATGTTATTCTGCAACTTACTGTCATTTTAATATAAACATCTTTCCAGATTAGTATGCAATATCCATCTCTCAATCTAAATTATTTTTAATGTGTTAGATATCCTGCATATAGATATACATTATCAGCTCAACTACTCCCCTATTTATGAATGTAGTTGGGCTTGCTATTGCAAACAATGCCGTAATAATGTGCCTAGCCCTGCATCTGCCATATAATAAGCCCAAATGTTAGGTTTCCTATCTTCCTTAGCTATTTTGACGCCTTCACAGTCAGAAAGGGAATTAGAATGGACGCTGAGGTTAGCAACTCCAAATACCCCACTACTAATTGTTTTGTACATCTCCCCTTGCTGAGTCTGGAAGTTTCCTTGGTTTCTGAATTCGCATTTGGCACTAGTCCTTTCCCTACTTTATTTCAAAGGCAGAGATCTCAAAATTTTACATCTGTCTGGAGTAGCTCTAACAGCAATAGAAAAATGCTCCAGAAGCGGGACAGGTAGAGCAGCATCACGCTGTGAAAGCATTTAGAACAAAGAAAACACCATGCAATTCTGGATTAAACCCCAGCTTTAACTAAGGTGACCATTGTTTCTATTTTGAAAGGGTGGTGAGGAAAAGCAAGTCAAAGCCCTAGACATAAAAAGATCCTGAATTCTCAATCCAACGACCAGAGAAGCATGGAGGTTTCCTTTTCAGAAGTATAGGAAATACACTCGTCTTGTTTTATGAGTCTCCTTTCAATCTATGCAAATGATTCCTCTTTTTTGAATGCCTATTTATTGCCACATTAGGTCTACAATTGTAGTTACTCCCTTGAAAACCTTAACTATCATAGCCCAAGAGTGTGAACTTTGGAATACACAAATATTCGAATCCATATCCTGGCTATGGCTCTTATTTACTAGTGATTGATACCCAGAGAAATGCTCAGCCTCTCTGGGTCTTCACTTACTCATCTGTATAGTGGGGATAACTGGTTAGATCTGGCATGGGCTACTAGCAAAGGATTAAACCAAAGTAATGGATGGTAAGTATATGATGCATAGTAAGTGCTCAGTAATAGTGCTCTTCAGTCTAGGCCAGCAACTAAATGGAAACACTGGGCCTAGCGTATTAAAGAGTGTATAACGTGCCCTATCACATGGCTTACAATGCATTTGCTGTCCTTTGATTTCCATGGAATTGCCAGTAGAAGTTAATCCTTTGAGAGCACTCCAGAGCTAACTAAGCTGACACTGGCCTCACATCCAAGGAAACCTAAGTTATAGAATGAAGAATTCACCCAAAACGTGAGCACTGGCATTTCTTGGGATGTCTGCTTGAGGCTAAAGCCTATGGGTGAGTTTTGGATAGTTCCACAACAGCCCTGCTTGTTCCCATTGTGAAACATATTAAATAATAATTAGGGCTGGGTGCGGTGGCTCACACCTGTTATCCCAGCACTTTGGGAGCCTGAGGCAGTCAGATCACCTGAGGTCAGGAGTTTGAGACCAGCCTGGCCAACATGGCAAAACCCCGTCTCTACTGAAAACACAAAAATTAGCTGGGCATCATGGCAGACACCTATAATCCCAACTACTCAGGAGGCTGAGATAGGAGAATAGCTTGAACTTGGGAGGCGGAGGTTGCAGTGAGCCAAGATAGTGCTGTTGCCTTCCAGCCTGGGTGACAAGAGCGAAATGCTCTCTCAAAAAATAGTAATAATAATTAGCAATAAGGTAATGAGGAAAGTGACAGTTCTAACAAATCTTTTAAAACCTTGTTCTGTCTTTCCCCGGCTGATCAGGGTCTAATATGGTCTCATAAGTTTTATGAGAGAGAGAAAGAAACCTTATTTAAAAAATAGGAGGAGGAAAGGCAAATGGAGATAATTAACATATAAGATGCTGGCACAGGAAGCAAATTCTTCAAGCAGTGATGTATTTGGGGATGACGGTGGTAGACTACTGATGCTCTCATTTAGTTGGTAAATGTTGAAGACTTACCTCCTCTTTCCCAAAGAAAGAGAGTTTACTACATGTAGAACACACAAAGCCAGGGCATGACTGGGCATGAAGGAATGCTGCAATTTACCTGATCAGCTTCGTGGATGCTTTTAGTGACCCTGAGCTCATTCCTTCATAAGGTTCTCTCTCTTCCAAAAATGAACCCTACTGCCTACTCCAACCTAAATCAAATACCCTTACTTCCTATTTGTTATTGTTTCCAGGTCCTTCAACAAGCTAGTTTCTCCCCTCTGGGCCTAAGTCCGTTATTAATGTTCCTAAAAAGTGGGACTCAGGGGCTGGGCACAGTGGCTCACACTTATAATCCCAGCACTTTGGGAGGCTGAGGTGGGCAGATCGCTTGAGCCCAGGAGTTCGAGACCAGCTTGGGCAACATGGCAAAACTCCATCTCTAAAAAAAAATAAATAAATACAAAAATCAGCCAGTCTTGGTGATGCACACCTATAGTCCCAGCTACCCAGGAGGCTGAAGTGGGAGGATCACTTGAGCACGGGAGGTAGAGGTTGCAGTGAGCCCAGATTGAGCCACTGCACTCCAGTCTGGATAACAGAGTGAGACCCTATCTCAAAAAAAAAAAAGAAAAAAGAAAAAGAAAAAGAAGTGGGATTTACCCTATTTGCAATGATTTGCTAGTATACACCATGAAGCATAATTTTATTCACAAATGTCTGCATTTCAGATTACAGAGAAAAAATTGGAAACCATCCAAAAATTGAAGAGAACTGAATAAATAACGATATAGCCACATGATGGAGTATTTGCAGCCATTAAAAGATGCTTTAAAGACAAAAAATGTTTATAAACATGGAAGATTTTTTTAAAGACATGATACAAAATTATATACATATTATATAAACATTTCGCAGAAAAAAAGATGGAGATACAACAAAATGATAAAAGTACTACATTTAGTGGCACTTTCCTGTTTGTTTTTCTATGCCTTCTAAATTTTCCATAATGTGCATTTACTACTCGTTAGAGTGGAAAGTAAAATAAAGGAAGAGTGTTTCCTGAAGGAAGGGCTTTATTCAGGGTCTTTCTTATCAGTAGAATGAAGCAGCACCACCACGACCTTTATTTTAAACAGTGTATTAGCAATTACAGAGTCTGTTCGTTTCTTAGTAATGTGGCCCTAAGTCCTTTACCTTTTTCGGCTGCTATCTTTATAGTCAGCTTATAGTCCAACAAAACCTTTTTTGTAAAACCTAAAATTCTAGACTTTATCTCTCCATTATTTTGTACCATTGGTTTAGAAAGACAGGTGACATTTCATTTTATTAGGTTTAGCCCATTGTCCAAATTTGTCAGGATCCCTTTTGGTACCAACTTTGTCTTCTCATACAAGAGCTACTTCTTCCAGTGGCAGGTCACTTGCAAATTTTCTTAACCTGCCACCAATATCCTCAAATCAGAAATTTATTAAAATGTCACATAAGGTAAAATGAGGGCAGAAACTGTGATTTCACACCAGCATAGATCCATCAATGAGCAACCTTTGAAAACAGCTTTGGAAGGGTTAGACACCCACTTCATTAAATCCCTACGCAACCCTCATCTCTCCCTCTTATCCAAAGATTTTATGAGAAATTGTTCAATGACTCTTTGGAACCAACATATAAGCATTCCTGGATAAACATGTTATAAGATTCTCATACAGCCTGTGGATTTTCTTATTTTTGACTAAGGGATACTTGTTTTCTGCTATTCTATGGGAAATAGCATAAAATCAGCAGTAAAGATAAGATTCAGTATCTCTAGATTCATGCATTACCACATTGACCAAACCAGAAAGTTTGCTGTATTTAAATTGTCTTAGGGCCAGGCATGTTGGCTCACACCTGTAATCCCAGCAGTTTGGGAGGCTGAGGCAGGTGGATCACCTGAGGTCAGGAGTTCGAGACCAGTCTGGCCAGCACAGTGAAACCCCATCTCCACTAAAACTACAAAAAATTAGCTGGGTGTGGTGGCGGGTGCCTGTAATCCCAGCTACTCGGGAGGCTGAGGCACGAGAATCGTTTGAACCCAGGAGGTGGAGGTTGCACTGAGCCAAAATTGTGCCACTGCACTCCAGCCTGGGCAACATAGCAAGATTCTATCTCAAAAAAAAAAACTGTCTTAGAAAATGTCTAAAGATAAAAATGTGTTAGACCTCTATTAGGTCATATGGTATAAATTGCACTGTTATCTAGAGGAAATTATAATACATTGGAAGTTATCTTAAAGGATTCTTATCTATAAGCTAAAAGGATAAATACTAGAGCACTTATTGGTAGGTAACATAGCATGGTAAAGGTACTGATTCACCAGTAGTCAGCTGTGTGACTGAAAAAGCCACTTGGACCCCCTGCCCCAAGAGCAAGCTTCTTTAAATTGCAAAAATGGAGATGATACCTAGCCTTAGGAGATGTACTAAAGACAGAATGAGGCAATTAATAATTGTTAACATATATTAAGGTGCTGTGTGCCACACTCTACTACTTTGCACGGTTCACATCATTTAGTCCTCACATGACCCTAGGAAGTGCTATGATGACCATCCCCATATATTCGACATGCTAAGATATAAAGTGACTGGCCTGATCCACACAGAAAGTGGTGGCCCTGGCATTTGAAGCCCCTGACTCCAGAGCCTGCACTCTTAGGACTACATCTACAGAGTTAGTATTTATTTTTTGCCTCCCAGCATCCATTCTTCCACCTTTTGGTAATAGATCCTTAAATTCTTAGAGTCCCCCTATCTGTGTCTAATCCTGGTAAGACTAACAATCAGGATGTTCATCTCTCTAGCCATGACAAAAGCCAGGCTGGATTTCCCTCGTGACATTATACATGGAGGGACCTGATTCATTCCCTCAGGAATGCCTTGAAAGCCTACTGGGGGAGGCCCCAGTGGCTCACACCAGTAACCCAGCACACTGAGAGGCCGAGGCAGCAGGATCACTCAGCCCAGGAGTGTGAGACCAACTGGGCCACATGGTGAGACTCAGTCTCTACAAAAAATACAATTAGGCCAGGCACAGTGGATCAACTGAGGTCAGGAGTTCAAGACCAGTCTGGCCAACATGGCGAAACCCCATCTCTACTAAAATACTAAAAATACAAAAATTAGCAGGGCATGGTGGTGCACACTTGTAGTCCCAGCTACTCGGGAGGCTGAGGCAGAAGAATCGCTTGAACCCAGGAGGCGGGAGTTGCAGTGCACCAAGATTGGTGCCACTGCACTCCGGCCTGGGCAACAGAGTGAGACTCTATCTCAAAAAAAAAAAAAAAAAATATATATATATATATATATATATACACATATATATATATACATATGTGTATATATATATATACGTATATATATACATATATATATACGTATATATATATACATATATATATACGTATATATATATGTATATATATATATATATTAGCTGAGCATGGTGGTACATGCTTGTAGTCCCAGCTACTCGACAGGCTAAGGTGAGAGGATCACTTGAGTCCAGGAGGTTGAGGCTGCAGTGAGCCATGTTTGTGCCACTGCATTCCCGCCTGGACAAGAGAGTGAGACTGTGTCTCAAAGAAAAGACTATTGGGCCTGCTGCCTGGATCCAAAGAGCTACCTGTGGTTACTGTCCCAATAAACCCTTTTTTCCTAAGTTAGCTAGAGATCGTTTCTTTTGCTCAAAACTGAAGAACTGATATGTCAAAACCACTACACACTGTAATGCGTATCATGTGTGAGAAGTGGAGGACTACCAACGACTATAAGCCTCAGTTTCCTCATCTGTAAGTGGAAATAACAGTACCCAAACTGCCCACAACTGTCATGATTAAATAAGACAATGCATGTGAAGTGCTTACCACAGCATTTGGTAGGTAGAAAATACTCCGTGACACCTACTACTGCTAAGTGCTCAGTTATTTTTTAGAAAAAGGGCACTTGAGCAATTATTCCCATTAGGTGAACCAAATCTCTGAAATGGAAATAATTATGGCCAAAGACTCCATTTTCCCACAGGTAGAGATAAGTTCGAATGATTATTATGCAGGTTGCCCACAGTTGTTACGTAACTGGACTCCAACCTGAGCTTTCCAAGGAATTATTTGTCCAGGGGCATATTATTCCTCCCACTACAAATTATTAAGATTGAATAGCTGACTGTTTAATAAAAGAACACCTCAGCACTCAATACAGCTAACTTGGTCCTGACACTCCTAAAACTTAAGTGGGTGGATGATCCAAATGAACTGACAGGCAGTTTTGTTTTGTTTTTGCAAGGACAGTTATAAAATAATATTAACACATTACTTAAGATCTCTAACTGTGAATGTGTCCTGGCTCAGACAGCATTTCGGATTCAGACGGCTACTCCTGCCGTACCCATTTCTCCTCTCAATATTGGGTTTACGCCTTCTTCCTTTTCATCTTTTCCTTCCTAACTCCTCTCCACAATGATCATTATTTTGTCTGACGCCTGCTTGAACATTATGTATAAGGCTTTACTATAGAATAGAAAGTCATCAGGAAAACATTTTAACAAAATAAGCAAGACAAAAACCCAAAGACTATACACAGTCCAGGACAGACCTTCAGAATCTGTTTATTTCACAATTGCTAGAGCACCATGTGAATTGGAATGCCTGCTTTGGCACTGCCATCTGAGCCAAAAGTGCCTTCTTTAAAATTCCCACTGTGGGGTTCAACTGGCAGGTGCTGTCATGGATCGAGGAAAGGGAGGAAACTTGGTCCTCACAGCAGTGATGTACGGTAGGGGGTGAGGGGCAGAGATGGAGCAAAGGAGCCAGCCACGTGGTCAGGAGGTTGGTTAATCACAGGGAAAATGAACAAATAAGCCAATGTATTGGAGACTCTGGAAGTCCAGTTTTTAAATATAGGGTGGAGAAGATACAATTGTGGAAAGGGAGAAGACTAGAATAAACTCTGTGGAGTAGATGTGAAATAGGTATCAGTGTGTACTTGTTTTTAATATATATATGGATGGATGAGGTAACAAGCATAGACGCATATATTTCCAAATTTGTCCACTGGGAGAACGCACAGTGGCAATGCTAGCACAGGGGCAATGAGCACAGCCTTTAGCATCCGGATCTTGGTTTTAAATACCATTCTCCACTAATATGAACCAGGACTCTTTGGAGAAATGGCTGATGTCAGGAGCGGGGTAGGGAAAATAGAAGACGAGCCTGGAACATCTTGTGGTGCCAGAAAGCAAGGAAGTGCTCAATGAACCATGGGGTATGTCCAAAGGACACAGGAGCTAGCTGGAAAGTGCTCTCGCTAGTCAAATCTTGGACAATGGGGGCATCAAAATAAATCATAACTTACAGATGATAAAACAGGGACCCATGTTCTATACTGATATAAATATTGAATAAATGGGGAAGAAGAGACCCCGTTTCTACAAAAACTTTAAAAATAATCTGGGTGTGGTGATGCATGCCTGTAGTCCCAGCTAACTCCAAAAGCTGAGGGGAAAATGGCATGAGCCCAGGAGTTTGAGGCTGCAGTGGGCTATGATCTCATCACTGCACTGTAGCCTGGGCAACAGAGCAAGACACTGTCTCAAAAGAAAAGAAAAGAAAAGAAAACTACCATTTGGCAATAACTGATCCAGACAAGGATCATCAATGGATGCTAAAAGTAAAGGGTAAAATTTTGAGAAATAGGATATTGAGAGTCTCAAAATAGCTACCCACAAAATACGTAATTCCTCATTAATTAATACCTGTAATAATCATTTCACTATGGATACATATACCAAAACATCATGCTGTACTTTTTAAGTTTATACCAAAAAACAAATACAAGTGGAGAAAATACTAACAGTGGAGAAATCTTGAAAACATCGTAACCAACTGTTAAAAATTAACATCACCAGTAATGGAAAAAATTGACATGATGTGCCTCCTGATACAATGCAGAGAAGAAGACAGCATCACCTCTCTGGTATTCCTGCCAAAAATTCACAACCTGAATCTAATCTTGAGGAAATATCAGACAAACCCAAAGTGCACATCATTCTACAAAGTACCTGGCCTGCATTCTTCAAAAATGTCAAGGTCACAAAAAAGGAAAAACCAAGGAACCGCTCCAGATTGAGGAAGACTAAAGGGAAAATGTAACTAAATGCGTGCTTCATCCTGATTGGACTGTGGACCAAAAAAGGAAAGGGTTATTGTAAGGATATTTTTGGAGTAAATGGCAACATTTGAATGGGGTTCGTGGATCAAATGGTAGAATTTTATCAATGCTGGTTTCCTGATTTTAAGTACTGTGGTTATGTAGGAGTGTCCTTGTTTTTAAAAAGTATACACTTAAGTATTTAGTACTAATGGGACATCACAATTGCAACTTAGTAACAAACAGTTCAAAAAATAATGTGAATACATAGCTAGAGAGTGGTATGGAAAATATGGCAAGATGTTAACAATAGAAGAATCTAGGGGAAGGATATACAGGATCTTTTGAACTATTCTACTTTTCTGTAAGTTTAAAATTATTTCAAAATAGTTAACAAATAAGACAAGTAGTATTTGAGCTGTTAGGAATTTGTCACACTGAGATTTTTGTTGTTTTTGAGACAGGGTCTCACTCTGTCACCCAGGCTGGAGTGCAGTGGCGCGATCATTAGCTCACTGAAGCCTCAATCTCAAGGGATCCTCCTGCCTCAGCCTCCTGAGTAACTGGGACTACAGGCATGAGCCACCACACCTGGCCAATTTTTCTGATTTTTAATAGAGATGAGTTCTCACTATGTTGCCCAGGTTGGTCTCAAACTCCTGAGCTCAAGCAATCCTCCTGCCTTTAGCCTCCCAAGGTGCTGGGATTACAGGTGTGAACCACTGTGCTGGGCCTACACTGATTTTTATACTATTAGAAAAATCTCTACTTAACGGTTTCATTATCTTAGGTAAAAGTATTCAATAGAATAGCTGAAATAAATGTGAAGCTTTTCTTAATAGGCAGTAATTAGATAAAATGAACAACATTCTCAATCCTCCTCATGCCACATAATTCTCTCCCTGCAAGTTTGTCTCAAAAAAAAAAAAAAAAAAAAAATCACATATAAGAAAAACCTTAAGAATTTGAATTTGGTTTTTCCTTATAACTGATAAAGAATTTACACAATCTCTTTAGACATTTATGTTTTGATATTTAAATATGAAATTTCAACTATACCATGACCTATGGGTGAAGTTGGAAATTATAGTAACCTTATAACTTCGTCATCATCTACATAATTTGATACTTTATAAAAGTATAATTCCACTACTTGTATTTTAGTTATAGTCTGATATTAAATAGTTAATGTAAAATTAAAAAATCAACCACGGTAGCAAATGTTTGTCCTGAGAGGGTTTTTAAAGTCCTTTTTCTTTTTTAGGGGGTGTGGGGGGGTCATGTAGTAACAAGTGGCAATGCCACATGAGGCTGAGACCACAATGTGTTTCTAAAATAATTTACAATATTCCTAACAAGCTTATTAAATAGACCTGAAGAGAAATGAAGTTCCAAAAATATTTAAAACAAGGGCAGTGGCAGCACCCTTGGAATAAAGTTTCCCACAGAGTTACGTCTGATAGTTTTGACTGTACAGTATGTGCTTCTTTTTGTTTTTAACATAACAATTGTCAGAGAAAAAAGAAAACACCTATGATACATTGGATATTAAAGTCAACATAACCTCAGAAAATGAGGTAGGAAGGCCTCACGAGTCCTTTATATATTCTCCACTTGAAATTATCATTATCAAAAATTTTAGTAGGATCATGGAATCCTTAACAATTTCACAAAAAAAGCACATACATTTTTGGTTCTCTTTGACTATATGGAGAGAGAAAGAGAGATGGATTCATTCATTCAAGACTCAGTGCAGTCTCAACCTCCCCAGGCTCAAGTGATCCTCCCACCTCAGCCTCCCAAATAGCTGGGACTACAGCCACCATGCCCAGCTAATTTTTCTATTTTTTGTAGAGACAGGGTTTTACCATGTTCCCCAGGCTGGTCTTGAACTCCTGAGTTCAAGCAGTATGCCTGCCTTGGCCTCCCAAAGTGCTGGGATCACAGGTGTGAGCCACGGCGTCCAGCCACGAGGAGAGATTTCAAACTCTCCAAACTTCTATTTTGCTCTTTGGAATCCCATTTTGACTTCAAGAGCTAAAATGAAATGGAGTGAATAATGAACGAAAAGCACCAAAAAATAGAGCTGTGTGTGCATGTGCGTATAGTGGTGGGGAGGAAAAGGGAAAAGCCAAGAAGATACCCTCACTTCCAGCAAAGCCCTGGGTTTTTAAATTTTGGTAATTTTTGGTATTTTCCCATAAACACAAAGTGCTTCAAGTGAGACAAAAACCAAAGAGGAGGTAAAAAAATAAACATTTGCTTGGAACTTGCCCACGTGGGAAGATTTGAATGTTCCTTCTCTAGCCGCTCCCCCTGCCCTTTTTTTTTTTTTTTTTTGGAGACAGAGTTGCGCTCTGTCGCCCAAGATGGAGTACAGTGGCGTGATCTTGGCTCACTGCAACTTCCGCATCCCGGGTTCAAGCGATTCTACTGCCTCAGCCTCCCAAGTAGCTGGGATTATAGGCACCCGTCACCACACCTGACTAATTTTTCGTAATTTTAGTAGAGATGAGGTTTCACCATGTTGGCCAGGCTGGTCTGGAACTCCTGACCTCAGATGATCCACCCGCCTCGGCCTCCCAAAGTGCTGGGATTACAGGTGTGAGCCACCACGCCTGACCTTAGTTCCCATTATTGAATCCAAATTCATTCTACATTCATTCTATGGTTACCAGAAAAAAAAAAAAAAAAAACCTGCAATTAACCTCTCAATCACTGAATTACTACCCACTGTTTATACCCTTTAAGTGATAATCAGTCCATCAATATTTTAAAGGACAATAATCTTCTGATAAAACTCTAGACTCTTACATTAATCAAAGAAAAGTACAGAAGAAGATAAGATTTACTCTTTCTCCCCCGACCTTTACTGGACACAGTATAGAATAGAAATCAATCTATTTCTCAGCATGCCACTGTCCTAAATAACAGCTGCCATTCTTAGAGAAGATAAACTGAACATATCACTCCTAAGCAAAGTGAATGTACACTAGGGAACCAAAGCAATAATGCAGTGTAGAAGCAACAATGGATTCTCTAAGACTTGGTTCCAATCCCAACTCTGCCTTTAAACAGCTGTGTGGATCTCAAGCAAATCCCTTTCCTTGTACAGGGTCATTCATTCAATACTAAAATAAGTGGGTTGAATTAGATGAGCTCTCTAGTCCCTTTCAGCACTAACATTAAAAGACTCTAAGTTATAAATGTCAACTGCTTTTTACCTCCTATTAAAAATGAGTGGGCTTTTTTGCAGAAATTGGTAAGCTGAATCTTAGGCTGAGTATGGTGGCTCACGACTGTAATCCCAGCACTTTGGGAGGCTGAGGCAGCCGGGTTACTTGATGTCAGGAGTTCGAGACCAGCCTGGTCAGCATGATGAAACCTCATCTCTATTAAAAATACAAAAATTAGCCTGGCATGGTGGCACGCGCCTGTAGTCCTAACTACTCTGGAGGCTGAGGCAGGAGAATCTCTCGAACCCAGGAGGCGGAGGTTGCAGTGAGCTGAGATTGAGCCATAGCACTCCAGCCTGGGTGACAAAGCAAGATGCTATCTCAAAAAAAAAAAAAAAGAAAAAAAAGAAATCGATAAGCAGAATCTAAACTCACATGAAAATGCAAGAGACCCAGAATAGCCAAAACAATCCTGAAGGAGAACTAAAGTTGGGGAACTCACACTTCCCCAATTTCAAAAGTTACTACAAAGCTACAGTAATGAAGACATGTGGTACTAGCATAGATATATAGATCAATGAAACATAATTTCAAGTCCAGGAACAAACCCATACACTCATGGGCAACTGATTTTAAACAGGGGTGGCAGAAAAAAATCAATGAAGAAATAGTCTTTTCAACAAATGATGCTGGGACAACTGGATATCCACATGCAAAAAAATGAAACTGGACCCCTACCTCACACCATATACAAAAATTAATGCCAGGAATGGTGACTCATGCCTGTAATCCCAGCACTTTGGGCAGCCAAAGTGGGAGTATTGTTTGAGTCTGGAAGTTTGAGATGACCAGCTTGGGCAACAGAGTGAGAAACTGTCTTCACAAAAAAATTTTAAAAATTAGTCAGGCATGGTGGCACACACTTGTAATCTCAGCTACTTGGGAGGCTGAGGTGGGAGGACTGCTTGAGGCCAGAAGGCTGAAGCTGCAGTGAGCTGTGATTGCACCAATGCACACAAGCCTGCGTGACAGAGTGAGACCCTGCCTCAAAAAGAAAATAATAATAATGATAATAATTCAAAATAAATGAAAGACCTAATGATAAGAGCCTAAACTGTAAAACTGTTAGAAAAAAAAAGAGTGTAAATCTTCATGACTTTAGATGAAGCAATGGTTTTTTAGATAGAAAAAAATTAAGTGTAAACCTTCGTGACTTTGAATGAAGGAATAGCTTTTAAGATATAAAACCAAGGCCAGGCAAGGTGGCTCACACCTGTAATCTCAGCACTTTTGGGGGCCAAGGTTGGTGGATCACTTGAGGTTAGGAGTTCAGGACCAGCCTGGCCAACATGGCAAAACCATGTCTTTACTAAAAATACAAAAATTTAGCCAGGCATGGTGGTGGGTGCCTGTAATCCCAGTACTCAGGAGGCTGAGGCAGGAGAATCCCTTTAATCTGGGAGGCAGAGGTTGCAGTGAGCTGAGACCGCGCCACTGCACTCCAGCCTGGGTGACAAAGCAAGACTCCATCTCAAAAAAAAAAAAAAAAAAAAAAAAAGATATAAAACCAAGCACAAAGAACTGAAGGGAAAAAAACAAACTGGACTTTATCAAAATTAAAAACTTTTGTGCTTCAAACTACACTACGAAGAAAGTGAAAAGACAAGCCACAGAATGGAATAAAATACTTGCAAATCAATATATAATGGTTTAGTATCCAGAAAATATATAAAAAAACTCTTACATCTCAACAGTAAAGATAAACAAATTGAAAATGGACAAAGGATATGAACATAAACAAATTGAAAATGGACAAAGGATATGAACAGATATTACTCCAAAATATATAAAAAGTCAATAAACACATGGAAAGAGGCTCCACATCATCAGTCATTAAGGAAATGCAAATCAAAACCTCAGTGAGACACTTCTTCACCCACACTATGATGACTAAAATTTAAAAAGGGAGTAATAAATGTTGTCAAGAATGAGGAGAAAATGGAACCCTCAAACACATGCTGGTGGAAATGCAAAATGTTGTAGCCACTTTGGAAAACAGCCTGGCAGCTCCTCAAAAGGTTAAGCAGAATTACTGTATGATCCAGCAATTCTAATTCTTAGATATATATCCAAGAAAATTGAAAACATATGTACATACAAAAAAAAAAAAACTTGCACATGAATGTTCAGAGCAGCATTCTTAATAGCCAAAATTTGGAATCAACTCAAATGTACATCAACGGTTGAATGGATAAGTAAAATGTGGTATATCCATTCGGTGGAATAATATTCAGTCACAAAAAGGGTACTGATACATGTTACAACAGTGATGCACTCTGAAAACATTATGCTAAGTGAAAGAAGTCAAACATAAAAGTTCATATATTGTATTATTCAATTTTTATGAAGTGTCCAGAAAATCCAAATTCAAGGAGACAGAAAGTAGATTAATGGCTGCCAGGGGTCATAGGAAGGGGGCATGAGGAGTGACTGGTAGTGGGTATGGTGTTTCTTTTTGGAGTGATGAAAGTGTTCTGGGATTATATAGTGGTAATAGTTGTACAACTCTGTAAATATACTAACACCAATGAATTGTACACTTTAGAAGAGTGAACTTTATGGTATGTAAGTTGAATCTCAATTTTTTAAAAAAGCCAAATGGCTCACCTTAAAAAATTGATTTCCTCACTTCTGTTTCAGGCCACCCAAGATATTTCTAAAAATATAGAAATGTTTACAATGATATTTGACATTTATAATCCTACAGCAACAAATACTACAATCAAATTTCATTTTAACCAAATTATTTGCAGATATCAGTTGATAGTCCACGTTATACCTATACTTGCTTCTAAATAACAAAGATCTGAAAATTCCGTCTACAGTCATACCACCCTGAACGCGCCCCATCTCATCTGAAAATTCCACTGAGTTCATGATTTATCTCATAGTCATCTTTAAAATTTATATTTTCTGAAGTAATTGAAGCTAAAACAAAGTCTTCATTTGAGAAATTTTAGTAATATTGTCATCTAGAAACAGGTAAAAGTATTGCTCTTGCAATGATTATTATTTAGCACAGCCATCTTAAGGCAATACTTTAAAATTTAATTCCTGTTCATAGGACAAGGTGAGGCAAGAAACAATTTTTCAGTATTGGTATTCATATTAGTCTGTTCTCACACTGCTATAAAGAATTGCCTGAGACTGGGTAATTTATAAAGTAAACACGTTTAATTGACTCACAGTCCCACAGGCTGGGGAGGCCTCATGAAACTTACAATCATGGTGGAAGGGGAAGCAAACACATCCTTCTTCACATGGCAGCAGGAAGAAGTGCCAAGCAAAGGGGGAAAATTCCCTTACAAAACCATCAGATCTTGGGCCAGGAGCAGTGGCTCACGCCTGTAATCCCAGCACTTTGGGAGGCCCAGGCGGGCGGATCACCTGAGGTCGGGAGTTTGAGGCCAGCCTAACCAACATGGAGAAACCCCGTCTCTACTAAAAATACAAAATTAGCTGGGCGTGGTGGTGCATGCCTGTAATCCCAGCTACTCGAGATGCTGAGGCAGGAGAATCGCTTGAACCCAGGAGGCAGAGGTTGCGGTGAGCCGAGATCGTGTGCCATTGCACTCCAGTCTGGGCAACAAGAGCAAAACTCCATCTCAAAAAACAAAAAACAAAACAAAAAAAAACACCCATCAGATCTCATGAGAACTCACCATCACAAGAACAGCATGAGGGTAACCACCACCATGATTAAATTACTGCCCACTGGGTCCCTCCCACAACACGTAGGGATTATGGGAACTATTAACACAATTCAATTTGGTGGGGACACAGCCAAACTGTATCAGTATTACAATACAATATGCAAACCAGATGCTTTAAATCATAAAACAAATTCAGATTTTCGTTCCCCTGGAATATAAATAGCATTATAGGGCTTAATCTATACAGTAATAAGAGTTTAAGTGAAATTTTTCCAAAGCACTAAAAAGAAAACATACTCTTTATATTTGCCTTTTGTAACATTGTTTTATCTGGTTTTCCATATCAAAAGTCTGTAAACTTTGCATTAACACTATAATCTACAATAGTAGCTTTATAAGCATTTGAAATAGAATGAAATAGTAATTCGAGTCTGATATTACTGGGTTGTTCCACACATAGTTAAATAAGATCGATCCTTCCAAAAATCTAAGGGTAGGCTAGTTGTGGTGATTCATGCCTGTAATCCCAGCACTTTGGGAGGCCTAGGTGGGTGGATCGCTTGAGGTCAGGAGTTTGAGACCAGCCTGGCCAACATGGTGAAACCCTGTCTCTACCAAAAATATAAAAATTAGCCAGGTGCAGTGGCATGTGCCCGTAGTCCCAGCTACTTGGGAGGCTGAGGTGGGAGAATCACTTGAACCCTGGAGGAAGAGGTTATAGTGAGCCAAAATCTCACCACTGCACTCCAGCCTGGGTGACTCTGTCTCAAAAAAAAATTAAGAGTAAAGAAGAGGGCTTAACCATTTGAGAAATAAACATCAAGGTCTGCCATTCTAAAAAAGCATTAATGGATTACAATAGTTTCAATAGTTTACATGGTTTTCACTCTTTAAGTTCAATGAAAATTGCATATATTGTTTTTACTCTTGAACACAGTGGTTAATACTATATCAGGGTGGTTAGTCACAAGAAAGACGCAAATACAGAAAGGATAACCTTATCCAACTTCAGTATTATTTTAGTAGTAATGTGTATAAAATCCAACCACTGCTTGGGTGACCTTAGGAGACAGCAAGCCTAAGAGATGAAAACATTTACACCTTTTAATTAAATTACACTGTCACCACATAAAAGTGTGAGGTTCAACATTTGTTTTCTTAAAAACAGAGCACTAAACAGTTTAACACAGGACCTAACTTACGGCTAAGATGTTTCTAAAATGTATGCAGAACCCTTAAGACTATACTGCATCAAGTAGTTCTTTTGAATTATGTATACTCAAATGATGGTGTTATAATTTACATTGAAATGCCACAACAAAATCTTGATAAAACAAGATATAGGAGAAATAAAAATTAATTTCTGAACCAAATGTGTACTACCTTACCCTAGAGTAAATCACTGGGAAATACAGGCAGAAAACAGACATCCTGCCTGTGAAAACAATTGCATATTCAAACTGGAGAGAGTCATAGCACGTATGCTTTTAAAAGTAAGTTTCGAAAAACTGTTTTATCAGTTTTGTTTTTTTTTTGGAGCATGTCTTTTCTAAATAATTCTCACTTATCATTCCAGAAAATATAACAAACAGTTTGTAAGAACTCATGCAAAAATGTTTCTCTAAGGCCATAAATTGGTTTGCTAAGTTGCATTGTTTTATTCAAGTAAAAAGCCCTTCTAGAGAACAAGGAGTCTGTAAAGAAAACCAATCACCTTCAACTCTTGGGCCTGTACACCTGTTAGGAGCTCTATCACTCTGAAAGCCAAAAGATAGAATGCTCATTTGAGCATTTGCAAAATGTTCTCTATTTATATTTTTAAAAATCTGATACATGTAAGTTTTTCTGGCAGATTCTTTTTGTATGTTACAAAACAAAACATCAAAAGCTCAGAGTAAGATAAGAATCCCTTTTTCTTAGAAAGGTCAAGCAGATACTTCTTGACATCATGTCCTTTATACAATGGCATATTGTTCATATAAAAGGTCTCTTATCCTATAAAAATCTTGACAAAGGCAGCCTTCTAATCCAATGCGTCCAGTTTCCGTCTAGAAACCAAATAAAAAAAATTCTTTAGTACATTTTCTATTCATTAATATGCAGACATAATAACCGAAATATATGAAATAGATTACTTTATGATTGGTCAGGACATGGGTTGCTCTGATTCACAGCATATGGATATAATATTGAAGTCATGAATTTTACATAGACATAAATGTCAGAAGATTCAAATAATTAAAATTTACAATAAAATTATATATCATTTCTTCAAGAGTCTTTCATAAGCCTTCAAGTCAATAAGACTTCTGTAAGCCTTTGAGGTCATGATCATGAATATAAATTACTGATCTTCAGTTTTGTGAAAATACCAAACAAGAATTACAGAATTTCAAAATGACAAAACATCAGACGTATGTGTTCAATTCAGCCCTTATTGAAAACACACTTACTCTGCGGACTGCTACTTGATTGTTGCAAACAAGTACACCTCCTACAAATTCAGCTTGAATCCCCTCCCGTAAGAGAACTTGCTTGAAGTCTGACAGCCTTGGTTCATTCATAAAAACTGACTGATGTCCAGGAACCTTAGATAAGGTCAAAGGGGAAAGAATAACTTCAAGTAAAACACCAGACATACAACTGTACTGAATAAAGTAAAATACTACATTATCTCTAAGAGATTTTCTATTATTCCCTGAAGTCCTTTGACAGATCATTTCAAGACTGTAAATCACATTCCAAGTTGTTATTCTAAATTTTACCCCATTATTTAACATTATTTAACAAAGCCCTTCACATTTTCTGTTTCACAATCAGTTTTGTTAGTCATGCCTCATCATAACAGAGACGTTTGGTAATGTTAGGCTCTTCACTCACCCACTTGCATAATGGGGTCAACTAGCGTGCCATGGGCAGGACTGAACCAAAAATTCATTTTCTAGATCCCAGTCATTTGCTTACTTCAAAAGACGTTTCCTCCCCAATCCCATTTTCCCTGTCCCTCCTTCCTCAGAGCAAATGTAATGGATGCCATAGGTTCTACAATCAGTAACGAAAGTGGTTCTTGCCTAATGCTGCTGCTTTCTGCTTTGACATTACTTTGAAGAGCATTAGCTTTAGCACAGAAGAAAAAAATATTCTTATTCCTCCTCCCAATTTTGAGGGTTGTACTAGAAGGGAATCCAACAACAGAGGCTGTCTCTCTATTCTTAATTTCATAGTAGGGCTGAAGACATCACTTGACATGCATGTAGGATTCATAGTTTTAATATTTTTCCAAGTTTAATTACCTAGAATCTTGCTAGTTAACTAGATACCTCTCAAGAATATGTAAATGCTAGACTAAATTATATCTATACTTAAAGATTTCTAACTATATCAAAACCAAAAGTTATTTGAACTGAATAACATAAAAAAATGGAGGTATGACTATTGGCTGGGTGCATTGGCTCACGCCTGTAATCCCAGCACTTTGGGAGGCTGAGATGGGTGGATCACCTGAGGTCAGGAGTTCAAGACCAGCCTGGCCAACATGGCAAAACCCCGTTTCTACTAAAAGTACAAAAACTAGCCGGGCCCAGTGGCTCATGCCTGTAATCCCAGCTACTTGGGAGGCTGAGGCAGGAGAATCGCTTGAACCCGGGAGGCGGAGGTTGCAGTGAGACAAGATCACACCACTGCACTCAATCCTGGGCAACAGAGCGAGACTCCATCTCAAAAAACAAAACAAAACAAAAAAAAAACAGTATGACTTTCTTAGAAAACTATAAATCTCCTGACTGGAAGCAGGCAGGTGATCCTCACAATCATCAAACTTAAAATTTAAAAATCCAGACCAAAAAAAAAAAATCATGAAACAATTATGTACCTTAAAAGATTTGCTAAAGATATGTCATTCCTTAGCTATATAGAATTAATATATACACAGAGACATACACACAGAAGCATGTCACAAGTTCTCTTTTTTAAAAACTCCAAAATCAGCCCAAATGTGAGACATATTTTATGTTCAAGACAGGGTCTCACTCTATCATATAGGCTAGATGCAGTGGCACAATTGTGGCTCACTGTAGTCTCGAACTCCTGAGCTCAAGCAATCCTCCTGCCTCAGCCTTCTAAGCTGAGATTACAGGTGCATGCCACCATGCCGACTAGGTTTCTGACAGGGTGTCCCTATAATCAGGCTGATGTAGAGCTCCTGGCCTCAAGCAATTCTCCCACCTCAGCCTCCCAAAGTGCTGGGATTACAGGCGTGAGTCACTGCCCCCAGCTGACATATATTTTAAATGGTTAAAAATATAAAAGGTTCCACAGACCCACTTAGTTTTAGAAGGGGGGAAAAAAACCAAAAGACATGAAAACTAGAAGGATGACAAATTCAGGAAGAAATCAAAAAAGCACATGCTTTTTTTACCTCATGAGGTGGCAAGGGTTCCAAAGTAGGAATGATCTCACTTTCTTCACCTGTTTCTTTTTCATCATCTCCGAACAGACTTTTCATGGCCTTTTGTTGTGCTATAACGCTAGAATCTGAGGGAGCTTCCACTTGCATCTCTGAGTCTTCTCCATCATCCTTTAGTTCTCCTTCTTCTAAAATAACCCCTGTGTCCACTTTGGAAACTCTCATATCTAAGACACCATCTATCCAAGCTAATTCAGCATCTTTTGCCTTACAAAACTGAAGAGAGCTGACAAGTGAGTCTTTTAACCTCACCTAGACATGCAAAGGAGGGGGAGAGAAATAAAACCCACAGAATACATATTAACAAATTAAATATAACCTATTATCATTTTCTACCTCTGGTAATATGTTAAAATTGGAAAATCTTTCACTCATCTGAGTCCCACAATGACCTGCAATGACCTCATTACCTGCAGATCATTGGGCCCCTGCCTACTTTCCAAAATAGAGATTCTTAACCCTGACTACAAAATGGAATCACATGGCAATTAAAACAAAAAGTATATCAGAGCGTCATATCCAGTGTTTCTAACATAACTGGTAAGATTAAGACCAGAAAAACTGAGTCCCTCTGACCCTCACGAAGCTCCCCAGATGATTCTTATGTGCAGTCAAGGTTGAGAACCACTGATCACTCCCATCCTCTAGTACTTGGCATACTTCAGTAGGTACTGAACTGCTTGTCCTTTCCTGAATATACCACAGAATTTCACATCTCCATATTCTTGGAAGGTTGCTTCTTCTTACTCTGCCCAGAATAAATTTCCTGCCTGGTATGTGCACATCCATTTCTTCCAGATATAGACATCACTCTGGCCTTAAACTGACACCATCTCCCATTACCAGACAAAATTTATCTCTCTACTGTGCTAGTCCTATATTTGGTATCCATCTCCATTTGTTCCAATTAGGAGTAGAACCTTGATATCCGGGAATTCTTCTAAAACTTTTGAATTCTTAATCATTTTCCTCACCTCTGTACTTTTGCAAATATGGTTCCCTCTGCCTAGAACGCTCTTCCCCCCCTTTCCTACTCTGTCTGTCCTGACAACCCATCTAAACATCAGTTAGGATTAGTTATCACTTCCTGTAGGAAACCTTTTCTAAACCTCTAAATGTGGGTGGTTTCCCCTCTTGATACTCTCATAGCATCCTGTACTTCTTCTCTCAGTGGCACAACAACATGATAAATGGTATTTCCTTGTTCTAAGCCCCATACCCTATGAGGTCTGCTAGGGCAGGAGACCATCCATGTCTGTCTCACACATCTCGGTATTTCTAATGTTATCTGTCCTAACCTGCAACAAAAAGTACTTATTTCTACTCAATGGCAACTCCTGGCATGTTTACCTGGTAGATGTGAGTTTCACTAGTGGCATCAACTGTTTCATGTAGCTTTGGCATGTACACTTTAATATCTTTCCCACCAAAGGCGCGACAGCACTCTGCCAGATCTTGACTGGCCTCTGGTGGGCCATGGACGATGATCAACTGTCGTGGTTTCATCTGATTAATGATTTTTTTAATGGAATCCCCATCAGAGCGTCCTTCATAGTCTATGTAGGTAACCCGGGCTCTGTAATTAGATATGATTATTCAAGATTACTTTTCTCATAATTCTAAAAAAAAATGGCTTTTATCATGTATACAATATATAACACTAGGATTTGAGAAATACACATGTTATAGTATCTGTATGATTTATTTTATTTTTGTTTTTATTTTTCTGAGATTGGGTCTCGCTCTTTTGCCCAGGCTAGAGTGCAGTAGCATGATCTTCGCTCATTGCAACCTCTACCTCCCAGGTTCAAGTGATTCTCCTGACTCAGCCTCCCAAGTAACTGGGATTATAGGCATGCACCACCACGCAGGGATAATTTTGCATTTTCAGTAGAGATGAGATTTCACCATGTTGGCCAGGCTGGTCTCAAACTCCTGATCTCGAGTGATCAGCCTATCTCGGCCTACCAAAGTGCTGGGATTACAGGCATCAGCCACCGTGCCCGGCCCTATCTGTATTATTTAGATTTTATCTACACCCAAAAATATATACTAAATGATATTACTGGACAAATAAAAAACTTTGTTCTCTGATGACTTAAAAGAAATTCCAAAATGATCACTTACTGGTATTATTTAACTAAGTAGAAAGCGGGAGAAAAAAGGTTTCTAACTACTTCAGATCACAACAGTATTTTCCAGACATTAGGGTCTTAGAGATGTTTAAGTTAAGGAGTATATTTTATGAAACAAGCAGTTACTCAGAAAAATTAAACTGTGAGTCACATTATTCCCTTTCACCTGCTTACAGAATAAAAAGGCCAAAAATAATTTTTCTTCATATAAATGTACAATTTAATGTTACAATTTAAGCACCCCCCACCACCACCAATTCAATTACTTTGGCATTCAAATACCATTAATGAAGAGAAAATATCATGCCACCATACTTCACAAGTCTCTTCATACAAAAATAAATTTTAAAAGCACAAACTTACTAAAGAATATTCAGAAATTTTGCTTGACATAATGTAAATTATATAATTCAAATGCTTGAAATTTTATCTTATAATCTATTTTCAAAATGTCACAAAAGCACTTACTTTATTTCAATAGACTCTGTTGTAGAAATACATTTAGTAGGAACATCAGATAAATCCTGATCCATAGGTTCATCTCCATTTGTCAAACCAGATTCTAATTTGCTTTTTTCTTCTTCAGTAGCTTGAAGCTCTGGCACTAAGAAATCCTCTGGTCTAAATAATAAGTCTCTAATTAGAAGCAGTAAAAAGCAAGCTAATACTACATAACATATATGACTAGTAGGTGGCATAATTTTTGGAGTCCTCACATATCTCAAGATTTAAATATACATTTCATCCAAAGCTGATGCAATTTCATATCAATTACCAGATGGCTGTATGTATTGCGTTTTTTGGTTTTTTTTGAGGTAGAGTCTCCCTCTGTCACCCAGGCTGGAGTGTGGTGGCGCCATCTCGGCTCACTGCAACCTCCGCCTCCCTGTTCAAGCAATTCTCTGCCTCAGCCCCCAGAGTAGCTAGGATTACAGGTGCCTGCCATCACGCCCGGCTAATTTTTTTGTATTTTTAGTGGAGATGTGGTTTCACCATCTTGGCCAGGCTGGTCCTGAACTCCTGACCTCATGATCCACCTGCCTCGGCCTCCCAAAGTGCTGGGATTACAGGCGTGAGCCACCACACCTGGCCTGTATCATGTTTTTCTTTTTTTATTTTCCACACAGGATAGTAGTGTTTTCAAATTTGCAATTACAACATGTGATTGCAGTTGTTTTTCTAATAGTCAGTATAGATTTTGTAGATTTTTCCATGATTTCACTCATGCTATCTCACATTCCTCTTAATCTCATAAAACTTGTATAATACTTAAGACATAATCCATTGGAAATGCAATCACCAGCCATCCAAAGTTCTTTTTTTTTTTTTAAAGATAGAGATGGGGGTCTCACTATATTGCCTGGGCTGGTCTCAAACTCCTGAGCTCAAGTGATCCTCCCATCTCGGCCTCCCAAAGTGTTGGGATTACAGGCATGAGCCACCACACACAGCCCCAAAGTTCTTCCTATCCTACATCTTCCTCTCTTTTTAAGTGGGGGAAAAAAGTCTTGATCACGTGATCATGTTTTTAAACCTTTACACAACTAAGTCATAAACTGCCAGTTTTCTCTCAATATTCTCTAGATGTTTCTCAGCATCTCTATTTTTATGTTTCAAGTTACAAGTCTTCTGTGTCTTCAGGCTGAGGTACTCAGAAGCTAACCCCATACATGTGACTAGAAAGATCAAGTGAAAGATCAAATTCACTGAAATGAAATGATAACACAGTTAATACCTCCAATTTGTAAGAGAGAAAAGTTTGTTTTGCTCACATACTTGATAATCTCTCCATATTCATCCCATTTAATTCTTTCTTCTGGGGCAGGAAACATAGGATAGGACTTTTTTGCCTGTTTGAAAAAACTTCCTTTACGACTGCCTTCACCTTTCATCATCAAGTCATGCTTCGTCTTATGAGCTGATGGCTGGTCAATATCTTCCTCAATATCACTCTCATCACTGGAATCTATATCTGCCCTAGGAGGATTTTAGAATAGATCAAGGTCATAAAGTTTCAAAGATATTTTAAATTAATATTTATCAATTTATTACTGAATCCATACTCAATATTATTAATTCAATATTAAATGATAATATACAGTTATGTCGGTCAACAACAATAGACCACATATACAACAGAGGTCCCATAAGATTACTGTACCTTTTCTATGTTTAGATACATTTAGATACACAAATACTTAACATTGTGTTACAATGGCCTACAGTATTCAGTACAGTAACATGCTGTACAGGTTTGTAGCCTAGGAACAATGGGCCATATCATATACTCTGGATACACAGTAGGCTATACCATCAAGGTTTGTGTAAACATATATCCTAATGTTTGCACAATGACTAAATCCCCTAACGACACTTTTCTCAGAACTGTCCCCATCATTAAGTGATGCATGACTGGAATAACATTCAACTTTATTGGACTGACATTTTATAAAACATAACAAATAAATGCATAATAATATTAGCACTGACAGGATCTGGTATTCTAGACATTTGAAAGATGTCTGTAACAAAATTAAGTCTTACGAAAATTTAAAAATATTTTCAATGAAACATTTAAGTCAAGGACACATTCTTCTCAAATTGCATCCATAAATTTATAATCTGTCTGAAAATGACTCACTCTTTTGACTGCTCAAGCTTTTTGGCAGCTTCTTTCTTTAGTTTCTCTTTTTCCAAGTATTCTTCAAGTTCTTTCCCTTCAAGCTTCACACGTTTCCTCAACTAAAAAAAAATAAAAGACAAAAGGAAATGTTAATATGTTAATATTAGGGGGTTAAAGCAGTGGGATATGAGATACATCACATCTCTAAATTGCTCTATCATCTTTAAACTGATTGTTTCCTCTGAAATTAATCAAGTTTCCATTACATACAATTATAGGTCCTATTTAGATTAGTATTAAAATTGAGCTGTCACACATCATCTAGAATGGGTTTAATTTAAATCAAACTGGTTGGCCAGGCACAGTAGCTCACACCTATAATCCTAGCACTGTGGGAGGACTGCTTGAGGCCAGGAGTTCAAGACCAGCCTGGGCAACATAGGTTGACTCTGTCTCTAGGAATAATTTAAAAATTAGCTGGGAGGCTGGGCACGGTGGCTCACACCTATAATCCTAGCACTTTGCAAGGCAGGAAAATCACTTGAGTTTGAGACTAGCCTGGGCAACATAATGAGACTTTGTCTCCACATAAAAAAAAAAAAAAAAAAAAGCCAGGAGTGGTGGCATGTGCCTGTTGTCCCCGCTACTCAGGTGGTTAAAGTGGAAGATCACTTGAGCCTGGGAGGTCAAGGCTGCAGTGAGCTGTGCTCACACCACTGTACTCCAGCCTGGGTGACAAAGCAATACTCTGTCTCAGAAAAAAAAAAAAAAAAGCCAGTAGTGGTAGCATGCACCTGTAGTCCCAGCTACTCAGAGACTGAGTATCACTTGAGTCTGAGACTGAGGATCACTTCAGTCTGACAGAGCAAGACCCTGTCTCAATCAACCAAACAATCAAACTGGTTAAAAATCACCAATCAGGAAAAGAAAATACAGATAAGCATTTTTATAATTTGGAGTAGGTGAGGCCCAAAAGCCATAATGGGAAACATAAATAAATACAGCAACATGAATAAAGAAAAACTCCCTTTGACATTTTAAATCTCAAAATAAGAAACTGAAAAGAAAAACAAAAAAGAAACAGAAAAATATTTTCAGCACTACGACCAATAAAAATGATTTTTTCCTAAGAGCTCTTCCAAATTAGTTAAGAAAAGGATGATCAACACATGAAAAAGCACAAGATACTTAAAAAGGCAATTTACAAAATAAGAAAGACAAATAACTACTGGCCATGAAAAGATCCTTAATTTTACTAATTTTTGAAAAGCACAAAATATAAAAAACATAATTGTTTTCATCTATGAGATTGGCAATGCCATACATGGGGAAAGAGTACCTTCTTCCATTATCTGTTGGAAAATTAGTGCAACTATGTTAAAAGGCAATTTGCTAACATCTAAAAATAAAATTTGACATTTGACACAGTATTTCTACTTCTAGGAATTTATCCTACTGAAACAATCACAAATGTGTAAAAAAAAAGTACATTCGTACATTGCAGCAATGCTTATAGTAGTAAAAAACTGGACAAAATTTTAAAATCCATCAAAATGGAATGATTAAATCAGTAGTTCTCATATATTTATCTCAGGACTACCTTAGACTCCTAAAAATTAGAGAACCCCAAAGAGCTTTTTGTTTTTGTGGGTTATATTTATCAATGTCTACCTTATCAGAAATTAAAACTGAGCAATTTTTAAAATATTTATCTGTTCATTTAAAAAATAATAAAACCAGCAGGGCATGGTGGCTTATACCTGTAATCCTAGTACTTTGGGAGGTCGAGGCAGGCAGATCACCTAAGGTCAGGAGTCCGAGACCAGCCTGGCCAACATGGTGAAACCCCGTCTCTACTATAAATATAAAAAGTAGCCAGGCATGGTGGCACATGCCTGTAATCCCAGTTACCCAGGAAGCTGAGGCAGGAGAATCGCTGGAACCTGGGAGGCGGAAACTGCAGTGAGCCATAATCGCACCATTACACTCCAGCTTGGACAACAGAGTGAGACTCCAGCTCAAAAATAAATAAATTAATAATAATAATAGGCCGGGCGCGACGGCTCACACCTGTAATCCCAGCACTGTGGGAGGTCGAGGCGGGCAGATCACCTAAGGTCGGGAATTCGAGACAAGCCTGATCAATATGGAGAAAGCCCATCTCTACTAAAAATACAAAATTAGCCGGGCGTGATGGCACATGCCTGTAATCTCAGCTACTAGGGAGGCTGAGGCAGGAGAATCACTTGAACCTGGGAGGCGGAGGTTGCAGTGAGCCGAGATGGCACCATTGCGCTCCAGCCTGGGCAACAAGAGCGAAACTACATCTCAAAAATGAAAAAATAATAATAAATAAATAATAAATAAAACCACATGGCAACATTAACAGATTTTTACAAAAAATAATTACATTTTCCAAAGCAAAAAAAAGATAGTGGGAAGAACGGCATTTTTTTTTTTTTTTTTGAGACAGGGTCTTGCTCCATTGCCCAGGCTGGAGTGCAGTGGTGCAATTATAGCTCACTGCAGCTCAATCTTCCAGCCTCAAGCGATCCTCCCACTTCAGCCATCCACCACTCCCAGCTAATTTTTGTATTTTTTTTGTAGAGACCGAGTCTTGACATGCTGCCCAAGCTGGTCTCAAACTCCTGGAGTCAAGCAATCTGCCCTCCTCAGCCTCTCAAAGTGCTGGGATTACAGTCATGAGCCACCGCACCTGGCCTATAGCATTATTCTATATTTTTGCAAATCTCTTTAATGTCTAGCTCAACAGAAGACAGCTGGATTCTCACATTTGCTTCTCCATTCAGTCTCTTGCAATATGTTGTTTTGGTTAAAGTATATGAAGAAAATCCAGGCTTATACGCATGTATAGTTGAAAAGGGAAAAATATGTAAATAGTCCTTTCATGGATATTATTCTTTGATACTACATTAAAACTCAGAAAGTGGTAGTTTCTTCAAGGTTAGTTTTAACGCAGAACCTGAAACCATACTAATAGACTTTTTATACTCTGTTGTGTTAATTTTTTTTTTTTTTTATGTATCTTACACTCTTGTTTTTTGTTTTGTTTTGTTTTGTTTTTGAGACAGGGTCTCACTCTGTTGCCTACGATGAGTGCAGTGGCATGATCACTGCTCACTGCAGCCTCGAACTCCCAGGTTCAAGCAACCCTTCTACCTCCCAGCCTCCTGAATAGCTGCGACCACAGATGTGCACCACCATGCCCAGCTGATTTTTAATTTTTTGTAGAGACAAGGTCTCGCTATGTTATCCAGACTAGTCTTGAACTCCTGAACTGAAGCCATCCTCCTGCCTCTGCCTCCCAAAGTGCTGGGATTACAGGTGTGAGCCACTGTGCCCAGCCTGTATTTTAAATTTTGAATGGATCTTTTAATTTGTGCATTATTTTCTAACATAATTAATTGGTTATTTGGAAAATACTAGTTCACCAAGTTATCCAGATCTTACAAATGTTGACAATATTTTTAAAATCACATTTGTAAATATCACCACCAATCTTATCAGAAGTCTTTTCAGTTTAAGTTGTCAATCTCACAGTGCTGGGTATAAGTTTTCCAAAATTCTAAATTTTCATTTGAAAATTAGAATTTTATCAGATTTAAGCCAACAAATGCTGTCAATTGTTTTCTTTAGAGTGACAGGCTCAATGTATTAATTTTCAAGAAAATGTCTGCCAAATACCCAAATCTGAATAACCCTGTCATTATTTCACATAAAAATGGTGTTCCAGACTGGGCACAGTGATTCATGCCTGTAATTCTAGCACTTTGGGAGTCGGAGGTGAGAGGATTGCTTGAGGCCAGTTCGAGACCATATGGGCAGCGTAGCAAGACCCAGTCTCTACAAAAAAGAATTAAAAATTACAGGTGTGGTGAAACACACCCGTAGTCCTAGCTGGTAGGAAGGCTGAGGCAGGAGGGTCACATGAACGCAGAAGTTCAAGGATGTGGTGAGCCATGATTGTGCCTCTGCACTCCAACCTGGGCAACAGAGACCCAAACTCAAAAAAAAAAAACACACACACAAAACAGGGCCTGGTGCGGTGACTCGCGCCTGTAATCCCAACACTTTGGGAGGCCGAGGCAGGTGGATCGCCTGAGGTCAGGAGTTCGAGACCAGCCTGGCCAACATAGTGAAACCCCATCTCTACTAAAAATATGAAAAAAAAAAATTAGCTGGGCAACGTGGCACACACCTGTAGTCCCAGCTACTTGGGAGGCTGAGGCAGGAGAATCGCTTGAACCCGGGAAGTAGAGGTTGCAGTGAGCCGAGCGCTCCAGCCTGGCGACAGAGCAAGGCTCCGTCTCAAACACAAGAAAAAAAAAATACCAACAAAAAAAAGGTGTTCCCAGAAAAAAGTGGCTAGTTTAACTCACGACTCAAATAAACATACAAGTGTTTTTCTTGGAGATAGCCATTGTACTTTAGTACACAACGCAAATTCTTTATTAATACTTCCCATCTTGTCACCCAAATTATTTTAAAAAATCTTTTACTAGGCCAGGCGCAGTGACTCATGCCTGTGATCCCAGCACTTTGGGATGCTGAGGCAGACGGATCACAAAGTCAGGAGATCAAGACCATCCTGGTTAACATGGTGAAACAATGTCTCTACTAAAACTACAAAAAATCAGCCAGGCGTGGTGGCACACACCTGTAGTCCCAGCTACTCAGGAGGCTGAAGCAGGAGAATCACTTGAACCTGGGAGGCGGAGGTTGCAGTGAGCCGAGATCGTACCACTGCACTCCAGCCTAGACGACAGAGCAAGACCCATCTCAAAAAAAAACAAAAAAACTTTTACTGAAAGAACTTAGTAATATTAGTAACTTTTACTATTCCCTCAAGGACTTTTTTTTCTTTTTTGTAGAGACAGGGTCTCGCTATGCTGCCCAGACTGGTCTCAAACTCCTGGCCTCAAGCAATCCTCTCACCTCAGCCTCCCAAAGTGCTGGGATTACAAGCATGAGCCAGTATGTCTGGCCCCTCAAAGACATTCTCTTTCAAATTTCTTTTGTTTAATATACCTTTATACTTCGTAGAGGCAGAGTGTTGCTGTTGCCCAGGCTGGTCTGAAACTCCTGGCCTCAGGTGAACCTCCCATCTTAGCCTCGCAAAGTGTTAGGAATAGGCATGGGCCATGACGCCCAGCCTCTCAAGGACATTCTTAAGTGAAACTAGCATTTTTTTTTTAATGACGTGTATGTACGGTGGTGAAAAATGCAGTGGCTACTAGTGGAGTTTTAGGCCAAGGTGTAAGCACTTTATGCACCACTGATCTTACTCATCAGTACAAATGTAGGCACAGTGAAAAGGCAAATATCATCTTACCAGTATTATGAAAAATAGTTTTGGCTTTGTGGACTCCCTGAAAGGGTCTCAGGGACTCCCAGGCGTCCTCAAACCACACTTTTGAGAACCACGAGATTAAATAATCACAGCACACATATACAATGTACTATTATAAAATTACTAAAAAGCTTACATTTATTTATCCAAAAACATTTAAATGTTTGTAATATACCAGGTACTATGTAAGGTAGACCCATATCTTCTTACATTGTTCAAGAAGGACTCAAGTGAAAATACAAGTCTCAGGGTATGTGGAATACATGATAATTTGGTCCCATCTCTCTCTCTCTACATATATATATATACATTTCTTTCTTTTTTTTTTTTTTTTGAGAAGAGGCCTTGCTATATCGCCCAGGCTTGCCTTAAACTCCTAGGCTCAAGCAATCCTCTTGCCTCAATAGCTGGGACTACAGCCACATGCCACCACACCTTGCTCCCATCTCTTTAAAAAAATAAAATAAAAACCAGGTATTAGTATATCAATAAGAAAAAAAAAACCCAGAATATATATGCTTCAAAAATGTCAACAGTTATGACAATTAAATGCAGTATGTAGTCATGGATGCGAACCTGGACAAAAAAGGAAAGGGTAATTATAAAGGACATTGTGGTCATCGGTAAAAGGTGAATGCTGAATGGGGTCAATGGGTGAAATGGTAGGATGGTATCAATGTTGATTTCCTGATTTCAATGGATGTAACACAGTTTTGCTGGAGATTGCCCTTGTTTTTAGGTAACACACACTGGCAATATTTAGAGATAATGATAAAATATTTGCAATTTTTCTTCAAATGGTTCAGAAAAAGTAATATTGTGTTTATGTGTATATAAGTGATAAAGCAAATCCAGTAAAATGTTGACAATTGGGGAATCTGGGTATAATATTTTTGTAACTTTCCTGTTTGAAATTTTTTCAAAATTAAAAGTAATGGAAAAGGGGGAATCTCTCTGAAACTATTCTAGTTCAGGGGCTGCCCAGTGGGGTAAGGGGAGGGGAGACAAGTAAAAACAAAAAAATTAAACCAAAATCAGATTATTTTCATGTATAAAATAAATGGGTGATTTACATGTTTAAGGCCAGGAGCAGTGGCTCACACCTATAATACCCACACTTTGGGAGGCCAAGGTGGGAGAATTGTTTGAGGCCAGTAGTTCAAGACCAGCTTGGGCAACACAGCAAGTTCCCATCTCTATAAATTTTTTTTTAAATTAGCTGGGCATGGCGGCACATGCCTGCAGTGCGAACTAATTGGGAGGCTTAAGCAGGAGGCGCGCTTGAGCCCAAGAGTTCAAGACTGCAGTGAGCTATGATCATGCAACTGCACTCCAGCCTGGGTGACAGGGAATGACATGACCCTGTCTCAAAAAATAAAAAGTTAAAATAAACAAATAAATACATGTTTATATTTGGCATCTCACATTTGCCTAATAACTTATTTGAAAATAAGTTTCATTCAGAAAATAGTGGGTTTTTTTTAAAAACAGTTAGCAACCTACATAGATGCCTTTTACCCACCAATAATCTTTAACAAAGTATTTACCTCTGTGATTTAGTTTATGCCTGTTGCTATAATAAATTTTTATCTCCATCTTATTTTTCATTTAAAATATGTAAGATTAATGGCTTATTCAGAAACAGATTTCTAGAATAACCAACTCAAAAATATTTTTCTTCCTACTCCTTCACCGTATTACCTCCAACTTACTCCTTTTTCTAATCCAAATCTACTCCAACCTATTAATCCTTCGTTGTTCATTTTTGCTTTTTCTAAATGAGTAAGACTTGACTTAGAAGGGCATTAGATATAGATGAAAAAATACCATACTTGGTAAACTTTTCTTATCTAACATAATCAGAAATCTAGTTTATTCCATATTCACTTTTTTGATTATTCATGAATTCAACCAGTGCACTCACTGAAGCCCTCCAATATGTCAGGCACAGTTCTGGGTGCTAGGGATACCAAAAAACAAGGGCCTTTTTCTCATGGAATTCATATTCTAGTTGATGGTGGGAAGAGGAAGACAACAAAAAAGAAATACATCAGATGGTGATGAGTGCTAGGAAAAATACTTCAAGTAAGGTGATGGGCAGCTAAACCAGGCAGGTATTTTAAATCTGTAGTCAAAGGCCTACCTGAGGGGGTTAAACCTGAGGCCTGAATGACCAGGAGCCAGCCATGCGCAAAGCCAGGAAAGAACACTATAGGCAGAAGAACAGCTAGTACAAAGATCCTGATGCACCGTAGGGCATAGAGAAAGTGGAATAAGCTAAGGTCAGAAGGTAGGTGGGGATTAGATCATATGGGATCTAAGAAGCCTGTGTAAGTAGCATGGATTTTATTGAAAGAGAAGAAGGAAGGCTTTGGAGCCATTTAAGCAAGTGAATGACATGAAATGATGAATGTTTAAAAGCTCTCTCTGGGAGCTGTTATCCAATAGGTACAGAGTTTCAGTTTTGCTACATGAAAAAGTTTTAGAGATCTGTCATACAACAATGTACATATAGTTAACACTACTGTACTGTACACATAAAAATGGTTAAGAGAGTGAACTGTATGTGTTTTTGTTTGTTTTTTGAGATGGAGTCTCGCTCTGTCACCCAGGTTGGAGTGCAGTGGCGCGATCCTGGCTCACTGCAATCTCCACCTCTCAGGTTCAAGCGATTCTCCTGCCTCAGCCTCCCGAGTAGCTGGGATTACAGGCGCCCACCACCACGCCAGGCTAATTTTTTGTATTTTTAGTAGAGACAGGGTTTCACTTTGTTGGCCAGGCTGGTCTCGAACTCCTGACCTCGTGATCCGCCCACCTCTGCCTCCCAAAGTGCTGGGATTACAGGCGTGAGCCACCACGCCCAGCCCTCTATTTCTTTTTTTACCATTTCTATTTTTTACCTTAGTTGGATCTGCCCAACATGCCACAGAAATATTCTATTTCTCGATCAGGGTACAGGCTAGACAGGTGCATTCAATTTTTGTAAAAGTTCATCATGCTATACACTTAACGTAGGTTTTGGTACATATTACGATTCAGTGAACATTTTTTAAACTTCCAAATTTTTGGCTTGAATATGTGGGAAGTGCTGTCTGAGATAAGACAGAACAGTATTGGGAGTAGGGGAAGAATAAAAATTGTTTTGGATGTGATCAAGTAGAGGGAAAACTGCTAGATAATGAAGATAGGAGGGATAACTGCAAAAGAACTATCGCTAAGAAGGTGAGCAAGAAAAGGTCCCTGAGCATCAGCATTAGTTATTAAAAAGGTCAAAAACTTAACATTTGATGTTTTGGCTGTTTCTCATTTCTTTAGCATGCTTCTAAACATCATTGTCTATTTTTTTCCAAACTTAAACCATTTTTCTTTTACTAATTCCTCAAATGGTTTATTAGACCTAATTGAATTTCTAGTAATTAAAATTTTCAAATTCAGTATTTCCTATCTGATGAAATTGTTTCAAGTATTTCTTAGTTCTTTTAACCTTGTATTTCTGAGCTACTAAATAACCCCAAAGACACCATTTTACTTTGCTATACTTGCTCAGAATCCTTGCTCAACAATTCTATAATTATAGTACATATATCTCAGATTTTAGTTACTGATGTTATGATTTTCTTAAGTAGAGTTGGCAGACAGATATCTCTACCACATAGCTTTTAACAAACTAAACTTTCCTTAAAATGACTGCTAAGGGCCAGGTGCAGTGGTTCATGTATAATCCCAGCACTTTGGAAGGTGGAGTGGGTTAGGGGGTGGTGTAGGGACAGCTTGAGCCTAAGAGTTTGAGGGTACAGTGAGCTATGATGGTGCCACTGCACTCCAGGCTGGGTGACAGAGTGAGAGTCTGTCTCTAATTAAATAATTATATGAGTGCTACAAAGACAAAATGAGAAGCAGCTTTATGATACTGCTTTATGTTAAGGTTTGTTACAGTTCTATGTTAAGGTTTAGTCAGCTAAACCTTTGTACAACTCTGGCAGTTATTAACCATCCCACTATATCAATTGCTACAAACTTTAATGATATACTAATTTTGAAAAATCGATAGATTTGATGGGCTGGTTATTAAGCAAATGATCTTTGGGTATACTGGTTAGTGAGCTAATAGTCTTGTTCCTATAACAAGAGATAAGGCAGCAAATGCAGATGCAGAATCAAGTTAGTACATTTAGTGGTGGAAAGATAAAGGAATTCCTGACTCACTGCTTTGACTTCTACATTAAGTTTGAGACAAGATCATGTGCTATGAATGAAGGCTGAGAGTGAGCTGTAGGATGTTTGAGGAGAAAGAAGATATACAATTACCTTACCGTGAGAAAGGGAACATCCTACCAAATGCTGAGTACTGGTATGGGGTCCCCTTTTGAGATGTGAAGTTATGAATGTGAAAACAAATCTGTCTACACCATAATGTTTAACTTCAGAAACATAAAGCTGCTTAAGTACAGGCACAAACCAAGCAAATGGTTTAACTAAGGTCAAAGCCTTTCCAGGCAACTAAAACAGAAGTGTAGGAGAGTTAAATGTATTTGCAAAATTTTGCTTAATTGTGGACCACTGAGTTTAAGGCTGGAAGGATGACAGACTGTAAAAGGTGAGGTTCACGAACTGAAAGTCCCAATGGAACAGAAGAGTTGTTGTCATGGGAATAATAGGGAAAGTCAGCTGTAAATTCAGAATGATATGCTTGAGGTGGAGAACTGGAGACCGTTCAGCCATAAGAAGGTTACAGGCAATGACCACAGGAGCAGATAGCATGATAGCAGGAATGGATGTCTGAGGTAAGACGAAGGAAAAGATTAAGAAATAAGGTGCCAAGTAACTGAGAAGAACCAGACAGATCATACACATGGATGCTAAAGTCAATGAGAATAAAGTCCTGAACACAAGTGGACAGGAAGACTGTGAATCAGGGTCAAATGATGAATGAGTAACAGAATGACCAAGAGATCATTAAATGTCAGAAACAAGGAGGGGTCAGCATATCAGCAGGTCTGAAGGCAAAAACTGCAAATGGAAGATAAGTAGCTAGGAAGCTGCAATACAGAACAAGGAAGACGTGTACTCCATTCAAAGTACATGAAACACTGAAAGAAAGAGTAATTACTTCAGGGGGCTACAGGATAAAGAACGTCTTTAGGAAAGAGTCTGATTTAAATTAAGCAAGAGACAGGAAAGGAACCTTTCACAGATTGAGAAAACCCTGTATATGCTTACCCTCTGGGTAAACTAGAGGGTACCACGGAAAAGTTTAAGAATGAGAATTTCTTTTGAGACCACCCATGGCAACATAATGAGACAACGTCTTTCCAAAAAATAAAAATAAAAAAATAGCCAGGCATGGTGGCACATGTCTATGGTTCCAGCTACTTAGGAGGCTGAGGGAGGAGGATCCTTTAAGCCCAGGAGTTTGAGGCTGCACGGAACTATGATAGCACCACTGCACTCTAGACTAGGTAACAAAGCAAGACCCCATCTCAAAGAAGAATGAGAACCTCCAGTTAAGGAACTCTGAAATTTGTGCTATTAAAGGCTCTCTTCCACAGTAGTTTTTTTTTAAGAGATGGGGGGTGGGTCTTGGCATGTTGCCCAGGCTGACCTCAAATTCCTGGGCTCGAGTGGTCCTTCCGCCTCAGCCTCCCGAGTAGCTGGCACTACAGCACACACCACCACTCCTGGCTCTCAAGAGTAATTCTGATAAAAATCCTAAAACAATTTCAAGTTTTATTTTTGGTCACTATTTTTTTACATCATGCACAATGTATCCCCCAAACAGTTTTAAGATAAAGTTCACATACAAGTGCTTACCTCTATTTCTGTAATTTTTTCAGAAGGATTATCAATTAGGAAACGTGCTAAAGTCCCAGGAGTAGTTCTGTAGGTTAGAATGATTGAGTTTTTAGGGTCCTGACACCACTGAATAAAGAGATCCCTTGAAAATCCGCATTCCAGGTCAGGTTGGCTGGCAAGTACAACTTTAGGGCTAGGTACACGGGCCAAGTCAGAAAGACCATGACATAAAGAGAGATGGCGAAACTGAAACGGATTATTTCTTTTGTCTTCAAAACATCTCATCAATTTATCACTCATCCATTCTACCTAACATGGGGGGAAAGATGACAAGAATTAGAAATACTATATTATAACTTCAATATATTCTCTAATAGTCAAGGAATTCAAGTTCTATCTTTTACCCCCACTGGTTGCTTAAATTTGTACTGTTTTGACAAGCAGCTTATTTTCTGCTTCCATTTCCCATTAGATTATCCCACCCTCACTTTCATCCCAAAGAAAACCAATTTTGCATTATATTTCACATATAAATCACCTTAAATCTTTTTGAAAAGGCAAGGTATATGTTCTAAATGAAAATCTTACTCCCAAAGATTGCTATTTCAAGGCAAAAAGCTTATTTAAAAGAAAGAACAATGAATTCTAACATGCCAATGCTATGAGGTAGGTTCTATTTTTGTCCCCATTTTACAGACTGGGATACTAAGAGTTAGAAGGGAAGCAATTTGCCTAATCTTTAAAACAGGGACACAATGGAAACTACTTAATAGAATAAATAGGGATTAAATTAAATAATACATTTAAAGCACACAGGACAGTAAATGGTTAATGCCAAGTTATCATCTTATTAACAATCTCTTCAAGAGAAAAATAAAATCCAAAAAACATTTAAGACGCCCACTTCCACAGACCCAATCACTGTAGCAAACTTATTACAAGTGACAACATGAGAACAAACCTGGGACTTAGAAAACTCCACCACATTGTAACTGACATTATTTAGGAGTGCCAATGAGTAAACACCCAATCCTGCATCTTTAGTCCTCCAAATCTGATCAAGAAGTTGAGCAAGTTCCAAAACTCTGCCTGCTGTGTCCACTGCTATTAACACATTTCCATCACCTCGAAGTGTTTCCAGGACATTTGCTAGAAAACAAGAATGTAAAATCCCCATAGAACGTAACAATACTATGCTACAAAATTAAAGATAATTTTATCTCCCTGTTTTTATTAGAAAGACTATAATTTACAAATAAGCAACTACTAGGCCAAGTACAAAATGAAGGAATTTTGTTCAGGTCATTACAACTGCTTTTGATTCTGTTGAATATCTCTTCATATATTCAGTGTCATTAACTCTCAATCTTTCTTCATTAAAAAATTATAAATCAGTAGTCCTCAACACTTTATACATCATAATACACATAGAAAATGGTGTGTGTATCACTGAGAAAATTGTATGACCAGGCCAAATGTAACCAGCCTGGTGTTTCCGGGCTACCCTGGTCTCGCCTATCCACCCCAGTGAACTCCGTTATGATGAATTCCCAAATTTATATACATACATATATACACTCACATAATTATATATACAGCCATCCCTCAGTACCCATGGGTACTGGCCCCGGGACTCCCACGAATACCAAAACCATCAGATGCCCAGGTCCCTCAAATAAAATGGTGGCCAGGCGCAATGGCTCACACCTGTAATCCCAGCAGTTTGGGAAGTCAAGGCAAGAGGATGGCTTGAGTCCAGGAGTTCAAGACCAGCCTGGACAACATAGGGAGATCCCGTCTCTATAAAAATAAACAAATTAGCCGGGCATGGTGGCACATGCCTGTGGTCTTAGCTATGTGGGAAGCTAGAGGGAGACTGCTTGAGCCCAGGAGTTTGAGGCTGCAGAGAGTCGTGATTGTGCCACTACACTCCAGCATGTACAACAGAGAAAGACTTTGCCTCAAAAAAACAATATATCTGCATATAACCTACGTACATCCTCCTATATACTTTAAATCATCTCTAGATTGCTTATAATACCTAATACAGTGTACATGCTATGTAAATGGTTGTTACACTGTTTTTTTTTACTTATATTTTTTAAACTATTGCATTATCTTCTTTTATTGTTTTTTCAAATATTTTCAATCCACAGTTAGTTGAATCCTCAGATGTGGAACAGCAGCTACAAAGGCCAACTATGTATGATACATAGTTTGTATGTATGTATGCCTATAGAATAAAATATAGATCATATTCCCTTCCAACAAGTATATCTTTATGGATTTCCTTCCTCTAGATGAAAGTCCCCTTGGAAATATGTGGTAAAACTGAACTCTAGCAAAACTAAGACTTAAAGAGCCGCTACTTTTTTTGTTTTTCAGTTTGTTTGTTTGTTGAGACAGGGTCTCGCTCTGTCACCCAGGCTGGAGTGCAGTGGTGTGATCATAGCTCACTGCAGCCTCAACCTCCTGGCCTCAAGCAATCCTCCCACCCCAGCCTCCCAAGCAGCTGGAACTACGGGCCTGTACCACCACGTCTGGCAAAAATTTTCTTTTTTTTTGTAGAGATGGGGATTGCGGCCAGGCATGGTGGCTCACACCTATAATCCCAGCACTTTGGGAGGCCAAGGCAGGCAGATCATGAGGTCAAGAGATCGAGACCATCCTGGCCAACATGGTGAAACCCCGTCTCTACTAAAAATACAAAAAATTAGCCGGGCATGGTTGCACACGCCTGTAATCCCAGCTACTCGGGAGGCTGAGGCAGGAGAACCACCTGAACCCAGGAGGTGGAGGTTGCAATGAGCCGAGATCGCGCCACTGCACTCCAGCCTGGCGACAGAGCGAGACTACATCTCAAAAAAAAAAAAAAAAAGAGATGGGGGTCTCACTATGTTACCCAGGCTGGTCTTGAACTGCTGGCTTCAAGCCATCATCTTGCCTCAGCCTCCCAAAGTGTTGACCATTGACCACAATGTCAGGCGTGAACCACAGTGTCTGGCTTGAGCTTCTTAAAGTTGGTGCAACACGGTATATTATTAATAGTTACACTTTTAGTGGCAGGGCGCGGTGGCTCACGCCTGTAATCCCAGCACTTTGGGAGGCCGAGGTGGGCGGATCACAAGGTCAAGAGATCAAGACCATCCTGGCCAACATGGTGAAACCCCGTCTCTATTAAAAGTACAAAAATTAGCTGGGCGTAGTGGCGCACACCTGTAATCCCAGCTACCTGGGAGGCTGAGGCAGGAGAATCACTTGAACCCGGGAGGCAGAGGTTGCAGTGAACCGGGATTGTGCCACTACACTCCAGCCTGGCGACAGAGCAAGACTCCATCTCAAAAAAAAAAAAAAAAAAAAAATAGTTGTACTTTTAAAGTAGATGAACTAAAAACAATGGTTGAAAACATGTTTAAAAATGGAATCCAATTTTCCCTGCTGAAATCCCTTATAGCTTATTTAAAAAGAATATAAGGCCAGGTGCAGTGGTTTACGCCTGTAATCCCAACACTTTGGGAGGCTGAGGCAGGAGGATCACCTGAGGTCAGGAGTTCAACACCAGCCTGGCCAACATGGCGAAACCCCATCTCCACTAAAAATATAAAAATTAGCTGGGCATGGTGGCGCATGCCTGTAATCCCAGCTACTTGGGAGGCTGAGGCAGAAGAATCACTTCAACCCGGGAAGTGAAGGTTGCAGTGAGCCGAGACTGTGCCACTGCACTCCAGCCTGGGCAACAGAGCAAGACACCATCTCAAAAAAAAAAAAAAAAAGAATGTAAGATGAAGCAAGCAGCAATGGCCTACTATATTAAAGTGTAAAACACCCAAAATTAGTGGAATATTTACAGCCTCATTTATCCACTTAGCTCTTTGTTCATTTTTCTTTTTTTTTTTGAGACGGAGTCTCACTCTGTAGCCCAGGCTGGAGTGCAGTGGCCAGATCTCAGCTCACTGCAAGCTCCGCCTTCCGGGTTTACGCCATTCTCCTGCCTCAGCCTCCTGAGTAGCTGGGATTACATGCACCCGCCACCACGCCCGGCTAATTTTTTGTATATTTAGTAGAGACGGGGTTTCACCGTGTTAGCCAGGATGGTCTCAATCTCCTGACCTCATGATCCGCCTGCCTCAGCCTCCCAAAGTGGTGGGATTACAGGCGTGAGCCACTGCACCTGGCCTCATTTTTCTTTTAGAGTATATTTTTCTAATAGATTTGTACGAGGTCTTTACATACAGACATATGCCAGTGAGTGCCAGGGATAGCTAGCTATGTACTGACTGGCAAAAAGAAGCCAATCTTTACACACTGTTCCACAAAAGTTAAATTCAAACCAGCTAAGTTTCTTCTTATACAAAAACTGATGGTCACATAATATTTTTTTCAAAAATACTAAAGTTAACCAATCTCTTATGACCAAGAAAAGTGCTAAACAGAATACAGTCATTCCCACTACCATGCATTTCCACAGCTCCTTGAAAAGGACATTATACATTGGGTACAACATTCACGATTCTGGAGACGGATACAGTAAAAGGCCAAACTTCACCACTGTGCAACGTATGCATTAAGAAACCTATACTTGTGGCCGGGCGTGGTGGCTCATGCCTGTAATCCCAGCACTTTGGGAGGCCAAGGCAGGTGGATCACCTGAGGTCAGAAATTCAAGACCAGCCTGGCCAACATGGAGAAACCCTGTCTCCACTAAAAATACAAAAATTAGCTGGGCGTGGTGGTGCACACCTGTAATCCCAGCTACTCGGGAGGCTGAGGCACAAGAATCACTTGAACCCAGGAGGCGGAAGTTACAGTGAGCCGAGATCGCGCCACTTCACTCCAGCCTGGGTGAAAGAGCGAAAGTCCGTCTCAAAAAAAAAAAGAAACCTGTACTTTTATGTACTTATATTCCCTAAATATACAAAAAGTTACAAAATAATAATAATAATAAGGACGTGAAAGAATACGTACTCAGAAGCTGCTCATCTCTCTGTTTTCTTCTAGGCTGTACATATGTAGCATTGAATGAATCTGTGATAAGTAGGGAAGGCCTGCTTAGCATTTCCAGGGAACATCCATTTAAATGGCTATAAGAAAGTTTAAGAAGAGGAATATTTTATATCATTTCAAGTAAACAATAATAGCTTCTCTTACTTAAAAAATAAGCAGCTTCATTTATAAGGTGTTCCCTCCTCTAACTATAAAAGTAGACATGCTCATTGATAAGAAATCCAGTAACTTCAAAAAAGTATAAAGAAGAAAATAAAAATCTTCCAGAGTACCATTACTCAGAGATAACTGACATAATATTTTGGTGTACATCCTGCTAACCATATAAGTTTTTCTATGCACATATGTATTTTTTTTATTTTTCTTTTTGCCCTGTCTTATGGTAAGTACTGATATACATATGTATTTTACAAAGCTGATATCCCATATACATTCCTATACGCTCAGTTCTATATCCTGGTTTTTACCCAGGACATAAAAATTTTTTTCTAAACTAAATGTTTAACAGTTATAAAAACATTTTATTGTGTCTACACTGTATTTGATCCTTTCCCTTTACTGATATTTCGGTCACTTATTTTTGCCATTATAATCTTCCAAAGAACATTTTTTACAAAAGCTTCAATTGCATTTCTGATTGTTTCTTTAGGTCACATTCCTAAAAATGTATTTACTGTTAATACATAGTACTGCTAAAAGGCTTTCCAGCAAGATTTAACCTCATCCAGAAAAGTTCAATCAAAAAGACTGACCAATTCTACATACTTCCCAGAAGAAAATCACCATTTAAAAATAATTTTGGACTAGTGCAGTGGCTCATGCCTGTAATCCCAACACTTTGGGAGACAGAGGTGGGCAGATCACTGGAGCCCAGTAGTTCAAGACCAGCCTGGGCAGCATGGCAAAACCTCATCTCTACTAAAATTACAAAAATAGCCAGGCATGTTAGAGCGCACCTGTAGTCCTAGCTACTTGGGAGGCTAAAATGGGAAGATTGCTTGAAGCTGGGAGGTCGACACTACAGTGAGCCGTGATTGTGCCTCCAGCCTCGGTGACAGAGTGAGACTCTGTTTCAAAAAAATACATAAAAATATAAATAAGAATAATAATAATTTTAATGGTATCTAACAAAAAAAGATCATTTAAATTTTCTCTTTTGACTTTATAACTTTTGTCCATCTTGCAACTGGTATATTTTTATTAATAAATTAATACTTGATCTTATATATATGTTGTAAGTTTTTGGGCAACTTGCTGCAAATATTTTCCTACTTTGATTTTTTTTTTTATTTGTTGTTTCAGACATTTGAACCTGTATGTCATCAAATCTATCAAACTTTTACTTTGTAACTTGGTTCATTATTTTTATGCTTACAAAGTCTTTTCCAAATCAGAGATCAGACTCACCAATATTGCTTCATTTCTATTTAGTTCTAATCCATCTGAAATTTCTTTTGTTATATAATTAAAAGGACACAAATTGATTTTTTTCCAAAATGGTTGAATCCTTCAATACCATTTACTCAAATAGCCATGCTGCAGTTTGCCACGGTTACTACGAGACTGAACGAAGGAGGACGAATGCAGAAATGAAAACTTAAAACAAAAGTAACTATTTTAAAGGAAGGGGTCAGGAGAAGAAGAAGAGAGCTCCCTGCTTCTAGTGAGCAAAGGGAGCTGCCTTCAGCTTCTACAGCCCTTCATATTTATTGGGTAGAAAGAGCAGGGAGGACGAGGTAACAATTGGTCAGCTGCTTAATTGATCACAGGTTCACATTACTGCTAACAGGCTTCAGATGTGTCTAATCACAAGAAACACCTGCACCTGAGGCCTGACTGCCCTCAGCATTCCTTCTGGGTGGCAGACACAGTTTGTCAGTTTGCCAATTTTCTGCGTTTATGCGAACAGTTTGCTGTTTACTCATATAGCCTCCAGTGGTATACTGAGTTGATCACGACCCTCACTCTTTTGCCCTGCAACATAGCCATCCTTTCCTCATTAATCTATGGTTATAAGTGTCTAAAATTCAGTCTATTTGTCTTAAATATTTCTTAATATAAAGATCCTGAGACTATTGTAATGTAACACAAAATAGCTATGAACTTAATGTACAGATAAAACAAAACGAGCCTGTAAGAGACTAAACACCAAAATATTATATAGTAATGCTCTGAGTGCCACATGAAGTGTGTAAAATCATAACTAGAATTGAGTTCCCTTTCAAAGGGACTAACTTTAAACATACAGGGCAGTTATATTAGATGGTAATTACATTATGTGCAAGGCAACTCCTGTTTCTAAAACTATCAGATCTCGTGAAACCCATTCACTATCACAAGAACAGCACGGGAAAGACCCAACCTCATAATTCAATCATCTCCCACCGGGTCCCACCCACAACATGTGGGAATTATGGGAGCTATAAGATGAGATTTGGGTGGGGACACAGAGCCAAACCATATCACGTTACAAAACAAAAGAACAACCCATCCACAAAGTTGTGTTAAATAGCAGGTCAAGAACATGTAATTTGATACGTAAAAAATTCATCTCCTTTGCAACATCTCCAGGGAGATACCCGTTTTGTAGAGTGTATACTTAACCTATAAATTTTTAAAATCTCTTATGTCTTATACCATACTTTCCCCCTTACTATGCAAATAATTAATTTTGAAAACACTCCCTATTTGACGGTTTTAAGTTGCTCTAAATTTCTGGTAACCAAAACAAAAACTGTGTTTCTTATTTTTTCTCCAAAGAATAAAATAATACCAATTGCATTGCCTTTAGCTTTTCTCTTGATATACCTACATCTCCCTCTTGTGGTTGAAGTCAACTGCATAAACAATTTCTTCTTCTCCATCTTTGACTATTTTCCATATTGTTCCACCTATCATATGACCAGCTGGCAGAGGTGTGATAGACAGGCCATGTCCTTTACCTATGTCAACAAGATAACAATACTCAGATTTCTTTTACAACCCTAAAGAAAGGTTATTTATTTCTCAACTATAATATTTTAATAGGTAATACTGTATATGCAATAATACAAATTTCAAAAGTAAAAATGCATATAGTGAAAGCAGGCTTCACTCTCCTGTCCCCCACCTACTCCACTCCCTCACTAGAGGCAAACATTCTTGTTACTATATTATGTAATCTTGTAGAGTTATTTGTGCTTATAAGTACAAGGCTAGAGATTAGATTTAAAAGCTAGTACACTATTAAATTATTTAGTATGAACTAGCAAATTTTAATGTGTATTTTGTATATACAGTTACCAAATGTTTCCATTTTTGCTAACGTCTAAACTAACAGAATAATTTAAATCTCATTGTGCTAAAGAATTTATCCTGCAGAAAAATTAACTAGAAGCAAAACTGTTGAGACTGTTGTTATTTCTGGGCTAAATCTTCAGAGTCCATTATTGCACCATTTTATCAATGCCAGGGTTCATATCTATGAAAATATCTAATACAATTATCTCTGTAGATGATAAATATAGACTTAGTATAGGACTTCCTAATTCAATAATAAACTTTTTAACGTCCAATGCTAGAATTCATTATCTACTCTGCTGCCATAGCACTTCATTTACCCCAATCACTACATTTAGCCATCTCAGCTACTTTGTTGCCTCAATCTAACTGTAAGCTCTGAGGAAGAGGAAATGGCCACATTATCTTTTGTTTATTGTACACAGTAAACACTAAATGAGTTTTTCCCAAGTTAAATATGAAAAGGCCTGAGCTATTAACATTCTGTTAGCATTTTTTCTGAAATATTTTAAAATTCAAATGGAAGTTAAGAGTTCTGTATCAAGGCAGAATGTGCTAACTTTTTTATTCTTCAGCCTATAATGCCTATAATTTTCTCTCTGAATTCTCCTCGGTATTTTCCAGCAAGTTAAACCCCATTCATCTAAATACTTACTACTGGAAATTCTTTTTACCTTTCAAATTCACAATCTGAGAGAATTTTAGCTGCTGTATTTTATCAAAGGCTGCATCCACATCATCTAATGTAAAGAGTGTAAAATCTTCTGTATTGTGTCGAGACTAAAAGAATAACACAAATAAAGGTGAAAAACAATCACTGAAGGAGTGCTAACAAAATTTTTTTAATTGCTTAAATTACCTGATAAAGATCATACATGAACATCTGTCCCATTTTATAAACAGGAATGGTTGCATAGATAGCACAGTTCAGACCCAACTTTCCGACAGCATACGGGAGGGCACCAAGGTGGAGAGGATCAGGGTGAGACAACAGCACTGCATCAATCTGGTGAACATGCCTACAAGAACACAATCCAAAGGACTACTTCTTGAATCTTTTTAAGGGTAAAGACAGAATATTCAAAATTATTCACCAATTCTGGATTGAAGACTACACTGGGGCAGAAGAGCAAAACTAAGAGCTAAAATTATGATTACCTATGAATTTCAATTATTACTACCTGTGCTCTCCATAGCTACAAAAAATGTGGTATAAGGTACACTTAAATATATGGTGTGTACACACATTTTAAACAGAAAAGAAGGCCATGTGTGATGGCACACACCTGTAATCCCAGCACTTAGGGAGGCCAAGGCAGGCAAATCGTTTGAGCTCAGGAGTTCAAGATCAGCCTGGGCAACATGGCAAAACACCGTTCTCTATAAAAAATACAAAAAAAAAAAAAAGCCAGGGGTGGTGGCATGAGCCTGTAGTCCCAGCTACTTGAGGGGTGACATGGGAGGATCACTTGGGCACAGGAGGTTGACCTTGATGAGATCATGCCACTGCACTCCAGTCTGGGTGACAGAGTGAGACCCTGCCTAAAAATAAAAACAAGAACAAAAACAAAAAAGAACAGTAGACACAAGTAACTTGATTTTCTTTTTTTAGATGGAGTTTTGCTCTTGTTGCCCAGGCTGGAGTGCAATGACGCAATCTCCGGCTCACCACAACCTCTGCCTCCCAGGTTCAAGCGATTCTCCTGCCTCAGCCTCCCGAGTAGCTGGGATTACAGGCATGTGCCACCACTCCCAGCTTATTTTGTATTTTTGGTAGAGATGGGGTTTCTCTATGTTGGTTAGGGTGGTCTCGAACTCCCAACCTCAGGTGATCCGCCCACCTCGGCCTCCCAAAGTGCTGAGATTACAGGGGTGAGCCACCACGCCCGGCCATAAGTTGATTTTTAATAGCTATCCTGCATACTATTTTTTTTCTTTTGGAGATGTAGTCTCGCTCTGTTGCCCAGGCTGGAGTGCACTGGCGCAACCTCGGCTCACTGCGACCTCCACCGCCCGGTTCAAGCAACTCTCCTGCCTCAGCCTCCTGAGTAGCTGGGATTACAGGTGTCTACCACCACACCTGGCTAATTTTTTTATTTTTAGTAGAGACACACTTTCACCATGTTGGCCAGGCTGGTCTTAAACTCCTGACCTCAGGTGATCTGCCCTCCTCCACCTCCCAAAGTGCTGGGATTGCAGGCATGAGCCACCGCACCCAGCCTCACTTAACTCTTTTTGTTTTTTTTGTTTTTTTTTTGAGACGGAGTTTCACTCTTGTTGCCCAAGCTCTAATGCAATGGTGCGATCTTGGCTCACTGCAACCTCCGCCTCCCAGGTTCAAGTGATTCTCCTGCCTCAGCCTCCTGAGTAGCTGGGATTACAGGCATGCACCACCATGCCTGGCTAATCTTTGTAATTTTAGTAGAGATGGGGTTTCACCATCTTGGTCAGGCTGGTCTCGAACTCCTGACCTCAAGTGATCTGCCCGCCTCGGCCTCCCAAAGTGCTGGGATTACCGGCATTAGCCACTGTGCCTGGTCGCAAACTATTAATTTAAGTTCAAGAACTCAGCTTAGAATTTCAGAAATTATTATTGGCTGGGCATGGTGGTTCAGGCCTGTAATCCCAGCACTTTGGGAGGCCGAGGTAGGTGGATCGCCTGAGGTCAGGAGTTCGGGACCAGTCTGGCTAATATGGTGAAACCCTGTTTCTACTAAAAATACAAAAACTTAGCCGGCCGGGTGGTGCATGCCTGTAATCTCAGCTACTTGGGAGGCTGAGGAAGGAGAATAACTTGAACCCTGGAGGCGGAAGTTGCAGTGAGCCAAAAGCACGCCATTGCACTCCAGCTTGGGCAACAGAAGTGAAACTCCATCTCAAAAAAAAATAATAATAAAAGAGAAGAATTTCAGAAATTATTAAGGAGAGGATATTTATATGGCCACATACTTATAATGGATTTTTGTCCCAGCTTTTTCGCATAGTAACCACAGACAGTTTTGCTAATTGAATAGTAAAACTTCAGTTAATCAGGGAAGCATATGTTCTCATCAACACAAGAAATTAATAAAATGGTTTGGATTTTTTTTCTCAAGTTCTAAAGTTTTTTAAATATTTAAGTCCTCTTTTCTTGCAAAATTAGTATAATACTGCAAACATCATTGACTTTTTATTTTATCTTATTTTTTTTTTGAAACAGAGTCTTGCTTTGCGCCCAGGCTGGAGTGTAGTGGTACGATCTCGGCTCAGTGCAATCTCTGCCTCCTGGGTTCAAGCAATTCTCCTGCCTCAGCCTCCCAAGTAGCTGGGATTATAGGTGCACACCATCACACCCGGCTAATTTTTGTATTTTTAGTAGAGTTGGAGTTTCACCATGTTGGCCAGGCTGGTCTCGAACTCCTGAACTCAAGTGATCTGCCCACCTCAGCCTCCTAAAGTACTGGGATTGCCAGCGTGAGCCACTGTGCCCAGCCCATAATTGATTTTTTTTTTGATGAATCAGTATCTCATGGTCATTCTGAGAACCAGCTGACAATGTTAAGCATCAAAAGATGTAGAAAGTAAGCTAATGTGATCTGACCACAGAACTTTCACATGGAAAATGTTTCCTCTTCTCAAATTCTTATGTATTCTTGTTCTTTCCAAAAATTAGCATGCAAAAGTTTCTACTGAAATCCATTAGCTTAAGATTTTGCTGAATTTCAACAAGCAAAGCTTATAAGTCAATCAAAACTTTACAAGTTAAAATGTCACTATAGGTTTTTGGCATAAGTAAAATTAAGCCTTTTGCTATAAACTAGTGTAAAAAGGCAGTATTTATCACATCGAAATGGTATTACAGTACAGAAAAGAGAAGTTGATTTAATAAAAACATAGAATTATGAAATGTAACTTACTTCCTCAGGGAATCAATAATATCCATAGAAAAGTGCTCATCCCAGCCACAGTCCAATAAAAATCTAAACTCATCAACTTGGAGAAGATAGCAAAGGGCAGATTCTTCTTGGACCCCAGAAAGGGTAGTTAATTTGATAATAGACGTCATTTTTTTTGGTCCAGAAACAGCAAGCTAGAAGAGTCTTTCAAATGAAATGAAAACATAATTAAACATAAAAGCACAGTCTGGCATATATAATAAACAAATTGATTAAAATTATTTCAAATCTTTAAGTGCATAGAAATTCCATTAACACGAAAAGCAGTTTAAAGGCCCATTTCCATCATTGCCAAGTTTACTTTTTTTTTTTAAGTGAAAGCAAGTTTATTAAGTCACTGCCAAGTTTAAAAGCACAAAGATAATCTTAGACACAATGAGCCCTTTAGTGGCTCCCTAGTGGGGTAGTGAATGTTGCAATCAAATAGACCCATATATGAATCTACTTCTATGTGATTTGAAGCAAGTTAATTAAACTTTCCTCACCTATGTATCTCAGTCTATAAAACATTAGTATTAGTATACATGTAAAAACAATGTTGAAGTATTTCAAATAATGTATAAATTACCTATAACAGATACTACTGCATCCAAGTTCCTCAATAAATAAATGTTTAGGAATTAATGAACTCATCCTTCAAGGTGAATCTCTTCCTCTTTTATCTTGCTTTGTGATGGCACTGATTTCACTGTATTACAATGATTAGTTTACATGTCTTTCTCTCCCATTAATTAGACCAGTGGTCCTTAAATAGATCCCCTTGAGAATCTGATAAAAACCTATGGACCCTCCCCCTCCCCCACCAACTCTCAACACACTCAAACAAAAAACAAGAGTACATATACACGTAGAAATTCACAAACTTTTCAGGGAGTTTAACATTAAGAACCCTTGCATTGGAATGTGAGCAACTGAAAAACATAGGTGGCATATGTTTGCAACTCCCTAAATAGAACCTGATGCACGCTTCAACATATATCTGATGAAATGCAAATTGGGATGCCTACTACATATATTTCAGGAAAATATAACATGAACACATCTACAGGCCAGGCACGGTGGCTCACGCCTGTGATCCCAGCACTTTGGGAAGCCGAGGCAGGAAGACTGCTAGAGTTCAGGAGTTTGAGACCAGCCTAGGCAATGTAGTGAGACCCTGTCTCTACAAAAAAAAAATATAAGAAAACTGGCTGGTGGCATGTACCTGTAGTCCTAGCTACTCAGAAGGCCAAGATGAGAGAATTGCTTGAGCCCAGGAGTCCGAGGTTACTGTGAGCTATGAGTGCGCCACTAGACTGGGCACAGAGTGAGACCCTAGAGTGTACCCTAGACTGGGCAACAAAGTGAGACTTTGTATCTAAAAAATAAATAAAATAAAATATATACATTTTTTAAAAATGGGATTTAGAACCTGGAACTGTGTGCTATTAAGCAGAAGTTATGAAAATATTCATTAGCAAAGTTCAACTCCACAGCAACATTTCAGATTTTAGCTCCCTAAAATAAATGAGCTTTTCCTGGCTAACTATGCAAGTAGGAGAGAAGGCCACCGAGTTACCTAATAATTTCTTACCACTACTCAAGGCCATCAACAAACTAAGGTAAACTGAATATCCACCTTTCATAAGAGGCTGACAGGGGCTGCTAAACCCACCACATCTCCCAGCCTTGTTTATCTGAGTGACAGCCAAAATCACAAGACTGCTAGGTTATCAATTATCAACGATGTGTACGTCTCCCAGTAAGACCTAATCCCCTACCTCTTCTCCCTCTCAAATCCTTTCAGGATGCTCTCTGGAACTGTGATCATACTCACCTGTAACTGCAACTGCTTCTCTGAAAATTCTCTTCACCTGCTTGTCTTCCCAGGTACCTGGCTGTTCCCTCATCATACTCTTCCTCTTACGGCCTTCTCAAGGTTTTTTGTTGTTGTTGTTTTAACTTCTTGTACCCCCTGTACTTGAAAAGCAGGAGGTATGTGTTCCTTGCTCCTCACTGCAGCTTCTAAACCATGTCTTCTCTTTCCTCTTTCAAATAGTCTAGTCCCATTAAAGCTCTTGCCACCCAGCAGTTCACTATTAGTCTTCCACATTTCCTCTTCACTATGGCATCTATTCACCTGGCCTCATTCACTGAGGACTTTTACATGACCCGTTGTTCCTCTCAGTAACTTCAATACTGACCTGTTGGTTCCTTGACTTCCTCAACTCCAATAATCATTTCACTTCAGCCACCCACCACTACGATTACACCCTAGACCTTATCACTACCAGTAACTGTTCTACTTTCAAAATTTCACTTCAAGCATCTCATTCTCTAACACCTTACTTACTCTAGTATTCCCATTGCAAAAATCCTCTGGGGTCAGTGGTATCTCTCTAATTCGCTGACTACTTTTTCCCTATCCATGACCCCCTCCTGTTTTTACTCAGGTCCTCACCTTCAATTCATGATCTGTTAACATTATTTGCAAACACTCAAATGTCTTGCTCCTCTAGGTACTTCTCTCTACTAGGCTGGCAAAACCCCAGTCCTGATTAACTCCAATCATGCAGGGCCGGCGGGGGGATGGGATATGGAGGAGAATTACAGCTGTGCTATTTGCTTTTTTTTGAGACGGAGTCTCACTCTGTTGCCAGGCTGGAGTGCAGTGTCACGATCTTGGCTCACTGCCACCTCCATCTCCCGGGTTCAAGTGATTCTCCTGCCTCAGCCACCTGAGTAGCTGGGACTACAGGCATGCACCACCACGCCCAGCTAATTCTTTTTGGTAGAGACGGAGTTTCACCATGTTGGCCACAATAGTCTCGATCTCTTGACCTCATGATCCACCTGGCCCATTTTTTTTCTTTTTTTTTTGAGACAGAGTTTCACTCTTGTCACCCAGGCTGGTATACAGTGGCAAGATCTCAGCTCACTGCAACCTCCACCTCCTGGGTTCAAGTATTTCTCCTGCCTCAGCCTCCCGAGTAGCTGGGATTACAGGCACCTGCCACCACACCTGGCTAACGCTATTTGCTCTTTAAATTCATGGCCAAAGGCCTCAAACAGGCCGTAAGTATTACCCTTCAATCTGACTTTTCTTAGTAGGTTGACTTTCAGTTTCTGAGACTACTACTCCACACCTCCTCCTCTTTGTTCAAAGATCACCCATCCCTCCCTCCACCCTAGTCTCAGCTGATAATCTCATTTCATTCTTCAATCAGAAAATAAAATTAGACAATAATTTCTCATTTTCCAGATACTACATCTATTAACCTATCTGCATGTACACTGTTGGGTCTCCTGTTGTATAGAATAGTCCTGCTCCCATCCAAGGCCAATCCCTCTATGTGTGCCGTTGATCCCATTCTTATTCACCTTCTGAAAGACTTGACATCTTCAGTCATTCGCTCTTTCCCCTGCATCAACGTATCACTGATGTACCATTCCCACAAGCTTATAAAAATACTCTAGAATTTCCCAACTTATAAGAACCCTCTCTTAACCCTTCAACCCCCAACAACCACTACATCATTTTTGGGTTTCCCTTTCACAGCAAAAGTTCTCAGAATATTTGTCCACAGATATATCTCCACTTCCTCACCTCCCATTTGCACTAAGTCTGAGAAGCCAGAGAAATGTCCATTGGCTTAAGTTGTATAGAGGTTTATCAATGACCTTTATAAAACACTTCCAGTGATATACTTTCATAACAACTCATTATATTTCTCAAATTTTCTTCTCTCTTCACTGTGACCAAAACCTCTAACTTTTATATATATTTTCCCTGTCTCTAATTTATTCTGAGTCATTCTCAGAGGTAGTCATTCTCTGACCACCCTAAAGTCCTTCTTCACATCCATTACAACATCATTCTATTTCCCTCAAAATACTTAGTGCTCTCTAATTGCTACTTATTTATTTACTTGCTTTGTCTGTCACCTTCTCCCCTCCTGTGCCCACACTGGAATGCAGACTCCATGAAGGTAAAGACCTTCTCTGTTTTCATCACAGTTACATTCCAGCGCCTCCACAGTGCCTAATATACAGTGGTAGCCGATAAATGTTTCTTAAAGGAAGGAATGGGGCATGGCTAGTATTAAATAAGCTCACTGTCCTTACCACACCATAAACCAGAACCCATCCACATGTATTTGCCCTTGCTTGGGAGAGCTCTCTGAGTACAGGAGTTGGCTTGATCCATTTTTTTATCCTTAGTACATTAGCACATCCCTGCACATAGTGGTTGTTCAATAAATAACTGTTGGTAAGTTAAAATTTAAAATATATTGACTTGTTTTTGTTTCCTGAAACAGGATCTTGCTCTGGTACCCAGGCTGGAGTGCAGTGGTGCAATCATGGCTCATTTGCAGCTTCAACCTCCTGGGCTCAAGTGATCCTCCCACCTCAGCCTCCTGGGTAGCTGGGACTACGGGCACGCACCACCACACTCGGCTAATTTTTTGTAGAGACAGGGTTTCACTATGTTGCCCAGGCTGGTCTTTAACTCCTGGGCTCAAGTGATCCACCCACCTTGGCCTCCCCAAATGCTGGAATTACAGGTGTGAGACAGCACGCCTGGCCTTCATGTGTTCTTATTTGGGGTACAAAGACATTAATTCTCTATTTGATGAAAAACGTTTATAAATACAATTTTGGAAAGGACCTTGGAAATTATCCCTGTCAAAAAGCTTACTGTACCACAATTATATTAATGGCCTAAGGGAAACTCTTTTCTACTTAAGTCTTCCTTAATTCCCACTTTCTTCATTTAGATTATGAAGTAACATGCAAGGTATCTTGCAGCTAGAACTGAGTAAGTTCATATTAAAACTGTTTTGCAGACAGACCAAGATTTCAACAGATGAAAAGATATTTTCACTACAATTATTCATAATAAAGCTATATCTTTATCAAACATTCACTACTTACTGATATCTTAGTCGTATATATGATGAAACACCAGGAATTCTGAAGAGTTCTTTATTAATCTAAAAAATAAATAAAAGCCTTATGAATGTGGTATTATGATTTCATTCTGTTTATAATTATGGTGTTTAATTTGTATCTTGCCCTAAGGCATCAGGAGCAGCAGCAAGTAGTATAATACGTGGTCCTTTTTTAAAAAAGAGATCTGTCATTAATTTTAGGAATCTTAAGCTTACATAACAGATAATAAAAGACATAAAAATATTTAGGAAGTTTTTTTTTAAGTTGACATTACCTTATGTTATTGAGAATCATAGAAGAGGTGGGATTTAAGATTACTCACTAAGGATTGGTAAGACATGGGTAGAAACAAAGAGAAGGTACTCAAAACAGAGGAGTAACAGGAGTAAAGGAATACCAGACATCTCAGATCTCTACACTTTTGAGTAAGTTTTAAAGTACCAGTGAAAAAACTAGCCTGGAAAACATTCACAAAAGCAAAAAATAAAAGATAAGGCCTAATGAACAGAAAGGGGCCAGATAGTGAAAGGCCTTGGAAACTGTGAACCTAGTCCTGCAGGCAACAGAAACATTTTAAGACTCATTATCAAGTAGAAAGATGGCATGATACAGGTAATTCTGTATTTTGGGGATATTAGCTGGTGTGTATGATTGATGAGATGATACAGAAAGCAGGGAGATAAAAAGCGAAAGTATTTAGTGGACCACCCCTTCCTAACGTTACTGATTCTATCTTGTGACCAAATTTCTTCAGTCTCAAATTGTATTTTATAGCTCTGCGACATGAATATATTAGTTGTTATCTAAGTAACCAAGGTTTGAAATGCTACATGCTGATTCTTCACTTCTGGGACAGTCTATTATTACCAGTTCCTGATTATTCTTCCCTCAGGAACGCTTTGCACATCATTCCCTTTCTATCCCACTGCCAGTACCCTAATACAGGAAGGGCCTCACTACCTTATGTTTGGGTTTCTCAGTTTCTCTGCCTCCAGTATTTCCTCCCTTCATCCAACCTAAACATTGCTACCAGATTCATCTTCAGAAATACCCTGCACCTATTACCCCTTGCTCAGAAATCTCTGAAGGCTTCTTACTGCTTGAGAAAAGACAAACCAAATGCCTTAACTGGCAATGGAGGTTGCCAGGAAGCCACCCTGACATCACTGCTCAATGTCTTCAGGCCCAGCTCATGTTCCACCTCCTTACAAATTCCCACATCTAGTCTAGACTAGAACAGCTCTGTCAACAGACATATAATGCGTGCCACAAATGTACTTTTTAATTTCTTCATGGCCACATGGAAAAGTGAAAAAGAAACGGGTGAATTTTAATGAATTTTATTTAACCCAATAGAACCAAAATATTATTTCAACATGTAATCATGTTGAATATTTTACATTTTCATATTAAATCTTCAAAATCCACTGTGTATTTTATATTTACAGCACATTTCAAATAGACTAACGACATCTGAAGTGCTCAATAGCTACATGTGGCTAGTGACTACCATAACAGTGCAGATCTAGACTCCAGACCATAAAAACCAATGCTTTACACTATAGAGCATCATGTTGTCACCCCTAAAGTGCAGGTTGGCACCATCCTATGTTTATGTACATGTCTCAGACTAAGTTTTAATAGTATTGCCAACCATTTACTCTCCCAGACTAAAAACTCAAGTCACCTTCTTACCATTAACTTAGCAGTCAGCAGGTGAATCCCATTTGACATTTACTTAGTGTCTCTCTGACCTCCTTTATGTCCTGCCTCCATGGAGGCCCTCATTGCCTTACCTGAATGATTGCCCATTTCCTTTCATCTAGTTTTTCTGTTCCCAGTTGATCCTCCATATAGCTGTCAGAGACCATCCTAAAAAAACAAATATCCTCCTGCTCACTCCTTGCACAAAATATCCACTGGATTCCTGGTAACTACTGAAAAAAATCTAAACTCCCTATTGGAAACCAAGATCCTTCACAAGCTGATCTTAACCTACCTCTTGCTTCACCAATCACTCGTGCACTAAATGCTCAGGCAGGTTGATTATCCCACTCTCCCTAAGTATGCTAAAGCTTCTCAAAGCTCTGTATTCCTGTACTGAATCCCGAAATTACCTTCTCCTTTTGAGCTCAGCAAATTCCTTTTGATGCTATATGACCCAGCTCACATATTTACTCCTTTATAAAGCCTTTTTGTTGCCCTAGGCAAAGTTAGTTATTTTGTTATAAAGGAGGCACATAAAGTATTTGTTGAATGGATGTTCAATGTATAGAGGAGTAAAAGTGATCATCTTTGTATATCCAATACCAACTTCAGTGGTCAAGGCAGCATAAATGGGTACTGCAAGAAGGAATGAAGCCTCATCATATCATAAATTCCTTCAGAGCACTGGTTTTGACAGATACTACTTCATCGCAAATATCTCACAGTTACTTGCCCTCTTAATAATAATCGTGCATGTTGCCGGGCGCAGTGGCTTGCGCCTTTAATCTCAACACTTTGGGAGGCCGAGGAGGGCAGATCACTTGAGCTCAGGAGTTCCAGACCAGCCTGGGCAATATGACAAAACCCCTTCTCTACTAAAAACACAAAAAAGTAGCCGGGCGCGGTGGCTGCGCTGGTGACCCCAGCTACTTGGGAGGCTGAGGTGGGAGGATTACTTGAGCCCAGGAGGCGGAAGTTGCAGTGAGCTGAGATGGCACCACTGCACTCCAGCCTGGGTGGACAGAGCGAGACCCGGTCTCAAATAATAAATCGGCCAGGCGCGGTGGCTCACGCCTGTAATCCCAGAACTTTGGGAGGCCGAGGCAGGCGGATAATCCTGGCCAACAAGGTGAAACCCTGTCTCTACTAAAGCTACAAAAATAGGTGGGCGTGGTGGTGCGCGCCTGTAGTCCCAGCTACTCGGGAGTCTGAGGCAGGAGAATCACTTGAACCCGGGAGGCAGAGGTTGCAGTGAGCCGAGAATCGTGCCACTGCACTCCAGCCTGGGCGACAGAGCGAGATTCCTTCTCAAAAATAAAAAATAATTACCGTGCATGTTGATGACAACTAAGGTGAACTAAGCAAAATCCAAGGGAAAACAGAGGAGTTTGGGTTAGCCCTGGAGCTCACTGAGTGGGGAAGGCTCTTCTCGGTCAGTTGAGGGAGAGCCCCAGTTTCATACTGGGGTTGCAAGGCCGGGCATGGTGGCTCACGCCTGGAATCCCAGCACAGGCCAAAATGGGAGGATCTCTTGAGCCCAGGAGTTCGACACCGGCCTGGGCAACATAGTGAAACCCCGTCTTTATTAAAAAAAAAAAAAAAGAAAGAAAAAAGAAAGGGGTTAAAGGGGTTGTAAAATTAAAAATTAGGGGATGGGTATAAATGATAGCTCAGGTTCGCCTGGTCACAGGAAGCCAGACTTGCCGGGGTTCAATCTGACCTCTTCTTTTCTAAAGAGCACGTAAAATAGTACGAAGTCAAAAAAGAATTAGAACTTCGCAGTGATAGTGGAAGCGCTGGAGGGCGATGGCGGGAGGGCGCGAAGGCCCAAGACCCTTTTAGTACAGTGTGGTACAAACAACCGAAAGGTCTCTGGAGTCGAAGAACTAAAAGGACGCCTAAGCGGTGTCCAGAGCTTAGCAACCTCGTGGTCTCTCAACCCAAAACGACGGGAAGAGCCCGAGCAGGGGAGGCTAAGAACGCCGTAGCCACGAAGCCAAGGAGCTAAAGCTGGCGTCGGTTTAACTCTTCCAGCGCCAAGAGATGAAAGGGGAAGCAGAGGGAAGCAGAAAGGAGGGAAGAAGATCCCGGGAGGGAACCGTACGGGCTGCCGCAAAACAGCTGGGAGCTTGAAACCCATGGAGAAGTCACTTCTCTTTCCCTCGCTGACCACTTCTGCCGGGAACGACCGGGACAGTCGCAGCCGAAGCGGCGGGGGCGAGTCCTCGGGGGAGACCGGGTCGGAGTCGGGGCCCCGTGCTCCCGGAGGGCCAATGACGCCGCCTTCCCCAGCCCGAGGCTCGCTCCTTTCTCCCGCCCTCACTTGCCTCGTCAGGCCTCCCCCAACGCCGTCCACAGCCCTTCCCAACCCCTAGGCGAATCCAGGTTCAAGACGTAGAAAAGCCGATGCTGGGTCAGCAGCGCCAGGGACTACCGGCCGGCAGAAGCCCCACAGTGGCAGCCGCCATTTTGGAGCTGGAGACTAGCGGCGGAGACGAGGAGGAACCAGGGCGAGACCATCTCCGGGGGGTGGGCACGGTGCTGTCGGAAGGCGACGGCGGTCACGCCTGCACGCCTCGTCTGTCTGGAGCGAAATTTTATTCAGAAATTATTGGTAATGTTTGGAAGCTAAAAAAAAAAAAAATGAGAGGAGTCAACCCTGAGGAGGAAAAAGTAGTATGATTTGCTGGCGTCACCCCTCTGCTCCGTGCGGGCGCGGCGAATGGCAGGTCCCGAGGTCGCAGCTTCCACTGGCGCGGGTTGAGTTCCCTGTTGCCCTTGGTCTCGGGGTCGCTGTAGGCGCTGAGGCTGCAGGTGGGTTTGGGGAGCCCGGGGGGCCGCCGCGACGAGGATCACGGCGACGGTGGCGGGGAGGGTTCTAGGCAAGCCCTCGGTGCTGTGCATGTGTGGAGGGGTGGTCTGGGCTTCCCCGGGGCTTCCGAACGAAGGTGACGGGAAAGGAAAATGGGGTTTTCTTCGGGTGGAGGATGGGATTTCCGGGCCGGAGCTTTTGGAAAGGGTTTTCTGAGGCTGTCATAACAGGAAAACGTCCGTAGAGATGTGACCCAGTGACCGCCCGCTAACCGGACTGGAGAGAAGACCGGCCCGGATCCCACGCCTGGCCTGAAGCAGGGAAGACGCTGCCTCCCCTCCGCGAGCAGCTTACATTCGTCCAAGTTCCAGCCTTCTGTCTTCTCGCTAACCTCGCTCTCTTCCAAATCGCAAATCCTCTTGAGCCGACACCGTTGCGCCTAAATGATGTGCTTACCCTTTTACTTTGCTTTTTTATTTTTGAGACAGAGATTCACTCTTGTCACCCAGGCTGGAGTGCAATGGTGCAATCTCGGCTCACTCCAACCTCCGCCTCCCGGGTTCAAGCGATTCTCCCGTCTCAGCAGCCCAAGTAGCTGGGATTACAGGCGCCCGCCACCACACCCGGCTAATTTTTTGTATATTTAGTAGAGACGAGGGTTTCACTATGTTGGCCAGGCTGGTCTCGAACTCCTGATCTCGTGATCCACCCGCCTCAGCATCCCAAAGTGCTGGGATTACAGGCGTGAGCCACTGCACCTGGCCCACCTTGCCTTTTAAAAGACAAAAGTATGGCCAGGCTTAGTGGCTCACGCCTGTAATCCCAACACTTTGGAAGGCCGAGGTGGCCGGATCAAGAGGTCAGGAGTTTGAGACCAGCCCGGCCAACAGTGAAACCCCATCTCTACTTAAAAATACAAAAATTAGCCGGGCGTGGTGGCACCTGCCTATAGTCCCAGCTACTCGGAAGGCTGAGGCAAGAAAATCACTTGAACGGCCGGGCGCGGTGGCTCACGCCTGTAATCCCAGCACTTTGGGAGGCCTAGGCGGGCGGACCACCTGAGGTTGGGAATTCAAGACCAGCCTGACCAACATGGAGAAACCTCGTCTCTACCAAAAATACAAAATTAGCTGGGCATGGTGGCGCATACCTGTAATCCCAGCTACTTGGGAGGCTGAGGTAGGAGAATCCCTTGAATCCGAGAGGCAGAGGTTGCTGTGAGCCAAGATTGCGCCATTGCACTCCGGCCTAGGCAACAAGAGCGAAACTTCGTCTCAAAATAAAAAAAAAAAAAGGAAAGAAAAAAGTATGAATTGTATAAGCATGCCAGTGTAAGAGGAGAGGCAGAAATTCAGTCTACATAGTCCTAGCACAGCTTAGTGCTAAGCACTTTTGTTGGCAATAATGTATTGTCTTTCTAGGATGTTGTCATATGTCTTCTTAGTCATTGTACATGATTTATTAGTTTAGTCCAAACGCACACAGGTGTATTTTGAATTCATCTGTATGCACGAATTTTTACAGAAAATTGGCAATCCAACTATGTTTTTATTGAATTGTGCAATTTATTTTCCACATGATGTCTATTACAGGTTCAGTATCCCTGATCAGAATGTTGGAAATCCAAAATGCCCCCATATGTGAAACTTGGGGCCACAAGTTTGAGACCAGCCTGGGCAACATAGCAAGATCTTGTCTCTACAAAAAAAAATGTTTAAAGAATTTTTTTAAATTAGCACCCGTAGCTCCAGCTTCTCAGAAGATTGAGGTGGGAAGATCACTTGAGCTCAGGAGTTCAAGACTGCAGTGGACTATTATAACTCCACTGCACTCCATCCTAGGTGACAGAGCGAGACTATTTAAAAAAAAAAAAAAGTTTCATATAAGATTACCTTCAGGCTATGTGTATAAGGTATATATAAAACACAAATGAATTTTATGTTTTAATTCGGTCCTATCCCCAAGATAGCTCATTATGTGCATGCAAATATTTCAAAATCAAAAAATCGAAAACACTTCGGGTCCCAAGCATTTCGGATAAGGAAAAACCTATAGTTCTATTCCTCCTCATCTACCTTCTGGAAACTCAGCATTTAAAAGCTTTTAAGTACCATAAACATCAATTCAGGAAGGGGTTTCTTAGGCATGGGCTATAATAGCAGCCAGAGCTGTAGAGTGAAGCTGAATTTGAACTCCAGCTCTGTACTTAATAGCTATTTGGATTAAGCTGTTTTCTTATCTGTAAAATGTAAATAATAGTTATTTCACATTACGTATAGAAATAGATGATGGCTCTGGTACCTAGTAACCTAGTAGTCTTTTTTTTTTTTTTGAGACAGCATCACGCTCTGTCGTCCAGGCTAGAGTACAGTGGTGTGATCTCAGGTCATTGCAACCTCCGTCTCTTGGGCTCAAGCAATCCTCCCACCTCAGCCTCCGAAGTAGCTGGGACTACAGGCATATACTACCACACCCAGCTAATTTTTTGATTTTTTGTAGAGACAGGGTTTTGCCATGTTAACCAGGCTAGTCTCAAGCTCCTAGGCTCAAGCGATCCATCCGCCTTAGTCTCCCAAAGTGCTGTGGTTACAGGCATGAGCCACCTAGTAGTCACTCTATAAAAGTAAATTTTCTTCTCCCTTTGCCTTTTTTTTTCTTTCTTTTTTTTCTGAGACAGAGACTCGCTGTATCCCCCAGGCTGGAGTGTAGTGGCGTCATCTCAGCTCACTGCAACCTCTGCCTCCCGAGTTCAAGCAATTCTCCTGCCTCAGCCTCCTGAGTAACTGGGACTACAGGCATGTGCCACTACGCCCACCTAATTTTTGTATTTTTAGTAGAGATGGAGTTTCACCATGTTGGCCAGGCTGGTCTCGAACTCCTGACCTTGTTGTCGTCCACCCGCCTCAGCCTCCCAAAGTGCTGGGATTACAGGCGTGAGCCACTACACCCGGCCCCTTTACCTTTTTTAGAGTAATTTATATTCATATCTACAGTGACATTATTGAATATAGTTTTCTTTTTTCTCTCATATCTTTTAATTTCCTTTCTAAATTTAGTTTTCAGTAATTACAGCTTTACCTAAAGAATTCCATTTCTGGCAAAATTGTATTAAATTTGTTTTTGCATTGTGAGAGGTTCTAAATATGTTTTACACAAGTAAAAGTCCTAAATGAGAGCCAGGTGCAGTGGTGTATGCCTGTAGTCCCAGCTACTTGGGAGGCTGAGGCAGGAGGAATGCTTGAGCCCGGGAGTTGAGAGCTGTAGTGCCTGTGAATAGCCACTGCCCTCCAGCCTGGGCAACATAGCAAGACCTTGTCTCTTTTACAAAAAAAAGTTCCAAAACAACATGAGGAGGGTGCAAACAATCAGCTGTTGCAGGTAGAATTTTTTTACATACCATCTCTGTTTCTCTGCTCTGTATCGTATCACATCACTATTGAAGCTAGTAGTAAAATGTAATAAATAGACCCAGTGTGGTGTAATTTTATATTAATCATTGTCCCGTATGTAATCTTCATCAATTAGATTTTAAAGTATTATACTACATTCTGATGCCAGGCAAACAAAGAGGCGTATTAGGCTTTTAACATCTATTACATCTATGTCTATCATCTTCTTGTTTCAGATGCAATTTATTTATTTTATTGAGATGGAGTCTTGCTCTGTCGCCCAGGCTGAAGTACAGTGGCACGATCTTGGCTCACTGCAACCTCCGCCTCCTGGGTTCAAGCAATTCTCCTGCCTCAGCCTCTCCAGTAGCTGGGATAACAGACGCGCACCACCACACCCGGCTAATTTTTGTGCTTTTAGTAGAAATGGGGTTTTGCCATGTTGGCCAGGCTGGTCTCGAACTCCTAATCTCAAGTGATCTGCCCACCTCAGCATCCCAAAGTGCTAGGATTACAGGCATGAACCACCGCACCTGGCCCAGATGCAATTTAAAAGCTATTTCAAAAAAAAAACAAAGCAGTTGTATTTCTGATAATTTTTTTTTCTTTTAGCTATCATGGTGAACTTACTTCAGATTGTGCGGGACCACTGGGTTCATGTTCTTGTCCCTATGGGATTTGTCATTGGATGTTATTTAGACAGAAAGAGTGATGAACGGCTAACTGCCTTCCGGAACAAGAGTATGTTATTTAAAAGGTTAGTCTGCATTTTTTTAAACCAGCAATTGGCCAAATTTGGGGAATATTCTTTTTGATATGTGCCAAAAATAAACAGAAGGGGTAATTTTTCCCCCTTGAGGACTTAGATTCAAATGATACTGTTTTTAGTCTTGTTTGTTATTGAATCCTTGGATAAAACAGTATGATTACCTCTAGAATTTAAAGTCTTCATTTAATGAATAGGCTGTTTCAGGTCTTTGAAAGTATCGTCTTTTTTTAATTCAAAGTGCATTTTAATATAGAAACAGTTTAAAAGTAGCTGGCCAAAACCTAGCTTATATACAGCTTCCACATATATTGTCATATATTATCTTACTTAAGACATGCTATAGCTGAGATAAATAGTAATAACAGCAGCTAGGTGCTGTGTTCTTAGCAGCACTACCTGAGAGCTTTAGACCTGGTGGTAGAGTGATAGCAACTGGCAGCTGCCTGGTCCCATTGTGCCTCTAGAGATGGCTCCTCTGGCAGCAGAGAGTTCCAGTTAGCAAGACAGGATGCCTGCCAGTGGGCATACAGCTGGGTAGGAGGAAGCCTGAGGGGCAAGAGAACTGAGCAGCATCCACAGTGGGTATGGAGAGATGGTAGAAGTGATTCACAAATCAGGGATTTCAAGAAAGAAAATAAGCTGGAAAGGGTTTAGAAAACATTTCGAATGAACTCACTGAGCAGAGATAATAGCTTTCATATAAAGATAAACTAAGTAATTACAATTCTTTAACCCAGAAAAATGAAGCTAACAATATGGTAAAAGTTAAAATCATGAATGAAAAGAATACATATGATGAATCTAATATGTAAATTTTTTAAATGGATCGGTGTAATAGAAAATAAAATATTGACCGGGCGCGGTGGCTCACACCTGTAATCCTAGCACTTTGGGAGGCCGAGGCAGGTGGATTCCTTGAGGTCAGGAGTTCGAGACCAGCCTGGCCAACATGGTGAAACCCCGTCTCTACCAAAAATATAAAAAATTAGCTCGGTGTGGTGGCACACAGCTGTAATCCCAGCTACTTGGGAGGGTGAGGCAGGATAATCGCTTGAAGCCAGGAGGTGGAGTTTGCAGTGAGCCAAGATCGTGCCACTGCACTCCAGCCTGGGCTACAAAGCCAGACTTCGTCTCAAAAAAAAAAAAAAAAAAAAGAAAATGAAATATTGCAATCATTCTTCTGACTTCCCCTTTTATCTCGTATCACAGTTTTATTTACAGTTTTTCCATTTCTTCCTTTTTTGCTTTCCACACAGGGAATTGCAACCCAGTGAAGAAGTTACCTGGAAGTAAAGACTGGCTAGATTATCGAATGTTCACATTTTAAAGTTCTGAGAGAAATAAAAACATGAAGAATCTGAAATGTCTTTCTTTTCATACAAAGGTAGCCCTTCTGGTAACAAGCATACTTAAAAAATAATTATTAGGGCCCAGCGCGGTGGCTCACACCTGTAATCCCAACACTTTGGGAGGCTGAGGCAGGCAGATCACCTGAGGTCAGGAATTCCAGACCAGCCTGACCAACATGGTGAAACCCCGTCTCTACTAAAAATACAAAAAATTAGCCGGGTATGGTGGTGCATACCTGTCCTGTCAGGCAACAGAGTGAGACTCCATCTCAAAAATAAATAATAAATAAAATAATAACTCTTAGGTACCTGATTGTATACCGTGGTATTAAATTTATAATTAGCATTTAATTTGCTGTTTCTCATTTTGAACCACAGTATTATTAAATCATGGAGCAAATTTTTTATCATATATTTTTCAAAAAAAATTTCAAACCTTGTGCTTCAACGGGACTTAAAAAGGATGATGCCAAGATTTTATTTGATAAAAATCACATACTGAAAATTTTAAGTGACCTTAGCTTTGGCAAAGCTTTTTCCTTTTTCCAAATGTAGGATACACACAGGAAGCAAGGATTTTTAAAATACAACACACAAAACATGAATTAATTTAAAAAATAAGTTGTACTTTATCAAAATTTAAAATTTTGCTCTTCGAAAAACACATCCAGAATATGTAAACAATCCTTATAGCTTAAGAATAAACAACCTAACTTTTTTTTTTCTGAGACGGAGTCTTGCTACGTCGCCCAGGCTGGAGTGCAGTGGTGTGATCTGCAAGCTCCGCCTCTTGGGTTCCCACCATTCTCCTGCCTCAGCCTCCCGAGTAACTGGGACTACAGGTGCCTGCCACCACACCTAGCGAATTTTTTGTATTTTTAGTAGAGACTGGGTTTCACCATGTTAGCCAGGATGGTCTCGATCTCCTGACCTCGTGATCCACCTCAGCCTCCCAAAGTGCTGGGATTACAGGCGTGAGCCACTGCACCCACCTTCAACAACTTAACTTTTTAAATGGGCAAAAGATTTTAACAAACACTGCCAAAAGAGATAAGAGGATGGCAAGTAAGCACATGAAAAGATACTCAACATTAGTAGTCACTAGAGAAATGGAAATTAACAGCAAAATGAGATGGCACTACACACCTATTAAATGGTTAAAATTAGGCTGGCTCACGCCTGTAATCTCAACACTTTGGGAGGCTGAGGCGGGTAGATCACCTGAGCTCAGGAATTCAAGACCAGCCTGACCAACCTGGTGAAACCCCGTCTCTACTAAAAATACAAAATTAGCCGGGTGTGGTGGTGCATGTCCGTAATCCCAGCTACTTGGGAGGCTGAGGGAGGAGAATCACTTGAACCCCAGGAGCGGAGGTTGCAGTGAGCCAAGATCATGCCATTGCACTCCAACCTGGGCAATAAGAGCAAAACTCCGTCTCAAAAAATAGATTTAAATAAGTAAAAATAAAACGGTTAAAATTTGAAAGACTGACTACCAATTGTTGGCAAGGATGTAGAGCAGCTAGAAGGCACACTGCTGGCAGGAATATAAAATGTAGCCACCAGTGGTTGTCCCACCTTGGAAATAAGTTTAGCAGTTTCAGGTAAAACACACCTACCACTTGACCCAGCCATCCCAGTCTGATTTATTTACCCAAGAGAAATGAAAGCATATATCCACACAAAGACTTTTACATGAATGTTCATAGCAGCTTGATTAGTAACAGCCAAAAATGAGATAACCCAAATGTCTATCAACATAGGAATGGATAAAGTGTGTTGAATCCATATCATAGACTACTACCCAGCAATGAAAAGGAATGATCTATTGATACATAATATGGATGAATTTCAAACTAACAGTGCTGAATGAAAGTAGCCAGATAAAAAAGAACACATGCTATAGGATTCTGTTTATATAAATAGAAAATGTTATAAACAGCAATCTGCAGTAACAAAGCAGTTCAGTGGTTGAGAGATCAAGGTCTGGAAGGTGTTATAAAGAATTACAAGGAGGCTGGGCCAGGCGCAGTGGCAATGCCTGCAATCCTAGCACTTTGGGAGGCCAAGGTGGGCAGATGGCTTGAGCCCAGGAGTTTGAGACCAGCCTGGAAAACATGGTGAGACCCCGTCTCCACTAAAAATATAAAAATTAGCTGGGTGTGGTGCGGTGTGGTGGGTAGTCCCAGTTACTCAGGAGTCTGAGGTGGGAGGTCACCTGAGCCTGTGGAGGATGAGGCTGCAATGAGCCGTGATTGTGCCACTGCACTCCAGTCTGGAAGACAGAGTGAGCCCGTGTCAAAAAATAAAATATAAAATAAAAACAATAGAGAAGTAAACTCTTTTAAAAATATTCCTTTGCCTTCAATATATGAAAGAGGAGATTGATGAATAATACTTGAAAAATCTGTAATCAGGAAGAGCAGAATATTTTTAGAAAGGACAAAAATAGCACTAATCAGAAACATTAGGTTTTATTTCTTTTGTTTTCTTTGGTTTGTTTCAAGCATATATACTTTATTGCAAGCAATATTACACCTAAGTCTTTTGTCCTTAAGGGATATATGGAGAGTTTCAACACAATGCTGTTGTGTGTATTTTTTTCTACCTCCCTTTCCTGGAAATACGTGTAGTATTTTTTATGAAACATAAATTGCTAATGCCAAGATCTGTAATAGTAAATTGGATTCTCTCTTGATTCATTTTTTATAACACAATATCATCAAGATTCAGTTATCAATTTTTAAAAACATAGCCAGGCACGGTGACTCACATCTGTAATCCCAGCACTTTGGGAGGCCGAGGCAGGTGGATTGTTTGAGGTCAGGAGTTTGAGACCAGCCTTGCCAATATGGTAAAACCCCATCTCTACTAAAGAACAAAAATTAGCCAGGCATGGTGGTGCATGTCTGTAATCCCAGCTACTTAGGAGGCTGAGGCAGGAGAATCACTTGAACCCGGGAAGCAGAGGTTGCAGTGAGCCAAGATTGCACCACTGCACTCCAGCCTGGGCGATAGAGTGAGACCCATCTTAAATAAACAAACAAATAAGTAAGTAAATAAATTGCCAAGTTCTACTACCTCTTCTTGGAAGCCAAATTTTATTAATTGTTTTAGGTAGGATTTAATTTAGGAGAAGATTACGCTGAAACGATACCATTTAGTTACCACTGATTTGTGTTGATTAATACACATCATAATTTTTAAAATGCCAAACATTTGAAATTCTGTTAAACTATTTCATTTTGGGTAACAAAATTCATGCGAGTTTGGATTTAATAGGTACAGTGTTCAAGAAGATGGAAATAGCTCTATGCAATCTCTCTTGTTAACACAAGATTTCTTTTTTTTTTTCTTTTTTTTTTTTTTTTTTTTTGAGATGGAGTCTCACTCTGTCGCCCAGGCTGGAGTGCAGTGGCACGATCTCGGCTCACTGCAAACTTCGCCTCCCGGGTTCATGCCCTTCTCCTGTCTGAGCCTCTTGAGTAGCTGGGACTACAGGCGCCCGCCACCACGCCCGGCTAAATTTTGTATTTTTAGTGGAGATGGGGTTTCACCTTGAGCATGCCTACATTAAAGCACCATTACATCATACTGGAAGTATTACTTTATATACTACTGAACTATCAGCTTTTGAGGGGGCAGAGGAATCTTACTCTTTTTTTTTTTTTTTGAGACGGGAGTCTTGCTCTGTCGCCCAGACTGGAGTGCAGTGGCACGATCTCAGCTCACTGCAACCTCCGCCTCCCGGGGGTTCACGCCATTCTCCTGCCTCAGCCTCCCAAGTAGGTGGGACTACAGGCGCCTGCCACCACACCCGGCTAATTTTTTTGTATTTTTAGTAGAGATGGGGTTTCACCGTGTTAGCCAGGATGGTCTCGATCTCCTGACCTCGTGATCGGCCTGCCTTGGCCTCCCAAAGTGCTGGGATTACAAGCGTGAGCCACTGCGCTCGACCTTTTTGTTTTTGTTTTTGTTTTTTTTTTTTGAGATGTAATTTTGCTCTGTCACCTAGACTGAAGTGCAATGGCGCTATCTCGGCTCACTGCAACCTCTGCCTCCCAGGTTGAAGTGATTCTCCTGCCTCAACCTCCCGAGTAGCTGGGATTACAGGCACATGCCACCACACCCAGCTAATTTTGTATTTTTAGTAGAGACGGGTTTTTGCCATGTTGGCTAGTCTGGTCTTGAACTCCTGACCTCAGGTCATCTGCCTGCCTTGGCCTCCCAAAGTGCTAGGAGTTGAGCTGCCATGCCCGGCCAACACAAGATTTCAATGAAGAAGATTACAGAAAAGGTGAGTAGCCTAAGATGACATAGAAAGTGTACTGGAAGTGCATCTATGTGGTCTATTCTGTCTCCATGAACTCTTTCCTGATTAGCTCAGTAACTTCTCTCTCTCCTACTGAATTATTGGTAATTT